>NC_000022.11:47459564-48709564 GCF_000001405.40 Homo sapiens | reverse complement strand
ATCCCTCCCAAATTCAGGGCGAGGTGGCCGCTTATGTTGAAGCTTCTATGAGGGAAACGAAAGGCTGCGCCTGACTGGGGTCCACAGGTGGATGGAATGCACCTGCTGTTTGTGTTGCTGGAGACTCAGGGCGGTAACGCAGGCCTGGGAACCCCAACCAGCAGGGACAGAGGAGAGCCTAGACCCCCTCTGCAGACAGGTAGCAGTAAGGACATGGTAGAGCACTGTGCATTTCCTGGGTGCAGGACGGAATCATTTGCTTCTGCACTTAATGCCAGATAAACAAACCCTGACCAGGCAAAGCCCAGGACCTCAGCTTAGAGCAACCCACGTCCCTCATCTCCTGTCCTGTCCGCATGCCTCGGGGTGGCGCCGTTGCCTGGCCTCACACTCCTCCTGCAGGCCCACACCTGGGGAGGCCCTGGGCTGCCAGCGAGGCTGAGTCTGCATGAACTTCCACAAATGCAAGAGGTCCCTGAGAAACCCATGGGGGGCTTGGAGTGCCGCCTTGCCCATCTCACTGACATCCTGGCTGCAGCAGAAAGCCGTGCGACTCTCAGAAGACGACCCTGAGAGCCCCGAATTACGTTAGAACCCCAGGGATCCGTGGTTCTCCTTGCAGCAACTCCACCAAATTGGCCTCTTGAACCAAGTGCCGGAACAGCCCAGCCGAGCCCTCTCTTGGAGGCTGCTCAGGCAGCAAGGGGAAGGATTTCCCTGCAGCCCAGTGTGAGGAGCTGCAGCCCCCTCTCCCTGTGCAATCCTGGGAGGAGGCTCGGATGCCAGGGGGCTTTCCAGATCCTTCTGCCCAGCCACAGATCTCCCTGACCTATTCCCAGAGCGTGGAGCCCGGATCCGTGTTAGGGAAACGCTCACCCACTCACGTCCTCAGCTTCCAATGCCAACCTCAAAGGAGGAGCAGCCAGGATGAGGGGGTGCCACTCGCTAGTGAGGAGTTGAGGCCACCTCATGGGAATGCCCCGAGCCCCATGCACGTGGGCGTGGGCTCCCCTCCTCTGCCCCTCTGCAGGGGAAACCGCCTCAGCATCCGTGGCATGCCTGGAGGCGCCGCCTTCAGAAAAGGCCCATGTCCACCCGGCGTTCCCCAAGCTCCCGCCCTTGGGAAGAGCAGCTCTAGAGACCCAGGTCAGCCGTGGCTTTGGGAGGGCGGGGTGCACTGCATGCCCCACTCAGGGGGACAGAGAGGAGCTGAAGGGCCCTCCGGGTCTCTGGTGTGAGCAGCCACCAGGCCAGGCCCAGGGACGGAAGGAGCACACCTGGACGGAACCTGAACCTGGCCCTGTCTCCACAGAACCCCCGCCGTGCCCTGGGGGAGTTATCAGAAGTTCATCTTCAGGAGGGGCGGATGCCTCCTCCAGCCTGCAAAATCACGGGCACATCAGTCCCGGAAACAAGACGGCTCTAACCAGGGGGTTTCGAGACCTGGTCAGTGATCTGACTTCTGGGCTGACCAGCCTTGCAGCTGGTTCTGCATCCAGCTCTCAGCCCCCATGTACTCACAGACCGTCTGCCCCAGGACAGATGGTCAGGAATTTAGCACCAGAGAGGGAGGTGGGGGAGGAGACAGGGCCCTGGCCTCTCTGCATGAGGATGGAGTGAGCAGCTGCCACCTGTCCCCGCGGAGCCCGGGTGGCGTCGGAGGCCCGCACACACATACCCCCTCCCCAGCACACCCACGAGAAAGCCGAGGGCCACATACCGTGGTGGTCTTTATCCTCCCGCCGGGCTGCGTGCACGTCCAGCCTGACCGGTTGATTAACAAGTCGCAGCCTTCCCCCTCCAGACACGGAAGCATGTCACACCACTGCTTGGTCTTGATGATTCTTGCTGTGGGAGAAAAGAGAGAGGCAATCAGCGTGCTACTCTCATGGATCGTGAGGGTGTTGCTGAGGGCACCTGGGTCCTGGCACTGGCTGGGGGGGCCCTCAGGCAATGCCCGGCGTGGCTCCACCCAGGGACCCTCACACAGGGACACTGGGCCCAGGGGCTTTGCCAGCTTCCTGGTCTCCTGGTTTAGTGCTTGCTCCCCAAGTCCCGCTCTGCCATCGGCCAGTCGTGGAGCAGCAAGCAATGATCGAGGGAGCTAGAGACATGTCTGTGAAGCAGAGCCATGGCCCCTCCTGCAGTGTGGCTGCCTCACTGTCTCTTGTCTGGAATCCACTTGAGAGCCAGAAGAAGGCAGGAGGAGGGGGTTCCCAGTCAGGACATCCTCAGATACAGCGAGGGCAGCCTGTGCACAGGGAGGTAACCAAAGGGGAACAAGGGGGCCCAGGCTTGGAGCTCAGAGTGAGGCCAGGCTGGAGATGGGGAGTCGATTTCCCATCCTTGACTGGAGGATTTTACAACCACCCCTGGCCCCCATCCTACTCCCGCCTCGTCTCATCTGCAGATGCCCGGCTGACCCCTGGGGCCGGCCCAGCACCAGCCATGTCAAGCCTCCAAGATTAAAGGATGTGAGTCCTTGTGATGGCCCTTGGACAGGGCAGGGGGCAGGGCAGGGCCAGGTGGATGGGGGCACTGGCTCCCCACCAGCACAAGGACTCTGAAGCCCACATTAACTCCTCCCATGCCAGAGAGAATTGCATTTTCTCTCTTCCCTGGAGGCCCACCCTATTTTGTGGCTGTAGGTGTTAGGCAGACTGGAGATTACTCTCCACCAGAAAGCACGAGAAGGACTTCATGGCGGAGTAAAAGCTGATTGTATTAACATAACCTTCGCTGCGGGAATCTCAAAAGAACGATTAGTCATTTCTCAAACTGGGAAAAAATATGTCCTTCCTAATGCACACATAATTACTTTTATAAAAATTGGACCTACAAACAGGGGTTGCCATCCAGTTGAAAAACGTAGGCATTCAGATCAGATACCAAACACCTGCCCGGCAGTATTTTAGTTCAAGGTTAAGTTATAAACATGCACACTTATATACACAGGATTCTACCACCGACTTCAACCCTATGGCGGGAGATTAGGGAGAACTTTGCATCTTACATGAAAAAGAAGTTTGAAAGTTTGGGTCCGAGGCTCTAGGAGAACGGATGAAGTCACATATCCCCACTGCACTCGCTGGTGAGAGCCAGGCACCCCACTCTACGTGCCAAGTGGATGGACTGCATGTGGCTCGCTTCATGCCAGTGCTGGGAGGGCCAGGGTGGGCCTTTTCCTCCCCTTCCTCGCCCACTCACAGTTCCTCGGGGTCCTCACTGTTCCGAGTTCCTCGGGGTCCTCACTGTTCCGAATAGAGGCTTGGAACTCATCTTGTTGGATGTGGGCAATGCACGCATGAAGCCCCTTCCTGTTTTCCTTTGGGTCCCTCCTTCCTGGGGCTCAATGTTTGATGGGTCCACTGGCCCCAGGATGCAGAGAACCCAGTGTCTGGGCTGCCTCAGTTGCCAGCCCTGCAGAGTAGGGAAGGCCTCTCTGTCACCCACACCAGGCCCAGGCTGCACAGACACCCAGGCCCAGGGCAAGAGTGGCCCCCATGGCCCCCAGCCCCCACCTCCCGTCTGCAGCCCCGGTCCCTTTCACGAAGCTCCAGAGCCCTTGGCTTCCTCCTCTCTCCTGGGTTTTCTATTCCATGTCACCTCTTTTCCTTTTTTTAAATAAAGAACACAACTCTCAATGTGCATAAACCAGAACTGTAGTTCCCCAGGATACCTGTTTACTTGAAAACCTGAAAAAATTTCCAAGATTCCTCGCCATAGGAAGGATATGACAACTACATAAACAGTTGTGCAAATGCACGTGTGTGCACACATGTGTGCTAACATACCGTCCTCCAGACGGGCAGCGGGCTGGCTTCATGGCTATGCAAACAGGCTGCTGCACACGGCTCCAGGTATAGGAGGGCCACCGCTTGGACAACGCTCTGCAGTTCCCAAGTCTTGAAATTCTGAATAATTTTTAACAAGGGCCTTGCATTTCATTTTGCACAGGGTCAGCCAATCATGCCGCTGGACCACAGGCAGTGGCTGTTCCTATAGGAGCAGTGGGCAGCAGAGGACAGGGTCCTGGGGAACAGCTCACTCCTCACCCCACGAGGGCACAGGCCCTGGGGTCATCGCAGGGGAGGCAGGTCTGGGAGGTCAGGGGCCCTCTGGAAGACAGACAAAGGGACAGCATCCCAGGCAGAATGAATGGGTTCTCGTCCTCAGTTCCGACAAGGGGGGAGGAGCTGCCTGAAGCCTGCATGACTGCAGTGGAGAGGAGTCTGAGATGGGCTGGTCATGCCTGCCACAGCACCCACGGCAGAGGACGCTGTGGGGTGCTGTGTCCCAGCCAGTCCTGCCCCACCCCACCCCCGGCACCTTCACACCCACAGCCAGGGAGGCAGGCGTCCACCAGCCGGGCATGGCTACCCCCAATCCCTTTCCAGGTCAGTGCTAGGGATGCAATATCCTCTCAGTGCAGCCTCACCCCTGGATTTGGAGATGGGGCCTTCAGAAGGTGAAGAAGGTTAGATGAGGCCATGAGTGTGGGGCCCTGATCTGCCAGGATTCCTGTCCTTAAGAGACTCCAGAGAGTTCAAGCATGTGTGCTCGCTGTCTCTCTTTCTCTGTCTCTCTCTCTCTCCCCTCCCCAGCCCCCTGCACCATCTCAGGACACAGCAAGCAGATGCTGCCTAGAAGCCAGGAATCAGATCCTCACCAGGAACCAAACCTATCAGCACCATGATCCTGAATGTCCAGCCTCCAGAACCGTGAGAAAATAAACGTGTGTTGTTTAAGCCCCTCAGTATGCGGAGTTTTGCTACGGCAGCCTGAGCCGGCTGAGACAGCCAGGAGACCAGGAGACATGGGAACATCCCTCGTTCACCTGAAGAGTCAGGTGAGGAAACTCCAGCTGAGAATCAGTGTCTCCCTCCGAGAAAAAGCAACTGTGCTCCTTGCCACTAACATGGCACGTGGGGATAGGGAACCCCCCGGCTTCCCAGGGCGACTCCAGGAAGAACAAGCCACCCAGGCTGCAGCTCCCAGGCCCTCAGAGGGTCCCAGCCACCTGCTGCACGTCCACCAACCCCGAGGGACAGCGCTGAGAGAGGGGATGGCGCCATGAGTGGGGATGGCCGGAATCTGTCATGCGTCTTCCCGGGGCCCCTTTTCTTGTCTGTTCTATTCCTGCAGAAAGCCACCAGCAGCTGTGTCTCCCATCCCTGATGCATCGTGTTGGGTAACAGTAAATATGGTAGAAAATCTCAGACACCCACAAACACGAACCTTAAACCCACGAGGAAGCTACAGGATGAAACACACATGCCCCAGTAGCAGAAATCCCCTTGCAATGCCTGAGAAAAGAGCTGGACAAATTACAGAAAGCATCGTGTGTGTGTGTGTGTGTGTGTGCGCGTGTGTGTTGAGGGTGTGTTTCTCTAGCACCAACACTGAAGGACATGAAAGGAAGAGGCTCCAGTGTGGCTTAAAAGAAATCCCCACGTGGGCTCCCATCCACCCCGTACCATGGCGCCCAAGGTAGTCTTTAGTGCAATGTGGCTCCTGCTCTCATCTTGAGCTGAACGGGGCCTCAGAAACCCCCTGGGGTCCCCAGTGCCTGTCCTGTTCTGCCCTAACAGCCAGAAGCAGGGACTGGGCTGTCTCAGGTGAAGTGAGCCCTTCAACTGCAACAGGGAGATGTTTCTGCATCTGCCCGGGCCAGTTCTGGCACTCTCTGCAGCACAGGGCAGGGCCTGGGCCAGCAGGAGTGGGGTTGGCACAGACCAGAAAACCCGGGCAGTGTGGGTGGTGTCCGAGGGCAGGTCCTGACCTGCCTGCAGGGCAGGCTGTGAGAGGGTGGACAGGAGGTGGCCTGGGCCCAAATCCTTCACTACCGAGCTCAGCTGGGACCTCATGCCCACCACGAAGCTCATGCTCTGGGCTGGGAAATCCCGGGAGAAGGACGCTGAGGGTGGATACGGCGCAGGCCACAGCGCACTACCCAGCACAAGGCTCGGCTGGCCAGAACCTACAGGCTGTGTTGTTGGGGCCCTCTCGGTCAGGCTAGGATGCAAGCCACCAGAGCTCACTGGGACTGTGGGGCTGAGGATGGGGGAGGGATCTGGGGTGATGTGCCAGCTTTCAGCATCTTGGACACACACCCTCTCCAGTGCCAGGGCCCAGCCCACTGGCTGTCTACGGAAAGGACCCTCATCCCTGCCAGACATGATGTGGTACTATGCACGGTGGTGCTCAGGGTCACCTGAAGGAGAAGAAGGAAGGACGGCGGGGTCCGGGGGGACTTAGGCTGGTGAAGGTGGCTCCAGCCCTGCCTATGCTGTAGCTGCCATGCCTGGCCACACACCACACACACATGTACACAACACACACACGTACACATCACACACATGTATACACCACACACCACACGCAAAGGCATGCAGGCACACACACAGGCACACACATGCCCATTTACATGCATGCTCACAAACACGTATCTATAGGTGCAGCACACACGCACACATGCACACACGTTCACGCACACACATGCATGCACACACACAGATATGTATCTGCACATGCACCCACATGTACACTCTCGCCTGCTCTCAGCATTTGCAGAACAAAGGGACAAGCAGGCAGCAGGCCTGCCCCGTCCCTGGGCCTGGCCCTCCCGAGGGCACCAGCGGGCCGGCCCTGAGCACACAACACCTTTTGTTTGACGGCAGGAGCTGGGCTCACCCACCCCAGCCCACTTCCTGCTGGAGACGGTCAGAGGCACAGCGCCGGGCCACCATGTCCCGGGGACAAAGGGGCCTTTCAAGCATACATTTCACAACTCCCTTTCCCCGGGCTCGGGTGAGGAGGCCTCCCCTCTGGTCGCAATGTTGCAATAGCTCTCAGGGAAGGGAAGCGGCGTGCCCAGGGGCTGACAGAGCTTCCTGAGGTAGCGTGAGTGACGGTGACTGAAACGTGGGCTCTGGGCAGACAAACGTCATTACCCATCCACAGGGGCTAACCTGGGGGGTCCTGAGCACACGACAGGTAAAGGGCACGGGGCGTAAAGGGCACAGGGTCTCATGCGTATTTATGTCTGCAGTGCCTGTCCCCGGGCCGGTAGGAGCAGGTGCTTAGGACGTGGCTGGAGAAGGGAGCCAGGGAGCCCCTGCCTAGGATAGAAAGGGGGCATAGGAGTGCGTCTCAGAGTGGGTTTGTCCAGACTGGATCTAGAGTCTCACCGATCTCAAGCCTCTGTAGGACCCCACAGCCCCCGAGTCCCAGCCCAGCCAGGCCCTGGGCCAGCAGTGCTCTTTCTCTGCCTGGAAACACTTCTCTAAGGTGCCAGTCAGCCCCATCTTCCATCCCACACCATGCTCTCCATCACGTACATATATGCCATTCACATATGTAGACACAGGCACACACATACATACCACACTCAGCCACATGTCCACACACAAACGCACACACGCACACACACACACTCACACACAAGTCCACTGTGTGCCCTCTTGCAGACTAACCACACATGCGTATCATCCCCGGGGCCACCTGGCTCCCTGGCAATGAGTCCCCAGGTCTACAGAAGGGCTTGGCTCCTTCCACCACCCCAGGTCCCCTCTGTGTGTACATTCAAGCTGCCTCCCCAGACAGAGGCCAGCTCCCGCTCCAAGGCCCCCCAGTCCCCGGGATGACGCAGCCGCTGCACCTAGACCCTCGTCAGTGGCAGCATAAAAACCTTGGGCTCCAGGAGGGCAGAGCGCAGAGGACGCTGCCCAGTGCGGGCTGGGACTGTGTTTCAGGGGAGGGAGGCAGCCAGGGGAGGGCAGGAGCCGGGCTCTCCTTGAAGTCTCCGAGAGGAGCAGGCCTGGTGACCCTGCAAACAGCATGGGGAAGAAAGGGCTGAGATGTGGGCGGGGCCTGGCTGGCCACAGGTCCTCCGCACAGCCTTGTTCAGGCTCCCAATCAATTTGCCGAAAGTCCAACTTGCCAAAAACGGTTGGGCGACCCTTGAATGGAGTTGAGGACAGAACAGTGTGGCTGTTTGGGTGACAGGGACCGAGTTAAAGGGGACTTCAAAAACCCCATCTACACAAAGGCCTGGGAGGAAAGTTTACCCTAGGAAAGGCAGCTGAGGGTTGCGCCGACTCCCAGCGGGCAGGCAGGGTCCCAGGAGGGCGGCCCACAGCACCTGGGTGGACCCGTGCAGGAGAGGGTGTGCCACGTCCTCAGTGTGGGGACACACACCAGTGCCTTAGAGGAGAGCCCTCCCTGGGAGCTGCCACCCAGCTTCCTCTCACCACGCCTGCATCTACAGCTCTAGACACAGCTGGAGGACACGCATGCAGGGTGGAGGGAGGGTGGAAGCCACCTCTAGGTCCGGCTGCAAAGGTCATCTCTGCAGACAGGGGCCTCTACCCTCTGCCCCATGTCCTCTACTGGATGGAAGGAGCCGGTCCTGAGACACCCACTCGAGCTGTGTGCCGCCTCGGGCACCCACTGAAGTGGGACAAATACACATCCATTGTACCAGGCCCTAGGGATGAAGGGCTGCGGGCCTCTCCACAGCTGGCAGTGCTTCTAGTAACAGCCAGAGGGCTCTTCCCATCCTCTCCTCCCCAGCCTGAACTTGGGGGACGAGAAGCAGACAGCTGAGTGGGGTTCTCAGCCTGAAGTAGGGCTGGGCAGATGGCATGGGAGGAGCTGTACCGTCAAAATCCAGCAGGGTGTGTCTGTTACGTGGGATCGGACATTTGAACTTGTTTGCCATACAGGATCAGACATCTGAACTTGTTTGCTATAACAGGATCGAACATCTGAACTGCTGAAGTGGGACGGCTCTTGCTACTGAGTGTCCTGAGAACCTGTGATGATCTCAGAGCTGCCAGACAAGCTCTCATCCGGCCTGCAGACAGGACGAGCCCTGCCCCTGGAGTGCGTGCACACAGGTGCCCACAGGCAAACATGCACATCCACGTGCACACTCACGTGTACCAAGAAGCAGGTCACAGTGGCACCCCCACTCCCGAGGGAGAAGAAACCCAGGCCCGCTTCCGCTCCCCTCCTTTCCTACCCAAGGGGCACCCCCAGACCCCAGTCTCCTTAAGACTCTACTGGCTTTGGTCAAAGGGCTGCTGGATCCTGAGACCGTTCTTTTTCAGGATCTCTCCCCCAGCCCCTGCCGGCCTGCTCTGCCCCGGGAGCTCTAGTCGTACCTGGGTACACTCTCCCCGGCGAGGTCAGGCTCTCACGGCCTAGTGTGTGTGGAAAGGCCGATGCCTACCCCACCCCACCTGCTAGCTTCCAGCTCCTTTCCTTGCACCCCTGCCCTGAAGCTGGAAGGCGACCTCTGCTGTCCCCAGCCCCCTCCTATGTTCCTAGGGGCAGCTGTCTGGGACACGAGTTACTTGTTCTGGAACATTGACTGATTCGATGAAAGAAGGGTTTCGGGATCCAGCAGCCCTGTGACCAAATCCAGCACAGTCTTAAGTGTGATCTGGAGGGACACTTATTTCCAAATGCTGTCCCAGGGGCCCATGTGTGTGAGGTGGGGTGTGTGTGTGTGTATATGGTGTGTGCGTGTACTCGTGCACATTCATGCAGACATCACATCCAGCAAAGGCCCATCCACTCCCAATACCCCGTGTAAATTCCAACAGGAAGAAGAGGCAGGAGCTCAATGTGTCAGTGGGGTGTGCGAGCTGCTCTCTGGGGCTGTGGGTGGTGCACCCAGGGCCACACTGTGTGTGCTTCCCGCCTTCCCTCTCCCCGTCTCAGAGCAGTTCATCAGGAGTAAGTGCAGCAGTAAATATGCAATGAACATTTCTTCTGTTCGCAGTCGCTGCAATAATTGGATTATTCCCGTTTAAAGCTCCGCTTACTCACGCTGCAAGGCAAAGCTTGTCTTCACCCGAAAGAGACATCTTAGGCAAGTTATCAGGAACCCGCTCATAAAAGTGCCTTCCAGGAGAGCTCTGGGTTAAATATAAGGCGTGATGACAACAAACAAAGCCACGTGATTATTAAGACGCCTTCATGCGACACGTCCTTAAGTATGTAAGAGCAGAGCTCACTGAACGGAACGCGGGGAAATGTATACACACGGAGAGCCAGCAGGTACATCTCTCCACCCTGGAGCTCACTGCCAGTGCCCTGTCACCGAGAAGCATCTGCCCTGCAAAACGCGTGCTGCAACTTTAAATGTTATTGGTTTCGCTGTTTTGTGTTTGCTTTTAAATAGGCCTCAGTTTATTTGGTTTATTCCAGTTTTACCGCCTGGTAAGGGCTCCCAGCTTTGTGTGCGTTCATAGTCCTGCAACATTGTAATCAGAACAATGAAGGTCAACAGTAGGGTGGGTCTTTCCCTTAAAAGGCGTTGTCAGCAGGGCACGGTGGCTCACGCCTGTAATCCCAGCACTTTGGGAGGCCCAGGCTAGTCGATCACCTGAGGTCAGGAGTTCGAGACCAGCCTGGCCAACATGGTGAAACCCCGTCTCTACTAAAAATACAAAAATTAGCTGGGCATGGTGGTACATCCCAGCTACTCAGGAGGCCGAGGCAGGGGAATCACTTGAACCTGGGAAGCAGAGGTTGCAGTGAGCCGAGATCATGCCACTGCACTCCAGCCTGGGGGACAGAGTGAGCCTTGGTCGCGCCAAAAAAAAAAAAAAAAAAAAAAGCATTGCCACATTACTTAGGTCTGAGGAACAGGGCTCTGGGCTGGTCAGTAGAGCAGGAGGCACAGTTAGTGCTGGAGCTTGTTGCAGGGCCAGGCTGGAAGGGTCTCTCGCAGGTAAGCGCACAGCCCCGGCCACGCACGGGGCCTGTAGAGCCCAGACGGGCTGCACCCCGAGGCTGCGGAAGGGAGGCCAGGAGGCACCCGCTGTAGGGCCAGAAAAGCTCGCAGGACCTCCCCCTGACCCCCAGGCACCCTCAATCTACATACTCATCCTTGCTCAGCTCCTGGGATGCTCCTATGAACAGGTGGGAGCCTCTGTTCAAGACGACACCTGAGGAATGTGCCCCACTCAGGTCAGCCTCCCTGCATGGCACTGGCATCCCTCCCATCATGGGTAGAACCCTGTGCTTCAGCTTCCTCTCTCCCAGCTCAGCTCAGTCAGCTCTCCCTATCATCACCTTCACTACCATTACCATCATCATCATCACCATCACCACCACCACCATCACAACCACCATCATTATCACCATCACCACCATCACCATCATCAACTGATTCCCTTCCCTTGGCCTCCTGAGTAGCTGGGATGCACCACCACACCCAGCTAATTTTTGTATTTTTAGTAGAGATGGGGTTTCACCATGTTGGCCAGGCTGGTCTCGAACTCCTGACCTCAGGTGATCCACTTGCCTGGGCCATCATCATCACCACTGCCATTATCATCACCATCATTATTGTCACCATCATCATCACCACCATCATCACTACTATCACTATCATCATCACCATCACATAATCATAACCACCACCATCGCTATCATCACCACCACCACCACCACCATTATCACCACCATCACCATCACCATCATTATGACATCATCCTAACCACCACCATCGCCACCATTATCTTCACCATCATCGTCGCACCATCATGCTCACCATCCTCACCATCCTATCAACAGGACCATCATCACCATCATCATCCTCACCATCACACATCATCACCACCACCACCATCATCATATTGTCATCACCACCATCATCATGACAATTATTACCATCACCATCATCATCATAACCACCACCGGTATCCTCACTATCACCAACATCACCACCACTACCATCTCATCATCATCACCATCATCATCACCATCATCATTTTATCACTGTCATTACTATCATCACATTATCATAACCACTACCATGATCATCACCATCACCAACATCATCATCAATTGTAATCATCACCATCACATTATCACCATTAGCACTATCACCATTACCATCATCACCAACACTACCATACTGTCTTCATCACCATCATCACCACCACCATCCTCAACATCACAGTCATTATCACCGTCATACTACCACCACCATCACCACCATGATTATCATTGTTGTCACCATCACCATCAATGTCATTATCATAACCTTCATTATCACCATCACCAACATCACCATCATCATAAATACCACCACCATCCTGATCCTCATCATCATCTTCCTCATCCTTGTCATCATCACCATCACCCTAATCACATCATGACAACCACCATCATCATCGTCATCATTATCATCATCATCATCATCACCACTGTCACCATAACCACCATCTCCATCGTCAGCAGCTACCTGGAGTGACTCCCTCCCTCCTGTGCCATACACATGGCTGCCCTCATTCCTATGGCAATTCTAGGTGAAGGCTCTCATCCTTAGCTCATTTCAGGTATGAGGATGCTGGGGTTCAGAGAGGGATAATAAAGCAAGCCCTAACTGCACCCCAGTGGCCTGTCTTCTTTCCAGTCCAGGTTCCTCTCTTCTTGGATCCTCCCCAGTAGATTACAGCTCAGAACTTCCATCCCTGTGCCCAGGGAACATGTGCCTGGCACGCCATCTTCCCCATCCCTTCAAGGAAGCCCTTTTGCCCCTGGTTTCTCATCTAACCCAAGCAGCAGGGGAGCTAGCATGCTACCATTGGGGCTCCAATAAGGAGTCTTGGATTTCCAGGGAGGTTTTCGGTCTCCCTGAGACGGGAGCTCCCTCCTCGTATCCTAGGGCCTTTGCGCGACTGTGCTGTGCTGGTTAGAAGCTGGAATGATGCAGGCCAGGCCTTGCACACACAACCTGCGTCTCATGTAGCACAGGGTTTGGGCTCAGAGGTGGCTCTGCAGGCGCAAACCTCATTCCACCCTCATTTCCTGGCTGAGAGATTTTGAAGGCAGCAAGGACAGCAACAGTGGTATGGGGGTGAAGGGGTGTCAGACCCCAGCCATCAGCTGCCTGGACACCTGCAGGGATCCTTCAGGGTTTCCCCTCTCCGGAACCTAGCTCTGCAGTTGGGGGGAGCTCCGCCCTCCAATGGGAGCCCAGGTGGCTGCCACCCATTCACTCCGGGACCCCCCTGCAGGTCAAAGAGGAAGTGCTGGCATCTGAAGCCCCAGACCTTCACCTTCACCTCCTGTCCCTGGGCAGGGCACTCAGGGGCCCCTCAAAGTTCCTGAGGAAAGGAGGGAGGGAGGAAAGGAGGGAAGGATGGAGGGAAGGAGTGAGGAGAAGAGGGAAGGATGGAAGGAAGGAGTGAGAAAAGAGGGAAGAGTGGAGGGAGGATAGGAAGGGACAGGAAGGCACCTGCTATGCTACATCTGGCCGGAAAGGTCATAAACGCAGAGTGCTGAGAAATGCGCAAAGCCACAGCGTCTGCAGAGCTCAGGCCCGGGTGGCTGGCACAGTCTCCTTCCTCCCCAGCCTCAGTGTGGGTGTGCAGGGGTCTGAGGGTGGGCAGCCTGCGCCACTTCTCCCATGGCACCCGCCCATCGAACCCCGAGACTGGGATGTACAGCTCTGATTTCACATGCCTCTGAATTCTACGGACCAGGGGTCCGGGGCAGGTGGGGTTGAGGGTCTGAGTGGACCCCAGTTGACCCAGCTCATCGAAGTCCCAAACAGCCTATATGCTCTCGAGTGCTGACCCTCTGCGTCCTGTCTGTGTGGTGGTCAGCAGGATGGCTGTGTGGCCCTGTGGTGCTTGAAAGCCCTACACTAGGGACTGAGTGATGCTGTATGCAGAACTTGAAGCCAGCCACGCTGACTCCCCTCGCCAGGACTCTGGTGACGCCAGAGGGCCCGCCTATTTTTTTCCAGCACCAGGAAGCCCCAGCCAATCTCTCAAAGAGTCGGCAGCTCAGGAAGGTGCCCCTGCTGCCCACACCCTGGCCAGGTGCCCTTGCCCACCCCCAAACCTGAGAACCACACAACCCATGAAACCCATGAAGAGAAGCCAATTGTCCATAGGACTGTTCCTTGGTCTGACGTCACAGGGAGGAACATGCTGGCTACTCCAGGGGAACAGACAGACAGGCACAAGTGGTGCTCCTTTGCCTGAGACCGTGGCCATAACATTACTCAGCTCAACACCCAAGCCCCGAGGTGCTCATGAACGGCAGGCTTCCCTTGGCAATAAACTTTCCTCATTTCCATTAACACAGAGTTGCTTGCTGTACTCAACAGCTTGGAAAAATGAATCATCCAGAACAAAACCAGTGAGATTCCAGGAGAAATCTTTGGGCATTTACTCAGATATCGTCAGAAACACATCTCAGCTGTCTGAGCTGGGGAGGCTGCTCTCCCTGGCAGTGTCTCACCCAGAAGAGTGTCCCTCGAGTCTCCCAGATCTGGCTGGTGATGGAGGATTCAATCAACAGCATGGGAAAAGGAGTGGGCAACGTTAATACAGACAAATACATACAAATCACACACACACACACAATGTGCACACATACACAAATGCACAAGCACTCAATGCAGACACACAAAGACACACACACCACCTGGCCTCACGAAGTCAAATGGAAATGGGGTATCTCAGAGGTACCACAGAAGAACCCACAGGCAGTAAGTCCTGACACAGGCACTGAGGACGGTCACTGTGAAACCATCTCTGCAGGGCACGTTTGAAGCTCACAGGAGGGCTCAGGGCTCCCGTTTCTGCCCGATGGGAGGCAGCACTTTGAGGCCTGACCTCCCCAGTGGTCCCAGCCTGGGGCAGGAAGGCTCACAGGCAGGTGGGGGTGGAAGTCTGGAGCGGCGGGGGGTGGGGGCGGAGGTCGGAGCGGCGGCGGGTGGGGGCGGAGGTCTGGAGCGGTGGGGGGTGGGGGAGGAGGTCTGAGCGGTGGGCAGCCCTTGGTGGTCTTGGAGCTGCTCACAGGCAGCCTCCCCCTGTAGGTCAGCCCTTGCCAGGGCACTGTGGCCCGGGGACACAGAGAACATCAGATGAGGCACTGCCCGGGAGCAGTACCAGATACCCACAGGCTTGGTGACTTGTGACCAGCACATGGGGCAGGGAGGAGGCTTTTGGGGTGAGCGGACACAGCCGGGCTTCCTGGGCTCAGGGCTCAGGAAAAGGCAAACAGGCCCAGAGCACTGGCTGGGAAGCGCCCGTGTTTCTGGGAGGAGTCTCTGTCCCACACCTCCAGAAGAGCCTCCTGCACTCCGGAAGGGCCCCACTCGAAACGTCAGAGCCCAGACACACCAGGAAACGCGCAGGGTGTCCCAGCAGTGCCAGCCTTCCCTGGGGCTATGCCACACAGTCATTTCTACGTATTTGTGTGTATTAATGTTGACCACCCCTTTCCCCAGCTTTCTGAGCGTTGGGGCCCTTGGACAGCTGCCGACTGTCAGGGCCGCCCTGCTGGTCCTCCCAGGGACTGGTATGCTCATTTATTACTGGAATTTTATTATTGATTTCTACCTATGGGGAATCAATTAGCTTCATCTTCACATTACAGAAGAGGACACAGAAGCTCAGAGAGCTCAAGAAGTCTGCCCAAGGTCACACGGCTTACAAGCGGTGATGCTGGAACATGGATGCAGTCAGCCTCCGCGTGGCCTGTGGGCAGGGACCTCAGAGGGGCCCACGGGCTTCCTGAAGAAAGAGGAGAAGCCGACAGCCCAGTGGAGATGCTGAATCGTCTACAGAAGACAGGAGGGTGGCATTCTGGAGCAGGGGACCCCACAGTTTCCCCACCCGGCGGAAACACCCGGGGCACCATCTGTCAGCTGCGTCCATCTGAGATGGCATAGTCAGTAAGATGGGTATAGGTGGCCATGGCTGACCACACCCCACAGCTGGGTCAGGATTGTGGCCTGGAAGATGCAAAGCCCAGGGTAGGCTGGAGGGTTGGGGGAGGCCCTCAGAAACCAAGGCCCGGAGCAGGACTGAGAGAGAGTAGGAATGAGGCCTGGAGCAGGACCAAAGCCCGGTGTGGTGCGGGACTGAGACAGAGAGAGAGCAGGAATAAGGCCCGGGGCAGGACGGGACGAAGGCAGAAAACAGGACCAAGGCCCAGAGCCGGACCAGGGGTGGGAACAGAGTTCCCTGAGCTCCAGGCCCAGCCGCCCCTCCTGCGGGCCTCACCTGCTGGTCTCCTCTGGGACCTCAGGCTATGCTTCCTCATCTACCCATGGTTGAGTCACAGCCATCTGCAAGAGTCGCAGTCCCTCCTTTACTGCCTGCACGGGCTGCACTATGACGCGCACGGATCTCCGACTCACCTGGCCATTCCCGGTGGTGGTACATTTCGGGTGTTTGTGCTTTCCTGGTTTTTCCCTCTTCCTTTCAATTACTCTCTTAGGGCAAATTTCTGGGAGCAGAATTATGGGATGAAAAGGTCTGAGCATTTTCATGGCTCTGGACTCATCCTGCCAGGCTGCTCTGAGGACGAGTGAGGCCCCGTCACTGAGGCCCCTCCAGGCAGACAAGGACGTATTTTCCAGCAGAGGCTTCGACTCGAGGTCACGTCCTGCGCTCAGCTACTGGGAATCCGAGTGGGCGGACAGGGTCGAAGGGCAGCGTTCCAACGGCCTTGGGCCTGAGTAAGTGCCCTTGACAAACACGCTGCTGAGTTCTGCTGAGTTCTGTGAATAGTGAGCACGGGCTCGCGGAGTTCTTACACTGTTCTCAAGATGACGGGGCCCAAGGCGCCGCCGATGCCCTTCCTGCCTCAACGGTGCCCCATCCCTGAGGTGGCCTGGGAGGGGCTCCTGAGGTCCCAAGCAAGCTCTGGGCTGTTCCTGGCCTGGGCCCAACGGGGCCTGAGGTCGGTGACTGAGGACACACGGCTGCTTCCCATTCTGACCTTCCTGGGAACACGCCCCTCGTATGGCCACCTGCACACCGTCACGAGGCTGTCTAGATACGTATGCGTTTTAAATACTACTCCACATGCTGGAGAGCTCTGCGGAGTTCCCCATCCTACAGCACTGCTGTGCCCTGCTGCCACTGCCATCATCATTTATGGGATTCATTTCATATCCTTAACCTTCATCAGACTGTCAGGCTATGACTGAATCCTCTTTCAAAAACCAGGTAAGGGCAGGCATGGTGGCTCAGGCCTGTGATCCCAGCAATTGGGGAGGTCCAGGCAGGAGGATCACTTGAACCCAAGAGTTTGAGACCAGCCTGGGCAACACGGCGAGACTCAGTCTCTTAAAAAATTAAATCAATTAAGTAAATTAAAATAAATCAGGTAAACAAAATTGCCTCTAATGGTCCCAAAATATGCTTCTTGCCTTTCCCATGAGCACAGTCCCAGCTGCCTTGATTAAGCCTGACAGCAAGGAGGGAGGGGCCCAGGGCTGCAGCGGACCCCTGACTCTCAGCAGCCCCATTTGCTGACCTACTGCAGCCCTCCCTGCACTCTGAGGGTCTCACTGTCTGACATCCTGCAGGCTGGAGGCAGCTCTCAGGCCACAGGCCATTGCTGAAGGAAGGGAGGGTCTCCTGGGTGGGCCAGGGCTCAGGTCTCGGTGTCTTCCCAGGAAGACCCTAGCCTCCTCCCCCTGGCACACTGCCCCATCCCAGGTTCAGGGAGGAGTAAACCAGGGCCTCTCTGATTGGGGACAGGAAGGAGGCACCCAGTGTTCCTGCCCTAGGAGCTGGTGGCACAGGCCCCTTTGGAGGACGACTCAGCCCTCCAGGGCACCTAGTGTCAGCTCAGTCCATCCAAGGGGGGCTGTCTCAGGATGGATCCCGTGACAGGGACCTCCTGGAAGCAGTTGGGAGCCAACAAGCACACCTGGGAGGGCCCAGACAGTTGGGGCCCGAGTCTCCACAGGCAGCACCTCGCCATCCCACGAGACTCAACGTCAGCCGCCTGGGGCCCTCCCCGGATGTGCCCAGCACAGAGAGCCAGACACCTGGCCTTCCTCCTGAGCAGACCTGCCAAGGGGCAGGCGCCCCGTAGGGTCCACAGGTGGGGAAAAGCAGAGGTCACCTCCCAGATTATGGCAGGACTGAGCGCCTGCAGCAGGGGCAGAAGAAGAGCCTGCTCCTGGCGCGTCCTCCGTTGCCCAGCCATGCCACTGCGACTGTGAGCCTCTCCAGGCTGCGTTCCTCGCGAGGCTGCATCTGCCCTGGGTGCTCAGCACACAGGCGAACCCAGTTTGCCTCCTCACCTGCGGTCCTGGTGCCCGACACAAGGCGACCCTGTCCTGGCCACGTCTCCATCTTCCCTCTTAGGCCTTGCTGGTTTTGTTACTCAGTAAAGACCGGGAGGATGACGATACCAAAAATGTCAAACGTGAAGTAAAATCTGCATCAGCAGCAGTCCCAGGGCTTTGGAAAGACGGCCCCGCCCATCCTTCCATCAGACCCTTACAGCCACGAGAGGAGGCGGCTCCCTACTTGGCAAACAAGGGAAGGGGCCCAGAAGTGGCCCCTGCACCTCGCACCCGAGCCAGCTTGAGCTTAGGAAGCCCACAGCCCCTGACCACCAATGGTCCCCGGGCCGCCCTGAGGCTTGCCTGGGAGCCTCAGGTATGGAGGGACTTCACCGGCCGCTGCGGCCTCAGGGACTGGCTTCGTGCTTCCTGCTTTACGGCGGGTCTCCTTGACCACTGGAGATTGACGGCGCTCAGGAGGGTCAAGCATCTTCCTGATGCTCACCTAGCTGCTTCCAGGCAGATGCTGTGGGCGCTCTCTGGACCCCATCCAGATGTGGGGTAAGCTCAGGAGGCGAGGCGTCCTCCCTCCACGACAGGCAGCTCTGTGCCTGGATCAACTCATCATAGAAGACAGGGGGCGGGGGCAGCACGGCCCCCCAAGCCTGGGCTGACATAGGTCAGCCCACAGCCTCCTGGGCAGAGGCCAAGGCCACTCATTGGGGCTGTACTTTCCGTGTGCCTCAGGTCACGTCCAGCTTGAGGGACACAGGCCTGTCCCCAAGAGCTCTGATTACATCAGTCCAAGATGCTACACTACAGAGAGGGAGTCCACAGGGCAGCCAGGAGGGCTCCCTAGAAGAGATGAGGTTTAAAGGGTGAATTGCCCACAAAGATAAGAGGGTGACAGCACAGCAGGCAGGAAGGGCCTGCAGGAGGATGCAGGGGCCCTGGCCCTGGCGATGGGCTGGTCATCACTGTAAGCCTGTGGGAGGGCCAGCACCTGGGATCTCGCTACAAGCATGGAGGGGCTGGAGAGGCCAGTAGGGTGGAGGCTGCACACTGGGCACACAGGCCCTGGTACGGCTGTGTGGCTGATACACGTCCCAAAGAGCCACAGTCCTCCATAGCCCCGGCCCTCACACCTGCCTATCACACCCAGACCCACTTTCTGGAATGTGGAGTCCACTCAAGGTGGTTCTCTGTGGGTCTCCAGCACACAGTTACCACCTGGGCCAAGGGGTCATTGTGTGAACACAAGGAGATGGGGTGGGAGAAGGGTCACATCCAGGAACCCGCTGGGAGCCCCGTCCCCTTGCCTGGCAGGCTGAGGACAAATGCAGTTATGAGCATCTTTCCATGCAGGAGGGGTGGGGGGAGCACAGGCCCCTGGCCTCCAGCTGATGCCACAGGGCAGGGTGGACATCTCCACATCCACTGACCCCAGCCAAGCCCACCTCCCCCAGTGCTGTGAGGCCACCTGTGATGGACGCCAGGCCACCAGGGAAGAGGTTGCAAGGCAGAGCGGTGTACAGGGAGCGCTCCCTTGCCGTATCCCTCATCCTGGAGGGACTGGCTCCTGGGGGCAGCAAGGACCTTGCTAGTGACTGAGGGAAGCACCCAGCCAGGCTCAGAGACACTTACACCAACCGGGGACAGGAAAGAGGGTGGTGCAAGGAAGGCCCAAGGCTGTGGCCCCCCTCACCTGTTATGCCAATGATACCAGCCCATCAACCTGCTCTTTCCTGCACAGTCTGGCCCCAGCCCCATGAAAGCACAGCTGGGCTGGCCCAGGGAGCTGGGGTGAGTGGGTGGGGGACAGGCCAGTCTGTCCGCCCGAGGGGCTACACGGGTGACCTAGGACCCCAAACTGAGAGCCAGTGAATAACATCGGCTCAGACTCGGTAAAGCAGCAGGGCCTCAAGATTGAGCAACATCTCACGTCACCACTTTGTCTCCACCCAGAGGACTTGCTCTCAAGTCTGCGCAGGTTCCTCAGGCGTCAGAACCCGACCCTGTGCTTCTGGCCCTGGGTCTGAGGGTACAGGCTGGCCTTTTCTGGGGTGAACGTGTCCCAAGTCAGGGAATCGCTAAATCCCTCTCAGAACTCAGAGCCTGAGGACAAGGCAGACGGGGGTGCTCCAGATGTGGACCCGAGATGTGGGGTTTGCAGGTGGGTGAGAGGCGCCCCATCTCTGGGGTGGGGGTCAGACCCGGTAACGTGTCTACGTCCATCTGCTCCACACTCCCCGCTGCATACGGCGTGCAGACCAGAGGAAGGGTTCCACGCGTTTTTGAAAACCGCGCCTCCCTAACTGCTCTAGCCATCTTGCACATTTGCAGCTGAAGACTTCTGTGAGTACGGGGTCCTCCTGGGAGGCAGGTGCAGAGGCTGGAGGGACCCACACCAAGGACATACATAGGCCATTTCATGTTGTGCTTAGCAGTTAAACTGCAGCACATCAACAAAGGTTTTCTCTCTCTTTTTTTTTTTTTTTTTTTCCGAGACAAGTCTTGCTCTGTCACCCAGGCTGGAGTGCAGTGGTGCGATTTTGGCTCACTGCAACCTCCACCTCCCAGGTTCAAGTGATTCTCCTGCCTCAGGCTCCCAAGTAGCTAGGATTACAGGCATGCGCCACCACACCTGGCTAGTTTTTTATATTTTTAGTAGAGATGGGGTTTCACAATGTTGGTCAGGCTGATCTCGAACTCCTGACCTCAGGTGATCCGCCAGCCTTGGCCTCCCAAAGTGCTGAGATTATAGGCATGAGCCACTGTGCCCAGCCCTCTTTTTTTGTTAAATCAGGACACACTGTTTCTCAGAAACTGGGAAGTCAAGACTCTCCTTTCAGCTAAGCAAGGAGCTTACTTAGAAATGAACCCAGGGAGGAGCCGGCCAGGGAAAGCCACCGTCCCCCGAGCAGCCAGGGGGAGTTAAGAGGCCTGAAGATCTGGCCCTCAGGGGGCAGGAGCCAAGACAGGGCCAAGGCCTTGGGGTGCATGAGGCTGACACAAGACAAGACTCCAGGAGAACACTGAGAAAAGGGCAGCGTGCTCTGGTCCTTGCTATTCAGTGCTGATCTGTTAATCACTCAAAAAAGAAAAATCTGCAAAACCCAGATTACATCTTAAAATTAGATAAAATTTTCTTTCTACAACTTCTAGACAGCATAATTTAGTGGGAACAGTCTTGATAATTATTTTTTCTTTAAATAGTTACAGTAGAATGTATTAATTTTCAAGATGGCTCTCTGATTAGAGTGATTCATTAGCTCCAGGAACTGTCCCCATCACGCTCAAGAATGGAAACGCCTCCCTTTATGAAGGGTGCGCCAGTGCAAAACCCTCCAAGTCTGGGTCATCAAATTAGATGAGAGAGAGGGAAAAAAAAACCCCAAAACACACAAAAAAACAATAAAAAACCCCAACTGTAATAAGCTACCTGTTTCATTATTTCATTAAGACATGTAAGTGGAAGAAAAAAAAAAACCCTCTAATCATGTTCCTCAGGCAAATTCCTACGAACTGACAGAAGCTATTTAAGAGAGAAGACAGGAGAGGCAGCCGCAGTTTTTAATTTTAATGTCCAAAAAGGAAAGTGTCTCCTGTCTGGTTCCAGGAGGTCCCAGGCGCTAAGTGCTGGTGGAGCCGCACTCAGGGAGCCTGGGGCAGCCCAGGGAAGGTGGGTCGTGGTATGTGGGGGCAGCTACATGTTCCCCCCTCAGAGGTGGGGCACTTAGGGAGGTGACCTGAGGCCAGCAGGGTGTGTATGGAGCTGGGTGCTGTTGGTTGTGGATCTGTCACTGGGAGAGTGAGGAGGGGAGAGTTCCCAGGGATGGTCCTGTTTACAAGTGGAATGTCACTGCCTCAAGGGGAGGCACTCGCCATGGCAAAATTAACACGGAGGCTGAGAACTCTGACTGCCTTCTCAGGGAACCTGGTGCCCTCACTAGGACCTGGATCCATCAAGGCTCACAGAAGGCTTCATAGTTAGGTTCAGGAAATATTTAGCCATCCCCCATCCACCCATCCACAGATGCCCCCCCACCCCTGCCACCAATCCATCCATCTATCTACCCACCCATCTATCTATCCATTCAAACATCCATTACCATCCATGCATCATCCACCATCCATCCATCACCCACTAATCCATCCATCCACCTGTCCACCATCCATTCATCCACCCACCCATCCACCCATCCATCCGTCCACCATCCATTCATCCACCCACCCATCCATCCACCTATCCATCTATCTATCCACTCAATCCATCCACCATACACCACCCACCCATCCTCCCATCCATCAATCCACTCATCCATCACCCACCCTCCACCAATCCATCCATCCACCTATCTATCCACCTATCCATTCAAACATCCATCCACCATCACCATCTATCCATCCATCCATCCACCCATTCATCAATCCATTCATCCATCTATCCATCCTCCATCAATCCATCCATCCATCCACTTGTCCACCATCCAACCATCCATCATCTATCCTCCCATCCATCAATTCACTCATTCATCACCCACCCTCCACCAATCCATCCATCCATCCATCCATCCATCCATCCATCCATCCATTCAACCATCAATCCATCCATCATCTCCATCTATCCATCCATCCATTAGTCCATCCATCCATCCATCAATCAGTCCATCCTTCCTCCAATCCATCCATCCATCCACTTGTCTACCATCCATCCATCCATCCATCCCCTACCCATCTATCCATTCAAAAATCGATTCACCATCCATCCATCCATTCAAGCATCCATCAACCTATCCACTTTCTATCAATCTATCCATTCATCTACCCACCATCCATCAATCCACCTGTCCATCCATCCATCCATTCTTTCTCCCATCCACTCACCCAAACATCCAAACACCTGAGCATCACGTTCTATGGTTTGAACTTCTGTGCCCCCCTGCAATTATGATGTTTAGATCTAAACCCCAAGTGATGGTATTAGGAAGTGGGGCCTTTGGGCAGTGATTAGGCCATAAGAGTGGAGCCCTCATGAGTGAAATTAGTGCCCTTACAAAAAGGACCTGAGAGAGGCCCCTCATCCTTTCCAGTATGTGAGGACACAGCCAGAAGACAGTTGTCTGCAAACCAGAAGAGAGTGCTCACCAGAACCCGACCCTACTGGCACCATGATCGTAGATTTCCAGCCTCCAGAGCTGTGAGAAACAAATTTCTGTCTATGCACTCCATTATAGCAGCCATAGCAGACAAAGGCACAGTGAAACCTAGGCTTGTCTCCTTTCCCCTCCTGGGCAGAGACCCCTGGCGGCCTCAGACGCCATACTGCCTGCTGCCCACAGTTCAAGGAACTCCTCCACCTGCCCGCTGGAAGGAGCTTTGAAAGAAGTGGGAGTGACCTTGGCCACCTGTGCTGACCCCACTCAGCACCCCTTCCAACTCCCGGGGCACACGTGGGGCCTGCATGTACTCCCGGGGCACACGTGGGGCCTGCGTGTACTCCCGGGGCGCACGTGGGGCCTGCGTGTACTCCCGGGGCGCACGTGGGGCCTGTGTGTACTCCCGGGGCGCACGTGGGGCCTGTGTGTACTAAGGGAAGGCATCTGCATTTCCAGGCCCTGCCCTCCTCTTAGCTTCTGGAACCACAAGGAAGGATGACCAGTGGTGATGGATGCAGCCGGCAACAGGTGTACATGCAAAGGACTCTGAATGGGGTGTTTTCTAACTGGCAGAGAGCTGTAAACCCAAAATGAAACCCTAAGCCCCCCAGCCAACTGAACAGACACCCCCATAGGCCAAGGAGAGCCCAGAGAAATCTGACAAACTGAATTCCCAACCATGATGGGATGGGAGATTAGACACCCCTCAATACGCCCCCTCCCTTTTGGAGTTTAGGCCCCACTGACCAGCAGTATCATTAAAAGAGAGATCATAAGACTGACAACATGGATAATTTGTGGCAATAAGATACCAAATTCCAACCTGACTCTGGTGCAGCATCACATGACACATAGCAGGCTCTAAAGGAAATCAAAATATTTTACCCCAAAGAACATTTCTCTGACATATTTTGAAATGGCTCTGCAAAGCCGTCTCTTGTGAGGAAAATTTGCATCTCCTTTTTCTAGGTCTTTCCTGGATCCAAGAGAGATTTCACTAAGAGTCTGACACCTTTTAAGGTCCTAGGAGAGACATTCATTCTCTCTGAAGCCTGCTGCTTACAGGATTCATCTACATAATAAGAACTGTGGCTTCCATAACCTCCCATTTTAACTCCAGCATTCCTTTTTACTGACTTCTGAAGTCTTTAGACAAAGCTTAACTCTTTCAACCAATTGCCAATCAGGAAATCTCTGAATCCACCTATGACCTGGAAGCCCCCACCTTGGAGATCTCCCCTTTCCCAGGCCAAACCAACGTACATCTTAAGTGCACTGACTTATGCCTTTGCCTGTAACTTCTGTGTCCCTAAAATGTATAAAACCAACTATAACCCAACTCAGGCACACGTGGTCTTCCTGAGACTATCACCCAAGGCCATGGTCACTGGCGGAGAATAAACCTCCTTAAATATTTTACAGAGTTTGGCTTCTTGGTCAACACAGCCTATCAGCAGGGAAGCTCTGGGAAGCTCCTCTGGGAGCCGCACCCCGAGAGGTAAGTGCCGGGCACAGCGTGTGAGCAGGTCGGGCCCTGGGGTCACCATGAAACATGGAAACCTTTGTATTTCCAAGGAATTGGAGTTCTCAGCCGCTCTTGGGGGATTTTACCCAGACACAGCCTCAGTCTTTGTTTAGTGCCTTGGGCACTTGCCTGTCCCAGCTGACAACCTCAAAGATCCTGGGAAGCGGGCAGGAGTGTGGGGAGGCCTGGAGAATCTGAAAGGGGCCAAGGTGCTTACCAGGGTGACACAGTGCACACAGTGACTGAATTGCGGCTGGTCTGCTCTGGAGGCAGCATCAACCTTGTTCCTACCTGAGTCCTGGGTGTCCAGCCTCGTGAACGGGAAGGGTCACTGTACTTCTAGACCATGGTTAGGTCACATCATGAGATGTGGAGGCTTTATGGGACAGCTGCTGGGAGTTCTGAGTCACTCCATCGCCCTTCCCTGGGAAGGCCAATCACGCTTCACGGCTGCCTCCTCTCCTCCTGGGCTCAATTCTGCCTACTTCCAAGTGCCTCTCAACACAGTGCCCTCCCTCTACCCCACAAAGCCTCCAAAGATCACCGTCCTGTGAGCAAACCCCTGATCCCACAGGAGACAGGAAGGGCTGAGGGACGGCAGAGCCAAGCCATCCCCACGCACTTCTGCTTCCGAACGCTCACTCCCCTCCCAAGAAAATACCATTGCCTGGAATTCAGGTAACGGCTCACTCCATGGTAAGGAGACTCGGGGCCTTGGGAAAATCATAAAACTGATTGCACTGGTCAGTTTTCAAACTGCTATGAATAACTACCTGAGACTGGGTAATTTATAAAGAAAAAAAAGTTTAACTGACTCACAGTTCCTCATGGCTGGGGAGGCCACAGAGGAAACTTACAATCATGGCAGAAGGCAAAGGGGAAGCAGGCACGTCTCACATGGAGGCAGGAGGGAGAGCCGGCAACGGGGGAGGGGCTACACTTTTAAGCCATCAGATCTCGTGAGAACTCACTCACTGTCATGAGAACAGCATGGGGAAAACCGCGCCCATGATCCAATCACCTCCTGCCAGCTCTCTCCCTCGACATGTGGGGATTACAATTCAACATGAGATTTGGGTGTGAACACAGAGCCAAACCGTATTGCCAATGACAAGTTTGAAAGTTTGCAATTTTTTCAAAACAGTTCTGTGATAGAAAGCGTTGAACTGAATGAAGGTGCTGGCCCAGCCTCCTAGGCTGTCCTGGCAGTGGGAGGCTGTTCCTGAGCCGTGGAGGAACCAGCGAGTGCACGGTCTGTGGCCCAACGACCTGGCTCTGGCCTCAGCCCGTCCCTTCAGGTAAACTCACTTTGGCCAAGAGAGCCTCTTGGCCTCATCTGAAGAGAAGGGTGCAAACAGCACCTTCTAAAAGCAAAATAGGTGAGAGGAGTGGCAACTGAGCACTGGGCTGTTAGGCTGATGAAAGGGCACAGTGCCCAGCAAGTGCCGTACCTGGCGCTCTCTCACCACCGGCCCCCAGCTAATTAGCTTATGGCGTTAAGCTATTAACCAGCACTCTCGTCTGTGTGTAATGCCTTTGAAGAAAGTCTTTATTACGTGGGAGGAACATCCGGGCCTGTCCGAGGTCACTCCTGCATCACTGTGCCCCGAGTGTGTGTGTGTCTGTGTGTGTGCGTTTACCAAGAGAGCCGTGTCTATTCCGAAACCTGGCTGTGACCCTGTAGCTGGTATTGCCACCGGGACTGTATAACTTAAGTAGAATTAAATAAGTCAACGGAAGGTAAGTGTGGAAAGCAAGCAAGGAGCTGTTTCCATGAACACTAGCTGAATATTACCGAAAGATGCAATAGAGTACATTTCTAAAAAACAATCTGCTGTGAATTTAGGTGTGGTCAAGACAAGGGGAGAGACGGAAATCAAAAGTCAAAAACTGCCAGGGGACTCCACGCGTGTCAAGCCTTCCTGCCACACTGTAATGAAACACAACCTTGAAATCATCAAGTATAACTAGGAGCCTGGCTTTAGAAATAAACACACGCACAAAAAAAAACCGACGAAAGCACCAAGCCACAGATCACCCGCAAAGCAAAGGCCTCATCCAGACACACGTCAATTCAGCGACAATGACTGTGCTTCTGGGTAATATGCAAATGCCGTCAGGCTTTTGTCAATACAGCGACAATGACTGTGCTTCTGGGTAATATGCAAATGCTGTCAGGGTTTTGTCAATACAGTGACAATGACTGTGCTTCTGGGTTATATGCAAATGACGTCAGGGTCTTCTGCTTTCACCAACTTGTGGGACAGTTGACCAACCGCTGGTAAGGATGTCAAGAAGACCTCTTTTCAGCCTCAGCCTGGTCCTGTGGGACGTGGGGTCACCAGGGGACAGAAGCTCACGATGATATGTATCAACATCACTAGCAACTTCAGGGGGCTCTGGGTGGAGGGGCAGATGTTCCCAAAGCCACCTGTACCCCTTCTGCCCCAACCCCTTCATCTGCAGCCCCTTGGGTGTGGGGGTCTCACCCAGGTGCCATCTGCCATTTCATCCCCTCATCATCACGGCTCTAGGGGACACCTGGAGAAGCCCTGGGTTCTAAGGTCAGGTCATTCCTGAGGCTGGAGAGTGGCAGGGCTGGCATTCCTGCCAGCTGCTGGTCTAGGGAGCCCAGACTGCTGGCCACAACCTGGAGCAGGAGGACAGAGTTCTGGATCCTCTGAACACATCCACAGGGGTGCAGAAGTTGTGATTTGTCATCAAACACCCACTGTGCTCCACGAATGGGATCGATGGGAAGCTGAGGACGGCCTTGGGGAGCCGCAGCCTCAGGCCCTGGGAGGCCCCGAGTCTCCAGTGAGTCCACAACAACGTCTGCTTGACGGGGAGCTCCCGTACCCTCGCAAAGACTCCACAGCTCCTAGGACAGTGGACGGATCTGTGCGAGAACCTAAGGCCATTTCCCCTCAATGTCCAGCCCCCAACGACGGGGTGCTGGTGTTTGATCAAGCAGGAGTGGGAGAGTCTACATGTGGACAACACCCCAGGATCCGGAGTGTGTGCAAGAAGGACAGACCCCATCTTCTAACTCAACTAAATAACTACACGTGTGTTCTGTCTGAGAATCAGGGAAAGCGCCTCTCTTGGAAACTTCTTGCCTCTGTTTTTTTCTTTTTTCTTTTCTTTTTTTTTTTTTTTGGAGATGGAGTCTTGCTCTGTCACCCAGGCTGGAGTGCAGTGGCACAATCTCGGCTCACTGCAACCTCCACCTCCCAGGTTCAAGCAATTCTCCTGCCTCAGCCTCCCAAGTAGCTGGGATTACAGGCACCTACCCCCACGCCTAATTTTTTTTTTTTTTTGTATTTTTTTAGTAGAGACAGGGTTTCACCGTGTTCCCCAGGCTGGTCCTGAACTCCTGAGCTCAGGCAATCCACCCGCCTCAGCCTCCCAAAGTGCTAGGATTACAGGTGTGAGCCACCGCACCCGGCCTCATCTCTGGTTTTTAAACAATTTGAAATGAGGAGAGCGTCTCTACTGCTGAGCTGTGCGTGTCCTCACGGGTTGGAGCCCCTCATTTTCTGTGCTTCTCCTAATTGGGGGGAAACTCGGTTCCAGGCATTTGGATGTGCTTTCCTTGGTTACAGCTGCGATGGGCAGGGGCTGCCTCTCCCTACAACTCTGAGCATGATGTGCTCAGGGATAAGCGTGGCTCAGGCCCTGCCTCCGAGTGCTGCATGCTGCACCACGATGTCTTCCAGGATCCACTAATATTCTGAGCAATCCACTGAATCTGACAGGTAGGGCCCCGGAGAACAAAATGGATGCTCAGAATTTAGGCAACATGTCTGAGGTTTCCAGCGAGCCTGAGCCAGATTAGGATCCTTCCAGAAGCCGTGGTGGGAGCGCAGGTTGGGCCTGGGGGCCCTTTTCTCCATGCTCCCCAGTTCTTGCCACCCGGGCGCCCTAAGATGAGAGCCGACACAGCTTGGTGTGCCCGGCCCAGCACTGGACGGTGGCACAGTGGGAGTGAAGCAGGCACAGGTGCAGGTGTCTGCAGCACTGTGCTCCCAAGGCGGCTGCAGTGGGAAGAGCCAGGACATCTGGATCCTCTTTCACTGGACCAGGACCTCCCACGGTGAGGACCACATCCTCAGTCCTCCTCTGCCCTAGAGACCTGGCATGCACAAGGGGCCTGGCACACTGGCTGTCAGTGCCCAGTCGTGGTGGGCAAATTTTGGGAGGCTGCCCTGTCCAGGGGCAGCAGCAGTGCTGGGGTCCCTCAGCTCCTCCTGCCTCCCCATCCTCTGTGTTTGTGGGTGCCCACTTCCCTTTCTTGGTGGCCCCTCTCAGTGTGCTGCCGTCACCTCTTAGCCCCCTCGCCCTTCTCTCCTGCTGTGGGGCTACCTGGACTTGAATGGAGACTAAATGCCACAGGGCCCCGGCAGCAGGGACTGGGCAGGCAACTGCATGGCGGGTACAGCAGGAGGCTGTGCACTAAAGTCTCCTCGAGATCTTCCATCTTTTGTTCTGAGAACCCAGCAAAAGCTGGCAGCAACCTGGGTCGTGGGACGCACACGCTCCTGCCAGCCCCACAGAGCCCCAAATTGGAAGTTATTTATAACTCTGCTTCCAGCAAAGAAGACAGGCCGGAGCCAGGGCCTGGGGTCTGGGGTGAGCAGGTGGTTTCAGCCTCAGACATGATATCCTCCTTGCACACAGGGTGGGGGGACCATGGCCACCCATCCACACCCACCGGGGCTGCAGCAGCTGCAGTGAGACCACGGGTGGGTGCCGGTTGAACCGGGCCCTCTGCAGCCTCACGAGGCCTCTGTGACTCCTGGGGGTGATGCTGGGATAACATTTACAAGTGGGAAAACTGAGGTTCATGGGGTCCGCCCTAGGCCATCCTAAAGGAAGGGACAGAGCTGGGGGTGGACTTGGTCACCACTGGGCTAAGCTGCCTGGCCTGTGCAGAACCCTGAGAGTGCTTGGGCAGGGCCGGTCCACACGGTGAGGGCGGCGCTTCATGGAACAACACATCTTCAGCCACACCAGGAGAGGGATGGACAGGGAGCCGGGAGAGGGATGGACGGGGAGCTGGGGAGCCAGGAGAGGGATGGACGGGGAGCCGGGAGAGGGATGGACGGGGAGACGGGAGAGGGATGGACGGGGAGACGGGAGAGGGATGGACGGGGAGCCCGGAGAGGGATGGACGGGGAGCCGGGAGAGGGATGGACGGGGAGCCCGGAGAGGGATGGACGGGGAGCCCGGAGAGGGATGGACGGGGAGCCGGGAGAGGGATGGACGGGGAGCCCGGAGAGGGATGGACGGGGAGCCGGGAGAGGGATGGACGGGGAGCCCGGAGAGGGATGGACGGGGAGCCGGGAGAGGGATGGACGGGGAGCCCGGAGAGGGATGGACGGGGAGCCCGGAGAGGGATGGACGGGGAGCCGGGAGAGGGATGGACGGGGAGCCCGGAGAGGGATGGACGGGGAGCCCGGAGAGGGATGGACGGGGAGCCGGGAGAGGGATGGACGGGGAGCCCGGAGAGGGATGGACGGGGAGCCGGAAGAGGGATGGATGGGGAGCCGGGAGAGGGATGGACGGGGAGCTGGGGAGCCAGGAGAGGGATGGACGGGGAGCCGGGAGAGGGATGGACAGGGAGCCGGGAGAGGGATGGACGCCGAGCCGGGAGAGGGATGGACAGGGAGCCGGGAGAGGGATGGACAGGGAGCCGGGAGAGGGATGGACAGGGAGCCGGGAGAGGGATGGACAGGGAGACGGGAGAGGGATGGAGGGGGAGCTGGGGAGCCAGGAGAGGGATGGACGCGGAGCCGGGAGAGGGATGGACGGGGAGCCGGGAGAGGGATGGACGGGGAGACGGGAGAGGGATGGACGCAGAGCTGGGAGACGGATGGACGGGGAGCTGGGGAGCCGGGGAGCCGGGAGAGGGATGGACAGGGAGCCGGGACGGTGCCCTGGCACCGGAACTCAGAGACAGGCTTCCAACATGTGAGAAGTTTCTTCTGTCCTTACACCCTGAGGTCTTTGAAATACACAAATGTACACACCAGCATTTTTTTTTTTTAACTTTGTTTTTCCGTTTTCTTTTTAGAAGTTTCCATCATGCGTTTTCCTGTGACGTCTATCTCCAGCATCCTTCCTTGAGCGCAGGGCTTCCGTCCTGTGGGTGGGCTGAGGACACTTTTCCACGTGTGGGACAGAGGCCGCACCACCTGCAGCCCTGGCCCCGCCTGCCGCAGCCCTGCTTAGGTCACACACGCGGCTCCCCGACCTCTTCCTGCTCCAGCTCTCCAGGCTCATCCAGAACTCATGTCCCTCCAAGGACCTGTTTGAAGCCCTTCCCTGGACCACAGGCCTCAGCATTCTCGCCTGGTGCCCGACCTCTTCCTGGTTCCTCTGCACAGGGCCCTGAGACACATGGATGGATTTGAGGCCTGTGTCTTTGCCCCGCATAGGGTCAGTTCTCCGAGGGTGGCTCGGCTGGCTGCCTGTACCACTGCATCCAGGTGTGGAGCCCGGGGCACAGCAGGATCCCCAGAACATCAGCTGCACAGAGCCGGCGGGAGAGAGCCCCTCCCTGGGGGCCCTTATAGCCCAGCTTAAGGGAACAGGAAAGAGAAGCCTCAGAAGCCCTCAGCAGAGGGAACATGGGGCCCAGAGCAGCCGCCCCAGGAAAGAGAATTCAGGAAAGAGGTTTGAGGGAGGCGGCTCAGGAGGACCAGGGAACTGGAATGGCAAGGGTCAGAGTCAGGGAGCTGCTGACATCAGACAGAGCAACGGGGGCGGGGATAGGGAGCCCCAGGGGCCTGGAAGGTTTGGGATGCAGGAATGGGGAGCTCTGGGGAGTGAGCTCTCGGGGTCTAGGGAGGCCTGGGGGACTGGAAGGTCTGGGGGTGAGGATGCCAGATCAGGCAGGGCTGCCTCCAGCTTGGACCTCCACAGTGTTGGAGCAACATGGCAGGGCCACTGCAGGACTCCTCTATCCCTCCCCAGGGGCCAGGACAGCTGCCTGTAGCTGTGCTTGGGTGGCCTGTCATCCAGGAGGGGGACGCCACGCCCGCCCGACCTGACTCTCCTTGTGAGGGAGACTCACTTTTTCTTCAGTTTCTTCCTCAAGTTCCTCCTGCAAACTTCCAACCAGGAGCTGCTTCCTCTGGGCCTTGGCGCTCAGGGGTGGGAGGCCTCGGGGAGGAGAAGACCCAGCCTGGACTCCAAACTCAGGCAGATGGGCCCAGGAGGGAGGCAGCAGGCAGAAAGCCAGGTCTGGGCTGTCCCACGTTGCTGCTGGGTCTATTCCTGGCCAGCTGATTGGCCCCTCTGGTCAGTCTTGCTGGAGATGAAGACTTGCCGGGGAGCAGTCCCTCAAGAACACGGGAAGGTCACTACAGCCTGGATACATGTCCCTTCTGCAATCGCGTGGCCCGGCCACCCTGAGCTGCCTCCACCGACCCCGGCATCCCCATCCCCAGAACTGCACATCTGAAACCGACGTCCGAGCCAAGGCGTGATGACCAAAGGTGTCGGGAGCACAGCGGGCGGGCAGGGTCCTGCTCCCCAGGCCTATGGGGGAGCCACGAGCAGATCCTGCCCTGACAGCAGGAAAATAAAATTGTTTCAGCCCATCAGCATCCCCGACGGGCACTCAGAAGGCAGCTGTATTCACAGCAGCTGGCCTGTGCCGGAAACAGCTTTCTGTCCAGTGGGCAGGAGAGAATGTCCAAGATAATTGTGTCTTAATACAGATTTATATGGGTGGCTCTGGGGTGGTCAGAAGTGGCTTCCAGCCGAATGCCAGGCAGGGGCGTCCTCCACGAGAGAGCAGAGTCTTCTGCAGGGCAGAGGCCTACCCAGGGCTGCCCCTGGGAGCCCAGTGGTAATGACAGCTCAAAAAGGTGACCCCCACCCTAACCAGACCATCCTGGGAACCCTCTAATCACTTCACACTTGCAATGTCCAGGGAGGTTAGTCCAAGGAGCATCCCACTTCCAGGAAGAAACTTAGAGAAATCAGTTGACCTCCTCAAGGTCAATGGCTTGGGAGTGGAGAAACCAGGACTTGAGCAGGGCTTGTTGTATCAGAGTCCAAGCCATGAGCAGTGCATACCCGCTCCCCGGCCGCAGAGTCCACACTGGCTAGTCCACACTGGCTGGGGAGAGGGTGGCTCCAGCTATCTCAGCCTGCAGAACTGGGTTGCAGTCCTGTGTCCTTCCTCGTGGGGGGCCATTTGCAGGCATGGCTGGGACAAAAGAACTGGACATCACACAGGCTTGGAGAGTGGGAGCCGTGTAGACTCCTGAACGACCACCAGGCATACCTGGGAGAATCACCCACAGTGGTGATGGCTGTTCCCCCTGCGCCTCTGAGCGGGAGCCACAGGAAAGACAAAGCAGGGATGAGGCCCGCCTCCCTCCAATGCCTCCTTTGCTTGCCTGCCCCACACCCTAAGAGGCATGTCTGCTGGCCCCTTTCTCCCGGGACAACGTCCACCCTCCCTCAAAGGCTCACCTGGCCCAGACCCAGAAGGTGTCCTCCCACCTGTGGCCACTCCCAAATTCCAGATGGAACCTGGACCCCAGGTGGGAGGGACAGGCCAAGACCATGAGGTGGACGCTGTCCAGGCTCTCTGCCCTCCCAGAACACTCTGGTTCCTTTGACTGGGCAGGCTGGGGACACGGCTGGATCTTTGAGGCTGGCTGCTGTGGCCCAGGGAGGCTGCCTGTGAGCCCTCTGGGGGCTGAGATCAGCCTGTGCTCTGTGTTTTATTCCAAGCCTCAAATGGTCCAGCCAAGGCCCACTGCCTGCCCCACCGCCAGCTGCCTCAGCAGCCTTCTGGAGGCAGCACCTGCTTGCCAGTGGTGGGCGCCAACTCTCTGCTCCTGAATGAGGGCAAATGAGGCACCTGTGCCTGGGCGTCAGGGTGCGCTGTGATGCACAGGGCAGTGGGTCTGGGATGAGCCACCTGCAGGGCCTTCAGGCTTCAGGGCTGCACTCCTGTGTGCAATGGTACAATGCTGACCTGGAGACTGGGGAGGACAGGGTGGGTCTTGAAGAATAAGAGAGCAGGAGGCCTCAGGCCTCAGCCAGCAGGCGGGGCTCCCCGGCAGCTGTGAAGGAAGAGCCAGGACAGATGCTTGGAGACTGCAGAGGGAAGCCGGGCTTTTGCACCCAGTGGTGTCAGAGCAACCTCGGCACATGCCTCCTAGGTCTTCTCCAAGCTTGGTGTTGAAAACGGCCGCCACCAGGACTGTCCTGCTGAGATGCCCAGCTGGTGGGGGGTCCACTTGTCTGGGCAAAGCTTCTCCAGCCTATTTCCCCTTTTGCTGCCCTGATAACAGGAATATGCCTCCCAGGATCCCACAAGTGGGTGTATGGGCCGGGCTGCTTTGCTGAGGGCAGCAGAGATGCCCTTTCCAGGCTGATCCCTGAAGGCTGCTCTGCATCCCCTGCTCTGTCTCCCGCTGCAACCTCTGAGGCCCAGAGTTTTGGACGGGGGCCCCGCCACAGGAAGCCTCCTGAGTCCTGCATCTCTGCCACTTGGCAATACCCATGTTGATCTTTACGTAAACAAAATGAACTCTGATGGCAGGTCATTGGCAAACTTTTTCTTAAAAGGCCACAGAGCTTCGGAGGCCGAGGTGGGTGGATCACCTGACGTCAGGAGTTCGAGACCAGCCTGGCCAACAGGGTGAAACCCCATCTCTACTAAAAATACAAAAATTAGCCGTGTGTGGTGATGGGCACCTGTAATCCCAGCTACTCGGGAGGCTAAGGCAGGAGAATCTCTTGAACCCAGGAGGCGGAGGGTGCAGTGAGCCGAGATCGCGCCACTGCACTCCAAGCCTGGGTGACAGAGCGAGACTCCATCTCAAAAAAAAAAAAAAACTGGCCAGACAGCAAATCGTTTGGCCTCTGTGGCTACGCAGTCTCTATCTCAGCCTCGTCTCTGTCACTGTGACACAAAGCAGCCACAGCAACACCGAAAGAATAGTGTGACAGTGTCCCGATAAAACTGTGCATCGGGCCAGGCTTGTTCTTATAGGTACTGCTAATGCTGCAAATCTCCCATCACACTGCAGACCCAACGGGCAAGCTAAGGTGGCCCCCCTCCCCACGGCGTCTCCCTGAACGAGGGCTCCTTCTGTGGGGGGTGTGGACCTCCCACTGTCCCTGCCTTTGTGACGTGTTGTTCCGGGACAGGCAGTCACTAGGGCCCAGATGCAGCGTCTAACTGCACTAACATGGATCAGCCCCAATGTCGACGCCCAAACAAAAGCGTGGTTTGCAAATGACGCGATTCAATCAATAACACCGAGATCACCGTTGTGCAAACTGTAACTCGAAGGCTGAGGAGGGACGTACCTGAAAGGTCACTCAGATAAAGCCCGTTCCAGAGGCAGGAAGAGCAGATCCTGGGATGTGTGAACACAACAGTCCACACAGCCAAACCATGGACAGGCATGGACGGGTGCCAGAAAGGAACCGCTGGCGGAACAAAAGCCCTGCCCTGGGGAGCCCCGAGTTCTGGCTGGGGCAGGTGGGGGCGAGCAATGCCGGAGGCCCAAATGTGACATACCGTCTCACTGTAACTAACTGCTAGAAGGGTGCCTGCAGCCGGGAGCAAAGTCCCAAGAAATGAGAGAAGATGAAACCGGGACCTACATCTGCACCGCCCGGCCCAAGCAGGAGGAAGGGCGGAGGGCAATTCCTGCAACATCCCACAGAGTCTAGATGTGAGATGGGCGAAGAGGAGTCCAGATGTGAGGCGGGCAGAGGAGTCCAGATGTGAGGCGGGCGAAGAGGAGTCCAGATGTGAGGCGGGCAAAAAGTCCAGATGTGAGGTGGGCAAAGGGCTGGGGCAGAACGGGCCCTCACTAGACACCCGACCCCAGAGCCGGGGCCAGCCCTCCCACCCCTAGTATCTACAGAGCTATACCCAGCTATGATGCATTTCCCAGGCAGAGTTAGGGGAAGGGCCTGTAAAGAACCTGTGGGTTGGCAGGACAGGTCAGCAGGCGGTGTCTCTGTGTGGACCACAGCTCCACAGAGTGGACATCAGAGCCAAAAATAACCTGGCCCCATGCACCTTCACCTTCCACCCTCCCTCACCTCCTACATACCCGGGGCTGAGGTCAGCCTGTGCTCTGTTTTATTCCAAGCCTCAAATGATCCATTTGACATCCAAGCCCTACACACAGTACACAGCCAGGCAGTCCACCCTGGAACACCCAGAGCCTCTCAGTCCAGCAGCGACAGGGCACCAGCCATCCCACCCTCAGAAGAAGGCCGGCCTCTTCCTGGCCAGCAGAGCCCAACAGCCATTCCCCCAACTTAGGAGAGAAGCCTGCTGCAGAGGCAGAGGGTCCCAGCCACCCTCCCAGGCTTACAGGCCTAATCCTCTGTTGTCCAGAAAGCGACGAGACAGGCAGGACTGCCTGGGAGGGAAACTGACAGCAGGAAGCAGAGGCACAGAGAGGAGCGAGCTGAAAACTGACCCCAGAGGAAGCAGAGACACACAGAGGCAGAAACTCTGTTTAATCTTTTTCAAAAAACATCTGCAGAGATCCACAAGGATGGTGCCACATCAAACCAGAGCAGACTGCTTCAGAAAGCAAGAGTTCCCCCAAAGTTCAAAGTGGGGTTGCTGGAGGAGAAGATGACGGTGATGGAGGGGACCTTCCTCAGAACTTGAACAACGAGACCGATATCTTCTAGAGCACAGTGCCCCAGATGAAAAGGAGACAAGTATGTAAAAGAAGAAGCTGGAGATTTGGAGGCACTGGTGCAGCATTCCTTAGCGGGGTGTGCCATCAGCCTTGGGGTCAGGGTTTTTGTCTGTTCCACACTGTCCTGGACATACTCAGGACTCGGCATCCAGGGCTCTGAGCACCAAATGCCATTAGGACCGTGGTCTTTATAGTGATGAAAACCACCAGCACGTGTCTGGGTGTTGAGGTTCTATTTCCAATGGAGAATAATTGCTCTGATCAGAGTCCCAAGGGAAATAAAGACAATGGAGGAAAAGAAATAATCACAGATACATAAAATTCCCTGAGCTAAATCTGAACTTCCCATGCAAAGTGCCCAAAGGTGTCAACATACCTAGATGTCATGCAATGATGCATCAGAATCAAAAGGTCAAAAGGATGGTGCATGGGTTCCTGAGGGGTGATGAGCAAAGGAGTGAGGTATCACACAGCCATCATGTAGGCTGGGAGAAGGCAAGGAAGTGATGTCTTCAAAGCTCCAAAAGAAAATCTGTTTGTGCTGTAATTCTATACCCAGCCACGGTATCACACACAACAAATCATGCTTTGAGGAAATGCTTATCTGATATGCGGCAACTTCTTCAATCTCACCCATTTTTTTTCCCCTGATAAATGTAAGGAAAATGGATACGTTCAAAAAAGCTAATAGAAGTTTCCTTAGGGCAATAAAAGAACTATTTCCATTTTCTTCTTTAGGCTACAATTTTCTCTACTGTCCAAATTCTCTACCATAAACATTAAATGTTGGATGCTAGTTGTGAAGATAATTGAAGTGGACTGTTGTATTGCACGCAGATGCAAGCAGCAGAAGTATGATGATTCCCACAAACCAACTTCCCCAGAGTCCATCGGCTAAGGCTTAACAATCAGGAGTCCAAAAACCAAGCCAAGAACAAAGGCTGTTGACACTCAGAGTTCAGAGAAGGAAACTTCGAGATGAAAATCTCTCAATATCAGCTGAGCTTGGTAAATATAATGAAATTATCTCAATCACTTACAGAAATCATCTCTGATCCCTGAAGCAGTGTTACAAACACCCTTTACAAACCAGAAAACTGAGACTTGGAGAGGTTCAGGGATTGCTTCAAAGACACATAGCTACTATGTACAAGACCCAAGATCTGGACCCCAAGGATGCAGTTTCACAGCCCGGGCTTACTCCCCACTCATCAGATATTGTTTGGGTCTCGGAAACATGCACCTTCTCTCTTTGCCTGCAATCCTGGGCCTGGTCACACATCAGGGAGCTGATTTCTGAGTCACAGTTGAGAGACTCTCCAGGGACAGGCACCAGGGACAGCCACAGAAGGGAGCTGTTTTCAGAGAGGGGCCACTGTTTGCTTGTGTTTCCAGGACTGGAGGTGCCCTGAAGGTCTCATTAGGCCCTGGGAGGCCAGGGGATTCTCTGATAAATGTGTCTGTTCATGTCTGGTTTAAACTCAGGCTCGCTGACTGGGATGGCAGGTTCCTCTCCAGACACTGTTCCATCCCAACAGTCATGCTCCCAGAACACAAGCCTCTGAAGGAACCACCACTCTGGATGGCTTGGTTGGGATGAGCACCGATGAAGAAAGCAGGGAGCACTCTGACTTTTCCACAGAGAGTGGAACGTACCCCAGGCTGCCTGCCTCAGCAAGCCAGCACCACTTTCGGCTGAGAATTTCTGTGATTCTCAACAGAGCACCCCAGATGTCAGAAATGCCCTGAGCAGAGAAAGACAGGTGAAAGGGCTGGTGGGGCTTCCAGGCCAGGGGCAACTTGGCTCCGTTCGGTGCTCCCTGCACATTGAGGAGGACTCACGGCTCAGACCTGCTCATTCTGGTCCTCCTGGCTGTTTCCCCGAATGGCTCGAGCTCCTGGGGAAGCTTAGCAGGGTGAGAACTCAGCCGGAAGCTAAGGACACGGAGGGCACAGGTTTCCTGCATGTCTGTGCAACCTGAACATCCAAGGCATGATTTAAGAGTGTGAGCATACGGCACAGTCTATTCCTCCCATCTTGGTGTGTCCCTGGGATACAAAAGATCCTCTAGCATTTTCTAATAAATTCCTGTGGGTGACGCTTCCCTCTGGCCTCCAAATTTATGGGTAATGAGCAATGGCAGTTTGACTTAACAAGGTTTAAGATTTCCATTCAAACAGATAAGTTAGCACCAACTGTCCCAGGCTTTGGGAACGGTGTTTCCCTGCCTTATTTATTGTACAGAGAGTCACCAGAGGCCCATAAAGCTGCCTCAAAGTAAGCCACGGCTCCTGATGGTCTCCATCATGTAAAATTGCCCTCACACAACTGAGGAGGTGCTTTCTCGCCTTCAGGCCATGACAAAATGCCTCAACCCAGCATTTTCCTACATCCTGATGAGACGGCAAAATTGCCGGGTCATTAACCAGCCGCTCCTAAATCCTGTCTCTGCTGCAAGGAGCTTTGACCTTGGGTTCGACCCTGCCCAGGCCACGCGGCTACTGCTCCTGCTTCCCCCACCTCCACCGATGGATTGCCCCCATTTTCACTCTCTAGAGCCTCAGTGCGGGGCCGGGAGTGGGGCTGAGCCCAGCCGGCAGCTCTCCTGAGTCTGAGCTGACAGCCCGCCATGGGCTTAGCCTCTAAAAGGCTGGCATGGGTGTGTTTACCCAGTGCCCACCAGGCCTGGCCTTCCAGCGTGTGCTTAAGCATTCTGTCCTCCGCGCCTTGGTCCAGCAAGAGCCTTCATTAAAAAGAACGTTCCAAACCCTGTAAGCCAATTCATAATGACTTCTTCAGAGGAATCGTGGCCTAGATAAAGGAATGGTATCCAATACTGCAATTATTTACCATAAAAACCACCATTAAGGAGGGCTGACTCCCAAGGCGCACAGGGCCATTAGCAGCCGATTACAGAATGAGGGGCAGTGTGGGCCAGCCCCTAAGCACACGCACAGCCCGGAGAGCTGTCCTCTGAGAGGATCTAAGCGCCTAACATGAGGCCAGGGCTGAACATCTGGCTCTGGGACATCATCCTTCCTCTTTCCGCAGGAGGGATTCGCAGGCTTGGATGGCTGAGACAAGCTGCTTGGGAGTTGAGGGGCAGTAACAGCCAGGACTGGGGACCCGGAGAGGTCACAGTTTGTTTAATTTTCAATTTCCAGCTAACTGAATGGAGAAGCCAGCTCAGGCGGGAGGCAGCACAGCCTTAGGGCTGGTGAAACGTGGAATCACAATCTCAGCTTTGCAATAGCCTTCATATGCGAGGGCCAGAAAGCACTGACGTCTCTGGGCTATGGTTCATTCCTGCAGGCAAGTGGGCAACATGGGGCTGGGAAGCAGGTGGGCCTGGTGACAAACGTCTTACCTGACACAGGGGCTCCTCCCATGGCCCCTTTGCCCCCAGGAGCCTGACTCGGTCATTTAAGACCCCCTGGCTCAGGGAGGAAAGGCTATGCCACCAACTCACACCTGGGACAGATGGAGAAGGCATCCTCTCGTCATTATTCCAAGGACCCTGCTGCATCCAATTTTGGAAACTCAAAGGCAGGGTGCTCCCTGGTCATGTGGGGCACTTCAGGGTCACTCATTCACCATGGCGAGGCTGGCAAATCTGCCTGGGATGCAGCCCTACTGAGGCGGAGACATGGGCACCTGACCTTCTAGAAGTGGGTCCTCACGGACTGCATGGGCGCAGTGGGCTGGGCTTGAAAGGGGGCTACCCCGGGGCCAAGGGCTCCTTTTGCCTGATAGGTTTCTGGGTTTCCCTGCAGGCGAAGCTCATGGGCTGGGGCCTGCAGCCACCTTCTCCTTTTTCAGAGTTTGGAGATGAAGCAATGCCTGCCTTAGTGTACGCAGGCTGCCAAGACAACAGACCACACGCTGGGGGGCTTAGACACAATGGGTTTCTCTCTCCCAGTTCCAGGGACTGGAAAGTCTGAGATCAAGGCATCAGCAGATTCGGTGTCTGGCGGGGGCTTCCTGGTTCACAGACGGTGCCTCCTGGTTGTGTCCTCACGTCGGGGAAGTGGGGAGGGTCTCTCTTCTAAGGACATTAATCCCATTCCTGAGGGCTCCCCTCTCACCAGCTACTCACCTCCCAAATACCATCACCTCGAGGGTGAGGATTTCAACACATGAATCTGGGGAGGTCGCCAGCACTGGGACCATGGCAATGCCCGTTCAGACAGCTTGGTCCTGCCCTTTCATCTTCATTAATCCACCAGAGCTGACGCTGAGACCCCCCGCAGCAGCCTCCACCAGGAGGGAAGTTAATCCTGGTGCCAGCCAGGTGGTGTCCTCCCAAGATCGCGGCCTGTGGCCCTGAGTGCTGGGGGACTACAGCTCCCAGTGAAGACGCGGCCCCGAGTGCTGGGGGACTACAGTTTCCAGTGAAAACGCGGCCCCGAGTGCTGGGGGATTACAGCTCCCGGTGAAGACGCGGCCCTGAGTGCTGGGGGATTAACACTCCCAGTGAAGATGCGGCCCTGAGTGCTGGGGGACTACAGCTCCCAGTGAAGACGCGGCCCTGAGTGCTGGGGGATTAACACTCCCAGTGAAGATGCGGCCCTGAGTGCTGGGGGACTACAGCTCCCAGTGAAGACGCGGCCCTGAGTGCTGGGGGATTAACACTCCCAGTGAAGATGCGGCCCTGAGTGCTGGGGGATTACAGCTCCCAGTGAAAACGCGGCCCCGAGTGCTGGGGGATTACAGCTCCCAGTGAAGACGCGGCCCTGAGTGCTGGGGGACTACAGCTCCCAGTGAAGATGCGGCCCTGAGTGCTGGGGGATTAACACTCCCAGTGAAGACGCGGTCCTGAGTGCTGGGGGATTACAGCTCCCAGTGAAGACGCGGCCCTGAGTGCTGGGGGATTACAGTTCCCAGTGAAGACGCGGTCCTGAGTGCTGGGGGATTACAGCTCCCAGTGAAGACGCGGTCCTGAGTGCTGGGGGACTACAGCTCCCAGTGAAGACGCGGTCCTGAGTGCTGGGGGATTACAGCTCCCAGTGAAGACGCGGCCCTGAGTGCTGGGGGATTAACGCTCCCGGTGAAGACGCGGTCCTGAGTGCTGGGGGATTACAGCTCCCAGTGAAGACGCGGCCCTGAGTGCTGGGGGATTACAGTTCCCAGTGAAGACGCGGTCCTGAGTGCTGGGGGATTACAGCTCCCAGTGAAGACGCGGTCCTGAGTGCTGGGGGACTACAGCTCCCAGTGAAGACGCGGTCCTGAGTGCTGGGGGATTACAGCTCCCAGTGAAGACGCGGCCCTGAGTGCTGGGGGATTAACGCTCCCGGTGAAGACGCGGTCCTGAGTGCTGGGGGATTACAGCTCCCAGTGAAGACGCGGCCCTGAGTGCTGGGGGATTAACGCTCCCGGTGAAGACCCATGCTCATGACAGAAAGTCTGTGGCCCTGGTGGCCAGAAGCCGATTATTTTTGCCAGGGGAGTCAGAATATAAGAGAAATTGAATTAACCAGGCAGGAGTTATAACGCAGTGCGGAGTCTCAAGGACCCTCAAGATTCCAGCGAAGCCCGCGAGATAAATAAATATCAACAGGGGAGTGTGGCACGGAAGGCGGGAGGGGCACTCACGTGGAAGACGTTCACTAACACGCAATACCCATGTCAGAACCGATAAGACTGCAAATATTGATATATTGATATCACAGTTACGGCTATTTCAGGAAATGGAATTTTATTAGAAGTTTTCCAATCTTTCCTCCCTTCCTCCTGGTCTGCCTCCTGATTCCTGCCCTGAAATATGCTCTGTTCTCCTGGGTGAAAGGGAACAGACAGGTAAATCATCACACCGTTAGGTGGTACCCAAGCCAGGAGCGCGTGGCTCTTAGATGCAGTGCGGGGCTGGCTGGGGAGGGCGGGCGGGCTCCAGGCTCCTCCTGCAGGCCGCTCGGATGGGCAGACCTCATCCCTGCTGCCCTGTGCTGCCCCTGGAAAAGCTCCAGGCAGAAACGGGCCTGCTGCATGCTGGGAGGGGTGAGGGTCGGGGTGCTACCTCTCCAAGTAGGGATCTCACCCGACTTGCCCTCCTCCCCCTCAATCCCAGGCTGTCCCTGTTTGGGCTTCCCCAGACAGGACTGGGTGACATTTCTCTGGAAATCACCTATGCAGCTGGGGTGCTTGGGTGACTCTCTGGACGCCCACTCCCTCAGTCCCTCCTCCTCCCTCCAACCACTCAGCACCATGGGGATGAAGGAGGCTGAGACAGTCGGCCACCCTCTACCTCCTGGGCTCCGGATGGAATGCTCCCCACAGCCCACACAGCAGACATGCGGTGCCTGTGTCTCCCAGCAGGCTGGAGGGAGGCCTGCTGATGTCACCATCCCCAGGAGCTGGGGCATGTGAAACCCGCTCCGACAAGGGGTTTCAGGGCAGTGGAACTAGCCGGTGTGACGCTGTCACGGGGATTCCTGGCACTGCATATTTACCAAAGCCCATGACATGTCCACACCAAGAGGGAATGGCAGTGTACACTGTGGATGCTGGCTGGTCACTCAGTATCACCAGGTCACGGGCCTCCGTACTGACTGGTCACGGGTCTCAGTATTGCCTGGTCACGGGCCTCAGTAACGCCTGGTCATGGGCCTCAGTATTGGCTCATCAATTGTAACCAGTGGACCTTGCCAATAAGAGAGTCCAGTGATGGTGTCCTGTGGTGGGAGGGAGCTGTGGACACCCTCTGCTTCCTGCTCTCTTTCTGTAAACCTAAACCTTCTATAAAAAAAGTAAAGTGTACGAACTTAAGAAGTCACAGACAAAAACACCTCCATGGCCATCAGACACTGTAGAACAAGCCCCATGGCTCATTTCTCGGCTGGGATAATAGCTGGCATTTCCCCTCTGAGTGCAGAGGGGAAGACATGGCCCCAGAACTACTCCTGGCTGCGATCATATTTGAACCTCCCCGACCATCTGCAGGGTCAGCTCAGCTCCCCTCTGGGGACCCAGGGCACACAGTGGCCTCTGCAATGCTGAGTATCACACCAGGCCCCTCTTCTGCCAGTCAGGCCATTAGAAAGACCACCAGGCCGGGGACCTCTCCCAGTCCCCACCCTCCTGGAGCCAGGCCAGGCCCCTCGTTCCCATGGGAGGGGTAGGAGGCCAGGGCTAGGCTGGATGCAGGGTGGGGGCGATGGGGGCGTTGGGGGCAGGTGGGGAGCAGCTATCTACCTCCCCACTGCGAATCCCACCCTGCGATGTTCAAGCAGGCGGCCCAGGGAAAAGGAAAACAGAGAGGGCCCTGGTTCGTTAGCGTTCTCGGGAGGGCGCCTGCCGCTAGATAGGAATCTGCGTGTGATCTCAGCTCCGGCTTTCAGCGGATGAGACATAAAAGATAATTAGCTAATTAGATATAATATATTCAGGGATGAGACCCAGTCTTCCATTCTGTCTCTCTAAAGTGTTTCAGAACTTTACATAAAACCATTATGAGTGAAAGGCTAGAACTTTTCAATAAATGATGTTGGATCTGTCGGGTCTCCATGTGCAGAGAAAAAAAATGTGCCTTGAGATCCATCTCATACCACATGGAACTTAATCAGAAACGGCTGGTAGACCCAACTGTGTGATGTAAGGCTGGAAAGCTGGGACAAGAACGCGAGAGAACGTCTCACGGCTTTGGGGTAAGATGACGTTTCCCACACAGAATGCAAAACACACGACCTGGAAGGGAAAAGATGAATCAATTCGACTTAGCTAACATTAAGAATTTCTGCTCATCAAAATGTACCATTAAGCAAATAAGAAGGCCAGCCACAGAATAAACACAGGCTTGAATGGAGCATATAGGAAGAGCTCCTGCAAATTATTTAACAAAAGGACCAGCAACTCAATAAACATGAGTGGAAGACGCAAATGAACACTTCATAAAAAGCAGCTATTGGGCCACTCCAGACGGCTGTAGAGTCATGCCCAGGATCTTGACGCAGCAGAAAAAACCAAGTCCACGAAACACCGTAGGCTCAGCAAAATGGCTGAAATTAAACACACTGACCATCGCCGGTGCTGGAGGGACCATGACGCACACAGAACATTCATGGACTGCTGATGGCACGTGACATGATACAATCGCTTTGAGAAACACTCTGCAGGGCCTACCGTGGCTAGGTCACAGCCCTGCCACTCCAAGGCGAATGCTGGAGATAAGTCAGTGGACACAGCCACTCGGAGACGTGCACCAAGTATGTTCACAGCAGCATCACGCAGAATGACTAAAAATTCAAAAGAGCCTGTACGTCTACCGTCCTTGGCACAGACAGATAGATGGCGGTACAGGGACATTTTATACAGCAATGAGAGTATCAGATTGTCACCACACATGACAGCACGGGCGGCTCTCACAGACGTAACGAGGGAAAGGATCCAAGTCCAAAAATGAGGCCTACTCCCTGCTTCCGTTGATGGGAGGTTCTGAAACAGGCAAACCTGCAGTGACAGAAGTTAGGGCTCTGGTGAGCCAAGGGGAGGGGTGAGATCGGGCCAGGAGGGGTGAGATCAAGGTTTGCACTTACAATTTCCAATTTGCCTGTATAGATGTGTCAATGAAATATTTTTTTAAGTTACACTTTAAAAAAGAATAGTCACCTATTTTGGGCTTCTAAGCCCAATTTAAGATCAAGCAATCTCTTCAGAATATGTCTACACGCATATTTTGTAAACCAATAGAATTGTACAGACGTCGTTTCACAAGGGTCATCAAAGATGGCCTGATGATGAGGGAAGATCATTTCACGAGACACGACTACATTTACTGAGCCAAGGTCTGGGGGACTTTCCTTACATCATTCAGGCATCAGAGGCAACATTCAAAGGAGATGCAGCAGCCCCCCATTATTCACAAGTGATACACCCCCAGACCACCAGTGGCTGACTGGAACGGCAGAGAGTACCAAACCCAGCTGCCATCAATCAAAATCCATTTCTGTTCATGTATTCCATCCACAAACTGAACGCCTTTTCCATCTTAACTATGCACTTTTTATACACCGTGGCCATAACTTTTGCAGTCTGGGGTGCAACAGCAAAGCCAGCATGAGGTCTGTTTCCTTCATGGATAGAAGATTTTTTACTGTAGATCTTAGCAACCTCAGCATGTGATTTTTTTCCTTTCCTTATGAAGTTGAGAATTCTCATCTTTTCACTTAAAGGAAGCACTTCACGGCTTCTTTCTGGCATATCTGAATTGCCAGCATCACCCGTGCTCTTGCACTTTGGGGCCATTATTAAGAAAAATAAGGGTGTCTTGAACACAAGTACTATGATGCCACGACAGTCCGTCTGATAACCAAGACGGCTACTTAGTGACTAATAGGCAGCTGACTTGGACAGTGTGAATATGCCAGGAAAAGGGAGGGTTCATGGACCGGATGGGACAAAGTGGAATGGCGCAAAATTTTTGTCATGCTACTCAGAATGACGTGCAATTTAAAACTTACAAATTACTTATTTCTGGAAATTTCTATTTAATATTTTTGGACTACCTTTGACCATGGGTAACTGAAACCACAGAAAGCAATGCTGTGTGCTTACCTCTGAACAAGTATGCCTGCAATTTTAGTTTCCTGCCACCAGGTGGTGATAGAGACAGAGTCAGCTGGGTAAAATCATGCTTGCAAAGGCCCTAAGTCACCGTGTGCCGGCTGCTGCACTTTGCCCTTTGCCTACAGTTGCGTCTCCCCTCGTCACCAGTGGGAAGGTGACTGGTCCAAGGTGACTTTGGCAGTGAGGCACAGGACCTATAAAGATGCAGGCCACTTAACCCCAATGTGGCCCCTCAGCCCACTCTAGTGCCCCCAACTGCAGGGTCTGGCTTGACCTTGAGAAGCAGCACCCCGTTGACATGTCCATAACTCAGATTAGAAATATCCTTCCCTTCCCAATGGTAAATGAAACCTTTGTTAAGTCACCTGGCTCTAAAATGAGCCAGAGACACTTAAAAATGACAAAAAGTTAAAGCCAAAGAAAACCGCAGCTAAGACACCCAGGGGCCCAGCACCCTGCTCATCCAGCCACCCTGCGTCCCGGAGCATCCCAAGCATCCCCACGTCCCTCCTGCAGCTCCCGCTCCCATCAGTCAGGCTCTGCTCCTGTGGGAGGCATGAGCTGCCAGATCTGCCGAGTGGTCTGAATGATTAAAGGAGACCTTTATTCACCTCTCGGGCTCCCTGCGTGGGAGGTCTGCTTCCTTCCACAGGCAGCCTCATAGGGAGGGCAAGGATTGGGGGAGGCCACCATTGCAGCTGCGACAGCGGGTAGGCCAGGATGGCCCCTCTGTGGGCTAGTGGGTGCCCATCGCCTAGGGCCCTGTGTCCTCAGCTGCCGCCTCAGTTTCCCTGGTGACCTCAACACTCCCACACCCAAGCAGGCTTGCCAGTCTGACCTGCTCCCAGCCTGTGTCTCTCACTCCGTGCCTGCTGGACACCTGCTCCGGTGAGCTCGCACCAGCCGGGGGGCAGAACAGATGCTCCACGTGTGCCTGGGGCCTCCTGGGGTGGACACAGAGCATCGCTGCACATACACCCAGGCCTGGGTTCAGCTCTGCCCTCCACACGGTCTCACACCTCTACTGGAGCCCCACCGCCTGGGCCCTTGAATCACCCCCATCACACACTTCCCCACGCGACCACAGTCACTGCCACTTTCTGCCCAGCCTGACCTCTGCAGACTCCTCTTGCTGCCCTGAACTTATGGTCCAGAGAGCAGCAGAGAGATTTTTGTAGAAGGCCATCAGAGTGATCCGTCACCTTCCTGGCACCCCCGAGGCTCCCGGCAGGTTTGAATCAACCATGTCCTCTGGCCTGCAGAGCCCCTGCCCAGGGACCAGCCTTGACTCCCTGCACCATGCCAACCTCCAAGCCTTGTGCTCCCGCCATGTTCCTGTGAGCTCCTCCCGCTGTCCCCACAGGCACCAGGCACATCCTCACCACCCAGGCCGAGCCCCAGCCCCACGTCCACCTGGAGCTGGCTTCCAGGTATTCACAAGGCCAGAGCCTTCTGGATTTGCAGGTATCAGCCACAACACCAGCTTCCCAAAGTGGGCACCCCAATGAGCCCCCAGTCACCATCTCCCCAAAGTAGGCACCCCAATGAGCCCCCAGTCACCATCTCCCCAAAGTGGGCACCCCAATGAGCCCCCAGTCACCATCTCCCCAAAGTGGGCACCCCAATGAGCCCCCCAGTCACCATCTCCCCAAAGTGGGCACCCCAATGAGCCCCCAGTCACCATCACCCCTGTGGATGTCTCTGCAGGCTCCCAGGCTCCCAGGCCCCCAGTTCATTTCTGCAGACTTGTGTATTTGTCTTTTATTGGCCTTTTCCATCCCACTGTGTCTCCAGAGCCCGGAGGTTCCCAGAGCATTACTCACAAGGATGTGCAGGGAGGAGGACGCTGTCCAGGAGGGTGGGGGAACGAGCCCCCGGCATCTCCTCCAAATCTGGCACCCACTGCCATACGCTGCCCCCTCTCTGTTCCCTGCTGCACTGTCCCCATAGGGCGGGACCAGGCCTGGGCACTGATCAGTGTCCAGCAGGCTCTGAACCCAGGGAGATGAGCAGAATGTCTGACTACTGACTGGAAACACGCCATAAGGTGTCTTTGGAAAGACGCAGACAAACCCTCGGGGCACCGGCTCATCATGCATGGTCAGGAGGAAAGAGCCTCCAGTTTCCCCTCATCGGGGCGAGTTCTGCGGCCGGGGTTCGAGGCCTGCACACCATTCAGCCCAGCCTTCTTCTGTAAACGTGGGAAGGGCACAAGGAGAGAGGGCTGGGGCAAGGTTCCAGCAGGCAAGACGTGCCCGAGGCGGCTCGGGGCCGAGGGTGGGGCATGGGGAATGTCCCTCTCTGCGCTCTGGTGGGACACTGTGCCAGGTGGCCACAGACCCTGACCGTAGGGCCAGCAGTACGCCAGTGACCCCAACTGCAGTGTGGACTACACAGGGGTCCAGACGATTTGGACACACACCCCGTACGTGCTCTCATGATTTGCTCAGCAAACCTTTGTTCCTACAAAGGTCACCTGGGGCCTGGAGACCCCACACTGTCCTGGGCTCCATAATAGTGGAGCTGGAATGAATGAGCTCTGACTGTATTCACTGTGCCTGCTCCTGCGTCAGAGTTTCCCCCGAAGAGACACGACCCTAACTCTGAGATTCCAGCAGCCGGCCCTGGGTCTCCGAGACTGTAAGAGCAGCTGTAGGCACGGATCGGGGTGCTCCCAGGGCCAGGAGCTCTGAGAGTGTCTGCTCCCTTCACCTCCTGACCCCCAAAACCCACCCAGAAGGTGAGGAGCCTCCTCACTTCTGCTGACAGAAGAGAGACCCCGGCCTGGGAGAGGGCCACGCGCTGTGTCGTTGCACAGCTGGTAAGGTGCAGAGCCAGGGCGGAGCCCAGTGGGGCGATCCCAGCACACCCTCCGCAGCTCCAGTCATCTGCCTCCACGAGGTGCTGAGATGAATTCGCCTGGGACATGCAGCTGTTCTCCTGAAAACAGGAACATCAGCTCCAACGCCACAGCATTTTGCGGCTAAGGGGGCTGCCGGGCATTTTATCGGCTGGAAAGAATTGTCTCTAGGGGAAAATTCTGTGTAAAGAGTTTTTAAGTTCATTCTTACAACCTGTCCAAGATTTCTAGAAGGGTCTGGACCTCTTGATGGCAACACAGCCCCATAAAAAAATGAAATAAAGAAAATGTTCACACCACAAACATACTCGAGATGTGCGCAAGCGCCACTTCTGCTCCAAAGAGTCCGAGCCACATCCAGCCACCGTCAGCAAACAGCAACTGTGCTCAAGCGCCACTTCTGCTCCAGAGTCCAGGCCCCATCCAACCATCGTCAGCAAACAACAACTTCCTTGCCAGGCACTGGGAGATGGGACAGTGAGGGCACAGCGTGTCCGAAGACAATGAGTTTAGAGGATTTGCAATATGGGAGCCTGGGGTTTTTTTGGGGGGACAGCCCTTGAGAGAATACCCAGCCCCCTAGAAGGGTGAACTGGAGTCTGGGAACCTGAAGATGACTCGGCATCCAGACAGGCCCCAAACATGGCCCAGAGCCGTCCCCGCCCCACACCCGGAGCAGGGGAGGAACAGGGAGGCAACCCCACTCACCCCCCTCCAAGTCACATGATCAAAGCATCTCCAAGATCAAAATAAAATTTTCTTTCAAAATGTCCCTGGCTTTTTCATTATGTTATTTAATTTAGTTTGAAATCTCAAATCACATCAAAGACAGCATGGGGACTGTATGTTCATCAAAGCAGGGCCTGCGCTAAGGGAGGTGGAGGGCGCCAGCTGTGGGGCTGCTGGTCCTTGTTCCCCACCAAAAAGGCCAAGCCCCACCAAAAAGGCCAGGGACGGAGGCCTTCCCAGCACCGGCCCCTGCTGCCACCCCCAGCACAGCTCAGAGAGGACAGCAGCTGGGTCCCTCATCAAACCAGGACAGGGCGAGAACAAGTGGGTGATGACAGGGAGAAAAGCAGGACAAGGGCAAAGAATGCCCCACCCCCAGCTTGGCCACCGCCTCCTCCCGGAAGGGCTCCCTGACTTGGAGCCTCCTCCACCCACATCCACCGTCCAGCCCAGCTGCTGTGGTGGTGCCTGAGTCCCTCTGTGCCACTGAATCTGGGTTCCCCTGAGAAGGCAGAATCTGGACCCCCTGAGGAGAATGTGACCATGAGGTCCAGCCTCTCTGCCTCCTGTCTTGGACTCAGCCTCCTGGCTGGTCTGTGGACGGTGGGCTGGGCTGTGAATGTCTCCCTCCCTCCACAAGACGGTCCCCGTAGACCTCCTGGCTCCATGGCCAGACCATGGTGGCTGAAGCAAAATTCTCCACTTGCTCAAAGCCCAGCGAGCAACAAGGCTGCGGCTATGATTCTGGGTCCCTTTGTGGGTGGACGAGGGCCCAGAGTGAGGCAGGGTCTCTGCCTGTGTCCCGCCTCTGCAGCCAACAGGCCAGGAAGAATGCTGGATCCTCCGCCGCGGGGTCCAGAAGGCGCTGCGCCCTCAGCAGGGCCCTCGGAGACTTGCCCCGGACTCTGCTGCCCAGAGACCATCAAGGTCCCCGGGTGTCCTGCCCGGTAATCGCACCTGCTCCTGACAATGACGGGCAAAGGCGTCACCTCCTCTTACACGACCTCTTTGGACGCTGCAGTCTGAGGCCATGGTTCCTTCCTCTAGGCTCTTGTCACTGCTCCCTCCACACCCCTCAGCACAGGGCACTGTCCATCTGAACCCTTATTCCATGACTGCCTGGGAGCCCAAGAGGCCACACTGTGGCCACAGGCCTGGTCCTTTCTCTCTCTACACGTCGACGCCCTAGGTCTGGGCCAGCAGGGGCATTTCCAGGACAGAAGAGAGACGTTCTCTGCAGCACTGAAGACCCAGTGCCCCCACTCTCCAGCTGTGGGCTTGGGGCCAGCTCCACCCTTTGTGGGGCTCAGCTTCCCTGCTTTTAACAGGAGGTGACAGCAGTACTGCCCTGGGTGGGTGTTTGTACAATGAATGGGGTGATCCATATAACCTTCAGGAAGGAGCTGGGACAGGCCAGCCCTGAACCTGCCGGCCGCATCAACTGTCACGGTGCTCCGTCACTCACGCAAGATGCAGCGTGGCTTTCAGGATGCTGAAAAATAACCCATATTTAGACTCCACCCAGAGAGGCAGGGAGCTGCGGAACTGAGCGCCCATGGGCTGTGCACATCCATCTGGCGTCTGCCATGGACAAGCAACGCTGCAGGCTCGGGACAAGGGACCTGCCTCTGTCCTCCTCAGAAGAGCCCCGGAATCCCCAGATGGGCCATAATAGGAACGCAGCAGTCGTAAGACCTCGCTGCTCCCCCACCCACCCTGCCCTCAGGAGTGTTTGTGGGGCTGAGTTTCGGAGGTGGAAGTGGACGGGAGCAGCTCAAGGTCCTCTGGCATCAGGCAGACCCCATGCACCCTTCCCTGAAACGTCACGAATGTCCCTGCTAATGGCCGCAATCAGGGCCCGCGCCAGCACCACATGCTGGGCCCCCTCAGCTCTCGGCTTCCTGGAGAGAATTTCCTCAAAGATTTTTCAAAGATATTTCTTCTTGTAGACGCTGATTATTCTCAGATGCTGATTAACATATGTAAGATGAGGCAAGCGGCATTATTAGCAGGGTGTAGTGGACACTTTAAACACCATCAAGAACCTGGAAGGCATCACTCAGGTTCAAGAGCGGCAGCGTCCCCCATCCTTCCCTCTCTGCTCCCAGCTCAGGCCTGCTGGTTCACTGGCTTTGTTCATCATCGGGTCTCCCTGAAAACCTGCTTCAACCAGGCATTTGGAGGCATCAGGACCCACTGACATTCACAGAGCGCCTTTACATACTCAGGGCACAGGTCTGTGCTGGAGATGCAGGCATGGATGTCACTGTCCCCATCACGGTGGTGCTGCAGGAGAGACACGTGCCTCAGGGATGAGGCGTACTGTGGGAATGCACGAAACCCAAAGTGACATCTATGTCCGTATCCATAGATCTGTAGTTTTCTTGTGATGTCTGATACTTTGGTATTAGGGCAATACCAACCTCATAGAGTGAGTTAAGAAGTGGCCCCTATTCTTCTATTTTTTGGAAGAGCTTTAGAAGATCCAGTGTTAATTTTTCTTTAAGCGTTTGGACCAATTCACCAGTGAAGCCATCTGGTCCTGGGCTTTTCTTGTTGGGAAGTTTTGATAACTCATTCCTTGTTTTTACTTAACATAGGTCTATTCAAACTGTTTGTTTCCTCTAGAGTTAGTTCTGGAAGTTTGTGTCTTTCTAGGAATGCGTTTATTTCATCTAAACTATCTACTGTATTGGCATACAATTGTTCATAGTATCCCTTTAACCTTTTTATTTCATATGGTGGGTACTAATGTCCCCTTTTATTTATGATGTGGTAATTTCAGCCTTCCTTCACTTTCCTTCTTCTCTATCCCTCTCTACTCCCTCATATCAGCCTAGCTAGAGATTTGTCAATTTCATTTATCTTTGAAAGAACTAACCTGCTGGGTGGGCAGTGGCTCACACCTGTAATCCCAGAACTTTGGGAGGCCAAGGCAGGCAGATCACTTGAGGCCATGAGTTTGAGACCAGACTCACCAACACAGTGAAACCCCATCTCTACTATAAATAGAAGAAAAAAAATAGCTGGGCATGGCAGTGCAAGCCTGTAATCCCAGCTATTTGGGAGGCTGAGGCAAGAGAACTGCTTGAACCCGGGAGGGCAGAGGTTGCAGAGAGCTGAGATCACACCACTGCACTCTAGCCTGGGCAACAGAGTGAGACTCCATCTTCAAAAAAAAAAAAAAAAAAAAAAAAAAGAGACTCCATCTCAAAAGAAAAAAAAATGAGACTCCATCTCAAAAAAAAAAAAAAAAAGAACTTTTGGTAATTTTCATTATTTTTCTATATTCTACTTTATTCCCATTTTGATCTTTATTATTGTCTTTCTTCCACTTGATGTAGATATTGTTTACTCTTCTTTTTTTAGTGTGTTCACGTGGATATTTTTGGTTTCAGTATAATTTATCTACAGGTCAGTTTATATAATTTCATTGTTTCTTTTTTTTTTGAGATGGAGTCTCGCTCTGTCACCAGGCTGGAGTTCAGTGACGCGATCTCGGCTCACTGCAACCTCCGCCTCCCGGGTTCAAGCAATTCTCCTGCCTCAGCCTCCCAAGTAGCTAAGACTACAGGCACCTGCCACCACAGCCAGCTCATTTTTTGTATTTTTTAGTAGAGACGGGGCTTCACCATGTTGGCCAGGATGGTAATTTCGTTTTTAATAATGGGAGTATTACAAGTCAATTCACACATTTCCTGAAAATTTAACCCATGGTTCTCGCAATCTGGTGCAAGCCAGTTCCAGTATACCACAAGGGTGGTTCTAGCAGACTCTAGAGAGCAAGCAACACCCTGAAAAAGAATCAGCGTCGGCCGGGCGTGGTGGCTCACACCTGTAATTGCAGCTCTTTGGGAGACCGAGGCAGATGGATCAGGAGGTCAGGAGTTCAACACCAGCCTGGCCAACATGATGAAACCCCATCTCTACTAAAAATACAAAAAAAAAATTAGCCGGGTGTAGTGGCAGGCGCCTGTAATCCCTGCTACTCGGGAGGCTGAGGCAGAGAATTGCTTGAACCTGGGAGGCGGAGGTTGCAGTGAGCTGAGATCGCGCCACTGCACTCCAGCCTGGGTAACAGAGCGAGACTCTGTCTCAAAAAAAAAAAAAAAAAAAAAAAAAAAGAATCAGTGTTTGGCTTCAGGAAGCCAGGCAGGACCGTGCCTTCAACCACACTGTCCCTCCTCTGCTTCTCTGCCCACAGCTCAGAGCGCTCAGGGGACCTGCTTGAGGCCACAGCTGCGTTAAGAACATTCACGTATTTCTAAATTGCCGTGGTCTAAAAGTGTTCCCTAAATTCACGTGTTGGAAACTTAACCCCCAATGCAGCAGTGTTGGGAGATGGGCACTTTGACCGATGTTCAGGTCATGAAAGCTCCACCATCCTGGAGAGATAATGCTGTAAAAGGACTTGACTGCGGGAGCCTGGCCCCCTTCTGCCCTTCCACCTTCCACCACGTGAGGATGGAGCGTTCTGCCTCTCTGGAGAATGCAGCCCTCACCACACAACTGAACACGCTAGTGCCTTGATTTTGGACTTCCCAGCCCCCAGAACAGTGTAAAATAAATTTCTTTTCTTTACAAATTACCCAGTCTCAACATCACAAAGTGGACCAAGACAGAAATATCCAAGTACTTAAGGACTTACATTCACTTTTCTAATGACTGAAGCACACAAAAGCTTTTCCCGCAGAAGAGTGAGGGCTGCTGTCCACTCTGCATCCTGCCAGCCCCTTCAGACACGGTTTGCTCCAGGAGCAGCCAGGGGGTCTGGGCAGGGCTGGATGTGGAGTGGACCCCCACTCATGCCTGCTGCTGAAGGACCCTGGGGCATCCTGGATGACAACCATGCCCAGTACACAATGACAGATGGGTGTGGCCTCCCCTTTAAACACAGTGCCCATTTCCTCCAGGAAGCCTTCCTGGATTGCCACACTGATGCATCCAGCTACTACCAGATCCACCACACGCTGCCTGACTCAGCTCTGGGCCCGCAGACCCCATAGGCCTAGGCTGCCCCACCACGGCCCCTCCTCCCAGCCCTCAGTGCTCCTGAAATGACTGTGGGGATAAGGAGGTTGCTCCCTGCTTGCCCCTGCTCTCCCCACATCTGTCCCAGCTTCCATCAGGGGCCTTCTGCCTGGGAGGCTGCAGAGTGGGTGCTGGATCAAGGTCAAATTCACACAGGAGCTCCTCCCAGCCCTCCCCTTCCTTTTCCTCCACGCCAGACAGTTATTAGTCATTTGAGTCATTCGGCTCAAAAATGACAGAATTCGAAAAAAAATTAAAACCCCACCCAAGTTTGTTGGGAGTGATTCGGATGGGAAAGTCAGTGCCGGGAGGCCTGCACTTGGCAGAGGGGCCCAACAGGACGAGGGATGGGACGTGCCTGGGCAGCACAGCCTGGGGTCCCATTGCCCAGGACCCTGCAGCTCTCTGTCCCCGAATCACACGGAGTGGGGGCCTTGTGGAGCAGGCATAAGCTGTCCCCATCCTCATGGGAAGGAGTGACGGTGGGTTCAAGGCAGGAGCACGAGTGGAGCAGGCGTGCTCCTTCCAAACCCTGTAGGCCCGTGGACGATGCATCCCACGTGCAGTGGGCCTTCCACGGGCAGGCTTCAAGAGTTCGAGGGGGCCAGGACACCAGCGCCCCAGCCCCAGGGGAGGGTGGTGGTCTGCCCAGGGTCAGGCCCAGCCCAGGTGTCTGGCCTCCTCCTCCTCCTCCTCTTGGCTCTCCTGGTTGGCAGCACAGGGGCCCTGTGTCCACAGCCCTGGGAAAGAGCCTCCCTTATGAAAGGGAGGGAGCAGAGCCAGGTGACCGCCCTCTTCCCTCCAGAGCCGCGGCGCCAACGTGACGGGACAGGACCCTCCCTGCAGAGCCACCGTGCCGACGTGACGGGACATGGAGAGGCTAGAGCAAGGAGACCACCCCCTTCCCTCCAGAGCCGCCGTGCCTACGTGACGGGACACGGAGAGGCTCGGGCACCCATGTTTGCTCAGCCACCTCCCAGTGTGCTCCCAACCTGAGACTCCCCACAGCACCTCAAAAATCAGCAACTTATCTACCAACCCCAGCTGCCATCTGGTGACGCTCACGTAGTGCCCGTGAATGCTGGGGTCTCCTCTCCTTCACCCTGAGCTGTGCTCCCTGGAGCTGGGAGTGGGGGCGCTTCACAGAGGGGGACATTCAAGGAACTTCATGTTCTCAGCAGCAGAACACCCTGGCTCCAACCGTCTCATCTCTCTACAGAGGCGTCAGAGAGCCATGCAGCTACTGTGTGGTTTTCCAACAATTAAACGCACCGAGATCTGGAAGGAACTGCTGGGTAACTTGCTGGAGAAGGACTGGCTTGCTCCCTTCTGGTAAAACTGGGCTCTGATGAAGCAAAGTGCTTGGCCTTTAGCACAGTTGCCATTGTACCCTCACGCCACAGCCATGGGTCGGGCCGGGCAGTCAGCTCCTCCCTGAAACAACTTCACCACAGTGGCCCTGGCCAGGGCACTGTGAGTTGTGGCTCCAACAGCAGACACACCTGCCCTGCCCTGCCCACCTGCTGGGCCTGAAGTGGCTGCATCCTCTGGACTGAAGCAATTCACATCCACGTCCTAGGGAACCGGGGGCAGGGTCTCTTCCCACCATCTTCCTCACAAACCAATCATGCTCAGAACTGAGGGACATGGTGCCCGCATCCCAGGGCATCTCCAACCCCATCTGGATCCAGGCAGAATGGAACGGAGGGGTGTGCTGGGGAAGAAAGTGTCGCCAACAGCCCCCAGGCGCCTCTCCGCTTGCCAAGCGTTTATAACACGCCACCCTCTCCCAGCAGTGGTTCCATAACAAAAAGGCCGCGGGTGGCAGCAGTCTGCGCGGAGATGTATGTGTCCTGACAGCCCCACCACGGTCGCGTGATGCAGTGGCTGGCAATGCCTGCCAAGCAGAGGGCCACACCAGCACCCACAGCTTCTGTGCCACAAAGCACGGACCCCAAGCCATGAGGGGTCCAGGGTGGCCAGGACCCACAACCTGGCTGAGGATGTGGCTGTACACCCAGTCGCCCATGGCCTCGGGAAGCCTCCAGAAATGCTGGGATCTCCCTGAGCCCCCAGAAGGAAGCCGACATGTCCATGCCCCTAAGCAGTGGAGAGGGTGCCTCCTGAGGCAGGCAGGTACCCAGCTGGTCTCCGTCGCGTACTGGAAGGTACCTGGAACATGAGTCCTTTTCTCAGGAAGGTTGTTAGGGGAGCGGGTGCCCAGTAAACAGCCCAGAGCAAAGCCGGTGCTCCACGTGGGGGTCTGGGCCCCTCTGAAAAACAGCTTCATTATCCTTCCTCAGATCAGGGCCTCGATGATTTGGTGAGGGCCCAGACCCCCTCCTGGATGGCGCTGGGTGGCCAGTGCGGGGTGCCAGGCTGCCAAGGGTGGTCAGGGCTCAACGCAGGAAGGGCTGCCCATGAACAGCCAACTGCCAGCAGGCGGTCTCCTGTGAGCTCTGTGGTCAAACAGATGTCCCCATGTTGTATGAACAACTGTAGGGAAGCAGGGCCTTCCTTATCCCAACCACCACTTGCCGAAGGGATGAACGGGGCAGGCAGGGCCAGCCACAGCCTCTCCAGCTGCCACCCTGGGGCCAACCCCTGGCCAGGCTGAGCACCAACTGGTAGATGCAGGCTGACTCGGCCACAGACACCGCATCTTAGGGACCTTGGCGCACTCCCAGTCTCTTGCGTACAATAGAGCAGGTGATTCACGTCGCTCCTGGTGGAAAATTCCCGTCACCCTAGTCCCAGCCACAACATGCCTTCAGCTGGCCCTGGGGGCCCCGTTGGCGCCTCGAGGTGGAGATGACGCGCTGTGCCCAGCCTCTCAGAACCGAAAGGCTTTTGCTCCTGCACTCCTGTAATTAAACCCCACATTGCTAGGGCATCATGAGCAGCTAGGCATGATGACGGTCAACAACGGGGAAAGGCAAGAGAAGAAGTGACTTCCCTCCTACCCTGGCTCCTGCAGTCACTGCCAGGACCCACAGCCCAGGGTCCAATGGCCCTGCCATCAGTGTGGTCCCCATCCCCACAGCAAGGACAGGACCATCTCCAGACTCCTGTACGTGGCCAGGGCACCCTCCACCCTCCCGCACCGACCTGCTGCTGGAGGATGAGGACAGGGCTGTGGACGTGGGGTGGAAGGTGACGCTGACCACAGATCCCCCTCGTGGTGCCCCTTCTTCTTCACACCTGGACTCTAAACCACACGTGAAGCACAGATGCCAAACCCACGGCCTCAGCGTCCACCCGCCTAAGGCTGCGCGTCTACTGCCAACCATCCACACTGCCTGAGAGCGGGCAAGGCCTCTGCTGTCCCACGCCTGCCTCAAACTCCCAACCACAGAGAAGCAAAGACTCTGGCCACCATACCTCTGCCCAGAACCCGGCAGTGCCCACCTGCCTGTTTTCTGCCTCTTTTCCCAGCCCAGGACCCAGGTGGCTCGCAAGGCCTCATGCCTGGAGAATATAAGGCTCCACCCAACACCCACCTCCAGGCCCTCTGGCCCTGCCCCTTCCTGGGCACAGCCTCCCCAGACCTGGCAGTCAGCCCGGCCTGTCCTGCACCTCCCAGTGGCCACTGCGGCCCTGACAATGGGTCTGCGCTGTGCCATGACTGCAGTTTACCATCCTCCAAAAGCTCCCAGGGAAAACTGCCCCCGCCCACGACCGAGACTTGAGGCTACCACCCTTCACCCCTCTGGCTCAGCTCTGGGGCAGTTCCGCTCACAAACCACCACCCTCTGCTGCCCCCGCTACTGGGCTGCAGTCTTTGATTTCCTGGGAAAGGAGTTTCAGGAGAACTCAACTTGTGGGAGACAGCACCTCTCTTCATAAAGGAAGACCTTGCTTCAGCGAGGCGGGCTGGCCAGGTACAGCCAGGTACTGCATGCCTGGCAAGGGCTGGGTGAGCGCTGGACTCGGACACAGGGTCTCAGTCCTCAGTGCCGTGCTGTGGTGGCTGCGGGACCCAGCACGTGTGTGCTGATGGAAAAGGGAACCTGGCGCGTCTGCATAAACAGCTAGAAAGGAGCAGAAGCAGGGCCTGGCCAGCCCGCCAGGGCATCACGCACCTGGGTGCCTGCCTCAGAGGGCAGCCCTGGGGGAGGGGAGGCTCGGTGGCTGATACTGTGTGTAAGGATGGAAAGCGCCACAGTGCGTGGCTGGTTTGTGTTTGAATCTTTCACTGATGGTTCCGTAAGTTGGATCTCGCATGCAGGTGCACAGGCTCACAGCCCTGCCCTGTACAGGCAGGGACATGGTTCACCCAGAAATGCTTTAGCTCAGAGACAAGGCCGGGGAGGCTGGAGGCTAGAATTCCTCTCTAACCACTGGCCCCCTCTTTTCACAAAGAGAAGCATTTCTGGTGAGCTCCTCATCATCCCTCAATACCCTATTCAAATGCCCCCTCATGGATGCATCCTTGCTGAGGTCCCAGCGGGAAAAAGTGATGGCACTCTGGGGCCCCAGTCTGAATTCCCGCACCTGCAGCACTGCATGGCTCTCTGTATTGGGTGTTTTGAGTTGACTTCCCCATGCACCTCTTCTGCTGCCATGGGTATCCATCTTCTTTCAACAGATGAGTGAGTGAGCAAATGTATGAATAATTAAGAAACCGACCAATGGACAAGTGAGCACAGTCAGGCTTGCTCCGGCATTCCGAGCGCCTGTGGTCACGGAACGCGGTAGGGGCAGCAAGTGCCTCCCCGATTTCAACCCTACTCACATTCAATTCCAACACCGACCCAACACAGCACAAGTTTTCTCTTCAGCAAATGCAATTCACATGCGAGGAAACTTATTATGCACGCAGAGCAAGAAAATAGAAAAGCAAAAATTAAATTAGATGGCAGCCTGGAAAATGCCCACTGTGCAAAAAGAAGCAAAGCTAACTAAGCTAACTAATTTGTTTGGCCTCCCTTGAAAACAGTACGGTTTTAATTTGGGTCTCTGGGACCCGGCTCCTGAGGCACCAGGAGGCTCCTGGTGAGAGGAAAGTGAATGTGGTTTCAGATGAGCAGACCCAGATTCAATTAGTAATCAATTTTGACCCCAACTCTGCCGATAGGCGGGCGGAAGTAATGAGAAGAAAGGACGGCCTGGCTGTGAACTCCTTGGCCGTGCAGGGCACCGCTCTCCCCCTCCCAGTCTTGAGACGCATCAGTGTCCCCGAGAAGGCGCCCCGGCCACCATGTGTTCCAGTGGCTCCAGATACAGGCAGCCAGGAGGGCTGTGGCTGTGGGAGAAGCAGTCCCCTTCCCTGGGAAGAAGACCGCCACGCCTCTGCCCCAGCTCGCCCCAGGATCCAGCTCTGTAGAACCGAGGCCTGAGAGCCACTGAGCAGCCCTGAGGCCCTGCGTACCTGGTGTTTAATCAGATGCCTTCTACAGATGCAAATTGATAGATGTTTTTAATAAGGACAAAAACAAGGCTCCAGCGGCCCACTCCTCCCTGCCCCAGGTCCTCAAAATGCACCAGAAGCCTCTGATGGCTCCCCTCTCCTCCAGCCCACTCCAGCAAGCTCAGCCTCTCGCGCCACACTCTCCCTCCCAAGTGCCAAAGAGCTTCCCAGAAACCCTCAGGGCTGGTGGCCGGAGGGCCAGTGGCATACGGCTGCTAGGTCTAGGGAAGATAGACAGGTGGCTCAGCTGGAAGGCCACCTGGCCCACGGTTCTTCCTGGGTATCCCACCTGAGCAGTGCACGCAACCCCCAGGTGCACAGGGCATCTGTGACCAGGAGAGCTGCACGGACTGAGACCTGGGCAAGGCATGCTCCCTTCAGCCAAGAGCCCGCGGCCCCTTCCCCTTCTTCCCTTCCTATAAAGGCCTCAGGGGTTAGGGGTCCAGGTAGTGGGCCCTGGGGCAGACTCACTGCCTGGCCTGTTCCTGCACAGTCTTAGGACACGCTCATCAATGAGACACCCAGAGGGAGCTCAGTGATTCCGTCAGCCCTCCTCCTCCTGACCATGCCCTGACTCTGCTGAGAACCCCTAGAGGGGTCTATCTGGCTTTGGAGGATCAAGGGCTCGGCCTATTAGAACACCTTTCTCCCGGTGATACCAGCATTCTTTTTTTGTTTGTTTTTTTGAGACAGAGTCTTGCTCTGCCACCCAGGCTGGAGTGCAGTGGCGTGATCTCGGCTCACTGCAACCTCCGCCTCCCGGGTTCAAACAATTCTCTGCCTCAGCCTCCCGAGTAGCTGGTGCACACCACCACGCCCGGGTAATTTTGTATTTTTAGTAGAGACAGGGTTTCACCATCTTGACCAGGCTGGTCCTGAACTCCTGACCTCGTGATCCACCTGCCTCAGCCTCCCATAGTACTGGGATTGCAGGCGTGAGCTACTGCGCCTGGCTGATACGGGCATTCTTTTTCCTAGTGCAGCCGCCTCCCTCTGTGGAGTGCTCAGGATGCCTTGGCCCTGTCTCTGTACGCCCCATCCCTTCTCCATGGACCTTCACCAGCACCCACGTAGCAGCAGGCTCTATCCCTGACCCCGTGTTCTCAATCACAGCACACGGGCAAGGCTGCCCACGTCAGGCTCCTGGGCAGAGGCGGTGGGATCCGAAGTTGGGCATCCGGAGCCCCCACAGGGGGAGTGGGGGAGGAAAGGACCCTTGACCAGAGTCAGGAAACTCAGACTCCAAATCCAGCCCTGGGAGGCCTGGCAGGGGCCTGCCATCCATGGGGTGGGCCAGCTGAGCATGGGACACATCTCCACAGGTCCCTGCACCGCGTCCCCAGAAGGCCAGTGAGCACTGCGCCAGGCCTGAGATGCTCGCAACCATGTTTCAGTGCAGGATGCCACGGATATAGCTGCCCTGAAGTCCACCAAGGACTGGAGGGGCCACTGGCCAGCGACACCCCTACATATCCTCGGCCCTACTCCACCTGCCCAGCCCCTGTCCCTATCTTCTTCTGGCTTTGCAGGGCCTCTGCCCCTACCGGGCCGCAGCTCGAGGGCAACCCCAAGTCTACGCCTGTCACTCAGGGATGCTGGTTTCTCTCCACCCCAAGAAGTGGCGTCAGGGACCCCACATAGGGGACTCCGCATCTCACCCACGGGGGACCCTCCCTCCCTGCACTCTCTCCTGGGCTGTGGTCAAGCTGCTGCGCCTAGAACCAAGGCATCCAATACCCCTGCGTGGGGTCCTTCACCCCAAGGCTGCCTGGACTGGCACATGGCTGCTGCTGGCTAGGCCCATGGCAGCCCCCATGTCTGCCCCAGGGAGGGGTCTCCCTACCCACTCTGGTCACAAGGGAGGGAGGCAGCCTGGATTTAATGCCGGGCCTACATGCCCACCTGTGACCTTTGGCTGGTGTTGACACCAGATGCCTTCCCGGGACACACTGGGCCTTGGGGAGGTCCCGGCTGTGGGGTTCCCAGGTCTCATGCTGTCCCCTGAACTTAGCTGGTCACCAGTGGTCTTAGTCAAGCCCACTCTCTCCCCATGGTCAGGCACAGCATAGACACAGCAGAGTTCCCTACCAGATGACAGGCTCCCACCAGACGCCGGGACAGCCCCTCCCGCCCCATGTCACCTCATAGCAGGTGCCCTTTCCAAGTGTTCACTCAGCAACACTATCATCCCTCAGCCACGGCCCAGCTTGTCAGAAGCTTGACTTCTAGGGGCCGGGGGTCACTGCCAGCTGCCAGCAGGCACTCATCTGCATGTGCTCAGAGCCCATGGGGGCCGGAGCTGCGGCCTCCCGAGTCTAGGCATGAGAGTGTCTTGAACTGGCCAGACCCAGAGACAAGGAGCCAGGTCCCGCTGGCAGCCTCGGCCAGACCACACGCAGACGATGGAACGGCACCCAGGGGACCTTGCCATCCTGCAGATGACCCCTCTGCTGTCCTTCTCCTCTCCCAGAGGCAACATCAGAGAACCACAGCCTTGGGCCAGAGAGCCCCAAACATAGGCAAGTAAGGCAGGGCACCGGCATCTCCCCGACCACTCCCCCAGGAACTGGAGACTGCACCCCAGCCAGTCCCCAAGCCACAAGCTCACACCATCCATGGGAACAGCTGTGCCAACAGCCAGGGGCCTGACCCGAGGATGCGCTGAGGCCTAGGGGGACCTTCAGGTAAGGGGCCGCGTCAGGGAAGAGGCACCTTTGGTGACGCCGCGCTCAGCACCCGGAGGGGTCCTGGGGCCACGGGTGCTTACCGTCCACACAGGCGGGCCGGGCTCTCGTGGTGCCGGCGATCTGCCCCTTTCTACACGCACAGCGGGCGGTCTGCCGGGCGATCGTCCTCCGAGGCTGGCTGCTGTCCCGGTCCAAGGTCACAATCTCACAGGTGCCGGCGGCCAGCTGACCTGCAGAGAGGAGCAGAAGCGACTGAGCGGCCACACGTTACAGACACCCCACAGCCAGAGCCCACCCAGAGCCCACCCACAGAGGGGCCCCCAGCAGCCAGGCCACAGGGCAGGGAGACCGCTTCACTCAGAGGGAGCGTCCGAAAGCACCTCGAAGGCTGCCAGCAAGGAGCGCTCGATGGAAGCCAGAGCTGGGTCAAGTCGGCGAACTCCACCCTGTGTGCAGCCTGGTGTTCAGGCGGTGGTGCTGCCTTGGCAGACAGGAAATTAAACACAGCCCCATCTTTATCACGCCCGGAAATGAAAGGTTCGGATCACAAGGAGGGAGCTGGCTCCCCTGCACACAATCAGGCACCTGCTGGAGAGAAGCCGGGCTGTACGAGGCACAGTGCTTGGTCTCCATCCCCAAGTGCCAGCACACTGGCCCCAGGGTGTGGCACTTTGGAGCCGGAAAATAGGTCAGACCCCCGCTCAGGCTTGTCAAAAGTTGTGTGGAACCAGCCACGCTGCCAGGGAGGAACTGCCATGCCTGCCTGGGTACAGAGGAACGAGCAGGCGGGCACCACTGTGTGCATCGATGCCAAAGGGTTCAGGATTTCCTCCGCCCTCCCACAGCGCGGTGCACGCCCACACACACATATGTGCATGTACGTGTGTGCAAACAGGCACACATGACCGCACACAAGGCACAGATGTGCACGCAACACACCCCTGGAGTGAGCCACAGGCACGCAGGTTTACACGGGTGGCACCCAGGTGTGAGCACACTAAGGCCAGGGGTCTCAGGCTCACCAGCAGCACATGAGGACATGCTCCCCAGGGGTGCACGTGCCCATGCAGACACAGGTACACACAAGCTTCATGGATGTGCTCTGCAGACACCCACCACCCATGGGTGTCGTGGACAGGCTCCCACAGGAGCACCCTGCATCCCCATCTCCCTTGTCACACCACCTCTGCTCCCCACATTACAGATACCCCACAGGGCACGAGGGAAGCAGGAAGGACCCCGGGGGCAGAGTCAGGCTCTGGGATTACCTGTGGTACAGAGAAGGGACACATTTCTTCCAAAGGTGCCAACATAAATAATTTCCCTGGCTTTCCTCACTGCCCCCTCCGCATCCCCTAAATTCCAAGGAGAAGGCTGTCTCTGCAAGGGCCCGACAGCCCAGGCATCTCAGGTGCGGGAAGATGAACAGCCAGGAAGTTCTACCCTGCAAATAAACCCATGGAATTTAAGATACCACTCTGCTGGTAAAACGCAGCATGGCCACCACCAATCACAGCCAAATATTAACACTGACAAATAAAGACAGTGCCCGTGCTCCAGGTGAAGATGAAAACCCAGCATCCCCAGGGCAGGATGGAGCTTGTCCCTCAGCCAGTGCTGCCCAAATCTGCCCTGAACGGTGAGTGCCAGGTCCCCTGCCATCCAGCTCCACATGGGCACCTGCTCCCTGGAACCACCTGGATGTCTACTTACTCGCTGCCTCACTCCTTCATCTGAGTAGGTAATGAGTGCCTGCTGCAAGCCCTCCTCTGTGCAGGGCCCTGGGGCCACGGCGGTTAGAAAAGAATTTGGTGTCCTCCCCAGGGGCCCCTTCCAGCTGGGGGAGATGGCCGCAGCATCAGAGATGCACGGACTCAGGGCTCCCAGCCTGTGGGGATCAGCAGAGAGTCTGCGGGCTGCCTGGGGGGCTCAGGACAACAGGATGGCAGGGAGGTGACTCCGAGGAAAGCCGTGGTGGGTGCGTGAGGGACGAAGGGTGGCCATCCCACCCTTGCAGAGAGGAACCTGCAGGCAATGCCCGGGTGCTCTCCAGCAGCCGTTTCTACAGCCTGGGTGCCCTTCCTTATCCATCCCACTTTTTCTCCTATGATAACCTTAGACGGCCCCTCCTCTGGCACCTGCCTTGTCACCTGTCACCTCTGGGTCCCCCAGCCCAGCACCCTGGCCAGGGCAGACATCACATGTGCTGGCAGGGTGCGGCTTGGAGGAACTTGGAGAGGCCGCCCAGCTCTCTCATCCCAACACCCAACACGGCTCAGACTGTCCTCAACCCTGGGGAGTGCCCGTGTCTGATTGTGACCAGGAGGCACTGGATGACTCTAGTGGGCACCAGACCGGCCTGCCCCAGCTCCTTCTGCCCATGGTGCAGGGCATGGAGCTGTCCAAGGTGCCCCAGGCCAGGCTGCAGAGCCCAGTGCATAAGGGCCTGCTGAGTCATGGCTGGTGCGTGGCTGCGGGGAGGGGGTGGCATAAGTTCACAGGAAGGATGCTGGGGCAGCAGGGGCCTCCCCTGGGACTATGAACCAACCCCACCAGCAAGCCCCTCCCACGATGAGCAAAACCCTGGTCCCCCGCTCGGGGCCCCCTCCCCGAAGGCTGTGGGGCGGGAACTTGGACTTCCACTACCAAATTGCACACAAAATTACACACTGCTCCCAGAAAAGGGCGACACCAAATGAGCAAGAGAAGAAGTGGATGAATAAATACCACGAGGAAAGAGCATCCGGGAGGATGAGGTGCTGCTTCTCTCTGGATAACAGCGGTTACTGCGTCAAAGCCATGCTGTGGGGCAACACGCATCTGGACGGGTCCCGAGCACACGTTCTTACGTTGTGATTTACGCAGAAGGAAAGTCACTGTGATCTGAGGATGGTCCCCAGCTGCTGTGTTAAGCTCTGCAGGTTGGCTCTGGGCCACTCCACTATTCCAGGCTGCGTTGCCGCCACCTTGACCCCAGACCCTTCCCTCTGACATCAGCCCCAGCAGAGACTCATGGTGTCCAGGCCACCCCAGGGCCAGCTGCCTCCTTGGGGCAGGGCCCAAAATGGGGCAGCTCTGGAGTCATCCACCTACAGTAGCTGGTGCCATGGGGAGATGGCCACAGCAGTGCTGGGGTACTGCTGAGCCTGAGAAAGCCTGCTAGCCCTGCTGCTGAGCCTAGTCACTAAGCCGCCAACCACACAGCACACCCCTCAGGTGCTACCCGACCGGCCAGGGCTTTGGCATGGCCAGCCCCTGGGCAAGCTGTTGTCCCTCCTAGCTGGACTCCTCCTCTGTAAGGGGCACAGGTGCCACGCACTGGGCAGGGCCACACCAAAGTGCACACTGGAGGGTCTCCAATCCCAGGTCACCCTCACCCAGGCGGTCCCCAAACCAGCCACGGCCAACCGAACACTCTCAGCCCTCAGGGACACAATTCGAACCAAACTCCATGGACGAGACGGTGCTGAGCCCTGAAACAAGGCCACCCCTACACCTCTGCCCTGCGGCCACTGGGAAGCTTCCCAGAGGAGGCATCAGGGCCTTGCAGGAGCTTCCTGCGTAACAGATCGCCACAGCGAGCCACGCACCGGGCAGCCTGAACGGTACACGTTCTTATCCCATGGCGCTGGAGGCCGTGCATCTGAGATCCACATGGCAGCCGGGTTGCAGTGCCTCTCAGTCTTTCTGGGCTGTCGCGACCCCCAGCTCAGCCCCAGCAGGTGGATGCCTGGAGCCTGCAGCAGATGCAAAGGCAGGGATGGGCTCTGCCAGGCCAGGGGCTGGCCCAGGACTCACCCCAACCCCAGGGTCCCATTCCCCAAATGAGAACACTTAGCCCAATACCTGAGTGGCCCCAAAACCTCCTTCTGGGACTACTGACAGGGCCAGGGCAGCCAAGAGCCAGGGTGTGTGGAGCTCTAGAGTGGAGCTCCCTGGCTCTCCCACAGCTGTTCCCCCTGTGTACCACACAGGACTCACACACACGTGTGCATGCACACACACCACACACGTGCACACACAGACCAAACACACCCCCCACATGTGAATGTACATACCACACACTGACCAAACACGTGCCCACACACAACCCACACACATGGGTCAGCATATATCACACAGAAAGACCACGCAGGCCACACACCACATACTCCACACACACAGACCACACAGTCACACACACGGCATGTACACTCCCACACACCCCAATCTCTGCCCACTGTGAGGCCTTTGGGGAGGGGTCCAGGCCGGCCTGGTCTCCAGGCTGCAGGGACAGGGTCCTCAGTGGTCCGGCTCCGAGTGCTGGGTGATGCTTGGCTGCCATCCAGTGCTGACCGCCCCTCTGCTCACGAGCTCCAAAATCGCCTCATTCTCAGAAAGGGGGGTTCAGAAGGGAGGGCGGGCCCACCAGGAGTCAGGAGCTGTGGAGGCCGCACCAGGGCTGCCTGTGGGGCATGATAGCCTGGAGGTGTCCCTGCTGTCTGGAGGTACAGGGTAGACCCGGACCCCTGGGCCGCCCCTTTGCACCTGCCCAACTTCTGGAAGGAGGCCATTTGGGAGGTTCTGGGGTCCCCTGGGGCTCTGGCAGGGCTGGGACAGTGGCGAGGCCTCCCCACAGGGCTTGGCACCCTCAGCAAAGCGCAGGCCGCTCCACCAGGCTGCCCCACGCAGCAAAGCACAGGCCCCTTCACAGGGCTGCCCCACTCAGCAAAGCACAGGCCCCTTCACCAGGCTGCCCCCCTCAGAAAAGTGCAGGCCCCTCCACCAGGCTGCCCCCCTCAGCATGCTGCTGGTCCACCCACGATGCCAGCAGGCTGCCCCCCTCAGCGTGCTGCTGGTCTACCCACGGCGCCGGCCTTTTCTTGGAGATAGGGGATGGTGTTTCTGTCTTTTCTCTCATCTTTTTTTGTTTTTAAATAAGGAGTTTGCATTGCTTTTAAGACCAGAAGGAAAAACATTCAAAAATAAAGCAAGTAATCACAATTCCTTCTCCAGTGCCAACTCCCACAAAGCCCAGGCCGAGTGCTTGGGGAGTGGCCTCTGCTGAGAGGACATGGGACCTTGCAGGTCCCCCCACCGACTTTCCGCTGGGTTGGCCTGGACCGGGGGCCTCCGAGGGCTCCCAGTTAGCGAGGCCGTGTGCACACGCGTGTGCGAGGGGACGGCATCGTGTGTGAGGGGAGGGTGTGCGGGGGGGAAGGGAGGGTGTTGTGTGCGAGCGGAGGGCGTGTGGGGTGGAGGGGAGGGCGTGCAGGGGGAAGGGGAGGGCATCGTGTGCGAGGGGAGGGAGTGCAGTGGGGAGGGGCAGCCACCATCAGAATGGAAAAGAACAAAGCTGCCTTTGGGGGAGTTTTCTTAGAAAGGCAGTGACATCATCGTGTGGCAAAAATCGGAAGTCAGAGAGAGAGATTTTAAAAAATAAAGAATCCACCCCTCCAGCCCCCAGGACCAGCCCCTCCCGGAACACATCCCCAAATTTGACTTTCTGTCGGGCTGCATATGGGTTGATCATATGAAACCTCCTTTCCATAGGTGGTGTTTGTCACGCATCATTTCACAGAGACCCCCTTCTGTGGAAAGAATGTGGCCACCTGGCACATTCTAAGGCAGCAGGGAACCACCAGAGACCACGGACCACTGTTCCCACTGCCCTGGCAGGGGGGCCACGGTGCCCCCACGGTCTCAGCTTCAGGCAGAAGCTGTCCCATAGGGCAGACCCCCACCAACAGCCCCCCACTGTTCTCACTGCCCCAACAAGGGCCACGGTGCCCCCACGGTCTCAGCTTCAGGCAGAAGCTGTCCCGTAGGGCAGACCCCCACCAACAGCCCCCCACTGTTCTCACTGCCCCAACAAGGGCCACGGTGCCCCCACGGTCTCAGCTTCAGACAGAAGCTGTCCCGTAGGGCAGACCCCCACCAACAGCCCCCCACTGTTCTCACTGCCCCAACAAGGGCCACGGTGCCCCCACGGTCTCAGCTTCAGACAGAAGTTGTCCCATAGGGCAGACCCCCACCAACACCTCCCCAACTGGGGAGCCTGGGCAGACCACTCACTTCCTAATTCAGAGTCCCCTGGCCTCTGAAACAGGGACGCAGCCTAGCTCCTTGCCATACAGAGAAGACCCCTGACAGGCAGAGCCAGGTGTGAGCCGGGCACCATCTGTGCGCCATGTGGCTGGGGGAGCTTGCACACTTAGGAGCCCCCGCCCAGCCTCTGCAAGAAATGGCCCCGGGGTAAACGCCTCTCATCACCCACAGCCCAGCCCAGCCCTGCCCTGCCCTGCCCACCCAGCTGGCTGTGTCTAAGCCAAAAAGGGAGACCACGTCCCAGGGGAAGCCCCCCCTTAGAAGCACACTCCCCGTGACAGCTGAGATAAGCCAGCCTTGGTTGCCAAGGGAGCCCAGGCTGTGTCTGCACTGGGCGCACAGGCTGGAGGAGCTTCCGCAGGCCGTGGGCCCATTCATGTCCCTCATCGGCATGCAGGGGGCGGTGGGTGCTGGCATGCCCCCATGCCCACTCAGACGCCAGCTCTGAGCTCCCACGCAGCGTGGGACCCTCCACCCTCCAGCAGAGCTGCATGGTAGACCTGCCTGGGAGCCCTGCTGAGGGCCAGATCTAGCCTCCACCGTCCCAGGACAGGAACTGAGGAGTGGTCTGGTGGCCTCCAGGAGCCTAAGGCCTGCAGAGCCAAAGAGCCGAAGAGCCTGGCGCCGGCCCCATCTGCTGCACTGGCACAGCGAGGCAGGGGCTGGACTGGGTTCAGGGGCTGCAGCACGCCCTCCACAACCCACCCAGGCTAGCACCATCATCACCTGGGTTCCTACAAACTTTACAGAAACAGCTCACAGAGCTGATGCCACAGGCCTTGGGCGGCGGGGTTGGGGGGGTGCGGTCACGATTTGGGGCCTGTGGATGAGGGGGAGAGCAATGGAGAAAGCATCCGGCAAAATTCCCAGAGCCCTGCCCAGACCCTGGGGACTGCTGGCTCTCCAGGACCCCGGCAGGTGATGGCAGGAAGGATGCTGTGGACTGAGTAGAGGTGGGTACAGGTCCAAGTCCAGCCACTCTGTTTTTATAAGTGAGCCAAGTTTTGACAGGGGAGATGGCTGGACCCAGGGAGACAAGCGGTACCCCCTTCTTCCAGGTGCTAGGCGGGGGCTGGTGGGGCAGTGGGGGCACCTGCATGTGGCTTCAGGTGGGCATAGATCAGGCCCAGGCTCCAGGAGGTGTGACAAAGGGAGCCACTCAGGGGCCAGGGCTGGGGCCTCCCTGGCGGGAAACAGGCCCTCAGGGTGTCTGGAGCTCAGCCTGGGCCCTCTGGAGCAGCTCCTGCCACCCGTGGGGCGCAGACCCACAAACCGTGTGATCCTGCCAGGCTGTGACACAGATCTGGGAGGATGTCTGATGTGACGGATGACAGGATGAATATCCAAAATGACTTTGACAGGCACAGACCAAGAGGGTGGCATTTACCATTCACGAATGTCAGCTCTGTGCTTGGTCAGACCAAAAACAAGGTGCAGCTGAGGGGCCCCGCAGGCCTGAGGGCAGGGGGCGGCCCGAGGTGACCCACAGTGCCACTGGGAAGGTGGGGCCCGGGGGCAGGTCCCCAACGGGGAGAAAAGGAGGCGCCGTGGGGCCGCCCAGAGTTCCCGTAGGGAGTGCTCACACACCAGCCTGTGTCCAAGTGACGGGTGGGGCAATGGGGTGTCCTCAGCCTGTCCTGCCCACCTGCATGGGCACCATCTCTGAGCTGGGGCCTGGGAGGAAGTGAGGCCAGAAGAAGAGCTGGGCTTAGTGTCGGGGTCCCGCCTGTGTGCGGTGTCCCAGGGCTTAGTGTCGGGGTCCCCCCTGTGTGTGGTGTCCCAGGGCTTAGTGTCGGGGTCCCCCCGTGTGCGGTGACCCAGGGCTTAGTGTCGGGGGATGGGGGGGGGTCCCGCCTGTGTGCGGTGTCCCAGGGCTTAGTGTCGGGGTCCCGCCTGTGTGCGGTGTCCCAGGGCTTAGTGTCGGGGTCCCCCCTGTGTGCGGTGACCCAGGGCTTAGTGTCGGGGGATGGGGGGGGTCCCGCCTGTGTGTGGTGTCCCAGGGCTTAGTGTCGGGGTCCCCCCTGTGTGCAGTGTCCCAGGGCTTAGTGTCCAGGGGGGTGGTATTGCCTGTGTGTGGCCCAGGGCTTAGTGTGTGGGGGGGGTTGTTGCCTATGTGTGGCTTAGTGTCAGGGGAGGGGTATTGCCTGTGTGTGGTGACCCAGGGCTTAGTGTCGGGGTCCCGCCTGTGTGTGGTGTCCCAGGGCTTAGTGTTGGGGTCCCCCCTGTGTGTGGTGTCCCAGGGCTTAGTGTTGGGGTCCCCCCTGTGTGCGGTGACCCAGGGCTTAGTGTCGGGGGAGGGGTGCTGCCTGTGTGCGGTGTCCCAGGGCTTAGTGTCGGGGTCCCCCCTGTGTGCGGTGTCCCAGGGCTTAGTGTCGGGGGGGGGGTGGTATTGCCTGTGTGTGGCCCAGGGCTTAGTGTGTGGGGGGGGTTGTTGCCTATGTGTGGCTTAGTGTCAGGGGAGGGGTATTGCCTGTGTGTGGTGACCCAGGGCTTAGTGTCGGGGGTCTAAGACACGTGTACCCTGTGACCAGTCATTTGCCTTGTAGGAGTGGCTCTCAAGGACGAAGTTGTGAGCAACGCCAGCAACTGGACTGGCACTGCCAGGACGTGGTGACAGGACACACCTGTGTGTTCCCTGAGCCCCCGATACCCGCAGGTGAGTGCTCTTCGCCACTGAGAATCTCAAGGTGTGTGGTTTCTAATACCCTGGCCGCCCCTTGCACTATGTCCTCAGCGACTGTCTTGTCAGTTTAGAAGGACAAGACTCCCTCTGCAGTGACCCCCGGGCAGGACAGCCTCAGGATCCCAGGTCCCAAATCTGTGCTCGGCTCTGTTTTCAAGGCTTTACACAGGAGAAGACCTATTCATAAACCGGAAGGAGAAAGGCCTCAAGGAGAGTTTCTGCGGGTGTGGGAAATGGCTCGGCTGTGCTCGGTGGGCGGGAGTGGCTGTGAAAGTGTTGGGGACGTCGATGGTTTGGGCTGGACAGAGGCTGTGAGTTCTACTCTGCCTCGTCCCAGACACACCACATGCCCCACACGTGCACACACAGATGCGCACACCCGAAACACACAAACCACACACCTGAGCGAGGGTGCGGGATTTCATTACAGATACGAGACCAGCAGGGATAACGGCAGAGCTCAGGCTGGCAAGGCCGCCTCATGACCACAGGGGTAAAGGCACTTTGCTGCCGATAACGCTGGCTCCGCACATCAATTAGGATGTTACTATTATTACCGCTTTTATTTTGGGTGAAACTAGCCAGCCAGTGTGGACCGAGGCCAAGAGACAAGGTGAGAAGGGCAGACAGGCGAGGAGGCGTTAGCAGGAACCGCTTTCGAACTGAGACATCAGAGCTCCGGGGCGGAGACCAGCCACACCAGGCTTCCTGCCATGGGCACATGTGTGCACATGTGTGCACATGCCACCATGAGCTCACACTCCTCACAGGCACACATGCACCCCTACGCCACACTCATTTAGTGAGGTACACGCATGCACACAGATCCTTACACACAGGCACGCACCAGGAGCCACGGCCCTGTTCAAGAGGCCCCCACAGGCATCCCCAGCCCTGCCCACCATACAGGTGTCTGTACCCTGACAAAGCAGGTGTTGGGGCAGAGCCAGTGACTCGGAAAGGCTGCTCACCTGCAGACACCTCCCTTCCACTCTCCCAGAAGCCCCGAGCCAGGGCCCCTGCAGCTGGCCAGGCACATCATCTGGCAAGCCCGGCTTTGCTCACTTGGGCCCCTACTGCCCATACCTTGGGGCAGGGGCCAGGAGGGTCCAGAGCCCTGGCCTCAGCCTCCCAGGGCCCCGCGCCTGTCCCGTCCAGCTGGACTACACTCTGCCCTACACTGAGGCTGTCCTCCTTGGGCACAGCTGCCCCATCCTGTCACTCCTGGAATAAGATGCCAGACTCCTGCTCAGCCAGGGCACCAGCCCACACCCACACTAGCTCTGCCCCAAGCTGCAGGCCTCAGGCCCAGCCATCTCCAGGCTTCACAGCAGCAGCCCTGGGGGCTCCTGGGGTTCGGAGGCAGCAGGGACCTGCCACAAGTGGGGGCACCATCAAGGACAGAACAGCAATTTCCAGGGAGCGTCTCCCCACAACAGAAGGCCTCACCTCCACTCGGAGCGATCCACACAGGCCCACAACAGAAGACCTCACCTCCACTCGGAGCGACCCACACAGGTAGCTCTGCTCTGACTCATAAGTTAAGTGCCTAATGTTTAGTCTTATCGCTGATTGTACAGACACTTAGTATGAGGATTAAAAACACAGAAAATGCATTCTTTAAGATCTGATGGAGTATCATAGTCTCAATATTTAAGTTACAGTGAAATCAAGTTTGTTATTAAATCCCAGAATCAACTCCTCCATCACAGTCTGACTTCAACAGAAGCAATTATATGTGTGCGAGGAGATCATGGAAGCCCGGTTCCCCCACGGAACAGCCAGCGTCGGGCCCAGGCTGCCCTCACTCACATAGTTGTGAAATATAATGTTGGTGTTGCTAGCAAAGTCAACGATCTCAGGAAAACATCAACTGAAGCGACCTGGCCAGCTGACGGCAACACCTCCCTGTGTCCCCACTGGCCAGCCCCTCCCATGGCCCTTCTGGAATCTTCAGCTGGCTCCCACCACTGCCGGGAGCAACTGCCTGCGGCCTGGCCGTCTGGCCACTGCCTGTGCACCTGCAAACGTGGGCAGGGCCCACAGGAAGTGTGTGGGTGGCTGGGAGGGAGGAGGAAGGCGCCCTGGACCCACAGCTCCTCCCAAGCTCTGCCTGGGCCAAGTGTGCCAAGAGCCACCTGTGAAATCCGACAGAAGCAGGTGGAGAAGATGACACTACAAATAAAAAAGCAACAATGGCTGCGATTACAACAATGACTGGGGCTGCTCAGCCCCCAGGACCCAAGCCAGAGCGTCTGTGGTTCAGCTCCCTGCACTGGCTCCTCAGGGACACTGAATCAAAAACGCCCAGTGCCACCCCCAGAAACCCCTTCCTTCTCTCGCAGGTCCCCAGGCTGCACCTGCAGAGGCCTGGGAATATGTCCTGCAGACACAGGAGGAACCAGGCCAGGACTGAGCATGGGTGCAATGCCCAGGAAAGGGGGAGTGCTGGTGGGACTCTGCCCCCCTTAGCTGGGATGGAGGGCTCCAGACAGACACGCAGGGGCTGCTCAAGAGCCCCTGAAATGCGCTGCGCAGTGACGCCTGGGAAGACAGACACCCTCACGGAGGAGGAGCTGCTGCTGGAAGGTTCTGGGCCCCCTGGGTAGGGACTGGGAGACGGTTGCTAGAGGCGGCCAGGAAGGCAGAGTGGCTGGAGGTCAGCCTGTGCTTGCCCTGAAGAAGACTGGGAAGCCCTAGCTCCTCCCAGGCCTCTACCAGCCTCAGGGGCTGCCTGCCCCCAGGCCCCTGGCCTCTGCTTCTCGCAGCTGTGCCCTCCACCAGCTACGCCTGCCCACTGTGCTGCCCGAGCACACGTCAACCTCTCAGACCCAGCCCTGGCTGGCTTGGGACAGGCTGGCCCTGCTCTCTGGCCCCAGCTGGTGCTAGGTGGACGGAGCTCTGTTTGCATGCAACAGGCCACAACGGGAACAAGGCCGGCTGTGCTCTGCGTTCTCCGTCCCCAGGCCCCAGGCCCAGAACAGCCCGGGCAGGATGGTGGAGTAGGGGCTGCTGCCCGGGCACCTCCCTGACCAGGACAGAGGATCCCCCCTACCTCAGGAAAATGGCTCCCTGGGACCCTGCTTTGGGCCAGACTTGCTTTTCCTCTTTGGTGTGGACACAAACCAAAGAGTGCAGCAAGCTCCTCCCAGATGCCCCATGGGCTGGCTCCTTCCTGTCCCCAAGCCCAACAAGGGCTGCACTTCATGAATGACTGGCAAAAGGCAGATGAAGGAAGGATTGCGTGAGTGCATGAGACAGTGAATGAGTGAGTGACTAAATGAGTGGCTGAGTGACTGAGTGAATGAATGAGTGAGAGAGTGAATGAGTAGATGAATGAGAGGGTGAATGAATGAATGACTGACTGAGTGATTGACTGAGTGACTCAGTGAGTGAGTGAGTGAGTGAATGACTGAGTAAATGACCGAGTGTGTCAATGAGTGGGTGAGTGGGTGAATCAGTGACTGAGTGGGTGAATCAGTGACTGAGTAAATCAGTGAATGACTGAGTGAATGATTGAATGTGTGAATAAGTGAATGAGTGAATGAGTAAATGAGTAAAGGAGTCAAGGAGTGATTGAGTGATTGAGTGAATGAGTGAGTGACTAAATGAGTTAATGAATGAGTGAGTGAATGAGTAAAGGAGTGAATGAGTGAATAAATGAGTGCGTGACTGAATAAGTGAGTTAATGAATGAGTGATGAGTGGGTGAATGAGTGAATGATTGAATAAGTGAGTGAATAAATGAGTGAATAAGTGAGTTAACGAATGAGTGATGAGTGAGTGATGAGTGAATGAGTAAATGATTGAATAAGTGAGTGAATGAGTGAATAAGTGAGTTAGTCAATGAGTGAGTGATGGGTGAGTGATGAGTGGGTGAATGAGTAAATGATTGAATAAGTGAGTGAATAAATGAGTGAGTGAGTGAGTGAGTGAGCGAGTGAGTGAACGTCAAGGAAAGGGACAGAGACTCTCCTCTGGCCATGACTTCTCGCCTGCTGAGTCTGTGCACCGGGCAGCTGAGGGCAGTGGGGGCAGTGCACCGTCAACAGGCCCTGTGACCCCAGGCCCTCTGAGTGACAAGCTGCCCCCTGGAAAGCGTGGGGGCCTCGCCCAGGCCCTAGGGAGCTGTTTCTCACCCACGATTGTGAGAAATAAACACAGTGGCACACACATCCCTGAGAAATCAAATCAACACTATAAATGAACATTCAATTTCTCAGTATTTCACCGTTTCCACGTTCTGGCTTCCTCCCATATCCTCATCTTCACTTTAACTAAAGATGACTTAATATGTAACTTTCCACAAGTCATTTAAACAAACGCACTCACATGGTCACGACAACAGAAGCACCAGGACCCACTGCCACCCCCAGCCGCCCCCACCAATCCCTCCCTAGAGAAGCCTCCCTTCTTGGCTCCGTTCAGGAGGAATTTGCACCAAGAAAGATGCAGAGAGAGGGAAAAGAGAGAGATACAGAGCAAAGCATGGAGAGATGGAGAGAGAGAGAGAGAGAGGGAGAGACAGACAGACAGACAGACAGACAGACAGACAGACAGACACAGAGCAAAGCAGGGAGCTCGAGAGAGAGGGAGGTGGGGAAGAGAGAAGAGCCCCTGCACGTGGGTGGTGAGCCCCGCTGAAGATAAGCTGTATTGTTTCAAGAACATTCCACAAACACACCCATGCTCCTGCCCGCTGGCCCCCTCTCTCCAACATTCAGGAATATCTGTGCAACGACCACCTGCCCAGTCTCCCAGGCCACAGCCATGCTGGAACACTCTCCCTGCCGTGGTGGGCAGATGACATTCGTGCCCTCCTCATCCCTTCACTGGTTCATTCCCCGCAAAGGTCGTGGGGTTCAGGTCGGCTCTGGAGTCCTCCAGGAGGCCCAGCCTCCTCCTTGCTGCCCAGTGGGGGCGGCCTGGCTCTTCGGGCTGCTGGGAGACCCTGTGGTCCAGCCCCTGGGAGCCCCTGGGAATTGCCTCCATGGGGCCTGGCCCCACCCTCACTCATCCTCGCCAAACTCCTGTCCCACAGGGCGCCAGGGGCCAGGACTGAGGACGGCTGTGAGCACCATTCTCAGCCCCAGGAAGTGCACGCCTGCAGCCGTCTAGTGGAACTGAGGATGCTGCAGGCCCATGGGGTCTCTAGTGTTGTAGTCTATGCCTGCCACCAACTCTGCAGGCCAAGCAGTGACCTCACTCCAGCCCAGCCTCCGCCTGGGGCTGCAGAGACTCCGCCCTGGAGCCTTCAATTCTCTCTGCAGGGATGACGAGGAGGCCTCCAGCCTCTGCTGCTCCCCGTCAGGAGGGGTCAGGGCCTCCGCAGCCAGGTCCCAAGGCATCCATGACTGAAAAACCTCCCAGGGCCAGGGCCCTTCAATGCCCAACACAGAGAACGGCCTCCAGAGGGGGCTTCCCCAGCCAAGGGGACCCTTCAACACCCAGGGTGCTCACAGCCTCTCCAGGGCCCGGCACGTTCTGTGCGTCTTGTTTCACCCTAGTATCCCCGCAAGGGTGGCAGGCACCGAGCTCAGAGATCCAGGTCCCAGCCTGGCCAGGCAGCAGCGCAGTGGGCTTCAGGGTGGACCTCAGGGTGTAACTCTGGACCCCACCCCAAAACTTGGCACCAAAGGGGTCGGGGCAAAGCAAGGACAGTGGCCTTGGTTTCTTACTCTATAAGACTGCCCTGTGGGATTAACACCCATCTGCCTCTGGACTGGGTTTCTCACTGTGTAAAATCACCCCGCGGGATTAACACCCGTCCATCTCTGGACTGGATCAGAAAAGCCTCAACCCACACCAGGCAGGCCCATGGTAGGTGGGAGGCAGGCAGGGCCCGTGGCGGTAAGGGTTGAGGACGGTGGCCGGGAAGCTGCATGTGTGGGGTCTCCCTGGGCCCACAGGAAACACCTGCACCCCAGCCGCTCCCAACTCCCAGGTAGGAGATGACCTTTAGGAAGACCACGTCCGGCCTAGGCCCTGGAGAATGTGGATTCCTGGTTTTCACATGACACTCAGTGACAACGTGATGAAGGAACACAGGATTGCAGGCCCTGTACCGAGCCGTGTGTCTGGCTGGACCCCTGCCACCCGTACTGCCTGGGAGGTGGGCACGCATGTCTGCATTTTACAGGGGCTGGGGCTCAGGGGTCCCATCGCCCGTTCACAGCCAGGAGCTGAGAAGTTGCCTTTAGACCAGGCCGCATCCCAGCTGCCCCCTAGGCCCCCTGCTGTCCTTCCCACACGGCCACGCAGACCCTTTACATTCCGCGATGTCTAGCAAATGTCAGGAAACCTGGAGGGCGTCAGATTTCCCCCTAAGTCCTCTCAACGTGAGATCCAGCCACGAAGCTGTGGTCGGGCAAGAGCAACTAATTACCTGCTCCCAGCGCCTGAGTCTGGCTAATTTCTTCTGCAGTTAACACGGGGCTCGGGAGGCCGGTGTGACGCCGGGGCTGTGCATCTGGGTAATGAGGCAGCAGGGGCTCTGGTCCAAGAGCTCCCTCACACTGCACAGCTGGAGACCTGGGGACACTCACAGCAGTCGTGAGGATGCTGCCGCCTGGCAGGGAATATCCACGCGAGCCACTCAGCGCCTGCACGGGCCGCACCGGTGCCGGGGCACCAGGACACCAAGGGAACCCTTCCAGGCAGAGGCCTGTCTACGTCAGTCCCTGCTGGAAAGGCCGGGCAGGCGTGTGTCCAGCGTGGCCCTCATGGAAGGCATGTGGCTGGGTGGGGCTGCCCACCAGGGACCGCTCACCTGGGTGGGCTGCAGCTCCTGCCAGGGGAGCCTGAGGTTGCCCACTTCACCCTGGCCTGGCCTGGCAGAGGGGCCAAGACCCCGGAGCACACCAAGGGCCCCCTGCCTCTCCCAGCAGATGGCAGGTCATCCCAGCCCCGGTCCCCTGACCGTCCCGAGTGGGTGAGCCGAAGGAGCTCTGCCTCTGCCTGGCCCAGGAGGTCCGTCCTTAGAAAGGACAGGGCGGGGAGCCACACCCCCTCCAGAACGTTCCTGCAGGGACTCCACGCTGCATTCCAGAGCGCCGGCCCCTGGCTGCAGGACACGCCGAGTTCCCCTGTCCTCGGTGACCCTGGGCCTTGCATCCCAGAGCCAGCACGCACGCCGGGCTCCCCCCATGCAGGTGCCCCTGGGACACTGGGTATCTGGGTATAGGGGGCAGATTTGGGCTCACTTTGCTTTTCCTCGGGGGGCCTGGCTGGCTGGTTTCAGGTAGAAACAAAAGCCCCACAGCCGAGTGCCCAGCTTCCTTCCCCAGCGCCTGGAGCCTGGGGCTCATCGCCCCCGTGATTCAGGGCCCCGGTAGCCAGCCCTGCAGCCTGTGTGGCTTCTAGGCGGCCCCTGATGGAGGGCGGTGAAGACGTGGACGCTGTCATTGTTCTGGAAGCGGCACTCACTGCACAGACTTCCATCATTAGCGCCTCACTGGGTCCACCTGGCCCCACCAATTATCCCGTGAACCTGTGTAGTAAGAAGGCGTGGCCACCTGCCCTGGGCCCGAGCGAGGCTGGAAAGTTGTGGACACAACAGCGCACACCTGGTCATCACACGCCGCTGACGACTCAACAAAGGCAATGAATAAAGGCCACGCACGCCCCAAAGCCAGGGCCGAGGCAGCAGTGGAGCAAGCCTCCTTTTCTCTGTGCCTGTCACCAGCTCTGGGCGCCTGCCCCTCTCAGAATTTCCCCACCCCACCCACAAGGCATCATGTGCTGGTCAGTGCCAGGGTCAGGGAGTAACTTGGGGCAAACAGGGGACACGTCATTCAGCGAGCTCGCCTCCAACCAGAGATGCCCAGCAGCGTTCTGCAAGCAGAGCCCCCTATTTAGAGAATCTGGAATTTGCAGCCTCCCACTCCACCTGCTCATCCCCCGCCCCCGTTCTGCAAGCAGAGCACCCTATTTAGAGAATCTAGAATTCGCAGCCTCCCACTCCACCTGCTCGTCCCCCGCCCCGACCCCAGTCAGGTCAGTTCCTCCCAGGCTGGGATTGGCTTCTCTGGGCTGGCTCTCTATGCAGCTTACAGGGTGACCCAGGGATCCCTGGACATCTGGGGCTCCCCAGCCAACACTGGAGCCCAAGAGGTTTTAAAGCACGTGACCCCAGCTCAGCTCCAATTTCCCAGGTGCCCGCACTCCTCTGCCGGGAGGACACTCGGCGTTGCCGGGTGGCATCTGCCCTCTCCCATCCAGGGGGCTGTGATCCAGGGTTTCCTGCAGAGGCGATGTGGACACAGAGCTGGGACTCTGTGCTAGGGACCGTCCCAAGCATCCCAGGGTTTCCTGCAGTGGTGATGTGGACATAGAGTTGGGTCTCTGTGCTGGGGACTGTCCCATGCATCCCACGTTGGAACAACCACAGCTGTCCCCAGACATCATCAAATGTCCCCTGAGGGGCAAAACCATCTCTAGTGGAGACCATGCAGTGTGACCCAACCTGTGACTCCCCAGTATTTAAAACATGTGCCCACCCCAATCTTAAGAGGATGCATGTGCCTTTCAGACCGTTTCTAGGCACAGGGGACACAGGAAGGAGGTGGACTTAGCAAAGCCAGCAGCAGCGAGGGTTGGGGCCCAGGGAGCTGTGGACTGTGGGGCATCCGGAGGGGGGCCTGGAGGCAGAGCTACGGGCTCAGCTGTGCTCCACAGTGCCTCATTCCCAAAGCCCCGGGGTGCCGAGGCCAGGACGAGGAGGGGCCGCTGGGTTGTTCCGCCTCTGTCCTTCCTGAGCCGGAGGATGGGAGGCCTGGGAGAGGGCGTGTGAGCTGAGCAAGCAGGGGAGAGTCAGCCCAGGGCCAGGCCCTGAGGGTGGGAGGGCCTAGATGGGGCTGAAGCAGAGAACCCCAGCAGGCCCAGCCCTCAAGCAAGCATTGCTGAAGTGGAGTCCACCTCGAGGGGAGCCGCTGGGGCCCCAGAGCACCCGTCTGGTGGGTCCCTTCCTTCAGGAGGCCGCCGGCAGGGCCTGCGGAGGGGCCAGGGCTTCCCCTCTGCCCGGCAGCTGCGAGTGTGCTGTGGCCCTCACACTCCTCTTTACTCCTCTCCTCTTTACTCAGGTCTAAGGGAAACGGCGCCCGGCTCTGCACTTCTTGGTCACACTGCACGCCTGAGCTCCCAGCCCCCACCCACAGCCCCAGGTGCCATCTCCTAATTAACTTGACACCTTCCACCTTGCAGGAGGCTGGCACACGTAAGGATTGGCAAACACGCCGATGTGTCTGATACTTCCCATAACTGTTGGTGGCCGCGGAGCTGTTTGCAGCAGTGGCTATTTGTCTTAAGGAGAAACACCCTACGAAGGGGCCTAAAATCCTCCCGGGGGCAGCCATGCCCTGTCTCTGGCTCCAGAGGGACACAGAGCATGGCAGCTCTGCTTCTCCAAGCTCGTCCAGCTCAACAGCACATCTGGGAGCTCACCAGGTCCAAGCATCGCCTCTCCTGGAGGGGGTGGCGAAGGCCCCTGGGGCTGCACAGGGAGCAAACCCGTCTATGCCCTCCTTAGCAGACCTGGCATCCCACCTGGGAGAAAAGCCAGGCACAGGGCACCTGGGTACCTGCAGAGGAAGCTGTGATCGGCGACATGATCTGAACAGGAGAGATCTTCTGGGCCTGGAACCTGCAGGACCCCAGCAGGGGAGGGCAGAAGGCCACACTCCAGAGGCAAAGGGGGCGATGACCAGGAAGCAGGAGGGGCTGGGACTGGCACGGAGGGTGTGCCAAGGCAGGGGCTCCTCTGACACCCCCACAAGCTGGGTCCCGTGGGGCAGCAGCCAGCCTCCCCATGTCCCCACGCGCCTGGCCTGGGCCTGTGGAGAAGTGGAACATGGTAGCCTGTGCTGCCAAATGCCCTGAAACAGCCCTCCTGCCAGCTGCGTCACCTCCCAAGTCCACCTCAACCCCAAGGACCCACCAGAGCCTCAGGCCAGACCTCACAGAGCCGGCAGAGTCACGTCCTGTGCCCACCCCAGCCTGGCTTGCAGAGACAGCAGGTCCCAGCCTGACCAGGATCGCATCCTCCGCTCCGGGCAAGGTTCCCCCACACTGAGCCTCCATTTCCCCGCCTGGATGGTGGGAGTAAGGTAAGTGCACACACCTGCCTGCCGGGTCACCTGGGAGCATCTGGAGAATATGCAACCCCCCGTCCTTGCTGGCATGTGTTGCTGAGGTCAGCCTAACACGGACTCCACGGGCAGCCTCAGTGCCCAGGCCAGGCCTGTGCCTCCCTCCCCCTCGTCCTGGCCATGGCCCTGAGGCCCTTACTCCCTGCAGCCTCCACATCAGCCCAGGCGTGGGTCAGGGACAGACACAGAGGGTCCTGCCTCAGCTGCACCTAGGGTGTGAGTGTCTCATTTTGGATGAGCCAAGAAAGGAGGCTGCTGGGTCCAACAGCGTGGGCCTCCCACGACAGAGGCTGCAGTTTCCATCCTGCTACTCGCCCCCATTAAGAAAGCTGCTCAGCCTCTCTGCAGCTGCCTGCTCTCCAAGCACAGCGGGATGGAACTACCTGGGGGGGCAGGGCTGTGTCACAATTTACAAAAACCACCAGCAGCATCACAGGCACTCTTTGCGTGCGCTGTCGCGACCCCTGGCACTGGCCCAGCCTGCACGCGGCGCCCTCTGGGTGCTGACGCATTTCTCCATCCTCGGCGCCTGTGGGGCTGCCTCCCCCGCCACCCCCAGACCTGCAGCTGCCGGGCACGTGCTGGCTCCGGGGACAGTGACGGAGACAACACATCCTTCACTGTACCAAGACTCTTACTGCAGACTTTCCTGTCTTGGGAGGAGCCAACTTGGGAGGTCCAGGATGGTACAGAAAAGACTGAACTTCCAGAAAAATTCAACTATTATCAGGTTTCTTCTGCTTAACCTTCTTTAGACACACATACGTGGTGCCAATGCCAAGCCGAGTGGAAATCATGTCTTCTGGCCTTGGTGTGTATCCCGGCAGATTACAGGAAACAGAGGAAGCTGCAGGATCACCAGGAGGGGCTGCTGCCACAGTGAAGGAAAGGGGCCCCGCGGCCATCCTTCCAACATCCACGGAGCCCACACAAACCCACAAGACCGGCAATCCCACGGAGGACAGGAGGTCTCAGCACGGGGCTGGAGCAGCTGGAAGGTCCACAGGCAAAAAGGAAAAATGGTATCTAAACGCCAACCTCACACTTTCACAAAAACCACTTCAAAGTGGACCTGAGACCTAAAGACGAAACACAATAATATGAAACTTGTAGAAATAAACACAGGAGAAAAATCTATGGAGCCTTGAATTGGGTGATGAGCTTTTAGATAAGCATCAAATGCATACTCTATGAAAGAAAACCATTTGATAAATTAGATTTTACTAACATTACAAACATCTGCTCTGCAAAGACACTGTGAAGAGGATGAAAAGACAAACCGCAGACAGAGAGATGTTATTTGCAAACACAAATGCGATGAAGAATTGTTATCTGGAGGGCACACAAGGAAACCTTTAAGCTGAACAATACGAGCACAGACGACCCAATTAAAACATGGGCAAAGGATCTGAATGAACACTTCACCAAAAAAATGGCAAATATGCATATGAAAAGTTGCTCAACATCATCTGCCATCAGGACACTTCAAATTGAAATAAGGAGGTAACGGCCATACACCTCCCAGAATGGCTCAATTCCAAAAATCAAAAAATACCTAATGCTGGCAAGGATATGGCACAACAGGAACGCTCCTTCACGGCCGGCGGGGGTCCGATATAATGCAGCCACTTTGGAAGACAGCTTGGCAGCGTCTTACAAGGCAGAACATACTCTTACCATACGATCCCAAAATCACACTCCTAGGTACTTAGCCAATCGATTTGAAAACTTCTGCCCACACAGAAAGCTGCGTGTGAATGTTTATAGCTGCCTTATTCAAAATCACCCCAAACTGGAAGCAACCAAGAAACTTTTCAACAGGTGAATGGATAAACAAAAGGTGGTCACGTTCATATAAGTGGAATCTTACTCGGGGATAACAAGATGCTGCCAAGCCACAAGAGACACATGGAAACCTTAAACGCTTACTGCTGAGGGCAAAAGGTCAGTCTGAGACGGCTGCATGCACTATGAATCCGACTCCATGACACTCTGGAAAAGATAAAACTACAGAGAAAGTCAAAGGATCAATGGTTGCTGGGGTTTCTGGCGGGGAAAGAGGAATGAATAGTTGGACCCAGGGTATTTTTAGGGCAGAGAAACTATTCTGTAGGATGCTGTGATGGTGAACACACAGCGTCATGCATTTGCCAAAACCCCCACAATTCCACTAAAGAGTGAACTTCAATCTATGCAAATCTAAAATATCATTTACTAGGTTGGGCATTCCAGGCAGGACTTTTATCTGGCGTTAGGAGCATCTGTGTTGTAAATGTGTGAAATAACCTCCCTGAGGGAGCTGGGGAGAAAAGGAGCTCCCCGGTGTGATTCTGGAAAGGGGTGAGGTCTGTAAGACTGAAAGCAAAAGGACCTGATCGTAAGCACTGTGCATGAGTTGATAAAGGTGCTTCCCGTAGGACAGACTCATGATTGCGATAGTGCTATACGCGGATACTTGAACTGAACAGTGAGCTGCATGGCCAGTGGGGGCCAGTTCCTCACTGTTGCAGTGGGAGTTTACCGACAGGCAACGGGAGGGGGCTAGAATAATCCACGGGGTGGTGATCAGAGTTGGAGACGCCCGAGTGAACTCCCCTTTAACCTCAACATAGATATGGTGGTTACACACGGTGTATTCATGGCTGTGAATAGACTGGTGGGTCATACACATTCATGCATCTCCTCCCTCTGTCGGCCAAGAAGGCTGAGAAACAATGAATGACACTCCATTAGCAACAAGGATGCTGGACACCAAGACCAAGGTTTTTGTTTCTCTCTCTCTCTCTTTTTTTTTTTTCAAGACAGGGTCTCACTCTATTTCCCAGGCTGGAGTGCAGTGAAGCAATCTTGACTCACCACTACCTCTGCCTCCTGGGTTCAAGCAATTCTCCTGCCTCAGCCTCTCAGGTGGCTGGGATTACAGGTGCCCGCCACCACACCCTGATGTTTTTTTGTTTGTTTGTTTTTGTATTGTTAGTAGAGACAGGGTTTTGCCACGTTGGCCAGGCCGGTCTTGAACTCCTGATCTCAGGTGATCCGCCCACCTCTGCCTCCCAAAGTGCTGCGATGACAGGCGTGAGCCACCACACCCGGCCAAGACCTAGGTTTCTAATAGTACTCTGTGATGAAAGAAACCCACACTCCCTGGGGTAACGGCTGTTTCTGAGACTAGGACAGGAGCTAGACAGGATGAGCCAGGAGTCACTGGTGGTGCCAAGAAGTGAAGAACAGCTCAAAACACACAGTCACTGATGGGCTGTGCCAACGGAGCCCACGAGTGCCAGGGGGAGCGCCCATGGCCAGAGCTAACATACCTGGCAACCCGGTAAATAAAGCAGCCCTGGATCGCAGCCTAAAGGACAAACGCATCTATCAGTCCACACTGATAAACAGTGAGAGTGACTGAACCGATTACGAAATGGGGAGAAAACGCATGTCTCCGACGCTGAAGAATCCAAGTAGAGTGGATGTGTCCTCATGGAGGCGGCCTGTCCCTCCCCCACTCCATAAGTGAGTGCTGCACCTAGGGATGCTCTTCCAAGGAGCACCCTATGGGAGAAAGAGCGACCTCACAGGGCAGGAACCTGACCCACACGACCCCAGGCAGGTGCTCAAGGCCAAGTATGTGACACTCATGACAGTGGATGCCCCGATAGGATGTGATGAGAAGGGCACTTCACTTTGGCATCTTCTTCCCAAACACCCACAGCCCGATTCTAATCATGGGGAAAGCATCAGATTCCAAAAGAAGGTCATTTAGTAAAATACCCAACTTCGCTCCTCAAAACTGTCAGGGTCATCAACAACACGGAAAGTCTGAGCAACTGTCAGGGCCAGGAGAGGTCCTAGGAGACGTGACAACTAATAATACCACGTGGGATCCTGGATGGGATCTCAGAAAGAAAAAGGACAAAACTAAGGAATTCTGGATACCATAAAAACTTCAGCTGAAGATGACAAGCCAATGCCAGTTCTTTAATTGTAACAAACGTGTATATGAATGTTAAAATGTCCTATTAATAATTATTAGGTGAAAAGTAGGTGCATAGTATATGGGAACGTTCTGAACTGCCTTCAAGTTTTCCATAAATCTAAAATTTTCCCCAAGAAAATGGACCAAGTTCTGTTAAAGTATCTGTAGGAAATACGAAGGGCAATAGGCTTTCTGACGTGCACCGTGAGGAGCCCAGCAGAGGCCTCGGGCCGCCGTGCCAGGCTCTGATGCGGTTAAATGGGGCGTGCTGGGCCTGCTGGCTCTTCCTCCTGCACACCTGTCTGCAGGCTTTCCAAGAAAGATGCTGAGCCCCGGGAAGTTCACATCAGCCTGGCACTCAGCGATGAGCCGCCCCCTTCCTCCACCAACTCACGCCAGGGACCTGGCCAAGACACCTGCTCAAAAGGTGATACCGACACCCGTCACAAACACATCACGGGCTGCGTCCCGTCCCACAGGTCACCGCGCAGGGCCACGCAGCACATCCCGTCCCACAGGTCACCGCGCAGGGCCACGCGACACGTCCCGTCCCACAGGTCACCGCGCAGGGCCACGCGACACGTCCCGTCCCACAGGTCACCACGCAGGGCCACGCGACATGTCCCGTCCCACAGGTCACCGCGCAGGGCCACGCGACACGTCCCGTCCCACAGGTCACCGCGCAGGGCCACGCGGCACGTCCCGTCCCACAGGTCACCGCGCAGGGCCACGCAACAGGCTGCGGCTGCTGGCGAAACCATGCTCATCCATCCCACCGCCGTCAGGGCATCCTGCAAGGTCGAAGGTGACAGCTGGAGTTTGTGCTCACCGCCGCCACCCCCTGCAGCCCACAGAACACATTGCTGCAGGGCCGAGCTCGCCCTCTTCTGGGTAATTACAGAGAGATGGAGAGGGCCGTCTGGAGTTAAGAGCTTCTGGGGAGGAAAACCACGCTGTGAATGGAGCGAAGTGTCCACAGAACAAGGAAGCGAGCATTGGGTCCCTGCCCGCCCAGTAGTGTGCTTGGCTGTCACGGGCAGTCCCAGGTGGGAAGGTGGCCCTGTCCACACAGCCGAGACCTCCAGGGGACCTGTTCACACCTGTCAACAGGACTCCAAAGAGGCAGCCAACACACTGAGTCAGGGCGAGGGGCCTGTCTGCTGGCAGAGGCGGCCACACAAGCTGAGCCTGCAGCGTGGGCTGTCCCGCATCGATACCACCTCCTCCGGGAATCCTCCTACAGCTGCGCCATTCTCCAAATATCCACAGTGTCGTACCACGGCAGGTGACAAGGACTCCCTCCATGGTGTAACTTTGGTCAGGCTCCTCCGAGCCCTCTTCTTGGCAGAGCCTCAACCTCGGCCAGCTGAGATCCCCTCCATGTCTGCTCCAGCCCCTCTTCCTCCTCCCGACACCAAGCCCAGCTCCCCTGAGTAGTTTCTGTCCACTCCTTCACTCCAGAAATCCCCAGCGCCCCGTGCTGTAGTGGAGCTGAGTGCAATCTCTCCCCACTGCAAGTGTCTGGAATGGAGCCTGCCTTGCTGTTTTCTAACAAGCGTCTGGGGCAGATGCTTTTCTGCAACATAGGCAGGTGCCCGGCCAGGCCCTCCGAGGTGCCCAGGGCCTGCCCCCCATGTGAAACAGCCACTCCCTGTCCTAGGTATCCCTCTCCTCCGGGTCACTGAAACGTGGCTACATAAATATTTTGGGGATAGAGCAATCAGGGTAACTTTGGGAGCTTCTGACCCTGAATACCACATGGTGTCAAGGTGGGCCCCCGGTACCCCTGGGTTCTCATGCACTCCTGTGCTCTAGGGTGATTTCAGCGTCTCCCACTCAGGGTGCAGGAGAAGGGAAGGTGTGTTGTAGGGGTTGCACTGCCGTGAGAAGTTGTTCTGGAATGGATGGTTCAAGAAATACCTGGGCCCTGGCTTCTGACACCATCACTACTCAGCCTCACTAGCCAGCGAGAGCCCAAACTCCTCATCTAGGAAAACAGAAACACAGGCAGGGGTCCAGCCACCTCCAGAGGCACAAACCGTGCCAGGCTCAGAGGCCTGCAGATGCAGCCCTGCTCCGGGCTGAGGCTTCTCCCCATCCCCAGCGACACTGAGACCTCGTGGGCTCTCAGCATCACAGGGCCTCGGCCACCACTCCCCACCTCGAGAGGCCAGTCACATGTATGTTTGCAAGGTCTCAGGACGAAGCTACTGTCACACCCTGCCTTGCTCCCTTCATAAAGTGCAAGACCCCGAGGCCACGGGCCTGGGCTCTCCTGATGCCGCAGGCTGGGCCACTCTGCGGCCACAGCCGGACTCAGTGGAGCTGCTCTTCCCTGCTTTCACCCTGGGACACCAGGCTCCCTTCTACTCGCTCCTGCTACAACCGCCGATGCCCTCTGAGAAGACCTCACAAAGCATGGGCCCAACAGCCCCTACCCCGGCCAGAGTGAGCAGAAGTGCCCATGAGCACCTACATGATGGGCATGGGGGTTCCTGTGCCATGCTGCCCTGGGCATATCTGCTGATGCCATGGATGGAGCACCCAACACAAGAATGGATGAATGGATGGGTGGGTGTGTGGATGAAATGATGGAAGCAGGGATGGATGATGGATGGGTGGGTGCATGGATGGAAGGATGGATAAATGGATGGATGGCTGGTGAGTGGGTGGATAGGTAGAATGGATGGGTAGATGGATAGAATTGGTGTGTGGGTGGATTGGGTGGATGGCTGGGTGGATAGTGTGGGTGGGGGGGTGGATAGTGTGGGTGGGGGGTGGGTGAATAGGATGGGTGGGTGGGTGGATGGGTGGATAGATAGGGTGGGCAAGTGGGTGGATAGTAGATTGGGTGGGTGGGTGGATGGATGAATAGGATAGGTTGGTGGGTGGATGGGTGGGAGGGTGGATGGATAGTGTGGGTGGATGGGTGGATAGATAGTGTGGGTGGGTGGGTGGATGGATGAATAGGATAGGTGGATGGGTGGATAGATAGGGTGGGTGGGGGGATGGATGAATAGGATAGGTGGGTGGGTGGATAGACTGGGTGGGTGGATGGATGGATGAATAGGATGGGTGGTTGGGTGGGTGGATGGATAGTGTGGGTGGGTGGGTGTATAGATAGGGTGGGTGGGTGGGTGGATGGATGAATAGGATGGGTGGTTGGGTGGGTGGATGGATAGTGTGGGTGGATGGGTGGATAGATAGTGTGGGTGTGGGTGGGTGGATAGGATGGGTATGGGGGTGAGTAGATAGGATGGATGTGGGGGTGGTGGATGGATGGTGGATGGTGGGTGGGTGGATAGGATGGGGGATGGTGGGTGGGTGGATAGGATGGGTAGGGGGGTGGGTGGACGGATGGATACATGGATGATTCAGAGATCAAATTAAATTGTCCTCAGCAACAACATCAAAAAACAAAAATAGAAGAACAAGAAACTGTTCCCTTCTCTGAGGAGGCAGCCGTAGCAGAACTAACTGATTAAAAACCGCCTCCTGAATTTTATGAGCATCAGAAAAGTCCAACTCCAAACTGGGCCATTCTGAGACAATTAAGTCAAAATATGTGAATTCATTTACACAAATATGGGAAGGAAAGGAGCTCCTGGTGAAATAAGAGGAGAGGTTTGCAGGGCCCTGAGGAAGAGGCGGGAGATGCCACCCAAGGGTCAGGGACCTGGAGACGCTGCAGGCCCTGTGGAGGGAGAGGTGGCTGGAGTTCACCAGAGAGGACACCAAGGGGGCAGTGGGCACGAGGAGAGGAAAAGGAGGTGAGGCAAGAGTTCCCCCACCCTGCCCCCATCCCAGAAGGGTGTGGACTGGGGACGGTGGGAGAAGCAGGGCCCCGGGTCCTTCCTCGACGCCGCCATCCTCCACCCTGGACTCAGGCTCATGCTTTCTTTTCCTCTTTCCCGTTGAATTTGACCACTGGCATTTCACTAAGACACAGGCAAATCTCCAACCCACATGTCACAGCCAGGGAGGAGGGCCGACGCCCCCAGGCCCGCGGGACTCAGCACTGGATGCACAACTTTCAGGGAGCGCAGGAAGCTCGGGGAGCAGAAGCCGCTCTCAGGGGCTCCTGAGCCAGGGCCCAGAGCAACGAGGACAGCGCTTCCCACCCCAGCATGCCGCTCCAGACTCTACGCTGTGACCACAGGGCTTTCAGGTGGGGCAAAGGGCTCTGCCCGGCAGGCAGCGTGACGCCCATGCTGCCAGACTGAGGCCCTGAGTCCGGTCCTGACGCCAACAGTTGAGGATCCTGGGGCCAGCCCGTCTTTGCCATCCTCTGGCCCTGCACTCTCACACTTGTAATCTCAGCACTTTGGGAGTCCAAAGTGGGCAGATCATGAGGTCAAGAGATCGAGACTAGCCTGGCCAACATGGCAAGACCCAGTCTCTACTAAAAATACAAAAATTAGCTGGGTGTGGTGGTGGGCACCTGTAGTCCCAGCTACTCGGGAGGCTGAGGCAGGAGAATCGCTTGAACCTGGGAGGCGGAGGTTGCAGTAAGCTGAGATCATGCCACTGCACTCCAGCCTGGGCGACAGAGTGAGACTCTGTCTATAAACCAATCAGTCAATCAATTAATCAATCACTGGTCCATGTGCCTTCACCCACACCCTCTCCCAGTCTGAGGTCCAAGAGTCTGGGGTTCAGGCTCCTTCCCGCATGGACAGATCCAACCCTGACGGCACCCTCTAGAGACAAAGGCAAGAAGGCCAGGCTCTGTACAGCCCGGCCACTGACCATGGGCAGAGATGTGGCATGTCGTGGCTGCACTCAGAAGAGGAAGAAAAGACCACTAGATATTTTAGCTGCTGTATTTTAAACATCAGGACATGGAGGTTGAAAATAGATCATGAATGTGGAAAGCCGAACAGCTGACGTGTTTATCCATCTCATTCATCACTCCTTCTTCCCTCAGCAATGGGTCTTGGGCAGTCCTTGCTTCTAACAACCCCTGACATTCACTCTGCCCTGGGTCTCTGAGGTCTTCTAGAACCCAGGACTCCACCAGCCTCCCAGGGCCTAGGTGAAAATCTGTGCAGGCGAGGGGGGCCTATGGGGAACCCAGGGTGTCAGGAGGCAAGGGGAGACAAGAATGGGTGTGAAGCAGCCTCACGAAGAAAGGAGAGCCTCAGAGGCAACCCCCAGCACAGCCATCCTCAATCCCAGATGGGCCACGAAAGCCACCTGCCTGCTCCCAGTGGCCACAGGGCCCAGGAGAGGCTATACTGCCCAGCAGAGCAGCAAGGGCCCGCTGTGCACACTGCCTCCGGGACCTCCCAGACGGAGCTGCGGGCGTGGACAAGGCCACCCGATTACAGATAGCAAGGGCCCACTGTGCACGCTGCCTCCAGGACTTCCCAGACGGAGCTGCGGGTGCGGACGAGGCCACCTGATTACAGATGATGAATATGAAACAACGCCAATCCGTTACCCAACACCAGGCAAAGCCATCCCCGGCAACTTTATGAGCAAGTAAATCCTGAGCTTGCTCCAATAAAGTATTTACGAGGTCTCTTGTTCCAAAACTGCACGCATGGCCTTTTTCTAATTCAATCTATCCCACAAAGGTAAATATGAAGGCTTGGCAGAGGCGAGCGTCAGTGCACAGGCTCCTGGCCTGCCACGGTGCAGTTCGGTCCTGGGGAGGCAGGAGAGCCTGGGACAGTGGCTCTGTGCCGCTGCTAAGCCTGTGGGGGACTGGGGCAGGTGTAGAGACTTCCAGAGCCCCAACTCCCACCCTCCAGTATCCAGGTATCCACGGCTTGGCCAGGCTCGACTGCACCCACAATCCTGAAAGAGTGCAGAAACAACCTCTCTAAAATCAGAAACCCCAGTGCTTCCTGCTGTTAACCTCCGTGTCCACACAGAGCCTGGCGCCACACTTACTGGGTTCAAATCCCAGTGTGCCACTTACCAGTGGCCTGAATTTCCCTTTGTAAAAAATGGCCATAAAAACCGCGCCCATGTGGCAGGGCTCTTAAGAGTAACAACTGAGGTTACCATGAACAGAGTGCTCAGAACAGGACCCCACCCTGGCACACCACGTAAGGACAGGCTGGACCCATATGTGCTTGTGCACCTCCAGGCAGGGGGTGGTACAGAGGGGACTCAACCCCAGGGCCCTGCTCCGTCTTCTCAGAACACACAGCCCAGCAGGCATGTGGTCGTGTCACCGCAGACATCTCACCAGGGATGCACCAAGCCAGGCTCCAGAACATCCAGCCCCCGCCTCAGGCATGGGGCAGCTTTATGTTCCCAGGAGATAGACGCGGAGACAGACTCTGCCATTCTCTCTCCTGCTGCATCCCCAGTTTCTTTCATGGGCCACTCAGCCTGAGAGGTGACGACAGTGAGGACAGTGAGTGCCGAGGTTCTGCGAGAGGCGCTTCCGGGGCCACTGAGGCAGGGACGGGAGTGCCTGCATGCTTCCAGGAGCTCCACACGGCTGCAGTAACGAATGGCCTCAAACCAGGCCCCGAAACAGCACCCATTTATCCTCTTGCTGCTCTGAGGGCCAGAAGTCTGAGCCCAGCTTCACTGGCTAAAGTCAAGGTGTCACTGATTTCTTCTAAGGTCTCTGGGGAGAATCTGTTCCCTTTGCTTTTCCAGATTCCAGAGGCCGCCACACCCCTGGGCTCCCTGCCTCACATCACCCCCTCTCTGCTTTGTCCTCATGCCCCTTTTGCCTCCTCTTCCCAGGACGCCTGTGACTGCCTGTGAGACCCACCTGGATAAGCCGCAGTCACGCCCCCATCTCAAGATCCTTAATCACATCTGCAAGACCCTCTTGCCTGGCGAAATGACACATCCGCAGGTTCCAGGGATTAGAACCCGGACATCTTTTGGGGAGTGCATTGTTCAGCCAACCACACGCTGGGTCTGCACAGGGCATCCCCCGAGTGACCACAGGTATCCACGCTCCCAGCCCAGCCCTGGTTTTGTTTCTCGCCCAACAATGAACTCACCATGGATGAAGCCCAGATCCAGATGTCCACCGGCCCACCAAGGAGACTGGACACCCATAGAAGGCCTCTCTCGGACAAGACGCTCCCACCCCAGCCGTGCCCACCAAACCCCTAGGGGTCCCCACGGACCTGCAAGCAGCTGGGTGTCTGCCGAGCCCAGAGCCACGCAGCCTTCGGAGCTGGGCAACTCCCTGTTCCCTATTCCCACCATCTCGCTGCTGACCCACCTCGCTGGGCTTTCTGCAGCCCTAGACAGAGGGTGGGATAGGCAGGAAGAAGTTTTGGGCTTCAGTGGCCCATCTGGTGGGACAAAGTGCAGCCCATCCGGCCTCAGCGAGGCCACTCCCTGGTTTCCATGCGCAGGCAAAATGCCACCTTCCTGCCTCGTGCTGTGACTTGCAGGCAGGAGGAAGACCTCTGGGACCCTGTCCCAAGCGGCCAGGCTCCAGGAGCATCCCGAGTGCATGGGCGGGTGACGCATTAGAGATGCTCCCAGGTGACTGCACCTGATCCCATGCATTAGGTGATGCATTAGGGATGCTCCCAGGCCTCACGATGTGCACTTCATCCAGCAGCACCCTCGGGGCCACTGCAGAAGACACGATCACTTGGGCCTTCAGGCTCATCAGGCCTCGACCAGAAAATGCTCGAATTTTAGAAAATCAGCACGGCGGGGTTACGGCGGTATTGGCCACACTGTATGAATGTATTCCACCTTCCCATTCAAAGCCTGCAGCGCTGTCCCCAGCTCTGCCTGACTGCTGATGGGACCCTCACTCCCTGCTGAGAGCCCACCCCACTCCTGAGCAGCCCCGGGGCTGGTGAGCTCTGTTGGAGTGATCCCCAGCCCCAGGCCCAGCTCCAGGGTCCCAGAGAATCAGCACACCAGGCCGGTGTTTCTCAAAGGAAAGGATGACCCCTGCACCCCACAGAACCAGTAGGGACGTGCCTGGCTGTATTCTAGAAGCCCCAGTTCAGCTCTTCACAGCCTCCACCAGTGTAGAAACAGACCTGACCATCCCTGCACAAACTAGGGCAAAGCCAGGGTGAGGATTGGAAACCATTAGGCCATTGGAGGGGCAAGGCCTGCTGACAGCCCCAGGAGGGATGTGCAATGCAGAGAGGGCTGGCTGGGAGGGGGTTCTCTGCGGACAGGAGCTGTACCTCCATGGTCCCCCGCAATGACCTGGCCCTCCCCTGAAGCCCCAGTGGAAGAGGCATTGCCTTTCTTGTCACAGGGCCCCTCCTGGAGAGGGGGGGATGGGGGCGGGGGCCAGGACTGTGAACCCCAGGAACAGTCTAGAGAGTGCCCTTCATGTGGAACAGGGGCCAGAAGGACCCGTGGGGGATGTCCTCATAAACCGCAGGAGAATCACCTTGTAAATAGAAAGGGATTTATTTATGACCACAGAGGGTGAAAACCATAAAGGGAAATGACTGCCTTGAAAGTCAGGCACAGGGAGCCCCCCAGGAAGGCGAGCATGGCCCCCACAGCTAGGCGAAGCCCATCCGAGAGGAACACGGACAGAGCGTCCTCGGCCACGCCTGCTGCCACAACCTCCCCACTGCCCAGGACTTGAAGAAAGACTGGCTGTAGCCTCAAGCCATCCGCTTCCCTTTGCTTGGGGACAAGCTCGTCGGACCGAGCCGCCGGCTGCCACCATGGGCAGATACGAGTGCTTTTCATCAGTTCTGCTGGCACAAAGGCAGGGGCTGCAGATTCGTGCTAATTAAGAACTCTTATCACTGTTCCCGTCTTCCCCAACGCAGCTCTCTCACCTGGAGAGACACATACCTGTCCACCCTCCTCCAGGCAGCCTGGGTTCAGGAGGGACGGGGATGGTGGCTCCTGAAGGGGCGTCCTGGGAAACACGGAGGCTTTGTAAGCGAGTACTTCCTAGAATCTGGTTGTGGTTGTTTGAATAAACTAGAAGGTTGAAATTGTAAAGAAAAAGGATGAATCCCCCAGGTAGCGCTGAGTTCTTACAGTGCGTGGCTTCTCCCCAAGCAGCCAGTGGCTTCTGGCCCCGGTGACTGGGAGGCCAGGCCCGCTCTGCTGACCCCATGCCCGGCCTTCTCTCCAGGGCCGGCTCCAGCTGGCCAGCCCCAGTGCCACCCCCAGTGCCTACCCCGGCCCCCACATCTGTCTCACACACTACAAGTGCTGGACGTGTGCGGCACAGAAGGTGTGAACGAAGCTCTCGGTCAACAGGACGCGCAGCACCCTGGCAGTACTTGCTTGCGACAGGAGCAGGGTTTCCACAGATGCCCCAGGACGCATGGAATCTCAGAGGAGCTTTTACAAAGGTCACCTACAGCATGTTTCCCAGCCATGACTCTGTGGACACACCAGGCACAGTGTGAGTCTGGCCTCTGCATCCCTTTAACCACGAGGCAAGGAGCCCTGGGGGAGGGCACTTGTCTCCTGCCCGGGGTCCTCCTGCCTTGCCCGGGACTTAGGGGTTGGTACAAGGCGGGATTTTCAGCTTTGAAACCAGCAAGTGTCGTGCAAACCAGGACATGTGGGTCTCCCAAGTATAAGGGTGTCTAAGAATGCATCAGTGCATCTGTGAATGGGTAAACGTCTGTGTATCAACATATCCAGGAATGAAGAACATTTAGCAATTTTTTAAGCAGCTGTGGAACCCACACACGGCATAAACAGTTGTGGGGGGCAGATGGGTGTCTGCAGTGTGATTCTCTTCACGGTTTTGTATCTATGACAATTTTCACAATGAAGAGTTGGGGTGAGGAATGGTTCGGGCCCCCAGCTCTGCGCAGGCCCTTCAGGAGAGGGCGCCTGGGGGCCCCAGACAGGGGCCCACCAGCAGACAGGGGTGATGTAGCCAAGCACACCGGCTGTCCTGAGATAACACCCGTCGGCCGGGAGGTCAGGACCGCTTCGCAAGTGCAGGGTGGAAATAAACCAGGGCGTCTGACGGCTCCCACATGCTCGCGAGCGGCTTTGTCCTTCCACAGAATCCCATCTCGCAGGGGCCGCGAGCCGGGGGTGGTGGGAAGCGGGCTGAGGGCCACCGGCCAATCTCCAGACTGCACCCAGGAGCCTCTTCAGCCATGGGGGCCTGGAGACTCTGTGCAGCTGTGATACATCCTCTTTTTGTTCAGGACCCACCAGGAGCTCGAGGGGGCCACATTCTATGGCGACAGAGTCACGAAGGGCCGGAAGGACGTCAGCATGGCCTTGCATCAGGTTCAGGCTGGGAGCCCCGGGCTGGGGCGCAGCCACAAGGGCAGCCGGGGAAAGGCCAGAGCAGGTGGAGCCAAGATCACACTGCGGACTGGAGCCTCAACCCTGCCCCAGAACCAAACACTCAATGGAGATGGAAATCCGTGTTTTCTAATTCACGGAGGAGGCTGGGAAGGCGAGATGAGCGCCTGGCCGAACCACAGGGCCAGGAGTCCGTCTCAAGTCCAGACAACCCCAAGCTCAGGAGATGAGACAGAGAGGAAAGAAGAATGTCAGAAGGACAAACAGAGTGGGGGAGATGGACCCCAGAGAGGCTGGGAGGCAGAGACGGCAGGGCCCGCAGGGGCATCCACAGTGGGCTGGATGACAGAGGCTCAGTGCAGGCTCTGCACACATTAACAGAGACGGACATCAGCTCAAGGAGGTGAAACAGTGTCCAGGGGCCTGTGCTAGGGACGGCTCAGGAGAGACGTAAGGGACCAGACTCAGGTCCTCAGATCATCAGTGAAAGGACCTGTGTTGAAGAGAGGACTCCAGGGAGGAAGGAGGAATACGGCGTGACTCAGAACAGCCGTGAGTGCTCCCTAGAGCTCAGTGAAGGCATCAGGAGAATCTTCCAGCATTGATGTTAGCATATTCCCGAGCACAGGAACCGTCTGGAAATGGCCGGGCTGCACCACAGAGCCAAGAGTGGCTGGTCCCTGAGTGCCAGTGAGGAAAAGGCAGCAAACGCCCTGCCAGGGATGCCAGAGGAGGAGCCCCACCTCCTGGGTCTGTGACATGCTCACATTCAAAACTCAGACAAGCCAGGCTGGAGGGTGACCAGGCCACCGGCTCACTGTGACCTCCTGCACCACCCACTGCTCCCCACGATGACCAGTCGGCCGTGGCTCTCCTGTCAGAAACCCCCTCTCAAGGGACCCTGCTGTGCACAGAAGAGGGACACATGGAGACACATCAGCGGGCCCTGGGCACATCAGGAGAGACCCCCATGGGAAGGTGGCAGGGTTGCCCAGGAGGGTTTCTCAGAGACAGGGATGGAAGCAGAGGAGGAGCTCAGAGAAAGGCACTCGTGGGAGGGCAGACACTCGGGGAAAGGGAGACACTCCGGGAAAGGGAGACACGCGGGGAACGGGAGACACGTGGGGAACAGCAGACAGGTGGGGCGGGGGCACCTCCCATTAGGCGAGGGCTGCTGGGGGTCGGAAGAGCCCACTGGATGGGAGGGCTGGAGGGTCCAGGAGAGACGAGGCCACCTGTGCCCAGGGACAGGGCCCCAGGGAAGGCAACAGGTGGGCGTGCTATAGGGACACCTTGACACACGCTCAAAATGTCAGTGTTGCAGGGAGGTACACGGGCCATTTAACCCCTTTGCAGTCTCCCAAGACGCGCACAGGCTGTGAGACACGCGTGGCCTGCCGTGATCTCACAGGCTCGCCTTGATTACACTTGAACATGCAAGTGAGCCGCCCTGTGCTGCGGGGGTGTGCACTGGAGTCACCCACGCTGGCGGCCAAGGACTTTGTTTCTATAAGGATTACAAATGGAAAAGCATGAGGCCCAGTGGGCGGCCAGGGGATGAGCCACCCAGGGGAGGAAGCCCCGTCCGTGGGAAGCACAGGGCTCCTGCACCTGCATAGACGCACCCTGGAATTCTGGCCCTGACCACAGGCACAGCGCCCTGTGCTGCTTCCAGCCTTGCCCTGGATCTGAGACCCACCCTGTGCAGAGGCAACCTTTCATTATATTACAGGTGAGGAAACTGAGGCTCAGAGAGGCATACAGCAGTAAACAGGGACCCAGGATTCCAGCAGAGCTGCCAACACCCAGCCCCCTGGCAGCCAGAGGTGGGCCCCTCCCTCCTGACTCTCAGCAGCCCTCAGGGCCGCACATCTGGAGTTAAGGCTCACACCCCAGGCACTGCCTCTGCCCATCCGGAGGCCTGGAACAGCTTCTGCCCAGGGAAGGGAGGTGTTGCACATGCTTTACTGAAGAGTGAGTCAGAAAAAGGTGGGAGGAGGAAGGAGGTGGAAGGAAGAGGGGTGGGTAGGTGGTTTCCAGAAAGTTCTACCAGGAGAGGCAAGAAAGGCCAGCCCACGTGGACACAATCAGAACACCAAAGGGGCGACATCTCTGAAGGTCTCAGGGGACACAAAGTGGCAGGACACGGAGGGTAAACACAGACTCTCACGAGCCCTGGCCACAGAATCCACATGGCCGAGCCCCCAAAAGCCCTCGCCAGGCATAGCTCCCGCCACAGATCCCAAAGATCAAGTTCCGAGTTTAGAAGGAAGGAGATTTCCAGGGGTGGCTGTGTCTGCTGCCCCATCCGGGCTGACATGCCGCAGGTAACGAATGCTGAATAAGTGAGTTCTAATAAATAACAAAATGAATAATCTGGGTGTACGAAAGGCAACGCAGGACAGCATCTCAGCGAAAGGGGAGCAGGTGAAGGAAGGGAGCAGAGAGGCTGTATTTCGCGGTCTGCCGCTAGCTGTGTTTTCAAAGCTATCAAAAATAGGCTGAGTGCGGTGCCTCACGCCTGTAATCCCAGCACTTTGGGAGGCCAAGGCGGGCGGATCGCTTGAGGTCAGGAGTGCAAGACCAGCCTGGCCAACATGGTGAAACCCCGTCTCTACTGAATATACAAAAAATTAGCTGGGCGTGGTGATTCGCACCTGTAATCCCAGCTACTAGGGAGGCTGAGGCAGGAGAATCGCTTGAACCCAGGAGGTGGAGGTTGCAGCGAGCCGAGACTGCACCACTGTGCTCCAGCTGGACAATAAAGCGAGACTCCACCTCAAAAAAAAAAAAAAAATTACTAAGGGTCATCCAGCCAGTCATTAATGTACTGGAGTGGGAGGGACACAAGTCAAATCCCCGATGCCTCTCGTGTCCCACCACAGTCTGGGAGGGGGAAGCAGACGAAGGGAAGGGGCTGCAGCAGGGACAGCTCGGCTGCATTCACCATCCTTCCCTCCCCATCCTCATGAAGCCCTTGCTAATGGAGATTCTCTGCAAGGCGGAGTCAACACACACAGCACGGGACCAAGCCCCAGCCTCAGCCCCAGAAATCACACGGCCCAACGCTGACAGCTCAACACGGCCCGAAGCCCTCCAGGTGGTCCCGAGCTGCCTGCGAGCCTGCCCCTCTGCTCCTCCATGCTGGGGACAAAGCCCTCCTGGTGGTCCCGAGCTGCCTGCGAGCCTGCCCCTCTGCTCCTCCGTGCTGGGGATGGGCCTTCTGTGGTCCCTCACCACCCCGGGAGCCAGCATGAAGGTCCGCAGTTCACTGGGTGCCTGAGGGCGCTTCCTCAGTGTACCTTTCGTCGTGATTTATTTATACGCCGGCCAGGGCGCAAGGCGAGGACCTCGTGACTTCACAGCAGGTGAATCTTACTTAGCACAGGTGAGGCTGGACACCCAGCTCCATAAACAGAAAGAATCACGAGCAACGGGCAAGACTGAACCCATTACTGTGCCAAACGCTGGGATGCAGCCTCCGGCCTGTCCTCCAGTACCCTCAGGAACGTGCCTGCAGCAGTGCAGCCAGGCCCTTCTCGGGGGCCACGGGAAGGCCTCCCTGCCCCGCCTCTGGTCAGACCCTGCTGAGCCGACCTTAGGTTCTCTTGGGGCTCCATCCAAAGCCAAACAGCCCCCTCCACTGTGTGTTGTTATGGGTTCAATTTTGACCCCCTAAAACCATGCTGAGATTCTAACCCCTGAGGCCTGTAACTGTCACCTTCTTTGGAAACAGGGTCTTTGCAGATGTAATCAAGTTAGGCGAGGGCCATTAGGGTGGGCCTCAATCCAATATGACTGGTGACCTCACTACAAGAGGAGGTTAGGACACAGAGGGAGGACGGCTGTATGTGGTGGAGGCAGAGGCTGGCGGGAGGCAGGTGGAAGCCAAGGGCTGCCTGAGCCACGGGCAGCCAGAGAGCAGCCGGGAGCAGCTTCTCCCCCAAGACCCTCAGAAGGAAGCGGACCTGCGGGGCCCTGATGCCAGACCCCCGGCCTCCAGAAGCACGGGCGGCTCCACACCAGTCGTGTAGAGGCTGCCTGGCCTGTGGTCCTTGGTCACAGCAGCCTTGGGGAACTCATACACCATCCTCAGGTCTGTGAGCTTCAGAATCATGGTGGTTCTTTTGCAGGAGAAACGGGGGCGGCCCCGTCCTGGGTTCAGGAGCTGTGCGTGAGCAGAAGTGGACAGAGGCGTGGACAGAGGCGAGGTCCAAGGCCCAACCCCACTCCTCCTGGCTCCAGCGCCCTGTCCACACCACAGACAACACATGGCCAGTGATGCCACAGGTCTCACACCACAGACAACGCATGGCCAGTGATGCCACAGGTCTCACACCACAGACAATGCACGGACAGTGATGCCACAGGTCTCGGACTAGGCAGCTGCCTGGCCGAGCGTCCACGAAGGTCTCTTAACTCAGAAACTTGGCTCCTTCCTTGGCATCTGGATGTTGCCCCAACGTGTCTTTGATTTCTGAAAACACAATCTCCCTCTTCAGGCCTCACCCAGGAACCTGCTGAGCTGGGAGACGTGCATTTCCCACCCAAGTAGAGGTTCCTCCTCAGAACACACCACCGCCCACCTGTTTACGCACATCCATCCGACAGCAGTGCTCTCCTCTGCCAGGGCCATCGCTCCACAGTAACAGACTGTGCCCTGGCTAACTGCAGCCTAGGGGCCTCCTGACGCTCCCCCAACCCACTCAAATGAACCCAACCCACTTGACGTGTAAGAATAAGCACCTGCCCACGCCACTCCTCAGGAATGTCCAATGTCCAGTTGACGGTCCATCAGATACTGCGGACAGCAAAGCATGGCCCTATTCCGCTACAGCACAAGGGCTGCAAACCTGGGGTGTTAGCAGAGAAAGCTTTGCCATGGGGCACAGAGCTCCCGAGCGTCGGGTGCCTGCCCTCTGTTGGAACGAAGGCCTGGAGCTGTGGCTTCAAGCAGACAAAGGCCAGCGGGCTTCGGGAGCCCCTCCACGGCACTCTGCAGTTCCTCAAGTAATCATGGCTCCACCACCCCCAACCAACATCTGGCACGCACAGGTAAAAACAGCCCTTCCTCACCAGGATTGGCGCCAAGAGGATTCTCTAAAATGCTTCCACCATCACGGTCAGCAGGATGTGACCAACTCAGGAAACGCTATACAATGCTGGGAAAACCGCAGCATGTCTGGGGAAAAAATAGACGTAGCTGTCACTAAGATGACTTCCTACATGGACACCAATCCACGTGGCCCCAAGTGGAGGACGGATGAGTCAACTTTGTAAGAGAGGCTCCCAGGAAAAAAAAAACCAACAGTATCACGTGTTCATGAGTGAGAAAAACCAGAGGCAAAACCGTATTTCAGCGCACACTTCACCAGCATAAATGTTCAGAGAAAAAAGGACTGGAAGGAGGTATCGTGAATATGGCTGATGGCTACGGTGCTGGATAGCGAGAAAACAGGAGGCTTCTTGGATGACAGGGTCTCCTGAGGTGTTTCTGTATTTCCTAAACACATCATAGACATTTACCTGACTTTAGAGGAGAAACAAAATCAGCGTCGGTGGTGGGTCTTGAAAAGAGACCAAGACCCCCGAGAAGCAGGGGTCTGGCAGCCCGGGGCCGTGGGAGGGGCTGGCAGCCTGGGGCCGTGGGAGGGGCTGGCTCACTGCCTCATTCTGCCTGTCCAGCCCCAAGCCCTGAGCTGTCGTGGTGTGAGAATTCCCTCCACGTTCCCCAGGCCTGGAGAGGGATGGGCCCGGGGCCTCCTACCTCCCAAGGAGGAGCAGAATTTCTCCAAAGGGAAACGACCCCACCCTCCCCACAAGTCATAGCTCCCTCACTCCTCAGGACCCCCAGGGTGGTCAGAAAAGGGCAGGACTTAGACCAAGCAAAAAATGGAAAGTTTTAGTTTTGAGTTTTTTGTTTTTGTTTTTTTTAATGAACTGGACCACTCTCCTTTGGGTCTGCCTGCTGCAGACCCTTCTGGCAACCCCGCCTCCCCAACCCCCATTTTGCACTTGACTCAGAATCTCCCAGGCAACAGGGATGGGTGGGCCAGCCCTAATCAGAACCTGGGACAGACCTGCTCCAGACTGAGGTACCTGGGATGGGTGGGCCAGCCCTAATCAGAACCCAGGACAGATCTGCTCCAGGCTGAGGTACCTGGGATGGGTGGGCCAGGCCTAATCAGAACCCAGGACAGACCTGCTCCAGGCTGAGGTACCTGGGATGGGTGGGCCAGCCCTAATCAGAACCCGGGACAGACCTGCTCCAGACTGAGGTACCTGGGATGGGTGGGCCAGCCCTAATCAGAACCCGGGATAGACCTGCTCCAGGCTGAGGTACCTGGGATGGGTGGGCCATCCCTAATCAGAACCCAGGACAGATCTGCTCCAGGCTGAGGTACCTGGGATGGGTGGGCCAGCCCTAATCAGAACCCAGGACAGATCTGCTCCAGGCTGAGGTACCTGGGATGGGTGGGCCAGGCCTAATCAGAACCCGGGACAGACCTGCTCCAGGCTGAGGTACCTGGGATGGGTGGGCCAGCCCTAATCAGAACCCAGGATAGAACTGTTCCAGGCTGGCCCCAGATCCATGCACTGCCTCCGAGGCTAACGGGACCGGGCCCTGCCTGCAGGCCTGAGTGAGGCCCCACTGTGTAGGGACACAGCTTCCTCCTCAGACATCCCCAGAGCCTGGCCTGGATCTGTCCCCAAGAATCCTGAGTACATGTGGTGACTGCATCAGTGAAAGTGATGCAGGACATGGGTTACTGCTTGCCCTGGGCACAGAGTGGAAGCGAAACCTGGACAGAAGCAAGCCAGCGTGAACTGTCACGTGAAGCAGGCCTGGCACCAGCCATCACGGGCAAGGGCCTGGCTCAGAACCCCAGCGTCTGACAGCACTAAATCATCAGAGCGCCCTAGGCCCCTTTCCTCCCACCAAGAGCGTGTCTCCCCTCTGCACCCAGGCCTCCAGGTAAGGAGCCAGGCAGGGGAAACACGCGGCACTCCTAAGCAGCGATCGCTAATCCAGGCTGAATCCCAGACGCCAGTTTCAAAGCAAAGAGAGCAGCAGCAAAACCGCTTTTGAGTAACAGGCTTTTGCATATGAAAGTAAACATGGCTTTTGTATAAAAAGAAGAAAATCAGACAAGAAAGTAAGTTCCACAGATAATCCCACCACTCTAGTAGCCACTCCAAATCCTCATTTCCCCAAATCCTCATTTCAGTATTTCAGCTTTCTGGATGTCTTCATAGAAATACATACATCTATATCCAGACAAATACCTACAGCAACACTGTAATCATCCTGCCTGCTGCTTAAACCTACTTTTTTTCAGTTCTCAAAACATCACGAATTTTCTCTGCTTGTGGAAGGGAGTATCCCTGGGGGCTGAGATCCACTCAGTCTGAAACCTGGAGTGCACGCTGTCTCCGACGGTTCGCCACTGCGATTCTCGAGAGGGAGCATGCCTTGAGCTCTCACTCTGTCTCTCCTTGTGCCCCAGGACAAATTCCTGGAGGTGGGATTTTGGGGTCCCAGGGTTTGGTACAGGGACTCAATGACCTCCAGGAGGTGGAGGAGAGCGGAGCCCTGCTGCTGACTCTCATGGGGCTCTTGGGGCAGGTGCACCAGCAGTCACGTGGCAGGACAGGTGCCCGGCTCCGAAGCCTCCCAAGGTCAGACCTTGTGCTGACTCATCAGGCTCACCAGGCTGAGTCATCTCCCACTGCTGCCTCCTCCAGCCACCCAGCACACAGAGCTGGGGGTCCACCCCATGGGGCAGGCCCTTCCCTGTTCACTGCAGTGGCTGTGAACCCATGAGGGACTCTGGGCTCCCCGGAACCTGCCCTCATGGACGCTTACACTCCAGGATTAGCACCAGGCATCCCAACTGTGGGTGGGGACTTGGCATGGCTGTGACAAGACACAGGGACCCTACAGCCCTCTAAGTGAATGTTAATCATTTTCAGTACATGTCACAGGGTGAGAGGGGCAAAGCCCCAATTTTAGAATCAATCAGGCTCAAGTTGAAGTTCAAATTTAGAGGCCTCCCAGGTACAAGCTTTGGGCCTTGGGCAAGTTTCTTGACCTCTCAAAACTTCAGATATCTCGCAGGTAAAATGCCTGCCTGCATCCTAGTTAGGCTGTTAGGATTAAAGAAGATGGTGGATGAAATGCAGTAAGACATAAAAAAGTAGGCCCTATCACCACCACAACCATCGTTGCCATTACCATCACCATCCCTGCCACCACCAACATCATCATTACCATCACCATTGCCATCACCACCACCACCACCACCACCACCATCCTCACCATCACCACCATCATTACCATTACCACCATGATCACCATCAACACCATCACCACCATCATCACCATCGCCATCACCATCATCACCATCATCACCATCACCACCATCATCACCATCACCACCATTAACAACATCATCACCATCATCCTCACCATCACCCTCATCACCATCATCACCATCATTACCATCACCATCACCACCATCACCACCATCATCACCATTACCACCACCACCATCATCACTATCATAATCATAACCACCATAACCATCATCACCATCACCATCATCATTCAGTCCTCCACCTCTTCCTTATCATCAGCAGCATCATCACCATCACTAGCAGCAACACCATAATCTCCTCTCCACCATTATCACCACGATCATCATCACCATCATTACCATCAACACCGCCAAGATCTCCTCATTGCCATCACCACCTATATCCTCATTACCCTCATCATATTCACAGTATCATCATCTCCCACACCACCATTACTACTGTAATATCCATCTCCTCCTCCCCAGAATCTAAAAGGAAAATGCACTCTGCAACAAGCCCAGAAAACTTCTCCATCCCAAATCCAACTGCTAAGAAGCATACCTCTCATACCCTTAGAGAGGCCCCCAGCCTGCCCTGGGCCCCTCAATCCTCCCCAAATTCCTGTTCCTTGGAGGACATTATAAGAGTGGAAGGATGGAAAAAAAATCTATGGGCTGCAGCTACACCAGAAGGGCACCACAAGCTAGCTGGGGGCTTGCACACCTCCCAGATGTGCTCACCTTCCATGGGAGAAATTTCGAAAACAAAGCAAGAGGACCTGGCCCAAGGCCAGTGAGTGGAGGGATCAGAGCCAGAGCCCAGGAGTCCTCCCAAGCTTGAGCACTCCCTGTAGCACCACAGGGGCCTGGGCAAATCCAGTGGATGCCAGCCCAGGTCTTCCCACAAAGTCCCTGCTGGGCGGGAGCCATCTCCTGCTGTCCCCACCACCACGGCGGCTCAAAACCCAGAACAAGTCTGGAACACCATGAGAAAACACCGTGGAATCTGCAGCAAAATGCAGAGGACATGTCTGAGTGGTGACATGCCCATGTCACAAATGACTCCAGGGCACTGAAGGTCCTCAAGGCACACATACAGGGTCAGAGTGTTATCCTAAAACGAAGGAACGCAGTGCCTGAGATGTAAACACTCGGTCCAAGGTTGCCTGTACTGTGGCCAAGAGGGGCCCAGCGGCTGCCTGAGCTGTGTGGCTGGGCACGTCAATGCCCCTTTCTGAGCTGCAATCCCTTCATTTGTAACAAAGGGAGAATTCATCCATCGGTAGCTTGCGCGCCTGTCGCTTGGAGTGAATGAGACACACACAGTCCAGTGCTGTCCACGGGGTACCTGGATTATCAAAACTAAACTCCCGGGTGGGTGTCATCGGGGCCCACAAGGTCCCCCAAATAATAAGAGTCAGCAATGGGGAATATGCCTCCAGGCCAGGGGGTTCTGACCACTGCCCCCCATTCACTTTCCCCTCTGTGCACTCCCTGAGACGCACGAGTTGGGAGCCAGGGTCCTCCAGCCTGCCAGCCCACTGGATCTCCACTTGCTGCTGCTTGCCAAGTCTGCCTGGCCAGAGAGAGGACTGCAGGCGGGAGCAGTGCCTGTGTTATGATGAAAGCTACTTTTTAGGAAGCAAAACCTCCTCTCCAGAATGTAAAACCTCCAGGAGAAGGGAGAGGCAGCTGCACCTCTGTGGGCTGGTTGGGGAAGATCTGCGTGCCTGCCCTTCGGCTCAGCGCAGGGCCAGGGCAGTGCCTTGCAGGAGACCATGCTCCTGGGGAGAGGCAGGCCAGGTCCGGAAGATACCCTGGCACCTCTGAGCCATCCCCTGGGCCCTGTAGTGGCTCCTCTTGGGGCAGGGGTGGAAGAATAAGCCCTGCCCTAATCTTCCACCAGCAGGCAGGGGCACAAGGAGACCGTCAGACACCCGGCACCACTGTCCCCAGGGTGATCACCCCCAGCCACACGTGCTTGCTGCCCAGCGTGGTGGTGCCGTGGCCGCACTGCGTGGCCGCCTCCCTCAGGTGGGCATCTCATCTGTCCATGACTCATCGCTGAGTGGGTGGGCCCAGCAACGCCATGTGGGCAGAGCAGCCTCCGGGCACTCAAGCCCTCCCCCTACCGGAACTGAGGACAGGCAGTGCGCATGGGTATGGAGACAGGAGGAGAGGGCCCAGAGGAATGCACGGGCACCCATTTTTCCGGGGCGACCCTGTCTACAAGCACACCAGCCAGCAGGTCCTGGACGTGGGGGGCCTGGCCTGGGCTCCAGGGTCCCTGGGTGATGGCTGTGTAGCTTTCTCCAAGTCACTGAGCCATTGTGAGAATGGGGACCGGTGGGGTGGCCCCGAGGACCTCACTGGGGCTGTGGATAGAACACGCCCAGGAGGCATTGGTAGAGCAGGGGATGCGGGGTCCCTGTCTGGGCCTCTCGGCCTCAGGGGCATCGGCCTCATAGATCGGCAGAGGCTCCTCCAGCCCCGCACGTCTCAATGGCCCCATGTGACACCAATAACCTCTCAGGGCCCAGGTTCCATCTGTGAAGCTCAAGCCTCTGGCCAAACCATCTCTTGGCACCCACTGACTTATTCCTTCACCAGGTGTTCACTGGACACCAGCAGGTCCCGGACACTTCAAGGCCACACAGTCCCCTGAGAAACGGCCACAGCCAGAGTCCAACAGACATGTGCGGCGAGCCAAGCGTCTCTGTACCAGAGGCCACATGGTCCAGGATACGATATATGTTACAACAAAGACACAGGGCCCACGTCGCAGAAAACGGGGAGTCCACAGCAAGGACACAAACATTCTCTGCAAAATGGGCCAAGAAGAGAAACTGCAAGGGGGTGAGAGGTACTCAAGGTGGAAACGCTGATGGACCCACCTCCACGGATGCCTCCTGGGCGTGTTCCATCCACAGCCCCAGTGAGGTCCTCGGGGTCACCCCACCAGTCCCCATTCTCACAATGCCTCAGTGACTTGGAGAAAGCTACACAGCCGTCACCCAGGGACCCTGGAGCCCAGGCCAGGCCCCCATGTCCAGGACCTGCTAACTGGTGTGCTTGTGGGGGGGTGGCCCCGGAAAGGTGGGTGCCTGTACATTCCTCTGGGCCATCTCCTCCCATTTCCATCCCCCATGCACACTGTCTCTGAGGATGAGGCGCAAATTCAAACTACAAGGAGAGGCCCCTTCACTGCCTGGGGCTTGAGGAAGATGCGGAGGAGGGAGGGCATGTGCCCTGGATGCAGGCTGGGGAGTCGGCACATTCTCGCACCACCCAGAGGGTCCTGTAGTTGCCCTTGATGAAGGCTGGTGCCAGCCACAGACCTCTGAGGGCTTAACCCACCAGCGTGCCCACTCACAGGGACTGGAAGGTGCATGCCGCTCACACTGGCACGGTCTGTATGTGCCAGCCATGAGACAGCCCATCAACGAATCAAAGCCTGCACTGGACAGAATGGTGTGCGACTGTGTGGAGGAACGAGGCCACTCGCCGCACACTGCTCTAGGGAGGCCTTCCAGAAATATGCCAAAGGAGTGAAACGTGGAAAGGCGTAGGGCGCACTCTCACAGATGGCGTGGGGTGTGTGTGCATGCAGGCGTGCACTTGTGTTAGGCAGAACACACATACCTGGAGGGGGAGGGAGGAGAACTGGGTTCTGGGGAAAACTTCACAGAATGCTGCTTTGCACCTTTTAAATTCTGTACAATGTAAAAGACCCATTCAAAAGATATAAGGGGCTGGGCGTGGTGGCTCCCGCCTGTAATCCCAGCACTTTGGGAGGCCAAAGTGGGAGGATCGCCTGAGGTCAGGAGTTTGAGACCAGCCTGGCCAACATGGTAAAACCCTGTCTCTACTAAAAATGCAAAAATTCGCCGGGCATGGTGGTGCATGCCTGTAGTCCCAGCTACTCTGGAGGCTGAAGCAGGAGAATCGCTTGAGCCTGGGAGGCAGAGGTTGCGGTGAGCCAAGATGGTGCCACTGCACTCCAGTCTGGGCAACAAGAGCGAAAATTCCATCTCAAAAAAATAAAAAAATAAAAAAAAAGATATAAGGATATATACACACGTCATATACAAGGGTATGTGGAGAGAGACAGAAGCCTCCTTCTCCATAAGGGATACATCGAAGACCCCCAGCGGATGCTGGAACTAGGGGTAATACCGAGTCCTACACACACCACGTTTTGTCCTCTACATACAAACCTATGACAAAGTGTGTAAATTAACAGCAATAACTAGTAATCAAACAGGACAATTCTAATAACAGGCTGTAGTTAAAGCCGTGTACACGTGAGTCTCTCTGTAAATATCTGACTGTACGTCCTCCCTTCTTCTGGATGACCAAGGATAGCATCAGCTCTGTGTGAGGAGAGGAAGCCGGCTGAACGACGTGAGCACCGTGACCGCGGAGAGGGAGCCGGGGGAATGACGTGGGCACCGTGACCGAGTGTCAGGCTCTACCGACCTCGAACACAAGCCCCGCAAGCCTCGCCGCGACAGTCAATCCGGTAACCGCCCTGGCTCCCAAGTGACCAGTGGGTACGCAGCAGCTATGGCTTGAGTCTGATGGACAAAGGGACGATTCATGCCCCGAGTGGAACAGCGTGGGACCATGGGGGACACCACCACCCTACGCAGAAGGGCGTGCGGCTTAAAACTCATGAATTGCTTATTTCTGGAATTTTCCATTTAATATTTTCAACATCATAGTTGGGTGAATGTAACCCAAACCAGAGAAAATGAAATGGAAGAACTATTGCACACGTGTGTCGCCAACGAAGATGCACACACACACGAAATCACACGTACAGACACACGCAAAGTCCTAGGCATGGGCACGGGCACACATCTGTGCCTACACATACACACTGCACAGTTCGGAACACAGAGTGGAAAGGCCGAACCATGACAAGGCCCGTGTGGCCACAAGGGCTGCCTCGGGCCCCTTCATGTCCCAGAGCTGGTGCGAGGCCTCCACTCTGATCCCCGCTGGACCTGCGCAAGTAGGAGGCAGGATGCCACCCTGGCCTCCTGTGTCCCTGCATCCCTCACGCAGACCTCCTTACTGCCCGTGGTAGGCGCCATCCTCCCCGGGGACGCCCCTCGTCCACTCCCCCATTTCCCTTCACCACATCCTCACTTATCTGCCCTGCACTGTTATCTGGGGATGTTGCATAGGATCACTGACACAGGGGAGATCTCGGCTGTGACAGCGAATGGTAAAAGATGTCCCAGGGCCTCGGGGGGCCACACTCAGCCCCTCTATCCACCGCTGTTTTATTTTGACTGGAATCTCAAGGTCTGGCAGAAACAGGGTGACACAACAAGACCAGCCCAGCCCAGGGAAAGTCAGGAGACAGACGGGGGGAGAGCTGCAAACACTCACCGCAGGCCAAGAGGGAATCGAGGCAGGAAGGCTCCTGCTGGACCAGCGGCCCCCAGCCTGTGTTCTAGGCCAAGACAGCTCCCCTCAAGCAGAGATGCCCAGCCTGGAGGCATCTGTGGCCATCTCAACTGGAGGTAGAGGCCCAGGATGCTGCTCAACCCCCCACATAGCACAGGGTGCCCCTACATGGAAGAATGATCTGCCTCAAACATCGGCAGTGCTGGGGATGAGCAAGCCTGCTCCAGCAGAACCAGGGGCAGCCAACACGTCTCTGTGTGGCTGGCCAGCCATGGCAGCTCCCAAACCCTCCAGGAGGCAGGGCCTGTGAAGTGGAGGTGGCCCCTGCAAATGCATCCCGCTCCTGGCACGCACAGGGTCCAGGGCTGCCACATCAGGCCCTGTCCACTCCCTGGCTTGTGAGGGATGCTGGTTCTGCCCTGCAGTCACGCTCTCTCTGTGCCATGCTGAGTCTGATCAGCGGCTGCTGAGGAGCCTCAAGCCCACCTGCCCACAACCAGCATCCTGTGGGCCTGTGACGCCCAACCTGCCCATGGCACCCAATGGCCCAAACGATGCGAAGCAGTAACGAACACGTTCAGTCTCTGTCCCAGCCCTTCAAGCCCTTGCCATCTCCAGAGTGGAAAGTGTCTTCTGCGTGTTACGGAGCGGACTGAAGGCCAGGGCCCTAGGGAGTCTCAGGATGGGCGCTGGTGGCCAGGAAGACCAAGGCAGATTGAGTGGGTTGGGACTTTCTGCCTTATCATCCCCAACTCCAGAAAGGGGCTGGAGATTGAGTTAATCACCAATACCCAAGGATTTAATCAATCATATGTACCCAAGGAAACATCAAACTCCTAAAAGATGGGGGGAAGGTAGCAAGCTTTCAGCTCAGTGAACGCAGGAGGGTGCTGGGAGGACGGCTTGCCCAGAGAGGACATGGGGGCTCAGCACCCACGCCCCTCCCCTGGCCCTATGCACCTCTGCCAGCTGGCACAGCCCGTCATACCCTTTACAACAAGCAGGGAATGGTAAGCAAAGGGCTTCCTGAGGATTGTGGGCCATTCTCGCAAATGACGGAATGCCAGGAGAGGGTGGTGGAAACCCCCTGACTTATATTCAGTCAGTCGGAAATACAGGTACCACCTGGCGCTTGGTTCCACTGGTGGCACTTGGACTTGGTATCTGAAGGGGGAGCAGTCTTGTGGGACCGAGCCCTTCCTCGGTGGGGTCTCAGCTAACTCTGGGGAGTAGTCTGAGAACCGAATTAAATTGGAGGACAATTTAATTAAATGGCCAGATATTCATTTGGTGTCTGGAAAGTTGGAGAACTTGTTGGTGTGAAAAACTGACACATTTGGTGTCAGAAGTGTGAGTGAAACCAGGTCAGCCGGTGACACCATGGCAGCCTACATGGAGGTCATCTCACACAACTGCCTAAGATGCAGCCACTGCTGGGCCCACGAAATGGCCACTCTCCCAGGAGGTGGCACCAGGAGGAGACGTCCCTTCCTGTGTGGTCTCCCTCAGCCCCACGCCATAAACACTAAGCACGATCACAGCGCCAGCCCCTCACCACTGCCCCCTGGAAATAACCTCCAAGTGATGGGTAACATGTGTCAACTTGACGGAGCCACAGTGCCCACAGGTTTGGTCAAATGATTCTGGATTTTTCTGTGAAGGAGTGTTTTGGATGAGAGTAACGCCTGAATCGGTGATTTTGAATAAAGCAGATGGCCTTCCATACTGTGGGTGGGCCCTATCCAAGCAGGTGAAGGCCTCAATGGACAAAGATGGACCTTCCTCAAGCAAGAAAAGAATTCTCCAGCGGAGGCCTCACGACGCCAGCTGCACCTCTCGCTGCGTCTCCAGCCTGCCCTCTTCCCTGCAGATGTCATACTGACAGCCTCTGAAACTGCAGAAGCTTATTTTTAAAAAGGGAAACCTCGCTCCCTCTCGCTCTCTCGAAGTCCCATTGGTTCCGTTCTCTGAAGAACCCTGACAGGTACACTCCCCCCACCATGGAGGGCCGGGACTCCTGTGTTCATGCCATCAGCGTCACGCTCAAGTCATAATCGGCCCGTGCGTTGGTCCAACCCGACTGTCCCTTCTCCATCCCTTAACTCCCCCTTCTGGGGCACTTTCCAGCCTCACCAGGGTCTCCACACCCAGAGAGCAGCAGCTCAGCCTGTGCCTACCACGTGTGTCTGGAGCCAGTCGGCTGAGAAGTGCCAGTAAGAGTTTTCTGAAAGGATGACAATGAAGGGCATGATGAAGTCAGACTCAGCCAAGAACCGGAAGCTGAGGTGCAGATATAACCGCATGTGGTGGGGTTCCCCTCACAAGTGAGCCAGCCAGAGGGGAACGGCAGGGAAACTGAGGCCCAGGTGATGCGGGCCATGGTGGCGTGGTGAAGGGGGCTGCAGGTAGCTCCTGGGACACTCTGCATATGAACCAGCCAGAGGGGACCGGCAGGGAAACTGAGGCCCAGGTGATGCAGGCCATGGTGGCGTGGTGAAGAGGGTGGCAGGTGGCTCCCAGGACACTCTGCATGTGAGCCAGCCAGAGGGGAACAGCAGGGAAACTGAGGCCCAGGTGATGCGGGCCAGGTGGCGTGGTGAAGAGGGTGGCAGGTGGCTCCCAGGACACTCTGCATATGAGCCAGCCGGTAGAGAGGGGAACAGCAGGGAAACTGAGGCCCGGGTGATGGGGGCCATGGTGGCGTGGTGAAGGGGGCAGCAGGTGTTCCTGGGGACACTCTGGGGACACGCTCAGGGAAGGCCCTGACTATCTCCCCTCTGGGACCATCAATGGTGGTTCACGAGGCAAATAACTTTACATGAATGCTATTTTTTGGTGTTCTTTAAAAAACTGGCCGGCTGTGGTGACTCACACCTGGAATCCCAGCATTTGGGGAGGCCAAGACGGGAGGATCGCCAGAGCCTAGGAGTTCGAGACCAGCTAGGGCATCGCAGCGAGACCTTCATCTCTACAAAATACAAAAACTAGTCAAGCGTGGGGGTGCACACCTGTGATCCCAGCTACTCAGGAGGCTTGAGCGAGAGGATCAGTGGAGCTGGGAGGTGAAGGCTGCAGTGAGCTGAGGTCGCACCACTGCACTCCAGCTTGGGTGACAGAAGGAGACCCTGTCTCAAAAACAAAATAAAATAAAATGAAAATGATGGCATCCAGCACAGAGGAGCCCTAGGGCAGTGGCGCCCCTCTGTATGCTACGATCTCGGTGGACGCACGTCACGATACGTGGGTCCAAACCCACAGAATGCTCCATGCCAAGAGTGAGCGCTGGTGTGAACCATGGGCCTCGGTTAATAACAGCGTGTCAATGTCGAGCCTCACTTGTCACTCACGCGCCTCCCTCATGCCAGCTGTTATCACGGGACCCTGTGGGGATGGGAGGGGCAGGAGAGAGGCTAGATGGAAACTGCCATCTGCTCCATTTTTCTGTAACCCTACAACTGCCCTAAAACATAAAGCCTGTGATTTTCACAAACAGTAATAAAACCACACTCTCAACCTTGCCCCTTGACAGAATATTGAGAATGTGCTGCGCTGAGGAGCGTTAATCAGTGAGGACCACACCGGGAGGGGGCTGGTGTCCCTTAGCCCTGATGCCATCCCAGAGCCCAGGGCCCAGAACCCAGACCCAGACACACGGGCCGTGGAGGCACAGCGTGGTCAACAGAAACCAACGCTCAGTCCTGGGCCCCAGAAGGCCGCGTCTCTTCAACACTGCTTCTTGCCTTTGCTGAAACAACTTTATCTGGGTAACTTTCAGCAAAACAACTTTTTGTTTTAATTAAATGAAAAATAAATCTGGCACAGCTACCATAATTTCTACAGATTAGCCGAGCTTTGAAATTCCTACGCTCCTTGTTAAACCTGTTAATTCAGGCACTGCTTTCAAGATGCATTTCAAAAGCTTTGGAACATGCTTTCTTAATACAAAAGTTAAGATTTAAACAGTAATACCACTAATTCCTCCAGAATGGAGCTTAATTAGAGCAGAATGAGAGATAACAAATGTCCTGTTACAAACCATGGCGAAAGTTGTATTATCATACTTACAGATTGTTTTGCATAATCTTGCCACTTAATAAGGCTACAAGATACCATGTATGAGAAGTTTTAATTTATGCAGCTTGTAACTCAGCTGTAGTTGGAGACAATCTCAGTTCTTAAAGGATTAGAGCACGCTGATGTGAGCGTGGCCCTGTGTAGACACGAATTAAACAGTGCAAGAGGACCTCCAGGGCTGCTGGGAGCCAGTCCCCAGAGGCACCCCGTCCCCTGCAGCCTGATGGGCAGGTTGCCCGCTGCACTGCGTGTGGCAGCACGTCTGGAGATGTGTGACATCTCCCTTATTGTGGCTTGTCCACGGAACGGATGCAGGGTCTCTTGGTGGCCTCCACAGAGCCCCAGTGGCTTCAATCCAGAGACGAGACCTGGGCTCTTCTGATCAGGGAGCTCCTCATAGCTACCGGCAGCACTTGCGGATCTAACACACATGGCCACTTCCCCGACCTCTTCCACAGGATAACGCCAGCCCCTGCTCTGTCAGCTGCCTCCACTCCCCCTAACACCTGTTGGAGCCTTGGGGCACAACCACACCCCCACTGACGCGCCGGGAAGAGGAGAACCTGGAAGGGGCAACCATTTGGGGAACCATGTCTCCCTGAAGTTTGAGGTTGGAGCTGATCACGGGTGGTGGTGGTGCCTCCTCCCAGGCTCCATGGCTGCACATCCCCTGAGTAGGTGGGAAGGGAACTGCTTTGCCACTGGCGGGCCCCAATTGGGGCATGCAGGCTGCAAACTCAGGGGTACGAGCACAGCAGGGCCACACTCAGGGGCCTAATTCCAAAGCCAAATTCAGGCTCACCACCACCACCCGGTCACAGGCTCAAGGCAGCACTCCTTTCTAGAACTAGAACCACCCTGGCTGGGGCTCTATGTGCCCCGTGTGGACAGGGAGAGCTGATCTGCAAATTCCCTCAGGGGTACAGGCACCCTGCTCAGCCGAAGGTGTGCTGGGGACATGGGGCAGTCCCAAGGGCTACTCTGAGCACCAAAAAAAAAAAAAAAAATGTGCTCAGGAGGCAAATTCAGCTCCAGCTGCACTTGCCTCCGGGGCTGAGAGACAGCGGAGCATCCTGGCAGGGCGCCCGTCCTTACGCCCATCCGTCTGTCTGCACTGCTATCTGTCCACCTCTTAAAAATACAGACAGTGCTCCTGGTAGACAACAGAAATGCGGGGACCACTGAGTGGCAGTCTGGCCTCTGCAGAAGGCTCTGGACACCCACAGATGAGGGCTGTGCAGAGGCTCAAAGGCAGGATGCAGAGATGGCTGGCAGCCGACGGGAGCATGAGCCTATGGGGATCATCACACCGGGGCTGCTCTGAGGACTGTGTGAGGCATCAGAGTCCTGCACTGCCCTGTTTTCAGGCTATGTCCCTGAGAGGGTGGGGCCCAGCCCTCCCTATCCCAGCCCCATCTTCCCATCCCCGTGGGCGTAGCCCTCAGAGGCTGCCTGTGCACACTCGTGTGTGTGTGCCTCGGAGCTTGTCAACCTATGTGCACCGGGTGCTCAGAATGCACTAACAGCTTCCCCTACATGCGTGCACCCCAGAACGTCCCACTGGTCCCCCCATTTCTCTCCTCGCCCATCCGAGTGGGTCAGACAGCCAAAGCCTGCCAGGATCTGCTGCATAGTCTGCAGTCCTCGAGCCTCGCTGGGTCTCGCCTGCACCCCAACGCCGGGCAGTTCCACTGGCCAAGAGCAGCCGCCTGCTTCCCTCTCACCGCCCCTGTGCATCCCCAGAGAAAGAGTGCAAACACAGGGCCACTCTGTGGGCACAGGAGCATGACCAGGGCCTGGGAGGATCCACAGGCCTCAGCGCCCTGGAAAAAAGCTTTTGTTTTCTGGCATTTATCACAATGGGTCTCCCCGGAAACCATAATTCCTTACATAAGGACTTCAGAAGATAGAGAAAATAATAGGAAAAATAACGAAAATGAGAGCCGACACACTGATGAGGTCTCCTTGGGCTGCAGCGCCGTGCACTCTGTGTGCTGTGAGGTCCCCTTCACCACCTCGGATGCTCACAGTTGCACTGGGGTCCACAGCAGGGCAGGAGGGCGGCAGGACTTGGCCTCGGGGGAGCTCTTACTGTCCCATTTCACAGATCGGGAAGTGGAGGCCTGGGGAGGCCGTGCTAAGGGATGGCCCCAGCTGGCCTTCCTTGGGGACTCCCTGGGCTGCGACGGCTCCCAGAGTTCACTGCACCCGAGCGCGCGGTGAGAAGGCGCCCAACAGGAGCTGCAAAATGAAGGTGCAATTTTAAGCAATTGGTACCAACACAGCCACCTGGGGTGCTGGGCCAAGGGGATGTTTCTCTCAACTTGGCACTAGCCCTCCTCAACCCAGCAGTCCCTAATCCCCGACCCCAGCCACCCCCATCAGTCCTGTGCCCTGAGACACCCCCCGAGCCCAGACAGCCAGCTCAGAACCTCTACCTGGTGCCAGGCCCACAGCAGTCTCCCTGCCTGAAAAGACACGTCCCCTTCACATCGGTCACCATCAGTAATTTGAGACCCATATGGCCTTGGGCCAGTCCCTCCCCTGCCCCGTGCCTCTATTTCCCCATCTGCAAAATGGAGGGGCTGGGCCCGACCAGCTGCATCTCAGCCTCTGCAGCCCTCCTCTCCCAGCTCCAATGCTCCGCTTTATACACCAGGCTGCTGGGGACACAGGTGGGGTCCTGGGCTGGCCTCGGCCTCAGGACGTCAAGCTGGGAAAGAGTGATGGCGTCTCCCAGGTGACACTGTTCGCGGACGTGACTTTGGGCACCTCCCATCCCGCGTCTGCTGCGGCTCCTGTCGGGATTCCCGGAGGACATCTCAGTTCCGACGGCTGCAGGGACGCCTCCCTCCTACAGACCCCCCCGCCCCACTCAGCTAGCTCTGAAGAGGCCCTGGTCCAGGACTCAGGACCAAACCCCACAGACAGGTCCACCACAAAGACCCTGATCCAGCCAGCCAAGCCCTCTGTCCCCAGGTAGGTGTCTTTCTGAGAGACCCCTGGGACCACCACGGAACACACAGGAGGGATTCCAGGGAAGCTCCAGGAATGCTCCCCGCACCTGCATCTCCTACAAATGCCCCAGAAAACTGTGTTTCTGCTCGGTTTCTCGGGAGCACAGGGCTTCCTTGCTCTAGACTGGCTCAGGCCTCTGAGCAGGAGGGCAGGCAAGAACCAACCTTCCCAGGACCGAGTTAGTCACTGAGAGGAGGGAGTGAGGGAGGGAGGGAGGGAGGGAGGCAGCAGATACCGGCCAGACAGGCAGAGCGCAGAGGAGTGCGCCCCAGAGATGAAAAGAGAAACGACAGTGCCCGGAGCACCCGTTTCGTGGTTCTTCAGCCCAAATCAGAGGCTGGGACAGCAGGAGGGGGAAGAGACCTGGACCCAGGGCTGGGCATGAGGCAAGGACAGCAGAGAGCTGAGTGCAACGTCCCAAGCCCCTGCCTGTAGTGGCTCCCACTTCACCTGCACCACAGCCTCCAAGGTCCTCTGATGCTTATCCTGCGTGCAGGGCAGCAGACAGGGCATGGGGAACACAGCCACCAGGTCACACACCAGCAAGGGGACAGCCAAGGCTCAACCCTGGGGGGCTGCAGGCTCTGCCAGCCTCACTCCAGGGCCACTGTACAGTGTTGGGGACAGACCAGCAGCCCATAGAAAGAAAGGAGGCTGGCACAGTGCCCTGGGCACAGCACTGGCACAGGGTCAGCACCATGGGTGGGTCACTGACCACAACAGCAACTCCACCCGTGGCTCAGGCCCAGGCCTCAGGGTGGGGCCCGACCAAGGCTGGCCCCACCAGCCTCGGGACCTGCAAGGGACCCCCCGCCTCCTGCCGTCCAGGCAGAGACCTGCTAAGGAGGGGAGGTGCCCCGGGGCCGTGGGCATCACCCCCGGCCATCACACTTCAGTGGCTGAAGGGCGCTCAGGGCCGTGAGGCTGGGGCACTGCATCCCAGGCACCTGCCTGGGGAGACAGACACCGGGCCCAGGCGCCCGGGATGCTGGCTGCCCTGAGAGGGAGACTCCGTGGGGGAGGTCGGGAGGGGCTGGACCCTAGCTACGTGGGCTTCCGCGAGCCCAGTGCCTCCTCCCTCTGCCACGCCACCATCTCCTGACTGGGGAACATGCTGCCCACATCAGTTCAGGGCTCAGCTGGCCATGGCCCCTCCCTCAGGCCAGCTCAGGGTCAGGCCCAGGCTCCGGCATTCACCTTCCAGCTGCTCTGGGTCACCCCATCACCCTGTGACCCCGCTGCCCTGGAGCAGGCTCTCTCCTGTCATCTGGAGCCCTCAGGGCCGCCCCCGGTCAGTGCCCACTCCCTGCGCCAGCAGGATGACTCTGTCCAATGCGAGGCCTCAGAAACTCCCAGAAACTCCCAGCTGCCTCTGTCTGTGCTCTCCATCCAGGGCAAGGCCATGGCTGCAGGCAACTGAGGCATCGCAAGCCCTGGGGGTCAGACGCACGGGGGTGGGAGGAGAGCGGGCAGGACCCAGAGGGGTGGCTTGCGACGGGAACACCCACTCCTGCCTGTGGCTCTGAGGGCAGTTTCCACCCAAGGGCAACCACGATCCCTTCTAGAAGATTCACTAAGGAACCGGGAAGCTTCTCCTCTTCCTGGCTCACAGCCCATCCCAGAGACAAGAAGAAACCAACTCAATACACAGAACTCTTCAGGTTGCTGTCAAGGCCAAGCCACCAACTTCAGAGAAAAGAGAAATGTGTGTTTCAACTAAGATAAATTAGTGCATTAAGAACAAATCATGACTTTGGGAGGCCGAGGCGGGCGGATCACCTGAGGTCAGGAGTTCAAGACCAACCCGGCCAACATGGCGAAACCCCATCTCTACTAAAAATACAAAAATTAGCTGGGCGTGGTGATGGGCGCCTGTAATCCCAGCTACTCAGGAGGCTGAGGCGGGAGAACTGCTTGAACCTGGGAGGCGGAGGTTGCAGTGAGCCAAGATCATGCCTTTGCACTCCAGCCTGGATGACAGAGTGAAACTCCATCTCAAAAAGAAAAAAAAAAAAAGAACAAATCATGAACAAAAAGACTAAACACCAGACACATTTTTAATAACATACCAGGTAACTGTGAAGCTGGTCACAACGGATTCCAACTGGAATAGGAAATGGCCTGGAGGAGGCTGGGCACAAACATTGATCTTTTCCACAATTTTCTTTTGGATTAAAAAAAAAATGAAAATGTCACTTTCAAAGGTACACCAGCCGGTGGGCTCTCAGAGTCACAGTCCTGGGTCTGTGTATGGCAGCCCCTCGTGGTCAGCTCGGCCCAGGCTCAGCCCCTTCTCTACACTGGGTGTTTAGGAGATGCTCGAGAAGCCACAACAGTGTCTCCCGGGCTTGGGCCACCTGTGAATCCGCCAGGGTTGCACCATACCCATGTATCACCTCACTGCTAAAAAGAAACCTCCCATCAGCCCGTGAATGGAAAGCCAGCGCCTTTGCCATAAATAGAAGGTAGCCATAAAAGCTGATACACAGCTATTAAAATAACAAATGCCCGTCCGCATCCGCATAAAACCATCTTGCAGGCCAACAGCGGTGCGTGCCCTTGCTCTGGGCAATGCTGGATTTATGGAAGGAGGAGCATTAAGAATTTCTGGGCTGGCCACCCCAACCCCGATCTCCTCGGGAAAACCAGCTTCTTCTTTAACCCCCAACTCAAGGGCCCTCGCCTCCGTGGCATTCCACCTCCGGGATGGGAATCCGGATCTTCCCCTTCATGCTGACGGAGCATCTGTCCCCTCCAGGTCCTCCTTGAGACAAGGTGGACCCGAATCAGACCCAGGCCCCATCCGCCAGCCACGCTGACCAGAGACCCCCAAGCACGCGTGCATGTGCGCGTGACACACACACACACACACACACACACGTCGGCTGCAATCCCCTGTGACAAGATCTTCGGCTTGGCCTGCTATATCCGGTTCCTCTGGCCGCTGTAACAAACCACCACAAACTCGTGGCTTAAAAACAGGAGTTTCTGCTCTCACAGTTCTGGAGGGCAGAAGTTGGAAATCAAGGTGTCTTGGGCCTGCGCTTCCTCTAAAAGCTCCAGGGAGGATCCTTCCTGCCTCTTCCAGCTCCTGATGGCTGCGGGTGCTCCTCAGCGTGTGGCCACATCACTCCAGACCCTGCGCTATCTTCACGAGGCCCCCTCTCTGTTTGCTTCTCTTCTCTTCTAAGGACTTGCCTTTGGAGTTTGGGTGCATCCTAACCTAAGGCACCATCATCTTGAGAACCTGACCTTAACTACATCTGCAAAGGCCCTTTTTCCAAATGAGAGAGCACCCTGGGTTTCCAGGTGGCTCTGTCTTTGGGGACCTCCAACCGACCCTGGGTTTCCAGGTGGCTCTGTCTTTGGGGACCTCCAACCAACCCTGGGTTTCCAGGTGGCTCTTTGGGGACCTCCAACCGACCCTGGGTTTCCAGGTGGCTCTGTCTTTGGGGACCTCCAACCGACCCTGGTTTCCAGGTGGCTCTGTCTTTGGGGACCTCCAACTGACCCCACAGGTGTACATTTCTCACAGGTGCAGAGACTCAAGTCCTCACTCTGCCTTTTCACATAAATGATCCCATGAGACCTACCAAACCCCCAGCCAGTCACCCCCTGGCCACCTTCCGCCAGCAAGCAGCCCATGTCCGGCATACAGCAGGTACTCAATACGTGCATGCCAAACTGAGGCCAGCATGTCTATCAAGGTTGTCCCCAAGGCAACCAGCGGGCAGGAGCAGGGAGTTGTCACTGTGCAGGCATTCCCTGGGGACAGGAGGGTCTGAAGATGGATTTTCTGGTTCTGCAAAGCACAGTTATTTATAAGCAAGGTCTGCATTCTTCTATCGGTGAAGCGAATCAGAAGGCCTGCTTGGCTGCTTCTGTAATCGGAGGAGAAGGAAGGTAATTGGCTAATAAAATCCACCTTCTCTGAGGCAGAGGCTGACTTTGAAGAGTGTGTATTGTAAAGGCTCCATGACCTCTTCTAAATATACCCAGGGAAGATCACGGGGGGCCAGGTTGGCTCCATGCGGTCCAGTTGGAATGGTCTCGGGGACGGGTCTTCCCACAGATTCCTGAGTCTTCTGCCAGGAGCATCCCCGAAGGCACTGTGCTCACCTGAACCAAGGGCCTTCTAGAACCTCCAGGCCCTGCCCTGCCCCAACCGGGAGGCCACAGAGGCAGGGAGGTGGCACCGAATCGTGCCCCCATCCCCGCAGGTCCCCGTTGTCACAGCAAGAGACCATAGCCCAGAAACCAGCCCCGATACCCAGCAGCCACCAGACTCAATCCATGGGGACCCACTTCGAGTCCAACACAGGGGACGGGGTGAGGAGTCCCACTGTCAACTTTGAAGGTAGCACCCACCCTGCCTGGGACCCTCTGCAGGACCCCTCCCACTGCGAGCAATGCCTTCCTTCCCCCAATGCCTCAGCAGAGCCTTTCAGGACGGGCAGTGCAGCCCCATCCAGGGAGCAAAGTCGGGAGAGAGGGCACCTGGTTCTCGGGCGGCCGCCGAGACTGCACTTTCTGCCCTTGCATTTCCTCAATGGCAAAGTCATGCAAGGATCACACCCTCTGCGCAGGTGGCCTGAGGAGCAAAGGAGGTGACAGTGAAGAGCAGTCACTGCGGTCATGGCCAGGCCCCTCTCACCAGACGCACCTGTGCTCAGCCCCAGGGGCTCACCACCTTGCCACCTCTGCCAAGATGACCCTTCTCCACACTTCAAGGCCAATGCTGACCCCTGGTGAACATCCAGTTCTCCCATGGACCAACCCCCCAAACCACTGGAGCCCCCATTATGCACAGATGGAGCTTGGCCAAGGGGGCTCCTGGCACCTGCAGGATAACCCGGGCCTGCCTGCTTCCCTTCTGGAGTAAAATGGGCAGGAACAAGGAGCCCGCCTAGCTGGGAAAGTGCGGGGACTGAGACAGAAAGTTCAGCCTGGGAGGGAGGGCTGCTTCTGGGAAGTTCAGGAGCCCCTGAGGGCAGGCAGAAGGCCGCCTCTGCGTGAGTCCTCCAAGCTCCAGGCCTTCCGAACCGCTGATTTGATTTTTAAAACGCAAAAGGAGAAGAAAAGGCAAGGGCAGAAGGCCGTGTTTGGAGCATGCTCACGCGGGTGGCTGGAAGGGTGTGTGTGAGGGCCGGGGAAGTGGGGAACCCGCACCCTGCCCTGAGGGCCAGAGAGCCAGGGCCTGGCCTACCCCACAGGGCGGCCCCATCAGCCAGAGGACCAGGTGTCCCTGGGACACTTCAGGTGACACCGGCTACCCTGGGACCCTCCAGGGCTCCATTCCCTGGGCTAGGAGTCCACAGAAATGCAGCAAAGGACAGGGCCAGCAGCCACTGCCTCCTTGGTGCCTGGAGCTGTGACTTCCTTAAATGCCTGCCTGCAGCCCACCCCGACCCGCCTGCAGCCCACACCTGGACTGCCCACAAACAGCTGCTCCTGTTCCACGCAAGGGCAGCAGCTCCCAGTGTGGCTGAGGACACAGCCCTTTCTTTACCACCAAAGCACAAAGCTGCAAAGAAGGGCAAGTCCCTGCAGTCCAGGACCCTCTGCCCACCCCGAGGCCCGTGAGATGAACCTAGGTGTGCAGACCCCTCCAGAACTCGTGCCCACAGCATCCCAGAGCCCCGGAATGCATGGGAAACCGTCATGGGCCTCCACACAGAAGGTCACCCCAAATTCAGGAGGAAGGAGAGCTACCCACCCACAGAACACTCTCAGCTGACGACGGCTTCCACACCCAAAGCATGAAGAGAGACCTGCATGTGCCATGAAGCCACAGGGAAACCACAGACAAACAGACACAGCTGACAGCACGGGCCTGGCTCCTGCACCCTGGACAGGGGGTCGGTGGAGGCCCGGTTCTCACCAGAGTCCCCATGTGGGGTAGGCCTTGATTACCCGGAGGGTGCCTTTTGGCTGCCCCGCACACTACAGCCCAGCCAGACACAAGGTGGGAGCCCATCCTGCCATCCAGGGGACATGGGGCAGGCCTCCCTCCCTGCCTCCTGCAACAGTGTCTGGACAAAGGGGCTGCATCCTTGAGGAACTCTCTAGAGAACACAGTGGGCACTGTCCAGGTCGCCCAACTGTGCATGGAAGATTCCAGACTGCACTTCAAAGACTCCGCCCACCAGGGTCCAAGCCACCTTCCCAGGACCTCCGGATCCAGAGAAGCCAGGCAAAATCCTGAGAACACCAGCCCTGCACCCCTGCAAATGTGTGCGAATCCCTCTCCAGACAGCGCAGTCCTGTGGCCAGTGCCTGTGGCCTCATCTGCTCCACAGACACGCCCAGCACTTGGCAGGGGTGGCTCCTGGGTTTTGCACAAGGTCACTGCTGGGGCCATCTGTCAGGGGACCCCCGTGGAAGTCCTCGGGCTTCCACTCCTTTTATCATTCCCTTCCTGCAAAGAGGAGACCGAGGGTCCCAGAAGCCCAGCCACTAGCCTGGTATCATGCTGCAGGTGGGGCTTCCTCGTCCCAAAGGTTATTTGCATAGGTGGGTGTGACCCTTGGGAGGAGCACAAGACCTGCAAGACGGGTGATGCAGCCTGCAGCAGGAGGTGCGTGTGCAATGCCCAGGCAACACCCACGCCACCTCTGCCTGGGGTCATAGAGAGAAGAGAGCCACGTGGCTGCACCTGTCCTGCTATCCTCTGGGATCTGCACCCTCCCTTGACCTCACTGGGCCACACTTGCCCCAGCTGTGAAGGTCAGGGCAGTACCTTCCTCCTCAGGAAGCCTCTGCAGAGGCCCAGCCAGCGAGGGCCAGGGTCAGGGTCCGGGTGAGGATGGGGACAAGGCTGCAGGGGCAGAGGCCGAAGCTGGGGTCCACCCTCCTCTCCCTTCCTCCAGAACGCCAGGCTGGGCCCACGGGGTGAGCTGCAGACTGTGTGGTGTTTGGGGTATCGTGTGTGTGCGGTGTGATGGGTGTAACGTGTGTTTATGATGTTTGGCTGTGTGTGTATAACATGCATGTGGTGTATGTTTGTGTGTGTGTGTCTTGGCATGTGTTTGTGTGGGGGTGTGTTTCTGCGCTTTGTGTGTGCGTGGCCTTCACAGGGTATGTGTGGTGTGTGTGTGGTATGCGTATTTGGTATGCGTATGTGGTGTATGTTATGTGTGTGTGTTGTGTGTGGTATATTCTGTGTCTGTGTATACGTTGTGTATGTTTGTGGTGTGTGTGGTGTGTGTGCATAATGCATAGTGTGTGTGTGATGTCTAGTGTGTGTGGTGTATTTTGTTGTGTGTGGTATCTGTGTGGTGTATTGTGTGTCTGCGGTGTGTGCTGTGTGGTATGAGCAGTGTGATGTTTTTTGTGAGTGGTGTGTGGTATCTAGTTTGTATGGTGTATGTGGTGTATTTTGTATGTGGTGTATGTGTGGTGTATTTTGTGTGGTGTGTGGGATGTGGCATGTGTGTGATGTGTTGTGTGTGTGTATGTGGTGTGTGGTGTGTGTGGTGTGTGCTGTGTGGTGTATGAATATTTTGTATGTGTATGTGGTGTATTTTATGTGTGTGTGTGTGAATATTTTGTATGTGTATGTGGTGTATTTTATGTGTGTGTGTTGTGTGTGGTTAGGTGGTATATTATCTGTGTATGTATGTTGTGTATGTGGTATGTTTGTGGGTTTCTGTGTGTGTGTGGTGTTTGGCATGTGGTATGTGTGCACAGTGTGTCGTGTGTGGTGTCTAGTGTGTGGTGTATTTTGTTGTGTGTGGCATCTGTGTGGTGTATTGTGTGTGTGTGCGTGGTGTGTGCTGTGTGTGTAGTGTATGCTGTGTGTGTGATGTTTTTGTGAGTGGTGTGCGTGTGGTATCTAGTGTGTGTGGTGTATTCTGCATGTGGTGTGTGTGTGTACATGTGAATGTGTGTGATGTATTTTCTGTGTGGTGTGTGTGTGATATCAGTGCAGTGTATTTTGTGTGTGTGTGTGTGGTGTGTGTGTGTGAGATGTATTTTGTGAATGGTGTGCTTGTGGTATGTGGTGTATTTAGCGTGTTGTGTGCTGTGTGTTGTATACGTGTGTATGCGTGTGTGCTGTATTTTGTGTGGTGAGTGGCATGTAGCGTGTGTGATGTGTGTGGTGTGTTGTGTGTGTGTGGAGGGTGCGTGTATATGGTGCGTGTGGGGTGTGTGGTGCATTTTGTGTGGTGTGTGTTTGTGGTGTATGTGTGTGTGATTTGTGCTGTGTGTGTGGTGCATGTGTGATGTATTTTGTGAGTGGTGTGTGTGCATGCGTGTGTGGTGTGGTGTGTGTGAGGTGTATTTTGTGTCGTGTGGTGCATGGCATGTAGTGTGTGTGATGTGTGTGTATTTTGTGTGGTGTGTATGTGTGTGTGTGTGTGGTGTATTTTGTGTGTGGTGTGAATGTGTAGTATATTTTGTGTGTGGTGTGTACGTGTGTGGTGTATTTACATAGTATATTTTGTGTGCCATGTGTATCTATGTGTGTGGTGTGTACTGTGCGTGTGGTGTGTACTGTGTGTGGTGCACGGTGTGTGTGGTGTGTGTGATATCTGTGTGGTGTATTTTGTGTGTGTGTGGTCTGCTGTCTGCTGTGTGTGGTGTGTGTGTGTGTGGTGTGTGATGTATTTTGTAAGTGTGTGGTGTCCAATGTGTGTGGTGTATGTGGTGTATTTTGTGTGTTGTGTATTTTGTGTGGTGAGTGGTGTGTGGTGTGTGTATGATGTATGTGATGTTTTGTGGGGGGGTGTGTGCATGTGATTGGTGTGTGTGTGTGGTGTGTGTGTGTGATATATTTTGTGAGTGGTGTGTGGTGTCTGGTATGTGTGGTGTATGTGGTGTATTTTGTGTGTGGTGTGTGGCGTGTGGTGTGTGGTGTGTTATATGTGTGGGTAGGTGTATATGGTGTGTGTGGTATATTTTGTGTGTGGTGTGTGTATGGTGTGTGGTGTGTGGTGTGTGTGTGGTGTATGAGGTTTATTTTGTGTGGTGTGTGGCGTGTGTGTATGATGTTGCGTGTGTGTGTGGTGTATTTTTTGTGTGGCGTGTGTATATATGTAGTGTATTTTGTATGTGGTGTGTTGTGTGCTGTGTGGTATGTTTGCATGGTATATTTTCTGTGGCGTGTACTGTGTGTGTGGTGTCTGTGTGGCACATTTTGTGTGTGGTGTGTGTGGGATGTGGCGTGTGTATATTTTGTGTGTGATGTGAGGCATGTGTGTGGTGTGTGGTGTATTTTGTGTGTGGTTTGTGTATGGTGTATTTCGTGTGTGGGGTGTGGTGTGTGTATATTTGGTGTGTGGTGTGTGTGCGTGATGTGTGGTGTGTGTGGTGTATTTTGTATGTGGTGTGTGGTATGTGTATATTTTGTGTTTGGTTGCACTGTGTGGTGTGTGGTGTATTTTGTATGTGGTGTGTGGTATGTGTATATTTTGTGTGCGGTGGGTACTGTGTGTGTGGTGTGTGTGTGGCGTATTTTGTGTGTGGTGTGTGGTGTATTTTGTATGTGGTGTGTGGTATGTGTATATTTTGTGTTTGGTGTGCACTGGTGTGCGTATTTTGTGTATAGTGTGTGGTGTGTGTGTGGTGTGTGGTGTATTTTGTGTGTGGTGTGTGGTGTGTGTATAGTGTGTGGTGTGTGTGCGGTGTGTGGTGTATTTTGTATGTGGTGTGTGGTATGTGTATATTTTGTGTTTGGAGTGCACTGTGTGTGTGGTGTGTGGTATATTTTGTGTGTGGTGTGTGGTGTGTGTGTGGCGTGTGATGTGTGTGTGGCGTGTGGTGTATTTTGTGTGTGGGGTGTGTGGTGTATTTTGTGTGTGGTGTACTTTGTGTGCGGTGTGTGTGGTGTATTTTGCATGTGGTGTGTGGTGTATTTTGTGTGTGGTTTATTTTGTGTGTGGTGTATTTTGTGTGTGGTGTGTGGTGTGTGTGTGGCATGTGGTGTATTTCGTGTGTGGCGTGTGTGGTGTATTTTGTGTGTGGTGTACTTTGTGTGCAGTGTGTGTGGTGTATTTTGCGTGTGGTGTGTGTGGTGTATTTTGTGTGTGGTTTATTGTGTGTGGTGTGTGGTGTATTTCATGTGTGGTGTATTTTGTGTGTGGTGTGTGTGGTGTATTTTGTGTGTGGTGTGTACTGTATTTTGTGTGTGGTGTATTTTGAGTGTAGTGTGTGGTGTATTTTGTGTGTGGTGTGTGGTGTATTTCGTGTGTGGTGTATTTTGTGTGTGGTGTGTGTGGTATATTTTGTGTGTGGTGTGTGGTGTATTTTGTGTGTGGCGTGTGGTGTATTTTGTGTGTGGTATGTGGCGTATTTTGTGTGTGGTGTATTTTGTGTGTGGTATGTGGTGTATTTTGTGTGTGGTGTATTTTGTGTGTAGTGTATTTTGTGTGTGGTGTGTGGTGTATTTTGTGTGTGGTGTATTTTGTGTGTGGTATGTGGTGTATTTTGTGTGTGGTATGTGGTGTATTTTGTGTGTGGTGTATTTTGTGTGTGGTATGTGGTGTATTTTGTGTGTGGTACGTGGTGTATTTTGTGTGTGGTGTATTTTGTGTGTGGTATGTGGTGTATTTTGCGTGTGGGGTGTGTATGTGGTGTGCAGCATATGGTGTGTAGTGTGTGCAGTATGTGGGGTGTATGGTATGCGTTGTGTTTTTTGTGTGGTGTGGGTGTGTGCATCGTGTAGTGTGTGGTGTGTCTCTGTTGGGGGGCACCGCAGTGCGTGTCTCTGGGAGAGGTGGGCTCACACACAGAGCCCAGGTAAAAGGAGAACGAGGAAAGGGCCGCCTGCCCCGACAGGCAGGTCAGGGCTCCCACAGTACAAAGGCTACCGGGTCCCATGGTTGGTCTCAAAGGAGCCCTGTCCACTCACTGGGTGCGTGTGTGAGCGAACAGTCCCATGTTCCACGCAGACCCACAGCTGCGTGCTTCGCTCCATGTTTTCTGTCTGCTCAGATCGCAGTGCAGCCACAAAACTATGTGTCTCTGCGTAAATAAGGTGAGGATGCCTCCCTCCCCTCTCCAGGAACACAGGAACACCACTGCCTGCGTGCGCTGCTCCCTAACGAAGGGGCTGTATTTTAAATGAGGTTTATAATGCATGATCCTGTAGTTTATGTTTAAGAAGATCACACACAATGATATGAACACCTATGAGCATTTAGTTATGCATAAGCAGGCACGTGTACACACACACATATGCACACACATGAACATGTCAGCAGTGAACCCTTCCAAGAAGGTTGCCCCCGAACCCGGCCTTCTCCAGGCCCAGGGGCTCTTGGGCTGTGTCTGCAGCCAGCACTCTACTGAGCACGGACACGGCCTCGCCAGTGGCCCCTCTCCTACAGCTCCGCGCGCCCAGAGACGGGCAAAAACCACCCACCTCCAGACCACCGAGTGGGGAATAAAACCATTCTCCGCACGGCTTTCTCGCACTGTGCTCAGCACGGCAGCAACATGGGAGACTGATGAGTTTCCACAGATGCCGGCGGCAAGATCAGCCGCAATCCAATCCTCCCGAGTGTGCAGTGGGAGGGACCCCCAGCTGGCCCCGTCCGTCCACTGCCAGCCTGGCCCTCGGCAGGGACTGGCTCGGCCCTTGCAGGGAGGCCTGGGAGGCTGGGACTCCTGTGCCCAGCAAGGCTGTGATGAGCCACCTTGTGTCTGGAAGTCACCTCCATTTCCAGTCCTTTTATATTCTAACTTTTACAGTTGTCAGAGACACAGCAGATGAGAATCCCATTACGGTGAGTGTGGGTTTTATTTAGATTCTGTGTCACACAAGAAATGATAGTAAATGATGATAAAAGAGTTGGTTATTTTTAACGCCTTTTCATTTCCACCCCTCCCAGCAGCCATTCACACCTACCTGGCCTTGCAAACAGCGTCTGCTGGAGGGTCAGGGAGAGGCAGGCTGAGGGACACCTGCCATGTGGGGCTGGCACTGCGATGCCCCTGCGCTCTGTCTGCCTGCACACCTCATCAGGGCCATAAAAACAATGCACCCAGGAAGTGGGCTAGGGAAGCCCCTGGGGCCCCTAGACAAAGCCCAGCACCCCTCCACACGCAGTCTGAGACTCAGGGAGAAATGAGCAGCCAGCTCCAAGCTCGGAGCCTGGCGGCCGGGGCAGCCCCATGCCAAGACTGGGTGCAGGGGTGCAGGCACAGCTGGCCGTAAGCATTGAGAACACAGAGCTGCCGAACTCCCTCCTCCTTCCACACACACCGCGTGCAGTGAGTTCCTCCTCCACCGTTAGACACTCAGAATGGAGCCCGGTGCAGCCTCGAGCCCTCACCAAGAACAGCCTTGCTGCTCTGGGAAACCTCAAGGGCATCTACCAAGCCCTCACCCAACCCATCATGGACCATCCACAGCCCTAGCTCTATGCCTCTGGGACAGAATGGCTGTACGCATTCAGCAAATATTTTTGATGGAGTCTTAGGGCCGGGAACTGTGCTGTGTCTCCTAAGAAGTTCTCTATCCATTTCTTAAAAAATAAACTGATCCATCTAACAGATAGACGAACACTCTGCATTGGCTGCTAATCTTGTAAAGACAGCATCAATTAATGATGACTGCGCGGAGCCATAACCATTCATACACCATCAATTGCCTTCACGGAGCTGAGCATGCCCCTTGTTACGGGCCACATGGGTTTGCAGGAGGACGCCTCATTTCCGAAAGAGCCAGCTAACTAAATCAATGGAAGTTGAATCCGTTGACTCAATCAACAGTCTGCCCTCCGAGCAGCTGCTCAAAGACAGGCACGCCACAGCGGTTCTGAAAGCGCTTCTGGAATCGAGGCCCGGGTACACCGTGCCGCGGCCGCTGGACGCAAAGTTCTCAATATTAACCTGCAAAAGAGGCTTTTGCACAGCACGTTCAAGCCGTCGAATGCACTCCCCTGCCACCAAAAGGATTTACCGAGATAGAGTTGAACCTCAAACCCACATTTAAAGGAAAGAGGCACTGGGTTCTCCCTCCCATTCAGAAAGGATCGGGCCGAATGATTTCCCGGCTTTCTCATGTCCCTTTGGGTGCCAAAGCCCAGAAACCTCTCTGCCGCTGTGGCCTGCCTGGGTGGCCCAGGCTTGCCGCATTCCTTCCTCTTTGAAGTATTTTCCTATCCTTCTGTTTACATTAAGCTTCCACACCAAAGCCTGCTCATCTGTGCTGGAGTGCTGGAGTCCAAGTGACTCAAGACTTCCAGAAAAATATTGTAAAGTCTTTGGAAGAGGGAGGTGGAAAATATTTTTATACTTCTCGCCGTTTCCTTAACTCCGTATTTGGAGGCCAAACATGATGATGGAGATAAAGTGCTGGCTTCCCTCTCGCGTCTCCGTGACACACGTCGTCTGCACCCTAAGGAAGCGGCCGGCTCTTCCATCAGGGTCCTGGGATTCCCGCCCTCGTCCCCCACTTTAACTACACCCCATGCAGACACAGCACGTGCACACACCAGGCAGTTCAGAAGAAAGGACGGCTCTCCCCTCCCAGAGGAGGGTCAGCGTGTCCTAAGGATGACAAGGCAAGAAGAGCAGCTGCCCAGGCCCCAGTGCCGGACCCCACGCTGCGGCCCTGCTTTCTTCCTGGGCCTGTGGCTGCCCAGCCAGGCCTGGTGCGGTGGGCAGGACCTGTTCTCACAAAGCTGGGACATACCGAGGCTGCAATTATGGACCGCAATTTGCCTCTCTCTCGGTTCACAGCCCTATTCATCTCCACAAACACTGGAAGACCAGAGTGGCCAGGGGGGGACGGATTAGCCACGGGGTGGCCTCTATCTCCACACAAAAGGAGAAGTGTGGAAAAACGGCTCCCTGGGTCCCCCATTCTTCACCCCTGAAGAAAACAGATTCATGAAAATGGCTATTTAAACAGCTCTTTCCCACTCAGGCCCAGACAACAAGTCACAATTGTCCACCCGCCTGCCTTGTTCCCTCCCTCCTGCTGGACAGCGGCTGCTGGGAGGAGAGTGGCCCCAGGCCGAGCCCATCAGCCAGGAACCAGAGTCGGCCACCCCCCTCCCTGCACCTCTCACTGCTGGTCCCCCAGGCCTCCCCTGGGGCTCCTGATGCCAAGGGGCCAAAAGGCCGTCTCAGCAAGGACAGGGAGGCTGCCCAAGTCCTGACCTTCCAGACAGACAGGCAGCAGGGCTCAACCCAGGGTGGTGAAGGCCACCGCTTCCGGACAGGGAGACAGGACTTCAGGAGTCCTGGAGGGCTGCGCAAACACTGGGACCCGCAATCGCTCCTCCAAAGGTACCTGTGCCCTCAGCGTACAGCTGACCCCATCCTCATCCCACCTTCCTATGACTGCGCCGTCTTCCACAACACCGACACACGTGTGTCTGCTTCAAGGTAAACATGGAGATCTCTGTGAAGGGCTAAATCCACAAAAAGTACTCCACTAAGCGAGGCCTGCTCCACACCTAGACCCTCCCATCTGGGAGACAGAAACTCTTTCTTCTTGGCCAAAAAACAGAGTCCTTTAGACCTGGAGCCTCAGGGGGACAGCAGAGCCCCCGGAGGCACCTGCACTGGGGCAGCGCCGCAGGGCGAGGCAGAAAGGAAGCCCTTGTCACAGGCCGGCCACATGGCCAGGAGCTTCTCCCGTTACTAACTCACAGCTTCAAAGTCAGTGGAACTTCACTTCATCACAGAGTGTCAGGATGCAGCTGGGCACCTGGACCTCAGAGAAACACTGAAATTTTCACATACACGCCCTTTCCGCAAGCCAATCCCCCAGAGACTTCGAGATCAGCCAGAGAGGCAGAGAACTTGCAGCGCGAACACAAACAGGCCCAGCAGAGCAGGGACCCCTTTGCCAGGTACCTGGAATGCACCAGGGGTGGCTCCCACAGTCCTGACACGCGACACCAGCAGAGGACAGCCCTCGCGGGCTTGCCTGGACCCAATGACTCCTCAGCAGGAAGGATGGCCTCCCCAGCCCCAAGTGCTACTGCCCTATGGCAGAACCACCCACTCCTGAAGTGGGTCAGCAAGGCAGCAGGAAGAAGTTGGGCCTCCCACCTGGGGAAGGGTCCCCGCAAGCCCGGGCTGGCAGGCCAAGCCCGCAGCAGAGTCCTGGGGTAGCCTACTCTCCCTTCAGACCTGGCCCTCCTCTGTACTAGGTGCCCACATCCAAAAGCAAGGGAGGGAAGTGGACACCAGGCCCGTGGAGGTCACAGGGTCTCGGGCCGGGCTCCTGCACCTACCTGCTTCCCCAGGCCTCCGGCGGCTCATTAATTAGTCAGGAAAGCAGCTGAATGTTGCAAGCCCTTCCTCTGCAGGAACCCAGAACTAATGAGAACCCAGCGCCTTACCAGCCACACAGGCGCCCTCCGGTGCTCAGCCTTCCCAGCGGACCAAGGGGAGCACCAGGCGGAGCTGGCCCAGCCTGTGTGCCAGAGCACTAGTAACCATGAGCAGGGGTGCCCGGGGGGAGGCCAACGCCTCAGTTGCCCCCAGTCTGATATGACAGGCCAGGCTGATCCCGGGGTGCACCGGGAGCCCTGCAAAGGGAGCCTGGCCCTGAAACCAGGAAGTTTCCAGGAGTGTGTCTGGGGTGCCTGGAGCCGACCGACCGCCCATCAGGGGAGGTGTGGCCCTGCCCCCAACCCCCAGTAAGATGCTTCCCAGTACAAAGGGCCTCTCCAGCCACGAGGGTCCAACCGTTATCCTGGGCGCCTCAATAGTCCCAGACTGCCCTGCAGTCCAGCAAAGACCAAGAGAGCAGGGGCAGAACTTGGCGCGGGGACCTGCGCACCCCGGTGACCAAGCCCCTGCTTCCCAAACCTATGGGTCTCTGGAAGGCGGCTTGGGCCCTGGGGAACAGGTGCGCAGGCCGGTTTCCCGACGTCCGCGGGTCCCAGCCCGGCGCCCACCCTGGCGGGTCCCAGCTCCGCTCCCGCCCCAGCCCGGCCGGCCACCGTGGAGCGCTGGTGCCATCTACCGAGGGCCCGGCGGCGTGCGGGCGGGCGCCGCTGCCACCGAGCCCAGTGGGGCAGGGGATGGGAACGGCAGCCTCGGCTTGGGCTGGGGATCCGGGGCGGCGCCAGAGGCACCGAGAACGCAGCGCGCCCCGACCCCGCGCCCTGCCGGTGAGCCCCGATGGGCGCGGGGCAGCGAGATCCGCGGGGGGTCGGGCTCCTGGTAGGGTCGCGCCGCCGGCCGCTCCGGGCCCGCAGTGGCGCTCCACGAGCCTCAGCCGAGCGCGGCGGCAGCGGAACGTGCTGGAAGCCGGGTCGGGCGCCGGAGCCGCCGCGAGCCGGGCAGAGCGCGGAGGACCGGTCCGCGCGCCCGGGGACAATTACCTTCTTTGAGGAACTGCGCGTGGATCACTAGGACGAGGAAGCAGCAGAGCGCGGCCCCTGCCAGTGCCCAGAGCGCCTTCAGGAGCTGCATCGCGGAGTCCCAACTCGGCCGACGCCCCCGAAGTCGCGCAGCGAAGGTCCAGGCGCCGCATCAGCGCCCCGCCGGGTGCAGCCTCCGCGGCCGCCCGCTCGCGCCCTCCATCCGCCGCCAACGCCGCGCTCCGCCGCGACTGGAGGCGCCACTCCGGGAGGCGATTTGTGTCTTTCTGGGCAGGGGGGAGGGGAGCGGGCGGGGGGAGGGGGGCGCCGCGGAGGGGGCGGGCGGGGGCGGGGAGGTTAGCAGAAAGTCTCGGGCCGCGGCGGCCGCCGCTCCGACCACTCGGCCACCATCGCTGGCTGCGGGGCGCCGGGGGGCGGCCGCCGCGGCCCCATGAATCAGCCCCGCCGCCGCCCCCGGAGCCGCACCGCCAGCAGGGCCCGGACGGCGGGCCGCGGATTGCGCAACGGCCGGGCGGCGCGGGGGGGGGGGGGGTCCGGCGCGGCCCCGGCCCCCTCCTCCGCCTGTCGGCCCCCACCGCCCGCTGCTCGGCGTCGCCTTCCTCCTCCTCCTCTTCCTCCGCCGCCGCCGCCTCCTCCGCCGCCCGCGCTCGCTCCGGCCCGGGGCTCAGGGGGCCGCCGCGCCGCCGCCGCCACCGCCGCCGCGGCGGGCCAGGCTCGGGGCCGGGGCTGCGCGCCGGGCGCGGGGCTGCCGCACCATCGCCGCCGCCGGGGTCCGCGCGGCCCGGCCGAGCCCGCGGCGATCGAACTTGCGCGGCCCGGGGCTGGCGGGCCGGTCCCCACCGGACGGTGCCGGCCTCTGCGCTCCCAGCAGCCCGCGCCTCCGCCGCCGCGGCCGGGACTAGGTCCGGGCCCACCGCGCCCCTGGGCTGCCCACGCTGGGCCGCCGCTGCCGGTGTCGGTGCCGGTGCCGGTGGCTGCCGCGCCTACAGGTGGGGCCGGCGACGCTGCGCGCCTCGCCGCCCGCGGGACGCCGCTGCTCCGGCCTGGAGGCGCGCGCCCGCCCGCTCGGCTCGGCGCCGGCTCCTCGGGGGAGGCGGCGGGAGGGGGAGCGCGGCGCAGTCGCTGCCGGCCCAGGTGGCCGGGCCCGCGCAGCCTCGGACTCCGGCCCGCGCCCGCCGCCGTCTGCGCTCCTCCCGGCCGCGGAGCCGCGGATGCGCACTGGGCCGCGAGGGACCCCGGGGACCCCGCCCTGCAGCGCCCCCGCCTGGCGCGCCGGCGGGTCAGGTGGGGCCGGCCCAGCCGAAAACTGCGGGTCGGGCTCCACCTAGGTGCGCAGGGGCCTCACTGCAGAGCCGGCCCTGCTGGCGCGGGAGACCGGACGCGGGGCCTCGAGTGGCGCCCAGCCTCCCTCGCACCCAAGGCCCCAGGAGAGACAGGGAAACCCCAGGCCCAGGTACCGCCCCAGCCGGGCCCGACCAGCGGCTGGGAGGGCTCGGAGGAGGCTGGTCCCGCGGCTTCTGAAAACGGCACATCTGCCTGGAAACACACACAAACACACTCACACCTGCCCCTACTGTGTACCACCCTCCAGCCAGCTGCCCTGCACCCAAGAGCGTGGGCGCACTGTTAATGCCCACGTTCCGTTCCAGAGGAAACAAACGGATGCCTCCCTGCACTGCCTCCCTTCCCGCCTCTAGGAAGAAAGGGTCTTTGTTTTAGGCCACTTTTGCTCCCCAACCCCGCTCCCCAGAGCAGGGGGCACAGGTGTCCTCGTCAGGGGTTCGCCCCAGAGCCCAGTACCAAGACCAGTGTGGTGGGCCTCAAGGTATTTTTGCCTGAATTGAATTTGAAATTCAATTTCAAATGACCAGAAAAGAGCAGTGGGCAGGAATCGGGGCCTAAGCTTCCTGGGACCCTGAACCTCTCTCCTGACCTGTGCAGGGTGGGGGCAGTGCTGGTGCCCGCGGTGCATGTGGTTCACATGAAGGCTGTCTCCTCCTTGCACCAGTATTGACGTGCCAGGAAGGGAAAGAGGCCTGGCCCTGAAGGGCTCTTGGAGGTCAGATAGATCAAGGCAATCAGTATGCATCTGGGGAAACTGAGGCTTATAGAGGCATGGTGACTGGTCTAACATCAACTAAAAAGTCAAGGGCAGAGTCAGGACCAGCCACTAAGCTTGATGCTGTCTGCCTGACCTGGCTCGCGGTGCCCAGCAGCCGGCCAGGGGAGAGGCCATCCACGAAGCAGTTCTTCACCTCTGGCTCATCACCCTCCACCTGCCCCCGAAAACATCCAGGAGAGACAAGAATGTCCCATCCAACTCCTCTCACCTAAAGGAGTGGCCCCAGCCTCACACCAGCCAAGCAACTAAGCAGCTGTGGATCTGCCCTGGGAGGGACTAGCCATTCTCTCTGCTCAGGCAATCCCCTTCAAAACCCCATTTCCTATAAGCACCCCACTGTTTCCTGCTCTCCACCCCTAGACATTCTCTAGGAAAGATCTAAGGTAGCAGCTCCTCAGGAACCCACCCTGCCTGGCTCGCAGAGCCTGACCTCCAGCAAGGTCGTTGGCCTTCATCCCTCACCTGGCACAGGGCTCCCCAGTCAGAGGACTCGGGGGTCTTCTGGGTGCTTATCACATGTGCTCACCCCTGGCCCCCAAAGGGACCTCAATCAGGAGAGAGAGCCTGCCCTTGACACTCACTGTGTCCCCAATCAGGTGCATATCATTTGAAATTCTGAAAATAGAAAAGTGTGCTACGTTCACCAAGGGAATATTTAAGAACTACAATTGGAAGATCCTTCTGTAAAGAGAATTAAAGAGGATAAAGGAGAAAAAAAAGAAAGTTCATAAATAGAGGCAGGCCCACCAATTCACTTTCAACAGGTGGGACAGGAGGACCTCCATACCTAATGTTGGGGGACCACCATCACACTTCTCCGGGCACCAAGGCTTCCTGTTAGTAAATGCATGTGGCATTGCTTACACTTTTAAAAGCAATCACAGCTGCAAACTCAAGAACCTCGTGTAGGGCTTCCGAAGAGTGAGTTAACAGTGCAGACCAAAGAGGCCCTGGGTGCCATTGGGAAGTCAGCTCCAGATGGCAGTGTGAACACCTGAACCAGATAAAACCAACACACATCTCAGGAGGAGACACCTAGGGTTCTCATTGACATGACAGGAAAAACCCTTTACAAATACTGAAACCATTACTGTGTTGGGAATCAAAATGCTAATCAAAATCTAAGCAAGCCAGAAAGGGTGAGGGGGTCCTGGGCCCAGTCTCTGGACAGAAGAGAAAAAACTGTGGTGGGAACCAACAGAAGGATGCCCACATCCTCCCGAGAAGGTGAAACAAACCAGGGGCATGGCCAGGTGTCCAGGCAGGAGGGCACTTGGCCAAAGAGCTGCACTTCCACAGTGCCGGGTGGGTGTGTCTTCCCCCAAACCCCTGCAAACTGCTGCTTTAAGGCTAGTGTAGCTCAGACCAGGGCCAGAGGAAAGCTGTCCACAGAGGGGGTGCCTTCTGCCCGGGGACAGTCCCCACAGTGCCTGAGGTGTGGGACTTTGGATGGAGAAAGTGAGCATTTAACATGTCTCTAAACGAAATTTAACACTGCCTTCAGTTAGGCATGTAGGCAGTAAACACAATACTTCAGCCATAACTATGACTTTGTCACCAACAAAAAGCACAGGTATTTTCATATCACATTACAGCTCTTGTAGCTATCTCAGTCTATTGCTTATTTTCACCATTACTTCAAATTATGGTCGTCCCACTACTAGACTTTGTATGTAATGTGTTCATAAAGAAAACACATTACTGTATCAAAAATAGGCTTTTTACCATTTGCTAACTGCATGTGGATATAATTGATCTTCTTCATCAGGTATTTTTAGTTTGTCCTGAGATGGGTGGCACAGGCTTCACCAGACTTCCAAACAGGCCCATGGCACACAAAAAAAGCCAGGAACCTGCTTCTGGAGTGAAAAACTCAAGGTCTAAGAAAAAACCAGGGCAGAGCAGAGTTAAGGACTTTGGTCACTCATGAGAAGCAGGGTCAGCAGGTCCAAAGGTAGCACAATTCCTCCCAAGAGTGAAATGCACAAAAACACCTGTCCCTAGGGTCAAGCCGCCAGCACCAGCAAATGTGGGGACCCTGTTTGCCCATCGGCTGCATGCCCACTTCCAGGGTGGCCCATCTGTCTACACACCTTGCTCATTCCCAGGGAATACAGTAAGTGCTCATGGTCAAGTGAGAAGCCTGTTGGGCTACACAGGGTAGAGGTGATTCACACTGACCGGTCACTACACACACTTCAACCTTTATTCCTATACAGACAGGACCTAGCAGGCAGAGATCACTAGGTGTTTGCAGAAAGCTAGAGGCATGAAAGAGAAGTCAGGCTCAGCTGTGCATACTCTACACTTGAACCTTAGGGGACAGAAATAATTCAGGGAAAATAATCATAACCGTAATTGTGATTATTCTAAATAGTATCATTCTCAAAAAATTTGAAATAATATGGTATCAATAAGAGAAAACCAGGCTCCCAAGGGGGAGAAAAGGCAAACAAGAGAACAAGGAAAAAAACTCCTGGAAATTAATGTGAGTGGACCATTTTAAGGTCTAGGGTATACACTGAATGGTAAAATGGGAATGAATGAAGACTGGGCTGTGGAAAGTAAAATCAAATATGTTTATAAGAGTGGAGAGCACATAGAAAGGTGAAAAAGTATGGAAAATTTGAGACCTAGAGGGTATATCCTAAACATTAAACATCCAACTTTCATTTATTAGAAGTTCTAAAGGAGAATAAAAGGCAACAAAGAGGAGGAAATAGTCAAATAAATAAATGCACATCTTCAGATTGTAGAGACTTACCATATTCTGATTAGATCTAATGGACAGACCCCTAGATCCAACCAATGCAAGAAAACCTTGCAGAATTTTTTTTTAAAGCAAAAAAAAAAAAAAAAAAAAAAAAAAAAAAAACAGGCCAGGCACAGTGGCTCATGCCTGTAATCCCAGCACTTTGGGAGGCCAAGGCAGGCAGATCACGAGGTCAGGAGATTGAGACCATCCTGGCCAACATGGTGAAACCCCATCTCTACTAAAAATACAAAAATTAGCTGGGCGTGGTAGTGGGTGCCTGTAATCCCAGGTACTCCAGATGCTGAGGCAGGAGAATCACTTGAACCCAGGAGGCAGAGGTTGCAGTGAGCCGAGATTGTTCTACTGCACTCCAGCCTGGCAACAGAGCGAGACTTTGTCTCAAAAAAAAAAAAAAAAAAAAAAGCAAACAACAACAACAAAAAAATGTTCTGAGGAAAGAAATGAGCTGATACTGAATTTTGCTTTAGAAACACTGGCTTCTCAAAGACAGTGGAGCAGTGACTTCAGATTCTGATGGGAAAAGATAGAAGACCTAGAATTTTATACCCAGCTAAACAGTCAACGATGCATACCATTTGAGGGGATTCAGAAGTTCAGTTTACTAGTCCCATCCCTTATAGAAAAAGCTGATCTAGGTTACACTCCACCAGAGAAAGGAATCAAGGGAATGTACTTGGAGATATGGGATAAAGGAAAATTTAGCACATTTGACTCTCTAGAAGTAGAAAAACTGTGAAGAATAGGTATGAAGATACATTAGGCCTTCATACTTGAAAGAATCTCCAACAGGTAAAATCTTTACAATGGTATATCTCTTTCTCCATAGTTCTAGTCAGAAATCTTCTTTCTGCTATAAACATTTATGGGATAGTACTATAAATGTCCTTTAATTCCATTCAAATTTTAAAACCAACATGTACACAAATTAATAGTAGAAAGCGAAATGTAAATTCTCAAACCCTGACCATTAAATACATAATAGAGGAATGAAAAGAGGAAGGCAGTGTTTTAATGGAGAAAGTAGGCCCTCCGTGTTTTTCACTGTTCAAAATGGAAAGTGACGAGGTCCTGACCAGAGGTGATGAATTAAGAAGTAAAATTTGAGTGTGCACTGCTGACATCACGCATGTTGAAACTAAAAATGTATTCGTGATCAGGGCCAGGCTGGGTAAGAAAGAAGCTATTAACCATTTTGTCCCTGGGGAAAGGCCTGGATGCCAGGAAGAAGGAGGTGAAATCCTGCTTCTCATTTGGAACTTTCCTTTGTCATTGTAATTTGTTTTTTACCATATGCGTCATGTATATTCTGCGATTTGAGATACCCTTGTCTCATAAAAACAATGTAGATAAATTGTGTTACATTCATATAATGTAATGCTTTGTACTCTGAGGAAAAGGAAGAAGTGGTATATGTATAGGCAAAGATAAAGGCAGCCTCAGCCATGTTTTCAGCGGGCATGATCATACCTGTGCCTCTAACAATCACAGACCACGAGGCAGGGAGGAGGTCATGATGTTGGCCTTGACCAATAGGCAGAATCCATCCAGTGTGGACCGGAAGGCAGGGCAGATGCAGCATGGGAGGGCCCTGCCAGGGGAGTGTGGGGAGCAGAGGAGTGAGGCTGAGCCAGAAAGAGGGGTGATCTGCACGTGAGCATGTCGGCCAGGAAGAGCACAGCCTCAGGGAGGCCTCTGGCACCGCGGCTATGTGTGCGGGGGCACTGGCGGCCAGGACATTGGGGTAAATCCAGCATGGCCCATGAGGGCCCAAAGAAGTCCCCAGAAGGACTAGAGCATGACAGGCCATAGTTCCTGCCTCTTTCTGGGCCTGGGAAACAGTGAGAGGGCACGCCAGCCGCATGCTGGGGACAGGCCTGGAAGGCAGCCATGGGCCTCACCAGTACCCGGAACCCAAGCAAGGCCTGCGGGAGGCCACCCCCCGGGATGCACGTGGGTCAGGTCAGCATGCACTTCCATGACCACTTGACGAGCCCGGCCCCCGTGTCAGCCAGGATCAGCAATGCAACGACAGCAGACTGGGCCCATGGCAACGCACAGTGGCTTCCACGGGCACCATGCACACAGCCAAGGTCGGGAGCGCTGAGGTTGCTCTGGTGAGGAGGGACCATGGTGCTCACAGGAATGCTATGCACCCCGTGGGCCTTGATTGTAGCGGCCACACTCCCCATGTCCTTGGCAGCCTCCAAGTCCACTATCAGACCAGCCATCCCAGAGGTCACAAAACAGCAAGGCGCCCAGACCCCCCGGAGACACCCCAAACACACGGTTTATTGAATCGATGCCAAGCACATGGTGAGAAGCAAAGGGTCATTTCAAATGTCGGGGCCGGGCCAGGTTTTTCAGTTTCCAGAAACTTCCATGACTGCACCCACCTCACACTCCTCTAGAGCTTTAGTCTGAGTATCCACGGCCCGTGGCCCTGCATCCATCGTCCTCCCCGGAGATTGCCCTCTTCTGAGTAACTGCGGCCACCTGCAGTACTTGGCACACCCCAGGCAGCTGTCCCCATCCCACAGAGGCCAAAACCAGGCACCAGAGAGGGGAGGCGGCTGTGTAGGAGGCCACGGCCAGTGAGGGTTCCTGTGGTTCGCCTGAACCAGTCTGCTCACAGCCCGGCCCTGCCCCTCCTTCAGAGCTGGCTGTGGGTTCAGGATGGAGGGTGCCTGATAGCCCTGGCCGTGAGCACAAGAGGATGCTCTGCCCTCGTCTGCCCTCATCCCTGGCCGTGAGCACAAAAGGATGCTCTGTCCTCATCTGCCCTCGTCCCCCACCCCAGCCCCAGAGGCTGTGCTCAGCACTGCTGGACAGTGGAAGGAGATCTAGAGAAGGGCAATGGGGAGAAGGGAGCCTGGGCTGGCAGTCCAGGCTCATGGGGCAGCATGGGGCAAAAAGCAATGGGCTTCGTGGGGGGAGGACCACTGGTCACAGCTCCAGCCACCGTTGTGACCAGACCGCTGGCCAGTCATTAGTCTCCCTGTGCCCCGAGTCCTCACTGACGCCCACTGCAAGGATTACAGCAAATGCAGGCAGAGAACACTGCACACGGTTGGTCTCAATCAATGTTTTCTTTCCTCCTTTTCCTCCTGCATGTGTGGAAGAGGCCATATCTTGTCCCCAAGGAGACCTCTGGGACACACTGTTGTGGGGATCTCCGAGAGATGTCCCAGCCAGCCCTTGTCTGGAGTCACTCCCAGAAGAGAATCTTCATCTGAGCTCAAGTTTTGATTCTGCACCAAGGGTAGATGCCCCAGCAGGGCTGGCTCTGACCTCTCCTCAGTGCTTCATACCCAGGCTGAGTGAGTTGCACATCCTCTCTCTGGAGCAGACGAGACGTGAGCAGAGCAGGTGATAGAAGAGATAGAAAACCAGAAGAGGAAAGGCCACCAGTTTCCAGAGGAAAAAAGAGAAGATGGAGGCGCAGGCCAGGGCAGGGGGAAGGTGCTGCTTTCTCTCGCTGACCAGCTGGGCCTTGGGATGGCTGAGGCCGCAGTCTGGGCAGGCCCTGTGGGCTCAGTCACACGGGCGAAGACAGACTGCCTGCTGGCCCAGGGTTTGGCTGTTTTACTCGCATTTATTTTGTGACCTGCTTTGGCGTACCCAGAAAATAGAGGTCGTGAACTCACTGTCCCCTAGATGGGACTGAAGCTCCCCAGCTGGCACAGACGCTGCCCACGGTGGATCCATGCTCTTCACTGGTCTCACCTCCCAGCTCTAGGACTGCAGGCCACTCCAGTGCAGCCAAACCTCTGCCCGTTCCCAGGCCTGCCCAGCACCTTGCATGGGCTGAGCCTCAGCCAGGGATGCCCTTCTTGACCATCATCCTGTGAGACCTCATTCCCCAGGCCACCCTGCAGACAGCGGTGTCACACCTGTTCCTGCAGCCCCAGCCACCCCTTCCACAGCCCAGGGTACCCAGAACTAAGAGCTGCTCTTAGTTCCCGAGCTCACCCGGAGGAGCTTGGAGGATATGTGACCAGCTGGTGAGTTCTGAGTGAATGTGGACAGGAGGAGGGGGCTGGGAGGGGACCTTTGGAGGAGCAGGCCTGTCCCCCCTCTCCTCAGGCCACCTGCCCACGCTGGCCAGCCCTGCCAGCCATGCCCACCAATCCCCGCCCACAGCAACCGCAGGGACTCTTATCTCCAGACCCGCACCCACGATCACCCTGCTCTCCTTTTTGAAATTCTTATCTTTTCTCTGCACACATTAACTCACACTTTCGCTGGGCTTAATAGATCCCATTCACTCAAAGTGGGGATTGTCCTTTTAAAGCATTTCCTAATAAGGCTGGGAGGAAAGCACTCAGCCTGGGGCGGGAGCCTGCTACCCGCAGTCCTCGGAAACAGATGGGCACACACGAGGGCCCTCCCAGCAGCCTTCCGGAGGCCAGGCGGGCAGCACACAGCGGGATGCTCTCCCCAAGTGAGGGCTCCGCCTGCCCCTCAGGGAAGCAAACACATTTTTGTGTGTGTGTTTTTGTTTAAAAACAATCATTTCCTGTTCAACTATCCTAAGGAAAATGAAAGCGAATTCAAGATGTTCCCACCCGAAATCTGGAAGTTCTATTCTTCAGAAAATGCCCCGAAGCAGCACCTGCCCGTGTGGAGAAAGGCCCCTCCACAAGTGGAACAGCGAAACCTGGAGACAACGCAAGTGCCCTTCCGCAGGGAAAGGGGAATCCAGTGCGGCCAGTCCGCAGGCAGCAGTGCTGCGGAGCAAAGGAGAAAGGACAAACCCAACCCACTGACGGCCCCAGGCGTAAATCATGAAACCACAGTGGTGAGCAAACTACGGCAAAAAAGCTGCAGAACCACAAGGGCTGCATGGACCCAGGGCTTTGAAAAATGCTTCCAAGGAGGACACAGGCAAAAGGAGGAGAGCATGATCAGGGGCTGGGTTCTCTACAGGCCACACCCTTTACACACCTCACCCCGTTTAGTTCTCACAACCTTCTTAGGCAAAGATTCCACCCCACCCCCCAACGTATTGCTGAGGAAACTAAGGCTGAGGCAGCTCAGCAACCTGCCTATGGCAGCAGAAGGAGAGGTTGGGCTAAAGCTAGGTGTACCCGGGCAGCCCCTGCTACCTCCCTAAAGAGGCCAAACATCCTCATAGGCCCCTTCATCTTTCCACTCACCCATTTGTCCATCTGTACATCATCCATCCATCTGTCATCCACCCATCCAACATCCATCCCTCCATCAATCAATCATTCATCACCCATCTACCATTCATCATCCATCCACCTACCATCTACCCATCATTCACCATCCACCCATCCATCCACCATCCGTCCACCCATCACCATCCATTCATCATCCACCCATCGTCCATCCATCCATCTATCCATCATCCATCCATCTTTCATCCACCCATCATACATTCATCACCCATCATCCATCTACCTACCATCCACCCATCATCCATCTACCTACCATCCACCCATCATCCACCATCCACCCATCCATCCACCATCCATCCACCCATCACCATCCATTCATTGTCCACCCATCATCCATTCATCATCCATCCATCCATCATCTATCTATCCATATCCACCTATCATTCATCCATCATCCATCCATCCATCCATCATCCATCCATCATCAGCTCATCATCTATCCGTCATCCATCTAGCCACAATCCATCCATCATACATCCATCTGTCCATCCATCCATCCACCCATCCACCCAGCTGCACATCTATTCATCATCCATCATCCATCTACTCATCTACCTATCAATTCATCTATCTATCTATCATCCATCCATCCATTTGTCTACCATCAGTCCATCCATCCGTCCACCCATCCCTGGTTTTGGTCTAGGCAAGGAACAATCAGGAGAGAATAAAACCCAGACCTGCCATCTCAAGCCACTGCTCCAAGGCAATTCTAGTCCCATAAGGCAAGCTCCATGGCTGAAGCCAGCATGTGTGTTCCTGAGAGCTGAGCACAGGGCTGCGGTGGGTGCAAGTCCCGGGAAATCCTCTCAGCAGTGAGGCAGAGCTCTAACGTGGTAGGTGGATGTCCAGAACCTAAGACCTGAGAATGACAGTTTCTCTGTGGATGCCCTAAAAGCCTTCAATGGATGGGGGAAAACATCAGATTCTGCCCAAGGCTGGCACCAGCCAGGCAGGTTGAGCTAAGCAGAGTTGAAAAGAGTTAGGTATTGGTGGCCCTGGTGCACTGAATATTTATGTACACATTGCTGGGAACAGAGCATCATGCATTTGCAAAACTAAAACAGGAGCATCACCCCACAGCCACTTCTAGGACTTTGCTGTCCATTAAGCCAGAGGGCCTGGATCTGGGACATTTACATTCCCACTCCTCTACCCACCGCTAGGAGGGCCACTTCCCATCCCCTGCAGCCAGCGCCTGAGGAGTGCCCCGCCTACTGTGCCTTCTCAGGGTCTACACCCCACCCAGCACTTGGCCGTGACAGTGGGGTTCTTGCCTGTTCCCTGGGCCTGCCTCAAGCCGGAGCCCACATGCCCTCACATGGCAGGGAGTCCGCTCCCGCCTGCCGTGACCATGGCCAGTCTCCTCCAGGGAAGCTCCTCTCAGCCCCACCACGGCCATGAGGTTCCCCAGCCCCCACCTTACCATGGGATGAGAAGGCAGAGTGCAGAGCACAGACAGCAGGTGTGGGGCCGTGCATTTTAATTCCCTTCTAACCCCTCATGGATGGAGATGCCAGCTTACAACTCTCCCAGCTGCAGCTTCTGCACCTCCTCTTTTTTGCAGGGCCACTGGGGGGCGGGTGTCTCAGACTGTGCGTGGCACCGAAGGCACCCACCATGGGGTAGCTGTCCTGCTTCCATGCTGGTTATAGTCAGCTGAGCCTCGCTGCAAAAGTTGATGGAACCCCCAGGACATTCCCTCAGTGGCTCCCAAGGACCAGCACACAAGTGCCAGGCCTGGAAGCTTTCTCCAACCGCTGGAGCCCACTCTGTCCAACTGAGAAGGAGGCTGCAGTCCCTGGGACCAATGAGGAGTGGCCCTCAACTAAGGCCTGCAGAGCTGGGCCCATAGATGCTCCAACCCCTCACCCTTGGGAAGAAGACTCGGAGCCCCAGCCCATGGTGTGTACCTTTTTCAGAGCTCCCAGTGGGCTGACTGGCCATCCAGAAGGACAATGACCAGACCACATGTGACAGCAGAATTCCAGCCCACTGTCCTGCAGCTGCAAGCTTGGAAGCCAACCCACAGCCTCTGCAGCCTTCAGGCCCAAAAGGTCAGCACTTGGTCAGTAACCACCAGCTTCCTTCATTTTGTGTCCCTTCGTCCCAACTCAGGACCAACCAGAGAAAACCCAACGTGCCCTGAAGCCCCCTTAGGTAGCTGCTCTGGCTTGCCCAGGCCTAGGCCTCCCATCCGCGCAACCTGGAGCGTCCCTGTTCCGCCACAAGCTTCCTGCCATCCTCAGGCTGCGGGCGCTGAGTAACGGCCTTTGCTCATTCTCATTGGTTGTCTTCCTCCGTTTTCACAGTGGTCATGTGTCCAGCTGCCCACAGCGTGACCAGGGGATGAGCCGCCTTTGTGGACCGCACTCCCCGCCCGCTCCACGTCCTCACTTCCTGCACACATCATGTGCACGCCAGGCCTCGGCTTAGGGTCTGCTTTTGGGGGACCCCACGCTGAGGAACCCTTGGCTGTACAATGCACTCTTTGTACAGAGAACAGCTGCTCCTTCTACAGCATCGTCGGTTTCAGGAAGGACAAGGATGCCCGGCTCCAGGAAAACCTGGGCCCAGTGAGGAACCTGGTAGGACCTGGAGGCGGGCTGGGCCAGGCAGGCCAGTGAGGGAGTGGCCTTTACTTATAGTAGGGTGGAGTCGACGCTGCCACCTGGCGTGGGTCCTTGGGGTCTTGACCTTTGTCAGGAAGCTGGTGTCCTCCCAGGAGCCCGAGCTCCCGATACCCTGCTCAGCTCGCTGGTAGCAGAACAGGCACCGTGACCATTGCTGCTCAGAGGGAGGAGGCCATGCCCCAGCCTGTTGGGGTGCAGAGGAGTCCGAGGGGCAGAGAGCCCAGCAGCGCTGAGCTCCAGGACCCATGCCTGCCCGGCAGCAGCAAGAGCCCCTTCTCAGATGGCAGATGCAGGCACCCTCTGGGAGCCAGGCCCCTCTTCCCATATAGAGACAAGAGGAGCCCCACACGCCACCCGCCTTCAGACACTCAGATATGCGGCCAACACCAGCCCCACCTGTGCCCAGAGGAGTTCAGGGCCCAGCCTCCACACTGCCGGTGAGTGAGGCCAGACAGACCACCGGAAGCTGGGAGAAACGGCCCCCGTGGTCCCCACTGGAGGACAGCTCTAGAGGAGTGTGGGGTGGGTACAGTCATGGAAGTCTCTGGAAACCGACATAAGCGCCCACGGTGGTCCCCGCTGGAGAATAAACAGGAAGAGCACCCGGGACGAGGGGCCACTTGTCTGCAGGGCTCTTGGAGGGGATGAGGGGGCCACTTGTCCACAGGGCTCTTGGGGGCCACGCAAAGACCTGGCCAAGTACCTGAGGAGGGGCGGCCGGCACTGTTTGCTAAATGTCAGAGAAATGGTGGAAGGTCAAGGGCCGAGGCTCTTGAAGGTCAGTTGCGGCTGTGCAGGAGCAAGCGGGCGGCTCGGTCCAGCCCAGCTCTGGTGTGGGAGATGCCAAGGCACCAGCCTGCAGCTCCGCCAGGGCCTCCAGTGCCATCACCCCCCAGGGCCTCCGCACAGACGGGCATCCCGGGGTCCCGGGGCTGTGAGAGGAAAGAGGGTCTCCGAGCTGTCAAGTGGGGCCCCGTGTGGTTTGGGGGAGTTTTCCAAAGTTCACGAGTGAGTCCTCTCTCACTGTGGGGGTGGAGTTCTCATGAGAAGCCGTGTCAGGGGCTCAGGCCTGACCCGCCCTGACCCACCATTAACCAGAGACTGGGCGTGGGGGCCTGGCTGTCCCATCTGCCAGTCAATGATGGCCTAGGAGGGGTGGAAGGCAGCTTTTCCTGGCAGTGTCAGTGGAGTCCCGAGGGCCTTGGAGGCTGTGACCGGGCCCCGGGGGTCCCCACAGGAGCTAAATTCCCCCCCTCCCTCCCTAGATGCTCACCCTGGTGGGGAGGACTGGGCTTGCTGCTGATACGGGGCTGCCTCTCTGAGTCACAGGCCTTGTAAGGTCCACACTACTGTTCAGTGACCCTCCTGTGCCCCCTTCCCATTTTCTAGAAAGGCTCCGCGGGGCCGGGCGCGGTGGCTCACGCCTGTAATCCCAGCACTTTGGGAGGCCGAGGCAGGCAGATCGCGAGGTCAGGAGATCGAGACCATCCTGGCTAATGCGGTGAAACCCCGTCTCTACTAAAAATACAAAAAAATTAGCCGGGCATAGTGGCGGGCGCCTGTAGTCCCAGCTACTCAGGAGGCTGAGGCAGGAGAATGGCGTGAACCCGGGAGGCAGAGCTTGCAGTGAGCTGAGATGGCGCCACTGCACTCCAACCTGGGCGACAGAGCGAGACTCCATCTCAAAAAAGAAAAAAAGAAAAAAGAAAGGCTCTGGGGAAATGAGGGGGCTTAGGATAAGGAGGGCAGCAGAGATGGCTGCAAATCAGTGCTTACCCTGCGCCAGGACCTAGTCCACACCACCGCCTGCCAGGCTGTTCCTACTATGAATCCCTAAGAAAGGGACCCTGAGGCAGAGAGCACTCAGGGAGCCTGAGGCCGGGCAGGGTGACCAGTGGCCATGAGCCGAGCCACCGCCCACGGTCCCAGTCCCAGGACAGAAAGGACTCTGATCCCGCGTCACTGTGCAGAATGTGTGTGGCCCCGGACTGGTCCCCACGCAGCCGTGCTGAGCCTCGGAAACACAAACTTCTAAATAAGGTCAAAGCCCAGGTCAGTGACTCAACGTCTGCTCCCAGCACCAGAAATGGTTTATTGATTTTTCGACACCTGGGGGAGCATTGTTTGTGCCAGTGGCCCATGACCCCCAATGGGCATCGCGGATCTCCAGTGGGGTTGGGGGGTCCAAGGCTTGAGGCGTTGCCGTGGCCACCGTCATCATCACAAAGCCAAGCATTCCAGCCCTGCCAACCCAGAAGCCACTGTTAGGAGCGGATACAAACAGGGGTGGCAAACATTTCAAACCGTGGAGAGGTGTGGCCTCCACAGAGAGGTCAGGCTCCAGAAGTGTGGGTGATTTTTCATCCACGAAACGAGGCTGGAAACACAGCCCCTGCTGAGGACACCATGTGCCTTCCTCCCCAGAGGCCAGCAGCCCCAGCACACCCTGGAACAGCCTTGTCATCTACGGAGCAGTCTGAGGAATTCACAAACCTGCAAAGGGGCCCCAGAAACATTGCAGCCAGGGGACTCGGCTATCCCTGCGGACGGGAGAGGCTCTGGGTTCTGTCCTTCAAGCAGAAAGGACTTTCCTTGGGCTGGTGATAGAGGTACCAGCAAAGGGTCCCAGAGCCACAGAGCAGAGTGGATCCGAGATGTGGGATGTCATCAGCCCAGCTGCTCCCTGGGCCCTGAGGCCTTTCTGTCCTTATGATCACACACGCCTTCCCAGGGTGGGATGCATCACCTCCCATCCACAGTCCCCACCCACCTCCCAGCTTGAAGAGCAGAGCCTGCCACAGCCAGACCCAGACAAATCCCAGTGTCACCCACACAGGGAACCGCTCCATCCCCAGGTGTAGAGGACTGCACAGGATGAGAACTGCTCACACACAGGAGCCAAACAAAAGCCACTTTAAAGACAACTGTGAGGCCAGGCGTGGTGGCTCACACCTGTAATCCCAGAACTTTGGGAGGCCGAGGTGGGTGGATCACCTGAGGTCAGGAGTTCAAGACCAGTCTGGCCAACACGGTGAAACCCCATCTCTACTAAAAACACAAAAAATTATCCAGGCGTGGTGTTGAGCACCTGTAATCCCAGCTACTCAGGAAGCTGAGGCGGGAGAATTGCTTGAACCCGGGAGGCAGAGGATGCAGTGAGCCGAATAGCACCACTGCACTCCCGCCTGGGCAACAAGAGCGAAACTCCATCTCAAAAATAAATAAATAAATAATTAATAATAATAATATAATAATAATAATAATAATAATAAAATACAACGTTTTTCATGGCCCAGTGTGGGTGTCAGGACCCAGGTGCCTTCTGCAGCATGAAAGCACCTCACATTAGTTCACACTGGGGGCGCCTGCTGGCACTGTCCTTGCCCGGGCTGGCCCCAGGCCCTGATGGCCTACCTGCACCCTTGGTGCTCCTGGCATCCCACGTGTGGTCTCCAGGGATTGGAGGCCGAGAATGGAAATGCTGGGGGGCCTGCTGGGGCCATATGAATGCCAGGGCCACACCAGTGCAGTGGCCACACCAATGCCGGGGTGCACCAATGCCGGGAGCCTGACGGCACCAGCCTGGGCGCACGACAGGGACAGACGCCTCAGCCACATCACACCCCCGCCCAGAAACTGACAGGCTCCCGTTAGAGAAACGGTCCCCTGCTGAGAGCAGTGACGCTCCTCCCCTACAAGGACTCGGCTTTCCCATGGGACGGCACGTGGAGGTCCCCAAATCCTATGCTGCGAAGGCATCGGTGGCCAGGGCAGCTGCCTGATGGAGGATGGCCGGCGTGTGCATAGAAAGAAGACCCTGCAGTCACTCCTGCCCAGACCCTCACACCCACGGGGGTCTGGACCCCTGCATTCTGGCCTCAGGTCCTCCCGTGCCAGGCTGAGATAGAAACGTCTCTACCACGGCCCCCGCAAAGATTCAGTGCACGGCGACCGCATCTCTGGCGATGGTTGTAATGAGGATGAAGACCCGGGCCTGTGGCGCTGCCCCTGCATCCCTTCCTCCATCCCCGCCGCGCTCCGCCTCTGGGTTTGTCCCCTCTGCTCCCCAAAGGCAGGCCCCGCCGCCCCTCCTGCCTGGCTCGGGCTGTGCCCTCATCCCACACGCCCCTTCCTGGCTTCCTTCCTCCTCCTCAAGGCTCAGCCAAACCCCATATCCCCTCTAGGTCTCGCTGATTCTCCCACTTTCAAGGCTTGACTGCCCCAGAAAAGCCCTCTCGGTGACGGCTGCAGTGACAGGGAGAAGCCTTGGGGACGTGGAGACCAGGGGGGAAGGGGCCCACCTTCCTCCATCAGCCATGTCGCCTCTCAGAGCAGAGCTCCAGGACCACCAGGGTCAGAGGAGGGGTTGTGGGGCAGGGGACCCCGCAGTGTGGGTTGTCAGGTTACCCGGCTCATCTCAGGGAGGGGCTCTAGCTGGGACCTCAGTGCCTGCTCCCGAGAGCAAGGCCACCTCCAGACTAGAAAGAGCACAGAGCAGTGATGGCTGAGGGCTCAGAGTCAGAGCCATCCCTCCACCATGGGGCCCACTTCCCAAGCAGCCCCGACCGCCATGGGTCCCAAAATCTGCTGCGGGGCAGCCCAGTGGCCCAGGAGGAGCGTCCACCGCTGGTGTCAGCTCCAGCTGCCACCACAAAACACCATGGCCCCGGGCGGCCTCAACAAGGTCAAGGGCAGCCCAACTGGGTTCCTGGTATGGGCTCCCTCCTTGGGCCCCTCGGCACTGTGTCCCTCATGTAGCAGTGAGAGGGAGGGGGCACCTCCCTCACGCCTCTTTCCTAAGGGCCTGACCCCAGTATAAGGGCCCCTGTATGACCTTGTCACCTCCAAATGCCATCGCCCTGGGCCTAGGCCATTTGAATGTGGGGGACACAGTTCAGGCCTGGCACCTGCTTATTGTGAATTTCCCGCCATGCTCCTATTCTCTCACTCCCTGGCAGCTGGCGGAGGCAAGTGAAGCCCAGGAGGTGGGCCCGCCGTTCGCCCAGGCACCTGGCACACGTGGGCACCCAGGGTATCCTCCTGACCTCGTGAACCACCAGCCCTCTGTGGCACACACTCGTGTCACGCCCCTCCCCATCCTGGCCCTTGAACCTGACTGGACCTCGCTGGTCTACAGCCCCTGGACCATGTCTCCGCATTCGAGTCTCCCAGTGGCCACGCCCGGAAGATACTGTGGAGGTGTTCCTGGTTGGCCAAATGAATATTCCACAGCAATGAAGAGACCTCTCCACAGACCACGGCTCCTGAGGCCACGCTCACATGGATGGCAGGAGAGAGACCGTGGCAAACACCCACAGGAGCCCAACTCTCCTTAATCACTTCATTATTGGCTTTGAGGATACGTCCCTGTAAGGAATCTGCTGCTTGAAAATGCAAATGATTATGAGCCCCAAGAACCCAAGAGGTGCGACAGACATTAAAGAGCGTTATGTCAGTTCCAGGGAGGGACGCATTCAAAAACAAGATTTAATTTGTCTATGTGTAAAATGCTAGACTTTAAGAAACACCTAGGGCCAACAGCAAATGAGTGTGTGCCGAGGAAAAGCAGACGATGATTTGCCGGCTCCCAGCAAATTGAACATAAGCTCCAGTTATAATGCAGCCACGGAGAGCGAAGACGCAATAATGACTAGATTGGGATGTTGCGACGGTGGCACTGAATAAGAATGAACTGGCACAGGCCCGGCTTGCTCTCCATCTGGGAGTCCCCATCACCTTCCCTGTTCCCTGGAGGTTGTGCTGATCTTGGTGAGGTGCAGAATCTAAAGGAGACAGGGGAGGGAAACAAGACCACTCCCCCCTCAGACTGGGGCCTCTGCCTGAGCGGGCTCCGTGGCTCCAATCTGTCTCCACCAACTTGTCTCATGGGAAAGGTCCCACCTGCCCCGGCTTAGACACATCCTCCGGTTGTGTCCTCATTGTGACCTCAAGGGACAGGGGTCCTGGGACCCATTTTCAGGGGACATTGCCTTCCAGTGGATTCTAGGGGAGCTGACCTCGGGGAGGGAGCTCTAGGCATGGCCAGAGCCCTCCCTGAACAATGATCGCCCATCACCGCCTGCTAAGGGCAGGTCAGGAAGGGGTGCTGTGGGGGCTGGACCTCTGCCGAGAGTCTGGAGGTGCCCTCCCACCTGCGAGTGGCCGTGGCGCTCAGTGGCCTGTGGCCTGGCATCTTCAGGGAGCCTTAGCTACCAGCTTTCAGTGGAGTGCCTGCAATGCTTGGGCGAGACCAGGCTCCCACTCAGCCTCCTGCAAGGAGCCGCCGTGGTCACCTCTAATCTAACCACCACCTGGGACTGGTGTCCTAGGGTGGCCAGAACAGAACGGCACAGGTGCATCCCTGTCAGCCCTGTCCCCAGCATCGCTCAGGGCAGAAACTCATGTCCTCGCAGCCCTGGAGGCCGGGAGTCCAGGGTCAAGGTGTGGGCAGAGCTGCTTCCTCCCGGCGCCGCCCTCCTCAGCCTGTGGACGCCGTCTTCTCTCTGTGTCCTCACAGGGTGGCCCCTCTGTGCCTGTCCTTGTCCTCATCTCTCGCTATAAGGACACCAGTTATACTGGATCAGGGCCCCACCCTTACGACCCCATTTAACCTTAATCACCTCTTTAAAGAACCTGTCTCCAAGTACAGTCATGTTCTGAGGAGCTGGGGTTAGGACATCAACATACGGATTTTGGGGAGACACAATTCAGACGCTAGCACAGTTCTGATGCCGTTACTGCTGCCGGCCCTGAACCCCAGACCTGGGCGCACTCCCCGCTCCCTGCGGGCCTCCCAACGGTGGGTGCCCCTGGTGACCACGCCAGGCCCGGCTGCAGCCCTCTTCTCCTTTGGGAGGGTTAACTCTCATGAGTGCCATCTGCTTTTCCTCCCAGGACCAAGCAGGCGGGTCTGTGCCCAGTGAGTGCATGAGGACACCACTGTGGACGGCAGGGTGCCTGGGTCTGCATCCCCGGAGCTGGACAGTGCCCCCAAGGGAAGTGAGCATGGGGCCTCAGGGGCTGTGGAGGTTGGGCCCTGAGCAAGGCCATGATCAGGTGGGACCCTGCCTAGGGGGGTGTCCCTGAGAACAGCCTCGAGGGGACCCCACATCCCTGTCTGCCTCACTCCCTCTCGGGTCGGACTGCAGGAACCACCTGGCCTTGTCTGCTGCAGTCACTGCCCCGCCACACCTGTGTGATGTGTGCCCTGCAGACCAGAGCCCCCAGGGACACGAATCCCCTGCTGCCCCAGCGCCTCTTCGGGACACCCCACTTTCCTTTCAAAAATCAAAGGTCTTCCAACATGGGCCTGCCAAGAAGCTTCTCTTCCAGATGAATACAGATGGCAGAGGCTGATTTAAATAAATCTATTAATTATGTGCAGCTTAGCACGCGTGCATATGTGTGTAAGCTGCAGCTCCTAAATAATGTAATTCCGGGAGCCTCTGCATCTATTACATTTAATTGCTTCTCCCTGTGGTGCGCAGGATGGAGATGCAGCCACAACCTCACTAGGTCCCCGGAGCTTGGCAAACCCCAGAGGGGCTGCTCTGCAGGAGGGGCTGACCACAGGGGGCTCTGGGGATGCAGGGCCAGTGAGCACTTGCTGTGAGGGACCCGCCTCTTCTCACAGTCCCCTGGGAGCCTCCCCAGGACAAATTCTTCTCCTCTGCCTGTGATGCCCTCTGTGCCATTGGTCTCGGGTGACATCACCTCCCATCAGTGGCCCAGGAGTTTGATGAGACCACCAATCCCTACTATCCCCCTCCCGGAGTGGGGTTCAGCGTTTAGGGTCTTAGCCTGGTCCATGAATCCCAAAGTCATCAGAAGACTCTGCCCACAGGACAGGACACCTCCAGGGAGGGAGCTAGAACAAGAAGAGGGCCCTGGCTGGGGCAGGGGAGCAGGTGGCAGGGCCTCCACCCCTCACAAGCACCACCCAAGGCCAGGCCCAGCCCCTCCCAGGTCTGTGTACTTGAAGCAGCTGTTCCTTGAGAGATGGCTTGGCAGCCTCCAGCCAGCGGCCACAGCGCCCCCATCCCCACCCCCGTATCTTGCCCGATGCCCTCGGGTAGGTCTCCTGGACCAGCTTCCTGGGCTCCTGTCTCAGGGGATCGGACAAGGTCCCCTCTTCCCTGGGCCTTGCTGATGACGGGGTCACCTGGCTGCAGGAGGCCACAGACCACGGGGTGCCCGTGGCGTGGGGGGTGCACCCCAGGCCACTTCCAGCAGCTTCTCAGTGTTCAGTGGGTTTGCGGATTTTTGTTGTTGTTTTTGCCTTGTCTCCCTCTCTCCCTCTTCCCATAAAGATCCGCACTTCTGAAGACACAGACACGCTTGGAGACCTACGTTGTCAGAGTGAGAGTCAGGAAAAGCCACAGGAATGAGCTGGGAGCCCACGTCCTCCATCAGGGAGCAGCCGCCCTCCCCGGAAATCCCTCGCAGGACACGGTCTGAGCACCAGGGCTGAGCTCCGCTTGCTCTGCTGGTGAGACAGGGGATTGCTCTGAGAGCGAAAGGGAGGAGGGAGGAGAATGCCCAGGCACCTGGGAAGCCGGTCGTGCCGCTTAGGAAGAGCGCTGAGCCCACCGCCAGCCCCATGCCACCAGCCAGTATCCATTCATTCCTTCATTCATTCATCCATCCTCCCTCCCTTCACTCGGCATCCACGGAGCCCCTGTGTGCCAGGCCCTGGGCTGTTTGCTAAGAGACAGTGGTGGGTGGGGCAGGGACAGGTGTCCAGGACTGGGTGGCCCTGCAGTGGGAGTCGTCTGACCTCCTGCTGCCATGACAGCCACTGGAACAGCCTTCTCTTGTCTCCACCATCGGAGATCTCAGAGCCCCAGCCTCAGGGGCTACATTGCCACCCTGGGCCCCCGCCCAGGGACTCCCGAGGACACAGCTTGAAGAGGCTCGTAGGACCCCCTCTCAGGACCACTATGGGGAGAGGAAGCACCTGACCATGAGTGTCCCACTGTCTCTGCAGAGACACTCCTGCAAGCTCTGACACTCGGGGAAAGAGAGACCCACATCTTTGTAAAAACCAGCAGGCTCTTGAGAGGATTATAGGTCTGCAGAGAATCTTAGCATTTCATAATTTTTAAATTATATTCCAGACACCCAGGAAATTTTGAAATAATAATAATTTGGAGGTCTAATCTGTTAAAACAATAGCTTTTAATATTCATTTGTTACTGGCAATAAATGGCTGTAATAACCTGATGATGAAGCTGCTGTGACCTCCGCTGAACCTCAGCAATCTCATTTGCATTCTCATTAAAATGACAGTTTCAGTCTCATTCTTTGAAATCCATAATACCCTCCTTTCCAGAATTTCCAAAGCCTCCCTAAAGAGTAATTAACTCATGTGATTAAAAATGTAATATGTTGGGAACATTTTTTTACTTTATGAAGGTACCAGGTTAAAAGTTTTAATATGCACTGTATTAATCGTAAATCATTTTGATTTTTAAAAAACCCTTACAGAAAGAGAAGTAAATGGGAAAGCTTCATTGTCAATGTTGGATTATGATAATTTCCTTCCTATCCTAATTTTTATTAATGGAAAAAAAATGACGGCCTAAACTAGCCCGTCAAACTTCTGCACCTTCAAAGTCGAAGCCCAGACACCCGGGAGCATTTCCCTGGGGACATTTTTGCCGGGAGCCCTTTCAGAAAGTCTCCAGCCTCTTCCTCCCGATCCTTCAAAGGCTCTCCACAGCCTCATCTCTTCCCTGAGCCCAGGCGGGAGCTGAGCTCTTCTGAGCGGCCGCCCGAGGACCTGGGTTCTGGAAGCGGGAGCAGGATAAAAAGGAAGCCTGTGGTTTGTACCTCATTTGTCGCTTTGGGGGAATTTCCGTATCTTCTTTGATGCTCCCATTCAGTGGCCTGGACAAGCACAGTGTCCACGCTTGGCCAGGACGGAGGCCAAGAGCTGGGCAGGTGGACGGTGATCACCTAATGAGCATCAAACAGCCTCCACTGTCAAGTTCTCGGTTGGATTCCAGGGGCCTTGACAAGCCCTCCCAGCAAAAAGAGGCCACAGGCTGAACAGACGAGGACCGGGCATGCCAGGGCTGCACCCCAGGTCAGGCAGACAGGGAGGGCACCACCAGCCCGGAGAGAGAGCCGTGGGAGGCAGACGGGCCTGCACCACGGCAGGCATGGAGGTATGCTCAGAGACACTGTAGGAACCTTCCAGAACACTGTCTGGGCCCCGGGTGGGGGACAGAGTCAAGGACAGTGGTGCCTGGTGATCTGTCCCCTCCCAGCCCTGCCCCAGGACTCATCCCTGGGACGCCTCCTCACCCTCTCCCACCATCCTGTCCCTGGTGCAGGTCTCCCCATGACCCCATCCTCCTCCTGGGTGTCCAGTGCATGCGGCCAGGGAAGCCTGCATCCTGCTTCCCTCCCTCCATCCTATTCCCTCTGGCCCGGGCGCCTCCGGGCAATCTGTCCTTGGTCAGGGTACTGGGCATGCAGCCAGGAACAGAGCTGAGACCGACCCGTGTCTGTGGGGGCACATGGAGGGCACAGGAACCACTGTCCATCGCACAGAGCCAGGGCATGGGGGCCTCCACGGAGACATAGTGAGCCAGGCAGGAGGGGCACAGAGCGGGGGGCCTGTGGAGTCAAGGTGGTCCAGGAGGGCTCCCCTGACGAGGCGGCATTTGGGCATCTGAGGGAAGCTGGGATCACACAAGTCAGGAGGATGTCTAGAGAGGAAGCTTCCAGAGGAAGGCAACAGCAGGGTCTGAGCTGAGCCCGTGCTGGGTGTGGTGGTGGGAGATGAGGGGTGGGCTCTCGGGGTGAAAGATGCATGAATGAATGAGCAGTAGGCAGACCAATCTCTGCCTGTGACCAGGTGGTTGGGGACGAGCCCCCCTCAGATCAGCCCCAGGTCTGAGTCTCTGGGGTATTCTGCAGGGAATGCAGACAGGGCCGTCACAACAGTGGGAAACCAGGGGCTCAGCACCCAGGGCTGGCTCTGGGCCTCCTCCCTCGGGGTGAGCCCTGGAAGCCCCATATAGGTGCAATCCCAGCTGCCCCTCCTCTTCCCTGGGAGCCTGGCCGGGCCCCTCGGAGGATGATAAATGTTTATTTAAGGTTTTTCCAGTTGTCAGTATGATAAACGGACCCTTGACAAAATCAATGAATCAAGTAAGCTGAGCTAATCTACAGGGGCCCCTCTGGAAGGGGTCTCCCACCCTGCCCGCAACTCCGAGCCCTGCGACGGGGGTTCTAGATGATCGATCCATTTAGGCAGAGCTGGGCATGGGCGTGGGTTCCGCCGGGCTGTGAAGTCTCCATGTCCTGACCCAAGGAGAGCAGGCTGCCCACCTCGTGGCCTGCAGGACCCCGAGAGAGGATGTACACGCTCATAAGGGCTTCCCACAGCAGGCAGCGCTGACAGAGTCAGCCAGCAGCTACATCAGCAGAGGGATTTGTTTCCTAAACGGGACCCCCTGAGAAGGTTTCCTGAGGGCTTCAGCCCATCAGACTTCTGCCACTGCCTCCAGGAAGCCCTCCTCCCTGCCCAGAGCCCAACTCCTGGGTGACAGCAGCCAGGCACCAGGACACCAGCAAGCAAAGGCAGCTGGCCCACAGGAGGCAAGTGTGGACCCTTCTCCACAGCAGAAGAGCCATGTGAGGTCCGCTGTGACTGGTGACTCCTTGGGAGGGGCTCTCTGGTGGTCCCCGGGAGCCCACACAAGGAGGGCTCACAGTGCACAGGCTGCAGCCACACAGCCACAGTGACAGAGCACAGCAGAGGGAGCACTGGAGGACGCTTCCTGCCGGGAGGACAGTCAGAGCTGAACGGCCATCGCAGGGCGTGGGGCCAGCACTGCCTTCCCGCAGGAGCCCGTGCTCTCAATCAGTTTTCCACAGGGCTCCCAACTCCCACCAGGGGCTCAGAGGCTATTCATTTGATCTCACACCTCTGTTACCAACAGCGGCCACACCCACACTTGCCATGGGAAAGCGCGGGGCAGCAGGTGGGTCCTGGGCCAGCCAGGGGAGCGGGCGGGGCAGAGGTGCGGCTCTCCTGGAGAAGGGTCTTTGGGGAGGCGAGAGAAGGCAGCACTTGTCACAGAGTTTCCTTAGCCCCCGTCTCCCCTCCTGCACCTGCTTCCATCACTGCTGCAGACCACGAGAAGGGTGGGTGCCAGAACCCTGCCCCCCTTAGGACCCCATGCACATCGTCACAGGCCCCTCAAGAAAACACTTGCGACAGACCCCAACAGGTCTATATTTAGAGCTGAACTTTAAGCCAAATATCAAGGAGTTCTGGAGCGGAATTCTTGATGGGCTGGGCCCCTTAGTGTGTGCCTGGAAAACCAGCGAGCCGCCATCACCTGGTCCCATCCTGCTCATGCAGCTCCTCCAGTTCTTGCAAGCTTTTCATGGACAGTGGCCTTGCCCAGGAGGTGAGAGGAGAGGATACGGGTCTGCTGTTGACACTGGGGCTAGACGGGGCTGGCACCTGCCAAGACTATGCCAGGCGTCTGGGTCAGAGCCGAGCCGCCCAGCCCTCGGCTGGTGTTTTCCTCCCCGAGCTCAGACGCACTGACCTGGGGGGCTCCCTGCCTTCCAGGGTGCTGCAGGCCCAGCCTTGTCCAGGTCAGGGTCAGGGGCCCTGGGAGCCCAGGCTGAGGGGTCTTCAGCATGGCTGTGCTGTCAGAGGCCACATTCATGCTGTGCCTGCCTCCTGCTCACTGAGACACCACAGGGAGGGACCTCACCCCGTGCCCCAGAGGGGCACGGAGGACTTTGCATGATGTTCCCCAGGGGTGCCCTCAGAGCAGCCCTGGGGGAGAGGGGACACCACAGCAGCCCATCTTATGATGTCCAAATCAGGACCAGGGCCCTCAGAGCAGCCCTGGTGGGGAGGGGACACCACAGCAGCCCATCTTACGATGCCCCAAGCAGGACTAGGAATGTCTGCCTCACCCCCAGGTGACACAGGAACGAAAGGGATCCACATGGTCCCGGGCACGACTCAGGCCTGAATCCTGGAGGCACCGCTCTTTCCCGAGAACAAGAAGGTCAGAGAAAGCTTTCTGGAGCCCAGACACCCGTGGATCAGAGTAGGGGGCCCTGGATCAGGATGTACCTTGTCCGGACTCCACACCCAACCACTGTGTGGTCCCAGGCAAGCCACCTCACCTTGGAGCCGCAGGTTCCAACCTGCAAAGGGACCTTGGGAGGATCCAGCAGCATCAAGTGCGGAAGGCGATGGAACCTGCTAGGAACCGTGGGATGAGGGTAGGGGGCAGGGCATATCTGCTTTGATACAAGACACTCCTTCACACAATGCCGGCATTTCCCAGGGGCACCTGGCTCCGTGGGGGTCAAAGCCCTCACATCTGGTTCCATCCAGATGTGACCTCTTAGCTTACTCCCAGAGAGCCATCCAGGGTCCTGCTGGGCACCTCCGACCAGTCTGTGGGAAAGGTGCATGAGAGGCCCATGTGCCAGCCTGGAAGCCCTTGCCCTCTCATGGCGCTCCTGTCTGCATCTGGCCTCACCTGTGGCCTGCACTGACCCTGTTCTCCCAGGCCTACACCTTATCCCGGCCAGATGCGCCATCTGCCCAGGCCCTGGAGCCAAGCACTCAACTCCTGGAGCCTTCTCTAGCTCTAGGTAGGCTGTGTGTGGAAACAGGGCAGGGCCACCTCGGGTGGACACACACAGGCTGCTACACCCATGCCCAGCATACCCCAAAGTTCCCAGCTTCTGATACAGGCCAGCTTTGCCACATACGAGTCACTTAATGTTCTCAGTTACTGAAACACTCTGTGACTCGGTTTCTCTTTGAGAAGGAGAGGGATGTGACAGTACCTGACAGGGTGGCCTCAGGGATGAGTGCATCATTGCAAGGAAATCATTCGGACCTCGCCTGGTGCAGAGCAAGCTGGCAATGAACACCCAGGACCACAAGTCCAATTCCCGAGGGCGTCTGGCACTGCTAGCGGGGGACTTTGCCTGTTCATCCATCTCCGAACTTAGTCCTCAGACCTGGGCAGGGGCCCGTGCTTGTCCTCAATGTGCACAGTTGCCACAGCTCTGACAACCACTCCAGGCCACACAGCAGTTGGTGTGGAAGATGAAGCCCAACCCGGCACTGCCTGGTCCTGAAGCCCAAAGCCTGGCCCTGGCCCTGCCACACCATCAGGGGCAGTCATCTCCAAAAGCAGGATAGGCAGGACCACTGCAGTTTTACAGGAGCAGGTGGTCCCTTGGGAGGCACCTGCGCCTGCTTTTGCTGAGTCCCTGCATCCTGCTTGGTATTGTCATGGTGTCCCCTTCTCCAAATGCCACCACATGAATACCATGAATAAGATTTAAATTCAAATTAGGGCCACTTTCTGGAATGCATGCAGAATCATTTGCTGCACCAAAGTTCAGAAGAGCACGGATCCAGTACTAGCCACCCATCTCCCTGCTCAGTGCTGACCACCAGCTGCCTGGTGGCGAATGGATTCCATGTCCCTGAAGCTCATATTGTTCCGGGCATTTATTGATGGTCCAGGTAATTCAAACACGCTGATGAGCAGGTATCAACATCAGGCCTGGGCTGGAAGCCCTCTGTGTCTACACACTGCAGACTACTTGGCAATTAATTTTTTGGTGACTGTCTAAAGAGAATCAAGGCAGAGAAATGGGATCATGAATCCTGCCTTTGGCTGGAAGCGAGGCTCATTCCCTTTGAGAAAGGTGTGGTATGTGTTTACTCTTCCTATTTCTACTCAGGAGACAATGTATGATGAAACTGTGTCATTTCATGCCAATGAATTCACATTTTATGTGGGAAAACTCTTCTTTAGGTCAATCTGATCGCTATAAAGAACTTCTCTTTGGCCAAAAGGCTCTTCCAGCATGGGTGTGAAGGCTTCTTGTGATATAATTCCCAAAAAGACAATGAGTTCAGTGAAACCAAATGACTTTAGTCCAGCAGTGGGCCAAGCATTTAATAAGCACCTGCTGTATGCCAGGTAGTATAGGGAACTGGATTAAAGGGGCCAGGAGATAAGAGACTTCGGTTGTTAGGCGACTGTTGGGAAAACTCTCATGCACGCTCTCACCTGCGCTGATGCTGCGCTTGGCCATGTGGCCTGCTTTAGCCAGTGGGATTTTCATGACCTGGAGGGGCTGGCAGTGATGTGGTTCTGAGGCTGGGCCTGCCCCTGTGAAATGCAGCCCTGAACCCAACCCACCACCTGGAGCCCAGCCTGCCGAGAGCAGCAAAGCTCCCCCAGTCCACTCCCCTGCCCCAGAGCCTGGAGCCTGGGGTCCAGTCTGACCCCACTGTAGCTGACCCACAGACCCACGGTCAAAGCCACCACTGCTGACCCAGGGTCCCGAACAGCACTGTGAGGCCCGAGTTTCTGGTTTGTTCCAGAGACAGGCACCCAATCTCAAAAAATATATACTGGTTGGAAACACAAGCTCATGCTAAAAGGCATGGCAGGACGAGTCATCTCCACAGTCGGCGGGGCGAGGGAGCAGGAGGGCAGGGAGATGATGACCCAGAGAGGCGGGCAGCTTCGGGACTGCAGCTGCACATGGCATTTCCAGCCATCCTCCTCGCTACACTCACTTAAGAGAAAGAGCAATCCTAATGGGTGTCAACACCCACATGTGTGCAGCTGGCCACAGAGAAACTGGACAAAGCCCCACGGGGCCAGATCCCCATCAGGCACCCCCGGGCCTCCTGCGCCTGAAGCTGGGCCTGTGCACCTGCAGCACCAGCTGCCATGTTCACTCGGGGGAGGTCCCAGGGTCACCTTCCTCACTCCTGGGACCTCCGAAGACGCAGGCAGGAAGAACACATCACACAACAGGGCAGGACTGGGGCTGGAGGACAGGGCCAGGGCTCGAGGGTAGGTTCTCAGTGAAGACCGCCCTATTTCCACTCTGGCGCTATCACCGGTTAGCCATGGGATGCTGGGCTCAATAGTTAACGGTGACATTTCCAACCTTCTCCACGTGTGAAATGCAGCGGCAGTCGTCAAACTCAGAGTCCTCTGGAGAGAGACGGAGACACTGAGACCCACCCCAGAGTCTCGGACTCCGCAGGTCTGAGTGGGGCCAGAGATGGACATTCCTAACACGCTCCCAAGGCTGTGCCAATGCCACTGGGACCCCACTCTGAGTCACTGGCTTACGAGGTTGCCATGAAATCAGATAATGTCCCTAAAGTGGAGAACCAAGGGCCGGTACATAAGGCAGCACCCCTGAACACGAGCGGCTCTCCCCATTACTGTCACTATTGCACAGTGAAGAGTCTCCCAGCTGCTTCAGCTCTGGCCCAGCAACCATGGCTGGTGCCCGTCTCCCCCATCTCTCACCCAGTATGGGGGCTCCAGGCTTGGGGCTGATGTGACATCACAAACAAAGGTATCCTCACTTCCCCTTCTACAAAGGAATGCAAACACCTGGGGAAAGGCTGGATCCCAAGAGGCCCCTGAAGCCCCAAGAGCTCCCCTGATTGTTCCAAAGCAACATTCCCCTCCATGAACAACTCAGGGACCCCCTCGATCCACGGCGTGAGGCCCACCAGCAGAGGAAGAGGAGCTTCCAGTCCTGACTCCCACTAGGCGCAGGGGAGCCGAGGTGAGCTCCCAGGCCCGCCGCATCTTCCCGTAAGTGGTTGGGCTGAAAGACTCCCTCTGCCTTTTCATTTGAAAATATAGATACCATCAGACGTTTTGATCATTTCTATTTTTGTTTCTACACTTCAATTTTGGCAGTACTCTCTTGGGAGCTGGGGGGAAACACATTTTTCTCTACCATTTTTAATCTTCTTTTATTTATCAAACTTAGCTCCTCTTTGGGTGGATTAAAACAGACTTGGACAGAGTCTGGAAAAACAAACTCTTTTAAAACAAGACAAAGATTGAGTCTGGCCAACTGGCTATTTTCAATCCTTGCTGAACGGAGTCAAGACAGTCGGTAGTAACAGCTTGTGGCCATCCGCAATCGTCCTCCCCGCACGAGAGGGTGGAGCCTCCTGGAAGTGACCAGAGCCGGTGACTTCGGGAATCAACCCTCCTGAAACAGCGGATGGCCTAGTGAGCCTTTCCAGAACTGCAGAGGGGCATTTGAGTGTGGAACATGAGTGCTGGGCACCTGGAGGAATGGAGGTGAGCCCCCCATCCTGCGGACCCTCACAGATGGGAAGTAGGAGGAGGACTCGCCAGGCCATGCCCTCACGCACTCTTGATCCTTTTAGGATTCCCCAAAGCTCGCTGGATGCACATCCCTTGCTCAGCAGTCCACATCATCCGTATCTCTCATCCCACAGCCGCGGGCTGCCCAGCCAGGTGAGAAAAACAGGGGCGTCCACACACCCCGTTTGAGAAAGGGGATTCTTTCCCCCACAAGCTCCAAGAGGATAGGGCAGTGTCCGATGGTCACTCGGGGACCTCCAAGAGCCATCCAGTGCTCAGCACAGCATGTGTTTGCTGAATTAATCAAGGACTTTGCAGTGGACTCAGGCCACCTTGCCCTGGGACGGGCAGGCACAACATGAGGACTGACAATGCCGTCAGCGCACGCCGGCATGGGAGCCTCAGCTGCTGGGAATGCATTTGCTGTGAAGTGCTGACCAAGGAGTGGACTCTGCCTGCTGGCCACGTGCAGGCGCAGTCCCCATGGGGAGGCACGCTTCTTCCGGGCTGAAGGGGAGCCCTCCTCCTCCCGACTCAGCGAGCCCACCTGCTCCTCCAGGCTGCCCGCCCAAGTTGTGCCCGTGATGGGATGGGAGGGCCAGCCCCAAAACCGAGCATGTGCCTGGCTCTCCTCCCGCCCAGCGACGGGCCTGGCCACCCAGAGCCTCCGGAGCAGCTCCCTTGGGTGGGACCTGCTTGAGGCTCACAGATCCTGGCACTCCCCTTCCCCAGGGTGGCAGAACCCAGCCAAGTTATAGCAGGCAGCACTCACACCTTCACCCACTCATTCATGTATTAATCTGCCCTGCCGGACTCCAGGGGCATCTGTTGACAAAGAGCCTCTAACTGGAACGGGCCGTGGGGACTGTGTCCTGGGGTCTCTCAGGTGCCCAGGCGACAATCTCCTTGGGGCACTAGGTAACTGCAGCAATTTCCCCTCCCTCTCTCCTGCACCCAAGGGACCTGCCCAGCTGTCTCCACACCCTAGAGCCCACCTGGTACTGCTCCTGGATGATTTCTGGGTGTCGGCCCTGTCTGCCCAGGAATAGCAGGGGTCCTGAAAACAGCGGCAGCCCCAGAGCCTCCACCTCTCCCAGCACCAACACAGGATGCTCCATAACACCCAACCTAGTTCCAAAGAGATTGTGAGTGGCAGCTGGGTTCAGAGTAATCACTGCATAACCCAGAAACATTCATTAAGCACCTACTGTGTGCTGCGCTATCCACTAGGCATTAGGAGATACAAGACATAGGGTTGCTGCCCTCATGGGTGTCTCACTCAGGTCAGGGAGCAGCCAAATAATTGCAATCACAACAGTGTCCTATGAGTGCTGTGACCCGGGGCAGATCCAGCCCCCTCTGAGGCAGGGGCCACCAGGAACACTGTGCCAGGGAATTCCGAGACCAGAGGCCTTACGCCAAATGGCAGCATGGCACGGTCTGGATGGCAGGCTTCAGTGAGTGGCGGAAAGACTGAGGGGAGGGCAGAGCAAGAGGGAGAGAGAATAGTGTCTCCCACAAATACAGTCCACTTTCTCCAAACCTGAAGACTCGCTTAGAACCTCATGATCCGGGAATCCATCTGGAGATGGTGAAAGTCATGGTTCCCCTGAGAGTCCTTCCGCCTGTTGACTGAGCCACTGGGGGCTGGCTGGACTGCTCCCACCACGCAGCAAAGGAGAGGCGGCTGCTGCCCACTGAAAAGCAGGTGCGCTCAGCATCCTTCCTTCACACCCGTAGGGCCTTGCGGCAGGAGGTGGGACAGATGCAGACTTCAGCCCCGAGTCTGGCTTACTTCAGGATCCCTCAGGGCTCTCTCACCTCAGAGGCAGCGTGGGACCCCAGGCCACACCTTGTTTGCAGGCCTCGCCTAGATCGTGGTAACAGCCAGAACTCAACAATTTCTCCAAGTCAGCCTCCCCGCAGCCCGGAGTGGGGACTGAGACCAACATGCACCCTCATCTGCGGGCACGCAGGGACACAGCAAGTCCAGAGTGAGTGCTTAGTGCACATCAGGCCTTAAGAAGGGGGGTGGAAATGCAAGGCACCTAGCCAGCTGTGCCGCTCTGTGCAGCTCTGGGAGGAAGCTGGCATGTGCTGATGCAGTTAGCGCCGTTGCACCCTCCTGGTGCTGCAGCTCATTTGAAAAAAGCCCAGATTAGCATGTGGTGCAGAGGTCTGCATATTTCAACAAACGGCTGCCTTGTCAGATGTCACCTCGAGGGACGGGCTGACGGAGTCCCTGGCAAACCCAAGACTGGCCGTGGAGTGGGGACAGAGCCTGAACTGCCCCCAAGCCAGTGGCATTGGCTTGCCCTGTGCAGCCTCCTCCCATAGAGGGGGCAGACAACGCAGGGGGAGGATGCCCCCCAGGTCCACAGCTCTGCAGAGGTCCTGGACCCCACTCTGCCAGTGTGGCGGGTATCAGAGCTGGGTGGGGCTCTGTGAAGTTAGGGTCATGGAGATGGTATGTAAACCATGGGACCTGAAGGGAAGACCCCACCCCAGGGTGCACACCCCAGACACCATGACACACCCTGGCTGACAGCTCTGGCCAACGGAGCACTTGGGAGCAGGTGGTCTCTGCAGCCCACCCTGCTGTCCTGCTGAGCACCCAGGTACCCATGGCACTGGCACATGACCAAGGACAGACATCCATGGTGTGGGCTGCCTGGAGCCCCCCAGGCCCCTGGGAGCTCCTCGGCTTATCAGAGACCAACTCCAGCCCTGAAAGCCATCATTTTCTGGGGTCTTCTGGAGCCCCACAAGGGGATCACCCATGCCTCTCCAGGTGGAGAATGAGGGTCAAATGGAGAGTTATCTTGGAAGCCCGGATGCCCCGCCTGGAGGGAAGCTGCCTGCTGGGGCAGACACCTGGCCTGTCCAGAGCCTAACTGAATGCCACAGGTCCCAGAGATACTCAGCCTGGAGCAGCCTCTGCACTGAGCAGGCCTGGAGTCAGTGGGCTCTGCCCGAGCAGGGACACAGTCCCCCAGGAAGTTGAGAACACAGCAAGCCAGAGCGGGGAGGCCTCCAGTGAGGTGCAGCCATCTCCACTGCAGCAAGGATAATATCTCCTCTCCAGACTGCGGTCAGCAGCGGGCCTGAGGTGTCCTGCTCTGTCATGGCGGGAGGGTTCCATGAGCAGCAGCGAGGGTCCCCCCGTAGGAGGTTGCCCCTACCCCGCCAAGGCCAGACCAGCAGGGAGGCTCTCCTTGGAGGCAAGGCCCCCACCACCTGCTGTTCCTGGGTGACATTTCCTCCAGAGAGTGGCCGGAAAGGTCACCTCCCCTCCACTCGGGCCTGCTTCATTGCCGTGATTACACTTTACGATCCTTTTATGAAGGATTTTGTCTTTAAGTTCCACAAATGTTATTGCAAAAAACGACTTGGGCCCCATCTCTTCCCCGGGGAGGGGAGCGGCCTGGCTGATTGGTAATAAGGGCCAAAGCGTCAGAGATCCTCATTTTCAACAGGGCTGGAGGAGACAAACGACCCCCGGCTCCCCAGGAGATGTTCAGAGACGCAGATGCCAGGGGAGGACGTGGAGGGCTCCAGGTGGATGCAGACCCCAGACCACTCTCCCCTCTCTGTGCCCCTCAGCAAGTCACACACTGCCAGATCGGGGTCCCACTATGTAGAGTGGTCATGGACACTTCTCCACACACTACACACCATACACATCACACACTACACACCACACACGACACACACCACAGACTATACACCCCAGACAGTACACCAGTACACATATCACTATACACACCACACACACAAATACACACATCACACACACCATACATACTCTACACAAACACATCACACACACATACACACCACACACACACACCATACACATCACACACTGTACACCACACATGACATACACCACACATCATACACCCCACAGTACACCAGTACACATATCACTATACACACCACACACACACTAATACACACATCACACACACCACACATACACCACACAAACATCACACACACACCACACACACACCACACACACACATCACACACCCACACACACCACACACACACCACACACACATACACACCACACACCCGCACACACACCACACACACCACACACACATACACATCACACACACACCACACACCACACATGCACACACACATGCCACACACGCACACACACCACACACACACCACACACACATACACAACACACACCCGCACATACACCACACACACACCACACACATACACACCACACACGCCACACACGCACACACACACCACACACACACACCACACACCCGCACACACACATATGCACACACACCACACACACACCACACACATCACACACACATACACACTACACACACATCACACATGCACACACACCCCCCACACACACCACACACACATACACACACATATGCACACACACACAGCACACACACCACACATCATGTACATCACACACACATACACACGACACACACATCACACATGCACACACACCCCCCACACCCACACACACACATACACATCACACACACCACACACACACACACCACACACACATCACACATGCACACACACACACGCACACACACACCACACACACACGCCCCGGCCCCTCCAATCTGAACACCCGGGTGACAAGAACCACAGCGGCTGATTGATGCTGGGCCCTGCACACTGGCCTCCCAGGCCCTGCACTCGGCGTCCTGGAGCTCCTTCCACTCAGCACCCACACGATCCCCTGGGGTATCTGTGGCCCCCAACATGCCCCGGGGGAGCCCAGAGCCGGCTTCCCCCAGCTGGAAGACAGCACTGCTGGGGCCTTCCCAGGGCACGGGTGGTGGCACTCAAGACCCGGAGCCTGGCAGGGCTGCAGACCTTGCCACCCCTGAGGTCAAGGCCTCCCAGCAGTCCCACCTTGAAGAAGGACTTGAGCCCAGAGCCAAGGGGAGGGTCCTGTGTGTCTGTGGCCAGGTGCACTGAGTCCTCACTGCAGGTCTGCATGGGGCCTCCCACCCTGGCCTCCCTCCACCCTCCCAACACCGACACAGGGGGGTGGCACCTGTTGCCCTGTGTGGCATACAGGTGGGCTGGGGAATGTGCCTGGGCTCCTCACACCTGGGACAAGGAAAACAGCAGCCGGCCGAGGCTGAACTGTGAGTTGTCTTCCCTGAGAGAGGCAGACTCCACAAAGAATGAAACAATGCCCTTCAGCAAAAGTCTGGGTCCTACGGGCCCTCCAGAAAGCATGGGAATGGGGAGGGTCTCCAAGTCCCTGCACGATGCTCCAAAGGGTACAGGGTTCTGGGGTCTCCAAGTACCTGCACAAACACCCCAGCAGGGACAGGCTCCTTGGAGTCTCTGGGTTCCTGCACAAAGGTCCCAGGGGGTATAGGGTCCTGGGGTCTCCAGGTCCCTGCACAAGTGCCCCAAATGGTACAGGTTTCTGGGGTTTCCAAGGCCCTGTACAAACGCCCCGGGAGGACAGGGTCCTGGTGTCTCTGGGTCCAGTGCACACACCCAGGAGGCGCAAAGTCTTGAGAAGTGCTGCCGTTCAGTGGCGGACTTCCTGGGGCTTCACTCCCAGCCCTGACTCCCCCACCCCCTGTCCCTGAACAGGTTCCTCAGCCCAGGATCCCCATTTTCCTTTGGTGAGCCCCTCTGCAGGGTTTGGCCCAGGTCTGGAGCCTCACGTCCACACAGAGAGCTGCTACCAGGACCTGTGTTACCTGGCCGGCTTCTAATAAATGGCTGCTGTTTGTATTTTTTTTTTTTTTTTTTACTGTCAATGAAAAATGGTCTGACAGGCAAACACAAAAACAAACCCATTACACCGAGTGCCACAAAAATCTTCCTCTAAACATCTGAAGCTAAAATTGAGGCCAAGTTTCACAGTACATTAGTGACTAAATTCTGAATAACATCATTTTGTAAAGAAGAAATAATTGGCAAATTATAAGATTATTTTAGTACAGTAACTTGAGAAAGAACAAAAAGAAAAGGAAGCGAGGCTTGGATTCATGAAAAACAAAAGATGCATTTGAGGCAAAAAAAAAAAAAGGCAAACTCCTGTGCATATCTGCGCTCAGCGTTTCTTACCTCGAGGTGGGACTGGGTCCTTTTTGCCGGGGCGGAGGACACCCTAGAAGTCAAAGGCTTATGTGCCCCATTAGACCTCAGGGGACCAGGGACTGGAGCAGAGAGGTCGGGTAATCGGTCATCGTTCCCATGGCGGGTGTCAGTTCTGGGCACAAGTGGCCTCGGAGAGGGATTCTCTGGGGGTCCAGGCAGGATCTGCCTCCCCCACCCCTCCAGAGGTTTTCCAGGCTTCCACCCAGGGGATCCACCTCCCCCCACCGCCCTGGTCCTGGGGAGCAGGCTTCAGCCCACGGGTCCCTTCTATTTCCCACCTGCACCGGTGCTGCAGTGGGAAATGAATTCAAACACACCTTTGTGACCTACACGGGTCTAACCTGGGCAAACTCACCCTCCCGTACACAAGGCTAGACCCAAGAAGGCACAAGTCCTGGTGGCCAGCAGGTTCACTGCGGGTGAGGGGGCCAGCCCTTCTCCTGCAGTCAAGGCTTGCCGGCTTTTACCCGGCTGCTCCTAACCCTTCCCAGGCCCCCAGTTCCACTCCCAACCCCCCAATCCATGGGACATGGGCTCTGCCAGACCCCGGTTTTCTCTCCAGTGCTGGAATCGAACCAAACTCCTCTCCCTGGCAAGGCCCCATCCCCTCCCACCTTCTGCCTGTACCCCTGCCCCCTTCAGCACTGGTGGCGGCAGGTTCTGGGACTTCGAAGTTTCCCATCTGGCTCCTTGTTACCCAGTTCTCAGCCGACGTATCACGTCCTGGGGGTGACCTTGCCTGGTCAGCTGAGCCCTGTGGCCTTCCTGCGGCTATTAAGCCCTCTCCTGAAATTCTCTGACAGGCCCTGGAACTCCAGCGACATTGCTGGATATTTCTTCATTTGCTCATAGGCTCTGTTCCCGTGGGCAGGCCCTGTCGGGTGGCACCGACCTGGCTGTAGCTCAGCACAGCATACCTTCCTCGTCCTTCCCGATTTCCACCTGAGGGGCTCCTAGCTTCTTAAAAAAATACAGAAAGTGGGAAGAGAAAAGTTGCAGTGACAAACTGCACCCGTCTAAATGTAACTCCGTCTTTAAGAAAAGTCAACACAATAATTGTCTTTGTTTCAGAACAGATGCCAAGAGGGAAATCAAAACAGCTTTTCCTGCCTGGGAAACAGTAACAACCACTTCAGAGTGATCACCGCCCGGCCACGCACAGCCTGGAGGAGCCCATGTCCTATTAGGGTATCGGCTTTGCCTCCGATTATCTGGCAAATAAACCAATTTAGGAGTCCGCCAGGGTCTTTCTGGCCACCTCTCCAGGGCCCTGGCTGGGCCAGTCCTGTCTTCATTTCCATACAGCCAGCATCCTCAGTGAGATGGAGAAATGTCATTATTTACCAAGAAACCAAGATCTGAAAATGGCAATTACTCGGCAGGTCAGCAGAAAGCCCCAGGATACTTCTCTCCCCGGGATTCAGCCAGCAGCTCGGAGCTGGAAGACCGAGCCAGTGCCCACCCCACAGGCTCCCACCCCCTGTGAACTCACATCCCATTGGTTTACAAAAACGACTATGTATCCCCCCGACAAATACGTATTCATGCCTCCAAATGTTAAGTCTATTGCACACTTTATAAAACACAAACTGAAAAGTCACAGTAAAATGCAGATATAAACATGACACGATTCACCTGCCTGCTCTGTGGGCCCTGGGGACTGGATTCCGCACCTCCAGGGTGGAAGGAGACAAGCTCCCTGCACCCTTGATCCTAGGACTGGCCATGGGACTTACTTGGCCAGTGGGATGTTTGTGGGTGTGACCCAGGAGGAGCCCTCAATGAGCTCCGGAGGTTGAGTTTGGTGTCCTGCGATTTCCCACGGCAAGACCATGCCGGGAAGTAGCTAGTCAAGAATGCACAGAGACGCGTGGAAGAGACCTGAGCCCACCGCGGCCCGGAGCAGAGAGCACGGCAGACCCATGAGCAGGCACAGTCATGCTCCCTGCTGTGGGCCACAGAAGCTGGACTGCTTGTCAGGCAGCACCAGTGCAGGGAGAGCTGACTGGCTCTGATTCCGGCCACCACCTGGTCCTCATTCTGCCCTCCGAAGTTCCACATGGACGATACTGTATCCTGAAGGGCTCAAGGGAGGGAAAGCTCGCCAGCCAATACCCAACTACCTCGAATCAGCCAGAGCCAGAAAACTGGCCTGAGGATGGGGCGCCCCATGGCCTGGCTCACAACCAGCCTGAGGGCAGGGCTCGGGGCAGCGGCCCTCAGCCCCTTGCCCAGGACTGTCCTCCTCCTCCACCTGCTCAGTCCCATCTCCCATCCCCGCCCCTAAACCAGGAGCTGGCAGCGACTTTCGGTAGAGCGCCAGGTAGTCAATATTTTCGGCTCTGCAGCCCCGGGCCATCTCGGTGGTTTCACGTATTTTTCTTTTTTTGTTATAACCCTTTAAGATGATTAAAACCATCCTTAGCTTCCTGGCAATATAAAAGCAGGCCACTCGGCCTAAAACCCGGAGCATCCACACCTGAATCTGCCTTCAGGAAGGGGCGTGGAGCTGACCGTGCGCTGGTGACAGAGAGGTCCGTGCACTGCCTGGATCCATGGCATCCCCACGCCAAATGGCCCACGGGGGAATGGAAGGCATCGTGCCCCTGCCACCCCCTCACCCTGACCCTACACCCTCAGCCTGATCCCCACCATCAGCCAGAGAGGCCTCAGGAAACCAGGGGTACAGGGTCTGCCCAAGGCCTCTCCTGCTCTCTTCACTCCGGCAGGAGCCTGGCTTAGTCTGGGGACACCGTGGGGCCTTCTAGGCTGCTGGGCTGGGCGCTCTGACAGGGGAGCAGAAAGGGGCCTCCAGGGCCCCAGGGAGAGCTGCAGGACCCTGGCTGCAGTGCCTGCTGGGCTGGGCTTCCCCCTGAAACAAGAAGGAGGCCATGGCATTTGGTTTGACACTCATCGGGAGCTCCTTGCTGCCAGCTTCTGGGTCCTCCCAGGAGCCTTATCCAACTGTGGGACCTGTGGGCTGGGATTGAGAGGCCAGGCTGGCCAGGGCCGCATGCTGAGTCAGTAAGTGGCAGGGCCCAGATTTGAAACCAAGCCCCATCCTCTGCCCACATGCCTCCTGGCACACAGACATGGCCTGCCCTGGGGTTTTGTCCCTGGCATCCCTGGTCTAGAGTGGATGGAGGAGTGGGGAACGCCACCCTGAGCTCCCATGGCCAGACCCCGTCTCTCCCAGACGATGACGATCTTGCCTGGAAATGCACCAAGAACAGAGCGGGAACCTCATGTCCTCAGGTCCCCAGGGAGCCGGGCCATGTGGTGGCAGCACCGGCCTCCCCTGCCCCACCCTGCCCCCACCCCGGGTGTCTCAAAGGCAGAGGAACGAGAGCCACAGAACAATCCGTTCCATCGGGGCCTCTGCCAGCACCAAGCCATCTGGCTCAAGTCAGCGGGACCTCCCCAATTCCTGCCAGACCGGGAGGCCGAGGGGGTTTTTGTTTGGGGTGGCATTCCTCCTGACCACACCCATCACTAAGAGCTCCTAAAGGAGAGGCACCCAGGCCAGCCACGTCCAGAGGGAGCCCCCGTCCCAGGTCCTGCTCCTCTGCAGACGACAGAACTCAGCCAGCTGCAGCCCAGCCAGGCCCCGCTGCCATCGCCCAGCCAGTGCCAGGGTGTCCGGGGGCTGCCTCGGGTCTGTGGGGCAGCTCCCAGCCACTCCTCCACACACAGATGTGAAGCTCCTCCCTTCCCCAGCGTAAACCCTCCTGGAGCACAGAAAGCCACTGCCGTGTGCATGTGTGTGCGCGCCGCCTGTGCCCATGGGTGGCTGCAAACAAAGGCACTCTGTCCTCCCCGCAGCACAGGGCACAGGGAGCCGGAAGCCTTGGCCGCAGATGAAGACAGGCATGCTGTTGACATGGAAACCCAATAGTTAAAAATTCTTCAGGCGGTTTCGAAATGTCAAATTTTGATAACCAGGTTGGAGTCCTTGTTCCTCCATAGTGAAATGTTTGGCAAAACAAGCCCTGCCATGAATTCCTGACAACTCGTCAGCCACGGCGCACGCCTGAGCCATATGTTCCTCCACGGGCGGTGCGCGCTCGTTACCCACCCGCGCCGGCTCCCGGTGCTGACACGCTGTCAGGGCTGAAAGGACGGCCTGCCTCTCCGGGCTCGTCTTTTATGGACATATAACTTGTTGGCGGACAAAGGACATCCACTTGTTTCCCGGCTTGCCGAGAGGAAAGCCCTCTGATAGACAATTCTCCCTCTATGTTGCCCCACAAAAACCCGGGACTGCTGGCATTTGCCTTGAGCCGGGGACGGTAGGTTTCCAAGTCCCTGCTAATTAATGGAAACGTGTGTGTGTGTCGGGGCATGGGGGACGCATGAAGACAGAGACCCACACCTACATATGGACACTTGCTTCTGCCAAATTAGTTTCAGGAGACGAAAACCAACCCATGCGGGAACTCGCTGCATGCGGCACCAAGCGGCGGTGCAGCTCTGTGGCGGGGGCTCGACAACACGGGCACTCCTGGGGGGGGTGTGTCTGTGTGTGCCCCTGTGCAGCCATGCATGAGTGCCCATACGCGTGCCTGTGCAAATGTGTGTAATGTGTGTGCAGTGTGCTCACACCTACGTATATGCATATACCCACACAGCCTGTGTGCACACACACGAGTGCTCATACATGTGCCGGTGTGACCGTGTGTGATGTGTGTGCAGCATGCTTGCATCTACACATATGCATATACCCACACAGCCTGTGTGCACACACGCATGAGTGCTCATACATGTGCCAGTGTGACCGTGCGTGTGATGTGCCGGTGTGACTGTGTGTGTGATGTGTGTGCAGCATTCTTGCACCTACATATATGCATATACTCACACAGCCTGTGTGCACATGTATGCATGAGTGCTCATCACATGTGCCGGTGTGACCATGTGTGATGTGTGTGCAGCATGCTTGCATCTACACATATGCATATACCCACACAGCTTGTGCGCACACAAAGGCACGAGTGCTCATACATGTGCCTGTGTGAACGTGTACATTGCGTGTGCAGTGTGCTCACACCTACACATATGCGTATAGCAACACAGACTGTGTACATGTTTGTGTTCAATGCTCATCTGTGACATATACACACCCGTGTAATACTGAAGTCAGACATTTCTTCTAAGGCCATCACATCCTCTGTTGACGCACTCCTGTGCAGGTATTATTTGTAAATGTGCATCTTACATGCACACTCATGTGCAGGTCACAGTGTGTGGGAGTGTGACTGTGTGTGTGTGGATGAAAAGACACACTTTTAAGAGTCACACACACATACTACAGTGGTGGGGTGATCATTTGCATAAAAACCTGTATAAAGGTTCCACCTCCCCTGGAAAGACACCCTGTGCACAGCAGAACGTTCCCAGGTAAGGGTTGCTGGGCTGGGATCCCAGGGTGAGAGGCCCCAGGGCCCAGCCTTGGGGAGGGGCTGCCCAAGGCTGGGGAGAGGTGATGTTCCGGAATGTTCCCTGTTCGCTGGCTGGGGTGACAGAGCTGGCTGGGGACCCACGAGTGGCCAGTAGAACTAGGAAGAAAAGGAGAGGACAGAGGAGCTAAGGCGTCTGTGCTGAGGCTGCAGCTCAGCCTCCAGGACCCCCAAGACAAACAATGGGCACCGACCTCCATCCCTCCACGGCCAAGCCTCCACAGTCGCTGAGCGCAGCTGCTCCTGCGGCTCCCAGCCCCGTGTCCCTGACCTGCAGCAGAGCCCGCTTTCTCAGTGCAGGTGCGCCCGCGGTGCCCGCCGGAGAGCCGGGCCTCCCCCTCCCCCCGTTCCAGGGTAAAGGACAGTGGAGGGGGCGCAGCCTCTCCTTCAACCTCCCCACACCCCCGCAGGGCGGCCCCAGCAAGCACCTAGAGGAGATATTCCCGGAAGTGAAGCTGGAGGAGGAGCTGCTTGGCTCCGGGCACAGGCACATTCCAGGGCCCTGTGGGCTCAACTGCAGCCTCCCTCAGGCCCTGCCCTCCAGCCTGCCCTGTCCACCCACCCAGGCTGTCCTGGACCTGCTGCTCAGCTGACACGGCCCCTCCTCTCTGCCTCCACACTCCTCAGTCCTAGAGCTGGCCATGCAGGGTTACCCCCGTGGGAGTCCTCTGCAGACCCCCGGAGGAACGCCCGGCCCCATCTCACCTGCCTGCCCTACTTCAACTGCCTGGCCCCTCACCTACCTATCAGCCCTCATCTGCCTGACTCCCCTCACCTGCCTTACCCACCGCAATTGCCTGATCCACCTCACCTGACTTACTCATTTCACCTGCCTGACCCACCGCACCTGACTTATTCATTTCACCTGCCTGCCTCCCCACCTGCTTGACCCACCTCACCTGCCTGGCCCCCCTCACCTGCCTGACCTCCCTCACCTGCCTGTCACCCCTCACCTGCCTGGCCCTGCCTCACCTGTATTCTTGCCTCTGCTGTGAGGGTAGCAATGGAAGGAGACCATGTGGGCTCTCCTGAAAGGAGAGTTCCTTCTCCATGTCATCAGCCCAGCTCCAGGAAATGCAGATGCTAAGGGGTCCTTGCTAACTTTGGGGTGCTGACCCACTATGACCCCACAAACCATGGCCCATGCCCTCCACAATGTGCCAGGCTCATCCTTTCCACCAAACATGGTGAAAACAGCTGTCATCCAGCCACACGGCTGCTGCTTCCCCATTTTCTCATATTTCTGGACACTGGCTTCTCTGTACAGCAAGAAAGGACAGGTGGGAAAAGGAAAAAAAAAGGTTTGGGGAAATGTGAAAATGTCCTTCTCTGGGCAACAGCTCACTGCGAAATTTCATTCTGGCCAGGGACCAAGATGCCCAGAGGGTGGCCTCGAGTTGGGAAAGGGGCCCTAGGGTGTCCTTCTCCCATTCCCTTCCAGATCTTTCTACAGCCATCTCCCGAGGGCCTCACTGCTTGGGGTGTGACCCCTTCCTGGCGTTTCAGAATGTGGTGGGATCCAGCTTTGACTCAAATGACCAAAATACATCCTGCTGACATCTCTGATGGGCAAGGCCCTAGCTGGACGTCAGACTTGCAGCCTGGAGGCCAAGACGCTGAAGACCTCGTGCTGAGAGAGCCCCACCAGGGCCTGCCCTGGAGTCCTCACCCTGTGCCACCCCTGCCACCTCTGTGCCAGCTGTGCTGGGGTCGCCTTCTGCAGACACAGGGCTTGGACACCACAATTCTGGGGTCCCAGGTGAGAGCCAAAGGTTTGACGGCTGCACCCCTCCCCCTCACACCTAACGGGAGACCAGGGCATCGATGAGACTTCTATTCTTTGCTCCTTGCACCCTAATCACCGCCGGTCCCCTCACCCTTCCTCAGGGCCACCTCCTCAGACCCCGGCCACTCCATCAGGCTGGGCGGCAGCAGGCACAGGCCTCCCAGGGGGTGCTCCCAGGGCCTCTGCTCCCAGAAGGACACTGCACAGGGGAACCTCCGCCCGCACCTGTCAGCAAACCCCCGTCCCCTGGCAGCATTTAGGGCAACAGCCTGGGGACTCAGCACCCTGCGCTCACTTCAAGCTCTACCACCCACAGGCGGTGGGACCTTGGCAAGTGTCTGGATGTCTCTTGGCCTCAACTTTCTCACCCTGGACATGGAGAAGATATGATCTCCCTGTTGCAAAGACAGTGTGTGTCCTGTGTCCTCCAAATCCTAGGACTCATTCCTCAGATGCTCCCAGCCCGTCTTCCCGATGGGAGCCGGGGCAGGGGCACCATTCCTTGCTGAAAGATTTCAGGCAGAAGTGGCCCGGGTCCTTCCAGGCCTGACCTCCTGTGCCATCCTCCTCTTCTTCCCCTTTCATGGTGACCTGGAAGCCACGTGTGAGATGGCGGCTGCATTAGAGGCCCCCAGCGACTGGGTGGGCCACACCCTATGCCTGCAGCAGGGCAGATGCTGGACGTGACTATAGTGTCTGCAGCCTGAGGTCTCCCATCCCACCTGCCTCACTAACCCCACCAGCGACAGTGCGTAATCGTTGACTGATCCCAATATTTTAAAACCTGAGACCAAAATACACAAAGAGACTATCCTGAAGACACAATAAATCCTTGCTGGGTACATGAACAGCCTTGGGATTGAGCAGGAGGGAAATGGTCTCTTGAGAACATGAAATACGTGTTTCCAACATGTACTCCTCACCGGAAAGATCCGAGCTGTCAGGGCTGACCACAGCCTGAAAAGGTGCGGAGTAAATAAAAGGCAAATATGGTGAAGATTAGACGTGCGGCCTCCGTAATCTCCTAAAGAGTGCTGGCTGGGCAGCCCTGGAGGCGAGGGCCACATTTGCATAATCTCTGTAGAAAAACCCCTGGAAGCCAAGCTTATCATGGTTCTGAGAAGAAGAAAAGGCAAGGAGATCCCTCCTCTTCATCAGAGAACAGAAAGCACCAAGGGGTTCCTCGTCCGGAGGAGGCAGGCGGGGTGCACAGGAGCAGGGCTCGGGAGAGAGCCACCCACCTTCCTCTGGATGCACAGTGACCAGCTGTGCAGACAGGAAACGGGAGCTCAGCTGCAGAATCAGACCCAGAAGCGTCACCAGCTGTGCCGGCATGTGCTGGGCATGAAGTCCTGTCCGTGGTGTGCCTGGCTGTTCCTGGCTGTGGGACGTCCACCCTCTCCTGCCCTGCCAGGCCCGTCCGTCCTTCCGGGGGAGTTGGGGGGTGGGAGGCACCTGCTGTCTCTTCCTCCAGGGTCAGCCTCCCAGCCTCTCCTCCCAGGATTAGAGAGTGCAGTCCTGGGGGCAGTCCCAGACAACCTCCCTGTACAAACCCCTTTCTGTTCCCAAGAGGCATGTGGTCTCTGGCGCGAGACTGACAGCTCAGCAGGAGGGCGCGCTGGGGGTCTAAAGGCATTTCTCCTGCAGGCGAGGAAGGGAGGGTCCAGGCTAGAGTCCCCTGCACAAAGCCGGTAAGCTTAGGGGTGCAGGCCGGCTACCCCAACCTGACGCCAATGCCAAACCAAGTCAGTAACCCACATGTCGACTGCACCTGCAGGGAAGACCCACTGTGGCCTCAGGGACCTCGAAGTCTGCCAGATCCCAGGCCACAGGGCACCGGGGCGGGTGTCAGGAGCCACCTGCAGAGGCCGCAAGACTCACGTTGTCTGCAAGAAAGCCCCTCTCACTGTCCGCTCCAGGAAGGGGACAGGCAGGCCGGTGCCCCAGAGCTTTCACCTGCCCAGTCTTCATCACAGCCCCACCCTGCCCAGGACAGGCTCCCAAGAGGCAGAGCCAGGGCAGGACAAGCCTGGGACTGGGGCTCAGCTCCTGCGGCCACACATCTGAGCTCCATGCAAGGCCGAAAGGGTTGGCCAGGGGCCGCTCAGCTCATCACAAAAGCAGAAGGTTCCCCATGCAGACCCACACTTCCTGGATCTGAAACAGGCCCAGCCACGTCGGCAGGCAGTGTGGTGGCTCCTGGCTACCCCAGCCACCTCTGACTGATTCCCTGAGACGGTCCACACACCCATGACCAGCTCTTGCCGGCTGGCATGTCTGTGAGTGTGGCCAGTCCCCTAACAAGGCTGGGGTCGGGGCGGGCAGGGGCACCACTTTGCACAGGGGGTCCCTGTACAGTGGAAGCTCAGTCTGTCATGTCACTGTGACATCTCAGCCACTTTCATTTGGAACCCGAGGGACATTTCTCCCCTGCTTTGTCGAAGCCCATAGCCACACGCACTGGGGTCGCCTCTCCTGCCCCAAACCTCACTCCTGGGAACTCCCTCTGCCACCGGCCCCCTGAAGGGGTGGGCCTGGGGGTCAGGTGTGAACCAGGTGGCTATGACTCCCGGCCCAAAGACAGCAGGTCCCATGTGACATGGACAGTTGGACAGGAAAGACGGGAGCCCATTGGAGGAGGGTCGCCAAGCAGAAGGGATGGGAAGGGAGGGAGCCAGGGGAGCGCTGGTTTCTTGCCCACCCTCTAGCAGGGGAGGAGACGGGAGGAGCCCTGTCCACCTGCTTTCCACTCTGGGCCTCAGCTTCTCTCTCTGTAAACCTGCAGCAGGTTCCCCTGAACCATCCCAAGGTCCCTGGCCAGAGTATCCAGTGGTCAGCCAAGACTCGAAGCCAATCCTTTCAGTTGAATGCCGGCCCCACGACAGTGCCCGGTGCATTCCTTCTCTGGGCTCCAGCAGGTGATGGCCCCTGTGCCCTCCAGAGGTTCCTTCACTCTGTGTTTTCTCAGAAAGGCACTTCAGGGACAGGCAGCACCAAGACTCCTGATGCCCCATTTGTCAGACGACCATGCTCGGATGTCACAGGAGGGGAGCAGAGGAGACTTACACTCAAGTTCTCATGCATGCAAAAATGGAGGTGATGCAGGCCCAGCCTCCTCCTCCTCGAGTCGCCATGGAGACAGAGCAGGTGGTACAGGTCATCAGTACAGGAGGGTCTGCAGACGCCAGGGCTTCCCTCACCCTACTCAGCCCAGCCCCACAAAGCAGAGGGCCCACGGCCTCTGCAGCCACAAGCTCAGTCCTCAGGGGGTGTCCAGAGGGCCCACAGCCCCTGCATCCATGAGCTTAGTCCTCAGGGGGTGTCCAACACCCTGTGAAGGGAGAAGGGTTGTCCCAGATGCCCCAACTCCCACCTGGAAGCTCTTTCTTCCAGAGTTTTCCTCCACATGTGCCTTCCAGGCTCGCTGTGACTCAAGGGCTACAACCACTCCCAGAGCACCCATGGGAGGATGGAGGTCTGAAGGGGCCTGACCACACACCCTCCCCGTCCACACACCCAACCCATCATCCTGTCTCTATGGAAAATCCTGATTCTTCCACAGTTCAGCCTGGTCGGAGACCCCTGGAATCCCACCTGGACACCCCCATCTCCTGCCTGACACCCCCATCTCCTGCCTGGACACCCTCATCTCCTGCCTGGACACCCCCATCTCCTGCCTGACACCCCCATCTCCTGCCTGGACACCCCCATCTCCTGCCTGACACCCCCATCTCCTGCCTGGACACCCCCATCTCCTGCCTGGACACCCCCATCTCCTGCCTGACACCCCCATCTCTTGCCTGGACACCCCCATCTCCTGCCTGGACACCCCCATCTCCTGCCTGGACACCCCCATCTCCTGCCTGACATCCCCATCTCCTGCCTGACACCCTCATCTCCTGCCTGACATCCCCATCTCCCGCCTGACACCCTCATCTCCTGCCTGGACACCCTCATCTCCTGCCTGGACACCCCCATCTCCTGCCTGGACACCCCCATCTCCTGTCTGACACCCTCATCTCCTGCCTGACACCCCCATCTCCTGCCTGAACACCCCCATCTCCTGCCTGGACATCCTCATTTCCTGCCTGGACACCCTCATCTCCTGCCTGGACACCCTCAACAGCCTCCACCTTGATTTTTCTGCCTCTACCCAGGTCCTAGGCATGCAGCGCCAGAGCGAGTTCTCAAATGTGAAGGTGGTTTAAGCAGTCACTGCCCTGCTAGGGCCCCTCAGAGGGTTCTAGTGCCCTCAAGGGCAAGCCCCCATCAGGCAGCTACCCTGTGCCCCATGCACCCCACCTGCCTGAGCCTTTCCCCAGGCTGGGCCTTCAGCTGAAATGTACCCCCTCATTGTCTCCCTGCTACCCCTCCCTTCTCCAGGTTACAATGGGACTGTGTCTCCCAGAGCAGGGCCTCTGGGCCCCAAGGAAAGCAAAGGCAGGTCAGGGGCTCCACAGACCCCCAGCTTCTCCCCCAGTGCTCCTGGTGCAAGCGCACAGCTGCTGAGTGGGGCCCCGCCCACCGGCCCTGCACGCACACTTGAGGCCACTCCGCTTCCAGGGTGTTCCTGGCTCTTTCCACAGTGCTGACCTGCAATCATACTCACACTATGTCTTTGTTGACTCAAAGCATTGGTTAATTACACAAACTCCCTAAGCACCTGACAAACCACAGTCCCCGAGGCCACATCACAGGTGGGGCAGGTGCACAGGCTCAGACTCCTGGGATCAACCCTAGGCTCCTAGGGGGTGAAGACCACCCTTGATGGGAGCTGGGCCCCGTGAAGGAGTGTGGCAGGGCTGGGTGCAGTGGCTGCAGGCAGCCAGTGCAGGGTGCAGAGGTGCTGGGTTGCAGGGGCTGCCCTTCCAGGGGTGCCTCCTCACTATGGCCTTGGCTATACACAGGCATCGGGGAATGGACCCCCAGAGCAGAACCCTTTCCTGGAGACACGATGCACCCAGGTGGCACCGACTCATGCCCCAAGGCCCTACTGGAGTCCTCACCGCAACTCTGCAGCAGCCCCCAGGCCCACTCCCATCTCACTCCGCTCGAAGCTTGTCAGGTACCAGGACCACACCAGGCTCCTGATTCACGGGTTTCCGGCACCTCCGAACTTCAGCGTCCTTAACTGAGAATCAGCATCATCGACGCCATCAGAGCCATCGCGGGGCCTGTGGAGGAGGAGAGGACAGGCACCGGGGGGCCCCGGGGGGCCCAGGCGGCCAAGCCAGCTCTGTCTATGCCGCTTTCATCTGCCTGTCTGGTGCCCTGCACCAAGGGTCACATGACATTCCCGATTCCAGAGAGGAGAACAAGTAGTAAAAGTGCATCTCAGAAGTGCCTGAAGAAGAGCGCGCCTGGGAAGGCGGGATTGCACCTGTTACGGCTGCTGGCATGTAACACGGGCCTGAAGCCTCGCGCCGGGCTCCATCTACCCGTGAAACACCCGGCGCATCTCAGGCACCTCCCTCTGACCTCCCGGCCACCATCGCCGGACCCACAGCTGCTCCCCTCAACCACACGACAGAGGCTGACCCAGGAAGGGTCTGAGCTAGGGCAGAGGCCCACAGAGCCCCGGATCCTCCTGCCACTTCCAGCCTGGGTGGGATGCGGCTTCCCACAGGGCTTCCAACAGGTGCTGTGGTGGGACCTCACCTCCCTTCCAGGCAGACTTACAAGAGCTGGAAGGAAGCTGGAAGTCAGAACCTGGCCTGTCTCTGTGCCCCAAGGACTGTGCACCATGTCCTTCCTGAACGTTCCCATCTGGAGGCCGTGCACGGGGAGTAGCCGGCTGTCTCTGGGCAGCTGCAACAGCTCAGGAGTCCGCCTCACTGTCCACGGTCCCGTTGCCCCTCACCCCTGCTGCCCTGGCCTTGCCCTGCCCTATAAGCAGGTGCCAGGCGACACCATAGCTGCTCATCCATTCAGAAACACAGGAGTACCAGCTGCGCTGTAAGAACTGGTTGAGTGCAGATCTCAGAGACCCCCCAGGCCTGGGCTGCAGTTGGGGTCTAAGTGGACCTTGACATTTACAGAGGAGGAAGTGACGGCCAGCCACAGGGAGTGCCACGGGGTCGCCTCTGACTCTAGCATTGCCCCAGAGCCACAGCCTCCAGAGGGTGAACCACATGGCCTGGTCAATTGGCCCAGGGGAGGCCAGCAAGGGCCCACGGGGCACTGGGTGGGGCTGTTACAATGAAGCCCCTTACATCTGAGTTCTCCAAATGCACACATCTGACTTTCAATAAATGGAAAAATTAAAGTTATAGTGGGCCTCATCATGAGATATAATATATTAAGGGAAAGGAATCACTTAAAGAAAATCCCAAGGACAACTCAATATCCTCCCCCTTTCAGAGGAAATGCAGTCCCATCTCACAGTTGATGTCATTGTTAATTCTTTCTAATGACACATTCAAGAAACAAAGCAAAACAAAAGAACCATCAACTCAGCATTTAGAACAACATATTTTGACAGCATATTTTTAAACTAATTCCCCTCTTCCAATGAAAGTGCCGTCTTGCAATCTTTCTAAGTCTATTCAGTATATACAACATGATTAACTCATTCTTCTCACGATGAAAACTCCGAGATACATAATGGCAGCGTGATCGACATGCAAATGCACTCAGGGACATTGTCTCTTCTTGTAAGGACCAGGAAGGACGTACCAATGAGGATGCACCCGCAGGAGCTCCGGGGCCAGCAGCCGCCCTGTATGGTCAGCCTTGTGAGGCCGGCACGCAGAGTTAACCAGGAGTGAGCAAGGTGGCACGCAGAAGCCAGCCCGTCTCTCCCTTGTGGACCAGGGACTCTGAGGGCTCCAGGTGGCCAGTATTCAGATGTGTCTGGGGCGACAGCTCCTGGAAGACTTGACTGGGGCACCTGCTCCCACTCTGCTCCCCTGAGAAGGATTTTGGAGCCAGCCAAGGGTACACAGTGAAGGATCCCTGCAGGTGGAAAGCTCCCTCGGCTCCTGGCCAGGGTGCAGGGGACCTCCCCAAAGACACAGATGGCATAGTCCCAGCTCAGGACACCACACACAGACGGAGGAGGGCAGCAGGGTAGACAAAGAGAGAATGAGGCCAGACCGGAGTCCCAGCCCTGGACAGCCCCTTCATGCTGGGAGCACCCGGGCAGGGCCATGGGCATGCACCCCTTAGTTTCTCCATTGGTAAGGTGAGGCCACTGGCTCCCCTGGCAGTGACTGAGACCACCCAGGAAAGGATGAGTGCAGAGATCCGTGAAACCTGCCAAGGCTGGTGCCCAGTACACATTCTCCAAATCTGCACTGAGGGCCATTTGGTGCCCTTGTCCAGCCTGACAGCGATCTGGGAGGCAGGGCAGCGGGAGTGGAGACTTCAGGACACCTCGTCCACAGGTGGGGAGAGTAAGGAGGGAATGAGCCACACACATCTCCACGCCTCTGCAGGGGCGACCTCAGGATGCCTCGTCCACAGATGGGGAGAGTAAGGCGAGAATGAGCCGTGCACACCACCGTGCCTCTGCAGGGGCCTGGAGGCAGGGAAGAACAGGAGGGCTCGGGTAGGCAGGGCTTCTTTAGGCGGGGTACCAGGCCAGCAGCAGCAGCAGCTTCTGGGGCCCCGGCCTGACCCCTGAATCAGAAACCATGGGTTCAGTCCAGCGATCTGTTGGTCCACAAGCCCCCAGGGAATTCGGATGCATGCTCAAGCCTGGGGACCGCTGAGGCAGAGGGTGGACCTGGGCCACCGAGTGGGAAGGGCCTCCACCTGGGCAGAGGTTCAGCCGGGAGGGGGAAGGGGCATTTGCGAGAATGAGCACTGGAAGCAGAGTCCAGAAGGCGGAGCAGGTGGCAGGCAAGAATGAGCACTGGAATCGGAGTCCAGCAGGCGGAGCAGGCAGCGGGCACCTGTCGGGGTGAGGGTGGGGTGTGGACCAAGCCCTCAGCGTATCCCAGGGTCCCTGTGTGGAGGTCTCCAGGCTGCTCCCTGACCCTAAGGGCATCGGCCTAAGATGGGACCCCCCATGGGGAGCATCCCCTGGGCCGAGGGATGTCCCCAAAGAAGCTCATCTCCTAATCTCTGGAGCCTGTGAATGGGTCACCGGGTCACCCTACATGGCAAAGGGACGTTTTTAGATGTGATTAAGTCAAGGGTCTTGGGATGGGAGAGGACCCTCGACCCTCCAGGTGGGCTCCAACTCATCACAAGGGTTCTGGTAAGTTGAGGGGAGGCAGGAAGGTCAGAGCCAGGGAGAGAAGATGTGAGAACAAAAGCTGAGGGCAGGGCGGAGAGAAGTTGCGGCTCTACAGGCTCTGAAGATGGAGGAAGAGGCAGGAGAAAGGGCCAGGCACATACACCTGGCTCAACTACCCACAGGAAACCCGCGCCTGGATCAGAGAATGCCCCAGGAGCCTGGGACAGGAAGGAACGCCCTGGGTGCAGAAGGTCCTGCCAGTGTAAGGAAGACTCCACGTTTCCCAGCAGGGACAGGGAGTCACTGCTTCCCCACTCCTGGTGCAGAGTAAACCCCTCGTCTGGCCGCCCACCCCTGCTGGCCCTGGGGAAGCTCGGTGCAGGGTCTCACCCACAAGCTAGGGCAGCAACTCACCCAGGCATCCTTGTCGAGATGGCGTGTGTGCCGGATCCTGCGTGTGAGAACTAACCATGCCCAATGTGGGGGCCCCTAAAAGGGGTGGGCTGTGGACGGAGGCTCCAGCTTCCAGCCATCCCGAGTGTTTTGGGAGGAGGGGAGGGCTGATGCCTCTTCCGCATCTCAGGCTGAGAATGTTCCAGAACTTCCCAGATGCCACCAAGGTCCTGTTTTGACTGCCAAGTGTCCAGCAGGGAGGGCGTCCCTGACCAAGCGCCTAGGCCAAGGCACTGCTGGGCTCCTCAGGGTGGCCTTGGGGAATGCAGGGCAGGGCGTCTCCATCCCTGAGGTCTGCATGGAGCTCACATGAGCCTGCACCTGAAAGAGGAGCTTCCTCTCCACTCCAAACGCCAAAGGCGCAGCCCAGCAGAACCTCCCACCAGCCCCCACACTGTCAAAGCCACGCAGGCTTTTGAGACAGAATCCTGAGGCCCGTGGAGATGGAGGCCCTGAGGTCAGCGTTGGAAGCGGTGGGCTGCCAGCCGCACAAAGGAAAACTGGCCAGACGGGAGGGAGGAGAGAAAATCCCGAAAAAGCAGCCATAATGGACTAAAATAAGGTCAGAGGCAATAAAAAATGGGGGACCGCATCATGCTATCTTCCCACCCTGCTTCCGCCCTCTGACAGGCATCACAGGCCAGCCCGGCCCCGGGGCAGGTTGGGACCACGTGCGGTGGTAGCTGTGGGCACCTCACCTGGGTGTGCAGTGGCAGCTGTGGGCACCTCGCCTGGGCGGCCTGTGGTGCCTTCAAAGGCCAGCGCCAGCCGCCTGAGCCCTGGCACACTTCTCGCCAGCCTCCTCTCTGCAGAGAGGACCCTGCGTCCACACCCAGACTGGCCTTGTGTCTGCCTGGCCTATTTTCAGCTGTTGGGGTCAGGCTTCCCACTAAAGCCTCTTGGTAGTAAGTCTGGGCTGCCCAGGAATAGGGGTTCCTGGGAGCGGCTCCTTCCTGGGCCCCCGGGATGCCTCCTTCATGCAGCCCTGGCCCAAGTTGGGCACAGAGGGGCTGGGGTCAGTCCAGGCGGCTGATCTGGCCCAAGCAGGCCTGAGCCTAGGCCTAGGAGCAGCACCTGGGATGTGGCACCAAGCCCCGTGTGGGTGAAGGCAGAGAGCCGGGGCCCCGGGCCAGCCTTCGGGGCTCCCAGAAGCAGAGGCCCAACGTTTTCCATCCCAAGCCTCCTTCCTGCTCAAGTAGCCAACAGCCAGGAGATAAGTGATTCACCTCCACAGCCCAGCGGAATGCCGCGAGCCGGCCACACAGGAGGGCCCAGGGGAGTTTGCTGACTCAGGGGCTGGTTTCATCCTACCCCGTAGGGTCCCCTGGATGGTGTTTAAGTGGAACTGGCCCTGGTGGAGGCTGCCCGCCGGCCCACCAGCCCTGTCCCACGGCAAAGCCAGGGAGCACAGGAGCCAAGCGCCACGAAGTGCCCACCAAGCCGAGCCCGCCTCCAGCAGAGGCTCCGTGCAGGGCGCAGCAGGGTTTTGTGGCACGAGCGGCAGGGGAGGAGATGGAGGCCCGTGAGCTGGAAGCCTTGACACGGGCACCAGTGGCTCCCTGGCCGCCCCCATCCAGCCTGGCCATCCTCCACCGTGACCCATGGGCTCTGGGTCTCCTGCTGGGAAGGAACCGACACAGCCCCGCCATGGGGGGCTCCAGCTGCCGCAGCCCCTTCCAGCTATTCCTGGCCTCCCATTGGAAGTGTCTTGCCCTGTGCTCAGCAGCCCCACCCTCTAGTCCCCCAGGACAGGGACGTGGTGGACAGCAGACCCACGATATACTGGAGCTGGAGGGCCCTGTAGGGAGGCCTCCCAGCCAGAGTCACCAAGGGACAGGCCAGCCTGGGGGCATGTGGGCTCCTTGGGCCGACTTACAGTTGGCCTTAAACTTCCACCCACAGGCCCAGGTGACCCTCCATGAGTGGCCACAAAACCCCAGGCAGGCCCAGATGATGTCCAGGCAGTCTCTCCCATGGCCTGGGCTGTGAAGGGAATGGCCTTCCTCCCAGGGGCGGATGAGAGGACTCAGGCCCTGTGCCTGGGGAGGGCTTCAGGTTGCCTCTCGAGGTTGGGGGCCTAACCTTGCCTGGCCCCGCGCCCACCCCAGGCAGCCTCAGTTTCCAGAAGCGGAGGACGCGAGTGTAGAGTCACAACCACTGCCCCAGGGAGCCCACCAGCCCCCACCAGCCACTGAGGGAGGGAGACTCTAAGGACAGAGCCAAGCCCTGGGGCCGCCGGTGCCAGTGGATGGGAGGTGGCCGCCTCCGGACCTGGGGGGTCTGCATCCCCCCAGCCTGTGGGCACAGACGGAATTCCGGGAGCCTCACACCTGTTCAGAGCCCCCAAGGCAGCTGCCGCCCTTCCCACCTACAGATACAAGGCCCAGAACTGCCACAGGCTCTGCCACCGAGACCACAGGTAGACGCAGGGGACAGAGGGAGGGGTGGGAGGAGGTTCCAGTCTTGGACAGCAACCGTCAGCCTTGGGCTGCCCATCTCCAGCTTCTACGTGGGAAAAAACAAAAACAAAACAACGTCCTTGCTGTTTAAGCCAATGCTGGTCACGTGTTCCGTTACTTGCAGACAAGTATTCTTGGAATACCTATCCTAAGGAATAAGGCCGCAAGGGAAGTAACCATGCGCTCCCCATCCGGAGGGTGGGCACTGGCTGGCCGGGAGCTCGGCCTCTGTCCTCCTTGTCGTCTAAGCCCCTCCCCGAGTTTGGTCTGAGCAGGAGCTACAGCTCCACCTCCCTCCACACCCTCCACATGAAGCTCATCCTGGCCCCGATGTCAACTCCAAGTTGACAGATGCCAGGTGAACGCAGAGAGCCCTGCTAAGGAACCTCAACAGCACCCACAGATGAGCACGATGCTTTAATGACAAATTCAACGAAGATTGGGGCAGTTCCAGGTGGTGATGGAAACTTCTCGCCGTATTTACCTTTTACACCTAACGGATCGGGTCCATCTGTGGCCACGCATCCTCCGTCTCCCGTGCGGCTGGCTGGGATGGCTCCCCGAAACTCACATTTGTAATAAACACCATTCATCGCAGGCACGACACCCATCCTGGAAACAGCACTTTAGAATTTTTTTGTTTTTATCACCAGCTTAATGATGACTAATGCCTGGGTGATTATCTTGTGCTTTTTTTATGTGGCACCGAGAACAAACAATATCATTAGCAATGCAGAAAGGAGAGAAAATGGGAGCACGAGGTGGAAGCAAAGGCGAGCAAAAGTCAGACAGGAAGCAAAGCTGGCTGCCTGGCAAGAGAATGTCTGCAAACTGAACGCCAGGGGTCCCTGGGCCGTGATCTGGAACCTTCCACTCCTCACTGTTTGATGTTGCAAAATACAACAAACCCAAATCGGGAAGAGGGGTTCCTGGAATGCACTGACTTTATTTTTTAAAAGTGCCCAGATGAGCCTGTAAAAGCAATGTCCTGCTGGGTAAATGAAGCCAGAGGAGCGATGATAGGGCAATAACTGATGAAATGGGCCAGAGGAAGCCCATTCACAGCCCTCCTCACATGCCCTGGATCCTGCACGGTTACGGCCGTGGTGGGAAGAATTCAACAGGCAATTAATTTCCAAAGCAAATTCCAGCCTCCCACGCACACATCCCCTACAAAGAGACATCTTTTGAACACAGGCAGAACTCAGCCACCTGGGCTTTTCCAGGGGTTGGCTGCTTACGGTGGGGACAGGTCCTCACCTGCCTGGATCACAACCTGTCATCCCACCCTGCGACCCCCCCTGGCCCTGGCCCTGGCCTGAGGGATGTGCTGAAGCCCAGGGTCTGAAAGACAGTGGGCTTTTCCCGACCTTCCAGATCCCCTTGTTTAGGGGCCCCTAAACCAGATGAGAGGACATGGAAGCAGTTTCTGGCAACATCAGGGAAGGCTGCCCATTCCCCTGGTCTGAGAGCTCCATGCCCCCTCTTCCTGCCCATTAAGCCAAGTCAGGCCACCCCCGGCTCTGCCCCAAAGCCCCTCCACACCTGGTCTCTCTCCAAATCCCTCACATCCGTCTAGGACCACCACCAAATTAATCTCAAGTCCCCGATGGCAGGCATTCTGACTCTCCATCCCCAACAAAGGCACTGCTGGGTGCAGGGGCCACTCCAGAAACACTTCATCCAATAGGGTGTCCCACCTGCAGAATCAGATGGCAGTTGGCCACTTCACCAGCGAGAAGGGTAAGTGGTGGGTGTTGGAACAGCCTTGGGCCCCAGGCCTTCGGGGTGAGCCCGTGCACGGTGGAATGGACAGAAGGATGGAAGCAGCCAACACATGCCCAGTGTCACCTGGGCCGGGGTCAGTACTGGGACCCTCACACCCCGAGGGTGGCGTGTTAGTGGCCTGTGTCGGCATAACAAAATCCCACAAACCCGGCATCTCACACAGTGGAATTATCTTCACACAGTTCTGGGCCAGAAGTCCACAAAGTGTTGGCAGGGCCAGTTCCTTCTGGGAGCTCCAGGGGAAACATGTGGCCTCCAGCTTCCAGCGTGGCTGGCCACCCAGCGGCTCCTCGGCTAGCAGGCCCGTCACCCCCATCTCCACCTCCGTTTCCACAGGGCGTCTTCCTCTGGGTGGTCTCAGGGTCTCTCTGCATCTTCTAAGGACACCGGGCACTGGATTTAGGGCCTATCCAACTCTCGTGTGACCACATCTTAACTAATTCCATCTGCAACAAACAATTTCCAAGTAAAGTCACATTCTGAGGTTCCAGGGGACATGAATGTTGAGGGGACACTTTCCCACTCTGCACAGTGGCCCTGCCATTACCCTGTTTCCATGGCACAGAGAGGTTAGGTGACTGGTCCAAGGTGCAGCCATGACTGGGATGGGCAAGAGGTACGGGACCTGCTCGGCTCACCTCCCTCCTGCAGAGAGACTCCCAAGGGCTCAGCTGCTCAGAACACTCTAGTTGCCCGTGAGGAGCCCAGGGCTCCAAGAAGAACGCGATTTGCCCGCCACCGCCCCCAGTTTCAGCTGAGCTGCTTCTGGTCCCACTCCAGGCCTCCCGCCTGTCCCCGCCTCCCACCACCCATCCCTCTCTCGTGGCCCAGCAGCCACAGGGGACCCACACCCCGAGTCTGCATTCAAGGAGGGCATCCCCCCCTTCACATAAAAGGACACGTGTGCTGCCTGGGATGGCAGAGAAGACCCAGGGTCAGTGGCAGCGAGATGCATGAGGGGCCGCCCTGGAGACCACAGCCTGTTTCATGGACGCTCCGATTCTGAGTCTGAGAAGCGTGGCCCCTGCGACTACGCGATTGCGCGATAAACAGATTAGGGCATTAGGCTCCAGAGTTATTAAAAGTGAAAGGTCCTCAAAGGGAAGACGCGGGATTCTTGGAGCCTCTATCTCCTACAAATATGTAATGAAATTTAAATTGAATCTGGTTTAAAATCATTTACCTTTTGACATCATGTATCAGTACACTAAGCATCGGCTGAGAAAGCAAATAACCTTTCAAGCAGAATGAAAAATTACTCTGTCTCTTTTGATTCCATGTTAATTTTCAAATTTAAACTACCCTATAGCTCTCGGCCTGGGGTCAGCCACTGAAGGCTGTTGATTGTGCTAGGTCAAAGCCGGTGGGTGGAGACCCCAGGCGTCCTCCCTGCTGCACTGCAGACGTGAGCCCTCCCTCCAGGGTGTCCGACAGCTCTTGACGGACAGGTGAGCTGGGGGACCGCCGGCCGCCTGGTCACCCCAGGAAGAAAGGGGGAAGGGGCAGCCCTTGCCTCTGTCCCTCCTCCAGGTGAGTGAAAAGTACCGTTCTCCTTTTCCACATGGGTGTAAAGTGTCTTCAGGAAAAGAGGTGACACCGCTTGCCTGTCCCAGCGTGACCCTGGGCACAGCACTCCGGAAAGCTGGGCTGGAGTCTCACTGGGCGTGACCGTGACCTTAGGGGACCTGTTTCCTCTGCAGGCCCCCTGTTCTCGTCAGGGGTCTCTCAGGGCTCCCCTCGGTCAGCCCTCCCTGCTGAGCACCCCTGCTCTGAGAGAGTCCGCCTCCCAGGCTGGAGGGTAAGACCCGCTCAGTGACAATAATGCCGTGAGAACTGTGGGTTCTTTCCGAGCCTTTGCCTCAGAATCTGGGGTTCTGGAAAAGAGACAAGAGCCCTCGTTTTCCTGAGGGCATGGGCAGCTATGCGGAGGAGACACAGACGGACATCCCAGGTGGGACAGGGGGAGGTGGACTCAGGACACCCTCTCAGATGTCCCTCTGCCTTGGTTTGGGGAGGACGGGCACCTCTTTGTCCAGGCCTGGAAGGACTTCTAGCTCTCTGAATGTGGATTCTGGGGGGCAGAGCGCCTTATTCTCCCCATTTCACAGAGGGGAGGGCTGAGCCTCAGGGAGGCCCCACAGAACAGGAGGGAGAATCAGGTCTGAAACCCCAGGTCCAGACACCCAGATCCCACGTGGGCTCCTGCGGGTACCATCTCAGCTCCTGGGACCCGAGGGTGGAGAAAGCCTCCCAGACCTACCGGGTGGCCTGACAATGTGAGAGGAGCCCCCGGAAAGCAGCAGGGCTGCCTGGTGGGCCTGGGGGATTCTTCCTTGAAGTCCACTGCTAGGCCTGCCCATCCAGCCGCCTGTGACCACGGCCAGCGTTCAGAGAGGACGTGGGGCCTGGGCCCCCGGAGCCTGCTGCTATTTCTTAATTAGGGAGGAGACACAAAGGGGCTTTTCACGAGGCTGCCCCCGCACCGTCACATGTGAGCGCCACTGGGCTGGAAAACAGAGGGGGCTTTGCCAGAACCTCACCCCCACCCGGCCGTGCCTGCCCAGAGAGGGCGGGGGAGGAGCAACCAACAGAGGGGGCAGGGGAGAGGGAGGAGACGGCACGGCAGAGGTGGCCCCGGGAAGCAGGCAGGCCAGCCTCACCGCGGCTGCTGGATGTGGGGATCTCGGTGCCCCAGCCTAGGCCCAGGTCTGTGCGTGCCCCATGCAAGGGGCTGACTGTCACCAGGACGCAATTCAAGGCCTCTGGTGGCCCAGGGCCCGGCGGGCTATCAGAACCCGGATGCCCGTACGCGGGACAGAGCAGCCCAGGATCCTCAGTGGAGAGTAGCATGGGCTCCACAGCCCGGGGCCAGGTCACAGCTTGCTCCTGGCATACCCTACAGGAGCCTGGGCTCACACCAGCCAGCCCTCAGGCAGCTGAGGAAGGATAGCAGAGGCAGGGCATGGGCGTGTCCCAGGAGGAGGTGGTGGGGGTCAGGGCTGCTTCCCATCTTGCATCTGCCAGCCGTCCCAGTGGCCAGGACCCTCTGAAGTCAGGGACCCAGGACCTGGGACCTGGGGAGAATGGGGCATGCTGAGCAACTGCTGGTGCTGGCTGGGCCTGGAGTCTGTGCCAGCTGGGCCCTGTAGCAGTTGCTTTGGCTTCCCTGCTGGGGGCAGGAGAGAGAGGACCTCAGGTGGACGTCCGAGTGCCCAGTCTGGAAAGGCCTCTGCAGCCTTTGCTTCTGAAGGTCTGGGAGAGCAGGAGCTTCCGGGGCTGGGAGAATGGCTGCAGAGGGAGGGATTGCTTCATAGGCACGGGGCTTTTTGTGGGGTGACGGAAACGAGAACTCGGCTACTGTGGGGTTGTACAGCATGGTGGCTGCACTAGATGCCAGCAGAATGCAATCTTCAACAGGGTTGATTTTGTTATGTGAATTTTAACTATGCGAAAAATAAATACATAAGATGTTTGAAAGTCTGTAAGGGCAGCCAGACCCCTCTGAGAGCAGGACCTGGATGGGGTCGTGCACATCCCCACAGCCCCTCCCCATCAAGCACTGCCTGGCACAACTGTGAGGGCCACATGCAGTGTCCCGGAGGTGGGTCAGCACTGGCCTGGCTGGGGGCTGCGGCCACCAACCTCCTGGAAGGCACTTGCCTTCGTGGCGGTGGCTTCTCCTCCATCTAAATTTGGGGGATTTCATGAAGGGCCACCCCTGTCCTGAGCCACATGACCCGAGCCCAGACACAATGGGACATGAAGCAGAGGCCAGTAGAGACGTCCTGTGCAGACTGGCTTCACCCTGCAACGTTCAGAGCTGCACTCACCTTGCCGTGGGTATGGCCTTCTCCAAGGCGTTCCCAGGCTGCAACAGGGAAAAGGCCCACCAGCTCCTGCCGAGAGTTGGGGGCGGGCCCCCATTTCGTTCAGCAGCGAATGTCACAGACGATGGTGATGATGTCTGCACTGAATATTCCACTCACTTAAATTACACCAAAACCACGCGGCCCCGAGGTCTCGGTGACAGGGGAATGGGAATCGCAGGAATTAAATGGCACAAAGGGGGTGGATTGTGCTGAGATCACCAGGAAGAGTATTAAGAAAAGCCGTTAATATGTAGTTAAAAAATTCCCAATCTCCACAAGCATATGCCGTTCCACCTAATTCTGATCAACTTAAACGTAAAAATGTCTCGGCGCCTCCACGTGGGTTTCGCCGCCATCTGGTTTAATTAGTCTTTGGGTAGCGCGTCATAAAGTTAATGGCAAGTGCGTTGCCGGGCCAATCAGAAAGCTGTGCTGAGGCCTTATTTCACCAAGTCTGTTTCTCCTCAACCTGCCATTGGGTGAGGTCAAGGCCGGCGGGTGCTGAGCGGCGGTGAAGGCGGCGCACAGGGAGTGAGGCTGGGGTGGGGAGGGTGGCTGCCCGGGTTGCCTTTCCCTGGGTAGGGTGGGGGTCTCTGAGTTCAGCCCACCTGGAGGAACGACACCTGCCCACCGAGACTGATGGAGACCCCTGGGGGAGCCAGCAGTGGGCCTGGAGAGGAGGAGCCCACAGAGACCCCCATCCCCTGGCCAATGCCAGTTCCTGTTCTGAGGTGTGGCTTCAGCGGCCTTGCCCACTGTCCCCAAGTCCCCGCACTGTCCCTTCCTCTGGGGCGGTGCCCTCCACACTCCCCGTCCCGCCTGGAGCCGGGGGCCTCCCGCTTGCATTGGGCATTGGATGCAGCAGGGCCGGGTGCAATGAGGCCTCAGGGGTGCCCTTGGAATTGGGCAACTAGAAGGTCAGGGGTCACTGTGAAAAGAGAGGTCCCTGAGGAAAGGAGCATCAAGGGAGAGCAGACGAGCAGATGGGAAGGCAGGAGAGGAACTGGAGAAGGGGAAAGGAGGCCAGGGTGGATGGAGGAGTTGAGGTCCCTGTGGTCTGAGGTCAAGGCACTGAAGGAGAGGGGTGCCGTGAAGGTGACCCAGGAGAAGGGTCCCCTGCAGGGGTCAGGGGTCAGGCAGGACAGCGGACAGACAGCTGCGATCAGGTGATCCGCCTGCCTGCAGAAGCCCACTGCTGAGAGGACGCTGCCTGCGCAAGCCCTGGGCTCCAGCATTTGCCAGCTCTGCACCTGCTTATCTGAGTCTCTGCTCCTTTCCAGGGAATAATTCCTAACTGAGGTTCTTCACCCACTGCTGAGAGGACGCTGCCTGTGCAAGCCTGGGCTCCTGCATTCGCCAGCTCTGCACCTGCTTATCTGAGTCTCTGCTCCTTTCCATGGAACGATTCCTAAATGAGGTTCTTCACCCACTGCTGAGAGGACGCTGCCTGCGCAAGCCTGGGCTCCTGCATTCGCCAGCTCTGCACCTGCTTATCTGAGTCTCTGCTCCTTTCCATGGAACGATTCCTAAATGAGGTTCAGCCACTTGCTGGCTGGGAGGCCCGTGCCATGTCCAACTTTGGACCTCTGTGTTTTCACCCCCAAAATGGAGATGGCAGTGCTTACCCTGTATGGTTTGGAGATCAGAGATGATTTGTGGAAACGCCACCCACCCTGGTGTCAGCCCAGAGCAACAGCCCCATTAGTACCACGTCAACATTCCCAGATGCTGCCAGACATGAATAGAAAAGGAAGGTCACATGACCAGTGGATTTTCCCTTTTTGCCTTCTCTGCCAGGAAGCTCAGAGCTATGTTTTGTGCTCAATTTTCAGAGTTCCCTGTAGTCTAGGACGGTGGGTCTCCACCGGGACAAGTCACCTGGCTGGCATGAGTGGGGGACTGACCCCCAGGCTCTCCATGCTGCCCGGCTTATAAGCTCCCTGGGCAGGGTCTGCAGGGCGGTTCTCGGTTTCCTCAGGACACTAAAGACCATGTCCTCAGAGATGTGGCCCAAGTTCTGGAGGGCCAGGAGCCGCGGCCACCTCAATTAACCCCATGTTGGCTGTCAGACAGAGAGAGCTGAGACTCAAAAGTCATGGCGAAGTTATTCCCTGGCTACCAAAATTAAATCTATGAAGAAGGAACAGGTTTTCAATGAATTTATTAATCAATTTGACAACGCCTGGGGATTGTAATATAAAAATAATCGGTTGGCCTTCTCACCAACGTGAGATGCCAAGAAGGTGTCATTTAATTTTCCAATGCCTACCACCACCTCCCAAAACTTATTTTACATTAATTGAGATGGAAATTTTCTCATCTAGAATTTCTGAGAAGCATGCATTCATTTCATCCCGAGCCCACTCATATATGCAGCGGCAACTCCGCGGCCGGGCCTGGGGTGCAGCCAAGGGCCCTGACACTAGCCTTGACCTCCTTCCAGGCACTGAGCTTCTTTCTCACAGCCTCGAAGTGCTTGGCCCCAAGACGGGGAGTCTACACCCCCGAGAGACCTGCAGAGGCTGAGATCTCAGAGGGAAGTGACAGGAAAGGGAAGGGCAGGAGGAAGGGTCTTCTGAGGACTGGATCATCCCCCTTTCCTCCTGCCCTGCTGGGTAGCTGAGAGCCCTCATCCAAGCTGAGAACACCAGGCCAAGCCCTCTTCTTGGCCCCCACAGCGCCCAGACAGGGCTGCCAACTTCAGCCCTGGGGACCAGCACTGTGGGAGTGGGCAGACAGATGAGGTGGTCTCTGTGAGTCACCGAGGAGACCAAAGTGGCCCTCACTGGGACTGCCCCCATGGAGCAGAGCAAGGCACGGCACCTCCTCCTCCTGCAGACTGCCCAAGGCCAGGGCCCTGTCAGAACCACAGGGCAGACGCGGGCTCTGGGGCCGCACAGGCCTGCCCAGGTGCTCAGCTTCTCTTAGCCATGTCTCGCTCAGAGCACTGGGCTGACTTCAGCCTTGGGAAGCCTCCGGGTCCTGGAGCTTGAAATGGGTCTGGTCACACTGCAGTTAGAAGCCGGCATGGGGTGGCACCCAGGAATCGCCAGTCTGTCCTTCTATTGGGGGGGCTCTTAGAGCCGCCCATGACAGAAGGCCTCTGAGTGACAGGAAGGAGCTGCACTCAACTCTGCACATGCGATGAGCCCTCCCTTCATGTGGACCTGAGGGTCTTGGAAACTGAGGCTTGAAGCAAAACGGCCTGTAACAAAACGCTTCGATGTTACAAGAAAACACAGTCGAAGGAAGCAATGTTACTCCAGGACCTGCTGTCTGTCATTTTCCTGAAATTTGCAGTTTCCAGCTCTTATCACCAATGCGGAGTGAGGACTTCCTGTAGACGGTGTAGGGTGGGTTGACAACTTTAGGGTTACCGAGGGTCCCAAACCCTTTCCTTCCTCCAGGAAACCCTCTGCACATAAACAGGCCTGTGCCTGGGAAGAAACGCACCCCAGAGTGGCTGTGTCAGAGTGATCACACGTGTACAGCACACTCCCCCCACCACAAACCAGTCTAGGTTTGGTACCATCCTTATTTCAAATGTTGTTACTTTCCTCTTCTTTTCAGTTAGTCTCTCTCTCTCTCTCTTTTTTTTTTTTTTTTTTTTTTGAGACAGAGTCTCGCTCTGTCGCCCAGGCTGGACTGCAGTGGCACAATCTCGGCTCACTGCAAGCTCCTCCTCCCAGGTTCACACCATTCTCCTGCCTCAGCCTCCCAAGTAGCTGGGACTAAAGGCGCTCGCCACCACCCCCGGGTAATTTTTTTTTGTATTTTTAGTAGAGACGTGGCTTCACTGTGTTAGCCAGGATGGTCTCGATCTCCTGACCTCGTGATCCACCCGCCTCGGCCTCCCAAAGTGCTAGGATTACAGGCATGAGCCACCGCGCCCGGCCGTCTCTCTCTTTTGAGACAAAGTCTCGCTCTATCACCCAGGCTGGAGTGCAGTGGTGTGATCTCAGCCAGTGGTGTGATCTCAGCTCACTGCAACCTCTGTCTCCCAGGTTCAAGCCACTCTCTTGCCTCAGCCTCCCGAGTAGCTGGGATGACAGGTGCCCACCACTGCACCCGGCTAATTTTTTGTATTTTTAGTAGAGACAGGGTTTCACCATGTTGGCCAGGCTGGTCTCGAACTCCTGACCTCAAGCGATCTGCCCACCGTCGCCTCCCAAAGTGCTGGGATTACAGGCGTGAGCCACTGCTCCCGGCCAGTTATTCTCTTTAAAATTCCACCTCTCCTTGAGCGGAGCAGAAGATGATCCTTTCCTTTCTGCACTGTGGCCGCGCAGCGAGAGGCAGCGAAGGGGCCAGCCCCACTGTCAGCAGGGCATCTCCTCCACCTCCTCCCACCAGGCAGCCTGCAGGGGCTCAGTCCCCTTGCAGCCTGGTCCACCACAGGGGCTCAGTCACCTTGCAGCCTGGTCTACCAGACCAGGCACACACGGAATCGGGTGGCGAGGGCCCCTTGACACTTTCCCCAAATCCCCGCCTGAACCGTGGCCATCAGCTTCTGGTGGCCCTCCCTGCAGCTCTGTGCCATGGGGCTCCAACCTTGGCCACCGGCCTCAGCCTAGCAATGGTGAGGAGTGAGTGAGCGCACCGTTCCCCACAGCAAGCCCCGTTCCGCATCTGTAGCCCTTTCCGGGAGCCCGCCTGACTGCTCAAGACCAGACATCAGCCTCGGCTTCGGGGGACGCACCAGGCACAAGCGGGCAGTTGCCCCGTGGCTCTCCCAGTGCGGGAAGAAACTGTCAGCACCGTCTTGTAAGGTTCCACAGGTGATGCTTCATTTCCGATACCTGGAGAGATGGGCCTGCGTCAGGGCCTGTGTGTGCCGGGCCGGGTGACAACCTTGAGAATGGAGAATGCCTTTCTAGGAGCTCAGGGGTTGGGCCTTGCAGAACGAATGCGGCTTTGCACAGCAGACGCCTCTGTCTGTTGGAGAAAACACAGAGTTTTGTCTTGACCTGGGCGAGGGCCTCTTGTGCAATGGAAACTGAGAAATGGCTTTCTGCAGACCTGCAGTGTGGCGCTGACTGAAGGACATTTTCCAACAACAGGAATGTGCTCCTGTCCTTATAAGCAGCCTCCCCTCCCCCTGGGAGCCACATCACGCTTCTCCCTGCAGACGCACAGCCCCAGGAGACAGTGAGGAGGAGGAGGAGGAGGAGGAAGCTCTGGGAAGCGTCAGCCACCTGACCCAGTTTGCCAAGGAGCAGGAGACAAAAGAGGCCAGCCCGAGAAGGTGGCTTTTCCTGTGGGATTCCAGACTGGTTGGACTTCTCTGCTGGCAGGTGGTGACCAGGGCCTGGGCTTCTCTCTCCTGTCCACACATGAAGAAGAAGCGACAGGGGAGTCATTGGGGTCTGGGATCCCCAGCGGCCTCCTCCAGGGCTGTCCCTGCTTCCTGAGTCTCCCCACTTCCCAGCAGAGACCAGTTCTGGGTCATGCAATGTCCTGGTTGACCCTAAAACTGCTTGGAGTCACCAGGTGAGCATGTCCCCATAACAGATGACAGCAATATCCATGTGGGCCAGGCACATGGGGTGCCCAGCCCCTCCCTCCCTCATGTCAAGGAAGGGGTGAGAAATCTTCCAAAGATGGACTTTTGCAAACAACTAAAACCCATTTCTTTAAGTCCTCAAGTGCTTTTGAGTGTGGGAAGGAAGTCTATCAAATGCCTGCAATGCGCATGGCTGCCTGCCTGGGCAAGGTCAGGAAACAGCAGGAACGCAGGCCTCAGAGTCCATACACATCCAAATCCACCTCTTCCTTGATGTTGTTCCTGAAGCCAGGGAGCTCAGAGCACAGGGAGCATGGGGGAGGGAAGCCAGGGGAGCATCCTGGAGGAGGAGGAGGCCTTCAAGCCAAATTTCTCAGGGGCTGCTCTCTGCTCAATGACACAGCCAGGTTCCCCCACCCCAGAATACAGCATTGCCCTACAAGCAGTTCAGTGGACATCCATCCTGTTCTTTTCTCTCAAATCTGAAGTTTATTATTACAGAATGAAGGTTTGCACTCACATTTCCTTCTCGCAGCTATAATCACTAATAGCCAGTCTGTTTTCCAAAACAATGAACACCGAACATCAACCAAAGAGCCATGGTGAACATCTGGATGTCTTCTTTTGAGAAATATCTATTCATATCTTTTGTCTACTTTTAATGAGATTATTTGGGGGTTTTTTTGCTGTTGAGTTGAGTTCCTTGTATGAATATATTCTGGATATTAGTCCCTTGGAGGAAGAACCCGCAAATATTCTCGCCCATTCCACAGGTGTCTTCTTCACCTTGCTGACTGTTCCCTTTGCTGTGCAGAAGCTTTTGAGTTTGGTGTAATCCCAATTGTCTGTTATTGCTTTTGTTGACTGTGCTTTTGAAGAGTCTTCCCCATAAAACCTTTGTGCAGACCAATGTCCCGAAGCATTTCAGGTACGTTTTCTTCTAGCAGTTTCATAGTTTCGGGTATTCCATTTATGTCTTTAATCCATTCTGAGTGGTTTCTTTATAATGTGAGAGACAGGGCTCTAGTTTCAGTCTTTCTTTTTTTCTTTTTTCTTTTTCTTTTTCTTTTTTTTTTTTTTTGAGACAGATTCTCACTCTGTCACCCAGGCTGGAGTGCAGTGGCGTGATCTCAGCTCACTGCAAGCTCCGCCTCCCGGGTTCACGCCATTCTCCTGCCTCAGCCTCCCAAGTAGCTGGGACTACAGGCGCCCGCCACTGTGCCCGGCTAATTTTTTGTACTTTTAGTAGAGACGGGGTTTCACCATGTTAGCCAGGATGGTCTCGATCTTCTGACCTCGTGATCCGCCCGCCTCAGCCTCCCAAAGTGCTGGGATTACAGGCGTGAGCCATTGCGCTGGGCCTCTAGTTTCATTCTTTTGCATGTGGACGTCCAGTTTTCTGGCATCATTTGTTGAAGAGGGTGTCCTTTCCCCAAATGGATGTTAAAAGGCCCCACATCACTAATCACCAGAGAAATGCAAATCAAAACCACAATGAGATACCAACTCACCCAGTTAGAATAATGATTATCAATAAGACAAAAGGCAAACACACAAACAAATGCTGGCAAGGATTCAGAGAAAAGGGAAGCCGTATACACTATCGGTGGGAATGTAAATCAGTACAGCCGTTGTGGACAACAGTACGGAGATGTCTCAAAAAAATAAAAATAGCACCTACGCCCTCATCTAGCAATCCCACTACTGGGTATTTATCCAAAGGAAAGGAAAGCAGCACGTGAAAAGGGCAGCCTCAGCCTCATGTTTCCTGCAGGACCACTCACAAGAGCCACGACGCAGAATCAGCCTAAGTGTCCATCAGCAGGCGCCTGGATAGAGAAAAGGTGCCACACACACACTGGAGTAGTATTCAGCCGTAAAGAAGGATGAGATCCTGTCATTCGCAGCTGCAGGCATGACTCCGGAGGGCATTGTGTTAAGTGAAACAAGTTAGGCACAGAAAGATAAATACCTCCTGTTCTCATTCATACGTAAGAGCTAAAAAATACTGAGCTCATAGAAATAGAGAGGAGAATTATGGTTATTAGAGGCTGGAGAGGGGAGGAGGCTAGGGAGAGGTTGGCTAGTGGACACCAAGTTACAGCTAAACAGGAGAAATCAGCTGTGGCACTCTATGCACAGTAGGGCGACCACAGCTAAGAGTAATATACTGCAGATGTTAAGAAACCTGGAAGAGAGGATCTTGAGCGTTCCCAACACAGAGAAATGATCAATGTTGAGGCGATGGGTGTGCAGACTACTCTGATTTGATCACCACACATTGTTTGTATATATGTGTTGAAATATCACACTGCACCTATAAATATGTACCATTATTTTACGCCAACTAAAAACAAAAAGAGAAAAATATCAGCTGTGGGGCAACTGCAGTTAGGTTGTTACAGGGAACGCTTGGGTTGAGTCCTGGGACCCATGAGGATGCAACAGGCACCCAGGTGTCCCCACTCAGGCTGTCTCCAGGGCCCCATACGTGGCTCTGGGACACCAAGTGGCTGCAGCAGCCTCAGGGCGCCCACCGCCTTCTCTCCTCCTCCTCATATGGCGCCGTTCATTCTGGAGGGAAACCCCCTCACCTGGGCACACCCTGTTCCTTTTCTTACTTCCAAACTCCCAACACTTTGCAGGCACAGCCGGGAGCTGTGACCTGGGGTAGCCACATTGGCCAGCTCTGGGGGGGCGGCAGCCCTGGAGGGGACTGGCTGCACCCCCGCCTACTCTCTAGCCTACCCTGGGTCAGCACCTACCTCTCCCAGCCTGTCTCCTGCAAAGCTGGGATAAAGCTGCCGGCTGCCCATGGCTTCTGTGAGGTGCAGCCTCGAGCTGAACAGTGCAGCCCCCACACAGACAGTCACCTCCCTGAGAGAGAAACAGTGGCCCACGCATCAGGGCTGTCCACGTACTGGCTCTGCCTCAGGGTTGCACCAGCACCCAGCAACCCCTCTCTGCAAGCGGGCGGCTCTAGGGGCCGAGTGACAGTTCTCCCCACTGCCCAACAACCCCTCCCTGCATGCGGGCGGCTCTAGGGGCTGGGCGATGGTTCTCCCCACTGCACAGATGAGGACACTGAGGCCCAGCAGCTGGTGTGGGCCAGGCCAGGGCTGCAGATGGGCCTCGTGCTGGGGATGCCCAAAAGGGAACCCCCAGCTTCCTGGCCCACGGAGCTCCTCAAACACCTAGCGCTGGCCTTGGGGAGGGGGCGCTGTCCATCCCGACAGCTCCCAGGCAGGGGCTCCTCACACGGCCACCCTCACACTGACCCCTAGGGGCAGTCCCGGTCGACCACCTGGAGTGTTTCCAGCCCGCTCTCCCTCTTCTACCTTAGGACAAAGTCCACCCTCTCTTCCGCAGGCCAAGCGCACATCCTGGCTCTGAATGAGGCCCCATGGGGAAACAGGCCCTTTCTGGGGCCAAAGACAACCCTGGATGCCACGGAAGCAACTCTGGGGAGGCGTGCTGGGCAAAAGGGGCTGGCAAACCACTGAGCACATTCCAGAAGATTCCTCAGGGCTGCTCCTTCAGAGAAATCAAGTCCCAGGCAGACGCCACCACGTCTGGCGATTTTCCAAGGACTTCTCAGCCCCCCAGGGCTCCGGGTTGGGGGTTCACAGGAGCCTCTCTGGAAGGACCAGGGCTTCAACTCATGCCCTCCCAACAAGCCCCACCCCTGCCTCAGTGACTTGGCCCCAGCCTGACCGGCCGGCCACTCCTCCAACTGCACACCTGGCCCTTGATGACTGTCTCCTTCTCCTCCAACTGCACACCTGGCCCTTGATGACTGTCTCCTTCTCCTCCAACTGCACACCTGGCCCTTGGCGGCCGTCTCCTTCTCCAACTACACACCTGGCCCTTTGCGGCCACCTCCTTCTCTTCCTACTGCACACCTGGCCCTTGGCGGCCACCTCCTTCTCCTCCAACTGCATACCTGGCCCTTGATGACCATCTCCTTCTCCAACTGCACACCTGGCTCTTGGCGGCTGTCCCCTTGCTCGGCAAGGCTCAGCCACGGGGTTCTCCCCATGCCACTCGGTGCCCAGTCCCCCCTCTGCTGTGGGCTGGAGGGGATGCCTTCTGCAGGCTCCAAATCACCTGTGGAATGAAATCCAGCAGCATGTCCCATGCTGACGTGTCCAGCCCTCCCAGCCCTGCCTGTGTGCCAGGGATGTTGATGAATTTGGTGTCATCCTAGGTCTGTGTGGCAGGAGGCCTCCTGCACCATCCTGGTGGTTGGGGACCCCCGCCTGCCATGGCCGGAAGAGGTCACTGCTAAGGAAAGGCCGTGGTCCATTTGCCGTGTGCCCTGAGCGCAGTGGCGTCCCAGGCCCTGAGGTCCCTCTTCATTCTCATCAGCACCCGGCAGGGCAGCCTTGGCCATCCTGGTAGCACAGGTGAGGACAGGCTGGCAGGGGGCCCTGCCTGAGGCCATAGCTACGGAACGGTGGCACAGACACACGAAGCCAGCTCCTATCCTCCAAAGGCCCCGCCTGTCACCCCTGTGGTCTCAGATAGACGATCCACTGCCGGGAAGAGCCCTACACCCTGGACATGCCGCGTTTTTGTCACACTAGTCTAGCAGAACATTAGAACCCCAAAGGAAACACACACAAAGCTCCTCCCCGAAGCTGGGCCCTTCGGAAAGGATTCTGGAGGTGCCCATGTTCCCCCATGGAGCACAAGGCTGCAGGAAGGGTTCTGGACCCCATGTTCCCGGCTGGGAAAAGGTTTTCTTCTCTAAGGCTGCACGGATTGTGCTGAAAGAGCAGCCATGGGCCTTCCCTCCATGCAAGGTCAAGTCATGAAAGGTCATGGAGACCAGGGGTGAACAAGTGCGGGGCTGCAGGAGGAGGGGCCAGGCGAGGCCAGCAGCCCAGGGGCACATGCTGCACCCTGGAGACAGGGAGTGAGATAGGGACAGCCCCGTGGGGTGTGCAGGGAAGGGCGACCTCAGCTGGCCTGGGGTGCACAAACCTGCTCCCAAGAAAGGGTTATCTTCAGGGCTGGCCCTAGGCTGGCTCCTGGGAGTGAGTTCTGAGACCCTGGAATGTCCTGTCCCATTAGAGTGTCTCTGTAGGTCCGAGGCCTTGGACCACGCCGTGCCAGCCTGACCAGTTTATGCCCCAGCTGGTTTATGGACTTGTCCACAGGAGCCCTTTCCCTTTGCAGATTGTAATCTGTGTCCTTTCATAGTAATGAGCCAAAACCATGAGTGTAACAGCTTTTCTGAGCCCTGTAAGTTTTTCCAGAAAATCTTCAAGCCTGAGGGTGGTCTCAGGGATGCTGGCCCACCAGGATGGGGACAGAGATGCACAGGGCATGCTTCGGGTGACGCTCACTGCAGACAGAGATGCCGACTGCAAGTGTGGCCTGGGATGCCTTCTTGGTGGATGCTCCCCACTGGTCCACAGGTGGACAAAGCTGTAGGCTGATGGCAGTGCCCCGCTGGCCATGCAGCTCCACAGCCCCCCTTGGGGCAGTAGGCCTTTTAATGGCAAGATTCAGAGCAGAGGAGATCACATGTTCAAATCCCAGGCCTGGCACACTCAGGTAAGACAGAGCCACTGTGGTCCTCTGAGACCCTCTGTATCTTCTTCTGTAAAAGGGGGCCCATGAAGCCTGCCTCTGGGGTGCAGATACCTACCTGCACCCAGCAGTGGCCATGGACTTTTGTGTAGATGATGGATCCCTGAGCCTCAGGGCACTCCAGACGCCCCCGGTTCAATACCAAAGGCCAACAGCTAAGCCAGCGTGGGGCCACGCAGGGTGACCCCTCCACAGATGGAAGTTGTGACTTGTCACGGAGATGGAGTCGTGAGAGTTTCATGTGAAGAGCAGACAGGACTAAGGCAAGCTTCTCCTCTGACCTGAGAAATCCCCCAAAGTATCTCCCAGGAGGCCCCACAGCAAGTGGCAGGTAGACAGGCCATTCAGCAGGTCCCTCCTGAGAGATGGGTGCCCGAATGCCTGGAGACACTGACCTACTTCACCTAGACAGTGTCCCGGGCTCCAGTGTGGCTGGCAGGCAGGGAGGAGTGCCCATCCACAGTGGGCCTGAGCAGGGATAGCCATACCTCAGAGGTCAGAGGAGGCTCAGGGCAGGGTGGGGTGTGTGGCAGGTCCCTGAGCCCCCCAAGGCTGGACCCTGCAGCCCCTCTGCCCCACCCTGCCCTGGCAGCTGCTGCTGGCAAGGATCCTAACACAATCGCCTGCAGGGGTCTCTGGGATTCGGCGAGCCATCCCAGGACACTAGGAAAAGCCACTTGCTCTGATAAGCTCCCAGAACAACCTTGACTCATTTTCTGCCAAACACTGCCTTGTGCCTTCCATGCATGTCCTGCCAGAGCTGGCTGTGGGGCAGGTGAGCCCCAAACAGGGAGCCCCCTCTCCAGGCCTCAGCACACCCCCAGGAGTCTGTGAAGCTCTGTGTCCTTCCCCCCAAATGATAAAGCTGAGCCAGTCTGACAGCATGTGGGAAACGTCCCCCAGCAAGGTGCCCGGACTCACGGCCTCACCAGCCCAACTGCCCAGGAGGAAAAGAATGTCATTGGACTCCTTCAAATGATGGTGTGAGCCACCCAGAGCAGAGGACTCCCTCTCCAAGACCAGCTGCCCCCCTGCCCAGCCCCCGGAAGTCTTTCTGCTGCAGGGCAGCGCCCCCATGGGGAGGGCTCCCTAAGCACGGCTGGATTAAGAATGGACCTTTGCTAAACAGAATTATCCCAATCTCATGGAAACACATGCACCTAAGATAAAGTGCTGGGAGAACAAACCCCCAGGACGCCACCCTGGGTTATCTCTGAGCCACAAGATAAGGTGGCCTGGCCCACTCTGCCAGCCGAGGGAGTGTCACCTGGATGGCCTCCAGTCCAGCCCGCACCCCTAAAGCTCGGTGGAGCCAAATCTCACTCTGTTGTCTCTCAGAAGTGCCCACTCGATCGCTGGTACCAGAAATGAAGAGTGAGCAACTGGGTGTTGAGTTCTGGGGTGGAACCTGGGTTAGGCATGATACAGAGAGCAGGGTCCCAGCCTGGCTTATGGAGCCCACCTGAGTGTGAGTGTGTGGTCCTGGGTGACAATCCTGAGCTGGCTCGGCACCCCACACACTCGGGGTCCTGTGGTGCTGGTGTGTCGTGGGGATGGGCTCCTTCCCAGAGTGTAACAGACAAAAGCCACCTGACGTCTGAGGAGCTGATGGGGGTGCGAGTGTCATCTAACATCACCATGGGGACAATGGCACTTGGGACTTTTAGAGCTTCTCCCGTGTTCGAAAACACTTTCTTTTTCATCTGAGAACCTCAAAATGATGGAAGCAAAAGTAGATCAAAAAATGACCACCTTCAGCAAATGCACGTCTATTTTCATCAATGAAACACTAATTTTGATTAAAGCATAGTCTTTTTGAAGATTCCGTTTGTAGCTGGATGGCAGCCCATGGCTGGAAACAGGAGAAAGTGCTGAGACAGACTGGGAAGCCTTTGGCTACCGGCTTCCACTGTCCCTGGCACTTTTGGTGATGCGTTTTGCTCTTTCCTCCATGTGGGGAGCCCTCGTCTCTAGGCTGTGGGTTCTGAAACCTTCCCAAGTTCACGAGTCCACATCTGCTCTGGCAAGGCCCGTCCACAATGTGCTTGGCGTAAAGCAAGAGGGACACCAGGCCAAAGGTATCTGCCCTCAGGGGCCCACGAGTCAGTGGCTTCCCATGCACCTGGCACCAGCCAGACTTTTCACAACTCACGTGTTCAGCAAATGCACACACCCCACCCATGCTCCCGAGGTCCTTCCCAGGGGCAGCAAGAACTCTTCTCTCTGGAAGCCCCTGCCTTCTCCAGCTCACAGACATGGCAGAGCCCTGGTAATGGGACAGACCTCCTCACACAGGCAGCTCAGAGGAGCCACCCGCTGCCTCCCGACACAGCCACAGAACCCCGAAAATGAGCCAACAAGACTCACAGATGACTGCATGGAAGAGCATGGGAAGGTCCCGCGTGGATCTGGGACCCACATCCTTCCACCTCTGCAGGGCAGGAGCCTAGAAGCATGAATTAGCACCAATAAATGAACATGAGTCCTATATGACCCGTTGGTGGTATTTAGCTACATTCTGGGATGTGCTATCAGGGAATGGAATGCTACAGAAGAGAAGCCATTTGAAAGCACAGCAAAAGTGTCTTTTCGAAATAGAGGCCACTCTTGGCCAGGTGCGGTGGTGGCTCATGCCTGTAATCTCAGCATTTTGGGAGACCGAGGGGGGCGGATCACCTGAGGTCAGGAGTTTGAAATCAGCCCGGCCAACATGGCAAAACCACGTCTCTTCTAAAAATACAAAAATTAGCCAGGTGTGGTGGCGGGCGCCTGTAGTCTCAGCTACTCGGGAGGCTGAGGCAGGAGAATCACTGGAACCTGGGAGGTGGAGGCTGCAGTGAGCCGAGATCACACCACTTCACTCCAGGCTGGGAGACAGAGTCGGACTCCATCTCAAAAAAAAAAAAAAAAAAATTCCAAAGAGAGGCCACTCCCAAGTCAGAGCAGCAGAGTCCAAAACATTAGAAGTCTTGGAGCCATTAACACTGTAACTGCTGCAAAAGCCTAAGACAAAAGTACTCCCAGCTCCCCCAGAAATGCAGCACCAAGGCATCGGGCCCCAGGCATGCTTTAGAACAATGTGCCTCAACAGGTAATAAAACCAAATACACAGGAGATACTGAAATGACAACAAATTAGGTTCTCTCCCAGTCCAATCCCATTGTATGTTAATCTCAGACCATCGGCCTCAACAAAGCTCCAAGCAGATTTGTTTGCAGGTCAACCAGGACAGGCAGACTCCTCAGTCTTCTTGTTATCCAATGGATTTTTAAAAAGAAATAAGTAAATTCTGAGATGTTCATTGTCATAAAACTGGTATCTATTTTTCTAAAACATCAGGTGAAAACCGTCATGGTAGAGACAGCGGGTGGGCCACAGGCTGGCAGCAATGACATTGGGAGAACCCACACAGACAGTATTCACCGGCCCCTCCAGCTTTAAGTTCAAAACCTGAAGACCAGGCAGGCGGCATGGGGCGGAATGGATGGGGTGCCCTGAAGTGACCGCACACCCCATCTCTGCAACTCCTCCATTCTGCCTGCTGTTTCAGAAGACCATTCTGGGGACGTCAGTAAGCCTGGGTGCTAGTGGGTCTGGGTGTAGTGGGGACAGATGCACCCTCCGGGGCACAGAGAGGGGCTGAGAAGAGCGGCCACACTCAGCGGCCTGGCTCAGCCCTCACTCCGCCACACCCCTGGGGCCTCCAGGGGACAGGAAAGGAGATGCTGGTACACTCCTGGGCTGTGTCTCAGTCCCAGTTCCCATTACTGCATCCCATCAGATTCCCTGGGGCCCGTGAGGCCTGGGAGGTCAGCAGAACTCAGCCTTCCGAGCCCTTCCCACCTGTGTCCTCATCCCTCCTCTATCTCTCCCCGGGCACCCCCGACTACCTCTCCCCAGGCACCCCCGACTGCCCCTTCCCTTGGAGAGATGGGCCAGGACCAGGAAGGCGTCCAGGAGGGAAGCAGAGGCCGTCACCCGAGTTCACGCCGCCAGCCTCTGCAGCACACCGCCCGGGTGCTGGAGCCTGTCTCCAGGACAGAACGCCCAGACGCGAGGGCGGGAAAATGCACCAAAAACCAAAAGGCCAACGGGCCTTAGGTTTGCTCAGAGCAGGTTGGGGAGTCAGGCCTGGGCACACTGAAGGCCTCGGGGGCTGACTCAAGGTGCCCGGTGCCCGGGAGAGAAGGCCTCACTCCAATCAATCCATGCATTCAGGCCACAGCTCCTCAAGGCTTTGGAGCACGAGCCAGTCTTGTGGCAGCGCGGAGGGAGGGGCTCACCACGGTGGAGGCAAAGCCACTCACAGCCCGAGAAAGGCAGTGGCTCAGAATGTCTGGTGGCGGGGGAAGGGTGGGGGTGACAAGGAAGGCAGGGCCAGAAGCCCTGGGAAGGCCTGGTTGACCAGTTTGGAGGTGACAGGGACACAGTGGCCATGCCCATGGAAGGGGCCTTGGGCAGTCAGCGGGAGATGACCTTGAGGCTGACCTTCAAAGATGCGTCCCTGACAGGACCCCAAGCATGCCCCAGCTCCTCCCGTTAGCTTCTTCCATGGCAAACAGCACACATACCAAGCACCAGCCCTACCCGAGCAGGGCCAGGCCCATCCCCACCTCCTGAGTCCCCCAGCCCTGTCTGTGTGCATCCAGGAACCCGAGGCGGCGACGGCAGGCTGGGTTCTGGGACACAGTGCGATGTCAGCCAGTCCCCCAGTGCTACTACGAGCTAGATACTGGTGACTCACTTCCCAATTAGCCACGTCGTCACGGGAAGCGCAAGTCAGGCCTGCTAAGTATGCGTGTTTCACAGGGTTTACTCTCCAGCTCAGCCGAGAAGAGGCGGACAGCACAGCCCGCCTGCGGGCCCGGCGCCTTCCACACCCCCTTCCTCCTCAGCAGCATCGGGGCTGCTCTACCCAAGGAGGCCGGCACGCACTGTGTGCTCAGGGACACCTGGTCACCCGTCTGTGCAAGCTCACTTTGCTCCACAGTGGCCCAAGTGACCCGTCCCCTATTTGAAAACACACTAGAGGTGTTTGTCGAGCAATGTTTCAACTTCATTGTGTGAATTACAAGCAAAATCCCATCAGTCCCTTAGCCCGTGAAGCTGAAGCCAAAAGCAAACAAGCATCACTTTAAGCTGTTGTTGGTCAGGGACAGGGGAGTGGGGTCAGGGCCCAGACGAGCCTGCCATCTGCATTATGGGGCCTTGGAGTCTGAGGCTGGGATCGCTGATACAGAACTGTACAACCCTGCCGCGTCACCTCCGTTTTTATCATCCTAAAATTGAGGGTCTGGAAGACAATGAGCACCATCAATTTCGGGCTGGAAAACTGAGGCCCAAAGAGGAAAAGCCTTAACCTCCCCTCATCTTACCAAGCAAAGGGGTCTCTGAGAATTGCTGAATTTGAAGGGAACAGAAGGTGGCTTTGGTTTAAGACACATGGAGTCTGAGGATACAAAGGGAGGTGCGGTTCCAGCTGACCAGATCTGGAGCTGCAGGCAGACTCACGGGTGTGTGTGTGTTGGGAGTGCTGTCTAACACCCCGGAACGCACATTTGCACCACATAACAGAAGCACACTCCACGCCCCAGCCCACCACATGCACGACAAGGGGACCCGGGAGGGAAGGTCCGCCTTGCCCTAAAAAGAGGGGAGGAAGACGGCCCTGGAAACAGGAAAGTCCTGACTCAGCAACAAAGGTTGGGGGTGGCAGAGGTCGCCCCAGGCAGGAGGCTGCCCACAGGATGAGAATAGCCTGCCTGGAGGCAGCATCCAGTGTAGAGTGGAGCTGAGTGTTCTACCAGCACAGGCCGGCTGACCCCGGCGCCACCCCCCTGCGGAGGGCCCTACTGAGCCTGAGCTCAGCCAGGGACCAGGAACCAGGGACCAGAGTCAGGGGAGCCGGCTAGAACAGAAGGGCACGTCGGTGCTAGGCTGGGGGAGGCGCAGAGATGGACATAAAGCAAACTCTAGGCAACCAAGGGTCCCACCAGCAGAGCAGAACTTCCTGGGGAGAAATCCACTTAGGAAATGCGGGCTGTAGACACCACAGAAATCTCCAAAAATCACACTTGGGGACTCAGCCACCTCCTGGAAAGGCAGGCGTAATGAAACAAGCAGGAAGATGAGGGGAAAGGCTGATGGGCGCCGCCGTCGGTGCGGGAGTGTTTGATTGCCTCTAAATGGCTTCATCACCATCGGCAGCACGGTTACATGTGAAATGCGGAGAAATTAAGACAGAGAAGAGATTGCAAGCAACTGGTGAACCCTGCGCTGATTCCAAGCTCTGGAAACAGAAGTGTGTGGAAACGTGCAGAGACACCTCCCTCCCGGCAGACAGCCTTTCCAGCAGCTCCGCCGGTCTGGGAGGGGCTGCACTGAGCCTGCAGGAGCTGTCTCTGCACAGAGAAACAGTCACGGGAGGCAAGGGACACGCACGGGACGGGGACTTGGGCTGAACTTCCTCAGACCCCCACGCTGGCCCGTCCAGCTGCAGAAGTGGAGAAACCCAGAAACTGTAAGATTGCCACCCTGCTGGTATTGAGTCCACACCAGGAAATACCAGCACAAGTGTGCTTGCTGGGGCCACAGACAAGGTATAGGTGCGCTAGAGCAGGGCTTCCAGTGGGCTGATTGTCCCAGGGTCAGGCGGCAAGGTCCAGAGACATCTTTGGTTGTCACAACTGGGAGGAGGGGCCCCTGGCATCAAGTGGGGGGTGGCCGGGGTGCTCGCAAAGCCCCGCCATGTACAGGCAGACCCCTGCCACAGAGCATGGCCCAGCTCTAAATGACCCCAGTGCTGCCCTGAGAAACCCTGAACTGGGAGAAATTGGAACAAGTGCAACTTTAACGAGAACAAAGATTGGGGAGCTGTCACTGCAGAAGTCCAGAAAAAGAGGCCAAAAGGAGGGTTTGAGTTTTCCACTCTAGCAACGAGAAAAGTCCTACTAAATATACCTACCAATTCTGAGCTCTTCCCAGGTATTCCACATATTATTATTATTAATCAAACTGTTAGAACCAAAGATATCTTTGGAATCCAGGAGACTTAGTTTGCAAGAGGACAGCAGCCCTCCAGCCCCTGCCTCTTCAGCCCCACCCCTAGGCTTGCAGCCACTCCTACCCTCAGCCCACTCTTCAGCCCCGCCTCCAGGTGGGCCCCACCCCACTCTTCAGCCCCGCCTTCAGGCCCCCAGCCCTGCCCCTTCAGCCCCGCCCCCAGGCTTGCAGCCCCACCCCTAGGCTTGCAGCCTCTCCTACCCTCAGCCCACTCTTCAGCCCCGCCTCCAGGTGGGCCCCACCCCACTCTTCAGCCCCGCCTTCAGGCCCCCAGCCCTGCCCCTTCAGCCCCGCCCCCAGGCTTGCAGCCCCACCCCTAGGCTTGCAGCCTCTCCTACCCTCAGCCCACTCTTCAGCCCCGCCTCCAGGTGGGCCCCACCCCACTCTTCAGCCCCGCCTCCAGGTGGGCCCCACCCCACTCTTCAGCCCCGCCTCCAGGTGGGCCCCACCCCACCCTTCAGCCCCGCCTCCAGGCCTCCAAACCTGCCCCTGCCCTCAGCCCCGCCCCCAGGCCTCCAGCCCCGCCCCCAGGATTCCAGCTACTCCTCTGACCCTCAGCCCCGCCCCCAGGCCTCAGCCCCGCCCCCAGGATTCCAGCTACTCCTCTGACCCTCAGCCCCGCCCCCAGGCCTCCAGCCCCGCCCCCAGGATTCCAGCTACTCCTCTGACCCTCAGCCCCGCCCCCAGGCCTCAGCCCCGCCCCCAGGATTCCAGCTACTCCTCTGACCCTCAGCCCCGCCCCCAGGCCTCCAGCCCCGCCCCCAGGATTCCAGCTACTCCTCTGACCCTCAGCCCCGCCCCCAGGCCTCAGCCCCGCCCCCAGGATTCCAGCTACTCCTCTGACCCTCAGCCCCGCCCCCAGGCCTCAGCCCCGCCCCCAGGCCTAAACCCAGACTGATGACCCCTGGCCACTGGACACTCCAGTCTTGTCTTTCAAGCTTCTTGGCTGCGCTGAGGCGGAAATGCCGTCTTTTCTAGAGCTGTTCTACGAGTGCAGAAACAGGGGCAAGGGGCTGGCCCAGAAACCAGCAGCGAGGCTGCGGAGCATCCCTGAAGATGGAAGAACCCTGCCGGGCCCCGTGGGACCGCAGGCCCCGGCTTCTCCTCCCTGCGTCCTCCCTCCACCCAGGGCAAGGTCCGCCCATACGGGAAGGAGGGAGGCGCGGCCTGGAACACCGCAGGCGGGGGCGGAACGGGGCCATGGTCCCTGGCAGGGCTGATTTCCATGGATGGGCCACTGCTGGGGAGCCCCGAGCCCGTGGGGAGTGGAGCTGGCACCGGGAGGAAGCCCAGACCTGGAGTCAGGCAGGCAGGCCTGCAGTCCCTGTGCGGGACCAGCCCCACCGCTCCCCATAAGGAGGGGGCCTCCAGTCCAGCAGCTCCTCCCCTGGTGGCTGGGAGGTGAGGGGGCGCCAAGCCTCTTTCTGGAAGGTGAAATGCAAGCACAGCAGCCTGTTACTGTGTTAGTGGTATTGCTTTCTCTGTATTTTCTTTCCTATATTCATTCAGAGATCCTGAACCAAGCATGAAGATGCTGTGGGCGACAGATTCCTGCATGTGCCTTTAGGTGGCACAGCCTACGCCGTTAACCCCCAGGAAACCAGGGCCCCTGATGGCTGGACCACCCCGCCTGCCCTTCACAACTCTCCCTGCGGTGCACCTGCAAACCAGGACCACACAGCGCCCTAAACGAGCAGGCAGTCCCAGCAGAGGTAGAGCCAGACCCCTCTGTGCCCAGCTCTGGGTGGAGTGGGTGACGTCAGAAGACATCGCCTACCACAAGTGGGCCCTCCTCTGTCCCCCACAGCTGGTCAGGCGTCCCTGACTCCCCTGGCTCCTCTGCCTGCAGGGTTGACATCATTGTATAGAAGGGTTTCCACATCCACGTGACCTTCTGGAGCTTCAGCCCACTGAGAGCTGGGAGGTTCCCTGTGGCTGCCTCACCGTACAGCTCACTGCCCAGCAGATGCCGTGACCAAAAGCATCTGTCCAGAGAGCCCACAGTCAGTCCCCCGAGGCCAGCAGCCATGCCCCAAGCTCACAGCCCAACAGCTCACTGCCCAGCAGATGCCGTGACCAAAAGCATCTGTCCAGAGAGCCCACAGTCAGTCCCCCGAGGCCAGCAGCCATGCCCCAAGCTCACAGCCCAAAACAAGGAAGAAAGTGACCCCGACAGTGGCCACCACAACACACACGCACAGCACTGGAGAGGGGATGGGGATGCATGCTCAGGGGATGCCTCAGGAAGCAGGGGATCCTCTAAGACATGAGGTGGGCACTTTCTGGCCTAGCTCACCATGCCTTCCTGCATCCACTGCATTTAGGGAGTAAGCCGGGCCTTCACGGGCGATAGGAGCACCACAGCACCTATGTCCAATCCGGAGTATGTGGGAGAGGAATGAGCACAAGCAGCTTCCTGGGAAGCTTCTAGAAGGCCCTGTAGGCAGGAGGCTGCTCTCAGGATTGGACTCCAGGGCTGGACAGAGGGATGGAGACTCCCACCTGGGCCGGAGGGCTCAGCTTTGGGCGCCCTGAGTGTGGTGAGCCAGGGGAGAGGGTGAGAGCCGGGGAGGAGGGTCGAAGGCAGCCAGGTTCTTCCAAGGGAAGTTATGGTTCAGGGCAGGGGCCTGGAGGCGGAGAAGCCACTGAGGATGACGCTGCTACATTCAGGAGGGAGAGCAGGTGTGAGGTCTCAAGTGACGGCAGCCCAGACAGAGAGAGGACGGGCAAGATGTCTTTGGGACAACGAATGGACATGCCGGCTGGGTGCAGGGCCAGGGGCACAGGGAGCCCAGGGAAGGGAGAACAAGGATGGAGGAGCCTCCCCAGATGGAAACCAGATCCAGAGCTAGATCTTGGGCTGCCTCTCACCACCTCTGGGAGGTCCCTGACATTCTGAGGTGGCGGCTGGGTTGGGACACAGAAGGGTAGCATGAAGAACCCACCAGAACACAGGGGCCTAGCCCAGGCTGCTCCCCCATCATCTTCGGCCTTTGCTTTGTGCCGACTGACTGTCCCCTCCCCTCTGGAATGTCAGCTCCAGGAGAGTGACCATCTCTGCCCCCGGGGCTTGGCGCATGGCTAGAGCTCACCCAAGACTAATTAAATGAATACCCTGGAAGCCACGTCTCCAGCTTCACCCGCAAGCCTGCAGCCAGCTCCACCACTCCTGCCTCCTTCGAGCAGTGCTGGAAGGAGACCCGCAGAGCCAGGCCCCTCCAAAGCGGAGGCTCACCCCATGGCAGGTGACACGCCAAGGGACAGGGAGGCCTCTTCCAGGGAGAATCACTGCGGGGCTGCCATCCCACTGGGCCCAGACCCACCGTCCCGCAGGATGCTGCTGGCATACAAAGCTGGAACTCAGCCTCCCTGGAGCCAGGAGGACCAGGGGATTCCAGAGGAGTCCCGCTCGCCTAGTTGGAGATAAAAGTAATTCCACACCCGATTCCTGCCAGCCATTTTAATAAATAAGTAAACGCTACAAAGCCTCAGGGAGCCCTCTACCACATTCGCCGGGGTGAAGGAGAGACGAGAATAGTCGCCCAGATCTGCTGCCAGCTGCCAGGCCCGCTTCTGGAAAGCCCAGCACCGAGGCAGCTTGTGCTGCTGCCGTGAGTCTTAGCACATTCTAGGGCGGAGAAGTCCGGAAGGGAGGAGCAGGGTGGCTGGAGCTGCTGTTCCTGGGCTCCAGGCCTATCCAGGGCCTCCACAGAAACCATCCACACTGGGGGCAGATCAGGGGGCCCTTGTCAGTGGAGAAGCCCCAGGACCATGTGCAAGGCAGCATTTAAGAAGAGACACACCAGACGCTATGGGCCCCCTGCATCTGCACCAACACAGGCCCCTGACACAGCCTCAAGGACAGTTCTCCTAACAAACAGTCATCAATCTACAGGGCTTTCCACACCCCAGTGCTCACTCCGGCCACCTGATCAGATTCTGGTCCTCCTTGTCCATCTCCACCCTGAATGCTGGGGCTGGACCATCGCTGACAGTGCTCCGGGTGACAGGTGGCAATCTGTAGAGGTCATTAACTCCAGAGCGCCACATTTTAATGCAAAAAGGAGCCCTTCTAAATCGGCGCAGATGCGAGCCTATATAAAGAAATGGGGATTTTAATGTTTTGCTTTTCTTCCCTTTTCTAGTGCCACATTATCATAACATTTTCCCATAATTACGCCCATAAAAGTCACCTGAAAATGCTTCATGCCACAAAAGTTGATCTACATATTTCATTCCGAGCATGTCGAGTGGCAGATCCTGAGCTCAGAACTCTGGGGCAGAACTTAGCTGGGGAGCCTGGTATGGAAGAGACCCATCAGGTGGAGCCTCCTTCTTGGGTTCAAGTGTCCTCTGGCCTCAGGGAGGTCCAGCAGGGACACCTGTGTGGACAGTGGAAGAGTGGAGACCCCCCTTCTGGCCCTATCTCAGTGAAAGAGCAGGGGTGGAAGGTGGGAGGGGACAGTGGGGCACCGCCAGGATCACCAGGAGTAAATGCGGCTCTCCAGGGCACTGTCTAGAGCCGCTGGGAAGTCCCTTCCCCCAGGGGTCCCTTCGGAAGTCCCTTCCCCCAGGGGTCCCTGCGTGGGAAAATCCTGTGAGGGGACAAACCTGCCTCTTCCTCACTGAGCCTAGGGCATGGATGTCGGCTAAAAGAAATCCCAGAGACAGATAATTTATATTTATGGAGCTGAAAAAAAACAAACATCCCATCTTCTTGTGCCCCAAATTCATCAAATAAAAACACAGTGAGAATTTTTTCAAAAAAAGATGAGAAATAAACTTCTGAACGGCACCACTTCATTAAGCCTCCACTGTTTTCCATTTTACCTCTTCGAGAACTCCAGAACAAAATTTGAACAGCAGGAAAGTAACATATTCTAATCGCTCCTAAATATGCAATAAATTGTATTTATAAAGGAAATGCAACACTACAGTGCCTACGCTCAGTTAGGATTCTAATGGATTCAAAACAATTCCAAAGTTGTTTGTAATTTCTTCTCATAGTTATAGATGAGGACATGAGATTTAACTGGAAGGTACAGCTCAATATTGACGGGATTTATTTGGAAATTTCCATGTCCAGCACATAGTGAACCTGTCTGTCTTCCTCACTCTCCCTGGTACGCTGAAATATAGTCTGGGTCCCCACCATCCACCTGCTCGTGCTGAATAGGGCACATGGAATCTAGGCTAGTGCAGAGTGTCCTTCACCTTTGATTTCAACGCTGCACACAAGGACCGAGTCAGTGCTTAGGTGTCATAGGGAGTTGCCCCAGGTCCTCATTTGCTTCTCTCCCTTGCTGCTGTTCTATCCTAGATGCCAGGGTGGAAAGATCACATCTTCAGCGGCGGGCACAGAACACCCTCAACCAGCTCTAGCTGGGTCAAGAGGTCCCATTCCACATCTAGGCAAGAACCACATCTAGGCAGACAGACTTCTCTACTCCAAATACGCTAAGGGGAAAACAACCTATATCAACTCTTTTTAAGCCACACCCAGAGAGGTTTCCTCAGACCAGAATGGAGAAGAGCTTCAACTTCCCCATCAAAGCTCATCATCATGCAAGTCAACTTATTACCAACCATCCAACAACCCTCATGGGCAGCACCGGCCGCGGAGGAAACCAAGCCTGCTGTCACCGTGATGGTCGCAGACCACCGAGCATGCATTTTAAAGTGAGCCATCCAGGGCCCCTTTCCCCTGTTTGCGTCTCCTGGCACTTCTTCCCCAGGAGGAGAAAATGACAAGGCTGTGTCACTATAGCAACTAGCCTAATTGGTGGACTGCAGGTCTTTCTCCGGCCAGACGGTGGAGCCCATCTCCTTCTATATGGATCCCAGCACACGAGAAAGAAAGAAGGCCGGACTCTCACTGGGCCAAGAACAGTAGAATCCCCCCAACAGAAAACCAGGCCAAGAAAGAATCCAGTTTCCTCCTAGCTGCACTAGGAAGCCAGCACCTTATGTGTTGCAGAGAAACACACAGATTTAATAGGCAGGATAATTGAACGCTGTATGATACTTATCAGTTTCCCTAATTAATATGATACAAATATATCTGCTTCATAACACAAAGACATTTTGAGTAATAAAAATCCTTACTGATGACAAAAACAATTTACAAACGAGAATACGAACTATTCTTCTTCATCCCAGATCTATTGGAAGAAAGAATGAAAATCCTAGGAACTGTTTAATTTGCATTTAATTTGCTTTATCGGTTCTGAAAAAAGGGGGGGGGATTTTTTTTCTCTAGGACTGCAGTTCCAAGCTATAAATTATTATTATGTCTATTTTGTATTTTAGTGAAATGTTTTAATTTCTCCAAGTACATTTCTGGTGTAATGGGGTGTGTCTCTTATTGTCAATTATTCCATTACATGGAGATGGAAACAGCCATAAAAAATGTGCTTCACCCAAGCTTCTGTTATTAATTATTTCTGCTACTCTGGTAAGACCTTCTTACCAATTGTCCTTGTCCTGGCGAAAGGCTGTTTCCAGAACGCTGGGGAGGCCTCCTAAGGAGGAGGGATGAGTGTGGAAACCAGATCTCCCATCCTCAGCGTGTCTAAGCAGCAGGCTCAGATGTCTGTGCTGGGACACCAGGACTCCACTCGGCAGAGCAGGCGACAGTCTCAGGAAGGTGTGAGCCCGTCCGGATGAACAACGTGCTGACACCTTAGGATTCAGGATGCAGCGCAGGGTGGGAGAGGGCTGACGCTGCGTGTCTTGAGACAGTGTGTACCGCGCTCCTCGCGGGCTCGGGAAGTGCGGTGTTGAAGCCACAGGGCCCTGGTGTCAAGTACTTCGCAACAATTAGCAGTTGTTCTTTTCCACACCTGCTGAGCTGCTGGGGGTTGGGGGTGAGGTGTTGTCCTGGGTTCTAGCAGCCAGCCAGGGATGGGCCGCCTGTAGTGGGCTCAGGGCACTACAGCCCCTCCCCAAACACTGCTGAATGAGCCCCCTCTCCCTCTCCTCTCCTCTCTCTCCTCTCCTCTGGGGTGATGCCACCAGGAAGTGCATTCAAATGCCTCCTCTTCCGCACAGAGTTTACCTGCCATTAACCCTTTCTACATCTCCTAGGAAGCCTTGCTTGGGGATCTTCTAGGGAATCCCCCCACATACCCCTGCAGGCCCCGTGACGGCCGCGGAAAACTCGGGGGCAGGCACAAATGTCGCTCAAACCCCCAGACCCTGCTCCCTGCAGGCGGCCAGCCAGTGAGTTCCCAGGGGCGCCGGCGCACCCACGGTGGCCTCGTCTGCCTGGGCAGCTCGGGTTGAGACCCCCAGGCTTGGCGACCCCTCCCCGCTCGGTGCCACAGCATTTCTAGGGAAATGCATAACCGCGCTGAAGCAAGTAGGAAAATTCCTGCTCTGGTCCCCGGGTTTCCCTTGCGATCCTGGCGAGCTGGGCTGTCCCAGGACTCCGGAGGCCGATCCCGCGGCTGCCCGGGTCTCCCTGGGCCACTGTGCTCTCATTTTGGCGACAGCGGAAGGATCAGATCGGACTGGGAGCTTGGAGGCCCGGGGCTCTGGAGGAGGTGGTGTCTGTGGAGGGAGGTTCGGTGCTGGCCTTTTTTTTTTTTTTTTGTAAAGAATCCATATTTTTCCATCACCTCCCGCGCCCATGGCAATTCTCCATGACAGGTGCTCCCCAGCACCCGTCCTATTCTCCCGCTGAAGACAAGAAGCCCGGAGCTCCCGGAGCTGAAGCCGACCAGCCCGCGCCATCTGGGGCCAGAGCCTGTGCCCGGGACGCTGAGCGGCCCCCACTTACCCCACCAGCCGCGAACGTGCCCCGGGATGCTGAGCACCCTCCCCAGCGCCGAGGCTGGAGTCTGCACCCGGGACTCCAACCACCCCTCATTCCACCCGCCTGGAGCCTCGGCAGGGGCACAGGCCACCCCCCACCCTTCACTCCAGGCAACAGGGAGCCCGCGGCGGTCACCCCCTACCCCAGCCCTCAGCTCACGCCCGGGCGCCCACTGGCCCGCACCACCCCAGCCCGCGCCCGCGCCAGTCCCGCCGGTCACCAGCTCGGGCCCCAGACACGACCCGAGAAACGTCCGCGGCCGCGGCGAGCCCCCTCCGGGCATCCCATCCCTCACTTCGCTTCTCTTTCCAGAAGGCGCCTGACGAGCCCGTTTCCCGGGAAAGCGGAAGCTCCAGCTGCTCCTCCGAGCCCAGGCTGGGCTCCTGCCTGAAGAGCTCCTCTCCGGGCTCGGCCGCCGCCTCCCCCCTTGTCCCGGGCTGAGGCACGGGGAGGGCGCTCCGCAGACACCCCGGCAGCGCCGCCCGCCCTCCGCGACCTGCGGCTGCCTCCTGAGCGCGCATCTCGGCCGGGAAGCCGCTGGCTGGGCTCCGACCGCCGGGCAGGGACGGGCCGCGCCACCCGGGGCCTGGAGCCCGGGCCCTGCCGGGGAGTCAGGGAAGGGAGGCTCGGGCCGGGGCGTCCGACCCCGAAGTGCTCGAGCGCCCGGAACCCGGGTGGACCCTCTCGCCCGCCCAGCGCAGCGTTGGACCGGCCGGGACTCGGGGGACCATGCGCCCGGCGCTCGTAACTCCGCGCCGACTCCGGGAGGCCCGCGGGGCGCCTGCCGGGGCCGGAGGAGGGGGTCCGGGGCCCAGAGGGCCGTGCCGGGGCCGGGGCCGCGCGGTACTCACTGCAGTAGGCGATGAGCAGGCTGGCCAGGATCATGAACGCCCAGAAAGTTGAGGACATGCTGGGCAGGGCGGTCGCATCTTGCCGGCTGCCGGTCCTGGGCGATGGCGCCATTGAAGCCGCGGCGCCCGCGCGGGGGGCAGCAGCGCGTCTCAGCAGCCGGCCCTGCCCGCGCCCCCGCGCCGGCCTCCACGTGCGGGCCCCGCGCGCGCCATCCTCCGCCGCCGCCGCCGCCGCGCCCGGGCCCCGGCCCACCGCGCCCCGCGCCGCGCCCGCGCCGCCCGCGCTCGCGCCCGCGCCCGCCGACCCCGCGCCGGCCCGCCAGGGGGACGCCGGCCCCGCTCTGGGCGTCACTGCGCGCCCCGGCTACGCGCGCCCCGGCATCCGCGAGAGAGGCGCGCGCCCGCCACCGCTGGGGGCTCCAGCCGCCCGCCGACCCGGGCCTGGCAGAGGGGACGCGGCGCCCAAGCCGCTCCTCCGGATGGCGACAGAGACGGCCTGACGCGCCCGCAGCCTGGGCCCCCCACGGGGAGGACGGCCGGGCCAGGTGAAGTTCGCGCACTTGGGCCTTCCGCGCCCCCATCCACCGCAGCCAGGGCCTGGAAGGCTGGGGAGGGGGCGGGGGCGGCAGACGCCTCCTAAGGTGGGTTCTGGGACTTGGATCCGGAGTTTATTCCAAGGAGAGGGTGCTCTGGGCCTGTTCCCTAGGTGTGCCCTGTTACCCAAAATCGGGCTTGTGCAGTGGGGTCCCTGAGTCCACTGGGAGCACAGCCTCAGACCCCAGCAGAGTCACCCTTCATCGGAAGCCCACCACCCTGAGGGCTCCTCCTCCACCTGGGGCGGCACTGCCAGGCACAGGCACGCACTTTCCCTCAGTCCTCTGCCCCACGATCACTCTACTCGGGCACCTCTGCCACTGCCTGGTCCTTGCTGAGCCATCTCCTGGTTCATCTCCCTGGAGTCCCTGCAGGACCGGCTCTCAGTGGCGTCTCCGGGCTCCCAGTCCCAGGACTGGTCCTATCCAGGTGGGTTTTCTGAGCAGGATGACAATGATCGCAATCTATTTTACCTGCATAGTCAACGATCATCTGCAAGACAGGTTCACTCCTATAACAAGCAAAGGATGGGGGGAAAATGAGCCTTGTAAGGACACAAGGACACTTTCCCCATCTCCAACCCTCCTAGTCATGTCCCCTCTGCACCTCCCTCTACAGCCCAGGAGATACGCTCCCCAGTCCAGGATGTCCAGATGGCCCTGCTGCCTGGAGAGGCTCTGGCCCCTGCCGGTAGCTGCCACAGCACCACCCCAAGCTCTGCCTTCCTGCAGGTTCGTGCACACGACTAATAGAACCCCTCCTCTGGAACTCACAAGATATTCTCCATCCTGCATAGGGCTGGGGGCTTGAGCACCCCAGGAGATTCTTTTGGCGCTGGAGACCCTTTTCTGAGGAGCCAGTAGAGGGCCTGCAAGTCAGATTGAGCAACCAGGGAGAAGAAGCATCATCCCTTCATCTTGAGGCCTGGTCCAGGGAGGTGAAGGGATGTGGACTGTCCCCAGCCGTACACTCACCCACAACTCATGCATGCAAGCATTCATGCCCCAATGCACACACAGCACCACACACACACATATTTTCCTTGAATCTCTCTCTCTCTCTCTCACACACACACACACACACACACACACACACACTCTCCCATCCACACACACACAACACTTTAGGAGAAACTGAGCAAAGAAAGGCAGCCTCTCACTGCGAGTCCTCTAACCCCCGTCCCAGTGGTTGTTGTGCACTGAAGCTTCCTTGCCAGGGGCTCTGACGGGATTCTTGTGTTAATATGATTGTGTCCATGCTTGTTTTCTCCCATCAATTTTGAATCCTGTTTAATTAAAACGCTGACTTTCCTGTTTAGTATCTTCTCAACTGCAGCTTCTCCCCGCTCTCTTTCCTGGCAGGGAGGTGATTCTGCAGAAGTTGGGGCTCCTGACAACTTTGGGGTGGCCATGAGGGACGTACCTCTTGCCTCTGGATGTGCAGGGTGGGCCTGGGACCCTGGCAGGGAGGGGCTCCCTCAATGGGATTCTGTGGAGTCAGCCATTGATGCCCAGGTCTCCACCCTTACAATTTCATTCCTTTCATTGAAGCCTTTTTTCCTGCTAAAAAGGATGTGGCTTTTAAAATGTTACAGATTCCAATTCATCCTGTCCATCCCGAACTCCTGTGCCAGACATTCCTTCATTCAACCTCTGTTTATTGAGCAACTACTTGGGCCAGGCACTGGGACTGGGGAAGCCAACAAGACATAGATTTTCTGTCCCCCTGGAAAGTGACAGTCAGTTTGAGAAACAGACAAGGAAACAAACAATTCCAGTGCAGTGTGGCAAGCGTCACGATGGGAGGGAGAGGAGAGCACTCTTGGAGCACAAGAGAGGAGCATTTACCCTAAAATCACACTCTAGAACACAGCAAGGTGTGTGCCAGGGAAGGCTTCCAGGAGACTGGTTTCCAGGCCCTTTTGGTCCATCCTTAGGACAAACACACACACACATGCACACATATATGCACATACATGAACACACACACGCACGTGAACACACAGGCACACACATCCACACACACGCACATACATGCACACACATGCTTTAACACACATGCACACACGCATGCACAAACATGCTTGGAGTGAAACTTTCCGAAGCAATATTTACCCCAAAAATACTCTGATGTTTTCTATTGTATCCTAATTCATTTTTGAAATGCTGGTTGCCCTCCCAATAATTTGGTTTATAGTAATTTTCTTTCTTTAAAAAATATGGTTTGAAGAGAGATGCAGTCTACCTTGACTTTGGGAGGGTATATTGGAGGCTTCTTGCCAAAGGACAGGGGCTGTGGTGACAATGGGGTGGCTGGGGAGGGCTCCCAAGCAGAGGAGAAGGGGTGCAGTGCGGTACCCGGCCTGCTGTATCCAGGAACTCAGACACTGAGGTTTTTGTGCTCGCAACATTAGGGCTATGGCGGGGAACCTTGGGCTATGGGAGAGCAGTGCCTGGTTCATTACATGCTGAATATTTCCAGAAAAAGGGAATGGAAGGGGAGCCCTTGGTGCTTATGACTTGGAGTCTAGAATGGTGGAGAGTCTGAAAATGGTGACGCTAGAAAAGGTGAATTCTCCACCCCAGGTTACAAGTAGACGGACCTGAGGAGTGGGGAGGCAGGGGGGAGGTGTGGGGTCCGAGATCAGATTGAAGAGATGGGGTCTCCCTGGGACAGCAACCTTGAGGTAATTACAAAGACACCACCCCCGGGCAGCCCGAAGGCAAGGGCAGGTGCCTGGTCCAGCCCCATCCCGGCCTTGTTTCCAGAGGCCTGGAGAGAGAGACCAAGATGGAAATTGAGGATGGGGGGTGAGCGCAGCCTGAATTCGGTTGCTAGGGAACAGAAAGCTCTGCTCTGGATCGCAACACACGCTACGGATTGACGATTTTGTTGTTGTTGTTGATGGGCTGGTTTTGATTACTAGCCAGAACTGACAGGAGTTTAGATTTTGAAACCTAAATAAGTCTATTAAGGAATCACACCATCACCTTAACTCCTACCCAAAAACGCAGGGGATGGCAATGGTGTAACCCTTGAGGGAGTCCTCGGCTCTCACCCCACACCAAGCCACCAGTCCTGGGACTGCTTCAGAGGCCTGACCCATAGAAGGGGCATCCTGCATGGCGGGGCACCCAGGGTGTCGGAGGAGGGCAATAGAAAAAGGGGCGTTACCCAGAGAGGAGGGGCGGCTGACCAGGGTGCGGACCCAGGCACGTACTGCAGTCAGGTGGCAGCCTCGCTGTCCTCCTGGGGATGTGAGCCCACTGCTCGCTGTGTTCTGCTGTGGTCGGCGGGGGTGGGTTGTTCTCTCTCCACTCCTCCCTGCGGTGAGGGTGTTTTCTATTTGCCATTAGGTTGCGGGTGCCCAACTGACCAAGGGCTTGCTGAGATACTGAATTTGGAGCTGAATGTTTTCACGGGGTGAGATGTCAGGATGTCCCTGCTGATACAGTGGGAGAAAAAATGTATTTTATGCAAGGCCAGCGCTATCTCCTAAAGGAAGCACACAGGTCTCTGAACAGCAGGTCGCGAAAGGTGGGGGCTGTAGCGGGCTATTGTGCCTGCTCTCCCAGGGATCTGTGCCTCCCTCTGAAAACAATTGCAGGCTTTCACCTTCCACACACATATCCCATGTGCATTTTACCAAGAGGTTACTCTGACAGCTGGGGGAGGACCCAGGTTGGCAGAGAGAATTGAGCCAGCTTGGCAGTGGCTGGGAAGATCCAGATGAGAGCCGGGGTGGCTGGCTTCTCAGGAGCAGCTGTCAAGGCAGGGATGTGGGGGGCTTGGCAGCTATCCAGGAAGTAGAACTGACAGGCTATGGGGACTCCGGAGTGGTGGGCATGGCAGAGATGTCCCAAGTGACTCCCCAGGCTTCTGGCTAGAGAACCTGGGCATGGCTGGGTGTGGTGGTTCCCGCCTATAATTCTAGCACTTTGGCAGGCCAAGAGGAGAGGGTAGCTTGAGGCCAGGAATTCAAGACCAGCCTGGGCAACAGAGCAAGACCCCCATCTCTACAAAAAATCAAAAAGTTAGGCAGCATGGTGGCACACACCTGTAGTCACAGCTACTTGGGAGGCTGAGGTGGGTGGATCGCTTGAGCCCATGAGTTCGAGGCTGCAGTGAGCTCTGACTGTATAACTGTACTCTGGCGTGGGCGATAGAGGAGACCCTGTCGAGAAGGAAGGAAGGAAGGAGGGAGGGAAGGAAGGAGAAGGAAGAGAAGGAGGGAGGGAGGGAGGAGAGGGGAGGGGAGGGAAGGGAAGGGATTCAGAGGTTGAAGTGGGAGTATCACTTGAGCCCATGAGTTCGAGGCTGCAGTGAGCTCTGACTGTATAACTACTCCGGCATGGGTGATAGTGGAGACCCTGTCAGGAAGGAAGGAAGGGAGGGAAGGAGGGAGGGAGGGGGGAGGGGAGGGGAGTGGGGGAGGGGAGGGAAGGGGAGGGGAGGGGAGGGAAGGGATTCAGAGGTTAAGGTGGGAGAATCGCTTGAGCCCATGAGTTCGAGTCTACAGTGAGCTCTGATTGTATAATTGCAATCCAGTCTGGGTGACAGAGGAGACCCTGTCAGGAAGGAAGGAAGGAAGGAGAAGGAAGGAGAAGGAAGGAGAAGGAGGGAGGGGAGGGGAGGGGAGGGGAGGGAGGAAGGCAGGCAGGCAGATCAGGGAAGTAGCAGGGATAGCCGTTAAGATGGGCCCCTCCAGCTGCTGGGAATGGACTTGACCAGTAGAGAGCTCAGGCACTTCCTCAGCAGCTTCCAGGCCGAGAGAAGAGCTGCAGCATGCAGGAAAGAGAAGCACAAAAGGCCAAAAGACGCACAGGGAGGAGGGGCGAGGCCCAGCAGGCACAGACTGTGTGCCCCGTGAGAACAGAGGCCACTTTGGTGCTGAATTCTCAGCCCTGAAAACAGTGCTTTGCAGACAGTTGGTAAATGACATGAATGCACGATTGAATGATAATTATCCATTTTATTGATCCAGTGTAGTAATGACAATAAGTAATATTGATACATCCCATACTAAGGGCCAGGCACTAGTCCAAGTTCCCCCATATACTCACTCACTTAATCTTCATAACAGCCCTAGGAGGCAGTCGATACCTGGATTTAAGGACGTTGAACCTGGGGCAAGGAGGCCTGCAGGCAATTGTCCTGGGATTTGTAGGCAGCCATGGGAGCTGAGGTTGGGATCCAGGTGGTGTGCTCCAGAGGACCTGCCCTGACGGCTGTGCCCACGGCCTCTCATCACCAAATCTCGTTCATTAAAAAAATACAAAATGGGGAGACAAGCAAAAGGAATACAGAATGTTCCTCAATTCTGCCACGCTGAGTTCACCACATTTAGCATTTTGTTAATATCTTTCACATCTTTTTTCACATATATGTTCATCCTGTAAATATTTTTTACACAGTTTTCTTAGTACACAGTGAATATTATTTCACGGAATTATATATTCTTCCAGAACATTGTGTTTTCTGGCGGCCTGAAATTCTGTAACACATAAATACTGCCGTTTATTCAATCAACCTTGATTTTTGGACATTTAGACAACTTCTAGTGTTTGGAAAACACTTCAGAAATGAACACCCTTTTACTGAAATCATTTTCTATATTTATGGTTATTTACAGAAAAAATTACAGAACTGGAATTGTTAGGTCCAAATAAGGACACAATTTTGAGGCCTTGCTGTACATTGACAAATTAATTTCCAAAAATATTAATATTAATTAGCATCCCTACGGACAGTGCGTGAGAGGAGCCACGTCAGTCTGTTCGCGTCAGCACCAGATATCATCCCTGGTGCCAGTACCTTCGACAATTTTGCCCGTAGGAAGAAGTTTTACTGTTGTTTCCATTTGCATTCCTCTAATAAGGATTAACAATTTTTATGTATGTCATTTTAGTGTCTTTTGTAGATCAACTGTTTATATTCTTTTTCAAATTTTCTCCTAGTGGGTTTGTCTTTTATTATTGATTAGTAAGAACTCTTTCAATTTATTTGTGGGATATAGTCCTTTAATTTTGGGGGAATTTCAAACAGAAAAAAATAGAAACAAGAATATCATCATATAACAATATTGTTATAATCATATTACAAATCATTGTTTTCATTTGTCATTGTTGAATGTGTCACGTGACCATGTTTCCTCTTGGAGGTTTAAGTATGTTGTCAATGGGAATGTGCCAGGAGGTTCTCATCTTTTGTATCTTTCAATATTTTAAACAGCTTCGTGGAGGTGTATTGACAGGGGTTCTTCAGAGAAACAGAACCAATAGGCTGTGTGTGTGTGTGTGTGTGTGTGCAGTGATATATCACTTAACAATGGGAATATATTCTGAGAAATGTGTTGTTAGGCAACGTTGTTGTGTGAACATCATAGACGTAGGTACTTACCCAAACCAAGATGGTGTAACCTACTGCACACCTAGGCAATATGGTAGGTTGAGGCTGTTGCTTCTCAGCTACAAACCTGTACAGTGTGTACTGAGTACTGTAGGTGATTGTAACAAATAATATTTATCTATCTAAATATAGAAAAAGGTAGGTACAGAAAAATATGGTATTGTAATCTTTTTTTTTTGAGATGGAGTCTTGCCCTGTCGCCCAGGCTGGAGTACAGTGGTGCAGTCTCGGCTCACTGCAACCTCCACCTCCCGGGTTCAAGCAGTTTTCCCTGCCTCAGCCTCCCGAGTAGTTGGGACTACAGGCACCCGCCACCACACCCAGATAATTTTTGTGTTTTTTGGTAGAGACGGGATTTCGCCATGTTGGCCAGGCTGGTCTCAAACTCCTGACTTCAGGTGATCTGCCCGCCTTGGCCTCCCAAAGTGCTGGGATTACAAGTGTGAGCCACTGCGCCCGGCCAGTATTGTAATTTTATGGGGCCGCCATCATATATGAGGTTCATTGTTAACCTAAACATCATCATTCAGCACATGACTGTATATGTAAAGAGAGAGAGAGAGAGAGAGACTGTCTGGCTCATGGAATTGTGGGGACCGGCAGGTCTGGAACTTGCAGGGCAGGCCAACCGCTGAAGACCCAGGAAAGAGTTGATGTTGCAGATCAAGTCTGAAGGATTCTATAAGCAGAATTTACTCTCCTGTGGGAGATCTCAGTCTGTTTGCTCTTAAGGCCTTCAACTGATTAGACAAGGCCCACCCACATTATGGCAGGTCATGTGCTTTACTCAAAGCCTACTGATTTAAATGTTAAGCACATCTAACAAATACCTTTGCATTAACATCTAGACTAGTGTTTGACAAAACAACTGGCTACTGTGGCCTAGCCAAGTTGACTCATGAAACTAGCCATTATAGGAGGTGTAATTGGCCTACAACAAACTGCATATGTTTAAAATGGACAATTTGGTAAGTTTGGGCATATGCAGACGCCGGTAGAAACATCACCACCATCAAGATAATGAATACATCCATGCCATCACCTGCAGGTGTCCTTTGGCCCCTTGTCAGTCCTCCATCCCAGGAAACTATGGATTCTATCATTATACATAGGTTAGTATTTTCTGTAAGATTATAAAAAATGGAATTATCCAGTATATACTCCTTTTTTTTCTGACTTGGGTGACTCAGCATAACTATTTTGAGATTCATCCACGTGACTGCATGTATCACAAATAGTTCGTTCCTTTCTATTGCTGATCCCTTACCGTCGCATGGATAGACCAGGGGTCCATGTACTTACCTGTGATGGACATTTGGGTTGTTTACTCTTTTTTTTTTTTTTTTTTTTTTGAGATGGAGTCTCACTCTGTCGCCCAGGCTGGAGTGCAGTGGCGCGATCTCGGCTGACTGCAAGCTCCGCCTCCAAGGTTCAGGCCATTCTCCTACCCCAGCCTTTCGAGCAGCTGGGACTGCAGGCACCCGCCACCACGCCTGGCTAATTTTTCTGTATTTTTAGTAGAGACGCTGTTTCACCGTGTTAGCCAGGATGGTCTCGATCTCCTGACCTCATGATCTGCCCGCCTCGCCCTCCCAAAGTGCTGGGATTGCAGGCGTGAGCCACTGCGCCCGGCCTGTTTACTCTTTAGACTATTACAGATAAACTGCTGTGAACATTCATGCACAAGTATTTGTAAGAGCACATACTTTGTTTTTTTTGTGGATAAAGCGCAAGGGGTTGAATGGCTGGATCAGATGATAGGCATACATTTCACTTTTTACTGAACTGCCAAACTCCTTTCCAGTGTGATGGTACCATTTGACACGTGCCCCGGCCACATGAGGATTCTACTTCCTCTGCATTTTGGCCACGTCCTGGCATGGTGGGTCTTTCTGATTATAGTCATCCTAAGGGGTAAGAGGTAGTATCTCACATGGCATTAATTTGCTTTTCTCTAATGACTAATCATATTAAGAATTATTTCATGTGTTTATATGCGTCTTCTATGGTGAAGTACTCACAGTTTTCAATTTTCTTGATTTCTGAGATTTCTTTATATATTCTAGACACAAGTCTTTACGAGACAGATAACTTGCAAATATATTTTTCCCAATCTATGGCTTGTCATGTCATTCTCCTAACAATGTCATTTAAAAAGCATAAGTTTTTTATTTTGATAAATTCCAGTGTATCAATTTCTCCTTCTATGGATTGCATCTTTTAGTGTCATATTTAAGGAATCTATACCTAGCCCAAGGACATAAAATTTTAAGGTATATTTACTTTTATAAGTCTCATAGTTTTAGGTTTTACAGTTAGATCTGTGACTCATTTTGAGCAAATGTTTTAATGTTGTGAATCATAGACACAAGTTTAATTTTTTGCATATAGATTTTCATTTGTCTTAGCATAATTTGTTTGAAATATTATTCTTTCTCCACTGAATTGCTTCTGCCTCTTTGTCAATAATCAGTTGCCAATATTTGCTTGTGTCTATTTCTGGACTCTCTATTCTGTACCACTGATCTATTTATCTAACTTTATGCACACTGTCTTAATTACTAGAGCTTTAGAGTAAGTCATGAAGTCAGTTAGTGTTAGTACTCCATTGTTTTCTGCGTAAAGAGGTTTTTTGGTGCTTCTAGATCATTTGCATTTTCATATGCAAATTAGTATGTGAAATTAGTATGGATTCTTGGAAATTTACTTATACTTAGGGTTATAATTTCATACTGGGTTTTTATTTTGTAGCTGAGATGTTTGTAGCTCTGACCATCGGGAGCTCTTCCAATGGTGTCTTGTGTCCACTTGACACGCCCCTGGCCTTGCAGGGTCTTTTTTTTTTTTCCAGCACTTTTATTATTTTAAAATAGCGTTTTTCCATCTGTCCACCTGTCTGCATAACGAAGCGGCCGTGATAGCAGGCAGTGACCCGTGAGGACACCCTGAGTTCCTGCAGCGTTGGGAAGACCACACCTGCTGATTGCTGAAGACTTGGGCAGGCTTATTGCCAATGAAATTATATTTCCTGCCAGGTTCTTTTTCTGACATGATGAAAAGCCACCCAAGAACCCATCCTCAGCTCACGGGTCCTGGCCGCAGGCTCAGGGCAGGTCGGGATCGGTGGAACCCTAGAACCCATCCTCAGCTCACAGGTCCTGGCCGCAGGCTCAGGGCAGGTCGGGATCGGTGGAACCCTAGAACCCATCCTCAGCTCACAGGTCCTGGCCGCAGGCTCAGGGCAGGTCGGGATCGGTGGAACCCTAGAACCCATCCTCAGCTCACGGGTCCTGGCTGCAGGCTCAGGGCAGGTCGGGATCAGTGGAACCCTAGAACCCATCCTCAGCTCACGGGTCCTGGCCGCAGGCTCAGGGCGGGTCGGGATCGGTGGAACCTTAGAACCCATCCTCAGCTCACGGGTCCTGGCTGCAGGCTCAGGGTGGGTCTGGATTGGTGGACTGTTCTGTCACTCTTGGACATCGTCCCTGGATGAGGGTCTCCAAGGCTTGAGTCTTCATGGACAGGACAGTATTTCTGGTTTTCATTCAGTTTGGTGGCGCCCCAGGGGTTCTGGGGAAGAGCTTGGCCTCCACCAAAGGGGGAAAAAAGAGGTGGAGTTGGTGGCCAGAGGGTCCCACTCTTCAACCAAGTCTGCAGTGGTTGGCTTTGGGCATCAGGCTTCACTTGAAGGAAAGTTCACAGCGGGGTTTCTGGGTGTCCCTAGAGGAGGCCTGTCCCTTGGGTATGTCTGCCCTCTTGCTGTCCAGTTCTGGCCCCCGACTTCTGACCCAGCTGTACTCTTCCCCTGGGGAACTGCTCCTTCACTCCTTTGCCCATGCGTGTTGGGTGAGGCTAGTCCATCCCCGATGTCAAAGCTCATAGGGGCTCACGTGGGCTGGCCAGTGACTGGCTCCAGTATGAGCCAATTCCAGGGCTTTTGCAGAAATTGCTAGAAAAGGAGCACAGTTTCATCACTGGCCCTGCTACATGTGGGACCCAAGCCCAGAGCTGTCCAGAAGCACTGGGAACAGGGAGCCTGCCTGAGGACAGAGCCTAAGGTGGAAGTGACCACAGATGACGTCAGTCGGCCCCTGGGTCCTGCCCCTTGAGGATGCCCCCTTTTTTTCTGCTTCTCAGCATTTTTACGACTGTGCATAGACATTTCCCTTTACGAAGAAGTGGGTTTGAGTGATGTCTCCCACTAGCAATGAAAGATGCTAGCCACAACAAGGTCATTGGTCTAGGATTTGCTCAAGAACATAGCAAAATGTCCAGGACAGGGAGTGAACCAGGCAGCCTCTCTCCCCGCCGCTGGAGCCTCCCGCTGCCTCTCAGAGACCTCAGGGCGGTGAACTGGCCTCTGACCAGCCGCGGTGACATCCCTGCCTGCACACAGTTCAGCGGCCTCTCACTGGGGTGAGTGACATCTCCAGGGCTGGGTACACTGTCCCATCAGGCGGCCATCCATCGGCCAGACAAACCCCTGGGCACCACACCAGGAAGACCCCCGAGTTCCTGGGCCACATTCTCGGGAGAATCTGTCTCCCTTCTTGGACATTGAAGCTGAGAGATTTATGGGCCGAAGTTTTTTCAGGAGAGCTGTCTTTTGAATTATCGTGTAATTAAGATGCTAATGGCTGTTTATGGAACCTTCTCTTCTCAGTCCAAGTGCTTTCTGAATAATAAGGAACGTCCCTTTTGTGATGGTGGAAAACAGCACTGAGAGCAAAATCCTTCATTAAATCACCATTTGCATCTTTTTTCTCCTCTTATAATAAAAAGGAATTTTCTAATGCTCATTATTTTTTTGTTGTGTGAATAAATTGTAGGGAATTCTTCTACTTACAACCCATTTCTTTTGTGAATGAGGATAAACACCTTAATTCTTCATTGGGGCCTTGGAGGATGCCCCCAGAGAGCAGCTTCTTAACCAAGTCTTTTTTTTTTTTTTTAAGGAATTTTGCAAACTTCGTCCAGAAAAACATGCCAGGGCCTCCCAGGGCTGGCCTGAGGTCACCCTGTGGCCACTGGCTTAGGAGTCCCAAGTAACTCTGTGTTCAGGAGCCGCGGCCCGCCCAGGGCCCGCTGAACTCCGAGGCTGAGCCTGGGGCTGTGCACCAAGAGCCCGTCCTGTTCACTCTCCAGATGGGGCTGAGGCCAAGTGAAACAGTGCAGCCCGTTCAAGGTGACCCAGCGAGACGCAGGCAGGCCTGGGCCAGGAGCCAGGGCCGAGTCTCTGTCCTTGGCTCCTTTGCTGCAGCCCGAGATGGCTGCCACATTTTGTTACAGTCAAAGCAGATCTGGTCCCTCGCAAGCCCATTTCCTGTGGCTGCTTCCAGGCCCAAACCCGGCTCCGTGGCGAGGCAGCCCAGGACACCCCAGAAGGCCATCTGCGCAATTATAGTTGACAACCTAGAGTCCTGGTGATGGGGTGTGTGGAGTGGGATGACCCTGGCTGTCACCACTGCGGGTGGCCCCACACGCCACCATGGCTAGGCGGCATGGACCTGCCCACTGCCACCTCCCTTGAAAGGGCCAGCACTGCTGTTCATCACCAGGTGGCCAGACGAAAGGACCCTCTGAGACATCCCCTTTCACAGTCTCATGGGACCCAGGAGCCCCACGTGCCCTGTGCTCACGCCCTCCCTGGACTCCAAGAGCTCTGTGTCTGGGCCTCCCTATCCTCATGAGTCTCCACTCAGGGCACAGTGGGGAGAAACCAGCAGAAATTCAGGGCATCTGACTCAACCATTTTCCCACAAGCCACAGGGGCCTTGATCACAGAATTCCATGGCCAACAGGACCTTCGAGGCCAATTTGCTTTCTTTCCTCCCAGTCCAACTCCTGGGGCCAGTGGCAGATACAGGTTAGCAGAGCTGAGTCATAGGCGTGAGCCCCATCCAACCCACAGTGGTGGGGTCTGCATAGGGCTACACCCTGGCTGCCCCAGGTCCTTCTCCATCCTGCCTGGGGGAGGGGTCAGGCGCTCATGGCTGCCTGGGGCCTGTGGCACCCAGCCCCACCCTCCTGGGAGAGGCGGCATAACAGATGACCACAAAGCAACAGAAATTTATCCTCTCACAGCTCTGGAGACCAGAAGCCAGAAATCCATGTGCGGTGTCCACAGGGCCACGCTCCCGGGAGGCTCTCAGGAGGCTTCTCCCTGCCTCTTCCGGCTTCCAGTGGCTGCAGGAGACCCTGGGCTTCTAGATCTCTCACTTCAGTCTCTTCCTCTGTGGCCACATGGCCATCTCCTCTTCTCTTTGTGTCTTCTCCTTTTTTGTCTCTTAGCTGGACACCTGTCGTTGGATTTAGGGCCCAACTGAAGAGTCCAGGATGACACCATCTTGAGATCTTTAACTTAATGACAAAACCTGAAGACCTTTTCATCAAGTAAGGTCCCATTCACAGATTCTGGGGTCAGGACACAGACACATCTTTTGGGGGCCACCATTCCATCCACTCAGCACCTTTTATCTGACGAGAAAGGTTTCTCCATCTGTCTTTTCCAGACTGTGGCCAGGGCAGAGGCCAGAGGTTACCTACACGGACAGCTCACTGGCGCCTTCCTGTGTGGCGCTGTGCCCAGCTCCCATCTCAGCTGTCCCTTTTCCCAGGCAGTGTCCACCCCTTCCCTCTGTGCCCTCCATGGTCTTCTGTGACCTGGGGTTTGTTGTCAGCCAAAGCAATTTTTACCACGAGCTGTGGACACTCATGCAAATCACCTCACTTTTCCAGGTACAACTTGAGCTCTCATCTACATAACTGAAGGCTGCACCCAGGGCTGTAAAGAGTGAAAATGCATTGCCGAAGCATGAGCACCTCCTGCAGTTCTCAGTAGACATTTGGGAAGCGAGTGAACCGCCCTGTATGGAGTGTTTGGAGGAGGTCGGAGGGTGTCGGGCCTGAGCCAGGGGCTGCCCTGGGCCTGTGTCGGGTGGCGCATGCCAGAGGAATGAGATGGGAAGGGCATGCACGCGGGGTCTTGGCAGCCCTGGAGCTGGCCTAGATGCAGCAGCTTTCTGATAAAGCGAAATTGTTCCATCGGCTTGCCATGCTTTGCTTAGCCATCCGCACTTCACTGTTGGGCGAAAGAAGATTTTAAAGAACACCCTTAGCAGATGTCAGAGTTTGGGATTTGGGGTCCATGATACCCAAATAAGATTCCACTTGAAGAAAGTAACACGAATTGCTTTCAACACATCAATCAACAAAGAGCATTGATGGATGAAGAGGACATTGATAAATGGGATGTCTTTTTGCTGAAACTCTAACTTACAGTAAAGGGGGGAAACTCACAGAAGCCCAGTGGAAGCTTCTGGAGCCAGGAGCTACACTGACTCTCTCCGCAGAGGGTGTGGAGGGGTAGGCGGCAGTCAGCCCCCAGCCCAGAGTGGAGGGCACCTGGGCACATGTGTGATCAGAGCCCACATGGAGGGAGGCCAGGGTCCAGCTTCCCTTCACTCTGGGAACATGGGAGGCCCTGTCCCCAGGCCATGGCACACAGAGGGAGGAGCAGGAGCTCTGGCAGCCTCAGAGGTGTGTGCCAGGCCGCAGCCTATTGGAAATTCCTCAGGAGTGCATGGCCTGGGGTCCCCCAGCCTGCGGGAGGCAGAGGGGGCGAGGCCAGGTCCCCCGGCCTGTGGGAGGCAGAGGGGGCGAGGCCACGTCCACCAGTCCGAAGCCTGTCCTGCCCAGCTTGCTGTGTGACTCTGGCCTCGGGGGGAACATTATCTGAAATGTACATAGTGGAATCCAGGCAGTGTTCACCCCTTCCCTCTGTGCCCTCCGTGGTCTTCTGTGACCTGGGATTTGTTGGTCATTGGCAGAAACAGAAGATGCATTATTATTACTGTAAAAGGTAAAGTTGTCCCCTAACTGGCTCAACTGTCCGAAGACCCCCCTGCTTTTTCTGCTTTTCCTTGTGACTCAGCCTGGTCTTTCTTCTTCCAGGGTGGCATCCCACTGACTCCTACGCAGCCCCACCCTGGTTCCCTCACTCCCAGGTTCCTGGTCCCTCAGGGTCCTAGGGCTGAGTCCTCCATAGCCCCCACACACAGCCCAGAGCTGGGACTGACCCACGGCATAGGACAAACTCCTCCAGGCCTCTGAGAGAACTCCTGGGCTTTCATCTACATGATTCAGAAAGAATCTTTTTTCTCTTTCAAATGTTAATGTTTTTAATTTCCTTTTTTTTTTCATTTTTCATTATAACTGCTAAGATTTTTCTAATTGGCATGCCAACTGCTTGCAGACTTGACCTGTTTCTTGCAAAAAAAGAAAATCGCTTAATCATTAAATACAATTATTACTTCATTCTTCTATCTCTTCAGTCTACCAAACTATTATATACTCTTGATGATTGTCATTTTCGTCAAAAGAAAACTGTATCCAGAATCCCATAACACTTACAAATTAAGTGTCTTAATTTTTCAAGTTCTTTTGGGGCTTGCCATATGAGTGTATTATTCTTGCATATTGCACATTCATTTTCTATTATTTTTAATACATAATTCTACAAAATAAGCATTCTTCATGATATATATTTGTTTGAGAATTTCTTAATAAAAGATGGGAGTATTTGTTACTTAAAATTCTATCACTTAAAAGCAATTGCAAGGGTTTCCTATGAAGACAGGATAGAGAATCCACCTTGTAATAACCTCCTTTGCTCCATACTCATGATGCCTCGTTCAGAAAAAAACCCAAAGAATAGCTGGTCTCCTTAGTCCAGAGTCGGGTGCAGGTGGGCGGGGTTGAATCCTGCCCAATGCTGGTGACCGGAAACATCAGAATGGAGGGTAGAGGCAGGCTCCCTGCCTACAGTGGAGAGGTGAGGTGACCTCATGATATCAGAGTGGAAACTCGCTCTAAAGTCCAGGAGCGGCTGGGTGCGGTGTCTCACGCCTGTAATCCCAGCATTTTGAGAGGCCGAGGCAGGTGGATGGCCTGAGGTCAGCAGTTCGAGACAAGCTTGGCCAACATGGTGAAACCCCATCTCTACTAAAAATATACAAAAAGTTAGCTGGATGTGGTGGCAGGCGCCTATAGTCCCAGCTACTTTGGAGGCTGAGGCAGGTGAATCGCTTGGACCTGGAAGGCGGAGGTTACAGTGAGCCGAGATCACACCATTGCACTTCAGCCTAGGCAACAAAAGCAAAACTCCATCTCAAATAAATAAATAAGTAAATAAAGTCCAGGGTATACAGTTAGAGGTGAGCCTTAGGCACAGAGAGACCGCATGACTGGGATCTGAGCCCAGCCCTCCTGGCACTGTGGATGGACCCGAGACAACTGCAGTATCCCTGCAGGAAGTCACACAGATCCTATGGAGAACCCGGGTCAGGATCACGTGGAGGGTGCAGTGGAGGGACCGTCCTTAGACAGAGGCAGGAGGAGGAGAAAAAAGAGAGGCACAGAAACATAGGGAGGAACACCCCCCCAAACTTCTCCCACTCAAATTTGGCTTGGAGGTCCAAACTGAGATAGGCATAAATGAATATAATGATAAGAAATAAAGAACTGTAACCAAGAAAACCAACTCTTGGAACATAAATTGACTCTAGGTAAAATCATTCATGTCTTTACATACAAACAGAGGCTTCAAAATAAGCTGAAGGTGTTTCAAGAGAGAATTGAAGGTGAAATCATATTTACAAATGCACAAAAAATAATAAAAAACAGACAAAAGGCAATGACGTGTTTTTGTGAAAAGCAGCTAATTGGAGATCTTAAACATGAATTAAAAAGGAGTCATTGAAATACATTTTATTAAAAAAGCCATATATGTGTGAAAGTCTAGCCTGCCTGAATGCAGTCAAAGTGAGAAGTAGTGAATTGGAAGAGAGTTCAAAGGGAATCATCCAAAATACAATGAAGTTACAGCCAGATGCTGAAATGAGCCCATTTTCGTTTTAGCATAGATACAAAGATAGTAAATTCTACGTTTCAAAGTGAGATCACCACTTAGAAATTTAAGCTGATGGACCGGGCACGGTGGCTCATGCCTGTAAACCCAGCACTTTGGGAGGGCTAGGTGGGTAGATCATTTGAGATCAGGAGTTCGTGACCAGCCTGGCCAAGATGGTGAAACCCTGTCTCTACTGAAAATACAAAACTTAGCCGGATGTGGTGGTGCATGCCTGTAATCCCAGCTACTCAGGAGGCTGAGGCAGGAGAATTGCTTGAACCCGGGAGGTGGAGGTTGCGGGGAGCTGGGATCATGCCACTGCACTCCAGCCTGGATGACAGAGTGAGACTCTGTCTCAAAAAAATAAATAAATAGAAATTTAAGCTGATGGTGGAGAATGAGCCAAGAGTTCTGAAGCACACTGCCAGTATCAAGGATATATAAGGTCAGGGAGGGAAGGAGGGATTTTGAGGAGGATTTTTAAAGAGACATATTAATGTCTTAAATTTTTCCACGATAACTACTGACCCCACTTTATTAAGCCCTACTTTCATTAAAAGAAAGTCAGAAAAATATACTGAAAAAAGTCCAAGATCCATTCGGGATAGAAACTACTCAACAACCAGGAGTGGAGAGTGGCTTCTCAGCCGGAGGAAGGACATCTACCAGGGATATGAACAAGCGCGTCGTTAGGGGTAACATTTTAAAAACATTCTTTTTGAAGCCAGGAATGAGACTTAGGACCCAGCTCCAACTGTTCCTCTTCAAATTTCCCTGGACTCAAGCCAATGTAATAAGGCAAGAAAAAATAGATTCAAAAATTATAAAAATAAGACAATTTATTTGCAGACGATATAATTGTATACATGGACCATCAAAGAAACAAAACTACCAAGAAAGTTTCTGGATATGTACTTTTAAAAAATGTCAGTAGCATTCCAAATGGTAAAATAAATAGAAAATACAACAGGAAACAAATTTCCATTTACCTTTCCAACAAACTACTAGATGCCAAAGATTTACCAGGCCCCTACAAGCAGGATTAGGAATTCCAAAAGACATGCAGTTGGCCCTCCATATCCGTGGGTTCCACATCTGTGGATGCAGATCAAAAATATTTCAAAAAGTGGATGGTTGTGTCTGTACTGATCACATATGGACCCTTTTTCTTGTCATGATTCCCTAAACACTACAGTTTAACAACAATTTCCATAGCATTTACATTTATTAAGCATTGTAAGCAATCGAGAGATGATTTAAAGCGCACAGAGGATGTGTGGAGGTTATACGCAAATATTATGCCATTTTCTACCAGGGATGTGAGCATCTGGGGATTTTGGTGTCTGTGGGAGGTCCTGGAACCCATCCCCATGGATACTGAGGGAAGATTGTGCATATAGCTCTGGCTGGATGACTCGGTGTATTTATGGATTCAAAGTCAGTAGCATGAACAAGTCAATTTTCCTTAAATTAGTCTATAAATTTAATGTAAGTCCATGCAGAATTCCAATAGTATTTTTCATGGAGCATGACATTTATTATCACATAATAGAGAAGGGCAAATAATAGCTGAGTTATTTGTGAAGAAGAAGAAGAAGAAAAGAGGCATGTCCTACCAAATATCAATATACACTAGAAAGCTATAGAATTAAGACAAGGTACAGAGTGTACTGTGACAAACAGAACCGACAGAAAGAAACAGCCCAGGATGCACCCAAGATATGTGAAATCAATATATGGCAGGGGTGCCATAACCTCAATGAGAAAAAAATAGAAGTTTTTTTAATAAAATGGTATATAATCAATATAATAATGGTATATAGATAATCAATATGAAAAACATTATTTTATATTATACTTAAAAATAATATTTGGGTATATTGAAAATTAATATTAAAAGGGGACATTTACAATATTTAAAAGAGGCTTCTTTTGATAGTTATATATTGGACAAAACATCCTGCTTTAATATACTTCAGAATGGCGGATAGAGTACAAAATATATGCTTTTAAACACGAATCTTTACCAAACCAAAATAGTAAGAACAATCTTCAGAAATAAAACGTAACAGGAAAGCATAAAAGCAGGCTCTGGAGACATCGGTGGCCCATCAAGGCAGTTGTCAGGCACAGTCACATGGAGTTTGGGTTTCTAACAATGGCGCAAGACCCAAGGTGAGGAGATAAATAAGGATCATTGTGTGTGGTTGGAAGACTCAAATAGCTACCGTCAGGAAAAGGGGAATTTAGAGAAAAATCTTCCCTGCAAAAGAGATAGCAAGCACATTTGTGTTACTCAACTCTGGCTCTGGGTAGAGGGCAGGGAGGGGGGTTGATTCCTTTGAAAACTCAGACCTCAAAAATCCAGAGAAGGGTTAGGGCTTTAATTTTCTGCATGGTCCAAAAACACTCTAGCAGATGAATTTCTCAGTCAGGCCCAGGTTCACGGGGCTCACTGAAGGAAAGGCACTATTTTATGTAGTTAGACACCCACAACCCAGGCCTCAGAATCTGTCCAGAGAATGATCCGTTGGAAACCCATAAACTCACACAAGCACAGAATACCACCAGATAGGGAAACAGAAACAGCACTGCCTTTGTCCTACAATGACTCCAGATGTGGGGATATACAGATTCTCAATAAGCACATTTCATGTGTTTAAGTGGAAATATGAAACATGCGCAGGGAACAAGATACTATTAGCAGCCGGGCGCAGTGGCTCACGCCTGTAATCCTAGCACTTTCAGAGGCCGAGGCGGGTGTATCACTTGAGGTCAAGAGTTCAAGACCAGCCTGGCCAACATGATGAAACCCCATCTCTACTAAAATACAAAATTAGCTGGGCATGGTGGCGGGCGCCTGTAATCCCAGCTACTTGGGAGGCTGAGACAGGAGAATTGTTGAACCCAGAAGTCGCAGTTTGCAGTGAGCCAAGATCATGTCATTGCACTACAGCCTGGGCAACAGAACAAGACTCCGTCTCAAAAAAAAGATACTATTAGAAATGAGAGCTGACCCATAAAGCCAGAAAGTAGCTTGGCAGTTATCAGAGGCTGGGAAGGGAAGTCGGTCAGGGGATGAAGAGAGGTTGATTAATGGATACAGATATATGCTTAGACAAAAGTGATAAGACCGGGTGTTCCATAGATCAGTAGGGTGACTATGGTTAGCATTAATCCACTGTACATTTCAAAAAAGCTAGAAGAGAATGACTCAAATGTTCCTAGCATACAGAAAAGAAAATATCTCAGGTGATGGATACTCAAATTGCCCTAATTCGATTATATGAATGTATCAAATTATCTCATGTACCCCCAAAATGTGTACATCTAAAATATGTACAACTATCAATTCAAATAAATACATTAATTTAAAAGTGAGAGCTCAGTTGGAAGAAAATTAAGTCAATAGAAATGAAAATTGTAATAATTTAAATTAGAAGCCAAATGGACAGATGAAATACTAGAGTTTGAAAAGCGGGCAACTGATGTAAAGAAATAAGGATAGTGGGCTGGACACGGTGGCTCACGCCTGTAATCTCAGCACTTTGGGAGGCCGAGGTGGGAAGATCATGAGGTCAGGAGTTCGAGACCAGCCTGACCAACATGGTGAAACCCCATCTCTACTAAAAATACAAAAAAAATTAGCCAGGCGTGGTGGTGGGCACCTGTAATCTCAGCTACTCAGGAGGCTGAGGGAGTAGAATCGCTTGCACCTGGGAGGCAGAGGTTGCAGTGAGCCGAGATCATGCCACTGCACTCCAGCCTGGGCAACAGAGCAAGACTCCATCTCAAAAAAAAAAAAAAAAAGAAATGAGGATGTTGACCAAATATGATCTGGTGTTTCAAGTTTCTCAAAGGAGTCAGAACTTTGATGAAGTCAATGAGAGTAATGCTGCAGGATTGCCTGAATTCCACAAAGTCACTGACAGGTAAGGACTTCAAAGAGTTAACTATGGAGAAAAAACAAACAAATTTGCCAACAGACACAAGGCAGGTGTGGTGATATCAGGGCCAAGAGAGGCCCTTGGGGAACCTGATGAAGCCATTCAATATTGCATAAAACTACGTTCCTGCCCTGAAATAGTGGAAAAGGTTTCTACCATCATAACGTTTATTTGGAAAAACCACGCTTGAAAACCCAGAGTCAACATCTGAGTCTTCGGATAATGAGTTGCATTAAGAAATTTATATAGCACAAAGTATAGAACAAAAATTTTGTTCATGGATTTTACATATTGTTAAGGGTAAAACACAAATTAAATGTTAAAATAATCTGCTCTGATCTTCCGGGTTTTATTTAGATTGTTTCTAAGTGAGTGGGCCTTGTTGACAACTAGTTTTTCTTGATCTGTGGCTGTCTTCTGTGCTGACCATTCACCCTCTGCAGAGGCAGCATGAGCTTCCATTTCCCCCGAGGATATGGGAGTGCTTGATACTCCTCCGCCCACAGCTGTTAAACCACTGGTGATCTGCTGGGTGAGAAAAACACACGTGTTTTTGTTTTTGTTTTTGTTTTTGTTTGTTTGTTTAATTTTGGCTGTTCTTATTTGAATTCCAGTAATCATAAATAAGATTGATTCCATAAATCATAAATAAGATTGAACACATTTTCATGTGTCTGATGTACATTTGTCTTTTTATTTTATTTTATTTTTTGAGATGGAGTCTCGCTCTGTCGCCCAGGCTGGAGTGCAGAGGGATCTCGACTCACTGCAACATCCGCCCCCCAGGTTCACGCCATTCTCCTGCCTCAGCCTCCCGAGTAGCTGGGACTACAGGCGCCCACCACCACGCCCGGCTAATTTTTTGTATTTTTAGTAGAGACGGGGTTTCACCGTGTTAGCCAGGATGGTCTCGATCTCCTGACCTCGTGATCCGCCCGCCTCGGCCTCCCAAAGTGCTGGGATTACAGGCGTGAGCCATCGCGCCCGGCCACATTCGTCTTTCTTTTTTTGAAAACTGCCTGTTTCAGTTCTTGGCCTGGGGTTCTTTTGGGTTGTTTATCTTTTGCTTTTGATTTGTACAAGCTTATTGTAAATTAGGGACAGCCATTCGTTTGTCATATGTTTGTATTGCAAAACATTGACCTTTCAGTGTTTGTGCTTTGTCATTGTTTCTGTCATCTTTAGGGCTGCAAAAAAAGGTTTTACAGGCCAGGCACAGTGGCTCACGCCTGTAATCCCAACACTTTGGGAGACTGAGGCGGGCGGATCACGAGGTCAGGAGATCGAGACCACCCTAGCTAACACGGTGAAACCCTGTCTCTACTAAAAATACAAAAAAAAAAAAAAATTAGCTGGGCATGGTGGCGGGCGCCTGTAGTTCCAGCTACTTGGGAGGTTGAGGCAGGAGAATGGCGTGAACCTGGGAGGCGGAGCTTGCAGTGAGCTGAGATGGCGCCACTGCACTCCAGTCTGGGCAGCAGAGTGAGACTCCATCTCAAAAAAAAAAAAAAAAAAAAAAAAAAAAGGGTTTTACATTCTATGGGGTTAAATAAGAGACCATCCTTTCTCCATTTCATCTCCTTTGCACCTTTGACATAAAATCAGTCCATAGAGTAAGTCTCTCCATGGACTCTATTCTGTTCTATAGCTGTATTGATCTATGCTTATAAAACACAGCACTATCTTCATGACTGCAGCTACAGAGTAAGGCTTTAAGTCTTAAAATCGGGTAGTGCAATTTCCCTAATTTCATTCTTCTTTTCAAAAAAAATTTTTTTTTTTGGCTATTCTGGTTCCTTTAGTTTCCTGTATAAACTTTAGAATCAGATACAAAAAATCCTTCTGGCACTTTGATAGAAATTGCATAAATAACCTGCACATTGTCAGTCATAAGTATTTTATATTTTTGATGCCTTTGCAAATGGTGCTTTTAAATTTTAATTTCTAATTGCTCATTGATAATATGTAGAACTACAACTGATTTTGTACATGTATCTTGTATTCTGCAACTTTGCAAAACTCATTTACTAGTGAAGTAGCTTGTTTAGTGAAATATTTCTTGGCCATGATGAATTCTTTCAGCATTTGTATGTCTAAAGCAGTATTTTGTCTTCATTTTTGAAAGACATTTTCACTGGATATAGAACTGAGAGTTGACATTTTTTTTTACCTTAAAGACACTGTCCTACTGACTTCTTGCTCGGATGGTTTCCGATGATAGATCTGTTGCCGTGCTGACCTGTGTTCTTCTGCATGTAATATAACTTTGTATCTTGCTGCTTTAAAGTTTTCTCTTGATCAGTAGTTTAGAACAATTTATGAGGATGCAGCTGGTAGTTTTCTTATTTCTTAATCTTGGGGCTCACGAGCATCTTGTGTTTCTGGGCTTAGAGTTTTCCAGAAATTCACGAAAATGTCAGCCATTATTTCTTCAAATATGTTTTCCTTTCTTTCCTGTCTCTCTGGGGACTCCAAGGACAAATATATTAGGCTACTAAAAAGTTTCTCGGCCGGGCGCGGTGGCTCATGCCTGTAATCCCAGCACTTTGGGAGGCCGAGGCAGGTGGATCACTTGAGGTCATGAGTAGGAGACCAGCCTCCCCAACATGGTGAAACTCCATTTTACTAAAAATACAAAAAACTAGCTGGGCATGGTGGCAGACACCTATATTCCCAGCTACTCAGGAGGCTGAGGCAGGAGAATCGCTGCAACCTGGGAGGCAGAGGTTGCAGTGAGCCGAGATCATGCCACTGCACTCCAGCCTGGGAGACAGAGCAAGACTATGTCTCAAGGAAAAAAAAAAGTTTCTATCATTCACTAATATGCTGTTGTTTTAGTTTTTTCTCTATACATTTCATTTTTGATAGTTTCTATTGCTATGCCTTCATGTTCACTGATATTTTCTTTCACAATGTCTAAGTTTCCATTAATCTCATTCAGTGTATTTTCATCTCATACACTGCAGTTTTCATGTTTGATTTGGTGCTTTTTAATAACCTCCAAGTCTCTGCTTAACATGCCCAATCTTTGCTCTAGTGTTTGAACTTGTGGTTGGTTATAATTTAAATAACTATATTCATGTCTGTTTTGGCCAATTTTAACATCTGTGTTGGTCATGGGTTGATTTTAGTTGATTTTTTTTTTTACTCTTCATTTTGCACTACCTGGTAGTTTTTTTATTGGATGCCAGATGTTATGAATTTTATCTTCTTTGGTATTAAATTTTTTATATTCCTACATTATTTTTGAGCTCTGTTCTGATATACAATTACGTTACTTGGAAATAGTTTTATCCTTTCAGGAATTGCTTTCCCCATTGATTAGGCAGAATGAGAGCAACATTTAGTCTAGGGCTAATTTTCCCCTATTCAGAGACATGAGCCTTCTGAAGAATCTCCTCAATGTTCCAGGAACTCTGAGCTCTTCTCGACGCCTGGTGAGAACGGGCGATATTCCCATCCTGGCGAGCTTGGAACATCGTTTCCTTCCATTCTTCCGGGTGGTTCTTGCTCTGACTTTGTAGCCAGAGAAGTACATATATGTAGCTTCCTCACATACATGTGCTGATCAATATTCAGTGAACACTGAGGCGTAGGTAGCTTCCTCACACACGCGTGCTGATCAATATTCAGTGAACACTGCGGTGTAGGTAGCTTCCTCACATACATGTGCTGATCAATATTCAGTGAACAGTGCGGTGTGGGGGCCTGGAGAACTCTGGGGCCCACTCCCGGTGCTGCCCTCCCCTCTCATGAGCTCTGTCCACTCAACGCAGGGGTCCACCAGTCCCCATGTGGATGCCCCTCAGGGTACTGTGGCTGGAAACTCTTGGCAGTGGCTGAAGCAATCACAGAGGTCACTGCACTGGTTTCCCTCCTCTCAGGGTCCCCGGTCCTTCCCAGCCCGGTGTCCAGTGTTTGGAAAATGATTTTTTCATGTATTTTTCTCTGGCTTTATTGCTTCCGGTCAGAGGCTGAGCCTGGTCCCTTTTGCTCCAACTCAATCAGAAGCAAACAACAACCCTGCCTTCAATACTGAATGTTTGAAAAGATTTGCCAGTGTAGAAAATTAATATGCGTCTTAAGTCCACATGAATATAAATAAATGGCCGAATAAATAAACAAATAGAGGAGGAGACACTAAACTTTGCTGTAGAATTCTGATTCTATGTAGCTACTCCTCGTTATCCAGGAGGTGGAGATTAATAAGCTCCTCTCTTCTCCAAACAGGGGAGCAGGGTCAGACTCAATGACTAGTTTGCAAACAATAGGCTCAAAAAGGAACCACAGGAAGCTCACAGTGGAGAATCCCGGCAGATGCCTCCTTAACCACATGATGAAGGTCGGCACCCCCAGCAATGGCAGGTGGAAATCACGCACCCCCGGGGCGGTGTGCTGAGATAGGCATTTCCTTTCTGTGGTGTGATTTCCAAGAAACAGCAGGTAAACCCAGGCTCAGGGACAGTTCACAGGACGCGTGGCCCGTACTGCTTGGGACCGTCAAGGTCATGACAAACAAGGAGAGATGTAGAACCTCTTGCAGACCAGAGGAACCAGATTGTTTTGACAAGTAAATCTGATGTAGGGCTGTGGATGAGATCCTGGAATAGAATGAGGACATTAATGGGAAAACTTGTCTGTAACCTTGAGTTTCATTAAAAATATATATATATATTTGAAAGAAAGCCAAGATTGCAGTCCAGGAAGAAAAGGGGAGGCTCTTCAATAAGTGGGGAGGGATTAGCTGAATATCTGTGTGGGAAAAGATGCATCCTGACCCCTGCCTTTTACCTTACATAAAAATCAATTTCAGATGTATTACCGTTCTAAATGTGAAAACAGGAGCGCTTTTAGAAAAAAGTGTAGGAGGGCATCTTTGTGGTCTTAGTGGGGGCAGGTTTCGTAAACAAGGCCTAGGAAAGTGGATGCGTTGAGTTACATTAAAATGAGGACGTTCCGTTTATTAGAAGATGCCATTAAGAGAGGGAGAGGACAGCTGTTGGTGGGCGGGGATACTGACAAGGCAGGTTTGCAACACAGGACTCGTAGCTAACGTGTGTAACGAACTTCAGATGGGTAAGGAAGCAAGACAATGCAACACGGTGGCCGGTGCCTGTAACTCTGGTCACTCGGGAGGCTGAGGCGGGAGAATCGCTTGAACCCAGCGTAGTGTCTGGTGCATGCACCCATTCTCTGGATGAGCAGGCAGCAGGCTCCAACTGGGCACTACCAAGAGAAGTGCTTCCAGAATATTCCAGAAAGTGGCTGTTGGTAAACACACAAACCCATTCTATTGGGTTTTTACCCAGGAAGGGAACCGCGTGGGGATGGAATGTGCTTGGTTCACATGGAGGATAAGAGGTGGAGGTTGCTGTGAGCCGAGATCGCACCACTGCATTCCAGCCTGGGTGACAGAGTGTGATTCCATCTCAGAAAAAAAAAATGCAGCAGAAAGTGGGGCCTCATGTTTGACTAAACTCCTCAGAAAAAAGGCATGTCCAAGGGGCCCTCGCACCCTGTGCTGCTTCCCTGAGCTGCCGCTGTGTATTCAGCAACCTCCTCACAAAAAGGCATGTCCAATGGCCCTCACACCCTGTGCGCTTCCCTGAGCTGCCGCTGTGTATTCAGCAGCCCGGGGAGATGCCTGGGGATGAGGGACTAAGGAGCTCCACCTTTTTTTTTTTTTGAGACGGAGTCTTGCTCTGTCTCACCCAGGCTGGAGTGCCATGGTGCGATCTTGGCTTACTGCAGCCTCTGCCTCCCGAGTTCAAGCTATTCTGCTTCAGCCTCCTGAGTAGCTAGGATCACAGGCATTACACCATCACACCTGGCTAATTTTGTATTTTTAGTAAAGACGGGGTTTCACCCTGTTGGCCAGGCTGGTCTCGAACTCCTGACCTCAGGTGATCCACCCGCCTCAGCCTCCAGATGTGCTGGGATCTACCTCTTCACTGCTGCAGTGCAGTGTCTGCCACCGTCCCTTTGGGAAGCCCCTGGGCAGCACCTCCTGAAGCCAAAAACCAGCACATTCCGTGCCCATGCAGTTCCCTTCCTGGGTATCAACCCAATAGAATGGGTCCATGTGTTTACCAAGTACCACTTCCTGGAATATTCTGGAAGCACTTCTCTTGATAGTGCCCAGTTGGAGCCTGCTGCCTGCTCATCCAGAGAATGGGTACATACACCAGACACTTCACACAATACAATCACACACAACGGGAGTGGAGGGGCCACAAGGTCACGCACAGGGTCATTCCTGGAGGAATCCCACAAACATTCCATCAGCAAAAAGAGACTTTGGTTCCATTCACATGGAGGCTAAGAGGCTCAAGAGGCATCCCTGCCATGACAGGGAAGATTGGAGCCTCCCTTCGGGTGAGGCAGAGCGCCAGAGACTCCTGGGGCTGATCAGGTCCTGCCTCGTGATCTGATGTACGCTGTGTGTGAACACTCAGGGAGGCGGGCCTTTCAGATGTGTTCTCTATGGCACAATAAAAAGTTGATATGAGAATTTGTTAAGTAAATCATGTTTTGATTTGCTAAACCTTGGTGGTGGGCAAGAGGGTGTTTATTAGTCTCCTTTATAGTCTTGTCTTATATCTGAAATAACTTTAATAAAATAACATAGATATGTCTATAAAATGAGAACTGAAAATTCCCCATCCTAGCGTCTACTCAACCCTCTCTCCCAGCCCTTCTTGATGCAGCCACTTCTGACCTTGATTTTGTACCGTAAGTTCTGTCATTTTACCTGGAAGACTCTGGTCACAGTGGAGCTTGGGACTATTTTAAAAATCACCTAATAAAAATGACTCCTTGAGTTAATGATTTCCGAACTGTATTCTGGTTATTCTTTAATTCCTGATATTTAAACTATTCCAGAACACACAAAAAGATGAAAAGCTGAACACCAAAGATTGATAATGATAATAAAAGAAGAAAAAATTACATGTTAATTTCATTTCTAAATTTGGATTCAAAAATCTTCAATAAAATTTAAATAAGAAATCAAATCCTGTGGTATATTTAGATGGATAATCCATCATGGACTAGCAAGTTTATTCCAGGAGCGGAGAAGCCAGCCTTGGTGGAGGCGGCAGAGCAGGTCCATTTGTTCTCAAGGCTGAGAGTAAATGAACTGATGCCGAGCTCTGCCCGCATCCTTCCCTGTCCTGCGGAGGTCCTGAGCACATCTCAAAGCTCTTCTGGTTGCTTCCAGATGTCAAAAGCCTAGGCTGGGCACGGTGGCTCATGCCTGTAATCCCAGCACTTTGGGAGGCTGAGGGGGCTAGATCACCAGAGGTCAGGAGTTTGAGAACAGCTTAGCCAACATGGTGAAACCCCATCTCTACTAAAAATACAAAAATTAGCTGGTGTGGTGGTGGGTGCCTGTAATCCCAGCTACTCTGGAGGGAGGCAGGAGAATCACTTAAACCAGGGAAGTGGAGGTTGCAATGAGCTGGGATCACACCACTGCACTCCAGCCTGGGTGACAGAGCGAGACTCTGTCTCAAAAAAACAAATAAACAAACAAATAAAAACCTGTGCAGCCTGAGGGCTTCCCTCCAGACTCTCTTCAAAGTGACCTTCTCACTGTACTTCTCTGTGGGGGGCTGCAGGGTGGCCTCGGTGGGGAGGAGATGCCCCACCTTCTCTCCTCCGGGCTGCGCTTTCTTCTCTGTCTTGTACCTGCCCTTGAAGAACCTTCCAGGTTTATCCCAAGTGACCAGGGGTCAGGAAGCAAGAGCAGAGGTTTCGGGAGTGCCCGGGGCTGCAATGGGGAGTTGGCGTGCTCTGTGCAAGATGGGTGCCCTCCAAACTGGTGCTGTAGCCAGTCTTCAAAAAGCTATTCCATCATTCTTTTGGAGGGGGTGCCTGTGTGTGTCTTGGGCACTGCCCCCCTTGGGTTCCTGGGGCAGGTGACACCCCTCCCCCACCTGGCCTCCCGCAGTCCTCCCCCACCCCAAATCTGCCTCACATCCTCCTGTCCTTGCTGCCGCAGGGCCCTTCCCACAGCAGGAGTCTCTCGGGGCAGGGCTTTCTTAGGATGGCTGAGGTCTGGCTCTGGGATGGAGCCAGGACATGCTCCTGGCCCTTGGGAAAGGCGACCTGGCCCGCAGGTGGTGGGGACACTCTGCCAGCTCCGCAGGGCACTTCTCTCCACTTGAGAAGGAGCATTGAGGCTGGGGGATGCCAGCCCCCGGTTCCCTTCCTGGCACTGCCTCTTCCCACCTGCAAGAAACAGGGTGTGTCCCAGCCCCTCTGTGTCTTGGTTTTCTCAGCGGTCAAAAGCAGGTGATGCTGGCACCAAGGTGGCGGTGTAGCTGGCTGATCACCCCAGGGAATGGTGCCACATCGGGGCCCAGCGCTGGTCTCTGCTGCTTCAGGATTACACAAAGCAGGATGCGACCAGGGCATTCTATGAGCCTGAGCCCATTGCCGCACTTCATTTGTGTCACGTGAGCTCCTTGGTGAGAGGCAATGCCGTGTGGACAGCACGATGGTGGACGAGGCAGCTGTGAGCCCAGGGATGGTGGTTTTTGCAGCAGCATTGAGTGCAGGGAAGACAAATCCACGCCCAGAGTGCCTGTTCCAGCAAGGACAAAATGCTGCCTTGTCCAGGGTGGAAGCAGTCCAATGTAATCAACCTGCCCCCAGGTAGCTGGCTGATCACCCCAGGGAATGGTGCCACATTGGGGCCCTGTGCTGGTCTCTGCTGCTGGCAGGTTGGACAATCCATGGTGGCCATAGCCACTGGGGCTTGATGAGCGGGAGTCTGTTTCTGAGGCAAAGCACAGCCTCCATCCCAGGCACCACGGGCGCTTTGTTCAGGAGCCCTGGTATGCAGATACTGATCTGGCAAATGCTTTCTTCTCCATTCCCATCATAAGGCAGTTCGCTTTCAGCTGGCAAGGCCAGTCAGGCACCTTCACGGTCCTGCCCCAGCAGTCCATCAGCTCTCCAGCCTGTCAGAATTGAGTTCTTAGCATGTCAACCACCTTTCACTTTCACAAGAGCTCACACTAGTTCATTCCATGGATGACTTTATGCTGATGAGACCTAGTGAGCAAGAAGTAGCAATTACTCGCGACTTACTGCTAAGACATTTACATGTCAGACTCTCTGCCACTTGGGCCATAAGACCCAGCAGATCCAGTGTTGTTTGAGGTGTCAGTGGCAGACAGGGACTGTGTGTGTAGCCTTTGGCAGGCCCCAGAGGTAAATCACAGCGGAGGATGTTTTAGAATTTGGGAGCAAAGCCCCACCATCCGCTGTCGTTGCTCTCCTTTTGAGAAACAGCTCTTGGCTTGCTGCTGGACCTTAGGACAAATGGAACACTTCATCAGGGGCCCCCCAGTAACCGTGTGACCTGAGCTGCCCATCATGAACTGGTGTTATCTGACCCAGCAAGCCACGAAGTTGGGCGAGTATACCAGGGACCAGAGGATGTGTCCATTAGCTCAAGCCATAAAACCTGCCCCCAGGTCTTATTGTACCCCCACATCTGGTACAGCAGTCACAGGTGGAGTGTCCCCACTTGGTTAAGTGACTTGAGAACTCAGTGTCATTCTTCAGGATCTAGTTGTCCTTTGCACAGGCCAAATAAAATGCAGTGAAGACGCAGTGGGACTCGCCACCCCTGCATCCTACAAGTCCTTGGTGGTGGCACCAATGTCTACAGTGCTTCCAGGGTTGCAGTATTGTTTTTGGTTCACTATTGTCCTGGGTAGAGGCTGTTATAGTGGCTTCCACTGGCCTTTCCCACCACTGTAACACTCCTCACAACACGGGTCAGGGAACCTGTATGGAGACCCTCCAGGTGCTGAGGGCGTCTATCCCAACCATGCACTTGGAACTAGGAAAATAACCGCACGATGGGTTCAGGGACCCACCGGGCCCACCGTGAGATGAACGTGAGCAGAAACTCCATTGACCACCTGACCTCCCTAAGCCCCGACTCAGACTAGAGGGTGATAGTGACTTCTGGGGTCCCTGGAATTAATGTCAGTTCAGAGCCAGTGTCCAGCAGTCCCCCAAAGCTCTGATTAGTTTCTTTTCTCCAATGTACATCTACCCCAGTAAACGGCCACAGATCCTTTGGGGAAGGTTGGGAGAAAAGTTGACTAAATTTTTGGCAGCCTAGCTGGGTCCTTCCTAAGGTGGAACAGGCCTCCCCTTTATTCAAGGGATTTTGTGTTTGTAAACTGGCTCAAGACTGGAAATTGATTGAGGGGCTGTGGCTGAGTGATTCAAGTTACATTTTTGTTCACTTGTTCTAGAACATTTCCACTTATATAGGTCACGTAAAAACTTAGACTGCCCATATACTTCTTATTTATTTATTTAGAGATGTAATTTCACTCTTGTTGCCCAGACTGAAGTGCAATGGTGCAATCTCGGCTCACCGCCACCTCCGCCTCCTGGGTTCAAGCGATTCTCCTTCCTCAGCCTCTCAAGTAGTTGGAATTACAGGGGCCCGCCACACGCCCAGCTCATTTTTGTATTTTTAGTAGAGATGGGGTTTCGTCATGTTGGCCAGGCTGGTCTTGACCTGACCTCAGGTGATCCACCTACCTCGGCCTCCCAAAGTGCTGGGATTACAGGCATGAGCCACCATGCCCGGCCTGCCCATCTACTTCTGTTTTATGGACACCGCAGTCCACCAACCAACACAATAGGTCTCTGCAGGTCAGACTATTCTAATTGCTGCAGTGACTCTGCTGTCCATCACCACAACCACGCCCCCTTGTTCTCTGGCTGTGAAATGCTGCCCCCTGACCCTGCCACACCAGGGGCCAATGACCCCCATTACATTTTTGGATCTCAGTTCCCTGGCAGCGTTTCCCACCATAATATCTGACCTACAGAAGGGAACAACGACAGGGCACTTCAACAAAGCTGGGATCCTGCATGCGTTCATTTCTCATGGCCACAGGCAAAGGCATGGCCTCTAGGCCCTCCCAGGGTGAGAGTGGGTCTTACTGATATGTCCACTGTCATGCTCCAACCTCTCCAGATCTTCGAATCACTTCTTCTGCAGTAAACCAATTCCAGCCCTGCATTTCCAGCTCACATGCTGTGGTTCAGCCTTCAGGCAACCAGCCCAACACATGGTTAGAGACCCCACCACCGCCTCCCCTCCACCTCTGAGCTACAGCACTGAATTGGGAATTTCTGCTTAGTGAGCCTATATCAACAAATTGAGCCTGAATTTATATTCCTTCCACCATTATCCCACATTCTCAATGTCCATTTCCACACATAGTCCTGAGATTTCTGTCTCTATAAATTGGAAAAATGTAGGTTTTTAAAATTGTAGTGAGGCCGGACGCAGTGGCTCATTCCTGTAATCCCAGCACTTTGGGAGGCTGAGGCGGGCGGATCACCTGAGGTCAGGATTTAGAGACCAGCCTGGCCAACATGGTGAAACCCCATCTCTACTAAAAATACAAACAATTAGCTGGGCAGGGTGGCGCGCCTGTAGTCCCAGCTACTTGGGAGGCTGACGCATGAGAATCACTTGAACCCGGGAGGCGGAGTTTGCACCACTGCACTCCAGCCTGGGCGACAGAGAAAGACTCTGTCTCAAAAAAAGAAAAATTATAGTGCACCTTCTCACAGGTCACACTCGTGCATGAACCCCTGACCTCTCGGCTTCTTCTGGGACTTGAGCCTAGTTACAGGCCTGGAAGCAAAGAGAGGTGGGTGGCGGGGGGGTGGTCCTGAGGGCATTCAGGTCTGCCCTCCAATCAACACCCTCCCTAAAAAGTGGGATTCAATTTTGATTGCAATTCAGCCACTTGTAGGATGAGACTCTGGATTTCGTTTTCAGAAATCTAAGCTCTGCAGCAACAGGAGGGAAGGGCTTCCTTTGGGGTAGACCCAGACAGTTCTAGGTCACTTACCGGGTGCTCGTGCTGGAAATTCTAATCCCTGAGCTCATCTCTCTTTTTTCCCTGCTTTGCCGAGCACAATTAGGAGAACCAGCCAATCTCCTTATGCTCTTTAGTTTGACAAAAATGTTCTGAGGCACCAAATACATGGCCACCCAGAACCTTGGCTCTTCTGCGTGTTTTATGAGGAGCATCCGGTTGTGGGCTCGTGTGTGTCTCCATCGCCACATTGTGTTACAGACGCATCACCCCTGGAATGGAGTCATTAGGGCTTTGAAATCTAATCCGATTAGAGAACTGATTCAGAAAATTTGAGGTGTGGAAAGAGAGGTTTATTTTAAGGAACAGGCTCATGTGATCACAGGGTTTAGTAAGTCTAAAATATGTAGGACAGGCTGGCAGGCTGGAGACTCAGGCAGAGTTAGCGCTGCTGTTTGGAGGCAGAATTTCTTCTCCAGGAAATCTCAGTTTTTCCTCTGAAGGCCTTCGGCTGATTGGCTGAGTTCCACCCACATGATCAAGGGTCATCTCCTTTACTTAAAGCCCATCAGTAGGAGGTGTGAGCCACATCTACAAAATACCTCCACAGCTACACGCAGGTTTGCGTTGGGCTGAGTAACTGGCTACTCCAGCCCAGCCAAGTTGACACATAAAAATGGCCATGGCAGTGACAAATTTGGGCATTTTGTTATGTTCCATTGATCTGTTTTGGTCTATGTGTGGAAATGTCATATTGTCTTGATGGAAGGAGGTATTTATACTTAATTAAACAAATAACAATTCCTGGACATTCTATCTTCCGTGTGCAGTTGAAGATTGCTTTGTCCAGTCTGCCAAAATATCCATGGGGAATCTGGTTGGAATGTTATTCGATACATAATTAACATTGAAAAGACTTATTCACTGGTCCAGGATATGGTTGTATCCCCAGAAAACCAAAAGACTGAAGACACCATGAACACCACCCGTGAATGTGGTGACGTCGCTGGGGCAGAAGGTCAATTCACAACAGAATAATAACAATTCTTTCAGAACTATCCAGTTTCAAGTGGAGATGGACAGAAAATCTATTCATCATAACGAATTAACTTTCTAAAATACCTAAAGGTACATTTAATCAGCAAAGCATAAGACTTATATGTAGACAGGCCGGGCACAGTGGCTCACGCCTGTAATCCCAGCACTTTGGGAGGCCGAGGCGGGCAGATCACTCAGGAGTTTGAGACCAGCCCGGTCAACATGGTGAAACCCTGTCTCTATTAAAAATACAAACAATTAGTCAGGCGTGGTGGGGTGCACCTGTAATCCGAGCTACTTGGGAGGCTGAGGCAGGAGAATCACTTGAACCCGGGACATGGAGGTTGCAGTGAGCCGAGATTGTGCCACTACACTCCAGCCTGGGTGACAGAGTGAGACTCCATCTCAAAAAAAAAAAAAGACTTCTATGTAGAATCTATAACATCTGAATAAATGACAAGATACAGGTTGCTTCTGGATGGTGGGATTTTAGGCACCTGGACAGTGATGATCCTGGAAACCCTCCTGGGGTGGAGGGTGAGACAGCAAGGGAAGAACAATGGAGCCGAGAGCAGGAGATGTACCCACGCCCCACAGGCCCCAGCCAGTGTTGGGGAGTGAGTTCTCAACTCCCCGGATCTCCATCTCTTTTGTTTTTCTTGAAAAATGGTAATCATGATACCTGTCTCTCTACCACATATGGTTTTGTTTTGGAGGGATCAAATGGGATATTCTATTGAAATTGTTTTGTAATCTGCAAAATAAGGTTTTATGACTGTAGCATCAACATCATGAGGCAACGTCGGATAGGAGGGGGTTTCCCTTTCTCTCTCTCTCTCGTGTGTGTGTGTGTGTGTGTGTGTGTGTGTGTGTGTGTGTGCATGTCCATGAATGTTCTTCACCTCATGAACATCTCAAATAACCATGCTTCCACACAATTTCTCAGGAAAAATCTCTAAACTCTGCTTTCTAAATCCACACCATGGAGGCGATTCTCTGTTGGCTGCTTCCTGGGGCGTGGGGGGCTCTGGATTTTCCTAACACAAGTGTCTGGTCACCTGCGACTTACCACCTGCACTTCTCTTCCTATCTCCCTCATATATGGGTTAGTGAAGAAAACTGACTGCTGAAATACACTTGCAGCGGGGAGGTGTTTGAAATGCAGAGTTAATGTGTGTTACCAAAGGGCCTTAAATTATTCAGGTAACCTTCGGTGAGCCAACTAACCTCCCAGGGCCTCACTGTCCTCGTTGGCAAGAGGAAGAGGTTCTGGGAGATTGGCTGTGGGAGTGGTCTCTGAGCTCCTGCCCTGCTCTGGGGCTGGGATGTTGGGCGCAGCTCACCAAGACGTGCAGATGTTAAAGCTTCCTGATATTGATGGTGCAGATAAGAACTATAAATAAACCGTTTCCAACGTGAAGATGTTGTCATAAGACTAGTATGTGTCCTCAGGTAGAGAATAATTATTATCTTCAGTGAACAAGAAAACCACCTAAAATTATAACAAATTCAAGCAAATCCTCTTGATTACAAAATACAGCCTATAATTCAGATGTGGCTGTATATGGCTGCAAAATGATATGTTATTAGGGGCTCAGAATAGCAGCAGGGATTTTTCATCTTGGGCCGTATACACCATGGAGGCATGCTCTGGGCCACGGACATCGCCTCGCCAGCCTGCTGCAGGAACTGAGCTGGAAGATATTTAATCCTGAACTATAATAGAATTCAGTGCTCATTATTCAAGAGCAGGCGTGGGTTCTGGCCCATGGTAATTATTAAAATCATGTTTATGCCAAGTAATGCAATGAACGTCACCTACTTTTGACCCACTGTGCACAGAAGGTGGGGGAGGCAATGTTTTACATCTTATCAATTGGATTTAGGACGTGTTGCACGGTGGTGGGGGCGTGAGGTCTGACTGTGGTGATGAGGGACGTGGCAGTGCAGGAATGGCTGTTGGATGGCCCACCCTGCTCACAGCCAAGGGATCAGCTCCCTCATTTCCTGCGTGGGAGACATGGGGAGGCAGGGGTGTAGCAGGGGCTGCTGTTGGCTACAAGATGAGGCCCTGACTTCCTGGCCTGGATCCACCACCCCTTCTGCCGGGCCCATCTTGCATTTGGTCAGTAGTGACAACTATTGCTGGTGCCCCGGTTTCACATGATAAAGGGTGCGGGTCTAGGGGTGGGAGGCACCGGAGAGCTCATCAGAGGCCAGCGAGATGCTCTTTAGGCTGCAGGAGAAGGAAAGTGTGCTGGCTGCTGGCAGGCACAGCTCACCACCTCCCTCTGGCCTATGGACATGGGGATGGGCCATGTTACCAGGAAGGACCCAAATGTCCCTGGACCTTGCCCCATCTGCTCTCTCAGAGTCCCTGTTCTCTCACATCTTATCTAGGTGTTTCTGGGAGAACTCCCAGGGTGTCCCACCCTCAAGAGAGCCAGCCACAGCATCCTATGTTTTAAATGCTGAGAATTGTGCTACACAGCTCGTCTCTGGGGGCTGCCGGAGCTGTGGCCCTGCAATCTCGGGGTGCCCAGCCTGGTCTCAGCTCTGTGCTTTGCAAACACACGGAGGAGACACCTATGCTTCTGTCCTCATCGCACTTGACGCTTTGGCTTTGGCCTCGCTACCCTCCTCTGGCCATCCTCTAGGAAGAGTTGTCCCACTCAACCCTCTCCCCTCCCATAAGTCTCACACAGCACCACCCACCCAGCCTGAGGGAGGGCCTTGCTTTGGAAGTCACAGGGAGAGCAGTGAATGTGGTTCCCCGAGACCACCCGGCCCTTCTTTCTTCCTCCTTTGCATTCACTGACATTCAAAGCCAGCCTGGCCTGGACTCTGTGCTTCTTGGGCTCCCAGGAAGCCCGTCTCTCCTCAGTCCCCGCTTTGTCCCGCCCCGATGCACAGGCCCTCACCGCAGGACTCAGGTGCAGTCTGGGGGCTACACCTGCCATCTCCCATGCCTCCTCTGGGGCTCATCAGCTTGTGCACGAGGGTGGCCCCTGGGAGGAAGTCCGCTCCCTGCAAGCAGAGCTCTGTGTACACGGACCAGGGGCTGGACCCCAGGTGGCCCAGGAGAGGGTGAGGGCTGAACCTTCTCAGTGTCCTGGGGTTTGGGTAACTGTTGGAATCTTCCCTCAGAATGGAGAGGATCCTCCAAGTCCCAGAAGGCAGCGCTTGGTGCTGTGAACGGTTGTTCTCATTACTTGAGGCAATGGCGTATCTTGATAAGTGCAAATAGATTTTATTTTTTTCCAGCAGAAAGTCTGTTATTCCAAATTTCTTAAACTTTGTTCACTGTTCTGTTTCAGTTCCTCTGTCAGTGTCTTTGCAGGAAGAGTTTGACTCTGTGGGTAATCTATGGGCTGATGAATACAACAGATTGAGGACTGCGTGGTAGAAAGAGAAAATTTGTGCCATTGACTTGTTGGGAAGCAGAAGACGAGATCTGAAGATATAATTAAAATGTAGATTGAGAGCACATTCTCAACTTACAATGCTGAAGATAAGATTTAGCATAGACGGTGCCCTGGGAGGGGGCAGAGATTGCTGCTCTTGCAGCCTCAGTCCCCATGGTGCTCGGGTGGGTGCTGGAAGCCAGGCTTCTGCAGAAAGGAGACCGGGGGGCAGTGCTCACTGCTGACCCTAATGGCACCTCATTCATAGTCACTGAAGCCACATCAGAATCATGTGCTGTGGGTCCAATCTCATCCAGTTCCCCAAGAAGAATCATTAGCCCTTGGGGACTGGATTTAACCATGGCCTCTACCGCTCACTAGCAGCACCCCCGGCTCCCATCTGTGAGAAGGGGTGACAGGCAGGGGCCCGTGGGACCACTCCCATGTGACCTCGGTGGCAAATCCCAAGACAAGCTTGGCTTCCGATGCCACTACTTCCTCCTCTCAGCCCTGGCCGTTGTCGGCATCCCGACAAGCAAGGATGGCTGGCGGCATCCTCCTCTTTCCTCCTATCCCCTTCGCAACATCGTTTCTGTGATGAAGAAAGCTAAGGAAGACCCAGCAGCCCTGTGACACCTTCACCTTGGGCTTCTGGCCTCTGGGACTGGGAGAGAACAAATTCCTGTTGTCAAAGCTTCCCAGGTTGTGTTATTTTGTCATGACTGCCCAAGCCGACTCATACTCCATCTCAGATGTGGTTTTGTCATCCTGGCAGTGGCCTGCCTTGAATAAATGACATGCGTGGGGCAGCCCGAGCAGGTTGAACGCAGGTCCAGGGTCCAGGCCTTCCAGCGCTAACACCAGGTGCTCACCAGCAAGCCTAGATGCTCAGCGCTCCCAGGAGTGCCCTGTACCTTACTCAGCTTCCTGCGCAGCTGTGCCAGGTGAGTCTCACTGCAGAGGGCCTTTCCCCTCTCTCCCCTCCCACATCTGCTTCCTGCGCTCCCGAGGCCCAGGAGACCCTGTTTCCGCTGTTCCCACTAAGCAGGCACTAAGGGGTGAGTTGACCCGGAAGTTTATTCTTTCGCTTCTGTTTTTGGTTTTTTGAGACGGAATTTCACTCTTGTTACCCAGGCTGGAGTGCAGTGGTGTGATCTCGGCTCACTGCAACCTCTGTCTCTCAGGTTCAAGTGATTCTCCTGCCTCAGCCTTCCAAGTAGCTGGGATTACAGGCGTGTGCCACCAGGCCCAGATGATTTTCTTCGCATTTAGTACAGACGGAGTTTCACCATGTTGGTCAGACTGGTCTCGAACTCCTGACCTCAGGTGATCCACACGCCTCAGCCTCCCAAAGTGCTGGGATTACAGGTGTGAGCCACCGTGCCCAGCCCTGAAGTTTATTCTTAAGTGGATTCTCTCTTTCATAGGAAACTTTCAGTGGAAAAAAATAAAAGAAAACAAAAAGATGATGCTAATTATAGAAATCAGATTTAAAAAAGAACTAATATACCAGAGCTTGTTGCTAATCAGTAAAAAGTTCAAAAATAGATAAATATTATATATTCCATCAAAAATTTACAATTAATTACCATTTTAGTATATCATTGAAGTTGTCAACGAATTTGATTACTATTCTCAATTATAGACTTCGCAAATTACCCCCCCCTTTCTCAAAAGCTCAAGTGACATTTCTAATTGCTGATCTAAGACTCTGCTTCCCAGAATAGATAGAGAAGACAAAAATAAGTGTGGGAGATAATGAAATTTCATCACACAATGTTGAGCAAATCATCACAGGCAGCAGCAGGCAGGGCCGCTGGTCAGCCTCACCGCCCTGCCCAGGTCACCTGCTGCGAAGGGTCGCCCGACCCAGCCCTCTCCCCTCCCATGAGTCTCAGGGCAGCGCCACCCACCCCGAGGGAGGGCCTTGCTTTGGAGGTCACAGGGAGGGCAGTGAATGTGGTTCCCCGAGAGCACCCGGCATTTCTTGCTTCCTCCTTTGCACTCACTGACTTCTGCTCCTGAAAAGCCGACTGGCCCAGGCAAGCTCCCCCACTGGGGAGTATCTTCTCAGCCTTGAATTTCAGGCTTCTGGGTGCCCACCTGCCACCAGCCCCAGGGAAAAAGGAGTCCTCCCTCATCCCAGACTGCTTCTGGGCCCATTCCCAGAAAACCCTCTCCACCCTGTGGAGTCCTGTCTCTTTCCTGTCTGGGGAGGGTCTGGCTTCCTCTCTGCTTCCCCAGCTCCAGGCTCCAGGCTCCGCACATCACAGGCCCCCGCTAAACACCCAAGGGCGAGTAGGCCCCAGGAAGAGGCAGAGTGGCCCACTGGGAGAGTGAGGGTACCTGACCCTGAATCCTGGCTTCTCCACTTCCCACCGGAGCTCCCCAGCCCAGTCTATTCATCTGTGACATGGGACAGGAACAATGAGACATTCCTCAGAGCTTGGGTGTGTGCATTAAGAAAACACACGCGTGGCTTGGCCCCGGCACCCAGCCCAGGACTAGCACTCAAGCAAGAGGAGCTTTGGAAATGACAGAAAGCCTTGGGGAGAGAGTTCCACCATCATGCTCATGTGTGAAGACACTCAGATGTGATGGCAGCACAGCCACCTGTTTGAGTGTCTCTGTCCCCAGGGCTGGAGGGCCAGGATGTCTTTCTCGGGGGTGGAGTTAGCAACCCGCCGACCAGAGCCTGGGCCCGGCCTCTGAAGCCGGCTCTCTGTTCTTCCCATGTTCCTCCCACCTCTCCCTGTGTGCCACGAGAAGTCCTCTGAAGCAGATTCTGCAGCGCTGGTGGGGGCAGCCGCAATGCTGGGGTCCTTTCCCTGGCCATGTGGTCAGAGTAGGGCAGAGGGCTTTTCCCAGGCCTGCCTCCTCCTTGGCCTGCCGATCCCAGGGCTTCCCTCTGCTGGCGATGCTCCAGCACAGCCCCCTCCTGAGCCAAGAGCCCCCCAGGTCCCAGCACCTTCCAGCCCTCTGCTCCTGGATGGCTCCTCAGACTCAGTGTGTGGGCAGAGCACCTGGCCCCTCTTCTTCCCCGCACCCTCTCCCCACCCCTCTCCCGAGTTCTGTGGCTGGGCCCTGGGTCTGCAGCACAGGATGGAACACAGCGACCCCCACAGGTGCCACTTTAGGACCCAAGACTCCTTCACTGTCTCCTCTGTCACCCTCTGCACCCAGTCACTCACCAAGCCCTGTGCATTGTGACCCCATAAGACTGTTGAATCCGCCCACCGTGTCTTCTTTCTCAGGGTCCCAAGATGGTTTGTGGTCTTGCCGTGTCTCTGCTGGGCATATTCCTTAGTCACTGACAGACCTGCCTGCCATGGCTGTCTGTGGTCAGAGCTGTTGGCGTTGTCTACACTCCGAAAGGCCACCTGAGGCCCAGAGAGCTCCAGGGCTTTCTGAAGGACACAGCTGCTGAACGACAGAGCTGCGCACAGAAGCTTGTCCCCACAGCTGCTGCTTCTGTGGCTGGCTGACCTCACAGCTGGGACGTGGGCAGCACCGACACCACCCTCATGTGGGTGTGGACAACACTGCCCAGGCCAGGGCAAGGCATGCTGGGAAGGAAGGCTGTCAGACTGGAGGCAAATCCTGGTGCCAAGGGAGGTGTGGCTGTCGGTTGTAGGGCAGAGCATCATGGGAAGGAAGACTGTTGTTGGCTGTGGGGCAGAGCATCATGGGAGGGCAGACTGTTGTTGGTTCTGGGAAACAGCATCATGGGAGGGCGAACTGTTGTCAGCTGTTGGGCAGGGCATCATGAGAAGGGAGGCTCTTGTCAGGCTGTAGGGCAGGTCATCATGGGAAGGAAGACTGTTGTCAGGCTGTACAGCATAGCATCACAGGAAAGAGGGCTGTTATCAGATTGTAGAGCAGAGCATCACGGGATGCTTCCTTCATCATGGGAGGGGAGATTGTTGTTGGTTCTAGGGAAGAGCATCATGGGAGGGCAGACTGTTGTTGGCTGTTGGGCAGAACATCATGGGAAGGCAGACTGTTGTTGGTTTTAAAGAAGAGTATCATGGGAGGGCAGAATGTTGTTTGTTCTAGGGCAGAGCATCATGGGAGGGCAGGCTGCTGTTGGTTCTAAAGAAGAGTATCATGGGAGGGAAGAATCTTGTTTGTTCTAGGGCAGAGCATCATGGGACGGCCGACTGTTGCTGGTTCTAGGGAAAAGCATCATGGGAAGCAGACTGTTGGTGGCTGTTGGGCAGAGCAGCATAAGAAAGTAAGGCTGTTGTTGGCTGTTGGGCAGAGCATCATTGGAAGGAAGGCTCTTGTTAGCCTGTAGGGCAGAACGTCATGGGAAGGAAGACTGTTGTCAGACTGTAAAGCAGAGCATCATGAGAGAGAGGGCTGTTGTCAGATTGTAGAGCAGAACATCATGGGAGGATAGACTTGTTGGCTGTCGGGCAGAGCATCACGGGAAGGGAGGCTGCTGTCAGGCTGTAAAGCAGAGCATCATGGGAAGGGAGGCTGCTGTCAGGCTGTAGAGAGAACATCATGGGAAGGCAGGCTGTTGTCAGGCTGTAGAGAGAACATCATGGGAAGGCAGGCTGTTGTCAGGCTGTAGGGCAGAACACAGTTGTCTGGGCTGTATGGTGTCTGTAGAAGAGCTGGGAATGGAGGATGCAAATACATGGGGTGTTTATTTGCTGACCATGGAGTTTGGGGTTAAAAAGAATCCTTCTGCCTGAGCTGAATCTTCAATGAAGTGTCCCTGATTTGATTATCTTTAAAAGTGCATTTCCTTTATAATTTAGCTGTCTCAGATGTTGGGAGTCCTGTGAGACTTCCCTTGGCCAGCCCAGCACTGGCTCTGCCATTCTCTTCCTGGCCATATTGGGCGAGTGATCCAGTCTCTGTAGATATTGGCTTTCAATACCCTGTAAAATGAGGGCTTTGCTGTACACCTAATTCAGCTCCATATTATTCACTGAATCCATGGATTTGTCCATACCCATTTCTTTACATGGTCATGAAGCACTTCCTGAGTACCCCATATCCGTCTATGTTCCTGTTCAGTGGTACTGAGGTTAGGGAACACGCTGACTTTCTCAGCATCAGTATGCCATGGTCCAGTGGTTGGATTATTCAGATAGAGAAAATCCCTGCTCGCATCGGAAAGCAAGGCTAGCAGACGTGCAGGTAGATGGAACACTCAGGGGGAAGCTACTAATGACAGCACTGATGATGGGCTGGGCCTTGATCCATATTGTTTCATTAAATCCCAGAAGTGACCCTGTGTTGGCCTTGTGACCCCAATCTTTCAGTGAGGAAATATAGGTGTAGAGAGGTTAAGTGGATTCTTGGAACAGTGAGTGTGGAGGCTGGGTTCCAGTCAGGGCTGAGAAAGTCCTGCCCTCACGTCATTTCACGATGTGCGTGTTGTACCCACTCTGTCTGATATGGAAGCTCTGCTGTAGGGGGCTTGGCAGAGATCTCTGGCCATGAAGACCTCACTTTCTCGATGGCTGGCAGGAACAGGGTAGAGAAGGCCGAGCTGAGGAAGGAATGGATGGCAGAAGAGAATGGCTCTCATTGTCCTCTGTGTTGTGGGCAGTGCTCTGGGCTTGGGGTGTAGGCACATTGCTCAGTTAAGGGGGCTGAAGACCTACTGTGCTCCAGGGACAGGCCTAGGTGTGACGAGGTCTCCTACAGCCCCTCCATCGGGTAGGACAGCATGGGACACCGAGACAGTGACCCAGGGCCCCTTGTTCTGTGCGTCCTGGTGCCTTAGCTGGGTCAGTGGTGGGCTCCACAGAGAAGCACAGAGCTCACAGTTGCCGATGGCAGAATCACAGAATCGAGACCACTCCTCACCAGGGTAAGAAGGAATGGGTGTATCCAGAGACAAGTAGACACGGCAGCGTCTGATCTTTTATGACTCAGCCTGGGTCAGCTCTTTCATTAAAAATTAGAATTCCTGCTTCATCATTTTCGTGGCTCTGACTCACATGTGATGAGAGGTTTCCATGATCACCCATAAATTTCAATGCTCATTTAAGGGAAAAAAAATAGTTGTGGGAATTTATGATGAATAGGGTAAATTTTTAGGAGCCAGCATTGGGCTGTCAGAGGCCCAGAAGGTCTCCATCCCTGGAGGGGGTTGGGGGGTCTGAGAGAAGCCTCACCTCCCTACCTGTCACTCCTGCAGCTAGAGCCACCCACCAGCTCTCTGGGGCCGCTGGTCAGCACACTCTGACCTGGGCACACTTGGCAGGGAGGAGAGAAGGACTCCAAATCTCCCTAACTTCAAACAGGAGCTATCCAGGCTGCAGAGTTCCATGAGGCATCAAAGTCAGGAAGACGGGCGGCGCCTGCATCTTCTAAAACTATTGTTGGCCAGTGTCCTGTAGGAAGGCCGGGCGCGGTGGCTCACGCCTGTAACCCCAGCACTTTGGGAGACCGAGGCGGGTGGTTCACAAGGTCAGGAGATCGAGACCATCCTGGCTAACACGGTGAAACCCCGTCTCTACTAAAAAAAAAAAAAAAGACAAAAAATTAGCTGGGCGTGGTGGCAGACTCCTGTAGTCCCAGCTACTCGGGAGGCTGAGGCAGGAGAATGGCGTGAAGCCGGGAGGCAGAGCTTGCAGTGAGCCGAGATCATGCCACTTCACTCCGGCCTGGGCGACAGAACGAGACTCCATCTCAAAAAAAAAAAAAAAGAAAGAAAGAAAGAAAGAAAGGTGGCACAAAGTTGGGGGTGGTGGGGAAGAAACATTCTCCCCACACTTTGGTTTCCATGAGGGTCCACGTACATTGCCGCTCTCGAGCCCCAACACGAGCTTTTTGCCAGGGCTACAGTGGGGTGCCTTCCTGGGCAGAGGGGAAGCTGGGCAAGTGTGACTCACACTCACCATGGGAGCTGGTGCCTGCAGGTCGGGACTCATCCTGACCAGCTCCTCCTCACCGGCTAGTGTGACTGAGAAGCCCTCTTCGTGCTCGGCACTGGGGGACCAGCGGGGCTGCAGAGCTAGGCGTGCCCGTGAACCTCGCTCCAGCAGCAGTGAGCATGCCTTTTGATGGTAGTTTGCTTGTTTATTTGTGTGTATTTTAATTTAACTTCCATCCTCCTGGATTCTTCATATACCTCAAGTCATTCTGGACGAGGACAGAGAGAAAGCTGGGCTTTCCAAGGACTTTCCTGGCTATAAAACTGGAAGTCCCAAATCTTGGGCACCCCTCAGTCCTGAGCCACGCAGGTGTGAAAAGAGAAGTCTTGTGAACCGACCTCTCAAACCAGCTTGCCTGGAGACAGAAGATGCACAGTCCTGCCCCGTTCTGCTGTTTGCAAGCGGTCCTCTTCAAGGAGGGCTTGAATTTGCCAGGTCTCAGTTTTCACAGCTATTTCATGGGAGTAAAACTCTGCCATGTAACCAGGAGTTAAAATGTGCCATAGACTTACTCCTTGCAGAGGAGGTTTCTGCTTGCAGAGCAGCAGACGATAGAGAAAATGTCACTGCCAGTGGGAGTTCTGGAGGGCTCGCTGGAAGAGGCAACTGCATTTCGGCCAGGTCTTGAGGATTCCAGGAAGGATGGCTTGGGGCTGCTGGGGGTGGCAGAGCCTCCATGGGTGGCCACCATCTGTGTGTGTCTTATGCCTCCTCCCTCCTTCCCTCTTACCCCGCCCCAGCACAGAGCAGGTGCTCAGGAAACATGGCCTACATTGCAGCCTCTCATGGCACTGGCCACAGGACTGGAATTTCCTGGAGATGCTAATCCATCAGCTCCTCCAGACGGGGTGCTGCTGTCTGACATCCCAGCTGCGGCAGGACTGACTCTGTAGGCAGGTGGGCAGTCAGACCAGTGGCTCCTGGCCTGGCTGTGCCCTGAGTGCCTTCTCCAAGCCAGTTCAGGGTGTACGGCAGGCACTCAGTGTCCTGCATGGAGTGGGCCCGCATCCTTGTGTTTTGCAGCTGAACAAGACCCGGCCCTGCCCTCCCAAATGTGTCCTCCAGCCGGAAGATCAGTAAGCGTGTGTGAGCGCTGCAGGCATGCGCTGGCCGAGGACATGTGGTTGCTCGCATGAGTGAGCCAACCAGCCTGTGGGAAGAAGTGAGAGAGCCCCGCTGTGCAGACCTCTGAAACGAAAGGCACCCGCAAATCCCAGAGAAGCTTTGATCAAAGCCTCACTTCTGCTTTTACCAGCACAATGCCAGGTCGGTCACCTGGGGCCCTGGGGCAGCTCCAGCCACAAGAAGTTTCTCTTAAGCAGCCCCAGATCTGCATCGGTGAGCACATGGGCATCTGTGAGGCATCTCCTGGGCGCTGGGCTCCATGAGCTGTCCCTCTTGGTGTGGCCATAGACAGAGGCTGGGTTGATCCATGGGTTCTGATGCATTAATGATAATGTCACTGATACAGGGAGACTTTGCCTGAGAAGCTGGGGCTGGCCCATTTTTCATTAAATAATATAATTTGTTGCATTGGTACGCAAGGACAAATAGCTCTGTCGAGCTGAAAGCCTGAAAAAAAAAGGTAATATAGTGTTGTTATTCATGAGCTGAAGCCACGCTTGGAGAATATTCCTCATTTTGACTAAAATGTATCTTCTGCCCACTCAAAGCAAATGCAATTTTCCTTTTTATGACTATCGGTTATTTACATAGAAAAAGTTTAAGTAAGGTCTGTACTACCAACAGCCACTGCTCCCTACAGTGTGGCACCGGAGGGGTTGCTGGGGTCAGGTCCATGCAGGGGCCTCTGGAGTCCCCAGAGGGAGGGAAAAAGGCAGGGTGAAGAGAGCCAGGGATACCCTCCCACTTGGCCAGACAAGAAGCCCCTTGAGAGAAGGGACAGAAACCCCATGCCACCTTCCTTCCCTCCCTTCCCTTCTTTCCCTCCCTCTCTCCCTTCCTCCCTTTTCTTTCTTTCCTTCCTTCCTTCCTTCCTTCCTTCCTTCCTTCCTTCCTTCCTTCCTTCCTTCCCTCCTTCTTTCCCTCCCTCCCTCCCTCCCTGCCCCCTTCCCTTCCCTTCCCTTCCCTTCCCTTCCCTTCCCATCCCTTCCCTTCCCTTCTATTTTACTTTCTCTCCCTCCAAGAGTCACTTGGCTACTTCCTTAATGTCCCATAGGATGTTTCTCTGGGTCTGAGGAAAGAGAAATCTAACAGTTCCTCCATCAAGATGTAGGCTGGGTGCAGTGACTCGCCTGTAATCCCAGCACTTTGGGAGGCCAAGGCGGACAGATCTCCTGAGGTCAGGAGTTCAAGACTAGCTTGACCAACATGGCAAAACCCTGTCTCTACTAAAAATTAGCCAGGTGTGGTAGCAGGGGCCTGTAATCCCAGCTACTTAGGAGGCTGAAGCAGGAGAATCGCTTGAACCCAGGAGGTGGAAGTTGCAGTGAGCCAAGATTGTGCCATTGCACTCCAGCCTGGGCAACAAGAATGAAACTCCATCTCAAAACAAACAAACAAACAAACAAACAAAGATGCTATAGGTTGGGTTGGGTACAGACACAGTCAGCTAATTTTTGTAATGTGTGATGAGCCTGTTTGCTCACCCATTTACTCAGGACTTATCGTTCTAAGCCGAGCCCCACCCCAGGCTCCAGGTGCAGTGGGCACCAGTGGGGATGCCCCTCCCCTCATCCTCAGCCTGGCCTGGAGCCATCTTGGGAGCTCACAGCCACCCTGACTGTTGGAGACTCACCCGAAAACAGGACACAGCCCCGTCCCCGGGAGCTCCTGCTGCAGCTGTCCTGTTGGGCTCGGCTCAAGGCACAGCAGAAGGACAGAGAAAGGATGGGAGCCTGAACCTCACTCCTTTTAGGCCAGAGCCCAGAGCAGGTCCTGGGGCCACGCTGAGTTCATCCCCCGCTACATCACCTGTCATTGCATCTGACCATGGGATTATTATAATTAAGGACAGAGAGGAAAATGTAACTATTAAGGATTTTATACAAGTAAAACTAGTCAATTTCCCCTGCAGGGCCTTGCCGGCCAAGTCTATGTGGGCCAGGCACAAAAAAACTGGAGCTTCAGACTCATGGTGCACAGCTCAGGGCTCAGGGTTAGGGCTCTGGGCTCAGGGCTCAGGATTAGAGCTCAGGGCTCAGGGTTAGGGCTCAGGGCTCAGGGCTCAGGGTTAGCGCTCAAGGCTCAGGATTAGGGCTCAGGACTCAGGGCTCAGGGTTAAGGCTCAGGGCTCAGCGCTCAGGGTTAGGGTTCAGGGCTCAGGGTTAGGGCTCAGGGCTTAGGGTTCGGGGCTGAGGACTCAGGGCTCAGGGTTAGGGCTCAGGGCTCAGGGCTCAGGATTAGGGCTCAGGGCTCAGGATTAGGCCTCAAGGTTCAGGGCTCAGGATTAAGGCTCAGGGTTCAGGATTAGGGCTCAGGGCACAGGATTAGGGCTCAGGGCTCAGGGCACAGGATTAGGGTTCAGGGCTCAGGGCTCAGGATTAGGGCTCAGGACTCAGACTCCTGGCTCTCCTCCCCTGCCATCTTTCTCCCGGGGTCTCAATATTGATACGGCATTCACACAATCCAAACATATGAACCTAGTAACAAAGGGCTTGCATATTATCATGGAGTTTCCCAGAATGTAAAGCACCAGGGGCCCAGGATGTCTCCTGGCTTGTCCTCTGCTGCCCTTCCCAACTTCCAGATCACATAGTCCTGTCCCAAAGGCCTCCATGAGCAGGACAAGTCTGTGCAGACACTAGGAGGCTCTCAAAGCCAGGAGACACTGCAGGTCAGGCTGTGGAGCCGTCGTTCCCCAGGCAGGGGGCTTGGACCCACAGACAAGGCTCATGGCTGAGGTGAGCAGGCAGGGGTGGGGGATGGAGAGGCAGAGGCCTGGGGCTGGGGCCTCCATGCCGGCTGCATCTGCGGGGTCTCCTCTTGGCCCAGTCCATGGTGCAACAACTCACCTGCAGAGCCAGAGCCTCAACACACCTTCAGGCAGATGCCGATAGAAGAGGACCTGCTGCAGGGGGCCTCGTACCTCTCATGGGTGCAGGTGGCCCCTTGCCACCCACAGCCCTGAACGGCTGCCTCTCCCTGCAGAGGGCCAGCTTGCAGGAAGGAACAAGTCAAGGGTGGATGAGGCCAAATCCTGCAGCTACATTTGACAGGCTTCCCTCCGGGCATCCACAGGGCAGTGGGAGATGGACTTGCACCCTTCGCCGCAGCTGGGTCCCAAAGTCAATGCTGTGGGAGGCACCGAGGGAGGGACAGAGGCGCCACTGGAGGCAGCTTTGAGGAAGCCCTGAAAGGAGGTGCCACTGGAGGTAGCTTTCAGGAGGCCCACCTGCGAGCAGGGGCACTGCACTGTGCCGAGCCTGGAGGACAGCCCGAGAGAGACGGGGCAGAGGCCAAGTGCTCCAAGCAGTCCTGGGCAGTGCACAGAAGTGTTGCATGGAGAACCTGGAGGGAATGGCAGGGACAGGGTCCCCAGGGGCGTCAGGAGGCATTCCCTGGGTAAGGTTCCACTGGGGAGTCACGGCTCCAATTTAGCCCTGCCATCAAGGTGCCAGCCCCGTGGCGAAGGCCTCAGGACGCAGACATGGTGAGAATAGTGAGGAGACAGCTGCAGGATGGGGTGCTGGCCCATGGGGAAAGGTGGTCAGGCTCTCAGCAGAGGATGAGTCTGCACCCGTCTCATGGGACAGACGGCAATGTCTGGAGACATCTGGGGTCCTCAAGACTGGAGGGGGCTCCCGCATCTAGTGGGGAGAAGTTGGGGGTGCTGTAAACACCTGATGACACGAGGGGCTGTGACCAGCCTGGTGTGTGCCTCAGGTGGATGGCACGCTAAGGTGATGGAGGAGGACTGTCGTGGGGAGGAAGAGGCCTCTGAGCAAGAAAGGGTGGCACGGGGAGGCCACAGTGAGGCCCCGCAGGATGTGTGTCCCACAAGTGTCCCAGGAAACGAGAAAGAGAATGGAGGAGCCAAACCCAGGGACAGGGCCATGGAGGGCGCTGGCTTCATTACATGCGTGTGTGCTCTTTGGAGACCAGTGTGAGCCACAGGACCCCTTTAAACACCAGGAAAGAGACAGCAGCTGCGGTTTCTGAGCATTGGTGAAACAGGGAGGCTGAGACTCCACGGAAGCGATATCTGTTTTACCCTTAAAAGCCATCCTCGGAAGACGGCGCGATGGATTGTGAGTGCCTTTCAATTGCCCGGATAAAGCCCGCGCGGCTGAGGCACAGAGGGAACAGCACCCGCCGGGGTCAGGCTTGCGGATGGCACACTGACACGGTGCTTCTCCAGGAGATCTTGCCCGTGGTGGGATTGCGTTCGTTCCCGTTCACGCAGAGGATAAAACGCAGGGGTAGGACATTTACCATGTTGTAAAAATGTGAAACTATCACCACGATCCCAATTCATTGCCTGCAAGGAGAACGCGTCATTCTTGACAAAATGATTCTCCTTTCTCCTACTGGGACTGGAAAGGCACCTGTTCCAGGATTCTGAGTGGAGGGGGGCACAGGGCATATTCCAGAAATGGAGGGACTGTTGCTAAGTCTGGGGTAAAGCGGTGCACCCGTCATGGAGCAGGTGGGTGAAGAAGCCGACGGTGGCCATCAGCACTGAGGGGAGCACCCAGCTGGGAGCATGGAGCCTCTGGCTGGTGCAGCCTGGTGAATACTTTCTTCCCGCAAGCAGCTCCAAGAGGGAGGAAAGCGTCTCACTGTGGGGCGATGTAACTGCCGTCCTCTGGGTGCCCTTGGCCTCCTCAGCCACCTCTGATCACACTCCTGAGCCAGCCCTCCCTACCACCCACTCTCCCTTCTGGTCTTTGCCACCCTCACAAGAGGGCCCCTGACTGTTTCTGCCACAGGCTCTGCGGGTGGCCCTGGGCCACGCCCTGGGTATGTTCTGTCCACTGCTGTCAGGAGTAGAATTGCACCCACCCCAATTTCATGTTCTGAAGTTCTGACCCCTGGGACCTCAAGATGTGCTTATTTGGAGACAGAGCCTTTTGGGAGGGGAGAGGGCAGTGATTAAATTGGCAAAAGGAAGTTACACGGTGGTCCTGATCTACTAGGACAGGTATCCTTATAATAAGAGGAGCTGCGGATGCAGGCACCCACAGAGACTGCCCTGTGAGGACACAGGAGAAGATGGTGTTTCCAAGCAGAGGAGAGAGGCCCCAGAAGGAACCAGCCCTGCCCACCCCTTATCTCGACCTCCAGAGCAGTGAGACAATGACTGTCCGTGGTTGCAGCGGCCAAGCAGACTAACGCACCCGCTGTGTGCCTGACTCACCTTTCTACAAATCCTCCCCTTCCTGCAAAATGGAAAGGTGACAGCTCCCCGCTGCAGGCACGGTGACTGCACAGGAGACGCCGCTGCTCTCCGGGCTCAGGGCTTAGGGAGCGTCCACTGTGGTCTGGGCCATTCTGTTGCTGGGGCCATGGGAGCAAGAAGACAGGCAGTGACCCCCACACTCTTGTGGCCAGATCCTGGTGTGGAAAGGAGTTGGGAGGGATGCCCTCCACAAGAATGTATGAGACGGAGCTTTCTAGTTCTATGAATAATCAAAACCCATAAATGACAGCGTCTCAGCTTTGCATAAGAAGTCATTTTGTGGCCGGGTGCGGTGGCTCATTCCTGTCATCCCTCTCAAAGCCAAGAAACGATTTTCCATGCCCTCCTCTGAGAATGATGCAACTCTTCCCAGATAGAACTTCTTTTCCCCTTATTTTATTTTTTATTACTTTTAATAAACATTTCGTAGATAAAAAAGAGCATGTGTAGACTCAGATGTAGGCTGTCAGGAGTCCTGATGCTGTGACTACCCCCAACCCTCCATACAGTCTAAGGACAAGCACGTGGTGTCATCTCTACCATCCTGAGTGCCACCCCGTCTGTTCCCATCCCCACCAAAGGCAGTCCCCATCCTGGCAATGGAATCCTTGCCATTCCTTTGTTTTTCCTTAGTCTCACCATGTTGATTTTTATCTATAAACGTTACACATTCATGCTATAAAACTTTATTTAGATGGGACGGCCTTGACTCTATTCTTCTGTGACTCGAGGTCTTCTCCTCTCTCTGTGATGTTTCCTGCTTGTCCGTGCTCCTGGATGTGTGTGGCATGGTGTGCCCATCGCCCCAGTGCAGAATGCAGCCATGCAGGTGTGACCGCCACCTTGTCCTGGTGACAGCTAATGGGCGTTGCGTTGTTGCCGACACCCTTGCCGTCATGGACAGCGGGGCCACAGGCATTCCCCCGTCTTCTTCTATGGCCTGCGGTTCTCGGATCTGGAATTGCCTCGCTGTCACTGGCCTGTCCACTGAAACAATTTCCCCAGCGGTTGTGCTGGTGTCCTGCCTGCCAGGGGCGTGCCATTATGTGGCTTCCACCACTGTGTATCTTCCCCTTGCTGGGCATTGCCAGGCTGGTTATTTCAGAAATGTGGTTTCTTGCTTTCATCCCATTACTTGATGAGGTTCCTTGCATGGTTTCCTCATTTCCAACATTGCTGTTGTTCAGGACGGTGGACTGGGGTGCTGTGACCGATTAGCAATGCCTGCCATGGCGCAGGTGAGGGACACAGTGGCTCACCTGCCATCATGGCTCCCCCGGATTAGGTGGGTTTTGTTTTATTAAAAATCAAGCTTTATGGAGAGTTGGTGCCTGCCTCCTTTATGTGTTATCAACGGATGGAGATTTGAAAAATGATCATGTGAGCTTAGAAACATCTGACTGTATTTCCAGCTTGCCTGACCCTGTGGAGGACGGAGGGTCCCCAGAGAGGGTGGAGTCACGTTCCTGTTGCAGAGACTGCGGTGGGAGGTTTGGGTCCACGTGTAAAACAAAGTGCAGGGGAATCCACAGGACAATGTCAGAACAGGAAAGTAGATGCTCAGGTGAGCTAGTGCCTTCCCGGAAGTGATCTCCGGAGGGTGGACAGGTGTGAGAGTTGCCTGAACGATGTCTGTTAAGAACCATATGGCCGGGCATGGTAGCTCATGTCTATAATTCCAGCACTTTGGGAGGCTGAGGCAGACAGATCACCTGAGGTCAGGAGTTCAAGACCAGCCTGGTCAACATGGTGAAATGCCACCTCTACTAAAAATACAAAAAATTAGCTTGGTGTGGTGGCGGGCGCTTGTAATCCCAGCTATTCGGGAGGCTGAGGTACGAGAATCACTTGAACCCGGGAGGAGGAGGTTGCAGTGAGCTGAGATCGCACCACTGCACTCCAGTCTGGGTGACAGAGCAAGACTCGGCCTCAAAACAAACAAACAAACAAACAAAAAAGCCATAAAATACTCATACTTCCCTGCCAGTACTATTGCATCTAGGAAGTTATCTTGAGGACATAATCTGAGATGCACTCAGAGACGTTTTACAAAGTATTAACCCATCAATACTTAGCAGGAGATAATGGCTGTTGGCCTAAAGTCCTCTGGTTTATCTCTGCCTCATAACCCTGTCTTATCTTCTCGTAACATGTCACGGACAAAAGAGGACCTTGTGCACTTATTTGACCATTTGTTTATCCATCTCCTCCCTCTGGGATTGATGTTCCAGAAGAGTGGGTGGGCTTCTCTTCCATCTACCTTCCCCTCACTTTTGCCACCTCGAATGTCCATGGAAGAAAACAGTGAATTTTTATCAGATGAATGAAGAGGCATTAATCAGAATCGCCTGTACTCTATACATCCTTAAGCAGCTAATAGCATGATGTTTTTAAAGAATTTCCAAGTGCAAATATTCAGAGGATGATGTTAAGGAAAATAGGAGGATCCAGACCTGCACACTCTCCCCACAATCACAGTTGTGCAACACACACCCCTCACATCCCAGCCACATGACGTGGGGTCTGTCACCACCACGGGTCTGTCCACCTGGCTGGTGCGGACCTGGCGGAGACATCCCCTGTGATGTCCACCAGAACCCCAGGCTCCAGGCAACTGCTTTCGCCCGGGTTGGGTAAGAGCTGGATGTAGCTTTGCCCGAAGAAGGTGCAGGCATCACCTGCCCAGGGTTCTGACTGTCCCAGGCAAGGTCTTGGCACAGCAGCCCAAGACCCAAGAGGAGAGCCAGGGGCGATGACTGCTGCAGCTGGAATTCACTCCCGTGTTTGTGATAAAGGGACTCTGCATTGGAGCTGGGGCAGGCTTGGAGGAGCTCCCCAGCAGGGGCGTCTCCCCAAACAGGGACGTGGCTGCCTGCTCCTGGCCACTCTCCCGTTCTTGGCTGCATGGGCAGGAAGAGTGAGGGCCGCCAGCACAGAGGCCTTGAAGCGCGTGATCCCCCATCCCTGCTGTCCCCTCTGCCCCTCCGTTTCCCCAGGCACTGGATGTCAGGCTTGGACCAAGCCATTTTCTCCCTAGTTCTCACATGCTTTGAGTCTTATTTTATTTGGGGGTAAAATTAGATTAGAAGAAAGCTCCGTCTGCATGGCAGTCCCTTCTCAAAGAAAAGGCAAATTAAAGTATTCCCAGGAGGCTGTGTCTCCTTTCACATGAGAGAAATACACTCCGTGGAGAATGTTTCCTCCCCAAGCCCAGACCTGCATTCGGAGGAAGAGGGTCCTTCATTCATTCATCGATGGTTTCTTCAGTGCTTGCCCGACGGTTTTCTAGGCTCCAGGGGATAAACTAGTGTGTGTGTGTACGCGTGTGTGACAGTACGTCTGCGTGCACAGGTGCGTGACAGTATGTCTGCGTGCACGCGTGTGTGATAGTATGTCTGCGTGCACGGGTGTGTGACAGTATGTCTGCGTGCACGGGTGTCAGTGTGTGTTGCATGTGTGTTTATTCCTGTGCAAATGCACACACGTAAGGGAATGTGTGTGACTACACGTATGTGTATGCTTGTGAGTGTCCATGTACATACTTGTGTGTGTGTTATGCATTGTGTGTGGGAGTAAAGGGGTTCAGATATTTTGGGGGAAAGACAGAGACCTGACGTTTATGGAAACCATGACCCAGAGGAGGGAAACTAATGGTAAAAGCCTTTTAAAAAAATTTTCAGCAAGAAAGAAAGATAAAAGTTCCACATGCTTACTTGTTAAAATTAGGAGACTATGGCGAATGTTTCTAAATAGAGTAAGAATACAGTGGTGGCTCACGCCCGTAATCCCAGTGCTTTGGGAGGTTGAGGCAGGTGGATCACCTGAGATCAGGAGTTCAAGGTCAGCCCGGTCAACATGGTGAAACTCTGTCTCTACTAAAAATACAAAAATTAGCCAGGTGTGGTGGCACACACCTGTAATCCCAGCTACTCGAGAGGCTGAGGCAGGAGAGTTGCTTGAACCCAGGCAGCGGAGATTGTAATAAGCTGAGATCGCGCCACTGCACTCCAGCCTGGATGACAGAGTGATACTCCGACTCAAAAAAAAAAAAAAAAAAGAATACAAGCGAAATGAAAAGTCTGTATGCAAACAACCAAATAAATGAGCAGAAGAACCCTAAACTATGAATATAGCCGGGCTTGTGTCTGCAGCATGGCCTGGCTCTGCGCTTGCTGTGAGAACCCTGTGACTCTGTGGAGTCACCTGTAGCTTGTGGGCTTGGACTCCATTCAAGCCTGAGCCCGGGCCCCTCCAACATCCTGTGGCTGGCTGTCAGAAGAGCCCAGCACAGGGCCCCTCTCCTACCTGGTGCTGGCCAGAGCTTGGGGGAGAGAGCAGAATAAGGCCCCTGCTGTCCAGAGCATCACAGGGAAGTGGCTCTGGGCAGAGCCCTTTAAGCTTCAAGAATCAGAAGTAGATTCACACCCTCACACCAGCTCTAGTGTATGAGGAGGGGTTGATAAAGGCACCAGGGCTGTGGGGCGCACCTGCTGGGTTCTCCTCCACAGTCCTTTCCAGGGACCTGCTCTCCTCGCCCCCTTTCCTGTGGCAAGAGAAACTTGGAGGTTTCTCTGCATCTTGAATTGGGATGCAGACACTGAAACCAGCTGTGGCTGGGGTGTCTCCAAGGATTCTGTCCTGGCTTGTCATGACTGGGACTTCCCCGAGGGCTCCGTCCTGCCTTGCTGTGGCTGGGGCATCCCCGGGGGCTTTGTCCTGCCTTTAGGGGTCTAGTTCCCATTCCATTGCTGAGATCCAAATATCTGCAGGCCCTCGGCCTCCTGATGCACTTTGAAATCCACATGCTCTGGTCCAACTTCCTCTGCTACGGAGTCTTCCCGGGCCTCCAGCCTGGGGTCTCTGCCATGCTGGATTCCAGATGAACTCATGGCCACCTGGTCCAACCCGGGGCTCCGCCTCCCTGCCCTTCTGGGGTCCATGTGCTCCTGCCCTCTGTCCCTCTCCAGTTCTGCTTCCTGGTCCAGGAGGCTAACCTGGCCACATCACACTCTGCCACCCTCTCTGATGTCTCGGGTTTCGCACTGTGGATGTTGGGTCCGGGCTCTCGGCCTCCTCATGGCTCCGTCCTCCTCCATGCCTGCCATCACGATGGATGTTATTTTTGCTGAGTACATCGGCAAAACACATCTGTTAATTTTCTGTATTTGTTTATCCACAGTAAAAATCTGAATTAGTAGCTATTTCACACTGCAGCTCACAAATAAACAGGAAAGAGGCAACCCAACAGCCATCTTCAAAGAAAATGAGCCCCGACATTACCAGGCAGACGGGCAGCCAGGAGGAGCCCTGGAAAGAGGCGGAAGGAGGTCGGCTCAGGAGGAAGGTCCTCAGGTGGCAGCACTGGAGGAGCCATGGGCATGGGGGACTCACAGAAGCCCTGGTCCCATCCCATGACTGCCTGGCGCCACCGAAGGACAGGAGATTCCCGAGACACAGCAGCCAACCTCGGCTCAGCCCAGGCCGTCCTGCTCTAGCCAGGGCTCTCCCCAGTGGCCAGTGTTCCTTTTCCTGCCATTGGGTCCTTCCCAGCCCATCGGGAGACAATCACGACCCTCATAACCATGCAAGTGATGCCACTTCAGGGCCTTCAGATTCCTGAGGACGGAGACGTTCCATCCTCTCTGTGTATCCAGCATCCAGTAGGACCACTGTGCAAAGTCTCGTAATGAGAAGGGCAGAGTCCTACAAAGCACCCTCGCCTTACAGTCCAGATGGGGCCGTCAGAACCTCAGTCCACCTCCACCTTAGTCCCGCAAGTTGTCCGTCGTCACCCTCATTTTACAGATGGGGAAACAGCCTGGGGAAGAAAAGAGGGGTGTATGTGCTGGGGTCAGACTCAGCCCAGAGAAGGGAGGCACGGAGGGACACGATGCCGGAAGACGGGGTGAGGCCCGGGGTGGGGAGGGCGCCTTAGATGGGGGGATGTTGCTCCAAGCAACACCTGCCAGGGTTTGGGGACATTTTTGGTGTTAGGACTTGGGGCAGCTGTGCTGCTGGGTGACTGGCATCCAGTAGGCGGGGGCAGGGATGATCTGAGCATCAGGATGCCCAAAATGGCAGATGGCCCAGCCCCAAACGTCAGAAGTGCCAAGATGAGAAACCCTCTGTGCCCTGGCAGGAGGGCACAGCGTGCCAGGGAGGGGGATGCTGCCTCAAGGAGGCTGTCACCAGCCCCAAGTGACAAGGCCCCCTCCCAGGCTGTGTGCTGCAGCTGAGCAGTGAAAGAATCTCTCAATAAAGGATCTCGCATCTTCAGAGCTTAATCACAAGCAGCCTTGTCATTCTGAGTAATGGTGACTGGGTATTTTTTTTTCCTTTCTTTTCTTCACTTCAGATGAATGTAATTGAAGGAAGCCGTCGCCCTTCTCTCTGGATATAGACACAAGCCCTTGAGGCTGGTAGGGGCAGGGTGCAGAGCACAGCTGAGCTGTGGCCCCTCAGTGGCAGAGAGGGAGGAAAAGGGCCTGGTGAGGGCTGGAGGGTGGGCAGAAGGCTGGGGACAGACTGCTGACCACCCCCTCTGCCCTCGGGGAAAGGAAAAGGCCCAGAGTCTTTTAACTGGACCTGCCTGTTCCCCTGCAGGACAGGCACCCTCTGCCCCACTTAACCCCGCACACAGGCACAGAACTTCTTGGGCGTGAAACTGCTTAATTCTCATGGCAGCCTGCAGAGCGCTCTGATGGGATCCTTACCATCTCTCACCCCTCACATCAGAGCCGCCAGCTCATCTGTTTCTCCTCCTGGGAAGGGCCAGGACCATGGCCACCTGGTTCCCCACCCACCCCACCCAGTAGGGTTTATGCAATTGCCAGACCCCAAGGAGAGCCCTGAGTCCTACAGCACCAGGCTGGGCGCATCGAGGCCCAGGGGCTCAGTGCCAAGGGAGGCCCCGTACCCAGCTCCAACACCAGCCTGATCTCCATGGTTGGGGCTGCACAGAGCGTGGGCTCTCTAAGTGTATCCTCCCTGTAACCTCCCTGGGTGAGGGGCCCAGGGAGCCAAGAGTGAACCACTGGGGGCCAGGGGGCCGAGGGCCGTGTACTATGCACGCGCAGGGGGCTTAAACAGCGGCAAGGGACTGCCTCGTGGTTCTGGAGGCCGGAGTTCTAGATAAAGGTGTGGGCGGGGCTGGCTCCTTCTGAGGGAGAACACGCCCCAGGCCTCTCCCCTGGTGTGTAGATGGTTGCCTTCTCCCTGAGTCTTCACATTCCCTCCCGCTCCTTATCCATGTCGAAATCACCTCTTCCTATAGGACACCTCCCTATTCTATCCGGGGCCTCCCTAATGACTCATCTTAACTCAACCACCTGTTCAATGACCCTCCCTCCGAGCCAGGTCACAGTTACAGGTACTGGGGCTCCTCACTCCAATGCCTGAATGCTGGGGGACGGTTGGAGGTGGAGCCAAAGGGTGGGGTCCAGGGAGCAGGCCAGGAAGGTCTGAGGATGAGTGGGGTTTGGAGAAAGAGGGGGTGGGCCAGGTGCCGGTCCAGCTGTGCCTGGTGGCAGGGGAGAAATGACCAGATGACGGTGGTGGGGTGGGGGCCCCGGCAGGGTCCATGGCAGCTGAGCACAGCAGGGTTGGGGTGGTACCGAGGGCTGGTGGGGGCCCGAGAGTCCTGGGAGACAGAGGTCCTGGGAGGATGGGCAGGGAGACCCAAGGCCAGGTCTGCTCCCCATGGCCTGGCCTGCCCCTGGGAGTCACTGCTCCACTGGGGAAGTTGTCAGAGGAAGCATTTCCTGAGAGCCACTGAGGAGACCTGTGCTGGTAACGATGCCATTAGGGATCCGAACTTATACTATGTGTGTGTGTGTTGAACAGCAGTCATTGAATTACCAGATTGTAATATTATATCTGGCCCCTGCAGAGACCCTATTATCCATTACATAAACAAATAGCACAGACTCATTAAGTTATTAATATCTTACGGAGGCACAATCTCCCTGTTTACATCTTGAACAGATTTATGAATAATACAACCATAAATCACCCTGGAACCGGGTGCGCTGGGAAATGGGGAGGGCACTTCCAGCGTCAGCTGACCCCGGCAGCCTTCCCACCCTCCGGGAAGAAACCCTTCGCTCAAGTTCGCGTTCTCCACCAGTTTTCTGCACGAGCTGCAGATTCCCTCAAACTGTGACAGTTTAGAGGGTGGCTCTGGTCTCTGGTTTTTGAGGATGTTGGGGCCATGTCTATTCAAACAGATAGTGTGTCCCACCAACCAGTTCATTTGGTGGGTAGACATTTGTGGCCAAAGTGTGGAGTCGTGCACTTGAATCCGCTGCCAAAAAAATGTCAAACGCATGATTCTAAGAGCTCTCCAGAGGCTATGTGTGCAAGGGACAGGGGAGGGCCTGAGCAAGAGAGGGAGGAGGGCAGGGATACCCAGCAGGGAAGATGGGGAGGTGGGCGGCCAGGGGTGCATTGAGACGTGGAAAATGCCAGCTCGTGCTTTGTAGGTAAAGATTTTCTTTTTTTCTTTTCTTTTCTTTTTTGAGAGGGAATTTTGCTCTTGTTGCCCAGGCTGGAGTGCAATGGCGCAATCTCGGCTCACCACAACCTCTGCCTCCCAGGTTCGAGCAATTCTCCTGCCTCAGCCTCCCGAGTAGCTGGGATTACAGGCATGCACCACCACGCCCAGCTAATTTTGTATTTTTACTAGAGATGGGGTTTCTCCATGTTGGCTAGGCATGTCTTGAACCCCCAACCTCAGGACATCTGCCCGCCTCGGCCTCCCAAAGTGCTGGGATTACAGGCGTGAGCCACTGTGCCTGGCCTAAGATTTTCTGATATAAGTATTATTCCAGAGTGAGTGTTTAATCCATCCAAATAGCAAATTTCCCCGAAACTCTTCAACGGCCCATTTGCCCACAGACAGGTGGATCATAGCCCACTGCTACCTGGACAAGCCACACTTTGAGCGTCCCAACGTCCCTGAGATTGTGAGGCCTTGGAACCGGCAGCCTGGCCTTGGTGTTTCTGGTGAGAGGGTCTCTAAGAGTTAACGCGGTTCCTTTCCACAGGTGTTTATTAGGGCCACGAGAGGTGGGGGACACTGTTCTCGCTCAGAGACTGCTCCTCATCTTGTTGGGGTTCAGAGAATGACAACAATCATCCTTTCCTTTGGGTTTCCTCTGTTATGGGTCTCCCGTTCAGCACTGCCAACAGACGGGGTCCACACAGCTTTTGTACCTGAGCCTTTCCATACATTCAAAAGCTGACCCCATTTGAATGGCCCTAACAGGAAAGTCTTTCCTGCTCAGTGAGGCCTCAGTTTACCTTGAGCGTCTCTTGGGGGCAGACAACTGCAGAGTGCTAGGCCCAGCCTGGAAGGGCAGTGGAAGCCCTCCAGAAGGGGACTTGGACAGCTCCCTGGCCGGCCCTTCCCAGCTGGACTCTCCTGATTCTGCGCCTCAGGAAGGCATCTCTCTGCCCACCAGCTCTCAGGTGGCTCATACTGGCTTCTCCTGTTCTCTGCCTGTTCCCCAGAAATGTGTCCATCGACTTCTCAAAGCCACATGGCCCAAGAGCCCCGGGGATGAGGGCTCAGACCCCAGCAGAGGTTTGTCGGCACCCAATGGCTTTCAGGATCTCTGGTCTGGTCCAAGAGCCCCGGGGATGAGGGCTCAGACCCCAGCAGAGGTTCGTCGGCACCCGATGGCTTTCAGGATCTCTGCTCCAGCCCAAGAGCCCCGGGGATGAGGCCACCTGCCACTCTCTCTTGTCCTCCATCCTTCCCTCTCTCCAGCCCTCCTTCCTCCCTCCTCTTTCTCCCGAGAACTTTCATGCCTACCTTAAAGAACCAGATGCAATCCTCCTGGTTTTCATTGGAAACTGACTCCAGCATGAGGGTCTCTCCCTCCTTTTGATTTCCCTAAGCAAATTACCATCCAAACAATCATTTCCCATCGTATGGAATCTCTCCTGCTAAGTTATTATTGCTGACGGAGGATCTCTCATGCAAACGGCCCATTTTTCTAGCTTGTGTGGGGTCTCTGGGAAATTTCTGACTTTTCATTAGCAACCTTCCGAAATGACAAGTGTCCCCGCATCACAGTATAGACAGCCGGGATCCGCAGCTAGATGGCTGTGTAGACAGCCGGGATCTGCAGCTAGATGGCTGTGTAGACATGTCCTGAGATCACAGAAATTATCCAGGTTTTATTCCTCTTTCCTTGCACTCATGAAGAGAACATTCTTCAGAGATTGAAAAACAAAACAAAACAAAACAATGCATGGAATGAGAGCATTTTTCACATCTGAGATGCAGGCGTGGAATTTAAAGCATGAGGATCACCCAGGAAGCTGCCAGAGGGCCCTTTTTCACCTCACACCGAGTGTCACCGAGAGGAGTTCATCTATCACACTGCTTACTCACAGCAGCAATTTAATTACGCAAACCTGATCTAAGGCCTTAATTAAATTTTTAAAAATGCGGCCTGTTCTCTCTGGGAACAACAGAGGCAGCTTTTCCACCCTGCTTCCTTCACAGATTAGCTCATCTGTGGCGCGGGGTTTCTCGGGAGGCGTTGGAAATGCAGATCTTGGTCACACATGTGCCTCCTAGGCCGTTCTGCACATTCTCCTTATCTGGAAATCTCTGCACCTCTGATTGGTGCCCAGAAACGCATACCTTTTGACAGGCACCTGCGAATTGGAGACGGGAGCCCAGCAACCCTCGCTGTTTGTCAATTTAATATCCTAGAACAAACAGCCCAAATCTCTGTCAACAGCCATTACGCGGAATCATATTGTGTTTCCTTTTCTATAAATCCAACTCATTACCCTGCATGACGGATTTGGGCCTGTTTCTCTTATTTGCCTTTCTCCAGTTCAACCAATGCTCCTTTCTGGGGAATATGCTGCTGAAGGCCAGGTAGCTGCAAGGTCTCATCTCCTCGGCAGCTCCTTCCAAAGCCCAGCTTCTCTCTGGAACAGGGAAGGGGCGGAGGTTTGGGTGAGAAGGAAGGGGGCCTGGCAGGCTGGCAGAATCACAGGTGAGAGGTGTAGGGGGACAGGGATCACAGGACCCCACAGGCCTGGCTGCCCACTGCCTCTGTCCACACAGGGCGGTCAACGTGCCACACACCACACCCCAGGCTGCTCATCCTGCTTCACAGGGCAGCCTTGCCGAGGCCACTAGTGCCTTCCTGGTGCCTCTTTCCAGCAATGCAGCCGGAAAGCCTGCCTGGGATTCAACACCCCACAGGGCACCCGCATCCTGCCTGGGATTCAACACCCCACAGGGCACCCGCATCCTGCCTGGGATTCATCACCCCAAAGGGCACCTGCATTCCACACCCGGAGTTCCCAGACGGCGCTGCTACACATGCTGGCCCCCTGGAGGTGGTGAGGGCACACCGGGCCCATGAGTGCAGACTGAGGGCTGCAGACCCTCTGTGTTCTTGAAGCTCACTGGGTCCAGGGTGCCGGGAGCCCTCGGCCCCAGGACACACTGACTGCTGCCTCACTTCCTCCAGGCTGTGACACGGTGCGTGGGTCACTGTCCCGTGTTTAACAAGACCAACACGTCCTCCCCTCCCTGAGCCTCCAAATGGCCAGATGGACTAGAAACTGACTCTCTCCAGACCAGGAGGGGCATCTCTGGGTGGGCTTTTGGGGCCTTAGCATTCTCTGCTTTCCTCATTTCCCCTGATCTCCTCTCAGGAATGGGGAGGTGGGTTGGGTCCCAGGCTGGGGATAGGAGAATGTGCATTTCTAGAAGGTTCCTGGGTCATGCTGATGGCTGGTCCTAGGACCCTCTCTGAGAGCCACTGGCTTAGAAGGTGACACCCCATGATCCCAGCTCTTCCCGTGACTCTTGGGCTCCAGGTCCTCAGGTCCGGTGTTTGCAAACCCTTCACGCTCTCTACAGAGGCTAGCTCCTGCCCATGGAAACCCCACGTGCAAAGCCATTGTTTTGGTTGCAGATTGACAGAAATCCATTCTGCCCATCAGTGGGGGCCTTTGTTCCCAGCCCTATTGACCCACTCTCTGCAGGTCTCAGGCATAGAAAGCAGTCACTGCAGGGCCTGGCAGGGAGAGGGAGGACAAGAAGGGGTGTTTCGCCATGGAAAGGGTGGAGCATGTAAAATCCTCCTCCCGCCCACCCACAGCGAGCAGAGTGGCCTCCTCACCAGGTGGGCCTAGACCTGTGGGCACCCTCCCCCTGCGGGCTGCTCACATCCGCTCATCCAGCCCAAGCGCTTTTCCAGCATGGCTTGTGGCCAAGCGCACCAGACCTCAGCAGGTCTGCTCACATCCTTGCTCCTCCTCTTCGTTATCGGGCCGGGGGCTTCACTCCCCTGTGCCTCAGTGTTCTGCTTTGCAGCTGGGGTCACACAGTCCCTCCCTTACTGGATTGTAGTAAGATTAAGGGACCCAGCACACACAGAGCTTTGGGACACTGCCTGGAAGGTCACATGTGCAATCCATCCAGAGTTATGAGAGTTCTAGAAAGTGCTCAGCATTGAGGTGCAGACACGCGCACGACACTGTGACCCCCACCCCCTGGAGATGGCCACAGGGTCCTGGGCTACATGCAGAGACGCTGGTGGCTGCCCATGATGCCTCAGGGTAGGCAGTGGGATGATGCGAGACTGGGACTGAAGTCCCTCCATCTCCCTCTGCCGTGGGATGGGTTTCAGGCACACTGACCTTTTTCTCAGAGGGGTTCTGGCTGGACAGCATGCCTGCCAAGAACTGGAAGCCAGAGGGCCCACCATGGACAGATGGCCTCGTGCTGGTCCTGCAGCAAGAGTTGGTTTGATGAAAGCAGCTGAGTTCTGAGGCTGCAGAGGGGGAGTCCCTGCTTACCCCCAACTCTTGATCTTGGGGAGGACTGCAGGGAAGGAATAATTGTTAGATATGCAGAGCAGAATCCCCTGTGCCCACAATCACTTGCAGACCCACTCCAGGGGCAGGCAGCAGCACTCATCCCGACCCTGTGCAGCGGGGGTACCTGGGACAGGGAGGCCCTGCCCAGGTGTGCTTGCTCAGGTGTGCCCTTCCCAGGTGTGCTCACTGCCATGCAGTAGGATACACAGCAGAGGGCAGCCCATGGGAGCAGGAAGTGTGTAAGGAAGGTGGAGTCTATCCCCCCTCCGAGCCGATGTCTCTGCTGACCAGCAGAGCAACCAGAATGGGTCCAATGTGCCATCTTCCTGGAGGTCCCTGATGTCCTGTGTCCCCCTTCCTGTGTTCCTGGAGACAGAGCCTGTCAGGCATCCTGTCTGTGCTCTGCCTTCTCCATTACTGGGTCCAAGGCTCTGCTGAGCTTTCTCTATTACAGCCCGGCCTTGGTCACCGGTCCGACGCCATCCTCATGACTCAAGGGCGCATTTCCTGGGGGTGAACCACCACTGAGGACTCCTCCAAAGGGTGGCTCTGACCCAGTTGAAGTCCAGCTGGACAGGACTCGGGAATCTCAGAGAAATAGGGATGGTCCTTCCTGCGCCCCTGCCTTGGACCAAGGCCTCTGGCTGCTGCTCCAGCCACTACGGGCCGAGCTCCCGGCACAATGACAAACACGTTTCCACCTGTTCAAGGTTGCACTTGCACGCCAACACACTCCCTTGAACAGCCATTCTGAACCTATTCTGGCTACTCTGCTGGTCGTCAGAGACATTGGCTCAGGGTGGACAGAGCCTAGAGTCAGGCTTCCAAGGATGAGCGTCTATAGGGCTTCTTGGGCCACCTGGTGAGCCAAGCGGACATTCAGATCATGGCCATCCTCAGCCCCCCTGGGCACTTCCCAGGAGCTGACCTCTCTGAACCCCTGACGGCCCGGGGCCGATGCGGGAGGAAACACACCCAGTGCCTCCCTCCTGTCCGGGTCCCTCTGGGCATGGCAACATCTCCCCAGGACCCTCAGGGTCATCTCTGCCTCCTCAGCGAGCACTCCAGGCTGTCCCCCACTGGACCAGAACCAGGCTGTCAGCCCCACGTCCTCTGCTCTCCTGCTGGGCTGGTCCAAGCAGGTCTCTGGCCCGAGGCACACGTTTGGGGTGTTGGGGATACGGTGACGGGATCGGAGGAAGCCTCAGTGACCCTGAGAGCTGCCTGGGGACCCACTTGGTCCTGAGCCCATGAGAGTGGATCTTGCGCTCCCCGATCCTGGAGGAGCAGCCGGGCCTGGCAGAGTGCACACAGGGAGGCCTGGGCTCCCGGAAGAGCGGCTCACCTGTCCCTGCTGCGTGCAGCCGGTGGATGTCCATGCCCAGCAAGCTCATCCCTTGTGAGGCTCCTCTGGCCTCTAGAAGAGCAAGTCACTGGGTGAAAGGAGGGAAGCCCATGGGCCCCGGTGGAGAGAACATTCAGGAAGCTGGAAGAAGTTCAGTCTGGCTAGAGCAGTCAGCTGGAGGGGGTGGGCGTGTGGGTGGAATGGGGCTGCCTCAGATTCTCTCCTCCTGGTGGGCTCCTCCAGGGAGTCAAGAGAGGTGGGTCTTGTGCTTGTCAGCCCCAAGGCCTTCCCTGGCCCCTGCCTCTCCCTGAGGACCTGAGAGGTCTCAGCAATGCTCACGGGCCTGCCACTTCTCTGTCCTCATCCTTACCACTCCAGGGCACCCACCACTCCCTATCCTGCCTCAGGACCCTGGCGCTTGCTTTCTTGCCCCTGCGGTCAGCCTGCCTGTACCCCTCACTCCCTTCTGGCTTGGTCCAAGTGCCAGCTTCTAGGGATGCCTTGGCTGTCCTACTGACGACTGCACTCCTGCCCCCGGGGTCCCGGCCCATCTTGCTGTACACCTCCCCCAGCGAGCCCTTCCCATCCTCCAGTCCCTCAGCGCAGGTTATCTGCCAGTCTGTGTCCTGAGTGTCTCCCCCGGCATGGGCAGCAGCTCCGGGCGGGGATTTGGACCTGCTTATTTGCTCCAACAGCACCTGCCTGGAAGTGTCACTGCCGCATCCAGGTGCTCAAGAAAGCGTCAAGCGTCCGTGAGCGGATGGGGGACTGCAATCATAAAGGAAGATCACAGTTGTCGCCTGCCTTCACGTCCCATCCGGAGACACTCTCGGCAATGGAGGGTGTCAGTGTCGAGTGCCCTGGTCCTGCAGCAGAGGGAAGCTCCGAGGGTCACATGGCTGCAGGCACAGCGAGGTCCCTTCTCTCCACTTCATAAATTCAGCAAACAGCAGAGTTCCTGAAAGTGCATAAAGGAGAAATAAGGCTCCCTCCAGACAGAAGAGCCGTGTGTAAAGATGAAGTCCTCCTTCTTCTCAGGCCTTTTATGGGAGGTGGAGGGAGGCCCCGCCGCCATCCATTCCAAATCAAAGCCCTGCTCCTAAATCACCTTCATTGGTGAGACCGATGCGTGTGGTATTATTCCAATACTCTTTTTAACGAAATGCAAAATATGTGATAATCATTATTTTAATGTCACTAGGGGCCTCTCGGTCAAGTAAAGATATTTCAAAGGCTGCATTTCCAAGTCAAAGCTGGCTACAAAATATTTAGGGAACTCCACCAAAGAATAGCCAAGCTATGAATCAGAGGCTGCACACCAGAGTGCTTTTTAATCCCGGACAGGGCTGAAAAATAAGAGGAAGATACATTTTCATTCTTTTCACTTGTTCCATTATCCACTCCAACTGAAGTGCCCAGGCACTCTGCTGTCCCTGGCTGCAGCCCCAGGCGGCGTCTCTGCCGTGAGGGCTGTCCACTTGGCATTAATAATCATGAAGGCTGCAAGCAGCACGGGGCAGGAGACAGTGAGGCTGCAGGAGCATGCTGGCCTTCCTGGCGGTCCTTGCTTCTGTCTCATGGTCCCTGGAGACAGACATGCTGCTACATGTGTGGATGTATGCATGTATTCTGTCGACCCTTTCTTTCCTCTTCAGAAAGTGACTGTGACATGTGACCTCATTTCACAAGCTCCACGGGTGACCCTCGAGGACCCTCTAGAGCAGGGACCTGCATAGCATGACCTGTGGGCTGAGTCTGGCCCTCTGCCCGGTTTTATAAATAAAGTTTTATTGACACACAGCCCCTCCCCATCTATCTACAGCTGCTTTGGAGCTACAAAGGCAGAGCTGAGTAGTAGTGACAAAGACCATGTTGTCCCGAAGCTGACCACGTTTGCTGTCTGTCCCTCTAAGAAATAAGCACCTCACTCCTCCCTTCACAGTCAGCCCTGGGGCTTTGCAGAGACGAGCCCCAGGGGACTCACTCCAGAGGAACCCTTGCCCAGCCAGCCTGGCCCTGCTGTGCCAACTCTGCTGTTTAACTCCTCTGTTCCCTTCTTGGTCTTCCAAAACCCCCTCAAACACAACAACAAACAAGTAAGCAAAAAAAAAAAAAAAAACCCAAACACTGGCAGGAAGGTAAATAGATCCTGAACCAAAGAGTAACTCTGGAAATCAGAGAGAAATTTCTCACAACTTTCTTTTGAAATAAGAGACACGCCGGGTACGGTGGCTCACGATTGTAATCCCAACACTTTGGGAGGCCAAGGCAGATGGATCATTTGAGGTCAGGAATTCAAGACCAGCCTGTCCAACATGGTGAAACCCCTGTCTCTTCCGAAAATACAAAAATTAGTCAGTCGTGATGGTTGCACACCTGTAATCCCAGCTACTTGGGAGGCTGAGGCAGGAGAATCGTTTGAGCCCAGGAGACAGAGTTTGCAGTGAGCCAAGATTGCGCCACTGCACTCTAGCCTGGGTGACAGAGTGAGACTCTGTCACAGAAAAAAAAAAAAAAGAAAAAGAAAAGAACTAAGAGAGGCATATTTCATTTATTTTATGATGATATTGCTGGTAGAAGTAACACAAAATAAATGTGTCAGGCAATAAGCTTCACACAGTAAAATGTATTCTTATCATTTTTGAAAACTTTAAATATGCAAAATTTAACTTGGAAATTTTAAACTGTGTAGAAAGAATGCACCTAAAAAGAAAATGTACAGTGTTTATCATTGGTATAATCGCAGAAGATTTGTATGACCACACCGATTGTTGTTGAATACTTGTAAAATTCAAACCAAAGTAATTGATTCCCACAAAATTAATGTCGGTAAAACAAAAATGAAAATAAAATGACGTATTTGAATTATGTAAAAAAATCAAAGAATTATGGTAAGTTGAACAGTTTGATAAATCTTGACCAACAGTTATAATTCTATTTTAAATATTTATAGTCATTAAAATGGAATCAGATGTCCATATGGTTTTAAAGTACCCTCTTTCTGGAAACTAGCCATCCACCCAACTATCCAAACATCCAAATATCCAGCCATCTACCTTACCACCACTTTACTCCTTCCATCACTCACCCCTCCTTCTACACATTTACTCATCTACTAACCCACCCATCCATCTCTCCATCTATACATCCATGTACCCATCCACTCCTTCACCCACCTACCCACTCATCCACCAATCCATTCACCCATCCACTAACCCACCCATCCATCTATCCATCTCTACATCCGTTCACCCATCCACTCATTCATCCACCTACCTACTCACCCACCAATCTGTTCACCCATCCACTAACCCACCCATCCATCTATCCATCTCTACATCCATTTACCTATCTGTTCATTCACCCACCTACCCACTCATCCACTAATCCATTCACCCATATCAACCCTTATATCTGTACATCCATCATCCACCCATCTACCCAACCATAAGCCACTCAACCATCTATCCACCATAATCCTTCACCCATCCATCTATCCACATAATCCTGCACTGATCCATCCAGCCAACCTTTCATTCATTCCACAAGAATACCTGAAATCATTTAGAAGAAAAAGTATAACAAAATAATCATGTGTTAGGATCTGGAAAAATGTCAGAATTAGAGGTCAGACCATGGGAAGATGGGAAAGAAAATATTTAGGACTTGGATCCTGGATCGGCATCAAATGGGAGACTCACATACAGCACTGAGCTGCATTTTTTTTTTTTCTTTTTTTTTTGAGACGGAGTCTCACTCTGTCACCCAGGCTGGAGTGCAGTGGCACGATCTTGGCTCACTGCAACCTCCGCCTTCTGGGTTCAAGCGATTCTCCTGCCTCAGCCTCCCGAGTAGTTGGGACTACAGGCGTGTGCTACCATGCCCAGCTAATTTTTGTATTTTTGTAGTTTGTATTTTTAGTAGAGACTGGATGGAACCAATGTGCTGACACCATGTTGTCCAGGCTGGTCTCAAACTCCTGACCTCAGGTGATCACCTGCCTCGGCCTCCCAAAGTGCTGGGATTACAGGCATGAGCCACCACACCCGGCCAGCACTAAGCATCTTACTGGAAAAAGCAAATTCAGCCAGTAACACGTCCTTCCTGTACACTAGGAGAAACACACCAGTATGGTAAGAAAAGTGAATCCTTGCTTCACAGTCAGTTCTGAAAACTTCTCAACAGTGATGCTTCACTGGGGGAATCGCAGGGCAGATAACATCCTCTGGCACTTCCCTGTGGTCCACGGGCAAAGGTTTCCTCTGCAGCTGTGGTGACACCCCCTCTCAGCATGGAAAGACACCATGAACCATGACATGTCACACGTCAGGAGGAGCGGTCTCTGGGCCTTGTTGGATCTACTCCAGGGAGCTTGAAATAATGAAATCCTATGTCTCTGTCAAATGCCATAATGCAGGCTTTCTAGTCCCTGAGGGCTGTCGTCTCAACAATGAGTGTGGAGCTGTGACATGAGGCTCCCCTGGACCCTCCTTCTGATTGTCTTGTTGAATCATGGTTTAGCTGGTGAGCAATTCAGCCATGGGTTTGGGTTGAATGGTGGAGCCCCAAAATCTGTCCACCTGCTCCTCCTGTAAATATGGCCCTATTTGGAAAGGGGTCCATGCAGATGCTAAGAAATTAAAGATCTTGAGGTGAGGTCATCCTGGATTATCCAAATGGGCCCTGAATCCAGTGACAAGCATCCTTATGAGAGACAGAAGAGGAGAAGGGAGAAGACACAGAAAGAAAAGGAGGTCACATGGAGATGGAAGAGGACACCAGAGGTCACATGGAGATGGAAGAGGACACCATCTACAAGCCAAGGAGTGCCACGGAGTGCTGGCTACCACAGAAAGCTGGGAGAGAGGCCCGGAACACAGCCTCTCAGAGTGTCTGGATGGAACCAACGTGCTGCCACCTGGATTTTGGACTTCTGGCTTCTGGAACTACGCAGGTCGTGGTAAGTTTTAATGGCAGCCCTAGGAAGCGAATGTACCATGGATCAAGCATTTGTTTAGTTGACATGACTCTAGATAGAACATCGAAACCCTTGGGTTCAGAACGCCAGCTTGCTTCCAAGGAGTTTATTCAATAGTAGGCATTTTACCAAATGGACTTACAGTCTGTGTACGTACATTTTCTTCTTCCTCCAACCCCACCCACCTTAAAATAAGAACAGCAGAACTAGGTAAAGAGAAATAAAATGTCTCTTCGAATTCCTTGGACAAAAACCTGATTAATACAAAATTATTATTTATTATTATTTATTATATTATTGTGATGAGAATGATGCCCCTTATTTATTAAATGTTCTTGAGAGTTTACTGCATGTCAGGCACTTTGTTGGGTACGGGGGGATGAGGTGAAGGGATGGAGTCATTCTGGTCAGTTCAAGGCCTCCCTAGGGCCATCCAGGTGACTGAGGACAAATGGCAGGGCCCTGGGTCACGGCTGTTGGGAGGAGGGAGTTTGCTCAGCAGGGAAGGAGGGGGTCCTGTCCCTTAGGCAAGTTCTGGGATCTGAGCTGGGAGCAGGAATAGTTATGTCAAAATGAGAACTTTTAAGATGCAGACCTTGTCACTAGGCAGGTTTAAGTGGATCACATTTTCACAGATAATTTTCAGCTGAGACTCTTAAAACTTCGAATAAAAGTTCCCCAAGCCTCAAACGTTCAGTATGTGCCTCTTCCGTATCCCTTCCCATCCTTACAATAGAAGACATCACTTCCTCCTGCCCAAAGATTCTTTTTTCCCTTCAACACTCAAAGCGCTGCCTAACCAAACCTTCCATCCAATTATCTCCCTGCAGCTTAATTTGACTGTTCCTGAGATGCTTTTTCTGGAACCCTCTACTTTTGTTGCTAAAATTACACTTGGCTATCCTGAACTCGGCTCAATTAGAATTCTCACTTCTGAAGATTTATTTCCTGCAAAAAAAAAAAAAATCCTCTGACGCGCCATGGAAATATCTCTGCTCCTCCGTGTTGATACCTGCTGGCGAGGCCGTTCCCCCAACACCGAGGCCTGGAGCCCGGATTCCTCGGGGCCTGGTACAGGGGTTACCCAGTCCTCAGGGAGCTTGCTGGTGAGTGCAGAGGGCAGCCCTCAGATTCATTCAAGGGGTTTATCAAATAATTGACATTTCATCTAACGGACTCCTAGTATCTGCTGGGTAAATTTACTTCTCCCCTGGCTCACAATCCTTTTAGAATAAAAAGAGCAGAAGTAGGTATTGAGTTAAAAGTGTTTAGCCAGAATTTAGGGATGGAGAGGGACCCTGCCTTCAGATGGATAATTGTACCATTCCATCTCTTGCTCAGTGAGCCCAGGTGGACGGTGCCGTCCCTGGAGGACTCATGACGTGCTGTGTGCACATCCTCAAGTCTGACCTCAAGCTTGCCAAACAGATACTATGGTTTTTCCCCCGAGGAGGAACTGCTGATCCAGAGTTCATGATCATATAGTCAGTTGTGTGAGGATAAAGGATTTGACTTGGGACTGTCCAATGAGGAGTCTCCCCTGACACCGCATCGCTTCATAGTGGAGAGATAAGACCTCATTCGGTATCTTCCAGAAGCATCCCACAGGAGACACCAGAAAGCAGGGTTCCTGGCCTAATAAGTTTGTGAATCAGAGCAGGCAATGCCCCTTTCTTAGAGATGACTGTGCACACTAGTATTGCAAGAGCTCCAAGACATTCTGCAATTTAAAAAGTCAGTTTAACTGTTCAACTCATCATGTACTAATTTTTTAAAAATAGCACCTATGAATATACCCAAACTAGTGTGCTAGGGGCATGTCGGGGACTTAACATGTTGGCCCGGTTGATTCTGTAGCACACCACTGGCCACAGATCCCACACCCTAGAACCACCTCAGTCTTGGAACTCCTCTCCCTTATGTCGCCCCTGGATTTGATGCCTATTTGCAGTTGGAAATCAGCTCAAATCCCCCATCCTTATTTGGCCTTCTTTACTGAATGACACTTTTACCCCTCTCCCTCCCGATTTGCCAGCCCAGGTTAAACACCTTGGCTTTGTAAGCCCAGTCACCATGGCCCATATTTGCACATGGCCACTGATAAACTCAGAGACAGGGACCACCGGCCTCAGTGAGCCGGGAACATAGCACGGTGGAAAGAAGCCCAGGAGGAAGGGTGCCCGGAGCGAGTCCTGCTCCAGTCCCCCGGAGGACGGGCTCCCAGGCTCTGCCCTCGAAGGTGGGCTGCAAGCCTCCTGCAGAGATGTCTTCTTTGGGGGAGGCAGGAAGCAGAGCAGGGGGAATGGGCCTCAGCCTCAGGAGACTGGGCCCACCTCCAGCTGCCGGGGTGAGCTGAGCCGCTTTGGGCAGAGGCTCAGCCTCCCACCCCTGGAGGCGCTGACCATCAAAGGCAGGGTCACATGGACCCTTCACTGGCTGCTGAGAATTAAATGGGATGGTGCATGATGGTCTGTGGCCAGAGCCAGCCCCCAGTGAGCCTCTGCGGCCTCCTGGTAATTGATTCCTGGGGCTCTGCTCGGTGTCTGCGCCTGCACGATGGATGTGGCCCTTTGCTGGCTGCTGTGTGCATTAACTCGATGGAGTGGGCCACCCGCCCTCAGCGCCCCTCCCCTGCAGATTCCATCAGAAGCCACAGGAGGGGCTATGGGCGATGAGGCCAGGGAGGCTGCGGGCCTCAGCTGCCCAAGGGCTCTGCCATGGCCACAGGGAGCCCCCTTCAGCCCCTCGTGCATGCCCTTCCCAGTCCTGAGTGGAGGGCTCTTCAGGGGTGTGGTTCAAACTTTTCCCAAGAGTCACAGCAGCTGCCTCTGGCCCAGCCATCGGGAAGGGAGCTGCGCTTTGCTTGGTCCTAGCTCAAGGAGTTCATCTCTGCCACTATCCTGCTGAGTGTCCCAAGGCTGGTGATATGCTTATTAGCTCACGCGTTGACTGTTCACTGTCCACAGATACCAGGCTACAGGAAAGGACAGCAGTTCTCAGGCTGGGCTTCAAGGAGCATGTTGAAAATAGCAGGGAGTTCCCTGACCATGTCGACACGTGTGCCTTGACTTTATTCAACTCCAGACAACAGCACAGACTGCAGATGGCAATCATCTAATTGCTAATAGATTAATGCAGTCAGCCCAACCGGCTTACTGCTTGTTAGGAAGTTGTTGTTTTCAACATTTATTCGGAGACACTGCTGAAAACCTGTCAGAGGTGCTGGCTGGAGGTTTGTCTGATGAATGAGAGGATGGGTGCCCGGCTCGGATGTCCACACCTTCATTAGGCTGGAATTTAAGTCGACATGAACTGGGAATCCAGACGTGTCTGTGATGAGAAAACAAAGCAACTGCCCTGTCTCCAGCTTTCCCTAATAAAATCCTGAATTTCTGTATGGTGTGCTCGCCGCAGACTGTGTGAGCGTATGTGAAGACAAGGCTTGTGTTTCCTGTTTGCTCAGTTCTACAAGTAGTGGTGACACAAAGTCGTAAGTCAAATGGTGTTTTTGAAGGGTGGAAGAGAGAGAGCACAGCTTAATTGTTGCATTGTGGGTTTTAGAGGTTTTGGGACACACCTCCGTAGACACACACAATGAACTCACTTTGAAAATGAAAGTCTCCTATATCCTGGCTGTTCCTAAGGATGAAGCTTCTCATTTGAAGCCTCCATATTTACTGGTGCTCGACTTTGTAAGCATTTGACGTTGAATTTACAGAAGGAAAAACAATCAACTCTGGCTTCTTAGTAAATGTTAAGAAAGTTGTGATAGCTGTTGGGTTTGTAATTCACAGCTATTAAATTCCTTAGGGAGGTGATAAAAAGTTTTTCTTGGGGCAAGAAAGTATGAAAAAAGATGAAGGAAAGTGCAAAAACACGTTTATACATGGGGCTTTGATACAGTTTTGTAATGCTAAGTGATGAAGAGCTATCAGCTTGGAATTCACACCTAATCAGTTCAGCAAATAGTTGTATAAACGCTGCCCTGAAAACACAAGAGTGGGAAGAGAAACCCAGGTGAGCTGCGAAGGTTCCCTGGCTTGAGTCCCAACCTACGCTTTCAGTTTAAGGGACATAAGGACGATATTTTTAAAATGCAATATATATATATATATATAAATAATACATATAATATTAAATAATAAGTATATATAAATATATATGTAGGCAACCAAACCACTTCGTGTAAAAACATAAATTTGCGTATCAAACTGCATTTTGTGAAAGTCCTTGCAGTTTCCTGAGAGACAGCAAGCCAACTAATTGGACACAAAATTGAATTCAAATGGCTTAGCCTGGCGTTCAAGGCCCACCAGTACCGGCCCTCCTTGTCCACGTGATTCTTGCACGCGTCTGAGCCTCTGGCCGAGGGGATGGCATGAAGGCTGCCAGCCTGTCAGACCTGACTGCTGGAGAACCGGCTGGTGCCCTCCTCAGGCAGCCCTGATGACAGAACGGAGGGAGGTCTTCCTCTTGACTCATCTGGTAAACCATCGTGCTGTGACTCGAGATACATTTTGAATTTCATGTTTTACTTCTCAAAAAAAAAAAAATCTCGACTCGTGCTGACGGTGAGAGAAAGCCGCCAGGATGCATAATTTAATTGCCTCAATTTTTACCTGAAGTCTCTGGATGAACAAAAGGATCTGGAATGTGCTTTCTTTCTTCGTTTAAATAGAACTCGCCTGCTGAAATATAGAGCATGAAAAACAATATATTCTTTTAGACAATTTGGAAAGTATTTATAAAAAGACATAGGAGAGGACTTTTAATTGTTATATATTTTGATCTTAGACGATGTCATAAAGAATGCTTGGATGCCATGTCTCACATTAAGGGGCAGCTCTTGCAGATCTGGCTGTGACAGTTTTGGGACCTGATGAAAAAGGACAAAAAGAGGAAAAGAGGCCCACAAAGAGGAAAAGAGGCCCACAAAGAGGAAAAGAGGCCCACAAAGAGGAAAAGAGGCCCACAAAGAGGAAAAGAGGCCCACAAAGAGGAAAAGAGGCCCACATGTATATGTCTGAACATCTGAGCTAGGAATCTACTGGGCGTGTTGTGTTCTGATCACCAACCTTGATGGATGTGCCACCATAGCCGCCTGGAAGCTGAGGTTTGAATTTAGAATCCTCAGACACACAAAGCCTTGCCCAGGACTATGGCCAGGGTGGAGAAGCCTCACCTGGACTGGGTGCTGGGTGCTGGGTGCTGGGTGCCAGCCTGTGGCCTGCCCCACTGGGGGTGGAGGAGCCTCACCTGGGCTGGGTGCTGGGTGCCAGCCTGTGGCCTGCCCCACTGCTCTTCCTGTTTGCGGGTCTGTCCTGTGCCTCCAGGGACCTCATGGAAGTGAAGGAAAAGGCTGTGGGCAGAGAACATGTTGAGGGCCACCTGGCAGAAATCAGTGTGCTGCCCAGCTGAAATGGGCTAGGACTGGGACCCCCGCCCACGAAGGAGGACTGCCCTACTTTGGGCCAGTGGCGGGTAGCGGGGATGCTCTGAAGTTGCCGGCCTCACATGAGGGCAGGACTGGGACTGCCTCTGATTGTCCTAAAGGAGAAATCAATGATCATTTTTGGGAAGGATGAAGATTTCACCCAGGGCAGGAGCCAAGAGCATGGCCCACAGCTCTTGACCTTAGAGAAACTCCTCTCCCAAAAAGGGCGGGGGGTGGGGGGTGCTGGGGAGCCCTCAGCTCCGTGTGGGCCTCTGTAAGTGTTCACTGGTTTAGAAAAGGAAACTGGGGATAATTCGTATCTGATCATTACTGAATGCATTCTTCAGTAGAAAGCAGGTATCTATAATCTCCTGAGCAAATTCCCTCAGAATTCCGAATCTTTTACTTGCAAATCTATATACACTTTTTAGAAACTGGTGTCCGGCAGGAAGAAGGAGGTCCCTAATATTTAGCTAAATATCCCTATGAAAGGCTGGGCTGTGCTGGGCTGTTTCTCCCGGCCAGATTCCTTCAGGTGGCTGAGAGCTCATTTGTGAAAGCTGCGGTGAACATCCTTGCGTGAACATCTCTGCCTGCATCTCTGAGCTACTCTGAGGATGGTTTTTGGAAGCGTGATGGTATTAAGGAGTGTAAACTCCTAACTCTCGTCTCTTAGATCACCACATTCCTTTTGAGAGGCAATTCAGGTTTCTATTTCCACCAGCAGCAAAAAATATCACCATTTCACTTCACTCTTCCCAACATCAAATATTGTCTTGCTAAACTGCCAATTTGAAAGGTGAAAAAACTTTCATAATTGCTCCTATTCGCATTTTAAAATCTCTGTGAGGCTGAATGTTTTTCACATGTTTAGAACTTCTGTGACTTACCCATTCAAACCATTTGTCTCCTGGTGGTGGATAAATGCTCCTTAAACGTGGAGGATATTAAGGCTTTGCCAGAGTTGTTGCTGATGTTTTTCTCAATATGCCCTTTGTCTTTTAATGACGGAAGAAAGACAAAAATATTACTTTATGACAATAAACATTAATAAGTTAAACTCTCCTATTCCGTGACAAAGATTAGCAGATTAGGGTAAACCATAAGGCCCATTTATAAGAAGCATACAGAAAACAAAATGCTATTTTAATGATAGTTTCGATAACGAAAAAGTTACCATGTACCACGATTTACTGTGTGAAGCATGGTACGTTTCCTCAAAGCCTTTCTTTCTTTTTTTTTTTTTTTTGAGACTGAGTCTCGCTCTGTCGCCCAGGCTGGAGTGCAGTGGCGCGATCTCGGCTCACTCCAAGCTTCACCTCCTGGGTTCACGCCATTCTCCTGCCTCAGCCTCCGGAGTAGCTGGGACTACAGGCGCCCGCCACCACGCCAGGCTAATTTTTTTTTTTATTTTTAGTAGAGACGGAGTTTCACCGTGTTAGCCAGGATGGTTTCTATCTCCTGACCTCGAGATCTGCCCGTCTCGGCCTCCCAAAGTGCTCGGATTATGGGCATGAGCCACCGCGCCCGGCCTCCTCAAAGCCTTTCTGATTGGACTTCTCTCACAAGCTCTCCTGAGACCTCTTAGTTTTTACAGATGGCACCTTGCACATGAGACATTGATTACAACATTTGCAACTACGTGCTTGAGACATTGTATACAATATTTCAACTATGTGCTTGATGCCAGTCTTTCAGCCCGCTTGCGGGGTTGCAAATTCCTGGAAGACTGTGTGTGAGTGTGCTATTCACCACTGAATCACTCAGTCAGTAACTGTTCACAGACGGACCCTAAATTCATTCGCTCATTTAATTCAACCTTATGTATAGCAATTATTGCCCCCATCTTATAAGTAAAGAAACAGGCTTGGAGAATGAAGTGACGTTCCTCCAACCACGAGTCTCTGAAGTAGCTCAGCCAGAATGGAAGCCCCGGTTTTAGTGACCACAAAATGCATCCACCACACAACAGCTGGAGGTTCAGGAGGAAACTCCAGGAGAAGCTTGTGGAGAAAAGCAAAGGAAAAGAAAGGAAGGCTTGAAATAGTCATTTACAACAAAGGCCAAATGCAAGGCAACCATCATTTAACGAAAAAAGAGAAACATTATTTTTTGGAAAGAAAGGATATTGTTCAACAAGGCTGTATCAGTCTCGAACATTTTGTGCTAAATGCCAACATCTAAATATACTAAAAATACTTTTAGAAATGTAGATATAAGTGGGCAGAAATCCATTTATAGGAGATTATGTTTCTCCCAGGCTTTGATCAAATAGACAATGTATACATTAAGGACCTAATGAATTTGAATAGTTTAACTAAAAACGTTACATGAAAGCATCTCTATCAAATATTGTATTGCATGAATTATTATTTTATCCTTTCAAGTTGCTATGAAACATATGCAAAATAGAGATTATATGTTAGACCACAAAAATAACAGTTATTCTAATGCATTAAACCAGAAATTAATTTTAAAAATACACAGAATGAATTGCTTGTAAAATTAAAAACAAAACAATACAAAGCAACAGCCGGGCTTGGTGGCTCACGCCTGTAATGCCAGCACTTTGGGAGGCCGAGGCGAGTGGATTGCCTGAGGTCAGGAGTTCAAGACCAGCCTGGCCAACGTGGTGAAACCCCATCTCCACTAAAAATAAAAAATAAAAAAAAAAATTAGCCATGAGTGGTGGCGGGCGCCCGTAGTCCCAGCTACTCAGGAGACTAAGGCAGGAGAATCACTTGAATCCAGGAGGTGGAGGTTGCAGTGAGCCAAGATTGCACCATTGCACTGCAGCCTGGGCAACAGGAGTTAAACTCCGCCTAAAATAAAAACAAAAACAAAAACAAAAAACACTTCCCTAAAGGGACTGTTGAATCAAAAGATTCATCCAAACAACCAGAGCAGACCAATTAGGCTTCTGAGAAGCACTGCTGAGCCCCCACCACGAGGCCAGTGTGGAAGGCACCTAAGACATTTGTGAAATGAAGGAAGACCGAAGCACCCAAGTGACTTGCTTTTGCCTTTGCAGAACCCCTCTCTCTGTAACAGAGCCTTTGTGTACATTTCTAGCATCTCACAGCACCAACAAGATGTTCCTGACTATGATCCCCTCCACTTGGAATAATTTCCTTCCTCCCTGCTTTTACATGTTGGGGTGACAAGTGAGTCCTTAGCCTACAAGACCTCAACCTTCAGCTGAAACTTGAACCCACCAGAAAGCTTTCCGCACCCACAAGGCAGGCCCAGGTTAAGGCAACTCTTGTCCATGGTGGAGTAGAACTGCACGGGTAGCTCATGCCTAGAGCAATGCACTACACAAGCGAGTGCTCCTTCTCCATCTTACCCTCTCTCCTTCTGAAGAAACCTTCATGAGGGCATAGATCCTGACATTTCTGAATCCCCTGAGCCTGGCAGGGACTTGTCATTCCTCCTTATGAGAAAACCTGAACAATCTAAAAATCAACAGCTTTTCAGGACTCATCAGAAAATGGAGATCACAGGGCAGAATCTGGAGAGCTGGAGACATCAGAGAGACACAGCTCAGATTTGCTTACCTGAGCTTATGGCCCTGAAGCCATCAGCCAGTAGGACCACATGAATGGCAATTTTGACAGATTGCTGGAGACAGGTGTGGGCTGGCTGAGAGGGAGGAACTCCTACGAGCTGCAGTCCTGGGGACCCCCACATCTTTACCCTCCTTCCCTGCAGAAACCCCATTGGGTTCTCACAGTGAGGATCAGAGAAAGATCCCCTTGCATTATGAACAGGGGAAGGAAAGACTGATCATGGAGAAATACCTCCCCAGAGCTTTCTCCACAATGAAGGCCCGCTCTGGGGCAAGGACTTTGCCAAAGGCAATTCTGAATCTTTGTCTGGGCAGAGGACAGCCATTTCTCCTCACCCCAGCCCTGTTCAGCCTTCTTGTCTGACCCTGGCAGGGAGAATCATCACCAGTGTGGTACAGTGATTCCAGGAAAGAGACTGGGGAGTCTGCCACTGGAGAAGAAAGTAGGGGACAGGGGCCAGAAAGATCTGTATCCGTCAGTCAGGGTGGGACAGAAGCGTGTTCGAAGAACGTAGTAGTAGTTCAATAGTAGCAATATATTTTGTAGAAATTAACAAATTTGATTCCAAAATTTACATAGAAATGCAAAAGACATAAAATAGTCAAAATCATACTGAAGAAAAAAAAGTTGGCAGAATCACATTGCCCAATTTCAAGAATTATTATAAAGCTACGGAAATAAAAGCAGATTTGGAAAAATAATAGATCAGTGGACAGAATGTAGAGTCCATACGTAGACCCATACAAATATAGTCAACTGATTTTTGACAAAGGCATTGAAGGCAATTTAATGGGGGAAAAAAAAGAATCCAGGTACAAATTTCACATCTTACACAAAATTTGACTCAAAAGAATAATAGACAAACATGTAAAATGCAAATTATAAAATTTCTAGAAGAAAACGTAGGTGAAAATATATTTGACCTTAACTTTGGTGATACATTTTTAAATAAAACACCAAAAGCATCATTTATGAAAAAACATTGGTAAGTTGGATCATTAAAATTAAATGCTTTTGCTCTGTAAAAGAATGAAAAAGATAAATTACTAAATAGAAGAAAACATTTACAAATCATATATCTGATAAGTAAATTGTATCTAAATTATACAAATAACTTGTAAAACTCAACAATGAGAAAATGCAAATTGTAAAATGCCAACTAAGTTTCCAATTTAAAAAAATGGGCAAAAGTCCTGAACAGCTATCTCATTAAAGAACATATACAGGTGGGAAATAATCATATAAAATGCTCGCAATCATTTTTTATTAAATAATTTAAAATTAAAGCAATAATAAGTTACCACACACACCTATTAGAATGGCTAAAATCCTAAACACTGACATTACCAAATATTGATGAGGATGTGGAGAAACAGAAACACTCATGTTTTGCTGAAGGGAATGCAAAATGATCCAGTCACTTTAAAAGACAAGTTGGCTATTTCTTAAAAAGTTACATATGGTCTTAACATACAATCTGGCAATCATCCTCTTAGATATTACCTGATTTCAAAACATATGTTCACATGCAAAAAAAAAAAAAACTTCACATGAATGTTTATAGCAGCTTTCTCCATAATCATCAAAAGCTGAGAGCAACCAAGATACCCTTTGGTAGGTGAATGGATAAACAAATCCTGTTACATTGTACAATGAAATATTATTCAGCAATAAAAATAAATGAGCCATCAAGCCACAAAAAACACACAAAAGAAACTTAAATGTATATTGCTCAGTTGAAGAAGTCAGTCTGAAGTGGTAACAGACTACGTGATTTCAATTATATGACTAACGGAAAAGACGCAACTAGACAGATGGGTGAAGAGATCAGGAGTTGTCAGAGCTTCCGTGGAGGAAGTACTGAAAAGATGAAGTATTGTACATCTTTAGGATGGTGAACTGTTCTGCATGATATTGCAATAGCAAATACATGACACCATGCTTTTATCAAAACCTACATGTCTTTACAAAACAAGAAATGAATATTAATGAATAAAAATCATTATTATTATTATTTTTTGAGAGAAAGAATCTCACCCTGTCACCCAGGCTGGAGTGCAGTAGTGCAACCTCGGCTCACTGCAACCTCCACCTCCTGGTGCGAGTGATTCTCATGTCTCAGCCTCCCAAGTAGCTGGGATTACAGGCATGCACCACCACGCACTGCTAATTTTTGTATTTTAGTAGAGATGGGGTTTCACCATGTTGGCCAGGCTGGTCTCAAACTCCTGACCTCCAATTATCCACCCACCTTGGCCTCCCAAAGTGCTGGGATTACAGGCATGAGCCACTGTGCCCAGCCTATTTTTAAAAATAACTTTAAGTGGTGAAGGGATGTGAGGATGGAATGAGCACAACAACAAGAGTTCAACTGTATTACCAATGTGTGAAAGAAGCTTACTGAAAGAAGGAGCTATCTTAAGCAACTGGAAATGGATAGAGAAGGAGCTACTTAAGTAACTTTGGAAATGGATAGAGAAGGAACTACATAGGTAACTTTGGGAAATGGATAGAGAATGAGCTACAAAAGTAACTTTGGAAATGGATAGAAGAGCTACATAGGTAACTTTGGAAATGGATAGAGAGGGAGCTACTTAACTAACTTTGGGAAACGGATAGAGAAGGAGCTGCTTAAGTAACTTTGGGAAATGGATAGAGAAAGAGCTATGTGAGTAACTTTGGAAATGGATAGAGTCTGTAGACTAAGGGTAAAAGACACTGTACATAGCACTGCACTCTGACTGATAAAGTTATGTCCCATAAGGGTATGGGTTAACAATACTAATACCACTCTACAGGTGCACTAAAACTGAGAAACCAAGTAAACAGCAGCAGAAAATGGGTGCTAAGTTTTACCATGTTGGAGTGGGGGTGTAGAGAGAAGCAGGGAGAAGAGGCTCTAATGATCCACATGGCAATGGATGAGAGCTGGAGCCATCAGTAAGAACTCAGGTTTAGCTCATTATAGACATAGATGGTTACATAGAGAATATTTATGGATTCATGCACATACTCGGGTCAGAACACACATGTACATTCCCTTGCTCCTCAGATGAGGAGGCCTGGAAACGATGGTACCCTCATAGCAATGACTGCACCTGATGCCTGAAATTTGGTTTCTCATGCCTTTCTCTAATAAACAGAACCAGGAGAAATGTCTGACTCCAAGAATGGGGCAGGAAATATGCAAGATGAGCCAGGAGCAGCTTGTAGTGCCATAAAGTAAGGAAGTGCTCATAGCAAACCAACAAGGATGGGACTATGTTCCAGAGAAACAAGAACCAACTGAAAGAGCTCCCAATGGCCAAAGCCAGAACAATGAGAACAATGAAAGAAACAAAGGAGTATTGTATGACAACCAAGCGTAAAGCAAACATCGATGAGTCTATACGGGCAGAAATACATGATTAAACAAATAAAGACACAGGCAAACTAACAAATAAGTAAGGTGAAAGAGATCAATCTCTCATGCGGAATGATTCCACATAATTTATGTAGAAACTCCACTCTCAAAAAGATGTAGAGAAAGCTCCCCAACCCCTCAAGTGTGGGTTTCCCACAGTGACTTCTTGCCAAAGAGTTCGGTGTGGGCAGGAGGGAAAAGGAACAGTTGTATAGTGGAGACATCTGATGGACACTCTTCTAGCTAGATCATCTAGCTCCGCACCAATGATGACAGCGCCTACTGATGTTAATATGCTGGATCTGAGGTGACAAGAAGGCATATCACCTCTGTGGTCTTCCTCTCCAAACCCATCACCCCTGTCAAGCCATGAGGAAAACATCAGACAAATCCCAGTGGAAGACATTCTACAAAACACCGGATCAGTACAACTCACAACTGTCAAGTTTGTCAAAAAATAAAGAAAATCTGAGAAACTGTCGGAGACAAGATGTGCCCAAGGAGATGTGATGAGTACATGTAATGAGGTACTACGGATGGTGTCCTGGCATAGAAAATGAACATTAGGTAAAAAAATAAGGAAATCTGAATATAGTAGGAACTTTAGTTAATCATATTGTATCGGCCGGGCGAGGTGGCTCACTTGTAATCCCAACACTTTGGGAGGCCGAGGTGGGTGGATCACCTGAGGTCAGGAATTCGATACCAGCCTGGCCAACATGGCAAAACTTCATCTCTACTAAAAATACAAAAAATTAGCCAGGCGTGGTGGCACACACCTGTAATCCCAGCTACGCAGGAGGCTGAGGCAGGAGGATTGCTTGAACTCACTGGGCAGAGGTTGCAGTGAGCCGAGATCATACCACTGCACTCCAGCTCGGATGACAGAGCGAGACTCTGTCTCAAAATAAAGAATCATATTGTATCACGATTGGGTCATTGAATCAATATTGGCTCATTGTTGGTTAGTAAATATTACATCAATTCTTGTGACAACTGCATCATGTGACTATAAGATTAATAACAGAGGGAACTATGTGTGGGGTATATGGAAATTCTCTGTAACTATCTTTGCAACATGTTTGTAAATTGGAAATTTTTAAAAAATAAAAAGTGCATTGTGTATTAAAATGTTTTGTAAAGGGTTGGCATATTTTAACAGCAACAATTTTTAACTGATAAAAACCTCTTGTTACATCTTTTTAAAATTATTATATCGGCAAAAAATGTTGTATGACAATTTTGAAAAAGGAAAATTAATTCCACACTCATAACTCCACCGTGTGACAAATCTTGCCGGTTTCCATTTCCAGGCTTTTGGCCTGACTTGGTCACATGGATGCAGATTTTTCAGAGTTGGATATTTTACTGTTCTTGTTCACCTACTACTTTCCTTACTGCTTGTTTTTTAAATAAAATTATAAAATGCAACAACAGAGTTGTGTTCCCCCGAGAAATTATTTTCTATTACACACAGTGCAACTGTGAACATCTTTGTGAGTATAATTTTTCTCTTCCATTGAATAATTTCTTAGGATGCCCTCTCAAAATTCCTTGTTTGGGGTCAAATGACAGGGATCCTTTCATGCCTCTTAAAATTGATAAATAAGATTAAGAATGTGAAATTACTACATGACAAGAGGAAAATTAAAAACAGAGGCAATTGCAAAACGACATTTGGCTGAGTTGGTGATTGATTAGCTCATTGAATGACAGAGATGAGAAACAACTCTTGCCCAGTGCTTTTTCTGGGCCAGGCACTTGGCATTTGCGATTACGCTGTGAATGACGCATGCGAAGTTAATGTTTAGCAGCATATTCCAAGCATGGGAAGATAATATAACAACATGCATCCAGGTCTGCTAGGGACACTTTCCTATTTCTTTCAAAGCATTTTTAAAAATAAAAAATATATTATAATTTAGTTAAATGCCATCGTTTTTTGTTTATCTGATATAACTCCTTTTCCTGCCTCTTAAAATTCACTTCTGTGTCTCACATTCATACTTTGTATTTCTATAATGTATGTGTATATAATAAACAACATGTACTATTGATTTTCATTGTTTTAAGACTTACTGTAAATGGAACTATGTCATCTTCCCTTTTGCAACTTGCCCATTTTGCTCAACACGCGTTGGGTTTTATGCTTGTACATAGATATTCATGTAGATTGAGTTAATTCATTTTAAATATTGATGGCATTGCTTCGTGCAAATATAACACACATTCTGCGAATACCTGCTGCTGGGCATTTAGGTTGTTTCCGGGAAACTGCCTCCCTGGGTCTCAGCATCTTCACCTGAGGCTCCCAAACTGCTCTTCAGCCTGTTGCATCCGTTTTTGCTCCCATTATAGCACCCGAGCACGTCCACCCAGGCTCAGGAGTGTCCTGAGTGTTATGGGGGAAGAGGTTCAGGATAGAAACTCAACTTTCTGCAACGGTGAAGGGAGCCAGGGAAGTTGAGGCCTGAGAGGGACATTGCTGGAACTGGGAGGGGACCATGGACCTGGGAACGCATGTGTCCAGCCCCCTTGCTGGACGTAAAGGGAAGCTAATAGGAGAGAGATCTGTGGGGAGCTCTTGCCCCCAGGGCCTCTCAGCTGCACCCCCTTGGCCGAGTGCTGCACGCAGCTGTGGGGCTGCCGTGGTCCGGAGAAAGGCTGAGGATGGCGTGCAAGGGACTGGGACTGGGACCGCACTGGAGCCTGACGGAATCCCTGGCCTTGTTTTCACTTAATCACCTCTTTAAAGACCCTCTCTCCAAACATAGTCCCATCCCAGGGTGCTGGAGGTTAGGGATTCAACATGGCATTGCAGGGAATAGGACACAGCCTGTGACACCAGGCAGGCAAAATGTGTCCCCGGAGGGCCTGGGTCAGGGAGATCTGACTCTCTGTTGCTTCAGCTCTCACATGTCACAGGGGCTCATCTTCTGGCCAAGATGAAGGCAGAGCCCTCCTGGGTTCACCAGAGGCCCCAGCGCCCTGCAGAGTAGCTAAGGGTGCCCACGCTGAGAGGTCGCTCTCACCTCTCCCACTCTCTCCTCTCCCGCTCCGCTCACTCCTGCATCTTTCCCTTCATTGACTTTTTCTTTTTTGAGCTGAGCCATTCAGTTAAAAGCATGTGCTTATTATGTTTTATCTTGCTTTTCTAGGTGAATTATGTTTTAAGAAGAATTGTTTTAGTTTATTTATTCTACCCCATTGCTGGAACTGGAAATTTAGCTACAATATATAATACTCATAACAAGCGGCACAACTTTCCAAGCCTGGGAGGTGAGCCCCTTCCCCCACTCACACAGCTGTTACGTGATGAGCAGAGAACCCACCTGGGCCTTGCTACCCCAAAGCTCACGTCTCATGCACGAATGTTCTATTTCCGTAAGCTGTCAGAATACCATTCTGATGAAGGCTGGGCTCAGTCCTTCCTGGCGCTCCGCTTTCCCAAGAGGCACTGGCTCAGTCCCGATCTGATCCCATCTGGAGTTGCCTGTTTGTGGCTGATGCGGCCCCGTGGAGCTGCGTGTGGGTGTGGGGCCATTGGCTCTCTGCCTGGCTAGGGGAGGAGCACCCTCCATCTCCCTCCATGCGGGGGTCTGTGTTGTCCTCTGTCTGCTTCTCTCAGCTCTGGGAGCCTAGACACAGAAAGCCCAGGTCCTCCTTGTCATCTCTCCTGCCTGGAGTCCAGTCACCCTTATTCTGATAAAAACTCTTGAAAGTTTTGTGGAATCCTGAAAAGTTAGCAACAATGAGGAGGGGGACCCAGGTGGGGGACAGTGATTGTTCTGAGGGACGCTAACTGCAAACAGCACGCTGCCACAAGGACCTTCCTCGGTAGGTAGCCCCTCCGGCATGACTCCATCAAATCCTGCAGCCCCTGCCTCTTTGCAAACACCCCCTTCCCTGCTGTGCTGTCCGCTGCGCCCTTGCAACACACTTTTCCTCTAACCAACCTGCCTTTCTTTACCTGGGACCGTCTCGGTAAATTCCTTTACCACCCAGGACGGCAGGACACCAGCCCCAACCATTGGACCTGTGCCAAGTTTCTTGTCGGGAAGTGCTCCTGCTCCATGGGGTGTGCAATCTGGGTGCAGATTCCCGGAACCCAGGCCCCCTGAGGGACACACATTGCCTGCCTGGTGTCACATTCTGTGTCCTGTCCCCTGCAATCCTATGTTGAAGCCCTAACCTCCGGCACCCCAGCATGGGACTGTTTGGAGAGAGGGTCTTCAAAGAGGTGGTTAAGTGAAAATGAGGTCATAATGAGTGGGCCCTGATCCAATCCCACTGGTGTCCTCGTAAGAAGAGGAGATGAGGATGCGGACACACCCAGAAGGGTGGCAGGGAGAACACAGGGAGAAGATGGTGTCTGCAGGCCTAAGAGAGGGGCCTTAGGAGGAACCAACCCTGGCCACATCTTGATCTCAGACTTCTGGCCTCCAGCACAGTGAAAAATTAAAGTTCTGCTGCTTGAGCCACCCAGTCTGTGACAGTTACGGCAGCCGGAGCAGATGATGACACCTGTCCAGTTGGTGCACGTGCCCCAGGGCCCCTCAGGTGTGTTCAGGGCTGAGGGAATGACCCAGGTGGGGTCAGTAAGGAAAAGAAGCTCTCTGTTCTCAGATGTTCCGGACATCAGTGCCCAGACCTGGGCAGCGAGTGGCCGTGGTCACGGCTCATGGCAGAAGGCTGCCATCTGGACATCAGTGCCCAGACCTGGGCAGCGAGTGGCCGTGGTCACGGCTCACGGCAGAAGGCTGCCTTCCGGACATCAGTGCCCAGACCTGGGCAGTGAGTGGCCGTGGTCATGGCTCACGGCAGAAGGCTGCCTGCATACAGTCAGTGCCAGGGCGGGGACAGAGGGAGGCCCCCCTCCAAAGACTGGTTTATGCCCACGTCAGGCTGTGTGGGCTGCAGACCCACCCCAGGGTCGTGTCTCTGCCCTCGGTGCCCCAGCTCTGGAGCACAGGCTGTGAACGTGGCCCTCCCGGAGGACCGAGCCCAGGTCCGCATTCAGATGCCCTCCTCATCTCGAGGGCGTGCGGAGTGTGATGGAAACACAGGCAGACATGAGGGATACACTCCTCCTTCTCCATTTTCCTTTGCTTGAGCCAATGACTTGGTTTTTGTAGAACACAACTTTCCCCTGGAGGGCGAAGCGAGCAGATTTCTGGAGCTTGAAATGGCAATCGTCATTAGGGTAACCCGCTTCCCCAGAGCATGTGCCCGGCTTGTCCTGGAAATGACAAGAATGGAGACGTGGCTGAGCACAGACACCAAGGCCTGAGGACGCTGAGACTTGGGGATCTATATCATCCTCCACGGATCTCTCCAAAGCCAGTTTCTGTCCTATATAATATTCACCTCATTGGGATATTTCCCCATCATTTCAATGGGATGTTATAGTGAGATAAACATGCCAGACAAAATTGAATTCTGTGGGTTTATTTATTGATTTATTTATTTTTGGAGGGGGAAGTCCAATGAATGTGAATCAAAGCAACATTTTGCACTTTACATCAGAATTGATGTTGCTGGCATAATTAAGAAACTCATTTCATTAAGAATTGCTAATTACGAGATGCTAAAAAACAATAACCCTGGACTGTATATATTTCAAGCTAGGAGAGACATTTATTAGAAGGAGAAATGGTCTTAAGGATTTCTAAAAATGTGAAATTAGATGCCACCCAGAGGTCGCATGGGCAGGGCTGGTGAGTGGAATTGGAGTCTGAACCCCACAGTGATGGGGAGCACAGGGAAAAATGTTCCCCAATCCAAGGACTTGGGCTGAGTTTCCTGAGACCATCCAGGCATGGGGCCTTGACCGCTTTCTCCCACCAAGCCCAGGGGCAGTGAATCTGCAGGTTCTTTCCTTTCTTTCTTTCTTTCTTTCTTTCTTTCTTTCTTCCTTTCTTTCCTTCTTTCTTTTTCTTTCTTTCTTTCTTTCTTTTTCTTTCTTTCTTTTTCTTTCTTTCTTTCCTTCTTTCTTTCTTTCCTTTCTTTCTTTCTTTTTCTTTCTTTCTTTTCCTTCCTTCCTTCCTTCCTTCCTTCCTTCCTTCCTTCCTTCCTTCCTTCCTTTCTTTCTTTCTTTCTTTTTTTCTTTCTTTCTTTCTCTCTCTCTCTCTCTCTCTCTTTCTTTCTTTCTTTCTTTCTTTCTTTCTTTCTTTCTTTCTTTCTTTCTTTCTTTCTTTCTTTCTTTCTTTCTTTCTTTCTTCTTTCTTTCTTGTACTGGGTCTCACTCTGTCGCCCAGGCTGGAGTGCAGTGGTGCAATCTTGGCTCACTGCAACCTCCACCTCCCGAGTTCAAGTGATTCTCCTGCCTCAGCCTCCTGAGTAGCTGGGACTACAGGCGCCCGCCACCACACTCAGCTAATTTGTATTTTTAGTAGAGACAGGATTTCACCGTGTTGGCCAGGCTGGTCTTGAACTCCTGACCTCAAGTGATCCACCCACCTCAGCCTCCCAAAATGCTGGGATTACAGGCGTGAGCCACCACGCCCAGCCTGGAGGTTATTTTCTGATCCCAAGGGAATTTCATGCAAATTGTTTATGTTATCAATTCCTGCTAGGGGCTCTCGAAGACAACTCTGCTTGAGGTTTCAGAGGTACCTACGGAGGCCACAGGCCCCAGCCCCTCTTGAATGGTGGAATTGTGCTTTTCCAGGACACAGAAGCACTGAATGCCACCCTTCGCTGCCCCCAGTTTTTACTCCTCACACTGGATTCTTAAAGAGATTCACTGCTGTTTCTCCTCACTGGACAAAGATGAAATGTGCTTTCTGTCAATGTCGTCCAAGAGGCAGAATTTGAATACTCATAAATAAATGGCAAAACACTGCAGATGGCATTTTAAGTGACTATTTGTGATTTAGAGAGGATTCATTGTGTGTTTGGTTTTCTTTGAGCCCTTATCAGACGCCTTTGTTCCTTCTTCAGGGGACGTTCATGGAGCCACCATTGGGCTCTGGACACTGAGCAAAGGAGGATGATATCCCAAAAAACGAGACCATGACCCAGCTGGGAAGACAGAGCCCAGCCGGTCTCTTCCTTCCTCCTCTCTCTCTGTCACTCTCACACACACCCACTCTCTTTAATGAAATGACACATCTACACAATTTTCAACAACAGCTGCTAAAATGACCCAGTGAGAGGCAGAGGGAACTGTGTGATAGGCACATCAGGCCAACGGCTGGTTATTTCTGATACCCTTCCTGATGGATGGGACACAGTCAAAAGGACATCAAAGGTTCTTTGGTGAGGGCTTCTTGCCAAAATTTAAACCGGAGTCCGACCATGATCCAGTTACTAATTTAAAGAAAACACAGAGGCCGGGCATGGTGGCTCACGCCTGTAATCCCAGCACTTTAGGAGGCTGAGGTGGGTGGATCACCTGAGGTCAGGAGTTTGAGACCAGCCTGACCAACATGGTGAAACCCTGTCTCTACTAAAAGCCAGGTGCAGTGGCTCATGCCTGTAATCCCAGCTAGCAGGGAGGCTGAGGCAGGAGAATCACTTGAACCTGTGAGGCAGAGGTTGCAGTGAGCTAAGATCACACTACTGCACTTCAGCCTGGGCAACAGAGTGAGACTCCATCTCAAAACAAAACAACCAAACAAAAAAAGAAAATACAGGGACAGAGGAATATGTTAGAAACACCACAGGGGTAAAATTTGGCAGAATCTTGAGAGTGTGTGGGAATGTCTATAGGACAAATGAACTTTCTTCAACAAAAACTAAAAAACAAACAAAACCACACACACACAGAAGATGTCCTCTGCAGATCGAAAGAACTTAAGAGGCATAGAAACCAAATGTGTGAACCTCATCTGGGTTTGGTGAACCAACTGTCTGTAAAATAACGAGTGTGAGAGAGGGTAGAACTATCAAATATGGAGAGGACTGTAGATGATTTTCGGAAATGATCAAGGTGTTCGGCATAGATGGCATAGCTGGGCTAAAAAGAAGTCCTTGTTTTCTAGAGGTACACACACCAAAGTACTTCTGGATAAAATTACTGTGTGTCTAGGATTTATTTTTAAACAATCCATTTTGGAGTATTAGTGAGTGTGGCTGTGGCTGAAACAATATTGATCATGTGTTTAAAACCGTTAAATATGTGTGATGGTGGCCGGGCGTGGTGGCTCACACCTGTAATCTCAGCTCTTTGGGAGGCCGAGGCAGGTGGATCACCTGAAGTCAGGAGTTTGAGACCAGCCTGATCAACATGGAGAAACCCCATCTACTAAAACTATAAAAATTAGCCAGGCGTGGTCGTGTGCCTGTAATCCCAGCTACTCGGGAGGCTGAGACAAAAAAACAAAACAAAACAAAACAAATCTGGGTGACGGTTAGTGGGGGCTCATCTTCCTATTCTCTCTCTTTTTATACACACATGAACATTTCCAAAATACAATGTGAATAATTTTTTTTTTTTTGAGACAGAGTTTTGCTTTATTGCCCAGGCTGGAGAGCAGTGGCGCAATCTAGGCTCACTGCCACCTCCGCCTCCCAGGTCCAAGAGATTCTCCCGCCTCAGCCTCCCGAACAGCTGAGCTACAGGTGCATGCCACCACCTCTGGCTAATTTTTTGTATTTTTAGTAGAGATGGGTTTTCACCATGTTAGCCAGGATGGTCTCGATCTCCTGACCTCGTGATCCACCCACCTTGGCCTCCCAAAGTGCTGGGATTACATGTGTGAGCCACCACACCCAGCTGAAAAGATGCTTTGCAGGAGGTTAGATGGAGGTATGCATCTAGGAGATGGGATAACAGCTCTGAGGATCAAATTGTGCAGGTATGAATAGCAGCCTGGTGTCTGGAACACCAGCACGCAGAAGCAGCCATGTCTGGAAGCTTCTCTTTGTTTTGTGAAGGAGAAGGCCAGGCCCCTGCTGGGCGTGTGGGTGAGCTGAGGTGCTGAACTCCAAGGCTGAGCAGTGGGCAGGAGGTTCAGAAGAGGCCAGAGTGGATGGGGCAGGGGTGTGGCCCAGGGCAGTGGACACATCGCCAGGATGAGAACTGATTGTGTGCTTTTGTGATGTTGTCCATCAGGCCGCCTGGCTCCAGTATGACGACTGGAAAATCCAAGGACAGGTCTTTGTCTTGAAGAAAGACAGAGGAGCGAAGGAAGTTAGGGGTTGTCCAGAATGGAACTAGCCTTGGGAGCTTGAGTCTCAGCTACTGAGGGGGTGAGAGCAGCGAGGGGAAGCTACAGGGTTTCTTATGTTAACCGTCTGCCCCATGGCGCTCCAGGAAACCCACGAGGAGTTTTACTGGGAACCATTGAACAAGGACATTGGCAATGTGGGGCATTTTTTATAGGGGAGATCGATGGGGTGGAGCTGAGGGGATGGATGGCAAAGCTAAGCTGTGACCTTGGGCATGGGGGTCAAGGGTAGATCAGAGGAGGTCACTGCAGGCAAGAAAGTCAAGGGACCACTAGTTTGTGCCTCTGTAGTGGGCTTTCACATAGCTGCTCCAGACCTACCACTAATGCAGGGCTTGAGGCAGAAAGAAGAAGGCTCTGGGTTGGAGCTCAGACTTCATGCAAGCAAGGAGTGGCGGGTGTGATGGAAGTCAGTCCGAGGGGGAGGCAAGCTGGTGACATGGAAAGGCAGGGGGCTCAGGAGCAGAGCTGTGGGTGCATATGAGGGTGCGCATGTGTGAGTGTGTGTGCACATGTGTGTACATATGAGTGTGCATGTGTGTGTGCTGCGAGGGTGCAGGTGTGTGTTCCCGTACACGTGTGCATGTCTGAGCATGCCCTTGTGCTCTCCAACTGGAGAACGAAGAAGCTGTACAGCTGCCGGGGAGGTGGCCAACTTAAGGAAGGAGGGAGGCGTTGCCGGTGACAGCAGGATCAGGGATATGGTTCTGAATGACTCCGCACAATTTTGGGGGTGTCTTCTGGAGCATTTGTTCCAGGTCTCATGCTTTTTCCTCAGAGATTCCTATCCCAACAGGAGCTGTGCTGTGACGGGTGCAGACAGGAGCCCAGAAAACAGCTGGTGGGGCTCTCACCCCAGCTCTGCACGGCCACGTCACTCACAGGTGGCACTGGGACTTCTCCGAGTCCCATTTCCTGTCTCTGAGAAAGTTAGAGGGCTCTGAAGCCTGAGTATCCAGCGACATGCTTGGGGTGCCCTGTGCTTCCCCTTCTCCCTGTGGACCCTGGCTCCAGCGCAGGGCTGGGGTATGAGCAGGCGTGGCAGACAGGCCCAACCCAGGCCCCGCACCGCGGCTGTGCTCAGCACAGAGCAATGGAAGACGCGCTTCCCGGGCTGCAGCAAGCGTCGCCCGGCAGGCAGGGGACCTCAGGAACAGAAGCTCTGTCTGAGACCAGGGCCCTTTCCTATGGTGTGACTTCAGGCGGGTTCTTCCAGCTCGCGGTGGGTGTCTTACTTGCTGTTGGGCAGGTTTGCTGAAAGGGAGGGTGAGACTTGCCGCCTGCCCTGGGCTCCCACCACCCAAGCGCAGGGGGCCCTTCCCTTCCTGCTGCTTTCTCACCGGGGACAGGAGCAGCGCTGGAGGCTCCTTTTCCCTCAGGCTCAGGAAGCAAAGTGGCCTCTGCCCCAAATCCCAACTGAAAAAGGTGACCCCCAGGATCAGATGTGGATTCCCTGCCCCGTTCTCGGTCAGAGTCCAAGTTCCATTGCACACCATTGCACAATCTCGCCTGAATGCTGTGATGGTGACGGGGCCACGCTTCCTGCCGGCTCTGCCTGGGCCTGGGAGCCACCCCTCGGGCCCTGCAGCGGTGGCCTCTGCTTCTCTCCGTTTGTGCGTGACTCCACCTTCCGAATACAATCATTGGCCTCATTAGCTGTGGTCGGCACTTCCTTTGAGAGCTGGGGGAGAACACGCTGATGATACATGGATGTCCTGAAAACCCAGACGTCTGTTTCATTGGCTTGTTTTGCTTTACCAAGGGCTCCGGGGTCGGCCGCTGTCTCCTGTAAGGGTGAACTTGGCTGTGACCGGGGCAGGCTGGAAGCCAGGGGTCTGGCCAGGGAAGGCTGGTATAACTACATCACAGGGGCTGCATTTTCCGGGTTCTGTACGTCCAGCGGCCAGAGTGGGGTGGGGAAGGGGAGGCGTCCGTACATCTGGCTGCTCCCCACTCCCAGCACTGTCTGCTGAGCCCTGTGGATCCTTCTGGAATGCACCCTGAACTTTGTTTCTCCCCGTGCCAGGTCCCTTGGGATGGAGCTGCAGCCCGCAGGATCCAGCCAGCGGGAACTGGGGCTGCCTCGTGCCCTTGACTTTCCTGGTGATGGATGAGCTCAGGTCCCCACACGTTCGCCTGGGCCTCCCTTCTTCCCCATATGTCCCCCAAATGCAGGTCTGCCTGGGCATGGGCATCCATCACAGGTGTCGGGGGGTGTAGAGGGGGCCTCCTTACAGTCAGGCTGTACGGGAGGCTGTGAGCTCACCTAACCCCCCACATCTTCAGAAAGCAGGGCGACGTGTGCCCAGGGGGAAGATAGATGTTTGGGGACCAGGCTTGGCTGCAGCACTTACAGTCACATGATGTCAGATGGCCCCTCAGGCCTCTCTGAGCCTGAGTCCTCAGCTGGAAATGGCAGGCTGCTATTCATTACGGTATTCATTCAACAAACCTTTCCAGTGCCTCCTGAGAGTCGTTCTGTTCTAGGGGTTGGGGACACAGCCATGAGCAGAACACCCAGCCCTACCCTGAGGAGCTGAAATTCCAGTGGAAGAGCCAGTGTTGGAAAAGTCCCTGGCACACCATGGCTATTGGATTTAATATTTATGAGTATCATCAGAGAACACAAACATGGCTCTACCAACTGCCAAGTAATCCCGGCCTGAGGAATTGGCCCCAAGGAGCTCATCCTTGAAGGACGAGGCCACAGGTAGAAAGCAGTGTTTTCAATGCAGAGTTCTTCACACGGTGAAAACCTGGATCAAATACCCCTCTGTGGAGAGCTGATCTAGTGAAGAACGGTTCCTCATTTGAAGGAATATTATGAGGCATTCAAAATCATAATTACAAAGCAAAGTACATAACCACATACAATGTTTATGGGGTACAATTGCACACACGCAGTGTTTGCAGGTGAGGAAAACTGTGTGTGGGGACAAGGACTGTGCATGTGTGTGCATGCGTGTGTGTGCACGCATGTGTGTGCATGTGTGTGCACAGGGGCTGGGAAAGGCAAGCAGAGAGAGAAGAGCAGCTGGTATACTTGGGCAGCAGGGTTGAATCCGCCACTAGTCACGGGCTCGCACACGGGCACAGCCGCGGCAGATGGACCTGGCCTGGCTCTGTCGTGACAGCTGTGGCTCTTCAGCCACACACTGTGTGACCCCTCTCCTCCTGGTAACATCGGTTCCTTATTACCCTGGACACTGTCTTCTCTGGAGCATGTGGCATCATGCTTCGCCCTCTCCAAATGCAGCTGCTGCCTCGGGCCTTTTCATCCTGGGTGCAGAAGTGTGACGATGCAAAGTGGTGCCTGTCACTTTTTGCTCCCTATGTGGGGGCTGCTGAGGGTTTTCATCAGGCACTTTCTGCTTCCCGGACTCCCGAGCTGCCTGGCCCCTGCCTGTCTCCTCACCTGGCTCTCCGGACAGCCCTCCGGGTCTGAGCTGCCCAGGATGCCTCCTGCTGATGCTACATAGCCACACCCTGCTGCCTGCAATCAAAGAGCCACAGGGGCACAGAGCCTGGCACCGGGAGTCAGATGCCAGGCCCACAGCCAGGAGTGGACTCCACCAAGGCAGCCTGGAGGAGGTTAGGGGAGGCTGGCCGGCTGGGGGAAGGGGAATCCTGGTGGCCCTGCGGAACTCTGGGATTAGGAATGTGAGTTCTGACAGTGCGGAGTGTATGAAAGCATCAGGTGTGGCTGTACCTGCCTCTGTGGGATGCTGCCACGCTGAGGCCGGCTTCGCTGGCCTGGCCCCTGTGGAAGCAGAAATGTGGGAAAAATATCAAATAGCCAAGAGAAACCTTTTTTGCCTGAAGCCTGAAAATAAAAATACTTTAAATATGGAAAACAGGTTCTTTATTGAGTTAGAAGACCAAGTTTTCACAGCAAGCTAAAATTATTTGTGCTAAACAGGGAGGTAGATCACAGAGAAGAGAATTGCCCAGCTCCCTCCAATACCTCCTCTGTATCCCTCTATTGAAATTCTATCTGAAAAGGGGACACTCACTTTTTTTGGGAAAAAAAAAGCAGAATAAAAGCAACAGAAAACCAGGATGCTATGGGAGCCAGAAGCCCCGTGATGAGCTTCCGATTGCCCCAGGACAGAGCCCAGTGGAGACCCTTCCTCTGAGAAAGAGAGAACGGGTTAGCCGTGGACTCTGATGATTATATTCCAGCCATTCTTTGATTTTATATTCCAAAACTATGACGCAAAAACCTTTCTGGCTTTGGACACTTGGCCATGGAAATGATCACAGTAAAATAGATCGTAAACTAGCCAATGGGTGTCTGGTGCCGGAGCCAGGGCAGCACTGGGCTTTTCGACAAAAAGGGGTCCGTCGTTCCCAATCCCTGAGTCAAGACCAAGCCTCCTTCCATGCCAAGAAGAAGTGTGCACCCAGAGAGAAGCCGCAGAAGACCATGGGCCCAGAAAGGGGAAGCCAGATGGGCCGACTGATTTTAAAATCTATAAATACGCACACTGCATAGTGTTTAGGAGCTCCTGCTTCGGAATTAATTGGGCCTGGGTTAGAATCTCAGCCTCATCGTTTGCTACCTTTTCTGAACTTGAGTAAAATATGTAAACTCAAGTCCTATTTTCTCATCCTCCCCAATAGGGTTGACATGAACAGTAAATGGGGTTGTGATAGAAATCGCTTTTCCGGGTCAGGCACGGTGGGTGACGCCTGGAATCCCAGCACTTTGGGAGGCTGAGGCAGGCAGATCACCTGAGATCAGGAGTTCGAGACCAGCGTGGAACTCCTAGACCAGCCTCTAACAATACCAAAAAAAAAAAAAAAAAAAAATTAGCCGGGCATTGTGGCGTGCACCTGTAGTCCCAGCTACTTGGGAGGCTGAGGCAGGAGAATCACTTGAACCTGGGAGGTGGAGGTTGCAGCGAACCGAGATCATGCCACTGCACTCTAGCTTGAGCAACAGAGCGAGACTCCGTCTCAAAAAAAAAATTGTTTTTCTGGGTGCCAGGAGCCAGTAGGCATTCCATAAATACCTCGTTTATGCCTAATTTATAGGACAGAGGTGGGTGGTTTTCTCCCAAGTCGGACTTGTTATCTTGCCCCGAATGTCGTCTTTCTCCAGCCGCATCTTCCATTGCCCATTAATATCATCTCCCAGCCTCCAGGCTCCAGATCCTGGCTCTGCCTTCCACGCCTCTCCTTCACGGTCCATCAGTCCCGCGCATGCATATTGTTGCCGACACTATCAGGTTCTGCCTGGATCCTGTCCAGCCCCTTTCTGTTCCAACACGGGTGCTCTTTCCTCCCCCTCGCTGTGGCGGACACTCGGCCCTTCTCCGGGGGACTGCCCTGGCCCCTGGCACTGCATCGTCTGCCCACACAAAGGGCTGGAGATGTCTGGGAGTTGGCATCCTGCCCCTCCCCCGGGGTGCGCTTAGCTGGGGTGGGGCAGGAACTCCCAGCTCCTCAGCTGACTCAGGACATCTCTGAGGCGTACTCCAGAAATCCCTCGAAGGCTTCGGCTGAACCTGCATCCCGTGAAATTTCTCCTGAAATTGCACCCTTGCTTGGCTTCCTCCTCTTCCTGTCCTCCCTCCTCCACCCATCAGTGTCTCTGGGGAGCACAGCCTTGAAACATCCGAGAGCCCTGGACAGGAGCAGCCTGGGCTGGGGTCCCGTCTCCTGCATCCTCAGGGCACCTGCTCCAGGCGGATCTTCCGCCCTCCTGGGTTACCTCACAGCTTCCTGAGGGGCTCCTCATGCCTGGTCCACGCTTCCCACACTCCCAACCTGCATCTACCCTTTCACGCCAAGACTTGGATAATCCATGGATGGGCCAAGTACTTATTAAATCCTCCCTAATGGAGGCGGAGCTTGCAGTTAGCCGGGATTGAGCCACTGCACTCCAGCCTGGGCGACAGAGCAAGACTCCGTCTCAATAAATAAATAAATAAATAAATAAATAAATAAATAAATAAATAAATCCTCCCTAATGGCGAGGCCAGACGTGATGCGCGGACACCATAGGAACGGAGGCTGTGTGATTGTTCCTTGTTGCTGGGAGCTTGCTTTCCAGGCGATTTATTCTGCTTTATCACTCCTTTACCTGGAAACCTTCATTTGACCCATTATCAATTAAACGAAGGTCAAGGATTCTTCATTCTGACATGCAAAGCCTCCCATATTTGTTAAGTGAAAGAAACATGGTGACCCCAGAATGTGCGTGAAACAGCCGAGTTTCCCATAGACACCGAGTGAATGAATGAATGAGAAGATGAATGAATTTTACGTGGAAAACGGCCCTCAGAACGTCCCTTCTCCCCTCTTTTCCTGGCCACCCCCTTAACCTGGCCCAGCAGGTCTGTGCACCTGCGTCCTCTTCTGATGCTAGTTCCTCCTGCCCACATTTACAAACCGAAATGCTACTAAAATTCATCCTTGGCTCTTTGTTTCTTATGCCCGAGTGTTTCCAGCTTTCTGACTTCTGGCTGTGGGCTCTACTTTAAGATCCCCTCCCTGCTTGTCTCCTTGGTCCCTCCCCTCTTCTCCTCCTGACTCTAAGTGTGAGTATTCTCTGCAATTGCTCTCTAGCTCTCCTGTAAACACAGCCCCACACTGTCCACCTTCTCAGCTGCCCAGAGCCCTCAGGACTCATCTGGCTAACAGCAGGGGATTTCGGCTGCAGGGAGTAGGGGAACATTCTGTGCTATCTTTTCAATGTTTCCATAAATCTATTCTAAAATAAAATCTATGATATTAAAAATTCTATTTATTGTTTCAGATTATACCTGCTCAAGTGACGAGAGAAGGTGGACCCAGCCCATCATTTCTATCTTGGTACAATGGAAAGCCGATGAGTTGGGTTATATTACTCAATCCCAACTAGCAAGCCTGCACTTAGAAACCATCACAGCGGGCTCCGCACCCACCCCCAGGGCCTTCCCTGCAGTGCGTTGATCCACTGTTGCCAGGGACACAGTTCCTGGCACACAGCATGTGGTCCCTGGGTGTTCGTTTATACCTCATCTCCTCTTCACCAGGGAACCTCTTTCTCAGCCACCCAAGGCCGATCCGCCGCGCTGTTGCACGGATCCTGCGCCTACTCCTGGCCCCTGTTTCTGCCTCTCACCCTCCTCTGCTTCCATCTTTTCCAGAGTAACACTTGCTCGTTGCTTTAACAAACAATTCCCAAATCCCAGCAGCTTAGCAACAGTAACAGTTTCTTTCTCTCCTGAGGAGTAAGGAGATTCGCCCGCTGGGAGCATGGAGACTCCTTGGCTGTCCTCCAGACAGCTCCTGGGTCTTCCAAACTCCGTCCATCTCCGCTCCATGGTGAATCTCATGGTGTATTTGGGATGACAAGGGAGAAAGCCGCGACCTTCATCTTATCTTCAGCCTGAGTCATTTTATCTCACTCGTATACTTGTTTGTGGATGCCACTTACTCTCACCTCTCCCTGACTGACTTAATTACTTTGGAGGAAAAAAAATAACTTTGGCTTGATATTTGTAGCTCAGGTTTTGAAAATTCTACCTCTAGATGCAGGCAGTACAGCTTTCAAACTCTGCAAATGCCAGAACTTCAGGGATCTCTCTCTTCTCATTGATTGCTTTCCTGAGGCCACCTCTTTCTTGCAACCTCTTGCCACATGCTGCCAAATTGCCAGCACTCACCATTCACATGATTTTCCAACCTCCTTCTCTGGAAATACGGACTCAGTGGGCACGTGGACTGACTGAATGTGGAGAGAAGGTTACAGTTCCAAGATGTGTGTCCTCTGCTTGGTTCACATTAACATATTTTTAGTTTCTGATAATCAGGTGATAGGGTTTGGCTGTGTCCCCACCCAAATCTCATCTTGAATTGTAGCTCCCATAATCCCTATGCGTTGTGGAGGGGACCTGGTGGGAGATAATTGAATCATGCAGGCTGTTACCCCCATACTGTTCTCGTGGTAGTGAATAAGTCTCACGAGATCTGATGGCTTTATAAGGGGTTTCCCCTTTCCCTTAGCTCTCATTCTCTCTCACCTGCCCCTATGTAAGATGTGCCTTTCACCTTCCACCATGATTGTGAGGCTTCTCCAGCCATGTGGAACTGTGAGTCCATTGAACCTCTTTCTCTTTATAAATTACCCAGTCTCAGGCACGTCTTTATCAGCAGTGTGAAAATGGACTCCTACATCGGGTTCCTACCAGACGGCAGCCTGACCTTGAAGCTGATCTCACCTCCCTCCTTATTTAATGGAAACACCCAAGGTAAGTACCAATTTCTCCATGAGTCAGGGAAATGCCTCTCGCTGCCAAAACAATAATCCCCACATCTCTGGAGCTTGACCGAAACAGGCTGATTTCTCCTCATTCCACAGGCCAGTGCAGTTCTGTCTGATGGGGGTTAAAGTCCATTTCCAGTTGGGTGCGCCCCCAGCCACTCCTCTCTGAATCACCATGAACACTGTCCACAGTGGTCAGGCCTGGCTGCCATAGCACGACACGATAGGCAGGGCGGCTTAAAGAACAAAAACGCATTTTCTCACAATTCTAGAGGCTGATAAGTCCAGGATCAGGGTGCCGGTCAGTCCAGCTCCTGGGGAGGGTCCTCTTCCTGGTTGGCAGATGCCACCTTCTCTCTGCCTCCTTCCATGATGAGGAGAGAGGGGACATGGGCACTAAGCTCCCTGTGGTCTCTCCTTACAGGGATCCATAAGATCGGGGCCCTACCCTTACGACCTCACGGAGCCTTAGTTACTTCTTGAAATACAGACACATTGGGAGTTGGGAGTTTCAACCTGGGACTTTTGTGAGGCACAAACATTCAGTTCATGACACCTCCTTCTATCTCGTGCTTCTAACGGTAGAGCAGGGACGAGGGCACCGTGGAAGGATGCTTGTAAGGATCAGGGCTTGTGGTGCTTTACCTCGCTTCTGCCTGCATTCCCTGGGCCAGAACTCAGTTTATGACCCACGTCTAACTACAAGGAAGACTGGTTTTCCTCTGTGCCCAGGAAGAGGACCCAGAGGACCCAGGTAGGAACACAGTGACACTCTGCCACAGCCTCCATTGGGACACCATGCTCCTCAGGTCAAGGGAGTCATTTGTCCTTTACAGCATAGATGCGTGGGATCAGCACGGTGTGCCACCTGGGATAATGTGTCTTCCTGCAGAGTCTCTAGTGACATCGCCTTTCTTCCTTGATGGCATCGCTGCTACGTTTTTCCTGATCAATCTCCCTAGAGGTCTACCGATGTTATTCATCTTTGCAAAGACTATCTTTTAGTGTCAGTAATTGTTATATTTTTCCTGTGTCCTATTTCTATGATATAGGCTGTAATACTCATTATTTACTTCCTTCTGCGTATGTTGGGTTTAATTTACCTTTTCCCCCTTCCCAGTTGCTTTTTTTTTTTTTGTTTTGAGACAGAGTCTCGCTGCATCACCAAGGCTGGAGTGCAGTGCTGTGATATTGGCTCACTGCAACCTCCGCCTCCTGAGTTCAAGCCTTTCTTCTGCCTCAGCCTCCTGCATAGCTGGGATTACAGGCATGCACCACCCCTGCTGGGCTAATTTTTATTTTTATTTTTAGTAGAGATGGGGTTTCATCATATTGGACAGGCTGGTCTTGAACTCTTGACTTCAAGTGATCCACCCACCTTGGCCTCCCAAAGTGCTAGGATTACAGGTGTGAGCCACCACGCCCGGCTCCTCCCAGTTTCTTAAGGTGGAAGTTAAGGTCATTCACTTCAAACCTTTCTTCTTCTCTAATATAGGTATTTAGTATTTTATGTGCCTTTCCAAGGACTGCTTTAGAGGCACCCAACAGATGTTTATATGTTGGGTTTTCATTTTTATTCAATTCAAAATACTTTCTTATTCCCCACTTTGATTCCTTCTTGACCTAAGGGTTATTTAGGAATGTGTTACTCAGTTTCCAAATGTTTGAATTTTCCAGATATCTTTTGGCTGTTGATTTCTAATTTAGTTTTATTATGGTGAGAGGACAAATTTTGTATGAGTTGAATGCTTTTCAATTTATCAAGACCTATTTTATGGCCCAGAATATGGTCTATCCTTATAAATGCTGGTGAGAGGAATGTGTGTTCTCTCGTTGTTGGGTAGAATGTACTGCAAGCATCTACCAGGTCAAGTTCCTCTCGTGGTGTTGTTCACATCTATATCCTTACTGAATTTTTTGTCTATTTGTTCTGTCAGTTATGGAGAGAATGGTATTGAAATCTCCAACTGTAATTGTCTGTTTTTCTATTTTTCCTTTTGGTTCTTTGAGCCTTTGCTTCTTGTATTTTTTATCTTTCTTCTTTCACTTTTTCACAATTATTATTTTCACAAAAAATAAAAATTTGCTTATTTTATTATTTATCTGTTTTGTATAATTTCAACGTTAGATATTCTAGATATGGAGGTACATGTTCAGGTTTGTTACATGGCTATGTTGTGTGATGCTGAGGTTTGTGGTACAGATCCTTTCACCCAGGTGGTGAGCATAGCACTCAATAGGTAGTTTTTCAACCCAAGTCCCCCTCCCTCCCTTCCCTGCTAGGAGTCTGTGGTGTCTATTGTTCCCACTTATGTCCATGTGTTCTCAAAGTTTAGCTCCCACTTATAAGTGAGGACTTGCAGTATTTGGTTTTCTTCTTTCTTCCTTTCTTTCTTTCTTTCTTTCTTTCTTTTTTTTTTTTTTTTTTGAGAAAGAGTCTCATTCTGTCACCCAGGCTGGAGTGCAGTGGTGCAATCTCAGCTTACTGCAACCTCCGCCTTCCAGGTTCAAGTGATTCTCCTGCCTCAGCCTCCCGAGTAGCTGGGATTACAGTTGTGCACCACCATGCCCAGCTAATTTTCATATTTTTAGTAGAGACAAGGTTTCACCAGTAGAGACGAGGTTGGCCAGGCTGGTCTTGAACTCCTGACCTCAGGTGATCCACCCACCTCGGCCTCCCAAAGTGCTAGGATTGCAAGTGTGAGCACACCGCACCCAGCCATGGTTTTCTGCTCCTGTGTTAATTCACTTAAGATTATAGCCTCCAGCTTCATCCATGTGACTGCAAAGGACATGACTTTATTCTTTTTTATGACTGCATAGTATTCCATGGCATACATGTACCCCATTTTCTTTATCCAGTCCACTGTTGATGAGCATCTAGGTTGATTTCAAGTCTTTGCTATTATGAATAGTGCTGCAATGAACCTATGACTACATGCATCTTTTTGGTAAAATGATTTTATTTTCTTTTGGGTATATATCCAGTAATGAGATTGCTGGGTTGAGTGGTAGCTCTGTTTTAAGTTCTTTGAGATTTCTTTGAGATATCTCCAAACTGCTTTCCACAGTGGCTGAACTAATTTACTTTCCCACCAACAGTGTATAAGAGTTCCCTTTTCTCTGCAGCCTCACTAGCATCTGTTATTATTTGACTTTTTAGTAATAGCCATTCTGACTGGTGACAGATGGTATCTCATTATAATTTTGATTTGCATTTCTTTGATGATTCGTTATGATAAACATTTTTTCATGTTTGTTGGCTGCTTGTATATCTTCTTTTGAGGAGTGCAAGTCCTTTGCCCATTTTTAACAGGGTTATGTGTTTTTTGTGTATTGACTTGTTTAAGTTCCTTATAGATTCTGTATATTAGACTTTTGTTGGATGCATAGTTTGCAAATATTTTCCCCATTCTGTAGGTTGTCTATTTACTCTGTTAATAGTTTATTTGCTGTGCAGAAGCTATTTAGTTTAATTAGGTCCCACTTCTTAATTTTTGCTTTTGTTGCAATTGCTTTTGAGGAGTTGGGCAAAAATTCTTTGCTAAGGCTAATGTCAGTAAAGGTATTTTCTAAGTTTTCTAGAATTTCTTTACACTTTGAGTCTCTTACATTTAAATCTTTAATCCATTTTGAGTTAATTTTTGCATATGGTGAAAGGTAGGGGCTCACTTTCATTCTTCTGTATATGGCCAGCCAGTTATCCCAGCGCCATTTATTGAATAGGGATTTCTTTCCCTTCTCCTTGTTTTTGTCAGCTTTGCTAAAGATCAGATGGTTATAGGTGTGTGGCTTTATTTCTGAGTTCTACATTTTTTTCAGTTGGTTTATGTGTCTGTTGTTGTACCAATGCCATGCTGTCTTGGTTGCTGTATCCTTATAGTATAGTTTGAAGTCAGGTAGTGTGATGCTTCCAGCTTGTTCTTTTTGTTTAGGATTGCTTTGGCTATTCAGGCTTATTTTTTTTTGGTTCTATACAAATTTTAGAGTTTTAAAAATAATCCTGTGAAAAATGATGTTAGTAGTATGATAAAAATAGCATTGACTCTGTAAATTGCTTTGGGCAGTATGGCCATTTAAATAATATTGGTTCTTCCGATTTGTGAGAATGGAATGTTTTTCCACAGATTTGTGGAAATCTGACTTTGACTTCCTTCAACAGTGTTTTATAGTTCTCCTTGTAGAGATTTTTCACCTCCTTAGTAGGTGCATAAATGTTTAGAATTGCTATGTTCTCTTGATTGACTGCTTTATCTTCATGGCGTAGTCTTATTTCTTCCTGTAATTTTCCTTGCTTTAAAATGTACATTGTGTAATATTAATATAACCACTATAGCTTTCTTATGTCCAATGTTAGGGTAGTTTTATGGCCTTAATTATGTCTTTTTTCCACCCTCAAATTTATAGGTTGAAGCTCTAACCCATGATGTGACTGTATTTGGAAATAAGATCTACAAGGAAGTAATGAAGGTTAAGTGAGGTAATAAGGGTGGAAGTCTTAATCTGATAAAGCTGTTATCCTTGTAAAAAGAGTAAAAGATATCAGAATGTTCTCTCTCCACACCTATATAGAGGAGAGGCCATGTGAGGATGCAGAAGAAAGAGATAATCTTCAAGAGAACCCTCATCAGGAATCAAATTGTCCAGGACCTTAATCTGGGACTTCTAACGTCCAGAACTGTCAGAAAATACATCTCTGTTGTTTGAGCCACTCAGTCTAGAATATTTTGCTATGGCAGCCAAAGCTGATTAATGTAAATGGCATAGCTTGTTTCTTTTCTTTTATTTTTTTTTTGTCTCCATATTTACAGTATGTTTCTTGCCATCTGTGTATATTTGAGTCCTTTTTATATAGATCTGGCAATCTGTGTTTTTTAATGAGAGTGTTTAGACCATTTACATTTATTGTGATTATATTGTTAGGTTGAGTCTATGCTTTTGCTGTCTGTTTTTAATGTTGGCATTTTTTTCTTTTTCCATTTTTAATTTTTTCCTACCTTTTAAAGATAACTTGTGGATATTGTTGGTGACTATCTCCTTTGCTGGCTTATTATATATAGCTCTTTTATTGTTATATTAGTGGTTGCTTCAGGGCTTATAGTATATATCATTAACTTACCACAGTCTATTTTCAAACAATATGCCATATCATGTATAGTATAAAACCTTGTAACAGTATACTTGAATTTCTCCACTACCTGCCTTGATGGTATGGTTGTCATACATTTTGCTTACACATGTTATGACCCCTGCATTACATGCTTTTGTTTAAGTAATTATCTTTAAAAACAGTTAAACAATAAGAATAAATTTTAAAATACTTACCTGTGCAGTTACCATTTCTGCTTGTTCTTCTTTGTGTAGATTTATGTTTTTATATCTGGCATCATTTTCCTCGTTCTTAAAGGATTTCCTTGAACACTTTTCCACTGCAGGTCTGCTTGTAATGAGTGCTTTCAGCTTTTGAGTGCTGGAAAAAGTACTTTGCCTTTATTTTTGAAAGATACTTTTGTTGACTATAGAATTCTAGGTTGACTTTTTAAAAAAGACTTTACTTTTTCAGAGCAGTTTTAGGTTCACAGCAAAATCAAGATGAAAGGACAGAGATTTGCCATATACCCCCTGCCCCCACACATGCACAGCCTCCCCCACTGTCAACATCATCCACTGGAATGGTACATGTGTTACCACTGATGAGCCTACATTGACAAACCATGATTACCCAGAGCCCACAGTTTAGGTTTCACTCTTTATGTAGCGCAGTTATATGGGTTTTGACAAATACATAGGGACATGCACCCACCATTATAGTATCATATAGAGTATCTTCATTGTCCCTCAAGTCCTCAGTGCTCCACCTGTTCATCCCTCCATCCCCACTAACCCTCGGCAGTTAAAAAGTATTTTCACTGCTTCCATAACTTTGCCTTTTCCAGAATGTCATACAGTATGTTATACATAGACTGTATGTAGCCTTTCCAGATTGACCTTTTTTTTTTTACTTAGTAATATGCATTTAAGTTGCCTCCGTGTCTTTTCATGGCTTCATAGCTCATTTCTTTTTAATCTTGGATGATATTCCATTGTCTGGAATATTATTTTATTTATAATTGTACTAATTTATTTATCTACTCATCTACCAAAGGGCATCTTTACTGCTTCCAAATTTGAGCAATTATGAAGAATTTTTCTTCTGCAATGTCTCTAATCTATTAATCCCATCCAGGGATTTTTTTTTTTTTTTTTTTTTTTTGAGACGGAATCTTGCTCTGTTGCCAGGCTGGAGTGCAGTGGTGCCATCTTGGCTCACTGCAACTTCCACTTCCTGGGTTCAGGGGATTCTCCTGCCTCAGCCTCCCCAGTAGCTGGGACTACAGGCGGGTGCCACCACGCCCAGCTAATTTTTGTGTTTTTAGTAGAGGTGGGGTTTCACCACGTTGACCAGGATGACCTCGATCTCCTCACCTCGTGATCCACCCGCCTCGGCCTCTCAAAGTGCTGGGATTACAAGTGTGAACCACTGTGCCCAGCCCCCATCCAGGGTATTTTTAATCTCACACACTGCAGTTTTCATCTCTAGAAGTTTGATTTGAATGTGTGTGTATGTATTTTGCATGTCTCTACTTAAATTTTTGAGCATATGCAATACAGTGATAATAACTTTTTAGTGTTCTAACATCTGGGTCAGTTCTGAGTTCGTTTCAATGAATTTATCTCCCAATGTTGTATTTTTTTATTCTTTGGGTGCCTGGTGATTTATTGGATGCCAGAAATTGTGAATTTAGTCTTTTGTTTTTGTTTTTATTTTTTGAGATGGAGTCTTGCTCTGTTGCCCAGGCTGGAGAGCAGTGGCGTGATCTCAGCTCACTGAAACCTCTGCCTTCTGTGTTCAAGTGATTCTTATGCCTCAGTCTACCCAGTAGCTAGGATTACAGGCGCACACCACCACCCCCAGCCAATTTTTTGTATTTTTAGTAGAGATAGGGTTTCACCATATTGGCCAGGCTGGTCTTGAACTCCTGGTCTCAAGTGATCTGCCCGCCTCAGCCTCTCAAAGTGCTGGGATTACAGGCATAAGCCACTGCATCCAGTGTGAAATTAGTCTCCTAAGGTTCTGGATATATTGTATTGCTATAAATATTCTTAAATTTGTTTGAGGTTCAGTTCAGTTAGTTGGAAGCTATTTATTCCTTTTGGTTCTTGCTTTTGTTAGGCAGGTCCAGAACAGGGCTCAATTTAGGGCTAAGTATTCCTCAGATCCTGCGATGAGTCCCAGTGGATGCTCAGTCATAGTTTTCAATTAACAAAAACATTCGTAAATAAAGGAAATGATCAATGATCAAATGGCATCCCAAAGGCGAGGGGCTGATAGTCACTTCCACTGTTGTGCAGTGAGTACTCACGTCTGCTCCCGAATCCTGAGTAGACTGGGAGAGCCACACGACATTCCCAGGTTACATAAATAGGACCTGGTTTGGGTTTGGTGACTACACCTGCGCAGGCAGGAGGGGTCTCGACTCCTTGAAGATACTGGTATTTTTGTCTCTTAATAAAAGCTGCACTGGCTTCTGTCCCTTCTCCTGGAAAGAATTACAGCAAATGTTCACCCGCCCTGAATGTGCAGCTTATCAGCCCCTAATTAGGTTGCTCCAGTAAGAAATGGATTGTTTCCACTGTGATGGGAGTGGATCTAACATGACAGTTATTTATTCCTTTCCTATTTCAAACACATTCAAGAGGCACTGAGAAGGGCGCCCACTGACTTTCCAGCCAAGCATGCCAGCTTCTCCGTTGTTGGGCTGCAAGGGCTGCCAGCGCCGGCAGCTGTGGATCATTCCTGGGGTCCCTTACGGCGCAGGTTGAGGGCTGTGAAGGGCCTGCAGGCAGCTGAAAGGGGAGTTTTGCGAGCCGCTCCCTTGCCCTTCACATCTTTCCCACCCCATCTGCATCAGCACCATTCCAAACCAGAGTCCTGGAATGCCAGCGGGGTTTGTCCGTTCCACACAGGGGCTCGATGGTGCGTTTACTGATAATAACTCACTTCAGGAGCTAGTGCAGTGGCTACGACTCACTCCTTCTTTCACATGTTGAAGATTAGGCAACATTATGAATAACTTGTTTGCCCACCTTGCAGCATTCTTCAGGATTTTAACCCAAATTCAATGGCTTTAGCTCTTTGGTCTATTTCTGGACTTGTGGTTGATGCCTTGTTTCTCTGAGGCTGGAGAACAGTTTGATGTAACATGGTTGTATTTTTGGGTCCTTGAAAATCTAAGGACACCTGGGTCAATTGAGTCCTGGGTTGGTGGCCTCCTAGGTCTGTTGAACCTTGGGTCTATTGCATCCTGGTTCTGCTGTGTCCCAGGTCTGTTGTCTCCTGGGTCTGTGGTACCCTGGGTTGATTGTCTCCTGGGTTGGTTGTCCCCTGGGTCTCTTGTGTCCTGGGTCTGTTGTACCCTGGGTCTATTGCATCCTGAGTCTGTTGTACCGTGGGTCGATTGTCTCCTGGGTTGGTTGTCCCCTGGGTCTCTTGTGTCCTGGGTCTGTTGTACCCTGGGTCTATCGCATCCTGAGTGTGTTGTACCCTGGGTCGATTGTCTCCTGGGTTGGTTGTCCCCTGGGTCTCTTGTGTCCTGGGTCTGTTGTACCCTGGGTCTATCGCATCCTGAGTCTGTTGTACCCTGGGTCGATTGTCTCCTGGGTTGGTTGTCCCCTGGGTCTCTTGTGTCCTGGGTCTGTTGTACCCTGGGTCTATTGCATCCTGAGTCTGCTGTACCCTGGGTCGATTGTCCCCTGGGTCGATTGTCCCCTGGGTCGATCCTCTCCTGGGTTGGTTGTCCCCTGGGTCTGTTGCCTGCTGGGTCTGTTGTACCCTGGGTTGATTGTCTCCTGGGTCTGTTGTACCTTGGGTCTGTTGTATGCTGGGTCAGTTGTCTCAGGAAGTTGCTGCTGTCTGTAGCTATTGTTTCTCTTTGTCATGGGATGACCTGATCAGGCTGCTTTCCTGAGGCTTCCTTGTGAAACTGAAAGAGTCTTCGGAGAACTCCAGCCCCTACACAGTGAGACTTCCATCACCAAGGCCTGTCAGAGAGAGCCTGCGTCCACTCTTGGCCGCTCCATTTTTGAAAAGAGTTGCGTTTTTCCATCTGCATTTCACCTGTCCATCCAACAGCCTTGCACTGGGAACACGGGGGCACTAAGCCTGAGGTAGGGACTTGGTTCCAAAGGCACTTCTCACCGGAAATCGGCCCCCCCGTTTATTTCTGTGCAGGTGACTCATGCTCATTAGGCTTAATCACAATGATTAGATTCCCGAGATGCACAGCAAGTGATTTCAATACTCATGAAATATTTTGTTAAATGACTGTTTCTACAACAACAGAAACGTGATATTTCCTTGATTATTAGTTGTGCGGGGATTGGGAATGAGACTTATTTCTTTGATTCATTCTTTTTTAAGCTTCCAGTGAACTCCTTTTACTTTGCTTGTTCCTTCAAGCCTGAGCCCATGCACATGTGTGTGCACTCCGGCCCTCTTCATACCTGAGCCTGCGCCCTGCAGAGAGCAGGTGAGGCTCCCACACCCCTGGGCATCTGGGGCCTCCCCTTCCAGCTCCTGCAGGCCTGTAAGCCTGGAGGTGGGGCTGCCTCCAGCTTTCCTCTCAGGTGGGCATTATCCCAAGGTGGCAGTGCACCTGAGATGTCACAGAGACAGTCCCATTCTCACTCTTTCCCAGCACACCAAGGCGCGTGTCCCTGAGGACCTCCCCATTGGCGGCACAAGGCCCCCAGGAGTCAGCCCACACCTGCTTCTGCAGAGCAGAGGCTGCAAAAGGCAGAGCGGCTCCAGCCCCTGCCCAGGCCAGACCCAGAGCCGGGGGTTCAGCTTCTCCCGGTGGTGCCCAGGCAGACTCCAGGGCCTGCCCTGTGCCTCCCGCACCCTGGGTCCCCCTTTCCCGTCGCGTGTGGGCATCCTCGCACACCCTGGCTGCTCTGTCATCTCTCCTCCTCTCATTCGTTGGGAGGGGCTGGGCCTGTCAAGGCCTTCCCAGGGCCTGGAAGCTTCCGAGCCAGCAAGGGGCTTACAGGACAGGGCTCCCCTTCCCCTTCTAGTCTGCCATGTGGACAGGACCACAGGGTCAGAAGCAGATCTCTAGCCTTTCTGATCAAGTTCACCAAGCCAGGTCCTACCATGCCACAATAGCTTTGCTCCCACCCACCCTCCTTCTGGTACCTCCTGCTCTAAACCAACTGAAAAGCACTCCATCAGCACAGCTTCACGGCCACCCCTTGGCTCTGCCACTGCCTGATGGGCATCTGGTGTGTCCCACAAACTCAATTCCTGCTGGGCCATCATTGTTGGCCTTAGGGGTTCACCTGCATGAGGTCTCTGCCCCCAGGGGATGCCTGGGCCCCTTTCTATCATGCAGCCTCTGACTAGCCCCAAGTTCCTGCTCCAGCTCTGGGGCTCTGGGACTGCGCAGACAGTCTGCGGGAGGGGGCAAGCTGGCTCTGCCCACCTTTCCACTCTGCCACTTCCTCTGAAGCCCCCGCCGCTGGTCTCTGAAGCCTCTGCTCATGTATGGAAGAGGACGCAGGGGCCTCCACTGACTGTATTCTCAGGATTGGTGTGGACCGAGGGAGCTCCCAGCAGCAGCAAGTGTCTCGATGGTGTGCTCTTGACAATGGTGCCCGATGGTGGGGGCACGGAGGGTCGCCAGCCCCGGGCAAGATGCCAGCATTACTGTGGGCACCCTGGACTCAGGCCAGTGGGAGCCATTTATCTGCACGCTTCCTCCGGCACTGAGGGTCACTGCCCAGGCTCTTCGTGGCTGCACCTGCAGGAGCTCTGGTCTGATGGCCATCAAAGGGCTTCAGACCTCAACCCTCATGGGCACCTAGATCCTTCATGTCTTCTTAGATTCAGGAAAAAAAGATGCTCGTGGTAGACAAGTGAGGAAATGCAGGGACACAGAAAGGAAACCCTCACCCCGTCAGAGAGATAACGGTGCATACTGACACGGTTTTGGCTCCGTGTCCCCAAACCAAATCTCACCTTGAATGATTGGCGGCCTCCCCAGCCATGTAGAACTTTGAGTCCATTAAACCTCTTTCCTTTATAAATTAACCAGTCTCAGCTATGCAATATCATCTTTGTTATTTCTTATTTTTGTAGAGATGAAGTCTTGCTATGTTGCCCAGGCTGGTCTTGAACTTCGGGACTCAAGCAATCTGCCCACCTTGGACTTCCAAAGTGCTGGGACAACAGGCATGAGACACTGCACCTGGCCTCCTGCCTGCCCAGATTTTAAAGAAAAGTGCAGCCATACTGTTCTGTTAGGGAGACGTCTCCTTAAACTTTGTAATACCCCTGGAGCATCGTCCCAGGGCGGTGGAGCCTCCTCTGTTACCTTCACAAGTGAGTGCCTGGCGCTGCAGTGGGGACTGCAGGATCTGCCCAGCTGTACTTCTACCCATTCCTAGCACTTCCTGGGAGCAGGCCCTGTTCTGAGTACCTGATGCTGATTGACTTTTTTTTTTTTTTTTTTTTTTTGAGATGGAGTCTTGCTCTGTCGCCCAGGCTAGAGTGCAGTGATGCGATCTCGGCTCACTGCAAATTCCACCTCCCGGGTTCAAGCAATTCTCCTGCCTCAGCCTCCCTAGAAGCTGGGATTACAGGCATGTGCCACCATGCTGGGCTAATTTTTGTATTTTTAGTAGAGACGGGGTTTCACTGTGTCGGCCAGGCTGGATTTGGAGATCAGCCTTGGCCTCCCAAAGTGCTGGGATTACAGGTGTGAGCCGTTGTGCCAGCCCCTGATTGACTTTTCATTATCTGTAACATGAGCAATCACCCCACTTAGCAGATAAGGAAACTGAAGCACGAGATGGTGAAGTAACTTGCCCAAGGTCACACGCCGCTTGCCCAAGGTCACACACCTGGTCAGGAGCAGAGCCAGGGTGCAAACCCAGGACGGCTGGCTCTAGAGTTTGTTCTTTGGCCAATTCTGGGGTGAACGGTGTATTTCCACCTTTATCAAGGGTCTGATTTCCTCCCACATGTAAGGAGGTGGAATTTCTGAAGCAGAGTAGGTGCACATTAACAGGCTGCTCTGAAAGCTTTCCAACATTCAGAAAAGCAGAGCAAACTGCTCCGGTACAGGGTGGGTTTCTGTCGTCTGAACATCCAAACTCCAGAATGCTCCAGAATTCAAAACGCTTTGAGTGCCAGCATGATGCCACAAGAAGAATTTCACCTCATGTGATGGGTCGCAGTCAAAGGCTGTCAAAACTTGGTTTAATGCACAAAATTGTTAAAAATATTACATGAAATTACCTTCAGGCTATGTGAGTAAGGTGTATATGAAACATAAATGAGTTTTGTGTTTAGACCTGGATCCCATCCCAAAGATATCTCATTATGTATATGCAAATATTCCAAAATCCAAAAAAAAAAAGAACGGAAAAATAGAACTCTGAAACCCTTCTGGTCCCAAGCACTTCAGAAAAGGGATACTTGACCTGTATTTCCCATCACCAGATTCAAGGACTGTCAGCCACATTCTGTGGAGCCTGAGAGCCAGTGTCCTTCAGGTCCCCGGCTGCTGGGGGCTGCATGGTCAAGGGCCATGTTCCTGCTCTGAAGTTCATCCCTGCATTCACACCAAAGACAGGTTCCCCACAGTCTGCGTCAGCTGATAACTGAGTGCAATAGGCATACTAAGGCAGTTGGTCCCGGGAGGACCCCCCATGGCCTCCCCAACTGTCCTCACTGAGGTCCAACATGCCCCACTCAATCCAACACCAGGGCATCCCCTTTGTTTTAGACACTGTGTTGTTGCAGAAACCTGGACATTTGTCCTGTAGGGTTTTCCACAGGCTGCACTTGTCTATTAGCTATTTTCGAGTGTCATTTAATGTGTTCCTCTATCCTGAATATTTTCTGTGAGCTGGAAGATGGCTCCAAAACACTCATCAGATCCAAGTTCCCATTTTCTTTTGACAAAACACGTCCTTGGTGGTGCCGTGTGCTTGCTAAGGCGTCACTGACTGGGGGTGGCTGCCCTCAGCCTGACTCCCACATGGGGAAGTTCAGCATTACCAATGTGTCCAGGGATGGCCATCAGCAAAACCTGAGAGCACTGTCACCCCATGTCCTGGGTGGCTTGTCTGTGGCCACATGGTGCACCTGCCCTCCCCAGAGGAGACAGGGGCCACTCAGGCTGGCAATGCTGGCACAGTCCTTATCTGTGCGTCAAGCTGTAGGAACTTTCATGATTGCCTTTCCTGCCAGTAAACATTATATTTAATTTTCCCTTAATATTTGATACGTATAATTCTATAACATACAATTAGACAGCATCATAATGCAAGGATGCCCCTGTAAAAAATAAAGCAGAGGTTCCTCTTCAAAGACATCCCCCCCCCCGGTTTAATTAGGAATAAATAGTAACTTCTCTTAGGAACAAAATTTATTCAAAGATCTGTGCTAACATTCTTAAATATCTTCTCGCCATAATGAAGAAATCAATGTACTTTATGTTCTTAGCTCCCACAAACACCCGTGAGTCCCTCCTGGAGCCAGAACATCACAGCCTCTGGTCCAGCCGCGCTGCAGCCCAGGAATCCCGTGAGAGGTTCCCTCCTCCCCTTTGCTGACAAGAGGCTCACACGGCTTTGTAATTTGCATTTCTTTGAGTGCTAATGAGGATGAACATTTTTGCGTGCTTATATTTTTCTTTTGATATTTGCTTATTGGCATTTTTAAACCATTTTTCTCCAAGTGGAGGGACTTTATCCTTTTTTCTTCTGAGTTTTAGGAACATATCTTAATAAAACATAAATTGTCAAATTCATCCATATTTTCTCCTTGTGACTTCTGCCTTTTGGTCTTTGCCTAGTAAACTGTTTTTCCATCCTGAGGTTATTTAAAATGATATCTTTTTGAGCTTCCAATATTTTATGTTTTGTACAAACTGTACATTTTAAATCTGTCTGGAATTCATTTTGCTGTAGAGATAGGTAACTAACATCATTTTATAAATACTTCTTTAGTGGTCTCAATACAGTTTAGAGGATAATTCATTTGTTACCAACAGATAACAAAATACCATTTTTATCATACGACAAATTCTTCCAGATGATTCTTGGGCCTATTTCTAGACTATTCTATGATTCCATCGATCTCTTTCAATCTCTCTCTCTCTCTAAGTAGCATACTATTTTATTAATGTAAAACTATTTGATAAGACAACGTTTCTTGGTTATCTATCATTTTATTTTTTAAGAAAAAAATTTCAAATCAAACATCCATTTTGTAAAGTTCTACTGAGATTTTCATTGGAATTCTAATTTTTTATCAATTCACTTCGTGAGGTTTGACATCTTTAAAAAGCTGAGCTCTCCCCTCTGGGAACATGATATTTCTTTCCATTTATTCAAATCTTTCTTCATTTCTCTTCTTTGGTATCTGTCCTGAATATATCTTGTTAGTTGCTGACTGCATATTTTATTTCTTTTGTTGCTGTTATGCATGGAGATTTGTGCGGCTAGTCCTTTTTGGTGTATAAGACAGTTACTTATTTGGGATAGTGATGTTGTTCTGAATTATATTATTACTCCTAGTAATGATATCCTGTGTTTTAAAGTAGACCATCCTAACTTTTGCAGACAATCATGTTGTTTTCCCTTTTCAGGTATATCAGAACTTCAGATTTTAAAATTTATTTGGACAGGGCCTCAAGGCAGTTCTGTCTTATTTCACTCTCCCCACCCCCTCTAGCCCTTTCCAGGAGCTAAAACCAAGGCTAGCGCTGGAGGGAGGGACCAGTGGCCGCTCTAAGCATGAGACCTGCTGCTGCCAGGTTTGGAGCAAAAGGCCAGGAAGGAGGTCCCACTGGGCTGGGATGCAACTACAGTCCTGGTTCTGGCCAAGTGGAAGCCAAAATAGCTTCATTTCAGAGTCAGGTTTTCCCACTTTGAAATGGCTAAATTCCACTATGTAGCAATGTATTTAATAAATTAGCTATTTTGATGTGGCTTTTATAGGTGCTTACGATACCAAGAGGAACAATTCACCTGTTCATTCATGCATTCTTTCAGTAGCTATCTACTCTGCATCTGGCGTAGTCCTAGGCTCTGGGAATTTATCAGTAGAGAAAATAAGCAAAAATCCATAAGGTATGTGCCATATGAATACAATGCTGGGATAGGGAAATATAATATTGAAAGAACAAAAAATCAAAGCACAGGGAAAGTGAAGTTCAGGCAGCAAAGCCTGGAGTCCTGCATGGTTACTAAGATGGAGCTGCATTTGGCCAGGCGCGGTGGCTCACGCCTGTAATCCCAGCACTTTGGGAGGCTTAGGCGGGCGGATCACGAAGTCAGGAGATCAAGACCATCCTAGCTAACACAGTGAAACCCTGTCTCTACTAAAAATTAAAAAAAAAAAAATTAGCCGGGCATGGTAGTGGGTGCCTGTAGTTCCAGCTACTCAGGAGGCTGAGGCAGGAGAATGGCGTGAACCTGGGAGGTGGAGCTTGCAGTGAGTCGAGATGGCGCCACTGCACTCCAGCCTGGGTGACAGAGCAAGACTCTGTCTCAAAAAAAAAAAAAAAAAGATGGAGCTGCCTCTGGGGCTGTGCTGGCCTCCCTGGTCACCAAACAAAAGAGGAAACAAGATGAACACATGGTATGCTTTTCCCAGAGGCAAAACACAGACCTGGTTCTCATGTTCTCTTTCTGTTTGTGGCCTTGCTGATTCCCAGAAGGAACTTGATCTATGAGAGAAACAGAGATGCAAGTTTATTTGGGACAGACTCTGTGGGTGCCTGAATGCCATGGTAAAGATCTGGAATGAATGCAGTGAGCACTGGGCAATGGTGTGGAGAAAATAGCCCAGAGCTAGGGGCCAGATTTGTTATCTATTTTTTGAATACTAAGTGACTTTCATCAAGTCATGTTGCCTTTTTGAGCCATGGTGTTTCTATAAAAATTGAACAAGATTCTCTCTCCTAAAGTTTGCTTTATTTAATGAATTATTACATTTGAAAGTACTTCTTACATTGTGAAGTGTTAGAAAAGTGACGATGATAGCAGTGATATCACTTTGATCATTGAAGTGGGGAAGGGGATTGGAAGGAGGAAGCCTGGAAGAAGGAGATCAGGTGGGGGATCACAAATGCCCACCCGGGGGGCCCAGCAGGGGATGCTGGGAAGCGTGGAGGCAGCCTCCTCAGCATCATGTGCGTGACCCACTCCTGACTCCCACCAGAGCCCCAGGAACAAGGCAGAGAAGAGGGGAGGCAGGAGAGGAGACCTGGCGGATCCACGGGTGGCGTGCCTGTTACCTACCTCGATGTCACAAGCCAATGCAAATATACTGGGATGAAACAAGCACCACTGTCTATTATTAGTGTCTGGATTTTGCAGGTCTGCACTTTACATCATGGCCTCCGCTTCCTGATGTTGGGACCTCTGCTGGTAGGATGTGATGGGTGGAGGGGGTGCTGGGGGCCAAGAAGTCCAGAGCCAGTTGTGACTGCGGACCAGAGCACTTCCAGGTCCCCTTCCTGTGGCCTGGGCTCTTCCCAGCCCCGTGGCTGGGTTCCCAGAAGGAGCTGTCCGAGAGAGAGCATTTGGTGAGCAGGTGCATGCCCTGGTGTCCTGGCCTCAAGAGTTACACCCAAGACAACATCCCTCAGCTCATAAATAAATAAGTAAATAAATAAATAAAATGTACTGCAATGTGGCTTGTGGTGTCCTGAGTCTGTGGGCCCTCAGAGGCTGCTTGGCCCCTCTCTGAACCCAAAGCTCCCCTTGGCCTTGGCATTGGATTCTTCCAGAAGTTGAGCTGCTCTAGAGCAGACAGGACTGCATCAGAAGAATCCCGTTTTCTGCTCCCAAAGTCTGCCCTCCTTCTTGCTGTCTTCCCCTGCTTGGGACATCCAGGCCTGGACGCCCCTTCCTCTCACCTTGGAAGCCCCTCAAGAGCACCTCAGTAGGGAGCACTGCCTTTGAGGAGTGAGAGCTCCTCTTACACCTTGCTTTCTGGATGCCAGCCATGTTTAAATAGAGAGATGCTTTTGTTCAGTGGGACTGACACATACAATGACAACTTCATAGTTACATCAATTCTGATAAGTACTTTTAAAGCATTTGGCACTAAAGTGTATTATTTCAAAACAATTGAAATTAATGTGTAGAAATAAAAAACAGTATGCATATCCAGAATCTGACACTTCTGTTCTTCCTGGGGGAAGCAGTTCGTGGCGAGGTCCCTTTCCTTCCAATTACAGATGCGGCCTGGTTCTCAGACTCCTTGTCAGTAGGAGAAATGTTTCCATCTCCAAGGGTGGGCTGTGCCTCTCCCGTCACACCACAGAGCCCATGGGACACGCAGGCCAGGAGCGGTGAACACCGGGTCTATGGAGCGTCCTGGATCTGTGGTACTTCCCGGGGGCTTGGGCCCCTTCTTCTCTGAGTCTGTTGGATTCCGGCCTTATTTTCCTTCCTTCCAGATTTGTCTCCATTTGGTATTCCATGCAGTCAGTGCCCTCCAAGGCTGGAAGGCCAGTGGAAGTCTTCCTGTAGGATCTAATAGGTACATAGAGGGCCAAAGCCACAGTGGGCGGAGGCCTTTCCAGTTAAGTGGCAAGAGAGCCAAGCTGCCCCACTACATCCTCAAGGCAGAGTGCTGTGCTGCTGCCACTGACTTTATGCTAAACGCTGGAATGCGGAGGCCTTCACAAGGGACCCCCAGTCTTTTACCAGCTCCTCTTTCGAGTGTGTGCTTTGGAGAGCTGCTCTTCACCAACACCACTTGGCTTCTGGGACCCGGGAGGCTGATCCCGCTGTTCTGGGACTTCAGGATGGCCAACGGCAGCCTGGATGGGTGCAAAACAGAGGGGCCAGGTGGGAGGCCTCTCCTGCATCGAAAGCCCTCCAAATATAATGAGCCAAGGGTTGCATCAGTGAAACATAACGCTGGCATCTTAGGTGAGACCCTCCCTTGTAGGCCCTGTAGAACCCCAAATCCTACATTTGTTAGTAAATGGCCATATTTTGGAGAATTTCTAGATGAGCTAAAGAGCGTCTTGTCTCTTAATCCGTTTCTTCAGGCGGAGGCGCCGGGGACCTGGAAAACATATTTAACCAAATGGATTTTTGTTTCCTATCAGAGCAGTTCAAACTCAGCCCTGCTGCAGGCCCAGAACTTCCTATTTATATCACAAATAGCCCTGCTTCCAGCCTTGGAAAAAAACTTAAAGATGGACTCTCTTCTCTTGTGGAAACAAATGATTAGCAGTGATTTGTTCCCGGATGTGGGCGTAGTGGTCAGGAAGCATTTAGGATGATACCTAAGGATCCTCCAACAACGCATAGAAAAGCCTTGATCTGGGTCCACCCTCAGACTCTCCAGAAAGAGGAGTGGGGTCCCTGTGTGGCCAGGTGGGCTTGAGGACCAGGGTCCTGCAGGGGAAATAACAGTGGCTGATGGAAAAAGAGGCGGCAGCCAGTCAGAATTTTGTGAACTTGCTGTCTTTGCTCCCAGCTTTTCCAAAGAAAGCTGAGTTTAGATCCCAAGTGCATTGTGCATGCCCAGGCAGGGACGCCTTCAAGCCTGGGCCGCAGCTGCCCTGCAGTTTGATGTTCAGTCTGATCTCAGTGCCCTTCATCAGGAGCTAACAGCCTGGTGCTCGGCGGTGGCCCACACATGCTGGCTGAAGGAATGAATGAGCAGATGAATGAGTGAGTGAGAGGTTACGACATGTGAGATGGGGCCTGGGCAAAAGAAGAAGCGTCTGTGCAGGTAAAATGAGACTGAGTCTGGGGAGAGATACAGGAAAGGTAAGTTGGATAGTAGAAAAATGTGTGAGCCTTGCCAATTAACAAAAGAAAAGAAAAAAGTATACCCAATATCCAATATCTTCCCATATCTGATATTGCTCAGTGTAGCTAAAAGGGGGGACGTTCCATGGAGGAGATGGAACCCCAGGCTCTTGCTCAGGCTCTAAGACCCGACACCCCGTGTAGCTTGTGTTGTTCTAGTGTGGACACCCAGCCCCTGGGAGCCCAGGTAGAGGCTTGGGCAGACTGGAGGCTGGCTCTGGAAGGACTGGGTGTGACATCTGGGGAAGATACTGAATCTTGCTGCAAGTCAGTTTCTGCATTCCTAAGGCAGGAGTTTTCTTTCTCATCCCTGCCTGAGGATGAAGTGACTGGCAGATGCTCAGTACAGGTCATGGTACCCCGACGTGGGACCATCACTCAGTGAACCGCAACTCACCCTGGGCAAGACCGACATGCACGCAAAAGGCTACATTGCAGATATTTATTACAGTTTTCCCTGTTCCAGGAAATCTAAGACTGGCTTTGGAAGTTCTGGGATGTAGCAGAAATTCCAGGGTTTTGTAATCTGATCTCTGACACCTTCTGGGCTGAGCTGCATGACCCTGGACAAGTTCCTCATTCAGCTGCTCTGAAGGCCAGGGCTGTTTTGCTTTTCCTTTTGGAAAATGGGGGTCCTGAAGCCCACTTGCTGAGAAGCTGGAAAGACTGGAGATCACACAGGCAGGGCCTCCGTATAGGAAGCCTGCAGTGGGGGCAGCTATTGTCATTGCTACTCTTGTCATTCATCTGTCACTCACGGAGGGGGAGGAAGATGACAACAGAAACGAGGTGAACTTCGCTCAGCAGGTGCCCCACAGGGACCTCCCTGCCAAGTTCCCTGCAAGGAGGGAACGTCCTCTGGATTTGGAGGCTCTTCCAGGAGGAGGCCTTGAGTGGGTCCTGGAGGGATTCCAGGCTGTGCGGAGGTGGAGGCTCCGTGGGTGGGGCTGGAGCTCGAGCCTCCCGGGGCCAGATAGTGTGGCTCAAATGTTTACCAAACCAATTATTCCTTCGGGCTGCTTTTGACGCACTTCTGCATTGGCATCTATGAGCCTGGGCAGTCTGTGAGCCGCTGTAGACCAAACTCCAGCACCACCCACCATGGCCTTAAGTACAATGTAAACGATCAGCAAAGTTTGCAGAGGCTCCAGGGCAACAGCTCTGGGGAGGATGGGTGTGTCTCAGGGACTGTCCATAGTCAGCGTTCCTATGGAGAGGGAGAGTAAACACACAGGGCCCCAGAGTCCCTAGAAAGAGATAACCTTTTCTGCACACGAATGGCAATCAATTGGCTAATCCTCAATGAATGCCAAACTCTCTGCATTCAAAATCAATTCCACAGTTACCAACGTGCAGGCATGATCTCAGCCACGTGGCCTGAACAACCTGGTGCCCTTCCCACCCGAGCACCTAAGCTAGCAAAGAAAGCAAGCCCACCCTGAGGCTTCCACCCTCCACCTTCCCAAGAGGCAGAGGGAGACCGGCCGCGAGGCTCACCTGGGGCCTTGAATTCTAAGTCCCTGGAGGCACCAGGAACCCCCTGGTGCAGACGGAAGCCCCAGCCAGGGGCTGGGGAGATTTTCATTTAAATGGAGATTTTGACTTTCTGCTCTTGTCTAGCTTGGAATACTAATTAGAGCAAGTGCTTGGATAATTTAGAATGCGGCACATTTGCAGATTTGACATTTTCTTTCTCTCTCTCCTTTTTTTTGGGGGTTGGGAGCATTTTTTTCCCCTTTTGTAATGTTGAAAGTCTAAAGTGAAACTCAAATCTGCCCCTTTCCAAAATCTAACATCACATGACTCCAGGAGAAGGGATGATAGAGGAAGAGACCTCCACCAGTCTCCCCAGTTGTATCCCAAGCCCATGTTCCCAGATTCTGTAGATCCTACAAGACGTCCCACATGGAGCCAAGGACAGCCGCAGGCAGCGTTGTCTGAGAAGCTCCCAACACATCTGGGGTGGGGCAAGTCCAGCTGGCTGAGGGTGTCATGCACCAACTACGCAGGGTACGTCGGAAATGGCAGAGGAAATGGCCTTTTATTAAAAACAAACAAACAAAAAAAAACAACAAAAAAAAACATTTAAAGAGAAAGACCCTAACTGACGCCACATGCCAGGACGGACATGTCCCAGTGCTCAGGGACCCTCTGTCCTGACTCTAGTCCTGTGCGGGAGGGAGGTGCTCCCCGCCTGACTCCTGCCATTGCTGACTTCCTCGTCTTAGGCCTGGCTAAATGCTCACCTGTGTGTGGTGCATTGTTGATGAGTGTTAGGCCTTGAACTCTTTAATGGATTTGGAAGGTACCTTTGCATGTGGTGTGAGTCAGGATCTAACTGAATCTTACTGTGAAGGCCCATGTTCCCAATCCCTTTTGTGGAATAATCCACCCCTCCCTTGTTGTCTTTCATCCCTTTTTCTTTTTTTTTCTTTTCTTTTCTTTCTTTTTTTTTTTTTTTTGAGATGGAGTTTTGCTCTTGTCGCTCAGGCTGGAGTGCAGTGGCTCGATCTTGGCTCACTGCAACCTTCATCTCCCCGGTTCAAGTGATTCTCCCGCCTCAGCCTCCTGAGTAGCTGGGATTACAGGTACCCACCACCACACCCAGCTAATTTTTGTATTTTTAGTAGAGACGGGGTTTCACCATGTTGGCCAGGATGGTCTTGAACTCCTGACCTAGATTGTCTGCCCTCCTTGGCCTCCCAAAGTGCTGGAATTACAGGCGTGAGCCACTGCGCCTGGCCGTTTTATAATTTCAATCCCTTGCTGAGCAAAGGACCTCTTAGGGATATCGGTCCTGTTCCAGGAATGTTTTCCTGTCCTGGCATTAGTAGCTTTATTTCTATAGTTTTGGGATACGGTTTGGTATCTGGTAGGACAGATTCCCCTTATTATCCTTCACTTACATATTAAAATATTATTATATGCTTTTCTACCCCCAGATAAACTTAGGGATGATTTTTACCACATTTTAAGAACAATCTTCATGAAAATCTTGATTGGAATTAAATTAAATAGCAAATTAATTTAGCAAAAACAATATTCAATATTTTCTTTTTATTCAGCAAAAAGTACTGTGCTCCATTTATTCAAATTATCTTTTATTCCTTTCAATGAAGATTTATTCTTTCTTTCAGTTAAGAACCATATGTTTCTTATTAGTGTATGTTTCTCATTGCTTTTTTGAATATTTCGTTTTTTCTGGCCTTGATCTAACTTCATTAGAATGCTCGCTGTGGCGAGGGACAAAACAAGCCCCAGACAGAGCTGACCAATAGAAGCGGCATGGCCCGTGCCGCTGAAAAGGCCGGAGGCGGCCGTGTCCTTCCTGGTGTGCTCAGCTCTCTAGCTGGGCTCTGCTCTCCCTTGAAGGTCAGCTCTGACCCCCACCTGGCTCCCCTACAGCTGGAGCCTGGCCCAAGGGACCTCTGCACAGCATCTTCCAGGGGAAGGCACTCTCCCACTCCTACCCCAGGCCTGAGCACTCGTGCTCCTGAGGATGGAATGACACTCCGTGGCCCCTGTGATGGGATTAGCGCCTTTGGCCAAATTGATCAGAACTCCTCGGGGATACGGGGCTGGGGCTGGCCCCTTGGTGGCACATGGTGGCTTCACAGTGGAGAAGGTGCTCCCCAAGGGGAACCTGTGTGCTCTTAGGACGGGAGGGCGATGCTGGATTTGGGAAGGGCCCCACAAAAGTCCAAGGTGTTTAATAGAATTAGGGATTTTAGGTGGAAGACAGGGGGAGCTGGGGAGATGGAAAACTCAAGCCCCAGTGGGCTGGATGGTATTTGGAGGTGGGGCCTTTGGGAGATGATTAGGTCATAAGAACAGGGCCCTCATGAATGGGATTAGTGCCCTAATAAAATAGACCCCAGAGGCTGGACAAGGTGGCTCACACCTGTAATCCCAGCACTTTGGGAGGCCAAGGAGGGTGGATCACTTGAGGTCAGGAGTTTGAGACCAGCCCGGCCAACATGGCAAAACCCCATCTCCACTAAAAATACAAAAAATTACCTGGGTGTGGTGGCACATGTCTGTAGTCCCAGCTACTCAAGGGGCTGAGGCAGGAGAATCACTTGAACCCAGGAGGCAGAGGTTGCAGTGAGGTGAGATCGTGTCACTGCACTCCAGCCTGGGTGACAGATTGAGACTCCAAATCAAAAAAAAAAAAAAAATAGACCTCAGAGAGACCCTCCTCCTTCCTCCATGTGAGGACAGTGAGAAGGTACCAGCTGTGAACCAGGAAGCCCTTCCCTGGGTGCCGAATCTGCTGAGGCCTGGATCTTGAGCTTCCAGCCTTCAGAACCCTGAGAAGTCCATGTCTGTTGTTCCTGAGCTGCCCAGTGCCCTGTCCTAGCAGCAGGGTTGGACTCAGGCACCCAAGGAAGGCTGCTGCTGGGCCCACAGATGCTGGGGTCAGCGGGGTCCTGGGAGAAAGGAAATCTGGATCTAAAATGGGGAGAGCAAGAGCAGACCTGATGGGACCTGAGTCTCCCTCCCCCGGCCTCAACCTGGACGGTGCAGTGGCCACCTTGGCCATGGAGCTGCACAGGGGGAGCCGCTGCAGGCTGAGAAGGAGCAGCTGCCGCCGGCCCCTGCAGTGAGTCTGCAGGGCTGGCCAAGGCTTTACAGGGACTGTCAGAGCCTGGCTGCTGCTAACTCGAGGCCAGGGAGCTCCTGGAGCCCAGAAGATGCCCTGAAAACCGTGGCACTGGCTCCAGTCCTCAGAGGCTTAGGCTCCAAAGCCAACTGTGCCCTGTACTGCCCGCAAGGTCATAGACAGACCCGGGGAATGAGGCATAAATCAAAACCGCAACCCCTGCATTCAAAATAAAGGTCATCATTTTCCTGGGAACCAGGATGGCCCAGGATGGGTGCCCAGCTTTCCATACAAGCTGTAGGAATTGCATTGCAATGGCAAGGAAGCTGGGTTTTGTTCATGTATTCAATTAATCCAACAAAAATGCACAGAGGCCTTCCTCTGTGATGGCCAACACAGTGTTTCAGAGAGAGAAGGCCCATGCTGGGGCTCTGTGCCACGGGGTAGAAAGGCTACATCCCCAACAAGATAAAGAGCTGCCTAGGTCCTGCGTGTGAGGAACCAGGGGAAGAGCATGGGTGTGGCTTCTGCCAGACTGAGGGACCCCCAAGGCCATGCTCCGGGGCGCTGCCGAACCGCACCCACAGTGAGCAACAGATCCAGGCAGGAGAAGATCTGGGCAGAGAGCTTCCCAGGCCTTGGAGACTGAGTCTGCATGAACCTTCTCTCATTCCCAACCTACGCGGGAGTTGATCATCATTGGAAGGTTCCAGGCCTTGGAGACTGAGTCTGCATGAACCTTCTCTCATTCCCAACCTACGTGGGAGTTGATCATCATTGGAAGGTTGCTTAGGAGTCTGGGGATCATACCTGTGGGCTTGACAGATGCAATGATGATCTTGGGAGGGGCATATGTCTTGCCCGTCCCCCAAATAATAATGGCCGACGCACCACAGCACTTCCAGTGCGCTGAGCCTGTTCTAAACCTTTCACATGTCATAACTCAGCTAATCCTCACAGTAATGCTCAGGGGTAGAGAGTATCTCTACTTCCATTTCACAGATGAAAAAACAGGCCAAGAGAGGCCAAGCAATGCACCCAAGGTCCCAGCTGGGGAGCAAAGGGGCTGCAGTCTCACTCCCAGGCACTCTGGCCAGGTTTTCAATCCCCACTAACACCGTGCCTGCCCTGCTGCCTCCTGGACACTGTCCAGCAGACCCATGCCCACGGGGACTGGCCTTGCCCAGGGCTGGAGGCTGGGACTTCACCACTCACAATGTCCCCTCCTCTGCGGACAACGCCCAACCCTCCCACACAACTCTGATGTGGTCCTCTCCTTCATTACCTCTACCCTTCCTTCCTTCCCTCCTTCCTTTCCTTCCTTCCCTCCTTCCTTCCCTCCCTCCCTCCCTCCCTCCTTCCTTCCTTCCCTCCTTCCTTCCCTCCCTCCCTCCCTCCCTCCCTCCCTCCCTCCTTCCCTTCCTTTCTTCCTTCCTTCCTTCCTTCTTTCCTTCCTCCCTCTTTTCCTCCCTTTCCTCCCTCCTTCTCTTTCTTTCTTTTCTTCTTTTTTTTTCCTCATGAAAAGACAAAGAATTGGTCCCTCTAGGTACAGTGCAGCCCCTATACCCCATCTCTTGATCCACAGGCTGTGTGTATATCTGTGTGTATATCCGTTTGCTCCTATTATAAATCCAGGTTTCAGTGAGAGAATGTGTTCTGCGCAATTTTGCTTTTGAAAATTTGTGGAGATTTGTGTAGCATAGATGCAGATAGAGTGTAATGTTTATGAATTACTGAAAATGATAAAGACTTTCTCTCTTTCTGGTATTATTTTATTTAGTAATTGAATTATTTCAATTGTTTTAAGCTTTGTCACTGTTCTTATTTCTATACCCATAAGATTGTGAGGTATCCAAAAATCGTTTATTAAGCATCCAATGTGTTTCTTTCGTTTTCTTCATATATTTCCAGGCGTTTTGGACTTGTATTTTCATGTTACCTTGGTCAGCGCACGTGGGATTCTACTTTATCTTCATTGTAGAATTAAGATATTAACAACATACATTGGCATTTTATTCCATTTAATTCCATTTATATTGAAATACACAATGTTAGAAATTAACATTGTCAAGTCTGTTTTTAGTTTGCTTTTGTCCAATAGCTCTTGGGTGATACTTTAATTTTAACATTCCAACATTGTTTAGTGTTGTTTGTTTGTGCAATGACTTTGAACACACACTACCTGGAGTCAGCCACACTCCATTGGGTAAGGGGACTGTCCTCCTCAAGGAGACATCGCCTCAGACCCCAGCTGCAAATTCAGGGTCCCCAGGTCACTGTCACTTCTGACCAGCTGGCTACAAAGTCGGGGGTCCCCAGGAACTTCTTCAGTTTCAATAAATCACTAAAACAATTCACAAAACTCAGGAAAGTGCTATAGTTATAATGACTGTTTTATTATAGCATAAAGAGACAAATAATAGCCAGCTACAGAGAGAGCTACCTACAACAAGGCCTGGGAGCTTCCGTCAGCCCCAGGGACCGGTTGCCCTCCCGGCACATAGGTGTGTGACCATTCACAGGGAACTGCCCATCAGGATGTTCACCAGAGCTTCCGTGTCTAGAGTTTTCATTGGGGTTCCATTCCACGGGCATGACTGACTGAATCAACAGCCCGGAAGTGGAACTCAACCTCCAGCCCCATCCCCTTCCTGGAGGTGAAAGACCAGCTGATATGCCATGGCTCAAAGCAGTTCCCCCCTCCACACCTGTCCTATTGCATGGGTGCTCTTTCTGGTAGGACCAGCCCCATCAGGTGCCATCTCCTGAGCACAGGTTTTCTAGGGGGTCTCCCTTAGTCACTTTCTTGGCATGGACTCAGCTGTTGTCCAAGGACACACTATGAGTAACAAAGACACTTCTATCAATTAAGAAATATTAAGAATGTAGAGGTTACCTCGCAGGAATGGGTGAGAGGTGTGGTGGACAGAGACTGGCCAGATTCATTATTACACAATGCATCAACAAGTAGCTTCTTTCACTTTATCCTGAGCCGAGATGTTTTGGTCTGTCTTTTATTAGAAATGTTGAATTTTCTCATATCCAGTGCTGTGAGGGAATGGTCCGTTTTCACTCAGCACTCTCTCGTACTTCCCTCAGCTGGGACATGTGTGGCCCTGCTCATCTCACTGACCCTGCACTGGGGAGGCAAATCCCCTTCTCGGACCTACAGTGATTCCAGAGCCTTCTCTTCTGCCCTGCCCTTGGAACTGGAGTTGGAGGCTATACTCTTCTTATTTTGTTGATATTCTGGGATTTTCCACCCTGAGTGTTCATGACAACTTCAGTCTGTGATGGGGGGGTAGGGTGGAGAAGACTGTGAGTTCCAGCTCTGTCACTAACCTGCCCTGTGTGTGAGCAATTACACATGCGTGTGTGTGGTGTGTGTGAATGTGAGTGTGCATACATGAGCCAGGGCAAAGTGTGTCATCTCTCAAAGCCTCTGGTTCCTTACTTTGCATTAGGACGATATCCTGGCCACCCATCAGTGGACGCCCACATGGCGCTGGCCTTCCATGTGGTATCTGGTCCCCTCCTGCTCTCTGCAGAGTTGGCCTCTGCGTGTTCATTTCACAGATAGGGACAGCGGCTCACAGAGGCTAGGGAGCCTGTTCAGGTGACATAAGGAGGGGACCTGGCTGCACTCTGACCAGCGGTGGCCTAGGGTGGCTCCTATCAGCCTCTAGGATGCAGCCTCCCTTGCTAAACACAAAGCCACATTCGCAAACTGTCCACCGAGCTCTATGAAGTTTAAGCTCAAAGAACCCCAGGAAAAGGGGCTAATGAAGAGCCTACTCCTGCCTTCCCTGGGGTGATCAGGTTTCACTTCGTTCAAGGGAAGCCCCCTTTCCCACCGCCTCTCCCCAGAACACAGCGCTCTGAGTACCAGGTACTGTTTCAACGTTTGCCTCTGATCCTTCCCGTGTTCTCAGTACAGCTGAGCTGCACTGGAATTTTCCAAAGGAACGTTGCTCAGATCTGAGGGAAAATTAGAAAGGAAAACCACAGCAGCACAAATGGCCCATAAATAGACCTGCTCCTAAATGGCAGAGTTCTGGGTTCTTGTTTCCCTGTGAGCACACAGAGGGCTAGGAGCCCCCTGTGCTGACCCCATTGGATCCCCCGACCTGGGGCAGGTGGGCCCAGTTCAGCCCAGCTGCCACCCTCCTCACACAGCTCCTGGCTTTGTGGGCCAATGGACACATTGGCCCTTTTTTAAGGAAAGGGGCCTGTTCCCTCTGCATGAGAGCTGCAAGAAACTTGGAACCTCTTTGTGCTGGCCTTGAAGCCCACCTGTGCTCACCGTTCCTCATCATTCTGTTCCTTGACTTTTCCAAATGCCTGCAGCTGTGGTGAGCAGAGATTCCCCCCCACATCCATGCCAGATTCTTTGATGCAAGCAAAGAATGCTAAGCCAGGGTGGAGACACCCCTGCCCTGGGGAGCACAGGGTGCCCAAGGAGGTTCTCTTCAGGCTGGGGACCCCCACCCCCAGGCAGGTGTGGCTTTTTCCTAGAACACACAGAGTACCATCCTTCAGACGTGACCTGCTTCTCCAGGGGTTCTCTCTGAGCCATGTTGTCAGGTGCTTGCCAAGGAGGATGGTATGAGAGGGTTGACTAAACTCTGTTATAAGTGAAAACACCTCATCCGTCCAGTCAAAGGCAAGTGCAGCGGGAAGAAAAGGCCACTCCAGAGAGTACTGCTGTCCACCCAACTGGTTCCGCATGACAATGGGGACCAGTGCTTGCCAGCTTTTGTTCTGCTCTTGGAGCTGTGCCTCGCTTACAGCTCAGATAAGCCGAGGAGAGTTTAAAAGACAGCAAGCACTCTGCTTGGGTGGTTATCAAAGCAAATTTTGTAGGAATTCAAAAACCAGAAAGCATCTTCCAAAGGTGTCCGCTGAAACAGTTTGCCTTCCTGCATGCATTCATCCATTCCTGTTCATACATACCTCCATCATCATACATCCGTCATTCCTCCATCCATTATCATTCATCCATCAATCATCCATTCACCCATTCATCCATCCATCATCCATCTATCCATTCGTTCATCATCCATCCATCCATCCATCCATCCATCATCTATCCATCCATCATTCATTATCCATCTATCCAGTTATTCATCATCCATCCATCCATCCATCATGATACATCTGTCACTCCTCCATCCATTATCATTTGTCCATCTATCATCCATTCACTCTTTCATCCATCTATCATCCATCTATCCATTCATTTGTCATCCATCCATTCATCCATCCATCTATCATCTATCCACCCGTCATTCATTATCCATCTATCCATTCATTCATCATCCATCCATCATCATACATCTGTCATTACTCCATCCATTATCATTCATCAATCTGTCATCCATTCAACCATTCATCCATCCATCATCTATCCATCATCTATCTATCCATTCATTCATCATCTATCCATCCATCCATCCATCCATCATCTACTCATCCATCATTCATTATGCATCTATCCATTCATTCATCATCCATCCATCCATCATCATATATCCATCATTCCTCCATCCATTATCATTCATCAATCTATCATCCATTCAACCATTCATCCATCCATCATCTATCTATCCATTCATTCATCATCCATCCATCCATCCAACCATCCATCATCTATCCATCCATCATTCATTATCCATCTATCCATTCATTCATCATCCATCCATCCTTCCATTCATCCATCCATTCCTCCATTCATCCATCCAGCTATCTATCCATCCAGCTTCCATCCATCCATGCATCCATCCACCATCCTCCCTTCTACACACTCACCCACCTATCACCATGCCTCCTCCCTTCCCTTCATTCATCCGTATTTGTTGGACTCCCTTTTGGTAACCTCTCACCACCTACCTTGTTATCTATCACTATGACCTACTGGCAGATAGTGCCTGGAATTCCAATATTATATCGTTACTCTTTCTTGCTAAAATTTCTGATCCCTCTTAGAATAAAATGCTTCCAAAAATATTTTCAGGTATTGGCACTTCAGGGTGATTAAACTTTGGAGGGTGAAGCTGCCGCCCTCCATGGCCTCCTTAGTAGTCAGCCCATTGCACACAGCACCCTACCCTCGCCCCCAGCTGATGGAGTTCTTGTCTTTAGGTTGCAGTTAGGGATGTGAGATCCAGGTGGGACATGGCCCACCCCCACCAGGGGAGGAGGCGTGCGGATCAAAGACAGCTACATGCGTTTCATTGCTCCTGGAGAGAGATTGGTCTTTGGAGGGCGCATGGCCTAGTTTTGGCTGAGATGCAGGAGGAGATGTGCTGGGCAGTGCTTCCTTTGTGGAGTCAGAAGACAGAGCAGCCTTCAGAGGAAGCCTGTGTCATTCCCCTTCTTCCTGAAGGATGTCATGACTGGAAGAGGATCAGCTATCTTGCAAACTCAAGGCAACAGGCACACTTGCTGTAGACGGTAGGACAGAGACAAAAAGAGCTTGGTTTCTTAATGGCCGTCGTGAGTCACTGCCCAGCCCCGACCACCTACCCTGAGGTCCCAGATAGCTTTGTCTCTTCAGGACACTGCTGGCCAGGCATTCTGCTACCTGACCTGAATACATACCAATCGATACAGAAAAGGAAGGTGAGAGGAGCCCACCTGCCAGAGGGTGGGAGGGGCGCCTCTGTGGCTGGCGTGGGCATTCAGGATGCTCTTTTGCAGAGAAGCGCTGATGGCAGGGGAGGCATTGGAGGCCTTTTCTCTGTGGGGTGTTGGGCCGGGGGCATCCAGCTTATAGAAGAGAGGCTGGCGCTCTGCAGGGCCGGGGAGAAGGCAGCCTTCAGAACCAGACGGGGCTGAGTTTACATCCAGCGTCTCCTGTTCCCTGTGTGACCCTGGGCAAGCAGTTAACCTCGCCGAACCCCAGTTTCTTCATCTCTAAATGGGAATAACCGCGTCCTGACCTAAATAAAACCCTCGACAAACAGTAGGTGCCTTGTAAGTGGCAGCTCCTCGCCTTAGGTTGCGGCGGTGGCGGGGGAGGGGTCAGAGAGGACAGGGCAGCTATTTTCAAACATCCAAGGACCTGACCCCTTTTCCGAGGACAAGGGAATAGATTTGTTCTGTGTGACTGACTGAAGGGAATAGACACAGTGGTGACAGACGGAGCTTCAGGACAACAGGTTCTGAGGAATACAGGAAGGAACACTGCAGCTGCTGGAGCTGTTCAATAGGAACGGCTGCTTCATGAGGCCCCGGAGCCTTGGAGCAGAGGGTGCCATCCACTTGTCTGCCCTCATCTCCAAGGGAGTCCTGGACCAGGCGAGAGGTGGGCCTTGGTGATGACTCGGCCGGTACAGCCCTGGGGTGCCAGGTTGAGTGGGCGACGGGTGGAGGGTCAGGGACAGCACCTTGCCACTGTCCACATTGAAGTCCTTGGTGTGTGTCTGGAAGCCAAGTCCCCTTTCCCCTTCTCATGGTGACTCATGCTGTCTGTTGAGAGCACGAAGTTGCCGCCTCTGGATTTTCCCCGTAACCAGCCTTCCCTCTGTGTTCCAGACAAGGTGGGCCAGGTTCCTCTAATGGCCCCCAGATCAAGAACTTCTCAGTAGTTTCATGTAACTCAAGGGAGCGCAGGAGGCATTTCCAGTCCCACGTAGCATCTCATATGCGCTAAGTGCAGCCCTGGCCTCCGCCCGGGGCTTGTGTGCGCACGCCCAGCACAGCTGTCAGGAACAGGGTCTGGCACCTGGCAAGGACTCAGGTGCTGGGCAAATGTGCTCCCTACTAGCCCTGGAGGTGTGCTACTGACTTCTGTTTTCATTCCCCAAGGTTTTATTTTAAGTAAATCCTCAAATTGGATTAAACCCACAGCAAATGATCATCACCACGTTTTTATTTTTAACTAGTTCGCTTGGGTTTCGTGGATGCTGGATATTCAGGACGTTAGCAATGTTCAGGAAGCTTCTATTTCTTACTGGCTTTGGGGGTTCCATGCAGGGAAGACCCTTGACTAGGAGCCCCCTGGGGGGATTGGGGTCAGAACACCATCCAGGCTGCCCCGAGGCTTTGTCCTGGGACCCAGTGACAAAGGCCGCCTCGTGGTGGAAGGAAAAGGGGATCAAAGGACTGTCCAGAAATGCGGGACCTCATCTGGCTGGCATCTGGCCACACACTCCAGAGTTGGGGAGGAGGCAGGGCCCAAGGGAGAGGTGGGAGAGGCATCCTTTTGGCTTTGGGTCTGGGCCACTCTGGACAGCTGGGTCCTCAGAAACCAAGTCCTCCTGCCCAACATGGTCTGACCCACATGAACAGGGCCAGGGTTTTCAAGTAGGAGTTTGGGGCCACAGCTTGGGCTGGATAGATAGTGTTGCGCCTTAGGGTTCTAGGGCCTCAGCCATCCTGTCTCGACAGTTTTGAGATACACCTGAGCTTGGAGGTCCAGAGATGTCAGTTCCACCCCCGGTTCAGATCCTTAGGGCATCGTTTATAGCATGATGAACATGAGGATGCCCTGTGAGGCCATCATGTGCAGGGAGCAGGTGGCCATTGCCAGGCCCGGGGTGGCCAACCCATGCCCTCTGTGCACCTCCTGCCCGAGGGCCCCCTGCCCACTCCGGAGCCCCTGCTGTTCCCATTCCTGGCCCGGCAGTGGGGAGCCTGTGCCTCTGGAGCTGAGAGTGGGACTATGGGCTGCCAGCTGAGGAGAAGAGCCCTGGGGGCTCTGCCCTCTGGTCCACTTCCCATGTTAAGAATAAAATTCTTCTGAGGCTTATTCCAGACGGTAAAGCAGTCTCTACTCACAGGGGCCCCTGCAATGAGGTTTTGCAACAGGGGAGAAAGATTGTGCTCCATTTCAAACACAAGGAAATGTGGGGATTCAGAAGCAAGGCTCCAGGTGGAATTGGTGGATGGAAGATGGCTAAGAGGGTGGGTCACTCTGTCTAAGCTGACCAGGCTGGATTCTGGCTAGAGGCAGGCCAGGGTGACCGACATCACCCAGAGGAAGGTAGGGGATGAGGAATCCGGTCAGGCATTGAGGGTGCTCAGACATCGAAACTGGGGCTTCTGGCTAAACTAACTTAGGGTTCTTGCTAACTTTGAACTCTGCCAGCATAAAGGCAGGAGCCCAGGGTGAGCCTAGGTAAATAGCAGGCTCAGTGCAGCCTGGCTAGAGCTGTTAGGGAGAGAGTCTGTGTTCCCTGGCCCGGCCTCCTGCAAGCACCTCCGTTTTTAGCTGTTTCTTTGGTTCTGCTGGCTCTGCCCACATGAGGAGTGCTTACCCTGACGTGGGTCGGATGTTCGTCCCCTCTAAGTCTCAGGTTGAAATGTGACTCCTGTGTTGGAGGCGGGGCCTGGTGGGAGGTGACTGGATCACGGGGCTGGAACCCTGCTGCATGGCTTGGCCATCCCCTTGGTGATGATTGAGCCGTCACTCTGAGTTCACAAGAGATCTGGTGGTTGAAGAGCATGGCGCCTCCTCCCGCTCTCTCTTGCTTCCACTCTGGCGGCAGAAGATGCCTGCTCCCTCGTCACCTTCTGTCATGACTGGAGGCTCCCGGAGGCCTCACCAGGAACTGAGCAGACGTCGGTGCCATGCCACAGCTTGCGGAACTGTGAGCCAAATCAAAGCTCTTTTCTACATAAATGACCCAGCCTCAGGTATTTCTTTATACCAACATAAGAATGGCCTAATACCCTCCCCTGAGCAGGGGCATCTGTGGGCTTCCCAGGCCTTCCTCACCCATCTCTTTGTTTGGGCCTCTCCATGCATCAGTGACTTAGCCGGCATCTCCTCAGTCCACCTCCTGCCTGGGTGTGGCTCCCTCAGCCCCTCCCATGATGCAAGTGTGGGTCCCGGGCTCTGCAGGCAACTGCCCCCCCATGGAGCTGCCTCCCTTCTCTCCTTCCACTCCATTGCTCCTTTTACCGACCGAGATGAAACCCCTTCACCTGAAACTGTGGCAGAGATGGTGCTCTGCCTACTGCCTTCCACTTAACATTACATCCTGATATTTTCCAGCCTCTGTCGTCCTTGTAATTAACATTTAATGATTGCAAAGATATTCACAAGGGCATCCACATGCAAAAAAATATATAAATGTAGACACTGACCTTACACCTTTCACAAAAATTAACACCAAATGGATCATAGACCTAAATGTAACATGCAAAATGGTAAAACTTTTAGAAGATAACATGGGAGAAAACGTAGGTGACCTTGGATTCAGCAAGGAGGTTTTAGACACAATGCTGAAAGCACAGTTCATGAAAGAAAAAAAAAAAAGGTAAGTTGGGCTTCATTAAAATTAAAAACTGCTGCTCTGTGGAAGACACTGTTAAGAGAACAAAAAGACAGGCCACTGACTGGGAGAAAGGTTTGCAAAACACATGTCTGATAAAGGACTTGTATCCCAAATATACAAAGAACCCTTACAACTCAACTACAGGAAAGCAACCCAGTTAAAAAGTGGATGAAGCTGGAAGCTATCATTCTCAGCAAATCACCACAGGGACAGAAAACCAAACACCGCATGTTCTCATTCATAAGTGGGAGTTGAACAATGAGAACACATGGACACAAGGAGGGGAATACCGGGGCCTGTCGGGGGGTGGGGAGAAAGGGGAGGGAGAGCATTAGGACAAACTCCTAATGCGTGCGGGGCTTAAAACCTAGGTGACAGGTTGATAGATGCAGCAAACCACCATGGCACGTGTGTACCCATGTAACAAACCTGCACGTTCTGAGCATGTATGCCTGAACTTAATGTAAAATAAAAAAAAAATGAAAAAAAGCAGGCAAAAGACTCGAATGTACACTTCACAAAAGAAGACAGATAGACACAGGTAAGCATATGGCTCCAGGGAGTTGTAAACTAAAACCATGAGACACCCCTGCACACCTATCAGAATGACCAAGACCCAGAACACTGACTCCACGAAATGCTGGCGAGGGTTCAGGACACCAGAAACTCCCATGCATTGCTGGAGGGAACCCAAAATGGTAGAGCTGCTTTGGAAGACAGTTTGGTGATTTCCTATAAAACTAAACATACACTTACCATATGGTTCAGCAATTATACTCCTTGGTGTTTACCCAAATGAGCTGAAAACTTCTGTCCACACAAAAACCTGCACGTGCATGTCGATCGCAGCTTTATCCACAACCGTGGAAGCAACCAGGATGCCCCTCAGCAGGTGAATGGATGAGTAAACTGCGACACCTCCAGACGATGGAATATTACCCAGCACTAAAAAGAAATGAGCTGTCAGGCCGTGAAAGGGCCAGGAGGAACCTTAAATGCATATCACTAAGTGAAAGAAGCCAGTCGGAAAAGGTTACAGACCGTATTATTCCATTCAAAGGACTTTCTGGAAAAGGCAAAATGATGGAGACGGTAAAGGACCAGTGGTTGCCAGGTGTTTGGCAGGAGGGAGGGAGGGATGAATATGGCTGCACAGGGGGTTTTAGGGCAGTGGAACTATTCTGTACAGTATTGTAATGGCAGATCCACATCATTATGCATTTGGCAAAACCCATAGAACACATAGCAGAAAGAATGAACCCTAAGGTGAACTATGGACTTTGGTTAATAATAATGGATCAATCGTGGTTCATCAATAATAACAAATGCACCATACAATGTAAGGTGGCAATAATAGGGAAGGTGGGTTTGTGAGGGAGAGGGCTAGAGGAGGGTAAGGGAACTGTTTAACCTTCTGCTCAATTTTTCTGTAAACCTACAACTGCTCTAAGAAATAAAATCTATCTCAAACAATATATTCACAAAAGAACCATATACTTAGAGCCTTCAAAGTTGACGGATTTATGGCCTTGTTACACATTATAGTTGTGAAAGAGATGGCTGATTGCTCCCAACACCTGTATCCCCAAGTTTTAGCTGGGCACAAAGCTGCCCAAATTAAATAAATATTTTCTCAACCAATTTTACAGCTAGATATGGTCTGCCTGGCAAAGTTTTGGCTAATAAAATGCATGAGGTTGTGCATGCAACTTCTCACAGGGAAGTGTACCTGATCTCCCCTTTGTCTCCTGGCCGGTGGGAGCACAGATGTGATGGCTGGAGCACCATGCAACCATTTGGGACCCTGACACACTCTCGGGAATGGAGGTCATTCATGGTGCAATGGTGAGATGTGAACCTAGGTCCCTCACTCTGTGGACCTTCCCTACACTCTTCCTCATATGCAAGAGTGACAAGCCCCTGTATGCACAGCACACTCCCCACCTGCTCTCCTGCCTCCCTCAGCCTAACCTAGTCCTGAGCAGCTCATTGATGAGCATCAAGCTCATGAGATAGTGAAGGAGTATTTTTCATTTAAACCTTCTTCCCATTGTCGATAGAGCCCTCGGGAATGAAAAATGTAGCATAAATTGAATAAACATTGACTAATATCCAAAAAATGCAGAAAGGAGAACAGCAATAAGTGTGGAAGAGCTGACACATATGATGGGACAGGGGCCAGAGCTCCGACGGGGGCTGCCCTGGGGGAAGTGAACCCTCAGGTCCTGTAGCCAGGCCCTGTGTGGACTTCACAGGCTCATTAGACCCACAGGTAGGTTGGTCTTCTCAAAGTAGCATTGACCCCAAAATAGCTGTACGTATAAAGCTACATACACAGACTTGTATATGTACTGCTGTGTATTGCTTTGCAAAATATTCCAATGTAAGCCCATACAAATTAAAAAAACAGAAATGCAGTCAGCCTGCATTATCTCACAGGATTTTCCACATGCCCTGAAACATCAGTGGTTCATGGCCCCAGGGTTTATGGAATATGGAATGTTGGCATAACCATCTCCTTCTTGCCAGGCAGTGAAGTGGATTCCTGAATTCTGTGACTGTGAATAATGAATAATGTGATTAACCCTGCAGGGCACAGAGTTCTGTTTGCCCACTTGTTGGAGTGACTTGAATTGAGATTCCAGGACAGGGATTGTTGAGTCACAGCACAGAAGCATCCCAGCGACACATTTCTGTCTGGAGGCCCCTGGTGTCTGGATACTGTGGCTCCAGGAGGCAGTGGGGATGGAGAAGCCCCAGCATGTGGCATGTGTCACTTAGAGAGTTGGCCCGGCTGGCCCCGAGCCCTTCCTGCACCCACGATTGGAAGAGGAGGGTGGTCTGGCCATCCTCGTGCTCTCTCGGGCTGGGCTTTCTCCCAGAGCCTCACCCACCAAACCCCGCACACTCAGGCTTCCTCCCCTCCCTCCCTTCCTTTCTTCCTCCATCTCCCAGTCTTTACTCCTCTTCTTCTTCCTGCTTCTTGTTCTTTTTATTTCTCTGTCTCTGTCCAGTGAGTCACCACCTGGGCTCGCCACCTTCTATCTTCCTCGGAGCCAAATCTGCCAGGGGACTGCGCTGACAGCTGCTCCCTGAGAAGGGGCTGGGGTGCCCCTTGGGAGCAAGTGCAATGCTGCAGGGTTTGTGGGCACAGGCATGCATCCAGGCAGGGCTCAGGTGGTGTGGTATGGAGCAGGAACCCTGCTGGGGAGGCAGCAGCTCCTCAAGGGCAGGGCTGGACCTTGTCTTCTAGCCATTCATTCATTCGACAAACACCCATCTAAAGCCCATTCTATGCCAGGCACTGCCCGGGGAGCAGAGTGAACAGGACCAGGGCCCTGCCTTTCTGGCGCTGGAACGTCAGTGTTGGACACCAACAACATGCAAAGAAGCTGCAAAATGGAATGCCTTACAGCCAGGATCAACGCTAGGAACAATGAACACGGCCACAGCTTCTTTGTCACTGTCCTCATCAAAAGGGGTCCACTTCTCACCCGACTGTGGGCTGCCTGTGACTTCCTCCGACCACAGAGTGTGGGAGAAGTGACGGTGTGAGTCCCGAGGCTGGGCCTGGAGACACCTCGCTGTGGCTCTCTGAGGCTTCTGCCCTCAGAACACCATGGCAGGAAATACCTCCAGCCTCTGGGGATGGGAGGCACATGGAGAACCGAGGTGCCCCAGCTGGCAGCCAGGGCTGCCCAGCCCCAAGAAACCACAAGCACCGAGCCTTGGGTTGGGTGCCCAAAGCTGGAGATGGGTGGCGCCATGCAAGGAAGCATGGCACAGGGTGAGAACCTCGAGCCAGCTGGGAGTCACAGTGACTGGGGAGGAGGAGGCGACATTTAGGCTGAGACTAGAGGATAAACAGGAGTTATTCAGACAGAGGATGCAGGTCCGGGCATCCCAGGGAGCGGGCACAGCCACTACCAAGGTCCCGAGGAAGGAAGTGGAGTGGATTACCTGGTGACAGGGAGATGCCGGTGGCCATGCATGGTAGGTGGGCTGGGGTTTCTGTTCCGTGTCCTGGCATTCTCTGCAGTCCCATGTCTGGCCTCACGCTCAGGGCATCACTGGTCAAATGAATGCCTGTTGATTGATTGACTGCACCTGCTATTGGTGTCAGCGCCTTAAACCCACAGGTGTTTCCTGCTGTTTCGAGACCATGGGTCGGCTGGCTGTTGGGCTGCTCTGGTCCCTGCTTGGCTGGAGTTGGCTGGAACTGCTTCTTTGTCTGAGGTCAGCAGGTGGGCTGGTGGGGCTGGGTGGCCTCGCCCCTGCATTTGGTGGCCCATTGGCCATCAGCCAGGGAAGGGGTGACCCTGCACCTCTGTGCAGTCCTGTACTGGTGCTTGTGGAGGAGTTGGGCTTCGAGGAGAACCAAGAGCTGCGTTTGATGCCTTGGTTCCTTTTGTGTGTCAAACAAAGAGTACATGGGTGACCTCAGAGTTCCCGAAGGTCCAGACACCATCTCTGCCTCCCTCTCATGGCGAGGGCTCCCTGGCCTAGCAGGTTGTCATCTGAGCTTGACAGGTAGGCACGCACATTTACAACCATGTTCCTTGGCCAGCCTGCTCCCCAGAGCCCCTGGCAGACATAGCCAGTTACAGAGATGTTCCCTGGCTGGCCTGCTCCCAGAGCCCCGTCTCCATGATGAAGGAGGAGCCTTTCGTCCCTGTTGGCAGCAGATCAGGAAAAGCTCTTCAATCGTGACCGTGCTGTGCCTGAAAAGAGAGGAAGTCAAAGGGTCCAGAGACCCCTCACCCTGGGGAAGAGCCTTGCCTCCCTCAGGGCAGACACGGGGGCTTTCCCGGGTGGAGCCCAGAGGTGGCATGGCCTTTGTGACCCCACCTCTAGGAGAGGCCTGCCCCAGCTTCTCTCCAGCACACGGTACTCCCGTGTTCTAACTTGGTCTGTAGCCTGGAGTTCCTCCCTGTTACTTGCTGATCCCCCCACACCCCCACTGTGGACAGAGTCACCATCATGCACAAACCTGATCAGCCTCTCCTCTGCCCACTCCTCTCACAGTTCCATGTTCCCTGGAGATGCTTCGAAGCTACCTAGGACCCGGACCTGTGCTGACAGAGTGCTAGCCTCACAGTGTCCTCTGCCTGGCTGAGTCTGACTCCCTCAGAAGCCTGGGTATTGACTCCCTTGTCCTCAGTCCTGCTGAACGTATCCTGGAAGGCGGCCTAGAGTAGGAGAGACCCCGACTTAGAGTTGCGTGTGGCTGGATTCCAGCATGGCGTGGACCAGGAGGTGTGACCTCGGGGAGTTATTCTGTCTCCCTGACTTGCATGTTCCTTCCCTGTAAAGTGCAATACCAGCTCTCTCTCACCTCCTAGAGACACCATGAAGGGGAAGGTCAGGGTGACAGCAGACACAGTCGGGCACAAAGCAGGTGCTTAGCAAGGGCAGATGTGGGTGTTGGACAGGTGTTCAGCCCCTTCCTTCCTTGAACTCTTCTCTCTTCCTGGACCTTGAACTCTAAGTTTGTTATTTATTATTATTATTACTGATATTTGGTTTTTTTTTTTTTGGTACAGAAAGAAATGGAATAGACCAAGCAAAGTTGGTTTTGATTCATTTGCAAGTTTTCCCATGTGCCACTTTCTCATTTTGTTCAAAAAAACTAGGGAATCTGTTATTTTCTTTCATCCTTTCTTCTCTGTCTCTGTTGATCCTATTTTGTTTTTTGTTAACCAGAGTGCCCTCCTAGGTACCTAAAGGATTAGGATTACGTCTCAAAGCCAGAGCTCAGAAAATTGCATCAACCTATGACAGGCACAAGCTGGCCAAGATGACCCCTGACCCCTTACACGGAGACCCAACCAAGGAGTGTCTCCCTGCTCAGCTCCCGCTGCTAACAAGAACCGGAGTCCTGTTGTTCCTGACAGCTCCCTCCCGTAAGTGAAAGAGGCAATATGGACGCAGGGGATATTTTCGGTAAGTAGGGCTGAGTTTAATACATTCTCAGTGTTAGCACATTGTAATGCCAGACTGCCTAAAAATATTCTGCTTGAGACGCGTTCTTAACAAATAGAGGAATTAACTCAGGCTGCGATTAAGTTATTCCTCCCGGTTACTAGTTTCTCTTGTCTTTATTAAACATGTTGGTCAGGTCTCTGGGGCTCTGAGAGGGTGTAGGAGGGGGACTGAAAGCTGGTCCCCTAGAGGCAAAATGTCTGGGCACGAGTCCTGGGCTTGCCATGTAGCTGTAGGACCTTGTGCACGTTATCCAGCCTCTCTGTGCCTCAGTCTCCTCATGCGCTTGTTACATAGATTTCAGGTATACAGTATACTGGTATGATATGCAGAGAGTGGAGTATTATAGGTAACAGCTTCGTATATCTGTCATTGTACACTGCTCCTGCTGTTTGTAGTAAAAGCACCTAATGTCTTCTCTCTCAGAAAATGTCCAGTATGCAATGCAAGATTATTAGCCACAGTCTTCATGCTGTACATGAGGGCTCCAGATCTCCTTGTCCCATATCAGTGCAACCTTGCCATCTTTGACCCGTGCTTCCCAATACCCCCATCCTGCCTGCAGGTGAATTCTGTTCTTTCCCTGATTCTAGGGATTCAACTTTTAAAAAAGATTCTTCCTGTAAGAGACGGCATGCAGTGTTTGAGTGTGCACGCATGTGTGTGTGTCTGTATTAGTTTGTTCTCACTACACTGTATATACTATACTGCTGTAAACATACTACCTGAGACTGGGTAACTTATAAAGAAAGGAGATTTAATTGGCTCACAGTTCTGCATGGCCTGGGAGGTCTCAGGAAACTTACAATCATGGCAGAAGGCAAAGGGGAAGCAAGGACCATCTTCACAAGGTAGCAGGAGAGAGAGAGAGAGAGCACAGGGGAAATGCCACACTTCCAAACCATCAGATCTTGCGAGAACTCACTCGCTATCATGACACGGTGCCAAGGGGGACGTCTGCCTCCATGATCCAATCACCTCCCACCAGGACCCCCTTTTGGCATGTAGGGATTGCAATTCAAGATGAGATTTGGGTGCGGACACAGAGCCAAACCATATTAGTGTGTGAGTGTGAATGTGTGTGTATGAGTGTGTGTGTGAGTGTGACTATGTGTGTGTGTGAGGGTATGTGTGGGAGTGTGTATGTTTTTGTGAGCATGTATGTGTGTTTGTGTATGTGACTATGTGTATGTGTATGAGTGTGTGAATATGAGTGTATGTGAAAGCCTATGTGTGAGTGTATGTGAAAGCCTATGTGTGAGTGTATGTGAAAGTGTGTGAGAGTGTGTGTATAGGAATGTGAGTGTGTGACTGTGTGTGTGTGAGTCTGTGTGTGAAAGTCTCTGTGGGTGTGTGTGTGACTGGCTGAGTGTGTGTGAGAGAGTGTGTGTAAGTATGTATATGAGTGCATGTGACTGTGTGACAGTGTATGTGTGAGTGTGAGTCTGTGTGAGAGTGTAAGTATGTGAATGTGTGTGAGCGTGTCTGTGTGAGAGTGTGTGTGAGTGTGAGTCTGTGTGAGAGTGTGTGTGAGTGTGAGAGTGTATGGGAGTGTGAGTGTGTGAGTGTGAGTCTGTGAGAGTGTAAGTGTGTGAGTATGAGTGTGTGTGAGAGAGTGTGTGTGAGGGTGAGTGTGTGAGAGTGTGTGAGTGTATGTGAGTGTGAGAGTGTGTGTGTGGCTTCATTTAATACATTCTGCTCCAGGTTCACCCATGTTATTGCAAATGTCGGTGTCTCCTTTTTAAAGGCCCAGAACCTTTCCCTCCGTGTCTATCGCACATTTTCTTTAGGCACATTTCCATCCACAGAGGATGTTTTTCTATTGTTTCCATCTCTTGGTGCTGCAATGAACCTGGGAGCTCAGGTGTTTCTGTAAGGTGCTGGTTTCTTTTCCTTTGAATATATACTCAGAAAAGGGATTCCTGGGTCTTGGGTACTTCTACGTTTAATTTTCTGAGAAAGCGTCATAGTGCTCCCCATAATGGCTGCACCAGCCTCGGTCTATTCATTTATAATATGAGGATAACTGAGTGACTGCTCCAAAGCCTTGGATTTGTGCCGTGTCTAAAACGGTCTGTGCGCGATGGTGCTTCAGCAGTGTTCACATAAACAGCTGAGCCAAGAACGACACAGGGTTACGGGTGCCAACCCCCGTGCAAGCAAAAGTCCGTGTATAACTTTTGACTCCTCAAAAACCTAACTACTAATAACCCACTGCTGACTGGAAGTCTTACTGATAACATAGCTGATGAAACATATTTAGTATGTGGTGTGTGTTATATGCTGTAATCTTACAACACAAGCTAGAGGACAGAAAATGCTATTAAGAAAATCCTAAGAAAGAGAAAATGTATTTACTCTTCATTAAGTGGAAGTGGATCATCATAAAGGTCTCCATCTTCATTGTCTTCGTGTTGAGTGGGCTGAAGAGGAGGAGGAGGAGGAGGAGGGTGTGGTCTTGCTGACTCAGGGGTGGCAGAGATGGAAGAAAAGTCCGCGTATATGTGGACCCACACCGTTCAAATCCGTGTTGTTCAAGGGTCAGCTGAAATTATTAACAGTAAATAACGTAGGAGCTTTGCAACGGAGAATGTTGCATTCATGCAGGGCTATATTAATTGCTTTGAGGAAACTTCATTCCCTGTAGACCAGGACCAGAAGGAATTGAGGAAGGTAATAAGTGTTATTCATGGTGACTATTTCATGGCCGGCAAGCTTCACACATATCATGTCACTCAGTCCTGACAACCCCCATGAAGGCTGGTGGGGCTCTTCCCATCTGAAAGACGAAGGGTTTGGCCTTCAGGAGTTAAGCATCTTGCCCAAGGTCCCATAATTAATACATGAAACAGCCTGAGTGCATGTTCTTTCTGGAGTGCCAAGCTCTAGCTGGGGGTGCAGAAAACCTGCTGTGGGCAGGGAGGCGTGGTCCTGAGCATCTCGCCGAGATGGATCTGAAGGAGCCTGTGTTTGCACACCACATGCCTGCAGGGAAACAGGAAAACACAGCCATGCCCTGACAAGAACTTTGGGTCTCGAGTCTCATGTGGGCAATTTTCCAGGAGCAAGCCCTGAGGGCTAGGGCTAAGGTCCAGGAGTTCCGAGTGGCATACGGCAGAGAGGGCGTGGGGGAGTTTGGCAGGGAAGGGGCAGCCGGTGAGGAGGAGGGGGATGTCAGTTCAGCCTCCACAGAAAACTGCTAGACTCAGGGAACTCTGAAAAATGGAGTAAGACGCATGCCTGAAATCATCTCTACCAAGGACAGGAGCCAGAGTCTTCACGCCTCCTTTCCCCGTCAGCCCCCAGCGCTGGGGGACAGGGCGTTCTTGTCTGGCCTGCAAGATGTGAGAAGTGGACTCTGCAGTCTGAAGCACCCTCCCCACAGCAAGACACAGGTGCTGGTTGCAGGGACTCAGCCCGGCAGGCCCAGGGGCGTGAAGGAGCCACAAGCGGGGACGCTGGGGTCCCACAGGACCTACTGAGCAGAAGCCCAGACCGTGGTTCTGAGCAGAGAACGCTCAGGTCTGTCCTGTAGAAAAGCTTACGGAGGAGACGTTGACAGGAGAGATAGCTGGGGCCCAGCCTTGGAAGGACAGAGAGCGAGAAGTGTGAAGATGCTTGTTGCTTCCTGGAATTTGGTTTAATTAACGTCTTGGTTTTTATTCTTCTTAATCAGAAGCATGATCTCAAAGACCCGCATCTGACTAATTACTTCTGCCATTGCAGAGAAACGTCTCAGAGCTGGGCTGGTTCCAGAGTCTGTGCTCCGCTTCTAATTCATCGTCTGCCATAAAGGATCCATCAGGGCCGGATGCTGGGGATGCCGGCAGGACCTGGAGCAAAGTCGTCTCCTGCCTCTGGGACTTGCTGCACTGATTCGTAATGTGGGGCTTCAAGTTCTGCTCAGATGTGAGTCCTGTGGTCACAGGACTGTCTGCTCCACTGTGCAGCCCCCCAGCCAGCGTCTCCCCATGGCTTCACAGAACACGGGCCTGCTGGGGTGTAGCCCTGCGTGCACCACGTTGCCATTGGCTGACCCATCACCCCTTCTCTTCCTCATCCCTGCAGGTTTCTCTCTGGACCTCAGAACCCAGCACAGACCCTGGTATACAGTAGGGGCTCATTCGACGCTTAGGGAAAGAATGCTACAGGGGCGCTCACCCACGGCACCTGGAGTGTGTGCACTTTTCTGTAGTTGCTTTGCACTCGGTATCCCTCCTGGAGACTGTGTTTCCTTAAGACATAGAGGGCGCAGCCTGCCTTGGGGGCCTGGGGGGCTCACGCGGCCAGCAGAGCTGAGCAGATCCTTTATAAATGCCACCCCCCTCCCCATTCTGGGCAGCGTTTGTGGCCAGCACCATGGGAACCTCCCTTTGGCGGATCTTTGAGAACAATTTATCTAAGATTTCAGGATGTGAGCACACGGCTGAGACACCCTTCGACCTCACCTTCTGCAACTGTGGCACAACCTTGTCCAGGCCTTCCTGATTCTCCAAGAAACACACAGCTCGTTCATAACTTTCTACTGTGTTTTGGGGCTGCTGGTTGCTTCGCAGGGCCGTGGGGCGATTTGACTGACAGACTCGGTCTTCAGTTCCTTAGTCGTGGAGCCCCCGGCCATGTGAAACTCCTGAATTGCAGGATGCCCAGGACACAAGGAGACACAGGGGCTCCCAACAAGAGTGGCCCTCGGATCCCTGGGGTCAGTGTGAGCTCTTCCCTCGGCAGGTTTTCTACAGACCCCTCCAGCTGGCCCTGGAGACTTCCGGTGTCGGGCCTCTGCTCTCTGTCTGTCGGTCTCTCTTGTCTCAGGGAACCTTGGGCTAAGATCTTCGGCCCTTGGCTGGGCGAGGTGGCTCATGCCTGTAATCCCAGCACTCTGGGAGGCCAAGGCAGGCGGATCATGAGGTCAGGAAATTGAAACCATTCTGGCTAACATGGTGAAACCCCATCTCTACTAAAAATATAAAAATTAGCCAGGTGTGGTGGCGCATGCCTATAGTCCCAGCTATTCTGGAGGCTGAGGCAGGAGAATGGCGTGAACCCAGGAGGCTGAGGTTGCAGTGAGCCGAGATCACACCACTGCATTCCAGCCTGGCGACAGAGTGAGACTTTGTCTCAAAAAAAAAAAAAAAAGAAAAGAAAAGAAAAGAAAAAAGATCTTTGGCCCTCAAATTTCCATTCCTTCTGGCCAGGGCTCAGAGGGTGAACAGAAAGACAACACTCTTCCCAAATGCTTCTTTTTCACTGAAATACCCAACTTCCTTCAAACTACACAAGGGCAGTTTGGGAGGACGAGGCAGGAAGATCACTTGAGGCCAGGAGTTTGAGACCAGCCTGGGTAACATAGTGAGATCAAATCTCTATATCAAAAGAAGAATTTTTTTTTTTTTGAGACAGAGTTTCACTCTTGTTGCCCAGGCTGGAGTGCAATGGCACGATCTCAGCTCACTGCAACCTCTGCCTCCTGGGTTCAAGTGATTCTCCTGTCTCAGCCTCCCCAGTAGCTGGGATTACAGGCAAATGCCACCACACCCGGCTAATTTTTGTATTTTTAGTAGAGACGGAGTTTCGTCGTATTAGTCAGGCTGGTCTCGAACTCCTGACCTCAGGTGATCTGCCATCCTTGGCCTCCCAAAGTGCTGGGATTACAGGCGTGAGCCACCATGCCTGGCCAAAAAAAATTTTTAATGGAACAGTTTCAAAGTCATAGACACTTTTGCATACTACCTTTGTTCTTCTAAGTTCTGGGACTACACGAAACATGACCAAAGAGATTTCCTGTATTTCATGAGGTGACGTGTGGATCTAATCCAAATACATCTGGTAAGTCTATCTGTGTTCTTTGGTGAGAGGGGAAGGGCACACTGGACATTGCACAAACATTCACAGCCAGTGGCTGTGGGTTCCACATGGTTTTTTTTTTTTATTTAGATGGAGTCTTGCTCTGTTGCCCAGGATGGAGTGCAGTGGCGTGATCTCGGCTCACTGCAACCTCTGCCTCCCAGGTTCAAGCAATTCTCCTGCCTCAGCCTCCCAAGTAGCTGGGATTATAGGTGTGCACCACCACACCCGGCTAATTTTTGCATTTTTAGTAGAGACGGGGTTTCACCACGTTGACCAGGGTGGTCTCGACCTCCCCACCTCAGGTGATCCACTGGTCTCAGCCTCCCAAAGTGCTGGGATTATAGGTGTGAGCCACCACACCCGGCCTCATGTGCTGTTGTTTTTGATCTTGTTCCTGAGACCTCCACGCCAGTGCATGGGAAGTTGAGCCTGAGCCTTGCGCCCTGTTCTTATTAAATGCCATGCTCCGATTTTGGGGAGGAGAACTTGGCCTTGAGCACAATTCTGCTTGCAGGCTTGCTATTTTTGCAAGGTTTACCCTATTCTTAGTTACTTTTAAAAATAAAATTGTCAACAGCTTTTTCTTCCCCTGTAACATTTCCGCCACCACCAAAGATCTTAATGAACTGCGCATTCAATTACATGAAGAAGGAAGCCAGGCAGTGGGGGTGAGGTCTGGCCACAAACACCGAGGCGAAAAAACTCCCAAGGCAAGATTTAGGCACTTGCAGGAGGGACTGTCACTGGGGGGAAGAAGCCTGTGACTCGGGAATGCTCATGAACACATCCAGCTTGTTGTCAACCCTGATGATTTTGGTAAAATGGCTCCAAGAAAGAAGACTTCTTTCTGGAGAGAAAACATCGATTCTTACTCGGGCTTTATAGAGGCAGCTCTCAGGCTGTGCGCGAAGGAATAAAAAACACAATCGACCCCAGCTCCTCGGTGGTTCTGGCCAAATCCATGAAAAACCAGCAGGGAAGACCTGGCTTTCTGTGGCACTGCGGCTGCCGGCGGGCAGCCCACAGCGGCTTCTCCAGCACCGTCCTCCAGCCATTCCCATCTTAGCCAATTTTTCACTGTGTCCTTCGGTATCAGCCTGCAATTAGGAGGACAGCTTCTCGTTGCTTCCTGTAATCATTAAGGTGATGCCTTGACCGAAATAGTTATCCTTTCTGAGCCTCATTTTCCTCACTAAAAAAAGTAATAATCGGCAGGGCGCAGTGGCTCACATCTGTAATCCCAGAACTTTGGGAGGCCGAGGTGGGCAGATCACCTGAGGTCGGGAGTTCAAGACCAGCGTGACCAACATGGAGAAACCCCATCTCTACTAAAAAGACAAAATTAGCCGGGCGTGGTGGCATATGCCTGTAATCCCAGCTACTTGTGGGGCTGAGGCAGAAGAATCGCTTGAACCCAGGAGGCGGAGTTGCAGTGAGCCGAGATCACACTACCGCACTCCAGCCTGGGTGACAAGAGCAAAACTCCATCTCAAAAAACAACAACGACAACAACAAAACTGATAATCCCTACTCTGCCAACATCATTCATTCATTCACTCATTCACTCATTCACTGTTGCAGATCAAGTTCTCCAAAAAGCCGGCTGTGAGGTGGAGGTTAGCAGGTAGGATGCCTGTGCAGGGCCCATGGGACCCAATGGGTAGAAGGGAGAGAAGGGGGAGTGAGCTGGGTGAAGGCCCAGTGACTACCTCAGTTGGACCCAAACGGTGGCTGATGAAGGCCGTGTGTAGGCAGCACACAGAGAAGCTGGCAACACATCCTTCCTTGAAGGGGGTCATGGTGCACACCAGAGGGTCTGTCCCACTGTTCGTGGATGTGGCCATGACCCAGATTTGGCCCCAGCCCCTTTGGGGCTCTCTGTCTTGGGTGGACAGGAGAAAACAGCCCACATGGGTATGCCATGAAGAGGACACTTCCCCTTCCACATCAGGGTGGGTGGCATATTTTACATTCCATCAGGGCACTCAGTGAGGGGATGACATTGTTACGCTGGAGGACAATGCTGTATCTTGGGTGGCAGGATGGAGGTGTTGCTTAGGGACAGGACAGCAGGTGGGTTAGGCAGGCCAGGGCTGGTTCTGAGAGAGATTCCTGGGATCTAAAGTTAAGCCCCAAGAAGGCAGCTGCAGGGAAGCTGGACAAGTTATATTGTCTGTGATCTCAACTCCTCCAGCGGACCATGAGCTTCAGAGGGTGGAAACCAACCCAGATCTTCACGTGGCACGGCTGCCGCAGGTGAACCATCAGGCAGAACTGCTGTGGAAGGGATGAGCAGCGATGACAGATGAAGTCGACACCAGCAAGAAGAGGGATGGCTGGCATCTCAGACGGCTCCGCCCTGTGCCAGATGCATGCCCAGAGTCCCACGGCCGCCTCCTTCCCTCCTCATCCTCACTGAACCCCCCGGGGGTGCCTCAGCTGCCTGCACATTTCAGACAAAGAGACTGGATGAGAGGGGGCCGAGACCTCATGGCTGCAAAGCAAGGGAACCTCGGCTTCGCTTTCCTGCCGGACTCACTTCAGTCCATTCCGTGAGGGCTTCCGCCAGGGAAGAGAGGGTCACAGCATGTTTCAAGATTGTCTCCTGGCCTGGGATTGCAGGGTTCATGGACATGGGTCTGCTTGGAGAGGAAGCTGGCCTGTGCCTTCCGCTGTCCCTTTCAAGAGCCCTGGGGGTATTTGGGGCATGACTGTTTGTTTGGGTCCCAGAAGGCTGCTCCTCCTGTCTGGCTGTCCTGCTCCTTCTCTCTGTCCTGCTCCTCCTGTTGGTCCTGCTCCTTCTGTCTGTCCTGCTCCTCCCGTCCGTCCTGCTCCTTCTGTCCATCCTGCTCCTTCTGTCCATCCTGCTCCTTCTGTCCATCCTGCTCCTTCTGTCTGTCCTGCTCCTCCTGTCCGTCCTGCTCCTCCTGTCTGTCCTACTCCTCCTGTCTGTCCTGCTCCTTCTGTCTGTCCTGCTTTATCCCCAAGCAGGGTCCACGTGTTGCCCCCAAGGCTGCGGTTTCCACCGGCTCTGCTGACACTCTGCCTGCTGCCTCAAAGCGTTTTAACTTCTCATTTGAACTTCTGTCTGCCAGAATGTGTTCTCCTGGGGGAAGGGGAGAGTGAGCGGGTGCGCAGTGCAGGGGAGGCTGCAGACGGGGGAGGCAGGAAGGCGAGATTCGAAGAGAGAGTGTTAAATAGCACTGCCCTGAGGGGAGGAAGCCGAGCAGCTGACGGCAGCCGGTGAAACAAAATGTACAATTCGGTATCTGGAAAAGAGAAAGTCATGGGCGGTTTCTGAAGGCGTTAGGGAGGGAAGGGGCAAAGGCCTGGTGAGAGCGGCTGAGTCTGCCTATCCCAGGCTTCCCAGCCATCCGCTCCACCTGCCTCTGCTGCCCCGTCCAGCCGGCCGGGACCCAGGCCCAGTTTCCTGCCCTGCAGAAGGGCTCTTCAATCAGCTCCTGCCTCACCTGCATTCCTTCTGCTTCTCCCCAGGCTCCTGTCCGTTCTCAAAGCAGCAGCCACAGTGGCTGGGGCGTCATTTGGGAAGGTTAGGGGAGCGATTTGGGGCAGCGTCATCCATGTGCCCACCGCTCTCCCTTCATCAGGGAGGGAACTGCCACTCCCCCTTCATCAGGGAGGGAAGGGGCTCCCACTGCTCCTGGAAACAAGTCACATTTCTCAGACAGGCTCTCGTCACCAGGCTCCCCAAGTCTGATGCTGTGATGCCCAAGGCCACAACCCCCCAGGCCCTTGCAGCTTCCCCAGACTGGGCTGGCCATGCCAATGTTTGTGATCCCGCTGAGCCCACCACGAGCCCTGAACCCTTGAAGGATAGGAGCCTCTGACCTTGGAAGGAAGGACTCACATGTGACAGTTTAAGAACTGGGTAGTTCAGCCAGTTTACATATAACCAGCACGACAGGGTCCAGCCAACAGGACATCCCCTTCAGCAACTCCTTCAGATGCTTTTATAATGAAGACCTGTGGTCAGCCAATGGGTCGTGTTTGGAACATTTTTCTTAGCAATAGCATTTTGGAGCAGAAACCTCATGGACGTGAGGGTGAGCTGGAGCAGTCAGCAACTGAGCCGCAGCCCTCCATGGCTGTGTGGCCCTGGGGAAGTCGCCTCCGCTTGCTGAACTCAATGCAGATCCTACGGCTGGCTGTGAGGACACCACATGTCATGAGAAGAAGGCAGCTGGCGTGAGGCTGGCCAGCCCTGGGGGGGAGCATTTGTATTAACACAACAATCAGGATGCCCCATGGGGCTCATCTCCAAGCCCTCCAGGTGAAGCCCAGCTTCCAGGAGCACCAGGGGTCCCTGACTCTTCCCACGGTGCTCCCTGGGGGCAACCTCACCCTTAGGGGGACTCGCTCCGAAGGTGAACCTCTTCCGAGTCCTGAGGTTTCCATCTAGTAGGACCTAGGACCACTCCACCTATCCAAGACAGGCCCTCCTCGTGCTTTCACGGGGCAAAAATGTATTTCACCAAGTGGAAAAATGATTCCCTCATTGGCGTCTCTCCTTGGCTACTGCGAGGCTCCAGTGTGATAGCTCCTGCCACGCAGATGGTTGCTGAGATCCGACTTAATGGTGGGTGCCATTAGAGGCAGGTGCTCCTTTCACCGCCTCAGTGACATCACAAAGAACCCGTGGAGGGGTGTAACTGCTGATCTGTCTTTACAGGAAACTGAGACTGGAGTAATTTTCCACCTCGTCCAAGGACTCAGGGCAGCTCATTGCAGAGCGTGGGTTCCCAGCTGGGCCTTCCGGATCCCACGTCTGCCCTCAGCACTCACAACACATCCTGGTGCCCCAGAAAACAGAGAAACATCCGCTGTTTTGAATAGAATTAGGAATCCTACAGTTTAGAGGTAGAGAAGTGAGAGAGCAACGCCATGGGAACAACCGTGGCGTTTAGAATTTACTGGGGACCGGCTTGTAGGTGTCTTAAGAGGAAGTGGCTCTGGCAGGGGCCTGAAGACCCCCAGCTCAGGGGCAGGGCCCAGCTTCCTGGAGGCTTGGGCCTGTCTGACAGAGCCTCCCTTGCTGTTGAGGGGTCCTGGTGGTGTTTTCCCTGGGTCTGGGTTGCTGGAGTGCAGGCGGAGGCCTCATTTTGGGGCACCGGGAGACGCATCACCCTCACTCCCTCCAGCAGCTCGCAGCAACCCCCTCTGCAGAGGCGGCCCCAGGGATGTCTCTGAGAGACAGTGGGAGAAAGCTGTAGGGAGGTTCCCCCTTCTTGGAATCCCTCTCTCTCCCGCGCCCTCCCTCTCTCTCCTGCTGTTTCTCACACCTCCTCTCTCCCTCTCTTCTCCCTCCCTCTCCCTGTTTCCCTAATGGTCCTGTCCCTCCGCACTCTCCCTGTCCCTCTCTGCTTTCCTGCCTCTCTCCTCCTCCTTCCCCTTCCAATCTCTCTCTCCCATCCCCTCTCCAGGTCTCTGTCTCACTCCCCTCTGTCTCTCTCCCTCTTCACACACACACAGGTGCACAAATGCACACACCCACAAACACAGCCCACAGCCATCATCTCCTGAGATAACTGTGGCAGAAACACGGAGCTGCCCCAAGGCTCCGCTCGTGAAGGGAACAGAGAGGTTCCTCGGAGGCTTCTCTCTGAGCCTGCGTCCCACGAGCTCCCTTCTCACCTCCACTTGCAGCTCGCCCTCTCTGCACCCCCAGCAGCCTGGACCTGGGCTGGGAGGGAGGTGGGGCTGCACTGGTGCAGAGGCCGGGCCCTGCTCAGGGGGCCAGCCTCCCCCACCCCCGTGCTTGGGGGAGCAGTCTACGTGAGCTTCGAGTGGTTCTGGGGGCTGCACCCCCAGTACAGCCATCACCAGGGTCTGCGGAGACATTTGTGGGTGGACGGGATGCCGTGGCCTGCTCTGCCCTGGCATTTGAACCCTCACCATCCCTGCCCTGACGGCCCAGCTCAGCCACTGGAGTCTGGGAGGAGGGAGGTTCTGCTTTGCTCTGACAGATGCCAACACCATTGCAGGCCTGAGGTTGTTCTGCAGAAGACAGAGCCCACATGCAGGGAGACGGGGCAGGACCCTTCTTCCCACCCCCCGGTATGAGCCAGGCCCCACACCAGTGCCCAGCCAGGCCTGCCTAGGGGTTGCCTGGGTGCCAGGGGGGCCAAGGCAGTGCCCGGTGGGACAGAGCCTGCCCAGACCCGAGGGGATGGAGGGGCTGGAGCCGCCCACCTGGGAACGAAGGACCAGAGCCCGGTGAGCTCTGGCCCGCCTGGGTCAGGCCGGCTGTGCTTCTGTCCCCACGGCCTCCCCCATCCTCATGGCCACCCCCATGTGTCAGAAGCCATGGTGGAAGCAAGTCTGTGAGCTAACCCAGCACCCGGCTCAGCCTCCCTGAGACTGTGTGTCAGTGTGTGTGTCTGCGTGTCAGTGTGTGCATGGGTCTGTCTGTGTCTGTGTGTGTTTGTGCGTTTTTGCATGTCTGTGTCTGTGTGCATCTGTATGTGTCTGTGTCTGTGTGAGCCTGTGTGTCTTTGTGTTTTTACATGTCTGTGTGTATCTGTGTGTGTCTTTGCATGTCTGTGTGTGTGTCTGTATGTGTCTGTGCGTGTCTGTCTATATTGCATCTGTGTGTCTGTGTGTGTGCATGTGTGCATGTCTGTGTGCATCTTGTGTGTCTCTGTGTGTGTCTGTGGTCTGTGTGTGTGTGTGCATGTCTGTGTGTGTGTCTGTGGTCTGTGTGTGTGTGTGTGCATGTCTATGTGTGTGTCTGTGGTCTGTGTGTGTGTGTGTGTGCATGTCTGTGTGTGTGTCTGTGTTCTCATTTCAGACGGGTTTGGGAGCTTAGAAACTCAGACTTCACATTCCTCAGTTGTAGGATGATGATGTTCGATTGGACCATGTTCCAAGCCACTTTCCACGAGAAAATTCTACGCTTTCACAATTGCAGTCAATACTGCACCCTCCTACCCTCAGCCAATCTGGCCACATGTCCTAAAACCACAGCCTGCCACCCAGTTCCGTCCACAAGCTCAACATGCACAGAAGGAATGTCTACTGGAAATTTCTTATCACTTGACAAAATGGCAGGCTCATTCAGAGACTTCCAACGTGAATCTCAGACCCTTCCTCAGAAACCCATGCCAGGGATCAAAATCTTCCAAACAGATCAACTGCTTTGTCCTCAATGGAAACACGATTGTACAGACGCTTGGGTTTGGGGGTCGGACTGGTGAGGGCTCCTGTCGTGGCGAGGTTATTGACAGGTGGGTGGTCTTGGGCTGGAGTTTGGGGGTCGGACTGGTGAGGGCTCCTGTCGTGGCGAGGTTATTGACAGGTGGGTGGTCTTGGGCTGGAGTTTGGGGGTCGGACTGGCGAGGGCTCCTGTCGTGTCAAGGTTATTGACAGGTGGGTGGTCTTGGGCTGGATGCCAAGCTTCTATGAGCTCCATTTCCTCCTCTGTCATAAGAGAGATAAAGGTAACTTCATTCTCAGTTGCTGTGACATTTAGCCCTAATTAATACGCATTAACCACACAGAAGGCGGAAGCAGCTCATGGGGCGACCGCCTGTAAGAGGACCACATCGATTCCTCCCACCCACCCCGAGCCCGAAGCACTGGTGTTTCCCCTGGGAGGGGAGAAGCCGATTCCTCCCCTCCCTATGGAGCCTGCTAGCCTCAGTCTTGTTTCACCAATAGGATGAGGTAGAAGTGCCACCCTGGGGCTTCAAGGTCCTGGCATTGCCACTTACAGGGGGTCCCTTGGGACTCACTCTGGAGAAAGCAGCTTCTGTGGAAGAAGCCACACTCACTCAGAACTGCCACGCTGTGTGGAAGCCCAAGTCAGCCATGCGGAGAGGCCCTGGGGATGGGCACCATGTGGCTAGAGTGAGCACTTTTCCTGCTGGGGAAAAGTGAGAAGGAGGAGGAATCTTTATCCAGAGCTGATTATATCCAGGCCCTCCTTCCACCCAACAGTATCCTGCTCACCAACAGATTTTGAGACTCTGAGAGGCTGCTGAGAGTCTGCTGCCCTGGGCCCTGCTGTGAATGGTCTCCCTGCCTCCACAGCCTTGGCCCATGGAGCCCCCTCCCCGAGGGAAGGGGCTGATTTTCCTCCAAGCCATTACTGGTCATGAGCCCTCACCCCATCCCCACCCAACCAACAACTCAGTCAACAGGAACAAACAAAACCAAAACCAAAAATGCTGCCTTCCTGCCCATCCACAGTGCTGCCTTACTGCCCATCCAAAGTCAAACAGGTCGGGGAGGTGTTTTCGAATGCTCTGGGCTTAGGTGGGTGATCTAATTTTTAATTTAGCTATGTGCAGAGGTGGCTTGTAGAAAAGAAATCCACTCAGGGATTGACTTGGCACCACTGTGGCTGTGCCCGGGGACCCATAAAGGGCTGCCCCACAATCAGCCCTCCCGGGGGGGATGCACACAGGAGACCCCCTGGTGGGCCCTGTAGCCCCTCACCTGCAGCTGTCAGCTCTAGTGAGGAGAGGACAGCTGTCCTGGGCATTTCCTCTTAGATGTCCTCGGTCCTTGGAGGCTGCCCTTCCCACCTGTCACAGGTGAGTTTTGCCCCCACATTCACGTGTTGAAGCCCCAACCCCCAAGACCTCAGCATGGGACTGTTGTTGGAGACAGAGTCTTCAAACAGATGACTAAGATTCCATGAGGTCATTACAGGGGCCCTGATCTCGTATGGAGATATCCTTGTAAGGAGAGGAGAAGAGGATACAGACACCCAAGAGGAAGGGCTTGTGAGGACAGGGAGAAGGCGGCATCTGCAGGCCAAGAAGGAGGCCCCAGGAGGAGCTGCCCCAGCAGGCACCTGGCTCTTGAGCCTCTGGCCTCCAGGACGATGAGATGGTGCCTTCTGGTGCTGAAGCCACCCGGTCCGTGGAATTTGCTCAGACCTCCCCAGCAGGCACTTGGAAGTATAGATCAGGCCTTACCCAGCTGAGCTTCAGGCCAGCATTGGAACCAGTCACCACTGGCCGCATCACCCCACAGTGGGGACACAGGGACCTTGGGGCTGCTTTTGTACCTCCCCAACCCCTACAGTCTTCCTGGGCCTGAGGCTGGGTCTGTGTTGAATGAGTCTTGTTTCTTTCCCTCCAGGGGTTCACCTGCCACAGGGCCCAGCTGAGGTGTGTGCCCTGCCAGGGAGACAAGTGTCAACATGTCAGAAGCTGGGAGTGGAGGGGTTGATTCTGTCCTGGGGCCTCCTGCATGGAGGGCCCAGGTCTTGGGGTGCAGGGATCTGTTAGCCTCCTGGTAAGCGCCCGTGTGGTTCCTCTCAGCCTGCAGGCTTCTGGAGGGATGCGCCTGTCTTGAAACTTGCACAGTCCCTGCCTCAGAGCTACACACACGCAGGCCCTTCGCCTGGGCACTGCAGCTCAGGGCAGGGGCAGGGGACTCACAAGGGTGAGAGGGAGCCGGCGGCCGCCCAGAGCCCACAGGAGCCTCCAGCTGCAGGGGAGAAAGGGAAGGCCTGCTCTAGGCCCATGCTCCACTGCGGGACTAGGACCTGGAGCTGGGGCTCCCAACCACATGTTCGGTCTCCCAGACGACCCTTTCCAAAGGACACCAGTGCAGCCGGGAGACCCTCACAACCCAGCACCACACCCTGGGAGGCAGCCTCAGTTGCTCCCCTCCAGGGACAGAAAGCCACACTGTGCCTCCTCTTTCCTTCAGTTCACAGAGGCACAGGGTGGCGAGGGTGGGGGTCTCCACATCCCTGCATCCTGTGGGAAGGGCTAAGGGAGCTTCCATCTCTATGATGAGCAAACAGTCGGGAACTGTGGCCCCAGAAGGCACAACCACTGAAAATCTGGCAACCTTCAGCAAAGGGTTAAATACATGAATGGGTGACACATGCGTGATTGGTTACCAAGGGCAACCATGATATTTTGGGGACATCTTTGGTGAGGGTGACTTCTAGGGAGAGAACAGAGCCTGAGGTCAGGGCCCCGGGGACACAGCCACGCCTGCCGAGGAGCCAAATGCAGGATGGGACCTTGGATTTCATCCCAGCCCGGCTCAGCCCTGGGCAGGCTCAGAGCTGGACTGGCAAGGGCCGGTGCCAGCCCGGGAGGCGAGGGCAGAATGCTGGGTAGGTGGGTGCGGTTTGTACCCACTCGGCCACATCGTGGATAACCTTGGAGGAGGCCTCCCCCGAGACCTGGTTGCCTTCTCTGAGCGATCGAGACATAATGAACCCCTTTCCCGCTCGAAGAGGGACTGTCATTTCCCCGGGTGGCCACAGATGAGACCACAGGCTGGGCGTCAGACCACGGGCGGGAGAAAGGAGCCCACGCCCCTCGGGAGGTGGGGCCTGTACCGACTTCTCCTGTACCTGCGAATCCCTGTGAGGAGCCAGGCGTGGCCTCCTAAGGGGGCACCAGGAACGCGTCACCCACTCCTTGGTTGATTTATTCCACCTACAGGTACAGAACGAGCACCGACTGTCTGCTGCCCTGGCCCCTGGGGGTCATGTATCAGAGGGAGAGGAAGAGAAGCCAATGGTGCATGGGTACCGGTGCGGACGGACAGCAGGATCCCTGGGCGCCCAGCAAAGATGGGACCATATGACGGGCCAGGGTCCCTGGGAGCGGTGGCCCCAATTGAACGTGAAAGGGTGAAGGGTTTGGTCCAGCTGTGGAAAAGACATGGAAGATGGGGAGGCACAGGCATCCTGGGAGAGACCCGGGGCTGAGGAGGAGTCGGCTCGTGGATGGGACCCCGTTTCTGTGCCTGCCCCCGACCCTGGGCACTGCCACCACCAATGCCCTCTTTTCTCCTGACACCCCAGGCTGCCTTTGTCTCTTCCAGGCTAAGACCCAGCTTCTGTTCAGCCTCCACTACACCTGCCTCTGGGAATATCAAGTCCTGGTCCCTTGGACATTCTGACGCAAGGAACGCTTTCTGCTGCCCCTCCCATGAAGGGCCACCCCGGGAGGCCTGGGAGCCTCCACTGCCCTCCCAGAGGGGTGTGAGCATCCAGGAGTGCATGAGAGAATCAGCGCCCTGCCAAACCTTGACCAGGGAGCCGTGGTGTCAGGAAGGAGGTGCCCAGTGCTACCTGTCCCGCCTGCTGCAGCCTCTCACGCTGGTCTCCTCGCAGCACCCCCGAGGCTCTGCGCCCGAGCTCCTGCGCCCTTGCAGAGCAGCCCCAGGTGTGTCTGCCCCACAGAGGCAGGAAAGACCCAGAGCCGCGATTCCAGCAGGAGCAGGTGGATGCACTGGAAGCGATGGAGCTGGAGCCTCTGCAGAGCTAAGGTGTGGTGTGTGCGCCGCTTCCCATCCGTCACGCACGTCACCTGTCACCCATGGGAGGCCTGGGCGTGGCGAGGATGGCTGGAGGCGGGGGAGAGGCTAAAAGGGGAAGCAGAGTGAGGCTGGAGGGAGGCGGGTTGGGGTAAGCCGCATGGGGAGGAGTCATTGGAGGTGGGAGGTGGTGGGTTCAGGCCAGCGCTGGGGGGCAGGTGGGGCCCATGGCGCCCGGCCCGTTAGGGGCTAAGTCTGGGCCACTGCAAGCCACAGCCCCTTCTCCAGATGCAGTGGAGCTCGCCAAGCTCTGGCCAGGCCTGGAGGCCCTGGGGCTGCTCTGCCCTCCGTGGGTGGCCGCTGGGCTATGGTTAGGGGGACAGGAGTGACAGGGAAGGACCAGACCCTGTCCCCGGCTCTGAGGCAGCACTGGCCCACCCACCTTCCCTCTCCGGCACCCTTGGTACAACGAGGACAACCCCAGCCTCTGCTAGCACCAGGCGCCTGCGAGGGTTTCAGGGTCGGGGTCGGCCTCTCCCGCTTGAGCGGCAGCGCTGCCGGGAAGAGCCTCTGTCTCTCCACTTAGACGTCCACATGGCAGCGTGGGATACGCGTGCAGAACGCGTGACTGTGGAGGAGAAAGGATTTGCTTCCTCCGTGGGAAATGCTGGACTCTTTAACCTCAATAAAAGTGGTGCGTAGGTGGTGTGTGTGTGTATGGTGGAGTGAGCGGTGTGTGTATGTCATGTGTGTGGTGGTGGTGTGTATGTGTGTCTGTGTGGTATTTGGTATGTGTGTGGAGTGTATGGTGTGTGGTATGTTTGTGTGTGTGGTGTATATGTGGTGTGTGTGGTGTGCATGTGTGGTGTGTGGTGAATAGTGTGTGTGTTGTGTGTGTATGGTGTGTGTGGCATGTGTGGTGTATGTGTGTGTATGGTGTGTGTGTGTATGGTGTGTGGGGGGTGTATGATGTGTGTGGTGCATGGTGTGTGTGTGTGGTGTGTATGCGGTGTGTGGTGTGTGGTTGTGTGTAGTATATATGTGGTGTGTGTTTGGTGTGTGTGATGCATGTTGTGTGTGCTGTGTGGTTGTGTGTGGTGTGTATGTGGTGTGTGTGTGGTGTGTGTGGTATGTGCATGTGGTGTCTGGTGTGTGTGTGGGTGGGGTCTATGGTGTGTGGTGTGTGTGAGACAGGAGGGAGGTTAGATTTCAGAGGCTCAGGCACACATGTCATCAGCGGTAGCAAGTCCCTGCATGGTTAGATAGCGGGGTTTGCGTCTTCCTTCCCACCTTGCTATGATCTGGGAACACTGCCTCCCCCTCTGGTCCCCCTTGGTGTGGGGCAGCTGGGTCCTGCCCTCCATGGCGTCTCCCTGCAGGGCAGACAGGTACAGGGAGGCTGGGGACAAGGGAGGAGGGGGCCTGGCAGTTCTGCTTCTTCCCTCCTCCCCAGGTGAGCTGAGCTCAGGACTCGCCTGGCACTGCTCCCCTGGGGACGTCCCTGCCCGTGTGTCCTGCTGCAGAGCATCCGCCGCTGACCAGGCTGGTCCACTCCATCCGGACTCCAGGTGAGGAAGGTGCCCCCTTGCCCTCAGCCACCTCCTCTCTTCCCATCCCTCAGACGCACCAGCAGCAGAGGGCGTGTCTTCTCCATCTACCAGGCCATGTGCTACATTTGGAAGGGACAGGAGGCCTGCAAATCTGCAGATCCGAGCCAAGACACCCCAAAATCCAGTGCCCTGGAACTTAGTTCCTAGGAAATTATGTCTAGAAAAATAACACAGCACTGACTACTATGGCTTCTGGCACGGGGAAGGCAGGAGGCAATGGTCTTGTAATGCCTGGCTGGCCAGGACCTGAGCATTTGGGCTTTTACCCTATCAGGTCGAGGCGGCCGAGCTGGCCTGGCCCGTACGTGGGCATCTGCCTGTAGAGCGCAAGGTTTGTTTCACTTTTAGGAAGACAGGGTCCTGGCAGACAGCCCTGGGCCTGGCCGTGGGGGAGGTAGAGCCTCACACGTAGTGGCCATGGCTCATGGGGTCAGAGGAGGGTCCCAGCCATATGTTGGTGGGCTTCAGAAGCCTGGGTAGGCAGGTGGGGCAAGGATCTAATTGTAGAGAAAGAGCTTTTCCAGGATTATTCAGCCTGGGTATGCAGAACAACAGCATTTATCCCTTTCAGGGGCCCAGCAGCTGGGTTTGGGGTGCGTGTAAGAACCCGCTGAAAATCCAGGTGTGCTTTTGGTGCAGGCCTGTTGGACAGTGCTGGGCCAGCCCCTCCAGGCTCTGTTTTTCACACAGGGCCAGGGGTCATGCAGATTCTTGTCCTAGATTCAAGGAGTTCCACAGGCTACTCCCCCAAGCCCACAGCGTGGTCTCCAGTTCGCTTAATATAGAGTCAGGAGGAGGCACGCTTGGAAGGCAGGTCCTTCGGCCTTAGAAAGTCCACAGCAAGGGGCAATGGAAACAGCCAGAGAGATGGGGAGGGGGAGGCGGAATGGCTGCTATGCTGTGACAGAGGATCTGCTCAGTGCCAGACAGCGTGGAAAGGATGGGGCACTATAATGCAGGCTGGCGTGTGACCTTGCATTATAGATGGTGTACTCAGAATGGACGTCTTGTTCAGGGAGTTCTTCCTCTAAGTGTGTGACCTCAGGTCATCACGTGGGCCACAGGCATTGACTGACTGACAGAGCCTGAAAGCCAAGCCCAGAGGAGTTTACCCAAAGCCCAGAAGTTTTCCTTCTCCCAGATCTTCCAAGTCCAGAGACTTTGGAAACACTAAGTCTCAGGTTCTGGAAAGGTCATTGTGCCTGGGATCATTGCTTCAAGGAGCAGAGCTTGGTTTGTTTTCCAAGCCTGGTGGGTTTTAGGCCAGGGTTGTGTTCTACTCTCTGCCCCATAACACCCAGCAGTCTTTAACATTAAGCTGCGGAGTCACTGTACTGAGCCAGTGCCACTTCTGAGTGAGAAGTGGCCTCAGGCCCAAGCTGGTGGTGGACAGAGCCCACTTCTGCCCTGGCCTCAAGAAGCAATCTGGCTGAGAATGAGCAGAAGAAGGCATTGGAGATGATGAATTTTTGATTGTTTATTAACAAGAGCAAAGGGACTTGGATCTCTTTGGGCACCAATGTCTTTGAACTTTTACTTGCAAGATTTAATCTTCAGGATTTAATTCTCCCCCTAGGATGCTGGTAATGGTGGAGGGTTAATATTCCCATGTAGTTAGTGCCTTGCTATGTTTTTGGCCTTTTATTATGGAGCATTACTATGATTCCCTGTTTCCCATTTTACTCTTAAAATATTTTCATATTACCTTTAATTTCATTGCAGAACCACTGATGGGTTGTATTGGATGACATAAAGGATGATATTAGCTATGTGTAGCCTAATAACACGTCATCTCACACTTTAGCAGTTTAAACAATAAGCCCTTGTTATCTCAGTCTCTGTGAGTCAGAAATTCATGTGCACTTGGCTAAATCCTCCAGCTTGTGATCCCTGATGAAGTCGCAGCTAAGCCTCCTATTGTGGCTGCTGTTTCATCTGAAAGCTTGAGCGGGAAATAATGTGCTGTCAGGCTCACATGTTGCTGCTGGCAGGATTGAGCTCCTCTTGGGCAGCTGAACTGTGGACCTCAATTCTTCATCAACTGTTTGCTAAATTTCCCTCATTTCTTGCCACATGGGCCTCTCCATAGAGTGGCTCAGATCACGGCAGCTCAGAGCAAGCAGATGAGAGCAACAGACAGTCCCAAGATGGAAGCTGCAGTCTTTTTGCAGCCTAATATCAGAAGCAATATCCTATCACTTTTGGCATATTCTACTGGGTAGAATCCAGCCAATAGGTTCAGCCCAACTCATGAAGGTGGGAGAATGAATTCCATAGATTCCTGAGAATCATCTCAGAAGCTGCCCACTACAGATGGGAAGTCATCTATGTGTTGCATTTTCAGCTTTGTGTAGGTTTTGCATGGATTTAATTCAATACTCTTCTGAGGCATTTCAGGGCTTTTAGGGGACAAAATCCAGACTGTCTAGCAGCAGCTTTAGGGGGCTATCAAAAGACATAGGTTGGGATTAGAGGAGTGAACTTATGACAGTGGTGGTAAGAATGTCTTGATGGTCACTTTTGGCTCCCAATAGCCTGAATGGTGGTCCCGCAAGATTCAGAGGAACTAAAAAGCAGAGGATGTTAGGATAATGCTTATTGCCCCTCCAGATGTTTCCTTCCCATTTTCCACTTGATCCTTCTAGGGGATCTTCTTTGTTGAGAAACCACAGACGCTCTTCCAGTTATCAAATATAACAAATCAACCAACAGTTGTCAGCTTAAACCAACAATAATTATTTGCTTTTCCATGGTTTCTGCTAGCCAGAAATTCTGGAAGAGTTTGGCTGAGCAGTTCTCATCTGGAATCTCTCAGGGAGTTGCAGTCATGTGTTCACTGGGGCGCTATCATCTGATGGCTTGACTGGGGCTGGAAGATCTACTTCCAAGATACTGCTGTCCCATGGGGGGGGCATCTTGTGCACCTCCAGAACATGAGCTGAGCACCCAGTGCCTAGAGCCAGGGGCAGGACAGAAGGAGGCTCTCCCATGACTTTACAGATTCATGGGCAAGAAATCAGGTACGCCAAAGTAAACAGACAATAGTGCCCTGAAGGAGTGACATGGAGGGCTGGTTTCCCCAGACATGTGTGCATGCCTGTATGCACCTGTATGTGTGACTGTGTGTGTGTGTATATATATAATATATATGTGAATACGTGCATGTGTGTGCATGAGTGGACATGTACATGCATGTGTGTGTGTGTGTGTGTATGCATGCATTAGTGTATGCATACATGCGCGGGGGTGATCACTGAAGGTGTTTTTGAGAATGTGATACTTAAGCCAAAATTTGAACATGAAGATTAGCTAAAGGGAAAAGGGGTGAAAGAATATTCTAGAAGTGGGCAAGTGTGCACAGGAGAGAGCAACGAGTTTGGGTCTTGCGGGAATAAGCTGGGGCAGGCTCCCTGGGAACTGGGCTTTGGCCGGGTGTGTTGGACAGAGGGAGAGAGGGTTGATCAGTTGAGGGTCCTCTGCATGTCAGTGACTTGCTTCTAGCAACTGGGAGGAAGTTCGGGGGATTCCAAGCCAGAAAGGGACCAGCTGGTGAGCAGCAGGTGGGCAGGTGGCCCCTCAGTCCAGGTGTGCGTTGGTGAGGCAGGTGTGAGAACTGAGGCAGTGCTGGGGTCAGCTGGGGACTAAGCTGGAGAGACAGGAGGCTGTGCTGGGGAGATCCGGCTATAATTTATATTTGCACCTGGGGAAGTACACCTGTGGTCGGATGGAGTGAAGGCAATTGTGGAGGAGGAGAGGGGAGAAAAAGTCCAAGAAGCCAGAATCTGGAGGGGCTTCATCTGTGGGGCCCAAAGTCACAGGAACGAGGCCGGGAGTCGGTGTCGGGGAGGCCACTTTCTGGGGTGAGCAGCCTTACTGGGGAGAAGAGGAGAGGGTGGGCAGGCCCAGGCGACCCCGAGCTTCTGTTTAGAGGACGATTACCAAGGCTAACTCAATCCAAATGGATGCTCAGCGGCAACTGGGTTGAACGTGGAAAAAGCAGAGAGACTTTCTGTAATTTACAGGTGAGAGGAGAAAGAGGCTTTGATTTTGACTGAGGATTCTCCCGGCGGTGTTACAGTGAGCGCAAATGAGCGGCGCAGTGAAGCCTGGCAGTTCCTCGGCACGCGCTGCCTGCCCTGCAGACCTCATTCAGAGCCGTCTTCCACATTTAAATCCAAGCCCAAATATGAAAGCCTAATGTTAATCTTGCAAGTAGAGATACGCTGCCCTTCTTTTTTTCTTTTCTCTTCTTTTCTTTTTTTTTTTCTGAGATGGAGTCTTGCTCTGTTGACCAGGCTGGAGTGCAGTGGCGCCATCTCAGTTCACTGCATCCTCTGCCTCCTGGGTTCAAGCGATTCTCCTGTCTCAGCCTCCCGAGTAGCTGGGATTACAGGCGTGTCATCACACCTGGCTAATTTTTGTATTTTTAGTAGAGACGAGATTTTGCCATGTTGGTCAGGCTGGCATCGAACTCCTGATCTCAGGTGATCCACCCACCTTGGCCTCCCAAAGTGCTGGGATTATCGATGTGAGCCACTGCACCTGCCACACCACTCCCTTCTTATCTGTGGTTTCACTTTCTGCAGTTTCAGTTACCCATGCTCAACCTCGGCCCCCAAATAGGTAAGGACAGTACAATAAGATAAATTAAACTTTATCATAGGTGCGTATATACAGGAAAAATATATAGTGTCTATAGGGTTCCTTACCATCTGTGGTCTCAGGCATCTACTGGGGGTGTTGGAATTTGTTTTCTGCAGACAAACGGGGGCTATTTCATTAGAGAGGTCATTATCTGCTTTGCAAAATGATTTACAGTGAAGGTCACCAAAATAGAGGCTGCTACTGCAGTATTTACTTGGCTTTGGTTTACAGAAATTTAAACGCATAAACTTTGTCAGCACCAGAGGCAGCCCCATTCTTGGGTTTTAGCAGCCCTCCAGCTAAGTGCCTTTAGCCTCGGATGAGCTACATGCAGTTTCCCTTTGAAGGGCTCTACCTGGGGACTGGCCACTCATTTCTACCTAATTCTTATGACCTACCATCTATTTGGACTTTGATCCAAGGAGAAATCTGTTTTCAAAATCTCTGGCAGACATGGCAATGATGCCAAATCCAATCTCGCTGCTCAAAGACAGTGCTCCATCATATTAAACCCAACCTTGGTCACTCCACAGGAGTGTGGCAGAAGGTTTCTGCAAAATTACTTGGTAGCTAAATACAAATCCTGAAGAAGAAACCCAAGCTATTTTATCTCTAGGAAAAAAAGAGATGAACCCCATCAAGTAAGGGACAGAAAAGTTACCTGCAAGGAAAGCAGGAGCTCAGATGCATGAATATCTGTGGGTAAGGAGATGCAGGTTGACCCTCAGAGACATGTCCAGCCGGAACACCTGCCTTCGTTCTCTGGCAGGTGAAGGTCAAGGTGGGAGCTGGGTGTGTTTAAAAAGAGGGCCATGCTCAAGACAGCATTAGACCCATGGAGGGGCTGTGCCTTCCTTGACATGGGCACGCTTTTCTTTTTTTTTTTTTTTTTTGAGACGGAGTTTCGCTCTGTCGCCCAGGCTGGAGTGCAGTGGCGCGATCTCGACTCACTGCAAGCTCCGCCTCCCGGGTTCACGCCATTCTCCTGCCTCAGCCTCCCGTGTAGCTGGGACTACAATGGGCACGCTTTTCAACATCAGCTTTCTTAAACGTGTGCTGCCTCTTACCCCAAGTCTGATTCCTTGCAGAATATGACATTTGTGAGTCACGGTAAGGTGGCTTTTTCATGGTCTGTGGCTTCTGTGATAAATGGCCAAAAAATGGAGTGGCTTTGAATAACAGACATCTATTCTCTTTCAGTCCGGGAGGCCAGAAGTGTGAAGTCAAGGTGTCGGCCTGGCCGTGCTCCCTCCGGAGTCTTCAGGGGAGGGTCCTTCCTGCCTCTTCCAGCTCCTGGTGGCTCCTGCAGTCCTTGGCTCACAGCTGCATCTCCCCAGCCTTGGCCTCCGTCTTCACATAATCATATTCTCTGAGTTTTCTCCTCTCTTTTCTGTTTTTCTCCTCTGTGTATCTCATAAACACACTTGTCATTGGATTTAGGGCCCGCCTGGCTAATCCAGGATGATCCCCTTTGGAGATCCTTAACCTTATTACATCTTCAAAAAGCCCCTTTTCAAAAAAGGTCACATTCACAGTTTCCAGATATAATTTTCTGGACATGTCTTTCTGGAGGCCACCATTCTACCCACTACAGATGGTGACTGTTAGGGGCTGAATGGTGGCCCTCAAATTTCATATGTTGAAATCCCCACTCCCAGTACCTCAGAATGTGGCTCTATTTGGAGATAAGGTTTTTAAAGGATTAATTAAGTTAAAATGAGGCTATAAAGGTGGAACCTTAGCTAATATGACTGGCATCTTTGTTTAAACAGGGAGAGACACTGGGGGGTGTGTGTGCACAGAAAAATAGCAGGTGAAGACACAGTGAGAGGGCAGCCTTCTACAAGGCAAGGAGAGAGGCCTCGGGAAACTAGCCCCGCTAGCACCCTGACCTTGGACGTCCAGCCTCCAGAACTGTGAGACAATAAAGTCCTGTTGGTAAGTCACCCAATCTGTGGTGTTTTCTTATGACAGTCCTAGCAAACACATACAGTGACCTAGCCTTTTAGGGGGACCCCTTATAGGCCAGTCACCTTGCTCCTTGCATTGAAATATCCTGTGGTGTGAGGAAGCCCAGACTGTAGGGTCAGGCAGAACTGGGTGTGGCTGGGTCTCAAATCTGCCTCCTGATTTTGGTCCAGTTGCTTAATTGATTTATGAGTCAATGGTCTCATCTACATAAAGGAGACATTAGTACCCACCCCACAGCCTTATTGCAAAGTCAACATGAAATTCTCATGAATGACACCTGGCAAGAATTCAACTGGTCACTGCTGTTGTGGATGTCCCCAGGACATACATAATCAATGGTTGAATATGGATATTCGACAGTTGGATATGGATATTTAATGGTTAGATATGGATATTTAATGGTTGGATATGGATATTCAATGGTTTCATTGAATCCTGGCCTCCAGCCACCTCTGTTTAGAAGCTCTTTCCTAGACTTCAGCCCATAAGCATAATGTCACTTGCTCAAGGTCGAATACTTGGTAAGTCACAGAGTATGGAATTGTCATCTCCATTTAGTTCCCAGAATCAGATGCTTACCTTTTAATTTCACTTCCCAGATACTGGTCTCAATGTCCCAGTGTCCCTTATCACCCTTGAGTGTTCCCAAGACGGTAATAAAATGAACGTGGATGTGGAAGAAGCTAAAGTGGAGTTAATTCATGTAATAAAGCTAGAATATTTTAGAAAATTAAAAAAAAATCAGGAAACAGAAAAATGACACATTCGCTTGCCACTTAGAACAAATAGTAATGGTTCTTCTGATACCCGGGGGAGATGTACTATAGATGAAAATGGAAAATGTTTTTCCAAGTTCCAAGAGCTTTCCAGTCTCCTCTCTGACTTTCCCGGCAGGATTAGGCACCCCGCTGTGCCCCACAGCCCCAACACCTCTGGAGGCCCTCTTGCTGGGCCATGTGTTCTAAGGGCGTTAGGGATAATATGACTTTGACCCATGGTATTCCAGGTCCCAACTCTGGCAGACAGGAGGTGCTCAATAGTTTCATTTTTGACTTGAAGGTTCTGAAGTGAGGTCTGATGGAGATACGCAGCATAGCAGCATGCACTGTGCGGGCTCTGGCCTGTGGGTGCTGCAGGCTGCAGGGCAGATGCTGAGTGTGTGCACGTCTCCCTGCAGCCAGGCTTCTGAGGTCCTGGAGACCCACAGCTAGGCTGGGAGCAGGATGGCTGCTGTGAAGGTGGTAGCTGCGGAAGAAGTGGTGGCAGTGGTCACAGCCCTGGGAGAGATGAAGGGGTCTACATGGGCCAGCACTGAGACCTGTCATGGAGGCCAACAGGAATCCCCATCCCTGGAGCCGTCTGCGTAAGTAGCAAGTCTCCTGCTCGAACCTAGCACAGGAATTACTGGCACTCAGCAGTCAGCTTTGTCAGTCAATTATTACAAAACGAAAATGCACACAAGGACATTGCAATAAAGTATATCAGAGAGTTGTCTGGACTCATCAAAGAATTTAGAATCTTCAGTCTTGAAAACTGCTGCAACATCGCAGAGTAAATACAGGCTTAGAAATATAAATCATATTTTAAAATCACTGCCTCTGGTGGAAAAGAACACTATTTTCACAGGATGCTTCAGAAGATCCAATTATTAGTAAAGAAGACAATTTTAAAATAAATTTTTCCCACAGTAAAGATATAAAATCAGAATTCAGAAGCAAACATTTGAATTATTCACAAAACATGAAGCCACTTCTGATTTATTGTGTAACTCTACAAGTTACAAGAAATGTCAGAAAAAATGCTAAACTGCCTTTATATAAGTTTATACTTGGAATTAATTTTAAAATTACACAAAACTGATTTGTATGAAGAGTTAAATCTTTTTAGAAAAAGTGTTCCACAGGGATGATCAGCTATAAATGCACTAAAATTTATATTTTGAAATAGTTTATCATAAATGTATCCCAATGTTTTCATGGCACATAAATATTGTAAAGAACCCCAGGAACTGACGCATCAGCATGAAATGATTCTCAAAAGTAAAAAGTATCAAAAATTATTTGCAATCTTGCATTTACCACAAGAGACTGACATTGTTTTTAATTATATTGATGAAAAATGAAGTTGCTGAAAACACGCATTTTGACAACTTAATAAACAAATTTGTAGTCAGAAAAATTTATGACAAACAAGACATTATATTAACAACATATCATTATCTTGCATACAATTATGACTTCAAAATATTATTTTGCAATTAAAAAGTTTCTTTTCTTACTTTCATGTCACTATTATCTCTATTATATTTTAGAAGTAACAAAGTATTTTAGAAGGAAAAGATTTATACTTTACGATCTCCAACAGCACTTTTTTTTTTTTTTTTTCCTTTTTGAAATGGGAACTGCATTTGCATTTTTCACTGGACTGGCAAGTTCTGTAACTGACCCTGATTACAAGATTACCCTAGAGATAAGATTCCTGGAAGCTCAGACTGAAAATAGAGACACAAATGAAACAAAAAGCAGAAATGCAATGAAATGATACCGCATGTTCTGGGTACTTTGCTCATGAGCACAGGCACCCAGACACCATGGCCCTGGGACTCACAGCCTCCCGCCCCCCAGACACCTGGGCCCTAGGACTCACAGGCACCCAGACGCCCAGGCCATGGGACTCATGAACACCCAGACACCCAGGTCCTGGGACTCACGGGCACCCAGACGCCCAGGCCGTGGGACTCATGAACACCCAGACACCCAGGTCCTGGGACTCACAGGCACCCAGACACCCAGGCCCTGGGACTCACAGCTGCCCCTACCAGACACCTGGGCCCTAGGACTCGCCGGCGCCCAGATACCCAGGCCCTGGGACTCATGAACACCCAGACACCATGGCCCTGGGACTCACAGCTGCCCCCCACCACCGGATACCTGGGCCCTAGGACTCACAGGCACCCAGACACCAAGGCTCTGGGACTCACTCACCCTCCCAGACACCCAGGCCCTAGGACTCATGGGCACCCAGACACCTGGACCCTGGGACCCACCTACCTAAGTCTCCATCAACCCAGGACGCTCCACCCTTTGGGGCCAGATCCTGTAAGCTCAGTGCAGAGACCTGGAGTCAGGACCCCAGCTCTGAGCAGACTCAGCTGCCCTGGGCTCTGTGAACTGGGCAAGCCATGACCCAAGCTGGATCTCGGTTTCCCAGCCAAGAAAGTCAGAACTGGCACTATCCATTTTCAGTGTCTCTTCCAGGGCATGTTGAGATGCCGTGTGAATCCAGGTATGAGTGGGTGTGGAGAACTTGACAGCCATTTTCATAAAAGAGAGATTCTCTCACTGCCTTCTCACCCCAGTGCGCAAGAATCCCAAAGAGAGTGAAACAGCAAAGAAAGAAAAGAAGAGAGAGCATGGAGAAGTCCCACCTAAGAATTTGTTCAGCTTATACAATTGCAAAAAGTGTGTGTGTGTGTCCGCACTGCTGTTGAATATCGGCTATTTCTACTCCTTACATAAGACTAACGGATGGGGTAAAATCTGCTGAGTGTATCAAAGACCCATTTTTAATTCATAGTGGGTTGGAAAAATAAAACTTACTTTTTTGAGAGAGAAATCTACAAGGAGTTTTTGGAAGCCAACCAGTTTAATAAGCACAGGCTCTAAGTAAATAGCTTAAAGAATTTATGAGCATCACTTTCTGCATTTATGTATAGCTTGTTGTGTGTGGGGTCCGGAAAAAGAACAAATCACTGCTTTGCATTCTTTCCAGGACTTGCAGGCTGAGTTCTTCCCCTGCGTGGCCTGAAGTGGCCCAGCTGTGAGAAGCCATTGTGAGGAATGATGTTTGTTTAATAGAGAGTGCGCCAGCATCGAACTGTCTGCAGGCTGAACCCCTAGGGAGGAGGAGAGGAAAGAAAGCCCGATGGCTTCAGGCTCAGGTCTTTAAAACTCGTTCTGGGAGAGAACACATTTGCAGAGCCCCACACTGGGCTCCAGGCTCCTAGAAGCAGCGGGAGCCTGCGTGGGGGCTTTGCAGTTCTTCATGGATCGCCGGTTTCATCTTCTGGGGCCCACCACGCTGACTTGTATGCAGCTTGCCTGGTGCCGACGGCCTCCATCCAGCACCCCCTGGACCTGCCTCCGAGTCTGGGTTTGGGGAGCAGAAACAGCATGATCTGGGGGACAGGGATGGTCCCTAGGGGTTGTTAGGCTCCTCTGCCCTCCACCCCACCCACGTAGGCACCAGATACGAATGCAAATGGAGTCACCTCTGGGCCAGCTGTCCTGATCCTCCTGGGCCCCTGGGGTTTCCCTCCTGACTCTGCTCCCTGGCGGTCTGGGCTGTCTATGTAGTCCTGCCTGGGAGTCCCAGGCAGGCTGGCGGAGGAGATGGTGTCAGGGCTGGGCTTGGGAGGATAGGAGGAAGTTTCCAGGAGTGGAGGGAAGGGGTGGGCATTTCTGATGCTAAAAGGGGGTCCCAAGGCCTGGAGTTGCCTGGGGCCTGAGGGTGGCACTGGGAAGTCAATAGCAGGCTTTTAAAAATATTTCTTATTGTGGTAAAATACGCATAATCATGAAACTTACCATGTTAATCATTAGGTATACAGTTGAGTGACACTAAGCACATTCACCCTGTGTAGCCGTCACCGCCCTCCCCTCCAGGATGTGCTCATCTTTCCAGGCCAAAGCTCCCCACCCATGGAACACTAACTTCTCCCGCCTCCCCGTGCCGTGCTGTGCTGTGCTGTGTTGTGTTGTGTTGAGCTGTGTTGTACTGTGCTGTGCTGTGCTGTGCTGTGCTGTGCTGTGTTGTGTTGTGTTGAGCTGTGTTGTACTGTGCTGTGCTGTGCTGTGCTGTGTTGTGTTGTGTTGAGCTGTGTTGTACTGTGCTGTGCTGTGCTGTGTAAGTGGGGCGTGTCTCTGGGCTCGGGCTAGGGTCTTGCCCTCTGCCTCAGCTGGGATGGGTTTGAGGTGGGCAGGGCGAGTGGGCAGGTGGAAGGCTGGGAGCATCTGGCTTTGAACGTGTCCATCATGTTCCCCACGTCCGTCCCTGGACAACCTGCACCCGTGGATGGTGCCCAGGAACCAAAAAGGGAAGATAAATAACCAGGCTGTGTTCATGTCAAGCCCCACTATGATCACATTAAGAACGAATGGATGGCAGCCTTGTCACTGGGAGGAGTGCAGCCTGGCACAGCCCAACGTGGGACTTCGAGTGTCTGATAAACACAGAGATGACACTGCCAAGGCTTCCCTCACCCCAGAGCATCCTGGCCTGGCCACTCCCGCCAGCTTCCCTGAGGGTGTGGACACAGCCCGGGGAGGCTCCAAGGGAGAGGGTCAGGGGTGGGAACGGGCCCAGGCACCCCTCTGCAGGGTCAGGGATTGGCCCCATCAGAGCCTGCTTCCTCCATGGGGCCCTCAGACGCCATCCAAGGCAACTTCTTCCATCCACAGTGGAGGAGAGAGGGTGAAGAAGAGCGGGCACCTGAATCTCAGACCCGGAAGCTGCCCACACCTCTATCAGGCTGGGGAGTGAGCTCCGTGGGGAGGGCTCCTATCCTGGGTGCTGGGTGGGGCATGTCCCATGGGGAGGGTTCTCCTGGCTCCTGCCCATGATGGGAGGAGCTAAGAATGGGGGTTCAGCTTCATGGGTAGCCTGCAGGGGTCAGGACCTCCCTGTCAGGACCCCACATGGGACCCTGCCATGGGAAGGGGTTGGCAGCCAGCACTGCAGACATGAGCCGCCCCGCAGCCCAGGGTAAGGCAGGCCCTGATCTCAGTTGTCCGGCTCTTGGGAAGGCAGCTCTGCTCCCAGGGTTCTGGGGGGCGGTAAAGGTGGCAGGATTCATGGGCCCCCCAGACTTTCCTGGGGGCCCCTTTATTGGGCTGGGTTGGGCTGCGGAGCTCTGTGTGAAGTGCACCAGATTGAACCCAGGTCCCTCTGACTCAGAGCTTGGACGTGGGCCTCCAGGACACTGGCCTCCCATTTGGTGGCCTCACATTCTTGAAGTTAGACCCACTGGCTGGTGGGATGCTGAATGGCTGGAGTGGAGGTGGTTCCTGCAGGAACAGTCTGTGCAGGCAGCGCCAGGCAGTGCAGGAGAGCTGGGCGTGGGCTGCAGAGGGCCACTTTGCAGCTGGGGCTTGTACAGAGGAGAGAAGGGTTGAGACAGCCGGGGGTACGCGGCTCACCTGGCTTTTTTCACAGACGTTGCTGACCCCTGCTCAGTGCCTGGCTGGGGGATGAGCATGAAGAGGACAGGGAGGATCTGGGGGCTCAGGCAGAGTGCAGGAAGCTCTGGTGCAGTGGGAGGAGGGAGGGAGGAGCAGAGCCTGGCGTGGGGCTGCTGGGGGAGACATCTAGGCTGACCTGGGGCCAGAGAGGCCTTCTTGGGACCAGGGGTGCCCGGGCTAAAAGAGCAAACAAGGGCCCCACATGACCCTGCAACCCCACTGCTGGGTGTATACCCACAGAAGTGAGAACGGGCTGGAAGAGTCGTGTGTGCACCCCTGTTCACAGCAGCCTTATCCACAACAGCCAAGATGTAGAGGCCACCCAGGTGTCCCATGACAGATGGATGGACGGATGAACACTGCTGTCTCTCCATACGATGGGAAATCACCCAGCCTTAAGAAGGGTGCTGCATGGCACAGCATGGCTGAACCCTGAGGACATTGTGCTAAGTGGAATAAGGCAGTCAAGAAGGACAAATCCTGTGATTTCCCCTTAGAGGAGGTAGCTAGAATAGTCAGTCCACAGGGATGGAAAGTGGAAAGGTGGGTGCCGAGGGCTGGGGAGGGCGTGGGGAGTGAGAGTTTAATGGGGACAGTTTCATTTTGGGAAGATGAAACGTTCTGGAGGCGGAGGGTGGTGATGGCACACAGTAACGTGACCATAATTCATGCCACTGAACTGTCCTCTTCAAATGCTTAGGATATTACATTTTACATTACATGTATTTTACCACAGTTTAAAAAAGGAAGAATGAAGTGACCTGGGAGGAAAGGCTAAAGCAACTGTGGCTGTTTCATTTAAAATGAAGGAAGGAAGGAAGGAACAGATGAATGAATGAATGAAAAGCAAGCAAAGCAAGCCTTTAGGGGAAGCAAGAGTGGTCCTCATTTCATTGGAATGTCGTGTGTCTTGAGAGAGTCCAGAACATGGGTCAGGACCAAGGGGTGGGAGATTCCAAACCCTGGTACCCTCTGGGTATCGGTAGGGCTAGAGAGGTTCTGAGTCCCTGGGCCATGGGGTACAGGCACCAGCCAGGGTACTCCAAGGAGGGGAAGGGGGTCCTTGCCAGGCAGGAGGTTGGCTTAGGTGACCTTCAGGTCCCTTTTGGACCTGGGATGTTCTATGATGTCAAAGAGTTCCCTCATCTTTTGGAGAAGCCAGAGGGGCTCTGGGGAGACAGCTCTGTCCAAGGAACCTGGGGGACTGAATCAGGAAGAGCTGGGCCTGATGGAGCACTTGGGGGTTGTTAGAGAATGGATGCAGAGGGGGCAGCGGCTTCTGGAATGTTCCCACACCTGCCACCTTCTACCCCTGGGCTTTCTTCCTCCTTCTATTCATTGTCACTCGCCTGCCATTTATCTACAATGTCAGCTCTGCTAGGACCAAGTGGGGGCTCCAGACACAGACCACTCAGTCCCAAGGGGGAGGCAGCCCCCAAAGTCAAGGACAACGGCACAGCGAGATCAAGGCAGGGGAGCCATTCTGTTAAACCAATGGGAGAAAAAAAATCAATTTTCCAATACTTTCCCTTCAAGTGATCTCTTGAAGCTGATTCAAAAATAATATTGTCTGACATTCAGAGAGGGCAGCTCACAATTTCCTAAGCACTTTTACTTATCTGTTTTAAGCCTCAGGACAATCTTGCTGGATATATCCTCACTCTGCGGAGGAAGAAATGAAAACACCGAGCAGCCGAGCAGCTCATTTGGGGTGCAGAGCATCTTGCAGCAGAAGGGTGTGGAGCTCAAGCAGGGCTGGGTGCCAGAAGGTCTGGAGCACCCGTCCAGGCTGCCCTTCTCAGGGCCCCCAAAGCCCATCAGCCTCCTGCCTGGCTGCCTGCCTTTGTCCTTGGTGCTTGGGACAGGCAGGACCTGCTTTGTCCTGCACCTGCAGCTCAGGGAGCCACCGCTCTGCACACTCTGTTGTGGATCCCTCTTGGTGTTCGACCCCAAGGAGGAAACCCTAGCTGACCTGGTGGAGCCCTTGTACCTGCCTGGGCTGAAGCCCCAGCTGACCTGATGGAGCTCTTGCCCCTGCCCGGGTTGTGCCACCCTCTCTCCCACAGGCTCCAATTTTGTCCTGTCCCAGAGCCAGCCCTCTGGGGAATGGGGTTACTACCATGACCCACTCGGATTGACTTATGCTGGTGCCTGCTTTGTGTGCTCAGGGGTCCCGGAGCTGAGGCCGGGCTCAGCAGAGTGGAGGGCTGTGGGCGCCCTTGAAGGGTGGGGTCCGTGCACATACTCTGTGCCATCACTGGGCCCGATGGTGTGGTTACATGCTGTGCCGCTGCCCCGCCCTGCCCCAGAGAGAGCCTGCATCATGCTGAAGGCCTAACTTCGAGCCCTTTCCCCCCATATCCCTGCCCCAACCAGAGCTGCCTGCACCTGCTTCCTTTCTCAGTGGTTACAGCCTCCTTCTCAGACTTTGGCCTCCATCCTTCCAGCTCTTCAAGGAGCATCCCTCGGGTCTGATGTGGAGCAGGCCCACTGTGCCTTCCACAGACCAATCTGAGCGGCCTTGACCCAGGGTCCCCCAAGCCACCCGGCAGCTGCAGTGCTGTAAGGCCACAGCTAGGGTGGCAGCTCAGCCTTCCAGGGCATCTGTCAGATGGGTGGCTACAGAGCTGGTGCCCAGGAGCTGCCGAGCCTATCACACCTCCCTGTGGCCTGTCCTTGCAGCCGGGCTGGGCATGAGCCCTCCTTGTCCTGTCTGACTGACTGGTGGCAAAATCCCACCTTGGACTATCAGTCATCTCTGATTAAAGTTGGATCCAGGCTCCTGCAGAGAGCAGGTCCAGCCTGAAGCTCTGGGCCTGTCCCTCCTGGACCCCAGTTCAGCATGTCTGTCTGCCAAGGTTGCTACTGATGGGCTGGATGCCAGCCTCCCTGATGCTGCCATGGAGGAGGGCATGGGCCTGCCAAGACCCCAGGACCACCTCCTGGGTACCCTGCACAGCCTGCCCCCCGATGATCGGGCCACCTGTTCCGCTTCCTCTTCCAAGAGGTGCGTGTCAACCATTTGTTCCACAGTGTGCAGAGGGAGAGGCTGCCTGCTCTGCCATGTGGACCAGGAGCACAGACAATAGGGAATCTGCCAGAAACAAGGGCTTTTCAGGGCTCGGTGAAGACAGCAGAAGGTGGTATTCATCGGGTCAGAGGCCCCGTTACCCCGGCCCCGTCTGCTCCTGCCAATTAGTCAATGAACTACAACCTGCGGAAAGCTGGCCGCCTCCGGCCATGGGCGCGGGAGCTGGATGTACCGGAAAAAGGAACAAGTCCCAATCAGCCGGGTGGGCATCCTGCCTACTCCAGGCCAACAGACCATTTGCAGAGAGGTCTGTGTGCCTCCCCTGCAGAGCCATGTGCTAGCAGCCAGGCGGCTGGGCGGGGCTTGCATTCACTGTGGCCACCGCTCAGCTAAGACGAGGTGACTGGTGGGCGCACACATGCCAGGGTCCTTGTGCATGAGCGAGGGGATGAGGCTGCGGCTACTGACACAGCTCCTTTCTCTCTCTGGGCTCCAGGGCAGGGAAGTCTACACAAAGGGGAGCACAGGATTGGAGGTGGGAAGGATGTGGCACTCTGCAAAGAGGAAGGGTGGGAGGAGAAACCCCAGATGATCTGTGGACTGAGTGAGTGAAATGGGCAGGGCTATCCTCTTTTGCAGAATTGGGGTTGAGAGAGTGGCCACAGATCATAGGTTTGGAGAGAGCAAGGCTCAGCTCTGATGTGAATGCCATTTCCACAGTCCCCATTCCACAGATGCTTTGGGATCGGCTCTCAGCCACCCACCTGGTTATTTGGTGCTCCAAGGGGCTTTGCAGGGCGGTCTCTGGCAAGTCCCTCCTGGTGTCCCTAGTGGACTCTGCTTTGCTTAACTGAGTCATAAAATAACGTACCCCAGGGAAATAGAAACCCTTGTGCATTGCTGATGGGAATGCTGAACTGTGCAGCTGCTGTGAAGAAAATGATGGAGGTTCCTCAAACAATTGGCCATGGAGTTACCATATGATCCAGCCATTCCAATTTGGGATATACAGTTTAAGAAGTGGAAAACAGTGACTCAAAAATATATTTGTACCCCCATGTTTTCATAGCAGCATTATTCACAACAGCCAAAAAAGTGGAAGCAGTCAAGTATCCACCAGTGCCTGAGTGGATACATGATAGGTGTCCATTTACACGGTGGAATATGATGCAGCTCTGAAAAGGGAGGAAATTCTGACACATTCTACAGAATGCGTGAATCTTGAAGACGTTATGCTGAGTGAAATAAGCCAGGCACAAAAGGACCATGCTGTATGACTGTACTCCTGTGAGGTTCCTAGAAGAGTCAAACCCAGGGAAAGTAGAATGGTGGTTACCAGAGCCCTGGGGAAGGAGGAACGGAGGCATAGTGTTTAAAGGGTATAGAGTTTCAGTTTTGCAAGATGTGAACATTTCTGGAGGTAGTTGATGGTGATGGTTGCACAAAACTGTAACTATACTTCATGTCATTGATCTGTACACTTAACAACTGGTTAAAATGATCGATTATGTATTATGTATATTTTTATCACAATTAAAACAGCAACAACAACATGCATCCCGGGACACCCCAGCCGTGAGTTCAGCTGGGGTTGACGTGGCCACTTCCTGGGCCACTTCATTCATCAGAGCTGGCTTTTGTCCGGGGCTATCTTTGAAGCTAAGCCATTTCTTTCTGTTTCAACTCACATGCACTGCTCAGACCTGGAACTCCTAATAAATGATAAAACAAGCCATCCAACGATACATCTAAACACCATATCTATTACTAAAATTATGCAACTGAGATTTTTATATGTGTAATCCCCTCTCTCTAAAAGTGTGTTTTTATCTGCAATTAGGGAAAAAATGTATTTTTTACACTTAAATAGTTTTCTTAAAAATAACACATTCCCTTTCCTTTTTCACGTGAGCCCAGTGTTTACGCCTTTTAACAGATGGTTTGAATTACTTCCTTCTCCCTTTTTTTTGACACAAACTCCTCCTTTTTTGGAAACCCCCTCCCCCACCAAGAATATGGTCGCTAAAGCCAGAACAGAATCTGGGTCATTGGCCCAACCACAGTCCGAGTCAAAGAGCCAGCTATCTGTAAACTAGACCAAAGTTGTCCTTTCCCACTCAATAAAATTTAAAGTAAAAAAGACGGGATTAACTTGGCAGAAACAGCGTTAGGTGCAGCATGAAAGCTGGAGTCTTTTGGAAGTTTGCAGAGTTAAACATAACAAAAGAGGGCCAATGGTGAACGATCGCTTTGGAGGCACCACCCAAGGCCACAGAGCCGGGGAGAGCAAGGGGGAGTTTAATTAATCAGTCAGCTAAACTGAGAGCCACGTCAGCTTGAGAGACCTCGGGAACCCATCAGGGGAGGCCAAAGGATGCTGTGAGTTATAGGTCACTGGAGAGAAGAGGTTGGAATCTCTGAAGGTCTCCGCGTCAAACTCAGAAATGGTGCACAGAGATAAATAGGGCGTCTTTAATGATGCTGGAAAACAATAATGACCTGCTGTCAGATGGGCCATCAGTTGTGACCAGATGGTGGTTGGAATCCACAAATATGTCATTCTTCCATCTGCTCCCATCCATAGCATCCACTTAGATGGTACCAGGAAGATGGGTTTTCCTCCAGATTTTGTCGTTAGCTTCACATTGAGTTGCTTAGTTTGATTCATGAGCCATTACTGGGCCGTGTGTGGTGAATAGTGGCTGTTCCCAGCCGGGCACGGTGGTGGGCTGCAGCGGGAGGGTGCCCAGCAGATCTTTGGGAGCAAGCTATTGCTGATCCTCACCCCCACCCCCTCCCAGGTGAACTGTACCAGCTTAGAAGGGTCCTGCCCTGGAGCTCCTGTGGCCTCCCTCTCCCAGGACAATGGGCTGGGCTCCATTTGCACTGGCTGGAGAGGACCTCTTCCTGCCCAGAGCTCCTCCCTGGCTGCTAAAGGAACTAAATTCCTCTTGTTTTATCTGTAGAAGAAAACGGTCCAATCATTCATTCATTCTTTCATTCATCTATTTGCTCACCTGTCCATGGAATAGTTCCTAAACCCATTTAATGCAGCAGATCCTGCAATCCACACACTGCTGATGAACTAGGGAACTTTGCAGACACCCTACTCATAGGGAGCTTACAGATTTTCACTTCACATTTGTCTAAGAATCTCATTAGAACTATCCAGCACCTACTGTGTGTGAGACTGTCAGGAACTCTGGGAGTGCTAAGCAGTGAGGCACATGCCATTGCACTCCAGCCTGGGTGACAGAGCAAGACTCTGTCTCAAAATATAAAAAATAAAAATAAAATAGCAGGCTGACCTCAGGCTTCTCCAAGATGCCAGCCAACAGGGCCAGGGGAGTGCACCAGGCACAGCTGATGGAGGCACATTTTATGATCTATGCACTTTGCTGGGCTCACCCTAGTCCCAGCTTTGTGATCAAACTATAGAACAATGTCTACAGTTCTTGCAGGGATATATATTTTTAATTTAAGAAGCATTCTCACACATGAAATAACACAGGGCATCAATCACTCACAGAAATCATCATTCTCAGAAAAACATATAAATACATAATCTGGGAAAATTAATAGGTTAAAAAAATGAAGACCAATATGACACTTAATATCAAGCAGGAAGAACAAAGGTCTTGAATTTGAGGGGGAAGACTATATTTACCAAAAATTTTATACCTAGCTAAATGACCTTTTGGCATACAATCAACCAACATATCTTCTTCAGCCTGCAGGAGCTCAGGAAGTACAGTCTTTTGAGCTTTTACAAAATTGAAACAAACAAAAAATACCTCATGAGTGATTGACAATAAATAACATGGTTGTGGAAAAACTGAAGGCTCTAAGGACATGTGGTGAATATGAGTCCTGTAAAGATTAGGTATAAATGAAAACCACTGTGGGAACTATTGCTCAGAACAAAATGTACCTTCATAAACCTTGACAATGCGAACACAGAAGTGATATAATGAAGAAAGTCTGGAAATCTGGAAAGAGGGTGGGATCAGGCAGCAAGAATATTAAATTCATCTTCCACTGAGGGGGCTCATTGGATACAAAAAATAAAACATCAACCTAATTTTTAATGTAATAATTGTCCTTAGTTTCAGAAAGAACTTTTAGAATGATATTGTTGGTGATCAAGAAACAGTTAAAGTACAGCAATTCCTCTAATTTCACTTCACTTAAAAAAATCATTTTGTTAAATGGGACTAAAATTAAATTAAAGTTTTTGCTGCAAGCATCACGTATGACACCATCTTATTTTATACTTGTCCAACCTGTGACCTGTAGGCTGTATGTGGCCCAGGATGGCTTTGAATGCAGCCCAACACAAATTCTTAAACTTTCTTAAAACATTATGAGATCTTTTTTGTGATTTTTTTTCTTTAGCTCATCAGCTATCGTCATTGTTTGTGTATTTTATGTGTGGCCCAAGACAATTCTTCTTGTTCTAATGTGGCCCAGTGAAGCCAAAATATTAGACACCCCTGTTTTACACAATCATTTATATTATTTATCTCTCTGTGTGTCCATCTCTATCTCCACTTCTCTCTCTCTCCCTCTCTCTCTGTCTCTCTATCAAGAAAGATGTAGAATCTTTTTTTTTACATAATGATATTATTTCTGGGTGGTGGGAGTTGGGGGTGATTTGTTTTCTTCTTTGCACTTTTGGAATAGCTTTATTCTTTATCATAAACATACATTGTATTTGCAAAAACAGTAATATGCATAGAGGAAGGGCTGGTTACCCCCTTCACCCCAGAGCATCTCGAGAAATCGCCCGTGGGCTGCAATTGTGTGGCATCTCGCCTCCTACCCAGCTCATGGGAGACAGATGATTGTGGTCAAGTGTTTCCTTGTCTTCACCTCTTCGAGCTTCAAGGATGAGGTGTGACATTGGGCCCCAGCCACGTGTTCCCCTGGCCTCCCTAGCTGCCTTGGCCATCTTTCTGCACAGCTTGCACTCACCTGTCCTGACTGCAGACCCTGGTCAGTGGCTTCCAGACCTCAGAGTGAAGCAGGGAGGTCAGAGAAGCTGACAGGGTCCTGGGTAGGCGTGGATTAAAGGAAAGACATGCACAGGGCTCCGAGCAGGTGTGGATTAAGAGGAGAGACGTGGACAAGGCCCCGGGTAGGTGTGGATTAAGAGGGGAGACACGCCCCCTCCTCTAGACCCTGCAGCACTTCGTAAGCCTTTGTAAGTGTTGTGTTTATTTCCAGTTTTCTGGCTGTTCATCTGGATGTCTAGACCCTAGACTGCTGGCTGCCCGAGGCCAGGAGCTGGTTCTGTCCCTTTTGTATTTTTGACAGTTTTACATCCTGCCCAAAGCCTACAGCAGGGTGCGTGCTCAGTGTGCGATCTGGATCCCAGAGTGAATGAATGGGTTTAATTTGGTTACGCCTGCCAGGTACAGGCCCCCCACTTCCCTCTCCAATATGCAATACTCCTGAGTCCAGTACCCTCATCAGAAACCTCAGCCCCCCACGGTTAAATTGCTTTCATTTCCTTTTATGAACTTGAGCAGGTTTCAATGACCTGAATTTCCACGACAAGTTCAAAAGGCACTTTTCTGGGGGAAACCTTTTCTCCCCACAATTTTTCTTCCTCTCCCGGGTTAAAGAAAACATCAGGAAAATGACAACTTGAAAGGTATTTACTACTTTGAACAGCTCAGGCTGCTTTTGGAAAGAGGGGAAATGGGAGCTTCCAGAGATCTTGCTCCCAGTAAAACTGCTGAAGCAAGGTCAAACATTTCCACGAGGAGATAAAATGTTAATAAATGGTGGCCATTGTCCCACATTTGTGAATTTATGCTGTACATCTATATGGCATCGTTCTCTCCTTGGTTAAATTCAGTGAGTAATTTCTGACTGTATTCACTGCCGGGGGATATATTTCTTTAGAGTTAAATATCACTGGCTGTGCATTTTGATATGAGAAATGCGGGCTGCAATTTATAACCGACAAGATCATAAGTGAATCGTGGCTGTACCGAGAAGCAGGGCACAGGAAATGGGTGCCGGCTGCAGAGTGTTTATTTTAGAATTCATTGGAGGGGAAACATCATTTCCAATTCCCTGTCAAGTTCTAATCTAGGCTTGCTCATTTCACCCGCAGACATAGGTCCAGGGCCTCAGGGCTCTGTGATGTGCACCAAGCTGCCCCTCACCCTGACTCTCCACCCACCCACCCTGCTGGGTGCCTTCAGGGCCAGGGGGAGGCCGTGGGTCTGATTGGACGGAGGAGAGGTGGTCATGCCACATCTTGATGAGGGCCACCCCAGACAGTGGTAAGGCGGAGGAAGGAGGCCTGGGAGAACCACGGGAGTCCCCCAGTGGCAGAGCCGCTGCAAGCTGCCGGCACCATCCCACCCACCATCCACCCTCGGCCTGGGCGTCGGTCGCCTTGACATGGTGGTTTTGGCGTGGCCCCAGCTCAGGAGGGAACCAAAGGCTCCTCCAGGCCTTCCTGAGGACGGAGTCCCAGCACCACATGGCCTGAAGCTGAAATGTCAGAAATGTCAGAGGTGCCACGGAGAGGGGCCACAGAGAGGGGCTACAGAGAGGTGCCACGGAGAGGTGCCATGGAGAGGGGCTACAGAGAGGTGCCACGGAGGGGGCCACAGAGAGGGGCTACAGAAAGGTGCCACGGAGAGGTGCCACGGAGAGGGGCAGGATGCCTTCAGTGTGGATTCCTGGGCTGGGGTGGACTCCACATGCCAGCTGCAGAGGCTGACCAGGCTCTGGAAGGGGCATAGGAACCGAGTTTGCAGGATGGCTCCTCAGCCCTAGGGCCGTCCCTCCCCCCACCATCCTTATCCCTCCTCCCTCCCCTCTGCTCCCTTTCCCTCTCTCACACCTGGAGTGGGAGCTGGGAGATACCAGTCCCTGCTGTCAGCTCGGCTCATAGTCCTCAGGCATGAGGCGTGCTGGGTGCCCTTCCTTCGCCTGCCCTGCGTTCCTTTGCTCTGAGTCTGCGTTCAGGAGCTTGGGACGCTCTGCAAAAGCAGAAGCTCATCCAGGAATGGAAGCTTGCCCTCTTGTGAGGCAGGAGCACACGGACCTATGGTGAAGCCATGGCCCAAGGGTCTGAGCGGTGCTCCCCGGGCTGGCCTGCTGGAATGCAGGGCTTTGAAGCCACCTTGCTGCTACCTGCCCGCTGGGTGACTCTGGGCAGCTGTCCTAACCTCTCTGAGCCTCAGTAATCCTTAATTATAACATGAGAATGATACTCCCAATCTCGGAGGCTTACTGTGGAAAGCAGGCCCCTGGCAGATGGTCTGGGACAAAAATGGTGCTTAGTGAGTACCAGTCCCCGCCCCATGGGCCTCAGTTTACCCATCCCTGAAACGGGCATGTTCTCGCCCCTTGGGGCTGCAGATATGTGGTTGTCAGCTGCCTGGTCTCTGTCCCCTGATCTTCAGGGATATTCTCAGCTGCTGACCTCACTGGACTCCAGGCATATCCAGCCAGCACCAGCTACTCACACCAGCATGACGAAGGGTCCTCAAGACTCGCAGTAAATGCTGCTGCAGTGTCTGCGGGAGAGCTGAGGGCTGGATCTCACTGCTACTTCTTAGACGTGTGACCTGGGTCCAGTTCCTTAGCCTCCCTGGGCTAACCTTCACCCAGGGCCTGGCACAGATTTCATACTCACAGCATAAGATCTGCTTTAATAGTCTAACTGTTCCTATCACAATGAGGGTCACAACCCCCAGGGCGCCAGGCAGGGCAGTCAACACTTGACCGTTAGCCCCTGTGCACTCAGCGTCCTGTGGCACAGGCTGTCTGAGTTAGCGGCACTGAGATACCATATGGTTCTAAGCACGCCCCGATGTGTACTGTTTGAAAATAGCACAATTCTGAAGCCTACTGACAAATTGTATGGGTTTTTCTCTCTTGCTAATTTATGGAAAAATAAGCTCTTAACCATTTATCCTCAAAAGGGCTGCCTGAGCCATGGCTGTAAAAAGCCCCCGGAAGGACAGCTTCTCTTTAAGTGACTTTCTAGAAGAGGCAGCCACCCTGGGAAGAGGGTTTTCTCCCTTTGAAAGCATAGGAGAGCCCTCCTTTTTCCTGGCCTGGCTGGAAGTATCTCAGAACCTGTGGGCAGAGGTTGTGTGATGCCCTGGCCCACCCATTCCCGAATCTTGCTCCTCTTGGGCCCAGTACCCAGTGCCCTGTGCCTTTTGGGGCCTGGATGCAGCCCTCTGCGTTTGTGATGTCTCCTATGTTGTCACTTAAAACATTAGCTCCCAGTATCTTGCCGGCAGTCCCTCCTCAGCCCTGGGTGGGTCAGGAGAAAGCACAGAGGCTGCACGTCCTGAATCTAAACGCCAGCACTGTCAGCCAGGCTGGCCCTGGGATGCTTGGAATTGGGTGAGGCCAGCCTGCCCCACAGGAAGGCTGGCCTCTCTGCGGTGGGCATCCAGCCCTGGCATTGCTCTGGCTCTCAGCTCATGCCCGCCGCTCCGGTACGATGCAGGTGACAAGGCAGAAAGCGAGGGCCACGTCTCGTTCCGCTCTGCATTCCTGCAGCACCACAGACGTGGCGGAGCCATGCTGGAGGGGTTATAACTGTGGCCCTTGGCTCACCCCCATCCTCCTGGTGGGGCCCAGCACAGATGCCATGACCTTTGCACTTTCCCGGCATCTGCACACTGGGCTCACGTGATCATGAGTGACAGGGCAGGGGACCAGGTGAGTGCCCTGAGACAGAGCAGGAGGAAGGCCCTGAAAGTGAGGTCCCCTGAGACATGAAATCCAGGCTCCACGGCCCCAGGAGGCAGCAGAGTGGGGCTGCCATTCCCATCTGAGGCAGCAGAGCTGAGACCCAGGGACCTTATGGTCTTCCAGACAGTGGAAGGTCCCCCAGAGGGTGAGCTGCACAGCGGGGCCTGCAGCCTGTCTTGAGGCACCTGGCATAGCCACAGGGAATGGCTCCAGCAAGCTGATGTCCAGAGGCGGAAGAAGGGCAGACCACAGGGTGGCGGGATCGGGGATCCAGGGAGCTCTGGGGCATCTGGAAGGACAGACCACAGGGTGGCGGGATCAGGGTTCCAGGGAGCTCTGGGGCATCTGGAAGGACAGAACAGTTTCTGTGCTCCAGGTCCTGCATGTGTCTTCCAGGGACAGGAAGCCTAGATCACCCCTGCTCATTTCCTCATTTGACAGATAGGAGAGGCCAGAGTGGCCAAGTCACTTGTCTATGGGTGGCCCAGCAAGCAGAGAGTGGGGCCAGGTGGGCAGGCCCCCGCTACAGCCCCTCTCACTTCCTACAGGCCCCCTCACGTCCTGCAACAGTGGGGCAGGTGGGCAGGCCCCCCTTACAACGCCTCTCTCACCTCCCACACCAGGCCTTCTTCCTTCACGGTGAGCCAACCTGGCTGAGATGTCAAGACACATGGGAGAAGGGCTCATGGCTAATCTGCCTCGTTGGGCCCAGTCTCCCCATGTGAAAACTGGAGACACGATGCCTCCCTCCCAGTCCTGCTGGGAAAATTCCATGGGAGGGCGGGAGCAGGTGGTCACCTCCAGCTGCTCTGACTCCTAGAAGGGGCTGATGGAAGGGAAGTGAGGCTGACCTGGGCACCTCCTAGGATGCACGTCCCCTGGACACTTGCCCCTTTGCTCCACCAAAGTCGCACCTTCTTGCTACTTTCTGAGGGAGAATTTAGGACAGGCCACTTTGAAGGGAAGGAAAACTTCGAAGACCTCCGGCCTCCTCTGTGTACCCCATCCCCATCCACATCTCCCCTGTCTGCCCCACCCCATCCACATCTCCCCTGTCCACCCCGTCCACACCTCCCCTGTCCACCCCGTCCCATCCACATCTCACCTGTCCACACCGTCCACACCTCCCCTGTCCACACCTCCTCTGTCCACCCTATATGCACCTCCTCTGTGCACCCGCATGCGGCTCCTGCCTCCCCTCCTCTGGACCCTTGAGGAGGAGACACGGCGGCGTCCCCCTGGGTCCCTGGGCGTCACTGTGCCTCTGCTTTTCTAAGCCAGGGTGTGGCCTCCTCACAGGGAGCCAGCCAGTGTGCCTGGAACTTTCTCTGATCCCTGATATGAGGATGAAGATTGCAGGGCTCTCTGCTGGAGGAATCCAGGAGAAGGCATGGACGGCCGGAGCCCGTCTCTTGGGCCTGACTCTGTTGTGTGGGTCCGGGGTTGGGAATGTATCTGCAACAGAGACACCTCCATTTTGTGTCTGGGCACGGGATGGTTCTGCAGCCTTGGTCTCTCCCCATGTTTCCCCCAGGCCCCTGTCTCTCCAGCCTGCCAGCCCAGGTACACCTGGGTGGAGAGCCTGAAAGAAAATGGTTTCCTTCCCTCCGCAGAGCTGGACACTGTCCTCCCCCGTTGCTGTTGGAGGCCACCCACATGGGAACTTGGGAGCTGCCAGAGGCTCAGCAAGGTGGCACCGTCCCTCAGAGGAGGCAGCAACCTTGCTTCCTGGAAATAGCCAGGGGTCCAGACCTGGGCAGTCAGTGGTCTTGGTCCCTCAGGTGTCCCCGCTCTTTCTTCCTTTGTTCAGCCTCCTCCACATCCCAGACTTTGGGTTCATCTGCTACGCATGCACACACGTAGCTCCCCGCAGCCCAGACTCAGCCTCTCTCACCTCTGAACTCAGACTTCCTACAGCCCCAAGAAAGGGCTTCCTGGCACCTCTCAGGTGAACCCCCAAGGTGGACATGTGGATTTTATCAGCTAATTCTCCTCTTGGGTCTGTTCTGCCTCTGGGTTTAGGTGTGGGTGGCCCCTGCCCCTGGCCCCAGCAGTGGGCGCAGGACCGACCCACCAGAGGACTCCTGGCTGTGGACATGCCGCAAGGTCTGGGGCAGACCTTGTTGACGTCCTTGACAACCCACCCCCTGCTGCATCTCCGTCAGGGCTGCTAGGCTGTCGGGGTGGGGGTTGGTGGGGAGCCTGGAGCCTCTGCTGCCATCCCAGAGAATGAATCCTGGGCAGGGGAGAGGCAAGCAGAGAGATGCGGAGAGCAAGGCAAAAAACACCGTGACCTCGGGGCCAGCTGCATTCACTGCAGCTCCCCGCAGAAGGGCTCCCAGGCAGGGTGAGAGGAGCGGCCCTGTGTTCTCTACAGGCACGTCCCTGGCACTTGTTCAGCCAAGAGCCCCTCATGGTGGGACACGAGCAGAGTGCCTGTTGTGTGTCAGGGAAGCAGGCTGTGGCTGTGCATGATTTTGGTGTCACCTTTTGATGGGGGAAGGGGGATGGAGGGAGCATTTGGACTTGGTTCAACGTGCACCCAAGTCCCACCCCAGGTAGACCTTTACCCCAGCGTAGAGGGAGAGGACAGGGATGGAGGAGAGGAGGCTTAAGGATGAGGCTGAGATGTCAGCACTGGGGCACGGTACAAAGCTGAAATTCTATTTTGCTCTTTGGTTCCTTCTGTGAGTGCTTTCATGTGCAAGTATCTATGTTAAAACCCCACAGAATACCCTGAGGTGCCGTGCTGGGGTGAGGGGGTCACGGAGGAAGGGAAAGGCCCCATGAGCTGTCCAGCATTCCAGCCAGTGTGTGACAGAATGATCAGGGCTCCACAGCCTGCCCTGTGCACTCTGGGCCTGGTGCAAGGTCGGCTGGAGGTGGAAGACCTCAGGGCACACAGCCCTTCCCATCCAGCCAAGGCTCTGTTCTTCCAACAAGGTTTTGCATTTTTAGTTAAAGGATGTTTAAGAAATACACGATAAAGATGAGGAGCACACACCCCACGCATTGCTTTTTGGGGCTAACGTACATACACATTCTGTCACGCTTGCTCCAGGCTCCTGGTTTTAAAAATATAAACAGGCTGGGTACGGTGCCTGTAATCCCACCACTTTGGGAGGCCAAGGCAGGAGGATCACTTGAGCCCAGGAAGGCGAGACCAGCCTGGGCAACATAGCAAAACCTTGTCTCTACACAAAATACAAAAATTGGTCAGGTATGTGGTGCATTCCTGTAGTGCCAGCTACCTGGGGAGCTGAGGCAGGAGGATTGCTTGAGCCCAGGAAGCTGAGACCAGCCTGGGCAACATGGCACAACCTTGTCTCTATACAAAATACAAAAATTGTTCGGGTATTTTCGTGCATTCCTGTAGGGCCAGCTGCCTGGGGAGCTGAGGCAGGAGGATTGCTTAAGCCTGGGAAATCAAGGCTGCAGAGAGCCATGATCACACCACTGCCCTCCAGCCTGGGTGACAGAGTGAGACCTTGTCTCAAAAAATTAATTACTTAATTAAGCATAAAAATATAAACAAGCAGAAGTGGAGAGCCATGCCCGGCCACCCCCGTCCCCTCCCTGCCTCATGGAGCCTTTGCCTCCCTCTGTGTTGTGCTTTTCTGGGTGGGTCCCGGGTGCATTTCTGTAATGTGGGCTTGGCACGGTTGCCTGGGTGGCGTCACATGTCCATGTGCATGTCTAGCTTTATTCTTGGAAAAAAAAATTCATATTCTGCTTTTGAGGGTCACCCTCCCAGTGATGCTCATTCCCCTTTGCTACCTTTTCTCACTCAGCTCGCCAAGCTGGACCTTGCTTCTTCCCCTGCGGAGAGGCTCCTGCAAGGCCCATGTAGAAAGGGCGGCGTCCAGGCAGACAGGAGCAGCCAGCAAATGTAGGCGGAGGCTGGCGTGTGCCTGGGTGGGGATGCCATGGAATCCAGAGACTTTTTCTTTCCGGATCCCGAGAGGGCTGAAGAGTGGCTCTGTGGCCTCCGCAGGCTCTAACTGGGTGTGGGCCTCCCAGGACACTGCACTGTCTGCTCCAAGGCCTGAAGGAGATGCACCTCGGCGGGTGCTGCCAATCTGCTCACCTCCCTGGATGGTCTGGCCATCTTATTCCAGTCTGCCGACATCCTGCTCCCCCTGCAACATCTCAGCCAAGTCGCATGTCTCCTCTGACGTCATTCTTGGAGGCCTGGCCCACCACTGTCTGCTCCTGTCTCTGGGGTGGACAGAGGAGAGAGATAGACCGGCCCACATCCCTCCCCACTCAGCAGCCCACAGCCTGGCCTGGTCATGGGGAAAGATGCTTCACCAGCCGGGGTGGAGGCAGCTCGGGCTGGCATGAGGGGACCCTCCGGGTTCTCTGGATTGACAGAGGTGTGTGGCAGACTTCAGCCCTGAGGAGACTCTGGTTGGGCCTGTGGGCACCTTCCGTGCTTCCTGCAGGGTTCTTCAGACACGCTCCCACCCAACCATCACAATTTGATTTCTAGCTCCTGGAAGGAAGGGCCTTGGGCATTGCAAAATCACCCAGCATAGTTTCTAAGCCTGGCACATACAAGGGATGCAAATATGTTGTGATTGGTCTGAAATTGCACCGCAAACACAAGGCACTAAAAACATTTTGCCCAAGGTGCCACTGTATTAGGCCATTCTTGCCCTGCTATAAAGCAATACATGAGACTGGGTAATTTGTAAGGAAAGAGGTTTAATTGGCTCATGGTTCTGCAGGCTGTACAGGAAGCATCCTGCTGGCCTCTGATTCCGGGGAGGCCTTGGAAGGCTCACAATCATGGTGGAAGGCAAAGAAAGAGGGAGCGGGGACATCACATGTCAGAAACAAGAGCTGGGGGAGAAAAGCCACACACTGTAAACAAGCAGATCTCGTGAAAACCCACTAACTACTAGAAGGACAGTTACAAGCCATTCATGAGAGGTCCACCCCCATGACCAAAACACCTTCCAGCAGGCCCCACCTCCAACACTGGGGATCACATCTCAGCATGTGATCTGGAGGGGACGGCCATCCAAACCATACATATCAGCCCCGTCTGCCCAGGATGCCTGTGGTCCACCAGAGGTTTCAGGTCAGCACTTGTAATGTCATCCACGGCAGCATGGGCCACCGAGCTTCAGTCCTAGCCTCCTAGAAGACCCGGGAGGCTTTCAGGCTCCCGTCACCAATTCTACAAAGATAGAGGATGGCAGGAGGAAGGATGCCGCACATTGGGTGATCCCAAGAAGATAATGGTTTGCCCAACACCTGGGAGGGCTGTAGTAGCCCCAAAGAGTGGTGATTAGAACAGTGTCTGGGGAAGGTGATCTTCTTAGGCTTAAACAGACAAAAGAAATGCAGAGAGCTGGAGCGACAGAGCCAACTGCCTCCCTGAGGCTCTGAGGCTGTTTGGCAGTGCCAAGCGGGTGGTGTGTTTGTTCTAGAAGGCGTTGGAGGATCCTGGCACGTCCTCAGGGCTCGATCTCAGCTGCAATCAGCTCTCAGAGAGAGGGGGATAAAGTGACTTGAAGTGGATTTACCTGAAGAGGAGGGGTGCTTGCTTCTCCCGGGGGCCCCAGGCCTGAAGGGTTCTCACAAGACTGAAGAGGAGGCCGGAGTGGCTCTGAGCACTCAGCTCCGCAGCCCTGCCTATGCAGCCCAGCCTTCTCCCCGTGCGGCTGCCTGGCCCTGGAGGACTTCGGTGAGCCTGTCCTGGAATGACTTCACTTTCTCAGAGGTGTATTTTTCCCTCCAATTGTGAAAGTGTTAACATGCAAGTTACAGAAAACAGAAAAAAGTTAAAAGGAAATAATACCTAATTTAGTTACTCAAGCAAAACAACTATTTCTACTTTTTTGGGGTATAGTCTTCCTTCTAGACTTTTTCTTTGGTCTTAAAAAATAAAAGAGCCAACTGCACGCCGTGCGCCAGGCCTCCCTCTGATTTCCTTGCGTGGGGCGCCTTCCTCACTTGGTGTCTTCCTCACTCCTAGGACAACCCTGGGGCAGATGCTGCTATTTCATGCACCACCCTGGGGGCTCTGGGAGGCTACCTGGCTCCCCAAATCCCCAGCAAGTCAGGGGTGCAGCTGAGACAGCATTGCAGGGACCCGACTCCTGAGATGTCCCCCAAACGGCTGCACCATGTGGTCCCAGCCCAGCATTGCCAACGTCATAAACACCTGTATTTGTCGTTACAATAATACTCTGAATATAAAGATTTTGTGTTCTGTTTCGTCATTTATTTCGATGTGAGCACAACTTTTTACAAAGGTGTTTTTGATGTGGATGCAGCCGAAGGCAGCCAGTGATTCCTCCATGGCGGGCTATTTCGGGTCTTTTTAAATTCTCACTGTCATCAGTAATTCTGTGGTACAGATCTTGGGCGTCCACCCTGCAGCATTTCATGTTATTTATCAGACGTGGAATTTGTTGGTCCAATGACAACCGCAGGGCTGGACAGTGGGTTTATCCTGGGTGCATCACGGCACAATGTAGCTGGCGATGTGTGTGTCTGTGCGTGTCTGCATGTGTGTCTGCACGTGTGTCTGCGCGTGTGTCTGCGCATGTGTCTGCATGTGGGTGTGTGTGCAACCACAGACAATAAGCTCAGAAATAAGCATGTGAACAAGATCAGCCTTGTGTGTGTGAGAACAGTGGGAATACAAAAGCTGGGCACTGTGGTCGGTGGCTGAGGGGAATGGGGATCTACAATGGGGCCCGGAAGGCGTCCTTTAAGCTAAAGACCCCTCACTCTAGCAAATACATCCCACTTTCCAAATCACCTGCTACAGGGACCCAGAGCAGAGACTGGGGATGGGCGCTGCTTCCCTGGTGCCCCAGTGGCTGCCCCAGGCCTGGCACCCCATGAGGGTGCTCAGTGCTGCTTTTCCAAGCAGGTGAATGAAGAACTGACCTTGACCACAGACTTCCAAGGTGCTACTGGCTCTGGGCTGAGCCCAACAGACCGCAGATGCCCTGTGTGGGCCCTCATGGGGCCCTTCTGCATTGCTGGGGAGGAATCCTGAAGGAGGAAGAGAGGCAGCCGGGCAAAGACACAGAGGCATCAGCCTGCACCGGGGATGGTCGCCGGAGCCAATCTCAGGACAGGGAGGGATTGCCTGGGAGGGAGAGCCTGCCTCCTCATCCACCCACGGACGCCACCCACAAGGGCTCTGGGCGGCCTGCTGGAGGCCCCGTCTGCCGGATGGCAGTGAGCCTGCACCAAGGCGGGCTATCTGCGGCTCTCAGCCAGGCTCAAATGCAGGCTGGCGGGTGGGAGCCGGTCGTGTTGCTGTGCCGAGGGGGTCCTGGCTTGAGGCTGGCGCTGCCAGGTGCTTCTTTCGGGTAGGGAGGCTCCACACTTTGGTTTTGCTTGTCGCCTACAGGTTCATCCTGGAACGTCAGTGTGTATCAGCCATGATGCAGGGCTGACCAGGTACTGCAGACCCACACATCGTGGGGCCAGAGGGGCTGCCTCCTGCCCTGGGGGATGTGCCGCCTGTGAACGCTAACAGAGTCCCTCAGCCTCCCCTGGGACATGCCGGGTGTGGTGGGCTCCACAGTTTAGCTGCTGATGTTGGAAAACGCTCCCTGAACCTCCCAACCACTGGCGCTGGCTCTGCCCCGAGCCTGGGACACGGAGCCTGGGGGGACACTTCCACACCAAATCCATGTGTGGCCCCTGTGGGAGCCCAGGATACCTCAGCAATGCACCAGGAGCCCTTTGTTGTCCCATACATCCCATCTCCATTTCCAACATGGATCCCAGCGCGGGCTTTGCTGGCCACACCCTCAGGTCCTCCATGGCTTCTGTTCCTTCCTGCCTGGCTGTGACCTGGGGGTCAGCAACTAGGTTCATGGCACGGAGGGTGCAGTGGGGCCCGTAGAGGCCGGCACAGGCTTCCAGGGTTGCAGCTCCGCCACTGGCCAGGTGGAGCCTTCACTGCTGCTGGCCTGGGGCCTCTCTCTTCTCATTGTCAAAACCATCTCGCCCCAAGCCGCACCTGGCTCACTGTCTCCTGAATTTCAGTGACTCTGGCTGTAAACCTGGGCATTTTTCCAGACACATCCTCCTCTTTACCTGCTTCCCAACATCCAGTTATCTGCCGTGTCTTGTTGATTTCCTAAATGAATCTAAAAGCCTCTGTCTTCCCTTTGTCCTCACTCTCACCACTCCAGTCAAAACCACCATGCGGTGTTCCCAGAACCTCTGCAGATAGAGACAAACCAGCTTTTCTTGCTGCTGAATTTCCTTCTATGACTTCCCCTTGTTCTTAGATTAAAGGCCGGCCCTTCAAACATGGCCTTCAGGCCCCACGTGGCCTCATGATCCGCCCTACCTGCTTCTCCTGCTGACGGGTACCCTCTCCCAGTCCATCCCCCCGCCTGGCCTCTCTATCTTCTTCTCCTTCTTCTTCTTCTTCCTTTTTTTTTTTTCTCACTCTGTCACCCAGGCTGGAGTGCAATGGCACGATCTCAGCTCACTACAACCTCTGCTTCCCAGGCTCAAGCAATTCTCCTGCCTCAGCCCCCTGAGTAGCTGGGATTACAGGCATGCGCCACCAAGCCCGGCTAATTTTTGTAATTTTAGTAGAGACGGGGTTTCACCATGTTGGCCGGGCTGGTCTTGAACTCCTGATCTCATGTGATCTGCCTGCCTCGACCTCCCAAAGTTCTGGGATTACAGGCATGAGCCGCCACGCCTGGCTAATTTTTGTATTTTTAGTAGAGACAGGGTTTCACCATGTTGACCAGGCTGGTCTTGAACTCCTGACCTCATGTGATCCACCCACCTCAGCCTCCCAAAGTGCTGGGATTACAGGCGTGAGCCACCAGCTCGGCCAACTTTCACTTCCGAAGGCTGCGCTGCCTGCCTCAGGGCCTTGGCACATACACCTTCCCATCCCCTATTCAACTCTCAGAGCTCATTGCTATTTAATGCCCTTCTCTCCCCTGCCCCACCCTCCCTGGCCTCTGGACTCCCACTAATCCAAATACAATCAACTCAACTTAAACCAATTGTCTGCCTTCAGAAGCATGCAATTTGCATAAAAAGAATGCAAGCCTTTCGCCACCAGACGGTCTTCAGTGTAGCTCCATCCCAGCTATCTCAACACCAAACAAAATTTCAGGCTTAGCCTAAGCTACATGTGTGAGAAAGAACAATGTTCCCACATTTCAGAAGCTCAGAGACTAGAAAAAGTAAGAAAACATTATTTATGTATTGCAATCACTACAACAAATAAAAAAAGACATATTGTCTCCTGTATTAGTCCATTTTCACACTGCTATAAAGAACTGCCAGCTGGGCGCAGTGGCTCACGCCTGTAATCCCAGCACTTTGGGAGGCCGAGGTGGGTGGATCACGAGGTCAGGAGTTCGAGATCAGCCTGACCAACATGGTGAAACCCCATCTATACTAAAAATACAAAAATTAGCTGGGTGCGGTGGCGTGCACTTGTAATCTCAGCTACTTGGGAGGCTGGGGCAGGAGAATCGCTTGAACCCAGGAGGAGAGGTTGCAGTGAGTCGAGATTGTGCCATTGCACTCCAGCCTGGGTGACAGAGTGAGACTTTGTCGTGGGAAAAAAAAAAAAAGAACTGCTGACAAATGAGTAATTGACTCACAGCTCAGCTTGGCTGGGGAGGCCCCAGGAAACTTGCAATCATGACAGAAAGCAAAGGAGAAGCAGGCACCTTCTTCACTAGGCGGCAGGAAGGAGAAGTGTCGAGTGAAGGGGAAAGAGCCCCTTATGAAACCATCAGATCTGGTGAGAACTCACTATCATGAGAACAGCATGGGGGAACCGCCCCCAGGATTCAGTTCCCTCCACCTGGTCTCTCCTTTGACCTGTGGGGATCACGGGAATCACAATTCAGGATGAGATTTGGGTGGGGCCACGAAGCCTAACCATATCATCTCCTTACTTATTTACTCAATTACCTAATATTTAATGAATCCCTGCTGAGTACCCAGTAATTTGCCACATGCTGGGAAATTCAAAGTGGAATAAAGACAGACCAAAGAGTCTGCTTCTGGTTATGGCGGGCCAACTCAATTGATCCATCAATCCCTCTGAAGACAGGGACAACAGCTGTGTACAATAGAAACCACAAATTATTAACAGGTTCAGAAAGTCAACAAGGTGGTGAGGAACTTTGAAAAAGGAATATAATTCATGCCTGGAGTAAGACCCACTTCACTGTGGCCTATCATTCATTTTACACACTGCTGGATGCTTTTCACTAATATCTTGTTAGGTTTATTTGCATCTGTGCTTTTCAGTGAGATTTGTGTATAATTTTCCTTTCTCTAACGTCTTTAACTGGTTTGCTATTAGTGTAATGCTGACTTTGTAGAATGAGTTTGGAAGTGTTTTGTCTGCTTTTAGTTTCTGGCAGAAATGTGAAGAATTGGTATAATTTCTTCCTTAAAAGGTTGATAGGATTCACCAGTGAAACATCTGGGCCTGAGGCTTCGTTTTCTGGAAGGCTATTAATGACTGATTCAATTTCATTTATGGATATAAAGCCATTCAAGCTCTCTGTCTCTCCATGTGTGAATTTTGATAGTTTGTAGACTTAAGGATTTGGTCCACTGTATTTAAGTTACCACATTTGCAGGTGTGGAATCAGTTCTTCATCATATTCCATTTTAACGCTCACAGGACCCTGCAGAGATAGAGCTCTCCCGTTTCTGATATTAGTAATTTGCATCTTCTCCCTTATTTTCTTGGTTGGACTAGCTAGAGGTTTTCAACTTGATTGATTTTTTTTAAAAATCTATTTTTGGTTTCATTGATTTTCTCTGTTGTTTTCTAATTTTTAAAATGCATTGATTTCTGCTGTATTTTTTGTTATTTATTCATTTTCTGCTTGCTCTAGGCTTCCGTTACTTTTCTTTCTCTGGCTTCCTAAGGATGAAGAATAGATGATTGACTGTAGATCTTTCTTCTTTCTAATATGTACATGCATTCAATGCTATAAATTTCCCTCTACATACCACTTGCACTGCATCCCACAAATTTGATTGTTATATTTTTATAAAATAAACTTTAAGACATTAGAACTGTTTCAGGTTTAAAAGAAAATTGCAAAGATACAGAGTTCTCATATATCCCACATCATATTTCTCGTATTATTAACATTTTACACTGATGTGGCACATTTATTATAATAAACGAATCAATATAGATACAGTATTATTATCTAAAATCCATACCTTATTCAGATTTTCGAGTTGTTCACGGACATTCCTTTTCTCTTCCAGGATCCCACATTACTTTTAGTCATCATGTTGCCTTGGGCTGTCTTGGCTCTGCCAGTTTTTTAGGTTTTCCTTGTTTTTGATGACCCTGTTTTGGAAGAATACTGATCAGGACTTTTATAGAATGCCTCTTTGATATGTTGCATTTTAATTTCATTTAGTTCATTTAAACTTTTCTTGAGCCTTCTTCTTTGACCCCTGTGCTATTTTTTTGTTTTTTTTGAGATGGACTTTCACTCTTATTTCCCAGGCTGGAGTGCGATGGTGCCATCTTAGCTCACTGCAACCTCCACCTCCCGGGTTCAAGCGATTCTCCTGCCTCAGCCTCCCAAGTAGCAGAGATTATAGGCATGTGCCACCACACCTGGCTAATTTTTGTATTTTGGGTAGAGATGGGGTTTCACCATGTTGGCCAGGCTGGTCTCGAACTCCTGACCTCAGTTGATCCACCAGCCTCGGCTTCCCAAAGTGCTGGGGATTACAGGCACGAGCCACCAAGCCCGACCGACCCCTGTGCTATTTAAAAGTGTGTTGTTGAATCTGCACATGGCTTGGGATTTTCCAGATATTTTCCTGCTATTTACTTCTAGTTTAATTTTATTGTTAGTTGAGAACACGGTCTATCTGATTTCTATGTTTTAAAAAATTTAAAGGTATGTTTATGGCCCAGAATGTGGTCTATCTTGGTGAATGTTTCATCTGAACTCGAGAAGAAAGTGTATTCTGTTATTGTGTGCAACTTTCTGCAAATGCCAATTAAATCAAGTTGGATGATTGAGGCGATCAGTGCAACCACGCCCCTCTGAATGCTGCATCTGCCTGTCAGCAGCAGAAGCGTGTCGAAGGTTCCAGCTGTCACAGTGGATTTGTCTATTTCTCTCTTCAGTTCTATCACTTTCTGCCTTGAGTATTTTGACTGTCTCTCGCTGGGTACATACACATTAAGGATTGTTATATATTTTAGAGGGTCAACCCTTTGTCGTTATGTAATGCCCCTTTTTCTCCCGTATCATTTTTCTTGTTCTGAAGTCTGCTATGTCTGAAATTAATATAATTACTCAAGCTTTCTTTTGATTGGTGCTAGTTTGGTACATTTTTCTCCATCCTTTTACTTTTGATCTATTCTAGTCTTTATACTTAAAATGGGATTTCTTGTAGACAATACATACAGTACGTTCTCACTTAGCGCTGTGGACAGGTTCTTAGAAATTGTGACTTTAAGTGAAAGGACATATAATGAAACCAATTCTACCACAGGAGAATTGGTACAAACAAGAGTTTTGTTGCTACGGCGTATTTCTGTTCACAAAAACACCAGACTTCTAAATAAAATCCCCAAACACTAATACTAAACATTGAAATTATTGTGAGCTATACATACACTTAAGAAAGATCAATAAAAACAAATAAGATATTTATTTACCCGATTATTCCAGTTCAAGGTCATGGGTGGCTGGAGCCTGCCTGGCAGTTCTGGGCACATGTGGAACCATGCCTGGACAGGATACCCTCCCATTTCAGAGCATACCCACACCCCCCTCCACACTCACACAATTCAGACATGCAAATTAACTGAATACCCACATCTTTAGGATGTGGGAGAAAACTGGAATAACTGGAGAAAGCCCAGGCAGACATGGGGAGAACACGTAAGTTCCACACAGACAGTAGCTCCATTTGGGAATCAATTTTTTTCTCATCAACATTGTAATGAAACAATGTTGAACAAAGTGACATTATTTGAGGACCTGCTGAAGTTGGATTTTTTTTTGCAATCCATTATGAAACTGTCTTTGAATTGCTGTATTTGGAATGTTCCCATTTAAAGTGATTATTGAAAGTAGAATTTAGTTCCTTTTAACTTTTCCTGAGCCTTCCTCTTTGACCCATGTGCTATGTAGAAATGTGTTGCATAGTTGTGTTGTATAGTTGTGTTGCATAATTGTGTTGCATAGTTGTGTTGTATAGTTGTGGTGTGTAGTTGTGTTGCATAGTTGCATTGTATAGTTGTGTTGCATAGTTGTGTTGCATAGATGTGTTGCGTAGTTGTGTTGTGTAGTTGTGTTGTGTAGTTGTGTCACATAGTTGTGTTAGCTGTGTTGCATAGTTGTGTTAGTTGTGTTGCATAGTTGTGTTGTGTAGTTGTGTTGTGTAGTTGTGTTGCATAGTTGTGTTAGTTGTGTTGCATAGTTGTGTTGCGTAGTTGTATTGTGTAGTTATGTTGTGTAGTTGTGTTGTATAGTTGTGTTGCATAGTTGTATTGCGTAGTTGTGTTGTATAGTTGGATTAATACCTGACATGTTTGTAATTATTTCTACTTATTACATTTATTCTTTTTTCTTTGTGTTTCCCTTCTTTTCCTGTTTTTTTTTTTTCCTGGTTTTAACTGAGCATTTTATATAACTTCATCTCCTTTCTTAGCATATTATATTATTTTTAGTGATTGTGCTGGAGTTTCATTGTTGTGCATTGTTGAATATTTAAAATCTGACTTCGAATGACACTATACCGTTTCATGTGGTGCGGATATATTCCAAGTTTTTCCTTCCCATCATGTGTGACAATTTATCCATATACTATATTCATCTAATATATTGTTACTATTATCATTTCAATCAAGCAGTTATCTTCAGATCAATTAAGAATAAAAAAAGATTTTACTAACTCTCATTTATTTCTTATGACATCGTTTCTTTTTTTAATGCAGACACAAGTGTCCCACACATATCATTTTCCTTTTCCCTGAAAAACAACTTTGACCCTTTCTTGCGGGGTGGGTCTGATAGTGGTGAATTCCGTTTTCGTTTGTTCCAGAAGGATTTCTCATTCACATTTGAGAGATAAATTGGCTGGATGTAGAGTTCTTAGTTTTTTCTTTCAACACCTAAAAAACTCACTCCACTCCTATCTTGCCTGCGTGGTTTCTGACAAAAAGTTTTCTGTGATTCGTGACTTGTCTCTCCATGATTAAGTTTCCTGCCCCGGAGCTGCTTTCAGGATTATCTTGTTGTCTTTGCTTTTCTGCAGGTGTTTTTGTTGTTATTTGTTTGTGTGTAAGTTCTCTTTACAATTCCTTTCTTGGTGTTCACTGAGTTTTTCTCTTCAAGAGGTGTCAGCAGAGCTGGTTTCCTGGGGGTGTCCTAGGTTTGCAGGTGGCCTCTCGCCTGCTGGCTCTTCACTTGGCTGACCCTCTGTGCACGTGACCCTTGGGGTCTCATTGTGCCCAAATCTATTCTTATGAGGACACCAGTCAGATTGGGTTAGCGTCCCCCAGTAACCTCATTTTAAGTTAATCACCTCTGTAAAGCCCCAATCTCCAAATATAATCACATTTAGGGCTTTAACATGCAACTACTGGGGAAACATATGAAGTTCATGGCCTGTAGCTTGGTGTCTGCCATTAATTTGGAATCATTCTTGGTCATTTTTACTTCAAATACTTTCTCTGCTTCATTCTCTCTTTCTTCCTTCTGATATTCCATTTTTGTGTATGCTGCATCTTTGCCTACTGTCCCACAGTTGTTTGACATCTTTCCCTCACTCAATATAAGTTTATTTTTACATATTACTTTGGGAAGTCTCCGTTGACCTATGTGGAATTTCAATGATGCTTTTCTTAATTGTGTCAAGTTTTTCGATGAGCCATTAAACATTCTTTATTTCTGTACAGTATTTTTTATTTCCAGCATATCTTTTAGTTTTTTTAGTTCCCATCTATCTGCTTACATTGCTCATCTCTTTTTGCATGGTTTTTAGTTCCTGCTAGAACCTATGAGATACTGATTGTAGTTATTTAAATGCCTCCCTGATATTTCTAACTTTTTGTAGGTTATTATATATTAATCTATTTCTGATGATTGTTTTATTTTTTCGAACTGTGTTTTTGATTGCCTTTTGGTAGGCCTTGAGATTTTTTCTTGTTGAAAGTCAGAAAGATTGTATTGAGTGATAGGAATGGAGGTAAATTGGCCTTTAATTTTAGGAGTGTATTAACACGGCTGAGTGAGACGCTTTCTTGTTTGCTATGGCTGTAGGCGATGGAGGTTTCCGGTCCCTCTAACTTTCTTGTTGTGTGTGCCTTCTGCACTTGGCGCTTTCCTAAGTAATCCTCTTCAGAGAATGTCTGTTTATCTCCCTACTGTCTTTGGGTTTCCCTAAAAACTCCTTCTTAAAGAGGGTCTGTGCCTTGCAGCTCTTTACAGAGGGTCCACTGTTATATGGGAACCTGTTGGTGTGGGGTTAATATTTGGGGAGGAGTGTTCTATAATCTTCCAAGTAAATTTTAGTCTTTTTTTTTTTGAGGTGGAGTTTCATTCTTGTTGTCCAGGCTGGAGCGCAATGGTGCAATCTTGGCCCACCACAACCTCTGCCTCCCAGGTTCAAGCGATTCTCCCGCCTCAGCCTCCCGAGTAGCTGGGATTACAGGCCTGCACAACCACGCCCAGCTAATTTTGTATTTTTAGTAAAGACGGGGTTTCTCCATGTTGAGGCTGGTCTTGAACTCCTGACCTCAGGTGATCCACCCTCCTCGGCCTCCCAAAGTGCTAGGATTACAGGTGTGAGCCACTGCGCCCGGCCTAGAAATATCTTCTATTTCTTGTCTCTCTCTTGTTCCAGAGGTGCAGCCCTGAGGCTTTGTGTGAGGCACAGGCGGCCAAGTGCTCAGATGAAGGCCATCCCAGGGCAGATCCAGGCTGCTCCACGTTGACATAGCCAAGCAGCTGGTGCGTAATAACGCACACCAAGTGTCTCTGCAGACATTAGGACTTTTAGAGCAAAGCTTTTAATATTTTCCTTGAAAAATCTTTGATCATTTTGCAAGAGAGTGCTCATGAGAAGTTTTGAGTGAAGCGTGCTTCCTCAGTACCATTCTCAGTACTTGGCTTACCGAGGGTCTGGCACCCATTCTCACTAATGTTTCAATGACTAATTACAACTTGGAGCAAAGATGTTCAAATTTTGGAATGTGTCAGAGTCTCCCAGAATACGTGATCAAAGATCCAGATTTCTAGGCTCAATCTCCTGATTCTGATTCAGCAGGTGTTGGGTGGGGCCTAGGGATCTGAATTCATTGAAACCCACTGCCCAAAGTTGTCACAAGTCATTGATTCATCAGCTATACTCATTTAAGTTAATTCTGAAGGCCTAGGAAGCTGAATTCGTTGAGACCCACTGCCCAAAGTTGTCACAAGTCATTGATTCATCAGCTATACTCATTTAAGTTAATTCTGAAGGCCTAGGAAGCTGAATTCGTTGAGACCCACTGCCCAAAGTTGTCACAAGTCATTGATTCATCAGCTATACTCATTTAAGTTAATTCTGAAGGCCTAGGAAGCTGAATTCGTTGAGACCCACTGCCCAAAGTTGTCACAAGTCATTGATTCATCAGCTATACTCATTTAAGTTAATTCTGAAGGCCTAGGAAGCTGAATTCGTTGAGACCCACTGCCCAAAGTTGTCACAAGTCATTGATTCATCAGCTATACTCATTTAAGTTAATTCTGAAGGCCTAGGAAGCTGAATTCGTTGAGACCCACTGCCCAAAGTTGTCACAAGTCATTGATTCATCAGCTATACTCATTTAAGTTAATTCTGAAGGCCTAGGAAGCTGAATTCGTTGAGACCCACTGCCCAAAGTTGTCACAAGTCATTGATTCATCAGCTATACTCATTTAAGTTAATTCTGAAGTCAATAATGCATGAACTATACAGAATAAGCTTGCTGTTTTACAAGAAAAGCCACGTCATCAGATTTATATGGCTCTTTTCTTTTTCAATAAGTCTTTGTTTCACACTTTATTCTTAGAGTCTAGCTCATTACCTGACCCATAAGAAGTCTTGATAAAGATTTGTGGACTGACTGGGTGTGTAACTGCCCCAGAATCTGACACCCAGAGGGTGCTCAGAACAGACACTAGGAATGAAATCAGGGCATCTATAGCACATGGTTCTCACTCAAGCAATGCCCAGGGACACTAAGTGAGGTCATCAAAAAAAAAAATTCAGCCATGAATGATGGCTTGGCATGACAATGCAAAGTGAATGATCATGTGTTAGAGACAAACTTTTAAGGAACTGTTATTTCTCCATTTTTCTATATTCCTTGTGTTTGCTAACTCATTTAATTAGATCATGTGCCATAAAGCAAAGTTCTTAGTCTATAGTACCTTAAAGTTATTGCCAAGTGTAGCTGTCAGTATAGACCTGGTTATGCTGTGATAACAAAAATGCCCCTGGGCCAGTGACTGAACCCAGCTTGCTTCTCACTGAGTACGTAGTCAGGGGCTGCTGTAGCCTCAGAGACTCAGGTTCACAGAAGAGCAATCTATCCCTGTGCTTTCAATAGCAGTGCCGCAGGAGATAGAGCATCATGGCCCTGAAAATGTTTGTCCGGAGCTGATACACATCAATTCTGCATACATTTCACTGGCCACAGGTTGAGAAGCAGACAACCTTCCCCACATCGTAGCAACAGGCTTCCACCCTACCTAACTGGCATGCAACCGTTCTGGGACACACATCTTTTGGTCTCTACCCATTCCAAATCATTTTCCCCTTCCCATCTTCATCAGTTTTTTGGGGGGTGATATGCTCCCTCCTCTTGTGCAGGTGAGGTTGATGCCTTCCCCAAAGCCCCAGCATGATCATATGCCTAAATCCTGGCTACTCAGAGACACAGTGCTAGGCCCAGGATCAAACCTGCTGGCTGAGAGGCAGCCCTAGGACTTTTGGCTGGACCATTAGGAAGGGGTGTTGCCTTCTACCTGAACTTGACCTCCTAGAAGGATAGAATCTTGTTGTCACCTGTGGGAAAGCCTGTCCATATACTGATGTGTCTCAATCTTTTCTTATTATTGACCCATGAAGTGATTTTTAGACAATTTTACTGCAGTCACTACTACCCACTTGTTATGTTTTAATAGTATTTTATATATATATATATATATATATATATATATATATATATATATATATATATATATTTTAATATACTGGGGCCTTTTGTGGGGTCCCAAAACCATTATAATAGCTAAGATTTTTTGCCCAGTAAGAGCTAATTTTGCCCCATTGTGGGAAAAGTCATCCCTGTTAGCATTTTTTCTGTAAATGAAGTCAGTTGGGAGGAAGGCAGAGCAGGAGGCCCTGAGGACGCCCGGGAGTCTGGATCTAGTGGTGCCAGAAGATCAGTCTGACCTTGAGACGTTCCAGTTATTCAAAACAATAAATTCCCTGTTTTGTTAATTGAGTCTGAGTTGCATTTCTGTTGCCTTAAGGGAAACAGCCCTTAATAATCCATAAATGTTTAAAGCATGCTATGTGAACTAAGGATCAGTGGTTCTAAAGTCCTCTTTCTTCCCCACCTTTGAACTAAGTCCTCCCTGACTCAGAAGCAGCTCATTTATGGCTATCCTAATGCCACCTTTCCATCTGACCTAATGATACCCACTTCACAACATCAGGTTCCTTTAATTCTCCTTCATCATGCCTTATTGGGCACCATCTTTAATCAATACATCTCCTCTGTTATAAATTGATCACTCGATCGGTTAATCATTTCCCTCAGTTTATCTGCGTATCCATTCACCCAGCTATCCAATTATCCATCACTCCCTCCATTGATCCACCTATACCTAGTTCCTCTTTCACTCACCCTTCATCCGTTTCCCATTGCTCCGTCCTCCACCTTTCTCTCCCTCTGGCCATCTGTCCCCTCCACCTCACAATGTTGATCTTGAGAAAATCTCCAGCGATTTTTCTCATTGCCAAGTCCATTAGTCAATGCTCTTATCACAGAAGATCCCACGGCAACACTGGATCCAGCTGACCCTTCCTTCTTTTCGCCGTTTTCCTTTTGGATTTTCTATCAGTGTGTTCTCCTGGTTTATTTTCTCTTCCCTGGGCTATTCATCGCACCCACTTTGCTGGCTCCTCTTTTAATTGATATTTAAAGGTTGGAGTACCTCAAAGTTCTTTGTCAACATCTATAATTCTGCATCAAGAAGCTGACATAACATCTCCATGTGCATGTAAAATGTGCATTTCAGGCTTAACGCTGGCAACATAGAAATTCAACTTTTGTTAACCCGCACTTTTATTTTTTCAATGCTCGTCTTCCCGGATTGATAAACCTCATCATTTTGCAATTGTTTAAGCCAGAAATCTAGGCATGATCACTGAATTCTCTGTCCTTCAGATGGCTTGAGCAGTTTTTTGACCTGGGAAGCTGACTTTTCCTGCAGAATACATCTTGAATCTCTCTGCTTCCCTCCCCCTGTCTCCGTTGCTGGCATTTTAGCCCCAGTCACTATTATTCTTACTTCACCTTAGACTTGGCCTTCGAGTTGCCTTCCCTTCTTGCTCCTCAATCCCTTTACCATACAGCAGCCAGAATGATATTTCAAACTCCCCTGATGACAATTATCCGATGGTTTCCACAACACCTAGAAGAAAATCCCAGTTCCTGCTTTCCAGAGCTCTGGGAGGGAGGATAAATAAAGCTGCAGAGCTGAGTCATGTAAATATTGAAATCTGTACGTGAGATACCGCAGGAGCCACGGCAACCCCAATAATAATCACTGGCTTGTATTTTCATGACACTTTAGCATTGACAGAAGCCTCTCCTGGTCCCTCTCCTGCAAGGAGCTGAGTGTTTCATCCTGGGCGCTGTCCATCTCATGTCCTTCCTGACTTCCCCATGAAAGCTGACATATGATGCTGTCTCTTACACCAGACAGTGGATCCTTAAAAGTAATGGCTGGGACTGTTTAATTGTTTCATCTTTGTAAACCTGACACAGTTTCTCAGTATATATGTTTTTCATTAACAGACTTATTTTTTTAGATTTACAGACATATCGAACAGAAAGCACAGAGTTCCCACATGTGCCTTTACTTTTCTCCATTATTAAAATCTTGCATTAGTGTGCTACATTTGTTACTATTAATGAACCAGTATTGATACATTGTAACTAACTAAAGCCCATAGTTTACATTCCGGTTCACTCTGTGTTGTGGGTAAAGCTCTCTGGGCTTTAACAAATGCAAATGGCAGTTACCGCCGATTGCTGTGCTTCAGAACACTTTCATCACAAAAAAATCCGCCGTGCTCCACATAAAAATCCGCCGTGCTTCACATAAAAATTCTCTGTGCTCCACATAAAATCCCTTGTGCTCCACATAAAAATCCCCCGTGCTCCACCTACTCATCACTCCTTGCCGTAGCTCAGACTTCTGGCTAGCGCTGAACTTTTACTATGTCCATTGCTTTGCCTTTCTCGGAATGTTATGTAATTGAAATCATACAATATGCAGCCTTTTCAGAGTGACTTATTGCACTTAGCAATACGCATTTAACGTTTCTCCATGTCCTTCCATGGCTTGATAGCTCATTTGTTTTTAATCACTGAGTAATATTCCAATGTGAGGCTGTATCCATTCATCTATTGAAGGACATCTTAGCTGCTTCCAGTTTTGGCAATTATGAATAAAACTGCTATAGATAGTTATGTGAAGCTTTTGTTTTTCTAAAGACACAATTACTAATTAACTGTGTGGTAAGAGTATGTTTAGGGCCTGTTTACCTTTGTGAGGAGCTGCTCAACTGTCTTCCAAAGTGGCTGTACCATTTTGCATCTTACCAGCAATGAATGAGAGTTCCTCTTACTCCACATCTTCAGCAGCATTGGCTATTGTCAGTGTTTTGGGTTTTAGTCATTCTAATAAGTGTGTAGTAATGTGTCATTGTTGTTTTATTTTGCAGTTCCCTAATGACATATGATATTGAGCGTCTCCCTTTATGCTTACTTGCCATCTGTGTATCTCCTATGGTGAGATGTCTGTTCATTTGAAAATTGGGTTTGTTTGCTTATTGTTGAGTTTAACGACTTTGGGAAATTGAGTGAAATAATTTCTCTGTATATTTTAAGTACAAGTCCTTTATCTGACATGTGCTTTGCAACAATGGTTTCCAAGTCTGTGGCTTGTCTTTTCATTCTCTTAACAGTGCTTTTCAGAATAGAAGTTTCAAATTTCAATGAAATGCAACATATCAATTTTTTTCTTTCCTAAATCATACTTTTGGCATTGTATCTTAAAAGTCATCTCCAAGTCCAAGGTTCCCTGGATTTTCTCCTGTGATATCTTCTAAAAGTTTTATAGTTTTGTATTTTCCACATAGATCTACAATCCATATTGAGTTAATTTTTGTGAATGATGTAAGGTCTGTGTCTAAATTCATTTTTTTTTTTTTTTGCATGTGGATGGCCAATTACTCCAGCAATTCATTGAAAAGAGCAGCCATTCTTATTGAATTGCCTTTGCTTCTTTGCCAAAGGTCAGCCGTGTTTGTGTGGGTCTATTTCTGAGCACTCCGTTCTGTTCCATGGATCTATTGGTCTGTTCTTTCTCTCATACCATGCTCTTTTGATTACTGCATCTTTATAGCTTGTCTTGAAGTTGGGTAATGTCAGTCCCCCAGCTTTGTTCTTCCTTTTTCAGTAATGTGTTGACTCTTTTAGGTCTTTGACTTTCTATATAAAATTTAGACTCAGTTTCTCAATATCCACAAAATAACATACTAGAATTTTGATTGGGATTGCACTGACTCTGTATATCAACATGGAAAAAATTGACATCTTAACAATGCAAGGCAGGTGAGCCCCAAAATTGGGGCTTAGCCTGGGAGGGTTTTGGCTTTGCCCAGGAAAGAATTCAAGGGTGAGCTGGTGGTGTTAAATAGCAACTTTTATTGAAGTGGACGTGTACAGCAACAGCAGAGGTGTTGCTCCCTGCAGAGCAGGGCTACCCCATAGGCAGTGTGCCCAGAGCAGCAGCTCAGAGGCAGTGCTGAAGGCATAGTTATACCCCCTTTTAGTTATATGCAAAATTAAGGAGCAGACAATGCAGAAATTTCTAGAAAAAGGGTGATAATTTCCAGGTTGTCAGGCCATTGTCATGGAAAAGGGCAGTACATTTTGGGTGTTGCCATGGCAATAGCAAACTGACATGGTGCTGGTGGGCGTGTCTCACGAAGAGGCGCTTTCACCTCTTCCCTGTTTCCTGTTTCAGCCAGTCTTCAATCTGGTCCAGAGTCCAAGCCCTGCCCCCAGAGTTGAGTCCTGCCTCCTACGTCATTAACAATATTAGGACCTTTTATCCATGAAAATGGAACATCTATTTATTTTGGTCTTCTTTTATTTCATAAGTTTCTTTTCCTTCCATAATCTTGAACACATTTTGTTAGATTTATAGTTAAGTATTTCACTTTGGGGGATGCAAATGGAAATGACGTGCTTTTAATTTCAAATTCCAGTTGTTCTCGTAGATAGCATATATAGGAAAGCAACCACCTTTTGTATGTTGACTTTGTATCTTGAGACTTTGCTTGATTGATCATGAGTTCTGAGAGGGGTGGGTGGGGTGTGTGTGTGTGTGTGTGTGTTTATTTAGAATTTTCTGTATAGACAATCATGTCATGTGTAAACAAGCACCATTTTATTTCTTCTTTCCCAGTCTGTATACCTTTCATTTTTTCTTGTCTTATTGCATTAACCAGGACTGCCACTATAATATTAAGAGCAGTGGTAAAGAACTAGAGTTGACAACTAGTAGTGAGCACAAAGTTGTTCATAACATGTCTTTATTATATTTTTAATGTCCATGGGATCAGTAGGGATGCCCTTTCTTTCATCTCTGAGATAAGTAATTTGCCTTTCTTTATTTCTTGGTTAGTCAGGCTAGAGGTTTATCACTTTTATTGATCTTGTCAAAGAACCAGCTTTTAATGCCATTGATTTTTCTGTATTGATTTCCATTTTAAATGTCATTGATTTCTGCTCTAATTTGTATTAGTCTTTTCTTCTGCTGATTTTAAACTTAATTTACTCTTCTTTTTAGAGCTTCTTAATGTGGAAACTTAGAATATTGATTTGTGATCTTCTTTTTTAATATATGCATTCAGTGCTATACATTTCCCTCTAAGCATTGCCTTCATTACATCTTGCAAACTTTGATAGGTCGTACTTTTATTTTCCTCAAAATACTTTACAGTTTCTCTTGAGATTCCTTTGACCCATGTGTCATTTAGCAGTGTGTTATTGAATCTCCAAATATTTTGATATTTTCCACCTAGCTTTTGTTATTGATTTCTAGTTTAGTTCCATTGTGGTCTAGAAAGCATACTTTCTATGATTTATATTCTTTCAAATTTGCTAAGGTGTGTTTTGTGGCCCAGAATGTCTATCTTGGTTAATGTCCCATGTGTGCTTGAGAAGATTGTGTATTTGGCTGTTGTTGGGTGAAGTCTTCTATAAATGTCAATTAGATCCAGTTGATTGATAGTGCTGTTTAGTTCAACTATGTCCTTATGATTTTGTGCCTGCTGGATCTGTCAGTTACTGAGAGAGGGCGTTGAAGTCTCCAACTTTAATAGTGGATTTGTCTGTTTCTCGTTGCAGCTCTTTGAGTGTTGCCTCTCCTATTTTGATGCTCTGTTGTTAGCTGCATATACACCAAGGATTCTTATGTATCGGTGGAGGACAAACCCCTTTATTATTATGTAATGGCTCTCTTTATCTATAAATTTTTTCCTGTTCTAAAGTCTGCTTTGCCCCAAATTAATATAGCTACTCAAGCTGTCTTTTGATCAGTTTTAGCAGCGTGGTATATCTTTCTCCATCCTTTTACTTGTGATATATCTGTGCCTTTACATTTAAAATAGGTTTCTTGTAGCTCACATAAAGTTGGGTCTTATTTTTCTTAAATCTGCTCTGACTGTATCTGATTTATTTATTTATTATAAGCAAATGTATTAAGAAGTAAAGGAATAAAAGAATGGTTACTCCATAGGCAGAACAACCAGTATCTGATTTTTTAATTTGTATATTCAGACGATTCACGTTTAAAGTGAATATTGATATAGCTGCATTAACATCCACCATCTTTGTTACTGTTTTCTATTCATTACACTTATCCTTTCTTTTTTCCTTTCTTTATTTCACTCCCTCCCTCCCTCCTTCTTTTTTCCCTCCCTCCCTCCCTCCCTGCCTCCCTCCCTTCCTTCCTTCCTTCCTTTCTATTTCTTTCTCCTCCTTCCCTCCCTCCCTCCCTTCCTTCCTTCTTTTCTTGTGGTCTCTGGCATGATCATAGCTCACTGTAGCCTCCAGCTCCTGGGATCAAGTCAATCCTCCCACCTTAGCCTCATGAGTACCTGGGACTATAGATGCAGGCCACCATGCCCAGCTAATTTAAAAACTTTTTGTAGAGATAGGGTCTTGCTATGTTGCATAGACTGGTCTTAAGCCCCTGGTCTCAAACCCCTGGTCTCAAGCAGTCCCTCCTCCTTGGCTTCCCAAAGTGCTGGGATTATAGGCAAGAGCCACCATGCCTAGCCTGCTTCTATTTTTAATCTTACCCTCTTTCTCTGCCTTTTTCAGTTTTAATTGAGCATTTTCTATTATTTCATTTTCTGATTTGCATTAGTATATCAATTATATTTCTTTTTAAAAAAATTAGTGATTTCCCTTTTCACAAAATTTGCATCCATAAAAAATATACATTTACAACTAATCTAAGTCTACTTTCAAAGAATGCTGTATCACTTTGTGAGTAGTGAAGGCATTGTTTCTTTATAACATAGCATTCCAAATTCTTCCCTCCCTCCTTGTAATATCACAGTCATTCATTTCATTTATGTGTGCTATGATCACCCAACACATTGTGGCTATTATAACTTTTAATTGTAATCTATTAAACAAATTAAGAATAAGAAAATGGAGTATTTTATTTTACTTTCATTCTTTCCCTGATGTGCTTTATTTTTTAATGTAAGTCTGTGTTTCTGACCTATGTAATTTTCTTTCTCTTTTAAGAATGTCTTTTACCATTTGCTGAAGGGCATTTCTGCTGTTCACTAGCTTAGTTTTGTCTGGCTGGAAAAATATTTCTCCTTCCCTTTTGAAGGATATTTTTGCTAAATACAGAAATCTGAGTTGGTGGGTTTTGCTTCCAACACTTTAAATATTTCACTCAAATCTCTTCTTGCTTGCATTGTTTCTGATGAGAAGTCTGTCGTAATTCTCGGGTGAGGTTTCCATTTATTTGTTTTGCACCCCCTGCAATTTATTTCAAGATTTTCTTTTTGTCTTAGGTTTCCTGCAGCTTGAATTTAATACTCCCAGGTGTACGTCTTTGGTATTTATCCTGCTTACTGTTCTCTGAGCTCCCTGGATCTGTGGTTTGGTATCTGTTATTACTTTTGGAAAATTCTCAGAAACATTTCAAGTATTTCTTATTCTTATTTTCTCACCTCTCTCTCTTTTTTATCTTTTAGTTCTTCCAATGACACACCCACACCTCCTTTTGTAATTGTCTCACGGTTCTTGTTTATTATGTACCACGTTTTTGTACATGTTCCTCTTTGTGTTTCAGTGTGTGAAGTCTTTATTGACACATATTCAAGCTTGTGAAAGCTTTCTCTGACCGTGTCTAGTCTACTTAAATAGCCCATCAAAGGTATTTCTTTATTTCTGTTAAAGTGTTTGGATTTTTACCATTTCCTTCCTTTTGATTCTTAGAATTTTCATCTCTGCTTACATCACCCACCTGTTCTCGCGTGTTGCATCCTTCCTCTGCTAGAGCCCGTAATGTTTCAATCATAGTTATTTTAAATTCACCGTCTGATGATACCGACATCTGTGCCATATCTGAGTTGGGTTTTGGTGCTTGCTCTCCTTCTTCTTACTGCGCTTTTCCATGCCTGTTGGCATGTCTTACAATGTTTTGCTGAAAGCTGTAAGTGCTGTCTCTGGCAATAGGAGCTGAAGGGTCCAGGCCTTTTGAGTGAGATTTCATGTTAATCTGCCAACGAGCTGGGTTGTGTTTTGTGTTTGCTGATGCCAGATGCTGAGGTTCCTTGTTTGTTTGTTTGCTCCTCTCTTGTTGTTTTGAGGTTTACCTAAGAACTCCTTAAATAGAGTCTATATTTTGTAACTCTATCAGTTGTAATCTGTTGGGGGGCAGGAGAAGTGTCATATAATATGATTAAGTTTCACTGTTTTTCGTGGGCCTGAGTTCTTGAGCTATGACCTTCAATAGTGTTGTGTAGCTTTTTTATTCTTCCCTTCCTGAAAGAGGAAAGCCAGAGGTCAGATAAGCCTATGGTCAAATTGTTTCCCTGGGGGCGGCGATGGGGGGCAGACTTTTGTTCCCAGGGCAGAACCCTCTGGGCGTATTTTCAGGTGACCATTTTTCCCCTTTCCTTTCCTGAGGCATGAAGTAATTTTAGTACCATCTTCAGATCTTTACCCTGAGACCCTAGGGTTCCTAGAGGTAAACTCTACAAAATCCTGCCCCCCCACCCCCCACCCCACCAGGGTTTTTACCTCTCCAACTAGTCCACACTCAGCCTCCAGCAATTCATCAATTACTAGTTTAGTGTTCCCCTACAAGTTGCTGGCTCCAGCAGCTTAGCACCAGCAAGCTGATTTCAGCTGTGACTTTCTGCACCAGCCTGTCCCTCTCTCTGGGTGTCTGGGTGACAGTTTGCCCTGGGATATCAATTCTTTGATAGATCGAAGTAAAGCTTGCTTGCTTGCTTTCTGTCTCTTTCTTTCTTTCTTTCTTTCTTTCTTTCTTTCTTTCTTTCTTTCTTTCTTTCTTTCTTCTTTCTCTCTCTTTCTTTCTTTCTCTTTTTCCCTTTCTTTCTTTTCTTTTCTTTCTTTCTTCCTTTCTTTCTTTCTCTTTCTTTCTTTCTCTTTTTCCCTTTCTTTCTTTCCTCTCTTTCTCTCTTTCTTTCCTCTCTTTCTTTTCTTTTTTTCAGACAGGCCCTCCCTCTGTCACCTGGGCTGGAGTGCGGTTCACCACAGCCTCGATTTCTCAGGCTCAAGCTGTTCTCCCACTTCAGCCTCCCACGTAGCTGGGACTGCAGGCATGTACCACCACACCTGGGCTATATTTATTATTATTTTTTTTTGTAAAGATGGGATCTCACAATATTGTCAAGGCTGGTCTTAAATTCCTGGGCTCAAGCAATCTGCCCATCTCTGCCTCACAAAATTCTGGGATTACAGGCATGAGCCACCACATCCGGCTAAGTAAAGTTGTTGATTTTCAGTTTTCTCCATTTTTGTTTTCCTTGTGAGCTCAGGAGTGATAACCTCCAAGCTCTTTTTGTGTTGGAGATGAAGCCTGAAGTCTCTCAATATATTTTCAAAGGCAGCAAATGGAATTATGCCAGCCCTCTGCTAGGCGGAGAGAGAGAGGCTGAGGACTGGCCTGGGGTTGCTTGTTGGCGACGTGCCTTCTGCCATCCTTTCTTCTTGGCCTGATGGCAGAGTCAGGACTGCCTGCCTGGGGACATAATTAGTAAATGTGTCATCTGCTGGCAGATTACGATGTAGTGCTAAACCTTTCTCTAGGTACGATTCTGTCCCAGCGATTCCTCCGCCTGGGCCAGGCGTCAGCCCTAATGAAAGGCTGCAGGACCTGTCCACACCGTGTCTGTCTGTGACCTAATGGGTGTGACGGGAGGCTGATGAAGTAAGTAAGTCTCTCCCGGGTCCGCCAGATTGGGTCGGCAAGTGAATAGCACGTGGGCACGCCAGGAGGAAGCTGGGCTGGCAGCTGTGAGGTGGATCCCAGCAGCCAGCCCATGAATAGCCCCATGCTCACCCCTCCCCTGGGCTCCTCCCCACTCCCTGACCCCATCCAGAGCAGCCCGGCCCCTCCTCTGCAGGGCTGCAACCTCTGCCCAGGGATCCCTGCAGCTCCCACCTTCCTACTCGCATTTCCTGAGCAGCAGCAAGGGACACCCTTAAGAAAAAAGGTTGGATGATGCTTCCCACATTCCCCCAGTAAATCCCAAGCCCCTTCCCCAGCCATGGAGGCCCCACTCTCCTGGCTCTTCTAGCTGGCTGTCCTCCTTCCGTATCCTCACGTGCGGGAACACACTGCTCCAACAGCATGGCCATCCTGCCTCTCACCTCTCAGACACAGCCCTGGGCTGGCCTCTGCCTGAACAACGCCTGTGCTCCTCAATCCCTGATCTGTGTAGCTCTCTGCTCCCACGGCCCTCTGCAGGGAGCCCTTCCCTCCCGACCACTCTGGAAAAGGTGCCACCGTCCCCCTGGACCAGGCCTCTCTCTGCCTTTGCCCTGCTGCCTCACCCTGTCAGGACCGCCTACCTGATCTGTGCACCCCAGGAGGCATTGCAATGTCAGGAGGGCACCAGCACAGCCTGGACCTGAGGGTGGACCCTCCTAAGGCTGGGCCCTGTGTGACCACAGCAGGCCCTGGAGCCAACCTGCTCTGTAGTTATGTTTACTTGTTTTCTCGTTTATCTTTCTCTTTTCCTGCAGAAAATCAATGTCTGTGCTGCCCTCGTCTGTGTCTCAGCACCTGCAGCAGCGTCTGGCCCAGGGCAGGCCTTCCAATGCATTTGTGGAGTAAGGGAAGGAAGCTGGGAAGCTCTGTCACTGGGCATCGGAGCTGAAAGGAGGACAAGACCCTGAGGCTTGGAGGCTCCAGTGGAACTGGGAGGACTTGGGAGGCGGTGGGGCCTCCTGCTCTCTGCAGGTATTTCCAGGCTCCCGGCCGCAGCTGTCTTGAGACTATGGCCCCGAGGAGGCGGGAGATGGAGGGTGAGATTCTGGGTGGGAGGAGGGGGAAGGGTATAGGGAAGAATGTTAAACTAATAAAAACCCCTTTTACATTTGCGGCTGTAAAACTTTATAGAGATTTCTCAACACGTGACAAGAATAATAACCAGGCTTTCTTTTCAGTAATTGCCAAAACCACAACACCCGTGAGGCCTTTTGCAAGCAGGAAAATCCCTGGGCGCCCGGCCCCGGGCAGGGGGCCCGAGCAGAAGGAGCTCAGTGTCCAGGCTGGCCTGGGAATCGGGCGCCCACCCCACCCTCCCCTGGGCCAGGGGACAAGGCCAGGCTACCAGCCGGTGCACAGCAACCTCCAGTGGCAGGAGGGAAATTTCTTTGCCAGTTCTAGAACTTTCTGTTTCCCTGGCTGGCTACCTGGGGGTGAATCCAAGATGATCTCATGCCTCATTGTGGATTCGATTCTGCTGCCCCTCGGCTGTGGGAAGTTGGCAAGCCCCTCCTAGATCTGGGGCTAGGTCCTCTGAGTTGTTCAAGGAGGGAGGGTACTGTATCATCTAGCTCAGCGTAACGAGCCCGTCTCAGACCAGGGGCTGGTGCTTGGACCTTGCCCTGGAGGAACCTGGAGGTTCATTCATGAGACTGAGGCACACAGCTCACTCCCCTGGGAAGTGGCCGACAAGGACGCTTTCAGGCTGAGGTCTGAAGCATCATTCCTCATGACCATCCACATAGAAACCGAGAGAAACTGACAATGGGTTAGAAGCCTCTGCAGACAACCCACATTAGCCACATGCCTTGTGCACCAGCCTCTCCCACCTTCTTCTGCCTCTGGGTGTGCGGTGTGACCTGGGCCTCAGCTGCGACACCCTCTGTGTCCTCAGCTCGGAGTCCTGGGTGGTGTCTCCAGGCCTGACCCATGAGCCGCGTGCAGGGCAGGCTGAAGGGGTGGAGTCCAGGTGCACCTGCAGGATTCTGGCTTCCTGGATAGTCCTGGGAGGGCCCTGAGCTGCTGTGGGAGGACTTTAGAGGAGTCTGTCTGGGAGGAGAGGGGCTGGCAGCAGGGGGTTGCCTCCCGTTTGGCTGAGCTGTCTGACGGAGAGTTGGGCGCCAGGGTCTGGAGCGCAGCAGGTGGACTTTGAGTCCCAGTTACAGGAGAGCAGCGAGCGGTCAGGAGTGGCTGCAGCAGCCCGGCCAGGCTGGAGCTGGAGCTTCCCAGGCTGCAGGCTGGGAGTGGGTGGGGACCAGTCCTGGATGGGGCCCTGGAGGAGGATGGGCTGGAGGAGGCAGGGCAGGGCCAGACCAGAGGAAGATGTGCCCTCCTCTCCTCCTCTGCCCCCTCTTTCCCCTCCCTGCAGCCTCACAAATTAGATCCCTTTCTTAGACTTTCTCTAGTTAACAGGCTTACTATGAAAGGGCACAGATTAAAGTGTCTTACCTCGCTCTTTCGTCCCACTTCCATTTTCAGCTCGCAAAATGTCACGGGTTGTCTCTTTGCCTGGTTGCCTGGCTCAGGCAGGTAATAATTGGTGCCCTGATGCTCAGGTGTGAGCACCAGAGGCTGGCTCAGCCTTCCCACCTGCCACAGTGCCCTCCCCGCCTGGCAACCCGCTGCAGCTCCCAGAGGGCTGGACTACAACTTATAGGCTGGGGGCTTGGGTGAGTCAGGGATCAGGGATCTCTGAACTCCATGCCAGGCTCTGCTTCCAAGGCCCACAACACAGGCCAGGCCCTGACCCTCTGCCAGGGGTACAGTCTGTGTTTGCGTGTGTTTATGTACCCAGGTATATGAGTGTGGGGCATATGCGTGCATGCATGTGTGTGAATACATGTGTGTATAGAGGTGTATGCCTAGTGTTAATGTGTGTTCATGTGTATGTGTGAGTGCATGTTTATGTGTATGTATATATGTGTGAGTGTACATATGTCTGCATGTATTTGTGTGTGGCTGGGAGAATACGTGTACATATATGTGTGTGCCTGTGTAGTGTGCTAGTGCATGCATGTGTATATTTATGTATGTGTGTGTATGAGTATGTATGTATTTAATGTGAGAGTGTGTGTACATAGACGTATGTGAATGCATGTGTGTACATGGTGCACATGTAAACATGTGTGTTCTTGCTGCACATCTCTGAGCAACACAAGGCAGTTTCATCTGGAGGCACAGCTGAGGCAGTCTCCTTGCTGGCCAGCCTTCCCTGGGGAATCCTCACTCTAGCAGGACCGTAGCCCCGTCAGCATCCCTGGCTTACGATGGCTGGGTTAGATTGGGTGGGGAACTGCATCCGTGTCACAAAAGAGCTAGAGGATGGGGGCTTAGAGCAATAGGCTCAGATTTCTCTTCCTGGATTTGTGGCTCAGTCCTCCTCAGCAGAGCCACGGCCTTCCCAGGGAGAACCAGCCCTTGAATGGGGGCCCTGGGGTGAGGGTGTTGACAGCCAACCACCCTGGTGATGGCTCTTCAGACCTGAGGGGCATGACTGTCCCCTCATCTCAGCAGGGCACTGTACATTGTCTTCTCTCCAGCCTGCCTGGGCCAGGTGTCCCATCTGCCCTGAGGTCCAGCCCAGCTCTGGCCATTACTGGGTGAGTTTATAAATGGCACCCCTGCCCCATTCCACTCAGAGTGTGATTCGGGCGACGGTGTCACCTCTGGGGAAACGTCAGCTCATTTCTAGCTCAAGAAGCGGATCTGCACCCCGGCCTTCTAGCATCTCCAGGACGTTGATCATGCTTGGCTGCCTAGGCCTCCAGGCCAGCAAGATACCCCAGCTGCCTCCACAAGCAGGCAGAGACTTCACCCCAGCTCGCCCCAGTCCACGCAACTCACCAGTTCACATTTTCATGCGGTATTACATGAAAAGCACTTTTTGTTTTATTACACAGAATTTATCAAAATGATTTTAATGTGAAATAGCTCATGCAAAAATTATGACAGACTGGACTTGCCACGATTTGCTTACACCTGCCCCCCCACCAACCCCATTGATGTGATTTTGTTCTCTTGCCTCAAGTTCCAGAAAGACCCCTCTGGACCTAGCACTGGACAGGATGATTGCAGAGGGTCCAAGGAGAGGCAGGGAAGTCAACTAGAGGCTCCTACAGGAAGGAGGCCTGGGGCAGAGCACATCCAACGTCCTCACCCCATTACGCTTGCACTGTCCTTAATTTCTCCCCCTCCTAGAGATAAGGGAACATCCCAAAGACCAAGACCAGCTGAGGTTTTGGTCTCACATTCATTCAGTGAGCTCTTCACACTGGGTTCAGCCCACAGGCGTCATCTGGTGAATGGATGTTGACAACTGGGTGAGTGCAGGAAAAGGGGAGGCCAAGGACCATGAGCCTGAGGCCCTTCATTTAGAGAAGACTCAGCGAGGACCCGATCAGATACGGGATATCGGCATGAGGTAAGAGAGAATCTATCCTCTATAGCAAAGCTAGCATCAGGGGCAAAAGTAAGAGTGGGGCAGGTTTGGGTTCCAATAAGGAAGACCTTTTGGTTAAGAGGCATTTCCATGGTTGATTCCACTGGAAACAGCTGATTGGAGCTGTGGTTGCCTTGTCACATTCTGGTTCCTGACACTGTTTTCTTTTTCTGTTTGTTTGAGACAGGGTCTCACTCTGCTCTCCAGGCTGCAGTGCAGTGGTGTGATTACAGTACACTGCAACCCCCTCCTCCGAGTCTCAAGCAATCTTCCCACCTCAGTCTCTTAAGTAGATGGGATTACAGGTTCATGCCACCATACCTGGCTAAAATTTTTTTGGCATTTTTTTGTAGAGACAGGCTCCTCCTATGTTGCCCAGGCTGGTCTCCAACTCCTGGGCTCAAGAGATCCACCTGTATCAGCCTCCCAAAGTGTTGGGATTATGGGCATGTAAAAATAAGAGGCAATCCTAGCCTCTTATTTTTCTTCATATCCCTGGACACCTCTGACACACTGTGCATTTGCTTGTTTATGGACTTCTGTCTATCTTTCCTAATAAAGGACATCTTTTTTTCACTACTGAAACCTCAATCATGCTAACTCTGCTGCATACACTGAAGGGCCTCAAAAATTGCATTCTGAATAAACAGATGGATGGATGAATGGATGGATGGATGAAGGATAGATGAATGTGGTTGGATGGATGGATTGATGGATTGATGGGTGGATGGATAGATGGGTGGATGGATAGATAGGTGGAAGGATGAATGAATGGATAGATGGGTGGTTGAATGGATGGATATGGATAGATTGGTGGGTGGGTGGATGAATGGAAGGATGGATGCATGGATGGATGGATGGATGGATAGATATGATTGGCCTGGATAACCTCCAAGGTGCCTTCCAGTGATGCAGTTTGTCTCCTTCCTGCATTTTCGACCAGGCTTTCTGACTTTGGATGACTTGATGTGGCCGCTTAGTCTTGTTTTGTCTCTGTTTCCCCATATCCAGCCTTTTGGTTCAATGCTTACTCCTTTTCACTAGTTGTCACCCTGAACAAGGGATCTTCCCTCCATGTCATGGTGCAATTGAGCAAAAGGGAGCTAATTGAGACCAGTGTTTGCCAACCTCCCCTCACATGGTAACAGGTGGTTGAAACAATTATTATTTGTCTAAATACATTTGAGAAAACAGCACCTTAGATCCCACTCTTGAGGATTCAAAATGTTCATTAGTATTTCCAAAGCTCTAAAATGCCCTGTGGTCAATTAGGTTGACCTGTCTAAAGGATGATTCCCTAAATTAGTTGATGATGGGACCCTTGCGTTGTCAGTACCGAAAAGCATGATGTCATGAGCAACAGCTAAGACAGTGCTAGACTAAAACCTGAGGTCCTCTCCCTATCAGAAGACTGCTCCCCTACCTCGGGCCTTCATTTATAAAACAAGGATGAGAATGCTGATTTCACCATGGAGACAAAGCAAGTAAGGGTGAACGTGTCAGGCCTTTAGCATGATGTCTAGCATATATGAAGAACTCAACAAGTGGTACACGATTGATTATTAGCTATCATTTTCATTGTGGTAAAAAACAAAATGTAGCATTTACAATTAGTGACACCTATAGCACATGCACAGTCTTGCACAACCAAGACCACTCTCTAATTCCAGGACATTCACAAAATCCCCAAAAGAAACCCCACATCCACTAGCAATCATTCTCCATTCCCTCTCCTGCCAGCCACCACTAAGCTACTCTTGTCTGGGTAGATTTGTTACTCTGGACTTTTCATATCAATGGGATCATCCGATAAATCATCTTTTGTGTCTGGCGACTTTCACTCAGCATCACGTTTTCTAGATTCATCTGGGTTGCAGCAGGTGCCGGTGCTTCCTTACTTGATGTGGCTGAGGAATGGTCCATTGTATAGATGGACCACACATTGTTTATCCAGCCATCGGCTGATGGACAGCTGGGCTGTTTCCACCTACTGGCTATTAGGAATAATGCTGCGATGAATATTTACGCACAAAGTTTTGTTTAGTTACCATTTCCATGTCACATGGATTGTGCGTTCGATGGAGGATATAGAGCATTTTATCCCAGACCTACTAGCTGCCCTCCCGGCTCCAAAGCCGTTCAATTCTGCACCACAGCTGCAGATTTTTCACACACGATGCATAAAAAGGCCTCAAACCCAGAGACACACCCAGAAGTGGCAGCGGGGCTGTGATCCCTCTTTGGGTGTGACCTGCGACGTGCAGGTGGATTTCCCACCCTCCCCATTTCCTGCTGCCTGGGTTCCCATTTGTCCTTGCTTCATGTTTGCCAGAGAACACGGTTGAAGCACAGACTCATTGCAGGACTTTGCAGAGGAGACCCGAGGAGACACTCCATCATCCGCTGCGGCAGATGAAAAGGAACTAATTTCCTTCTTGTGTTCTAATAAAGCATAAGGTTCACAGTATCTCTCCTATTTGTCCAGGAGAACAAAGGTGCTGTGTGCCCCCTCCTTCATACAGCATCCAGTCCACTTTGTCAGAGCCTGCAAGGGCCTCATTTTCCTTACCCACACATGTGGGCTGATAAAATATTCATAGGGTGTCACCTCCCTGCCAGCAGCAGACTCCAATAGCATTGTGTGGAGCAGAAAGAGGCACTACCAAATACATAAACATCACATGGTTCCAACATAAATAAAAAAACCACTGAGGTGCAGAAAATCAAGACCAGAATTTGTCTTTCAAACTGCTTAAAGCGATATGCCATAAGTACCACCACCCAATAGCTTAAATGGGTTGGGATCCTCTTAAGGAAGTTGCCTCATTCTTTCCCATAACATCTGCAATTAAGACAACATCTAGAATCTGGAGCATAAGTCCCCACCTCACTCAAGTCCTAGGGTCTTAAAAAATGCAGGTACACATCAATCATTTTTGGTGAACAAGATAGGTAATCAGAGTTCTGACAGGCTGGAGAAGAACACGCTCTTGTTTCAGGTAGAAACCGTGTCCAGAAATGTGGTCTCATGCTCCAGGTAGAAGGGTTACTCCTTCCTGAACAGGTATCTAGAGAGGCTCAGTCCACTGGCTTGAGGACTTAGAGAGGCCTCTCCCTGGCAGCCTCTCAGCCTCCACGGACCTTCCCGCTCCTCCACCTTATCAATCCCCACCCCTCAAAAGTCTGGAGTTAACCTAGACCACCTCCACAACCTAACACTTCCATTCCCGTATGTGTCATCTGTGGCAGACCTGACTAATCAATCTCTGCACTCCTTCCCTTGGAACTTGGACTAGGGGACCTCACATTCATTCAATAAAGAGCTCCTGAGCTTGGCATGGGGAAGGAACTGGGCTTGGCACCCCGGGTATGCAGCAACAAACAAGACAGCATCTCAGTGTTGGGGCAGCCTGTGGTTCAGTGGGAGGGGGCCCATTGTGGTTGGGAAATGATAGAGAATGTGAGGACATGAAGGCAAGACCCATCAACTCGGCCGAGAGGAGAGAGGATACATCTGCTTTGGGCATATTTAAACTGGGTTTTAAAGGATGAATAGGAGTTCATCAGGTAGTAGGTCTAGCATTGCTGTAGATTAAATGTTTGTGTCTCCTCGACATTTACATTTTGAAGCCCTAACGTCCAATGTAATGGTATTAGGAGGTGGGAACAATGTAATGATATTAGGAGGTGGGAACTTTGGGAGGTGATTGGATCATGAGGGTGGAGTGCCATGGATGGGTTAGTGTCCTTATAAAAGAGGCCCCCAGAGAGGTTCCTCATTCCTTCCACCATGTGAGGACACAGTCAGAAGGTGCCATGTAGGAATCAAGATGCAGGTCCTCACCAGACACCAAATCTCCCGGTGCCTTGACCTTGGACTTCCAGCCTCCAGGGCTGAGAACAATAAATTTCTGTTGTTCATAACCCGCCCCACCCTGGTATTTTTGTTAGAGCAGTCCAAGACAATCATCTTCAAAGGCTCGGAGGCAGAGCAGGCAGGAAGTTTGGTGACTTGCCTGTGGTTCATGATGCCTGGAGGCAGGGGTGTCTGGAGGGGTGAGTGTGAGGGGTGAAGTTCGGGAGATGGACACGGCACTAACAATGAAGGGGTGAGGATAGAAAATCATCGTGAGCTTTTAGGCAGGAAGTGACACGGCCATATTTATGTTTTAGAAAAGATCACTTGGTAGATGTATTGTGGCTTCTCTAGGGTAATACATTTGTGGTGGGACTTCAGGTATCAGTGACCAAGGAGTTGGGTGAGGATGGCGTATCCTGGACTCCCGCCTGTGGAGCCCTCTCCACATTCAAGCCAGCAGCTAAGCCTTTGAGCCCAAGACATTCCTTGGATCTGATTTCTGGAAGTCTGTCACTGACCATGTGGGCCAAATATTCAACACAGTCCTCCCGGGGTCTCCATGGGCGAGGCTGTGGGCTGTGATTGGGCTTGAAGAAGCCCACCTCGCCAGGGCCCACCTGCAAGCCTCGCCACTCAGAGAGAGGGAGAGTCAGGGGGACGCTGGCTACACCTGTTCTGGCTTCTGTCCTTCTTCACCATCTGTAGTCCTTGGGCCTCTGTTTGCTGGGATTTCTTCAGTGGAAAGTAAGAGAAAGGCCACTTAAAGAGAAAAGCAGGTTAAACCAAGAGGGGATTCATAGCCTTCTACAAACCATGGAGAGGCAGGGCCAGTCTCAGGAGGGCGTGGGTCCAGGGCTGCTTCTCCCTCCGTCTGCCCCTTCCCCTCTCTCTCCTCTCTCTCCCGTCTCTCCCCTCTCCCCTCTCCCTTCACCCCTTGTCCGCTGCCCCCCTCCCCGTCCCCTGTCCCCTCCCTCTCCCACTCCTCCTCCCCTCTCCCCTCTCCCATCTCTCCTTTCCCACTTCAGCCCTTCTGTGTGGAGTCCATAGTTCTCCCCCGAGGTCCAAGGTCAGCGGGCCTTCTCCAGGCTGAAGGGCAGGTGGTGAGCAAGCAGGAACCTTCCCCTCCGTGCTCATGGCCAGAAAAGAGGAACAGCACCCTTTGAAATGCAGTTTGGCAGAGCGCTGAGGAGGCAGGCTGGTGGCCAGGCTGGGGGCTGGACTCACCCATGGGACCTTACGGCCTTGCGTGAGGTGCCGGATGTGCTTTGCTGGGACAATCTGCAGAGAGTCACTTCAGTGAGTCTCTTATCAAAATGAGTGATTGTGTCCCTGTGTGTCTGTGTGTGTGGCATATGTGTGTGATGTGTGCATAGTGTGCATATGTCATGTGTGTGGGTGTATGTGGTCAGTGGTGTGTGTGACATGTGTGGGTTTTGTATAAGATGGAGTAGGGTGTGGTGTATGTGGTGGATGTGTGTGTTGTGTGTGTGTATGGTGTTTGAGATGTGTGTCTGCATATGTATGAGTTTGGTGTGGTGTGTGTGTGTAAGGTGTGTGTAGTGTTTGTGATGTGTGCGGTGTGTATGGGTGTGATGTGTACGGTGTGTGGGGGATTGTGATGTGTGTGGTGCATATTTATGGGTGTGTCGTGTGTGTGTCTATGGTATTTGAGATGTGTGTGCGTGTATGTATGGGTGTAATGTGTATGGTGTGTTTGTGTATATGGTGTGTGTGTTTATGATGTGTGGTGTTTGTGATGTGTGTGGTGTGTATGTATGGGTGTGTTGTGTGTGTGGCATTTGTGATGTGTGTGGTGCATAGGTATGGGTGTGTTGTGTGTGTGTGTGTATGGTGTATGTCCGTGAACACTGCGGGACATAGCATGGCAGGTGTGATGCCCGCCGTAGCCAGGCCTGGGGACCGGGCCTCCCTCCCTCCTTCTTTCGGTGTCGGTGGCCGGGGCATGAGTCACACACACTGAAGGGTGGGTGGGACCTTGGCGGAAGTGACTGTGCTGGGAAGGCACAGGTCAGCGTTCGGTCTGGTCCAGCAGGCCGTGAGGTTTGAGGCAGGCACGGGCCTCCCGTGCACTGACTCCGGTGGAGCACCGAGGCTGCTCCGAGGCTGCTCCTGGTGAGACGTCCACAGCCCCTCTGGCTCACGTGCAGCCACCCTCGTCCTGTCCTCAGGTATAATGAGAAGAGGAGAGAGTGAAAAGGCTTCAATTATTTCATTTTACCTCTTCTCCAATTTGTAAAACCGTGCCCTCTGAGAGCACATTGCCTCCGGGCTCGTGTACAAAATTTGAAAACATTCAATTAAAAATCACAAAGCTGCTTTCTGGGGGCTGGGGATGGCTCAGCTGCCCCAGGCTGTCCCGTGGGGCGGAGGCAAAGCAGGCTCCCCAGGGCCCGCCCCACAAGCGCTGGACCCCAAGGGCCAATTTGCAAGGGAAGCTCAGTCTGCGAGGTGAGGTGACGACCTTGGGGTGCTGTTAAAGGGAGGCAGGCTCAGTCCTAGTTTGTAAAAAGAGTCAAGTGAGGTTTGCCGAGAGTGGGACGAAGGTTCTGGGTGGGTGGACCCTGGCCAGGGATCCCTCCTTGGGATGTCCTGCAGCTATTTCCCAACTTGTGGCTGAGTTGGGGCAGTGAGGGCAGCGCGGGGCTCCCTAGACGAGCAGGTCTCCAGGTAGATAAAGCAACTGTGGTTTGTATTCTTGCAGCCTTTATTTCTTTTCTATTCTTTTCTTTTTTCTATTATCCATTTGGGTTAAAGTGATGATAACGGCATGGCATGGGTTAAAGCCTGCAGTGTGATCTCAGTCTCCACTCTTTGCTTGAGGAGTCTTCCTTTTCCATCCCACCAATTAAATGTATATTTGCCATTTTCCCAGAGCCTGAGCTCCTGGCCATGGATACCCTCCTCCTTCCTCATGGCCGGGTGTTTGCTGTCCTGCTGGTGGCAGGTGCATGGAGTGCAGACCTTCCCCTTACCTTTCCCTGGGGAGAGCCTGCTGTACCAGATCCCACCCTGGCAATGGACAGGCCACGTGTCCTTGGGGACAGGCTGAGGGTCAGCTACCGTGGGACTCTGGTGTCTGCCTCTTCGTGAGAACACAAGAGTTCCCGCAACACAGACGCTGACATAGAGCCCGTGAGCCCAGCCCTACAAAGCTCTGAGCAGCCCCCTCCCCCTGAGACACGCCGTTCTAGGAAAAGGATGGCAGGAATCCCCCTGAGCCTCCGTCCTCTGCTCCATCCCTCCTGCCAGGCTCCTCCCACCAGCACCTGCTTTTGCAGGAGACTCAGACAGGGAAGACTTCTGCATCCCTTTTCTTTATTACATTTGATGGATGTATTTGGTCCAGTCAGGGAGTAGGGTCCCATTCTGAGGACACACGGAAAATCAGGGAGCACTTTTGTCTTGGACTCTGCAGGTGCCCCTTACTGAGGGGCAGGCAGGCAGGGGCGGCTTACTGAGGGGCAGGCAGGCAGGTGCTCTTCGTGGATTTCTTCAGATCAACAGGCACGGAACCGGAAAGCAGAGAGTGTGCTTGCTCCCCGTGCTGCACGATGAGACACACCCTCTGTACACCAAAGGCCGAAGGACTTTCAATCGAGCATTTATGTTGGGTCTGAGATGCCAAGGGGACAATGACCCATTCTTTCAACACATGTTAACTGAGGGAATAACAAGGAAAGCAGCGGCACCCCAGATGAGGATGCCCAGGATTGCCCTGTCTCAGCACTGTGTGCCAGGCGACAGGCTCCTTCAAGCTCATCGAGGGAACTGCAAGTGAGAAGCATCCGGCCAGTGGTCTGGGATGAAGCAGGGACTGGGCTGTTCGGGGACCTTGCTCCATGCAGACCTCATGCAGGACTCTTTACGGATCATCCCCAAAGCTACAGATTTTGAGACGGGGAAGACTGTCAGGATTCCTTCCCCGTTCCCACCCAGAAGTCCTCTGCCTATTTATGAATGATTACAAATAACCAGGGGGATACTTACTGCAGACACCTTCCCCCATGCTTGGCTCTGCCCAGGGCTGTGGCTGCCATCTCCCAAGGTGGCACAAACAAATAATGATCACAGTATTAACAGATAGTGCACTCAAAATTGCTTGTCAGACTTGGGAATATCACTTCTCTCTTTTGCAAGAAGGTCATTTCAGTCTGCACTGCAATTGAATTCTGCTTTTGTCTGTGGCATTATTGAGATGTAATAAGGTTAGTAATGATTGCTGAAAACATTTGTCATTGAGTTGTTTGAAAGGAAGACTGCATTTGTGGGAAAATAAAAAGAGGGTGAAATGCGCATAATAGATTTGCATTCAGAGCTGGCTAAGGACTTGGGGTTGAGGAACAGAACTGGCTGGGGATACTTTCTGTGTCCAGGGCTTCCAGAAGCACCCACTTGTTGCTTGCGGGGATCCTCACTTCATTCTTGGTGGTGCATTTTGTGTTCCTCAGGGCGCCTGGCTTGAGAGTTGAGAGGCTAAGTGTGCAATGTGGAGAATGTTGGCTTTTCAAGGCAGTCAGACATAGATAGAAATCTCAGCTTCTTGCCTTGCTAAGTGTGTGGTCTTGGACCTCAGTTTCACATTTGTCTGTGGGATAACATATCGTGCCCCCGGACTCTTGCACACCACATTTAAGGAGACAAGGTCCATAAACCATGAAAAGTCACAGCTGCTGAGTGGTGGGTCTCCCCTCTCCCTGTGGCCACTCCCAGCATGCCTGTCCGTGATCTGTGGACCTCAGCTGGGTTACCTACCACCCCAGCATCTGTGTCTCTATTCAGAACATGTGTGTTCACCCCACTCCTGGAGACTTCAGAGGTGTAGTCAGACTCCAAAATCATAATGCGTCCGAAGGCCTCTCAGGGACAGATGGAAAGTTTAAAAATCCTAATTTTTTCAAAAGCGATAATAACTTGCTCATTTAGAATTAGGCATAGTGGCTCACACCTGTAATCCCAGCACTTTGGGAGGCCAAGGCGGGAGGCTCACCTGAGTTCAGGGGTTCGAGACCAGCCTGGCCAACACGGTGAAACCCCGACTCTACTAAAAATACAAAAACTACCCCGGCGTGGTGGTGGGCGCCTATAATCCCAGCTACTCGGAAGGCTGAGGCAGGAGAATCGCTTGAACCCGGGAGGCGGAGGTTGCAGTGAGCCGAGATTGCGCCACTGCACTCCAGCCTGGGCAACAAGAGCGAAACTCCGTTCTCAGGGAAAAAAAAAAAAAAAAGAATTAAATTCTATATCCAGAAAGTGGAAGCCCGAGTCTTGACTCTGCTACCATCTCATTTAAATTCTTTTAAACCATTATTTGTTTAGGTACAAAAATAGTTAACTAATTGGCAATTTCACACTGTTTAGTTTCACAGCCCTGCGGCTTCGGGGAAATCACCTAACTTTTGTAAGTCCCAGCGCGTTCTTCCGCTTGATAGCTGTCGCAGGGCCCCCTCCCTAGACGGTGGTGGACACCGCACAGGGCACACCCCAGGCCTGGCGTGCCGGGCGAGCACGCGTTGCACCGGGGCCTTCAGGCAACACATGGGCCGTGAAGCAGGCTCTTCCTTCCGCGGAGCTCCCTGTGCCAGGTCAACACCGTGCGAAGGCTACGCCATGCTTTGGTTGAAATACACCATGAAAAGGAGTGGCCCCGGCTTCCACCTGTGACTGCCTCCCTCCCTCTTGCCACGTGGGGTGTGGATGTGGCTGGGGCCACAGGCCTGGACCCAGGAGGAGGAGTCTGGTTTTTCCTGCGGAGACGGCCTCGCTCCTGCTCACCCAGATGTGGCAGCAGGAGGCACCCAGGGCTGTGAGAGAAGAAGGAAGGATGCGCCTGGGGCAGTTTCCGCCAGCCGGACCCTGCTGTGAACCGGAGCCCGGAGGCCACAGGCCCTCAGAGTAGAGCAGCAGGGGCGCGCACACCCAAGCTCACAGAACGGGGTTCTTGAGTGTTTCTGTTGTGTGTGCGTTGTGTGTATGGTGTATTTGTGTTTGCATAGTGCGTGCTGTGTGCGCATGCCCATGTCTAACAATGAGGTCACACCCTGTGCTCACTCAGTGCGTCATCCTGGGCCCTGCCGCCACAGCTGCGAATCAGAGGCGAAGTCCCTTTTGGGGTGCCCTGGAGGCAGGTGCTACCGCTCCTGTTTTAGACTCAAGCCTGGAACCGGCCTCCTTTCCTGTTCAATATCAGCCTTTCTGCTCGGCCCACGGCTCTGCTGTGGAGGTTGTTGCTGTTCTCACCTGGCCGTGCCATGACGCACCTCCTATCTCGCTCCCATACGCTGGATCAGCACCCAGTACATAGCATCTTGTGGGCCAGCCATTAGATCTTCATCCATTTAATTCTCTGTTTATGCAAAAATATTTGTGAAGCAAAATTGCTGACAATATTAATAAGAATCTTTTCATGGCAGGGGTGGGCCCCATTTAGACATCTCTGCCTTTGGGCATAATTGTTTAATCGGGTTGAGTTCGCCCAATTGCCCACTTTACTTCCTCTGCACATAGGAAATATTGTGGGTTGGATGGCTGATTTTATTTGTCCTAAAATTACTTATCCTGGTGTTGGAACATTCTAAGGTTTAATGAATAATCAAGTTTTCCTTATTTTCCCACATTTTATGGCAATACTCAAACGTACTTCAGGTTTTGACAAATATAAAGGTCTGCTCTTATTACAAGCATTTTAATTATAGCAACAATTACCCATTTATTACATTACGACGTTGGAACAGGTGTCTCCCTCCCCGTGTCAGAATCCTGATCGCGCCACTGCTCTGTGCAGCCCTGGGCTTGCCTTGCCATCGGCTCCCTGAGGCCACATGTTCTCCTGCACCTGCTCTCAGCTTTTGGGTGGAGAGTGTGACTGATTTTAGTTTCCCTCAGAAGAGCCAGGCACAGGCATCCTTGGAGGAGGAGACACCTTTGCACTCATTCTGCCTGCAAAGGTTGCATGGGTGTGACTCCAGTTCCTACAGGAGGATGTCCTGCTGTTCTGGTGCAGGTGGGTGCCTTTGCCTCCCACTTGTGTTCTGATGCTGCCACCTCAGCCACAGTGGACCCCCAGCCCTTGTGCAACACAATTCTCCAGCGTCTGGGAGGGAGGCAGTCCTCCAAATGCGATTACCATCTCCTTCAAGGAGCACCTTTACGAGCTGCAGTGTAAAGGAAAAGATACAATAGTATCTCGATATGTTCTCAGGGTTGAATCCACAGTGAAAGTGGAGGTCTGCTGGGAGCATCATGCCCCATCGGGGTGGGTGGGAGAGGCTGAGCAGAGGCACTGATGTCTCACCTGAGCAGTCAATAAAGAGGCAACATGCATGGAGTTGCGGGTGAAGTGTAAAAGCTCCAGCTATGAGTAGCCTCCGGAGGGAGCACCCTTCACACAGGGTGGGACCATGTGGCCTGACGGGCCTGCAATGCTTCAGCCATCCCCTCTGTTCCCTCGTGCTGCCCCCATGGGGGCTCCTCAAATAGTCTTCTGCAATGAGTATAGGCGCTGAACACCTTCCTGAAGGCCCATCCTGCGGCCCAGCTGATGCCCCCAAAGCTCTTCCCACCTCCAAGCTGCACAGCCCAGGAGACCCCAAGTCACTCTGTCCCAGCACTGCTGTGGGGTTGTAATCACTTTCCCCGAATGTAACTCCCCCCAAACTGCCCCATCTGAGCTGAGGGCAGGGGAGTGTTCTTGGTATGCCCATCTCACCAGGACCCAGCACAGCCTTGGGGGCTGAGTGGGAGCAGGAGAGTTCCTGAGTTAATGATTCCATCTTGGTTTATGCTGCTGGAAGAGCCAAGAGAAGGATGTCAGGGAGCCCAGGAAGCTCTGGCGGGGACCTTAGCAAGGCCCTGCTTCCATGGACATCAAGTTTTCCTGGGTGGTTGATGGTGACTGATGGCACCTGCCCTGATGGAGGCTCTTTGTGGAACTCAAGTCACTGTGTGCTGTGTGAGCTCGGTACAAGGTGCCGCCATTGCTTGATTTTGTATTAGTGGTTTAGACCATAAAACCAGTCAACAACAACCTTTCTTTCATGTGGGATACTGCAGGGCTCTGTGTCCAAGGCCCGGGACCATGCTGCCACCTGCCATGGGGAGGGCTGCTCTCACTCACAGCACTGCTGGGCTCACTCCAAGGATGGATGTGCTCTGACCTTTGTGCAGCCTTCCCTTACAGGAGGCCGGGGTGGGGTGTCCCTCCAACCTGGAAGCCGTGCTGCCCGAGACAGCCCAGCAAGGGCCTGGAAGGACACAGCCTCCCCTTGGTGTGCAGGAAGGGTTGGAATCTCAGCTCCTCCACGGTGGAGCTGTGGGGCCCTGAGGCCATTCAGCCTCAATGGAACAAAACCAACAGGGACTGAAGGAGTGACTGTGTGGCTGCGCTGATGTGTTTGTGTGGAGCCTCTCACATTTTAGGCAATCACTACTTGTTATGTATCCATCCCTATTTGAAAAATCTGCATCCTGTGTTAGCTGTAGAGGCTGAAATGCCCAGGATGGGTAATGCCAGGCCCTCTGGCAAATCTCTCTGACCACCTCTCCCAGCCCCATGCTGGGAAAAGGCCACCTTCCATCCTCCAAGAGTATGATGTGGCTGTGTCTGCCTTTACCCTCACGCCTGATTCCTGAAACATGATAACCATGGCAATAGCTGCATGCATGCATTTGTTCCATCCACACGCTTACAGGAAAGCTTCACAGCAGCTACTTCAGCCTGAGACCCTGAACAGCTCTGTTTCATAGGCGAGGAAATGGAGGTCCAAGAAGTAGAAGTGACACAGCCAGGGAGTGACAGGAACAGCCTTGAATCCAGCTCTGGCATGAGCTCACATTCATAGCTCTCAGCAGCTAAAACCACCCAAGAGCTTGGTTAAATCCTTACTGCTCACAGTCCTCCGGGCTGCCCCAGTGACTCCCATGCAGGTGCAGCCAAAAGATTGGGGATGAAGATGGCTGAAGAGCCCTGGGCTGGCCATCCAAGGTGGCTCCTCACGTGGCTGGGGGTGGATGCTGTCAGCTGGGAACTCAGCTGGAGCAGTAGCCTCACATGGTCACTTGGGGCTCTGTAGCCAAGGCTTCTCCTGCTGGGGCAGCTGAGGTCCTCCAGGGGGCATCCCAAGAGACCTAGGCACAGGATCCCCAGAAGGTACCTTCCTCTAAACCCTGTTGTTCAGCTGAGCCATTAAGGCCAGCCCAGCTTCAAGGAGAGGGAATCAGATTCTATCCCTTGATGTGACTGGGAACATGTCAGCAGGCAGGGGAGGAAGAGAGGACAGACAGCCTTGGAGAGGGTCTTCCACACTTGAGGACAACCATGAGGATGATGATGGTGATGAAGATGAAGATGATGGTGGTGATGGAGAGGATGATAATAATGATGACGATGATGATGATTATGATAATGATGGGGAGGAGGACGAGGAGAATGATGGTGATAGTGGTGATGATGAAAATGATAATGAGGAGAATGAGGATGATATGGTGGTAATGGTAATGACGGTGATGATCATGATGAGGATGGTGATGGTAATGATGGTGATGATGATGATGGTGATGAAAATGATGATGACGGTGATGATGGAGAGGATGATAATGATGATGACAATGATGATGATTATGATAATGATGATGAGGAGGATGAGGAGAATGAGGATGATATGGTGACAATGGTAATGATGGTGATGAGGAGGAGGATGGCGATGATGGTGATGAAGATGATGATGTTGGCGATGAAGATGACGATGATGAAGAGGAGGTTGGTGATGGTGATGATGGTGTTAATGGTGATGGTAGTGATGGTGATGAAGATGATGATGTTGGCGATGAAGATGACGATGATGAAGAGGAGGTTGGCGATGGTGATGATGGTGATAATGGCGATGGTAGTGATGGTAATGATGATAACGAGGAAGAGGATGGTGATGATGGTGATGATGAGGAGGTTGGTGATGATGATGATGGTGATGAAAAGGAGGAGGATGAAGATGACGATGATGATGACAGCTAGATTTTACTGATGCCTAATGAAGGTGCTAATATTCTAAGTGCAACTCCTGTATTAACTGGCTTCATTCTCACAACACTGCCGTGAGATGGGTGTTATTACTGGCTTTCTGACACGCCACCCAGCACTAAGCAGATGGTCCTGCACACAGTACTGACAACCTGCAGTTTTGAGGTCATACTGCACTGAATTCTCACATGAAGAGGGTCTCACCTTAATTCAGGTTGACTCTCTCTATGTTACTGGGTCTGAAAACATTTCTGAAAATGCAGACAAGGTGAGAAGATGCAGAAATTGCCAAGTATTTCTGATGGGCTGAAGAAGCTTGTGGTCAAATAGTTTGAAATTCTACCATTGCTGACACACAGTAGGTTCACTGCCCTTAAGAAACTGAGATGAGAGGACATGGCCACCACTTCCCTGGAGCTGGGCTTCCTGAAAGAGAGCAGGTGCACGAGAGGCTTCTTGGAATTAAACATAGAATTAGCAAGATGTTGCTTCTGCCTTAATGACGAAGGCCAGCAACTCAACCGAGCAGTAATTAGTGCCGACTGTTCTGTCACTTGGTAGTAATATCTTAGACTTATAAAAATAACTGAAATGTGGGAGTTGCCCATGTAAATTAAACATGTTTTGGAGAGCCTGCAACTTCTAGAAGTTGGTGAGAAGCACATTCCAACCTTTTAGTGGCCAAGGTACAAACAACGCTATAAGATTATTTTGAGATGTATGAACAGTCATGTGAAGCATATTCGCTGGCACGAGCTCCCCTATGGCAGATGGTCCATGGCTGCCCCTGAACAGCAGCCCAGTGCATCCATCCTGACAAAGCATTTTGGATTTTCATGAGCGCCCTTCACCAAATCATTCTGAGATGCCCATTTGGACTCCAGTACCTTGTGCAACTCTGAATCATGGTTCTTCCAGAAACATGCCAGTAGGATATGTTTTCTATTGGTTAGGGTTCCCTGGATACTTTGGGAAAGACATCGGAGAACAGGCTTCTCAGCAAAGGGAGACAGGGCAGAAGAAACCCACGGACAAGCCTGGGTGCTGGTGGGGGTCTCTGTTCACTCCATGGGTTTACACCTCGGCTCCTCCCGTGCTGCCTTTGGGCCTCTGGCAGGGCTTTGTTCTTCCTGAGCCCCTGCATCTTCGTCTTCACCGTAGGAGAGTGCCATCTGCCTTGAAGGGTTGTCAGAGAGATTAGTTAAGATTACAAATATGAAATGTCTGATGCCTTCCGCATGCAAACACCATAAAAGCCATTGAACCACATTGTCCGGCCACGTGTGTGAATACTTCTCTGCAGCACGGACAACAGGATCAAAGGCTGGCTCTCTGCCTGCTTTCTTGCCCATGAAATGTCTTGTTTCCATGAGAGAGGGACAAAATATGATGTGGCGTGGAAGAGAGCAAGTCTTGTGTCTAATTCTAGCATATCAGGTGAAAACCACGCCATGGGACTATTTATAATCTCTGGGCATTGTCTAGTCCTGTATGTGAACAATCAACTGCCCAAAGAATCATAACTATCATTGTTATTTGAAAATGCCTTTCACAAGTTGGGTGCCGAGTGAGGTATAAAGTGCTAAGAGACTCTGTGAAGAAAGTGCTACAAAGATTACGATGCTATTTTACATGTGTTCTAAAATCAAGGCTGGGACAAGCACCCCCGTAGTCACAACAAGTAGACCATAGTCCAGAAGGCCTTGATCCTAGGGTGGCTTCCTTCCACCTGCACTGAACAGGGCACTGAACACGTGGCAGAGGCAAGGCCATTGTCATTTGCTCCTTCGGCAAATGCGAGCTCATACTCCATGTCACGTGCTGCGTGCAGAATTGCTCATTTTGCTTGCCATTTTATGATTTTCTGAGTGCTGTTTGGACCATCATGTCAGTGACCTAAACAGCTTCCTGCTACAAGGAAGACTGAGTTCCCAAACCGGATCTGTGGCTCATTTCCACTCAACGTTCAGACCAACCAAAGATCTGGGCAGCAGCTTGGAGCCCCTTGTAATTTGGCCCCAGGACAACCTGGCTTGCAGGCACCATTTGCCAACTTGTGTGGCTGAGAGAGACGGGAGCCAGCTGGTACATGGAAGATTGCAGGATCTGAAATTCACGGGGTTCCACAAACAGAAATTATCCCTGTTTCTCAAGAAATCATCAATGCCCTACATTAAACTGCTAAGGTAACAGTTGTTTTTCTACTTTCATGCCACAAGGCTAATCTGATGCTTTATTGTTAGGTCATGTAAAAATAAGCCTTTGTTGTACAGTTAAATGCCCTAAAATGGAGCATCTTAAAATGATAATCATGTATTTTGCTCAGAGTTCTGTGGGCTCGCAATTTGAGTTGGGCCCAGCTGGGCAGTGGCTCTCTAATGCATGTGACGGGGGTTAGCCAGCAGCAGGTGGCCCCGCTTGTGCAGCTGTGGGCTTGAGGGATGGGGGTGGCTGACCCCTGTGCTCCTCATCACCTAGCAGGCTAGCTGGGGCTTGCTCTGATGGTAGCGGTTGCAGGCGCTAAAGTGTGCACAGCCTTGTGAGACCTAAGCGCACACTTTTCTGCTCCGTTTATTGAACAAAACATGTCCCAAGACCAACCCAAACTTCAGGGAGGAAGAAGTGGAGAAGAAGTTGCAGCCTTGGGCGTCCCACCCTAAACAGAAAGAGGAAATGAGTTATGCAGAAACAACCCAGAGACGTACTTGAAGAAAAAAACCCAAACTAATTTTTCCCCTTGAAGATGTCTTAGCACACAGGCTACTGAAACACCAAAACCTGCAGCTAAAGGGAGCACCACCTGACATTGAGGCAGGCGTCTGGTGCGGTGCTAATGCCCCATCTCGGCTCTTTCCACCACATCCCTTAACATGACCAGGTTTTATTCATTTCTTGCACTATGGATTCAAACTCCACTTTAACACTAATTTAATCCAATCTCTATATTTAAATCTGAAAGCTCCTGCCAGCTGAATTGCATGTTTTTTACAAAATTAAGCTGAAAACCAGGGAGTGGCGGTGGGGGTGGGGTGGGGAGAAAGTTTCCATGGCGACAGCACACAACATCTCTAATACCAGTCAGATTTGTGCAATGTTGGGTTTGGAATGCGTGGGCGTTAATGGTTCTGGGAGAACCCTTAACTAACGACAGACAACACCCATCTGGGTTACTTAGATGTTTAATATCACAATACATCAAAGGATCCCCACGTACTATAAGAAGAAGAGAGCAGTGCTAAATGCTGTTGGTAATTATTTCCTCCAGGTCAGTTCGAGAGAAGGAACAACAGGCTCTGAAGGCAGTAATTGTACAAGAGTAGTGGCTGTGCCGGGGAGGCCAGGAGAAGGTGGAATGGGCGAGATTCTGCTTCCTTGAGAAACAGCAGAATCAGAGAGAAATGGGGAATGGATGCCCAGCAGGAATGCTGGCTGCCCATTTTCCTCAGAATTTACAACCCCTGTGCCAGACAGGGGCATTCAACAGCGCCTGTCTTGATGGTCATGGGCCAAAACGACCCCTGTTCCAACTGGGAAACACAGGCCCTGCTGCCGCCTGTGAGGGGAACTCTGGAGTGTGAGAAGTTCATGGGTCAGCGTCGGGAATGTGCTTTCCTCTACCGATGCTTTGTCCTGGGTGCGTCTTTTGGATTCCAACAGTGTCTAAGTTATTGAGTCCATTCACTCAAGACATTTTCCCCTGCTGTTCCCAACTGTGCTGATGAGATCAGGAGAGACAGTGATGGATGAGACACAGCCCCGGCCCTCGGCTGTCAGGTCTGGTCCATGAGGGGTTGCTGCTCCCCCGGGTCCAGCTCACCCAGGTTTGGTCCGATGAGGGGTTGCTGCTTCCCCAGGTCCGGCTTCCCCAGGTCTTGTCCAATGAGGGATTGCTGCTCCCCCAGGTCTGGTCCATGAGGGGTTACTGCTTCCCCAGGTCCGGCTTCCCCAGATCTTGTCTAATGAGGGGTTGCTGCTGCCCCAGGTCTGGTCCATGAGGGGTTGCTGCTCCCCCAGGTCTGGTCCGATGAGGGGTTGCTGCTTCCCCAGGTCCAGTTCCCCGAGGTCTGGTCCATGAGGGGTTGCTGCTTCCCCAGGTCCGGCTCCCCGAGGTCTGGTCCGATGAGGGGTTTCTGTGCTCACCGCCAGCTGCTGATGCTCCTTTGCCCACCCCTCCCCTCCCACTGTGGATGCTTTCACTATGTTTGGTCCTAGGGTTGTCCTAAGACCTGCCCTGTAGGAAATGTTCCAGGGATGTTTGCTGAAGGAGCACAGGACTTCTCCACGATTTAGGAGGAATATCATCCTCCCAAGTTGTCAGAAAGGGATGACGCAGCGTGGCCAAGGTCTCCCTGCCTGCTGGGCTTACTTCCGGACTTTCTCTCACACTTTTCAGGTCGTGTTGCCACCTGTCCAGTTTCTAACTGTGAGCAGGGCTTGTCCTGCTGCCGCCTCACAGGAAGACTCTGGAGTTTGGATGAAATCTCTGCCCTTTCTCCCTGCCTGGAATTCTGCAGTGTTCTGGCAGCTTCTTGGATCCCCAGAGAGCCAATTCCTTGTCCCCCTGTGGGAAGTCCACCTGGGAAGGCCACAGACACAGCGGAGAAAGGCGCTGCCCCATCAAGGTGAAGAGGGGGCCGGCAGAGGAGCTGGCTGAGATGAACGACGTGGTGACAAAGCACAGTGTCACTCGGAGCCCCTGGGACCGTTTGTCTCTGGGTTTCCCCAGTCAGCTGCTGTTGGAAAGCAACACGGAGAAAATGAGGAGAGAGCTGGCCTTTGTTTACGCAGGCAATGTGCAGGTAGGGGGGAAACAGCCCTGCACTGGGTTCACCACCCGCACCTGCAAAGACCCTGGCGTCCACCTGCCTTTTGCCTGGAAACATAGTGAAGTTTTGCAGCCCCAGAGAAAGTCAGCAAATCTGTGAAGTTAGAACCACGGCAATATTTCTTTGCACATTTGACTTGTTTGTTTATTTATTTATTTCGAGACAAAGTCTCGCTCTTGTCGTCCAGTGTAGAGTGTGATGGCGCGATCTCAGCTCACTGCAACCTCTGCCTCCCGGGTTCAAGCGATTCTCCTGCCTCAGCCTCCCCAGTAGCTGAGATTACAGGAGCCTGCCACCATGCCTGGCTAATTTTTGTATTTTTAGTAGAGATGGGGTTTCACCATGTTGGCTGGTCTTGAACTCCTGACCTCAGGCGATCCACCCACCTCGGCCTCCTGAAGTGCTGGGATTACAGATGTGAGCCACCGTGCCCGGCCTTGACTTGTTTATTTTAAGATGTTTTGCCTTCAGCAAAATGGCTGGTGTAGCGCCTTGAGGATGCGGTCCTGAGTGTGCGCTGTGTTTCAGAGCCGACAAAGGCCTGCGTGTCTCTAGCTCCTGCTTCTGGACACCATCACTCAGGACGTGTGGCAAGGGGCAGTAGGTGGTCCCCCCAGGAAGGCCACGGATGCCCTGCCATGATGGGATCAACCACGCCTCTTTCCCTTCAGTCTCCATCCGCACATCTGGGAGTGGACAAAGTATCTGCATGGAGAGTTTGACTGTGTGACCTTCTCTAAAACAGGCAACAGCTCTTCCTAAAACCCAGTCATCCTGAGAGAGCAGCGCCCTGTGTGTCCAGACCAGGCTTCTGTCGATGCCGGCAGCAGACGTCTCACTGCATTAGCAGAACTGCATCCCCCCAACAAAGCCAGGAGGCAGGAAATATTTTCCAGATTATTCCAATGAAGAAATTGAGGCTCCAAAAATGAAAATATTTGCTGATCACACAGCTTCTGAGAGGCGGGGCTGATGTTTATTAGTTTTATTTATTATGTGTATTCTTACTGATTTTGTTATGTGTGTGTTTATTTATTGTCTATTTGTTTTCATGCAGATGTATTTGCAAGTAGGTTTTATTTTATTCTAACCAAAGGGAAAATGGACTCACTGGCTGTTCATGAATGCACCCACCCCACCTTGCTCAGAGAGTGGCTTTCCCAGGTCTTCGAGATTTGCAGGGGGCTACCCTGCCCCTCTGGCTGTGCACCAGTGCTTTCTGCCAGCCTCCAACCCAAAAGAGTAAAATCTACAATTCCTCAACTGCAAATCCTAAAACTGTTTTTCACCCCCGTCTCCCAGACTCACTTATAATGCTTAACACACATCCTTATTTATTTAAAGAACAGTAAACACTTTCACCTCTCCCAGAGGTACGAGAGCTATAAATTTCAATAGCTAGTAACACAGTGGGTTTTTACAAGAGGTTACTTCAGGGCAGCGCTCTGAAATCACACAGGCGCTGGCTGAAAGTGTTCCTTGTGCTTCCCGAAGGTAGAGAAGTTGACAAATCGGAGACTGCAATTATGAAATTAAATGCACACCGAGTACCACTTCTCCCCAAAGAAGGTTGAAATGCCAGGTTGGTCAGGTCAGACGCTTAGACAGATGGTCGCACTGGGGTGTCCTGACATGGAGGCAGGATGGCACCAGGCGGAAAGGCCAATCGAGGGGACCCTCCCTTCTCTGGAGTCCTCCTCCTCCCTCCCTCTTCCTTCTTTGTGCATATTCAACAGCAGCCTCCTGCTTGCTGGCACTGTTGAGTGTGAACGCAGCCATGAAGCCACAGGATCCCGTCTGGGGAACTGACATTCTAAGGGAAGGAAACTTCCTCCCTCACTCCTTCTGGCCAGCCTCCCCCAAATAGGGGTGAAACCCTTGAGGCCAGGTCTTTGGAACTGTTTTTACTCGGAACACTCTGACACCAAAGCATGGTGCTTTTTATTCACAGAAACGACCAATTCTTCAACTCTCCAGACACCAGCTGGGTGCCCCACAATTGACACAAATTACCCACAAGTTAATCAGCACAGACCCCACAGGTGAGGGGCTCAGTCCCACAAAACTGTGCCCATCCCAGATGTCAGCCACCAAGTCCCAGGTGGCCCCTGTACTTCTGACTGACAGGCTAGAAATCAGGGCTTCCCATAACCCCTCCTTTCATAATTTGCTAGAACAGCTCACAAAACTCAGCAAAATCCACCACTTATTCTCAACAACTTATTATAAAAGATCCGCCTCAAGAACGGCCACAAGGAAGAGCTGCAGTGTAAGGAGGGAGGGCGAGGATCCTGCACGTGCTTTCTGGGCGAGCCGCCCTCCCAACACCTGGATGGAGTCAGCAGCCCAGCAGCCCCCCAGACCCTTCCACCCTGCAGGCAGGACTGATTATGTCACCTGTCCTTGGTGACTGCTCCACCTCCAGCCCCTCTTCCCTCCCTGGAGTTGGGAAAGGGGCTGAAAGTCCCACCCCCCAATTCTGCCTTTGTCTTCCTGGCCACCAGACCCCAACCTGAAGCTCCCTGGGGCCCTGGCCCCCTTCATCTCCTTGGCCTACAAAGACCCTCATCACTCCAGAGATGTCAAGGGCTTTAGGAGCTGTGTGCCAGGGAGTGGGGACAAAGACCAAATAAATACATATTCCTAAAGATGCCACAAGCCTATATTTGATTCACCCCATATTCCGCTCCCCCCCCCACCCTTGGCATATGTGCACACTGTAGGCCTCCACGAAATACACGTGGAACACGGCAGACACGCACAGGCGCGTTCATGGAGCAAAGCAGCCCGTTGCATTCCTTCACCTGCCCGAGCACACTAAGCGAGTACCTGCCAGGTGCCAGGCACTGTCCCAGGCAAGGAGGACGCGGCTGCTGATGGAGCGGGTCTCTGCTCAGGTGCTGTCCCAGGCAAAGAGGACATGGCTGCTGATGCCCAGGCACTGTCCCAGGCAAGGAGGACATGACTGCTGATGCCCAGGAACTGTCCCAGGCAAGGGGGACATGGCTGCTGATGGAGCGGGTCTCTGCCCAGGCACTGTCCCAGGAAAAGAGGACATGGCTGCTGATGGAGCGGGTCTCTGCTCAGGCACTGTCCCAGGCAAGGAGGACATGGCTGCTGATGGAGCGGGTCTCTGCTCAGGTGCTGTCCCAGGCAAAGAGGACATGGCTGCTGATGCCCAGGCACTGTCCCAGGCAAGGAGGACATGACTGCTGATGCCCAGGCACTGTCCCAGGCAAGGGGGACATGGCTGCTGATGGAGCGGGTCTCTGCCCAGGCACTGTCCCAGGAAAAGAGGACATGGCTGCTGATGGAGCGGGTCTCTGCTCAGGCACTGTCCCAGGCAAGGAGGACGCAGCTGCTGATGGAGCGGGTCTCTGCCCAGGCACTGTCCCAGGCAAGGAGGACATGGCTGCTGATGCCCAGGCACTGTCCCAGGCAAGGAGGACATGGCTGCTGATGGAGCAGGTCTCTGCCCAGGCACTGTCCCAGGCAAGGAGGACATGGCTGCTGATGGAGCAGGTCTCTGCTCAGGTGCTGTCTCAGGCAAAGAGGACATGGCTGCTGATGCCCAGGCACTGTCCCAGGCAAGGAGGACATGGCTGCTGATGCCCAGGCACTGTCCCAGGCAAGGGGGACATGGCTGCTGATGGAACGGGTCTCTGCCCAGGCACTGTCCCAGGCAAAGAGGACATGGCTGCTGATGGAGCGGGTCTCTGCTCAGGCACTGTCCCAGGCAAGGAGGACGCAGCTGCTGATGGAGCGGGTCTCTGCCCAGGCACTGTCCCAGGCAAGGAGGACATGGCTGCTGATGGAGCAGGTCTCTGCCCAGGCACTGTCCCAGGCAAGGAGGACATGGCTGCTGATGGAGCGGGTCTCTGCTCAGGTGCTGTCTCAGGCAAAGAGGACATGGCTGCTGATGCCCAGGCACTGTCCCAGGCAAGGAGGACATGGCTGCTGATGCCCAGGCACTGTCCCAGGCAAGGGGGACATGGCTGCTGATGGAACGGGTCTCTGCCCAGGCACTGTCCCAGGCAAAGAGGACATGGCTGCTGATGGAGCGGGTCTCTGCTCAGGCACTGTCCCAGGCAAGGAGGACGCAGCTGCTGATGGAGCGGGTCTCTGCCCAGGCACTGTCCCAGGCAAGGAGGACATGGCTGCTGATGGAGCAGGTCTCTGCTCAGGTGCTGTCCCAGGCAAGGAGGACATGGCTGCTGATGCCCAGGCACTGTCCCAGGCAAGGAGGACGCAGCTGCTGATGGAGCAGGTCTCTGCCCTCCTGGGTGGAGTACACATCCCCACGAGGGGTCCGGTGTCAATTATCAACAAGGAAGACACAAATCAGATTGGTAAGCATCCCCTTGGCAGCTCCATGAAGAACAGAGGACTGGCAGGGAGAACAGAGTAGGTAGGGGCATCGTGGCAGGGCTGAGGGCTGGAGGGGGAGGCCCTGTGCTTGAGTGGTGGGGTTCTTGTTGTGGTTTTGAAAGTCCCATGGATTGAAGATGAGGAGTGAAAATGAAAGGGGATTTGAGACGTCGCTGAGGACTTTGGTCTCAGAAACAGAAAGAACAGTTTTCCCACTTACAGAGATTGGGAAATGGGGGAGAAGCATGTTTTGAGGAGAAATCAAGAGTTTAGAGTCACGCGTGTTCCATTTGAGATGTCTGTCAAATGTCAACTTCTATGGAGTGTTCAGCTGTGTGTATGAGGAAGAAAGAAAGGAATGAAGGAGGGAAGGAGTGAAGGAGGGAAGGAAGGAGGGAAAGAAGGAAGGAGAGAGGGAGGAAGGATGGATGGATGGAAGGAAGGAAGGAAGAAAGGAAAGAAGGAAGGGAGAAGGAAGGAAGGAAGAAGGAAGGAGAGAGGAAGGAAGGAAGGAAAGAAGGAAGCAGGGAGGGAGGAAGGAAGGAGAGAGTGGTGGAAGATGCATGTCCTGGAGCTACACGTTTCAGAGTCTCTGCAGATGGACGGTACTAAAACCAGGTGACAGGAGGATACTGCCCAGGGGACTGATTGCGTATGGACAGGGAAGAGGAGGGGAAGGTCTGAGCCTCAGGTACTAAGGTATCAAGTTCACCAAAATGAGGATGAGCCAGACAGGAGCCTAAGCAGGGGCAGGGAGTGAGAAAGGGTCAGGAAGCCAGGTGTCCTGGAAGCCAGGAGGAAAGAGTGTTTGAAGAAAGAGTGAGGGGTCCATGGTGTCATTTGCTGAGAGAGGCGCAGGACAGAACCCAGGATGGCACCCAGGCCCAGCCACCTTGTCAGAACTCTCCCAGTGCTGGTGTGAGACCTGCCCAGCCTTCCTCCAGGAGAGTGGCAGGGACTGTGCCAATGCTTCCTGGCAACTTTAGGGGCAGAGGCAGGCACTGGGGAAACCTGTAACAAACACTATCTCAGAAAATGCGCGAGCACAGGCTTGACCAAGCGGGAGAGATGTGACCGGGTCCTGCAAACATCGGAAGCCCAGTGCTGCAGTGGAAGGACCTTCCCTTTTCCAGACGCCCCAGAGAGCGGAGCAGGCATCCGTGGGTGGAAGGAGGGCTTGGGGCAGCCGAGCTGGTCAGAGAGTGGATGTGGAGAAAGGGACCCAGTGGGCGCTGGGGAGCAGGAGGGCCTCGTCCCTTGCAGAGGTCAGCCCCAAGCTGAGGTGGGAGCAGCTTCTAGAACAGAGAGACTCCGTTCTCTTGAAGTCTTTAACCACCCTTCAGGGCACTCACTGGGGCCAGGGCAGGGACTGGTGGCCCCATACGGGAGGGTGCCAAGAGGAGCGTGCCTGTCTGTCTCTGCCCCGGGGAATCTGTGACTGAGGAAGGTGGTGCAGGAGGCAGCAGGGATGGGCGGGATTGAGCCACCCCCAGGGCGTCCAGACTTGGCTGCTCAGGGTGGCTTTGAGGCTCAGGGTCTATCCATACCTTCTCCAGGAGCCACTAAACATTCACACTTAAAATAATGAACACACTTCCCCTGACCCTGCCCATGGTAAGCCTTTTGCATCTTTGTATGGTGCAGCCCAGGACCCTCCCCAGCGCTTCCTTCAGCCCCAGGAGGAGCCCAGAAGCCTCTGCCGTCCCCTCCAGAGGCAGCTGGATGTGTTTAGAGGGGGATGTGGGTAGAATGTTCACCTCTCTCCCGCCTTGGGAGCCAGGCTGTGGGTGAGCTAAGGAAGCGACTGTGGAATTGAGAATTTTTGCTTTAGGCGTTTTCTCTCTTTGAAAACTATTCTAAAGAGCAAGATTGTGCAAAGTGACTCAAAAATTTAACTCCACGGAAGAATTTGCAAACTGCAAACTGAACTCCATTTGCTTAAGTCAGAAGAAAGCCTTTGAGTCATGGTTGTTTAGATAGTTTTATTCTGTTTGATACATTTTGCAAATATAAGCACATTTCCTGGAAGAGTTGATGTTGCTGAAAGGCGCAATCTTTTTTTTTTGTTTTTTTTTTTTTTGAGACGGAGTCTCGCTCTGTCGCCCAGGCTGGAGTGCAGTGGCGGGATCTCGGCTCACTGCAAGCTCCGCCTCCCGGGTTCACGCCATTCTCCTGCCTCAGCCTCCCAAGTAGCTGGGACTACAGGCGCCCGCCACTACGCCCGGCTAATTTTTTGTATTTTTAGTAGAGACGGGGATTCACCGTTATAGCCGGGATGGTCTCGATCTCCTGACCTCGTGATCCGCCCGCCTCGGCCTCCCAAAGTGCTGGGATTACAGGAGTGAGCCACCGTGCCCGGCCCAAGGCGCAATCTTATGAAAAGCCAGTCCCATCTCTGCCCAGCAGGAAGGCTTGGTCCAGTGCCCGCCTCCTCACCTTCCCACCGAGGTGTCTGGGGCTTCTTGCCCTGGGTGTGGGTTCCTGGAGGTCACTTGCAGCCCAACCCGCAGCCTGTGGGTCGCAGGGGAAATAACAACGGCTGGGGTCCCGGTCGCCAGGCTAGGGCTCAGTCCCACGCACCTCCCACCCTGCTGTGCCATGTAGGTGTCCTCAGTGTCCTTATCCTGAGGCCCAGGGAACTGAGATGACCAACCAGAAGCTATGTCACTGATAAGCTCCCAGCCTGGTTTCCAAAGAACTTCAGATGCCAGGACATTTCCTTTCAACCACATTTCTTCCCAGTTAGTAAAGAGAGGGAAGGAAGGAAGGAAGGAAGGAAGGAAGGAAGGGAGGGAGGGAGGGAGGGAGGGAGGGAGAGACGGAGGGAGGAAGGGAGGGAGGAAAGAAGGAAGGAAGGAAGAGGAGAAGGGAAAAAGGACCTCACTTTGGTCTTGATTTCTTCCTGATTATTTTAACCAGGCTTAGGTGATCCTCCCACCTCAGCCTCCCAAATAGCTGGGACTAGAGGCATGCCACCACACCCATCTAATTTTTATGCTTTTTGTAGAGACGGGGTTTCACTATGTTGCGCAGGCTGGTCTCAAACTCCTGGGCTCAAGAGATCTTCCTGCCTCAGCCTCCCAAAGTGCTGGGATCACAGGGGTGAGCCACCCTTTAGTCTCCTGTAAACTATGTTGGGTTTAGGGGTCTCCCTTCTATAGTCTCCTGTGACCCATGCTGTGTTTAGGGGTCCCCTCTGTAGTCTTCTGTGACTTACATTGTGACTAGGGGTCCTCCCTCTCTAGTCTCTTGTGACCTGCACTCTGTTTAGGGGTCCCCCATCTCTAGTTTCCTGTGACCTTCACTGTGTCTCCTGTGACCTGTGCCGTGTTTAGGGGTCCCCCCTCTCTAGTCTCCTGTGACCCATGCTGTGTTTAGGGGTCCCCTCTCCAGTCTTCTGTGACTTACACTGTATTTAGCGATCCCCCATCTCTAGTTTCCCGTGACCTGCACTGTGTCTCCTGTGACCTGCGCTGTGTTTAGGGGTCCCCCCTCTCTAGTGTCCTGTGACCCGTGCTGTGTTTAGGCATCCTCTCTTTAGTCTCCTGTGACCTGAAACTTTCTTCCGTTTTGCCGTGTCTTCTCTGGCCTGACTTTCCTCTCTGAAAGGCAGCAGCACTCCTTCGGGGAAATGGCTGGTTCAGGACCTCAAGCAGGAGGACACAAACAGAGCCTTAAACAACTGACTGTGCCCAAAATGAGGAGCTTCCTCAACATCGATGGGGCAGGTCTGAGGGACCGGGAAGCCTGCTCCTTGGAGCACCTGGGCCAAAGCCACACAGTGTGAGCACCAGAGCAAGTGGCAAGGGACAGATCATTACCATCCAATAAAACAAGAATGCGTGAGGCTACGCTGACATAAATACATACAAATAAATGATAGATAAATCAATAAGTGAATACATGGAGGGACAGGAAGGGCTTTTCCTTAGAGTGGAACACCAGCTAACAAACACCAAAAGTTGGAAAATCATCACTTGCCCTCATCATAGTAATAACTAATTCAGGCTAGAATCATCCTAGATCCTAAATATGAGAATGTTTGTTGAGAAAAAGGATATGTATATAATCTAATAATCTCCCTACCAAGTATTTACTAATTCACAAAATTAAAACCAGTAACTATACAGTGGAGAAACCAGGTCACACTTTAACCAAGCGCTCAAAATTAACATGATCGACTAAGGGCAAACAGATGTCGTGCACACCTGGGTGTGAGTCCCTGGAATGTGGGTCCCTGGAAAGGCAAAATATCATTTATGCAGCATTCGGCCAAAAATTTGTCAAATGAATCTAATCATCAGGAACATCAAACAAACTAGCAAATTTTTTTAGTAACTGACCTGTATTTTTTTTTTTTTTTTTTTTTTTTTTTTTTTTTTTTTTTTGAGATGCAGTCTTGCTCTGTCGCCCAGGCTGGAGTGCAGTGGCGGGATCTCGGCTCACTGCAAGCTCTGCCTCCCAGGTTCAAGTGATTCCCCTGCTTCAGCCTCCTGAGATTGCAGGTGCATGACACCATGTCTGGCTAATTTTTTTGTATTTTAGTAGAGACGGGGTTTCACCATGTTGCCCAGGATGGTCTCCATCTCCTGACCTCGTGATCCGCTGGCCTTGGCCTCCCAAAATGATGGGATAACAGGGGTGAGCCACTGCGCCCGGCCTTAGTAACTGACCTGTATTCTTACAAAAGATGTTTAAAATAACTCTGGAGTCATCAAATGTAAAACTCAATAGTGTCAAGTTTGGATGACATAAGACAAGGCTGTTTTATATGTTCTCAACATGTCATGGTGTCTCTCTTTCTCCAAGAATGTTTCTTCAAGTAGGTTGACCTTATTCCGTATCTTTATAAGAGCAACATCTTAGACACCCAATTGAAAACAAACCCAAACCCACTGGATCCATCATCCCTCATCCCTCCCTCTCTCTCTCTCTCTCTCTCTCTCTCTGTTTTTAGATCTCCCTGCTTGCAACAAGAGCCAGAGAATGGGTTTTCACTTGGTAAATGTAGGTGGGGAGTGGGAAAGGAGGTAGCAGCCGGAACAGGCTAAACTGTGCTACAGTCACTAATGACCCTGGAATCTTAGTGACATAAACACACACACACACACACGGATAGAGATCACTGTCTGCTCATATTACTTATCCTGCATAGGCAGGGGGCTCTGTTCCACACCTTATTTCAGGACCTCAGGCTGCTGGAGGTTCCCCTTTCTTGAGGCAGAACCATCTGGATCACAGCCTTCCCTTCAGCCTTGGTGAGGAAGGGCATTTTGAGTACAGCATTTGGAAATAAGCACACCTGTCACCTCCAGGTGAAATCAGCCACAGATGTGGTCTTTCCTGGGTCTGGAGGGGAAGAAGACTTGGACAGTGGTGAGTGGTGGTTATATCTGCCCCAGGGTTAAGGAAAGGAGATGAGGAAGCTGCCCACCTTAATCACAGAGCTCCAGGAATCTCCTTGCTGGAAAAGACCCACAGAATCCATCTGCAGATCAGCAGCTCCAGGCACCTTGCAGAAAATGAAGCGCAGCAGCCAGAGTGAGCCGTGGCTGCTTAAGGACCCAGTGGAAGGAGTCCCCGCTTCCTCCAAGAGGAAGACTTTGAAGTCAACACTTATTTATATGGGTCTGTCCTGGTTAGTTTATTGTCATTATTTCATATACTTTTTTTTTTTTTCTGAGATGGAGTTTCGCTCTTTTTGCCCAAGCTGCAGTGCAATGGCATGATCTCGGCTCACTGCAACCTCCACCTCCTGGGTTCAAGCGATTCTCCTGCCTCAGCCTCCTGAGTAACTAGGATTACAGGCATGCACCACCATGCCCAGCTAATTTTTCGTATTTTTAGTAGAAACAGAGTTTCATCATGTTAGCCAGGCTGGTCTCGAACTCCTGACCTCAGGTGATCTGCCCGCCTCAGCCTCCTACTGCTGGGATTACAGGCATGAGCCACTGAGCCCAGCCATTTTTTTCTTTTTTTCTTTTTTTTTTGTATCTTCCTCTGTGCCCAGAGATGATTGGACTCATAGCAGGTGCATGATAAACATTTGTGGAATTGAAATATTTAAGCATTTCCACTCATGACAGACATCATAATCACCGCCCTAGAAGAAACTGTCGGGGATATTTTGTTGTGCCGGAATGTGGTTCCCGTCTAGTTTTAAAAAGGTAAACACGCTGCAGGGGAAGTTTATTGCATTTTCTAAATAGAAAAGGACATTCTCTTCTTATAATTCACCTGAAATATCATTCTTAACTTCTGAGAAATCTTCAGGCCTTTTATCTAACGCAGAGCAGAATTTGCCCCAAACTAAGCATTTGGGGACAGGTCTTACTTACTCTGAATTGTCAAGCATTTTAACAAAATCACATCTGCATTTGGGGAATCTTCTAGCAACAAACAAGTTCATGAATGTGGACGGCAGTCTTGGTGAATGTGATGCTGGGCATGGACCACACACCACTTCCTTCCTGTCCTACCCATATAATTACGGAGTGGTTGTCAAGCTGTAACACAATCTAAATGCTATGTACATTAGCTGGAGGGGACAGAGGCTGACAACCAAATGTTTCCCAAGCTCCAGACCTGACTCAGGTAACACACCTTCTCCTGGTTCACTGTGATGCTGCCCAGCACCCCTCGAAGAGCCTGAGGACCTCCCAGGGCACGGACACTCCTGGCCAGACGGGTTGCTCAGATCCCGGCATCGGTTAGGATTTATTCTGTGGACAACGGAGTTCTGCAAGTTTGTTGACTGGGAGGAACTGGGTCATATTTGCTTTGCAAAGGACAGAGGAGGGAGGCTGGGCGAGAAGCAGCTGTCTGTGGACTGGCCGGGCAGTGTCGGCGGCTGGAGGCAGGGGTGCCAGCGGCCGTGTCGGTTCCCGTGGGAAATATGCATGGCCCTCGCCCTGCTCCCTGTTCCTCTGATTCCCCCTTGAAGAGAAATTAGGGGTCTTTTGGGGAGCACAGAAGGGGCACCTGATGTAGCCTGGGGGGTGGCTCTTGGTAAATGCCACTTAAGATGCAACGTGAAGTGGGCAGAGAAGGCTGCGTGGGGGACATCGAGTGTCCCGGACTGAGAGGAAAGCCGCATGGGGGCCTAGACAAGAGGGGAGGGTCGCATGTGGAAGGGGTGGCGGGTCCACTGTGGCCCTGCTGACTCTGCCTGCTCCGAGCGCTCTGAGCGGCTAACTTGCTCAGTGGCCAATGCCGGGTGGCAGGGCAGACAGGCAGCCCATCCGCCACACCAGGGAACTCACCGCAGGCATTCACACCCTCCCTCCCCTCACACAGGATGTTACTGTGGACCAGGATGACGGCAGCTGCCCCAATGCCCCACCCAGGAGCAAGCCCACGGCGTGGTCGTGGTGCCTCCCTGTCGGACATAAAAGTGACCTCACAGAAGTCCTGGGGTGGACGAGGTTGGTCTGGGATCATGATGAAGAGAGACCCAGAACAAAATGACTCCAAAATTACGGTCAAAAACAAGGTCGCTGTGCAAAACACAAGGTGCCAAGTGCCCTCTTCCCAGCTCCTCTCAGTGACATGGCAGCTGTATCCTCCCAGCCTCATCCTCATTTCAGGCTGCCTTCCAAGACAGATGCACAAAGAGAACACAAATAAATCATTACCAGCCCCCACCCCCAGCAACCCCCTCCTGGACATCTGCCCACGTGCTTTGAAAACGCACCTCCTCACCAAAACCTGTCCAAAAAGGTTCAAGGCCACATAATTCGCAAGAACCCAAAGGTGGAAACAACCCAAATGTCCCTCGATAGATGACTGGAGAAACAGAATGTGGTCCATCCACGCAAGAGACAGTAATTCAGTCCAAAGGAGGAACAGGATTTCGTCTCATGCTGCAACGTGAATCAACCTTGCAACATGGCGCTTAGTGAAAGAAGCAGACACAAGACCACATTGTGTGTGACCCCACTTACATGCGATGCTGAGAACAGGCAAAACTATAGAGACAGAAAGTAGATTTGGGGTGGCCATGGGTGGAGGGGAGCATCGAGAGAGGGACTGAAGACCGTCACAGAGCTCCTTTCTGGGGTAATGAAAAGCTTCTGCAATTAGATAGTGGTGATGGTTTCACAACTTCATGAATACGCAAAAAGCCACAGAGTTGTATTTTACAAAGGTACATTTTACGGCATGTGAATTGTATCTCAATTTTTTATTTTTGAGACGGAGTCCTGCTCTGTCGCCCAGGCTAGAGTGCACTAGTACAAACTCAGCTCACTGCAATCTCTGCCTCCTGTGTTCAAGCCATTCTCCTGCCTCAGACCCCCGAGTAGCTGGGACTACAGGTGTGTGCCACCACACCCAGCTAATTTTTGTATTTTTAGTGGAAATGGGGTTTCACCATGTTGGCCAGGATGGTCTCGAATTCCTGACCTCAGGTGATCCGCCCACCTCAGCCTCCCAAAGTGCTGGGATTACAGGTGTGAGCTACTGTGCCCAGCCTGTATCTCCATTTTTAAAAAGATGTCTGATCGTAGGAAAGATCCCTACTTGTTACCAAGAGCCAACTTCTGCTTCCTGGGACCCCTCCACAGCCCTCGAATCCAAGCCTGAATCCTGTACATTCTTTTTGGCACCCTCTTACTGAGGCACCCCAAAGTTTCCCTGAGTCTCCTTTCTCCAGCAAGCAATGAAGCCACCTTGCTCAACTGCAGGGGGTCCCCTGGGGTCTCTGGCTGGTGACATTGGCTGGATAAACATCTGGTGCCCTTGTCCTGAAGGTGAGCACATCCATGAGCGATGGGATAGTTCTGAAGAAGCCAGCACATCTCTGAGCCTGCAGGTCAAAACCATCACTTTATTCATCGTGGAGGAGGCTTCCTGAAGCCTTGTCATTTGTTAACTGAACAAATGCTCTGAGGCCTTGGTCAAGGCTGAGCTTTTCGGAGCATGGATGGCTTGGCCTGGCTAGTGATTGGCCCGCGTGGCCACACCCTTCAATCCCCTGGGCACTCTCCTCTTCTGCGGTCACATGGGTGAGGGTGGGTGCTCCAGGCAGGTGTCTATTCATTCGGGTTCAACCAGAGACACAGAATGTGGGGGTGGGGATGGGGCATGTGGAGGGATTTATAGTAAGAGATTTAGTGCCAGGAATGGCCTTAGACAACCTGGGGGGTCTGGCTAGGCAAGTTGGAGGTCTGGGTGGGTTGGGCCCCAGGAGGGCAGGCTGGAGCGCTGTGGAAGTCTTTCTTCAGGGAGAGAATCCTCAGCTCTACTCTTAGGGTCCTCAAATTAGTAAGTCAGGTCCACCTGCATTATCCAGAACAAGTTCATCCAACCCGAAGCCCGCCGGCCACAAGCAGCCCAGGACGGCTTTCAATGTGGCACAACAAAAATCCCTAAACTTTCTTAAAACACGATGAGTTTTTGTGTGTGTGTGTGTGTGTTTTCAAGCTCATCAGCTATCGTTAGTGTTAGTGGATTTTATGTGTGGCCCCAGACAATTCCTCTTCCAAGGTGGCCCAGGGAAGCCGAAAGACTGGACCCCCTGGATGGACAGCTGTCCTCACTGAAAGCTGCGGAGGTGGGTTTTAGCCACACCTCCAGACCTCTGCTCCCCATCTGGGCTCTCCTTTCCAGGGGCCCCTTTGGGAATGCGAGGAGAATGTGGGGTTCCCCCAGCTGTTCCCCCTCTCCCATGGGTCACAGCCACACCCTAGTTTCCAAAGCCTGGAACAGCTGATTTGTGTGAGAATAGCTCAGATCTCCATCTGTGTTTTTGATCCATTGGAAACACTTCCTGGTGTACAGTCTGAGATGAGGGGCACGCTCACACTTTGATGTTACTCTCTCTTTGTGGTTTCCTCTTCAATTCTGTTCTGAACGTGGGCAGACACGTGGTGTCATTTTTCCACGCCTGAACAGCGCTCCAGGCCACAGCAGGAGATTCAGTCGGCCCCGCGGATGCGCTGACTTCCTGTGGCAGAACCTGGGCCCACGCCTTGCTCCATGAGGATCCAAACAAGGGCCCCGGGTCCCAGGGCTGCGGGGGTGGTCATTGTGCTGGGAAGACGGGTCGCTCAAGTGATTCTGGTAGGGGCTACTCAGGCCTGCACCAAGAGCTCCGAGGGTCTCTACCTCCACGAGGACTTCCTCTGCTTGGTGCCCCCCACATGCTCTGGGTGTTCTGCAAAAAGGAAAGGTTCGACAAAGGGGCCATAACATACACATCACCTGCAAACAAAATCTCTGCCCTGGGTGTGTTTTGCAGTTACTCTGGCAATGGTCCGAGAGGGTAGATTTGATTTCCTTCAATCTCCAAGTTCACGAACCCCATCTCCTTCCAAGAGCAGGCCTTTACTGACTGGAATGGATTCAAGTGAGACAGAATTGAAATTTCAGGGGTAAAATTAATTGCTGGTCTTTGTTCAACCCCTACAAGCATATCACAATTAGCCCCTAATGGCCAGGATGTGGAAAGTAGAGATAACTGGGGCCCCAGTCATCGAGGGAGCCCTGACTCCTCCTGGCCTCAGTGAGGGCACGAGTGCTGCCATCAATGTCGTGGTACTAGAATCATATACTGGAATATATGCCAATGCCCCACCCTCTTGTGCCTGGGATTAGCCACCGGCTTCCACACTGCACGGTACAGACACCATGGCACGGCGTTCTCAGCCTCCCTCTCACCCTTTTCCCAGCAGAAGCTGAAAAGCTGGAAAGAATATTTTGCCAACTGCCTCTCTCACCCGGCATTGGGTAGAATGGAGCCCATCCTCCTCTGTCTGCTTTTGACATGCAAGGTCATAGGATACACGTGTTTGAGGTGGTCGTAACAGTCATCATGGGATACACGTGTCTGAGGTGGTCGTAACAGTCTGAGTGGCTTTCTGGTATCCAGTCCCAGCTTTATGGGTGTCATGGGCAGTAGTGGAGTCTCTGGGGTGGCTTCTGATGGCAGCGGTGGTGGTGCACTCTAAACCCAAATGCCAGGCTCAGCCCCCCACTTCTCCAACCCATCCAACAATGTGTCCTGTATTCAATTCCTTTCTGCTTAGGATGCCTAGAATGTGACCTCACCAATGTGCACAGCCATTAGTAGGCTGCTTAGAGAAAGAGACCTGGCTTGATCTTGACTATGAACTAAGAAAGAGCAGCCCTGGCTGATAAATACTCCTATATAACTACGGAAAATCACGTCAGCCAAGGGAGAGGACTTGTTACCTCCTCCCACACCCTAAAGCACTGACAACCAGCTCCTCCAGATGTTCCTGCAGAGATAAAGAAGTGGCTGGGAGGTGTGCACTCACCGTCTGATTAAAACCGTGTGCTTCAGACATGGTGGAGGGGACTCTCACAGCATGTAAGCCCCCTGCCTTTCACACTGACTGCTCCACACCGTCCATACTCCTCCAGAGGAGCTCGGGGCGGAGCCGTCAGACTCCACTGTTCTGGACTAAATGAGGCAGAGGCTGTCTGCCTGAATGGAAGATCTCAATTATGGCCTATTATTCCAGAAACGAAGTCTCATTCCCTCTGAGCACACACTCTGCAATGGATGAAAAGCCAACCCATTATCAAGGAGGGTCCTGCAGGGCCGCTGCGGTGATTAGATAAGGATCTTTTGTAATCGGCCCTGTCATTCTTTGTTCTTTAGAATGATGTTAAAGCCCTGTTTCTCAGACAGCGAACTCTCCCCTCATTTCTTCTGCCCATAGCCACCCGCTTTCTTGGAAGAGTTTTTCTGCATAGACAGTGCAGAGAGGAGCTCAGAGCCAGAAGCCTCCACATTCACAGGGCCTGGAGTTCTCAGGGTTCAGACAAATGTGGTGGGGAAACCTCTCTGTCTTACCCTGATGCTCCTTGTTAGATTGCAGGTTTGCTAGGCACAGGTCTCTGGGAATTGTTGAACTATGTATTGCCTAGGGCTGACACAATTTTCTGGTTCAAAGAACCGATTGGGTTTGGCCCCTGATGGGATTTAGGGAGTTTAAGAGAAGAATGAATCCACATTCTGAGTCTGAAGCCTGAAAGATTAGGGGACAAAGCCCCCCTGCAGGAGGAACTGGCCAAGGAGGGGAATGGCAGGGGCCTTGTTTTCCTCAGAGTGCTTTGAAGTTTATGGGGGTTGCTTAGATTCCTGCAGAGTCATCACACAGACAGTGAAGCCACCTTCCACAGGGCACGTCCCCTCCCACAGTTGTCAGTGCCAGAACCCAGTGACAGAGCATAGTGAATGCCTTCGGGCCGCCGATGTGTGCATGGCCTCTGGGCTCCTGCTGCCTCCCAACCCCAGCTAGCCCGGCTGCAGTGGGGAGGCTTGTTCTTGACGGGGGCGATAGCGTCTTACATCAGGGTCAGCTACACTTCCAGGCAAGTCGGTGTTTAAAAAATGTATTAGCATCTGAGTAAGAAAGCAGACCACAGAGAGGGCAACTGCACACCCACACCGGACAAACCAACACCACAGGAAGGCCCTGAGAGCTGAGAGGAGCCCGGGCGCGGTGCTATGCCTTTCCACACAGGCACCCGCGCAAAAAGGCCGCCTAGGAATCCCTCTGGGGAAGTCTACATTCTGGGAACAGAACAGCAGAGAAGAAAAAGGAAGAAAGCACTCAGCACCCCCAGTGGCAGCTGTCCACATCAACAATATGTGCTGGCCACTGGCCCCAAGGGGCCACCCACACCACCCTCTCCGGTGGAAGGAGCTGCAGATCAGAGCCTTGGGGACAACTTCTGGGCACAGCAGCCCTTTCCACCCGTACCTCACGTGCCGTGCACTGCACTCAGGCCTCGAGAGCCTTAGCTGCCAGCTCCAGAGGTTTCCAAACCAGGCTGTGCTCCAGAATCCCACAGGGAAGTTATTGAAACACAGATTCAGACGTCTGGCTACGGGTTTTGTGTCCTTCTAAAATTCATATATGCAAGTCCTAACTCCCAGTGCCTCAGAATGCAGCCTTGCTGGGGAACAGGGTCAGTGCAGACACAATTCGTTAAGGGGAAGTCACATAGGGGTACAGTGGGCCCCTAAGACAATAGGGCAAGTGGCCCCATAAAGGGGAAATTTGGACGCAGTGACCGACAGGCACAGAGGAAAGCCTGTGAGAAGAGACACAAGGAAATGATGGCATCTGCAAGCCAGAGAGCTCCAGAGAGGCCTGGAACCCATTCTCCCTCTCAGGCTTCAGAAGAAACCGACCTTGTGGACACCTTGATTTGGGGCTTCCACCTCCAGAACTGTGAGGCAAGAAAGCCACCCAGGCTGTGGTGTTTCCTTACAGCAGCTCTAGTGAACTCATACATACCCTTCCTAGAAGCAGAATTGACATGGCGAAGGGCCTGGAGCCCTCCACTCTGTGGGCCCTTGAGTGATTCTTCTGGAGCCCAGTGGGCACGGTGCCAGGGATGGGACACAAGGCTCTGAAGCTTCAGCGTGGATGACCCAGGGGATGCTGCTCACATGTGGAGCCTGACTTGGCGGGGCTGGGTGGGCTCTGAGATGCCACAAATGTAACAGCTCCCAGAGGACCCTGACGCTGCGGGGCTCTGGTCCTTGCCTTGGATAGGAAGTGTCCAGAGTTAGATGGTGCCTGGCCCAACCAAGGTGTGGCCCCCAGTGTTAGAGTGGAGGGGTCCTCGGGGGCTGCATGCCCACTCCCCTCACACTGCACATGACGGAAGGATGGAGGTAAGGAACGGAGGAGGAAGGGGCTTGTCATGATCACACGACTACAGACAGGCAGTGCTGGAATCAGAAAGGCTTTCTCCAGTTCCGGCTCAGTTGTCTTTGTGCACACACTACATGCCTGACCCCAAGCTAAATGGTGCATGGAATACAAGCAGGAAATGCATTTCTCTTTTAAAGAGTTCACAATCCAGTTTGGAAGACTCATAAACTAGTTAAAGAGAAACGGAGGAGAGAGGGCAATTAGGCACTCAATGGAACTGAATTATCACGAGATCATTTGTAGGGGGTGGCCTGGGCCCGCTTGCTTCCCCAGTAGATGGATCCATCATGCAGCAGCTAGGCCTGCGCTGGGGAGGGGGCGCTGGAAAGGTTACATGGCGAAGAGGTTGCACAGTTAGACCAGCGGCACAGAATGGATGTCTGGGGTGACCTCACCAAGGTGTGAGTGAAGCTCTGAGCTCCGGTGCCGTGTACTGAGAAGGAGCGAGGCCTAGTTTGCTCTGCGCCTGTGCCTCCCAGCACCCAGGCACCTTGCCGCTTCCTCTTCACATCTTACCCCCACACCCCCGGGTGCTCTCAGTGGCAGTGCCCATTCCCACTCTTCCCTAGGTGGCCCTGCTGTACCACGCCTCACCTGCCAGTCCCAGAACTTGTCCACGTGGACAAATAGAAGTCCTGAAGCACACACTGAATGCATCTTCCTCCCCCGCCAAGTCACGGTGCCGTCCTGTTCTGGTTCTTTCTCTGGGTTCTCTGTTTTGGTCCATCAGGCTCTTTCTCTGTCCTTGTGCCAGCACCATCCCTGGTTCCTGAGCTAGATTCGAGAGCCTAGAGGTCATCCTCCGGAGAGTCATGGCCTCTGTTGGTCCTTGTTCTTCTGTGTAACTGTTAGAATCATTTCGCCAATTTCTACAAAGACCTGTATGGAGATTTTCATTGAATCTGTGACTCAATTTAGGGAGATTTGACATCATTCTGTATTGAATCTCTCTCACTTTAAATATGGAATGTATTTCAATATATTTCTGTCTTTCAAAATAAATGTATAATTTTCTAGTGAGGTTGTGCACATGTTTTGTTAGATTTCTTCCTATGTACCTTACATTGTTGTTATCTTAAATATTGCTGATTTAGAGAAAAGAGACCATTAGTTTTTATATGTATTGATCTTATATCCAGTGCTATACTAAATGCATACTAACTTTAATATTTTTTGTAGAATGCATCTGGGGTTCTATGTAGATGATTATTATACCTCCAAATAGTTACAATATTTCCCTTTACATTATATATATTATGTATTATATATAAAATGTAAAGAGAAATTTTTCCCTTTTTACATTTTATATATATATATATATAATGTAAAGGGAAGTATTGTATATCTATTTATATATCATATGTGCTTTTACGTATATATAACCTTATTTTATCATACTGTCTAAACCTTTCATATAAAAGGTATGATATTAGACTTATTTCTTTTTATTTATAATTTTTTTAGGTTCCCTGCTTTGTTATTAGGTGGGGGCTATCCTGAAGGCTCCTGATGGAGACCTGGGTGTTTACCTGTTCATCTCCACTAAGAGCCTCCCGCTCTGTACCCTGCTCGGGGATGCCAGGGCTTAGCTCCTGCAAATTAAATTTCCCAGACTCCTTTGCTGGCTGGCTTCCAGTTGGGCCCTGCTAGTGGGAGGATCTGCTGGGAGTACGGAAAGCAGGAGGAGGAGAAGAGAGGCTTTTTTCTGTTGGTCCTTGTTCTTCCATGTAACTGTTAGAATCATTTCGCCAATTTCTACAAAGACCTGTATGGAGATTTTCACTGAATCTATGACTCAATTTAGGGAGACTATACTGAATCTCTATCACTTTAAATATGGAATGTATTTCAACATATTTCTGTTTTTCAAAATAAATGTATAATATTCTAGTGAGGTTGTGCACGTATCTAGTTAGATTTCTTCCTATGTACCTTACATTGATGTTACAAATATTTTCAATAGTTATGTCTTCAATATTGCTGATTTACTGAAAAGAGACCATTAGACGTTTTTCTGGCTGCAGGCACTGTCAGCACCTGTCCTGCAGCAGAGGAAGCTGGAGCCCAAATCACCTCATCCGACTTCCACGTGCTCCCAGTGCCAAGACCCGTGCAAGGCACCATCAGCCATCTCTCGAGAATCGCCACATACCACACCACACACATACAGGGACGCCAGCCTGAGCTCTGAGCACCCATCATTTGCGGTGCGTGTGGGTTTGGGGGGAGGCTCTCTGGGCCACCCCCAGCAGTGAGTTAGCATCTATTCCCCATACACATTAAATTTTAATCCACTTTAAAATTTCAGTAACTTCAGCCCAGTGGTGACAACTGCTTCCGTAATTTATTACATACGAATTACCTTGTTAAAAAAATTTTTCTTTATGCCTTCCAATACATGAATAAATCATCTCTGTGTTAAATTCCCTTCATTTGAAATACCTAGGATAATTTCTATATTTTCTGAGGATCCTGATAGAATCACATTTACTTTGGTAAAAGATATTTTTGGTTTTACTTTTGATCAGGGGTGATTTCAAATTATATTAACTCATTTATATGCATGCATTTATTTAAATAATTACATGGGTTTTCTCCTTTAACGTGGTAATGTGGTAAATTAGATTGATGCAATTTAAAATATTAAATCAAGTAATTCTTGGAATAAACTGTATGTGGTCTTGGAGAAAGACATAGGAGGACAAGAAGAGAAAATCAAAGAAAAAGGAAGGAAGAGGAGAAAAAGGAGGGATAATGAATGGAAGCGGGGAGGAGAGAGGGAAGAATGAAGAAGAGAAAAGACCCTGGCCAACATGGTGAAACCTTGTCTCTCCTAAAAATACAAAAAAAAAAAAAAAAAAATAGGCGGGTGTGGTGGTGGGCGCCTGTCAATCCCAGCTGCTTGGGAGAATCGCTTGAACCCAGGAGGCGGAGGTTGCAGTGAGCTGAGATTGCACCACCGGACTCCAGCCTGGGCAACAAGAGTGAGACTCTGCCTCAAAAAAAAACCAAAAAAAAAAAAAAAAAAAAGAAAGAAAAGAAAAGAAAAGAAAAGAAAGGAGGGAAGGGAGAGGCGGCTTCATGTGAATGTCAGGATTGGGATTTTTTTTTCCATGTAATTTTATGCAGGAGCCTCGCCTCTCTATCATTTTCTTTGCTCATGCTAGCTTTGTCCGGTTTGAGTATCAAGATTAGAATAGGCTTGTAGGATGAGTTGGAGATATTGCCTCTTTTCTTCGTGTCTGACAAATGTGTATAGGTTTGTAAACATCTTGTCTTTGGAAGTTTGCCAGTGCTTCCCTCTTAAACAAGTCTTTTTCTTAGTGTATTTAAACTACTGATTCAACTTCATTTATGCATTAGAGACCTGGAAAGGGAGAGCAAAATATGGAGTATATATTTTAACTTTTATTTATTTATTTATGTATTTATGTATTTATATATGGAGTATTTTTTTAACTTTTATTAAGTTCAGGGGTACATGTGTTTGTTATACAGGTATACTTGTGTCACGGAGGTTTGTGGTACAGAGTATTTCATCACCGATGTATTAAGCCTAGTGCCCATTAGTTATTTTTCCAATATGGAATATATTTTAAGTGACCAGGGGCATGCGTGGTCTAGAGAACTGTAATATCAGGTAAGATCTGCATGAACTGAATGATCAAGGTAGCTGAGGGTTCTTCTCCAGACCCACTCTCCTCCGCATCACACTCAGAATAATACACTTACTGGAAATCTATAGTGACGGTTTTATGGACTTGCAAGTGGCCCATTTTTGTAAACTTTCCACGTGTGGGTAAAAAGGCCGTGCAGTGTCCAGCAGACTCATGTGGGGTCTGGGTCTCCCCACCGACTGCAGTGAGCTTATCTGGTGGCTTCAGTCTTCTGCATCTTGACTTCCTTTCTGTCCGCTGACTCACCGCATTCCTGCAGGACTTGTGTTGCTGTCTCCAACAATGACGGTGGATTTGGCAATTCCTCCTTGCAGTTCTGTCAGTGTTCCTAAATATTGAGGCTACTTCATTAGGTGCCTGCAAGTTCAGAACTACTGTACCTTCCTTACTGATGGAAGAAGTGCCACTGGGACCTTCTTTATTTCTGTACATATTCTCAGATGTATGTTTTTCTGCTATTAATAGTTGATCTGCCCCAACTTTCTTTCAGCAAGTGTTTGTTGAGCATACATAAATTTTCTGTCTTTTCATCTTCACCAGTTCTGTTACTTTTTGTTTTCATCGTGTGTCTGGTTTTAAGCATGTAAATTGGATGTGATTGTATATTTTGTCATGTATTTTAAGCATTTAATTTTCTCCATTTATATTTATTGTTATGCCATCTTATCATGGGTTTCCCATTGGTCCAAACTTTCTGTCTCTTAGTTTCCCATTTTTTTTTTTAGTTTCTTTTAGACTGGTTTGGGTTTTTCTCCTTTCATCATTTCCCCACTTACACCTTTTAAATTATAATTAAAATTTTGCCATTCTCACTTTTCATTGGCAATGCTAAATGTAATGAATAACTCAATCCTTTCCGGGTAACACAGACATCTGAGCACACTAACCTCAGCTTTTATTCCCCAACAAAGTCTAAAACCTGTTGTTTTTCCAGTATTTTAATTAGACTGTGTATTATTATTCTTAAATTTCATAAATTATCTATGATTACTAGCCAATATTTATTCACATTTACCCACATTTACCAATGTGGTCAGCATTTATTCTATAGTCTCATATTTTTTATTTTTCATCAATGTTTTGGCCAACATTTCTTTTTTTTTTTTCTTTTTTTCTTTTTCTTTTTCTTTCTTTTCTTTTTTTTTGAGACAGAGTCTTGCTCTATCACCCAGGCTGGAGTGCAATGGCCTGATCTTGGCTCACTGCAACCTCTGCCTCCTGGGTTCAAGCGATTCTCCTGCCTCAGCCCCCCGAGTAGCTGGGACTATAGGCATGCACCACCAAACCAGGCTAATTTTTGTATTTTCACTAGAGGCAGGATTTTGCCATGTTGGCCAGGCTGGTCTTGAACTCCTGACCTCAAATGATCCACCCTCCTCGGCCTCCCAAAATGCTGGGATTACAGGTGTGAGCTACCATGCCTAGCTCATTTCTTCTTACATCTCGTGGTTTTATCCTGGATCATTTTCCTTCTTTCTGACTTGTCTTTAGGAAGTTCTTTTGGTAAAAGTTGTTGACAATTTTCTTCTAAAATGTTCAATTTTACCTTTGTACTTTTACTGGACACAGAATTATAAGCCAACCATGATTTTTCCTTATACTTTGAAAATGTTATTACACAATTATTTTGGCTTCCATTATTGCTGTTTAGGAATCTGCTGTCAATCTAATTGTTAATCTTTTCTGAGCAATCTCTCTCTTCTCTATAAGGCTTTTCAAGATCTTTTGTATGTTGTAAAATTTTACTGCGATGGATCAAAATGTTATTTTGATGTATCCTTTTATGTATCCTTCTGATTTTATTTGCCAGTGTGTTTGTATCTGTAAATTCATGCCTTTCTTCTGAAAAAAGATTAATTAGTCCTGAAAAGAAACATCAGCCATTATCATTTCAATTTTTCTTTTTTCCCATTCTCTAGACTTTTTTATTGAAACTCCGATGTATGGATGTGAGACATTCTGGTTTTACTGTGTGTGTTTTCACTCCTTTTCACATGCCTCATGTCATCTTTGTTTCTGCCCCATTACGGTAATTTTATCTAATCTATCTTCCTTTTCTTTGATTTTATTTTTAGCTGTATCTACTTTGCTATTTAACCTATTCATTAACCCATCATTTTGGTCACTATATTTTTAATTTCCAGAAGTTTTATTAATTCCTTAAGAAATCTGGTCATTTATGTAGTTTATTCCTTCTTACTCATTTTGCCAACATCACATTTATTTTAAATTTTTTCATACTGTGTTATTTTGTGTCCTGCTACTAACAGTTGAATATCTAAAGTCTATTGAGGGAAGTGCTGCTAAATCTGTTCCCCTTTTTAAATTGATTCTCACTCCTGGCAGCTTTTTCCTTGTGCTTTTGGTAACAGTTTTAATGCTTAGTTTTGATTATGTTTTGTTCCACCCACATGTTGGGCTGAATTTAATCTATGGGAATCCTGAGGGATTTGGATTGAATTTTTTTCTAAAAAAATTAATATTGTTACTACCAGGTGCCAAGGGAAGTTAGCAACCTGAAGACACTGTGACAACAGAGACAGTCTGAAATGGAACATCAGACAATAATTATTGGCATTATTTTTTCTACCTGGGACAGTAGCAGATACAATTTCATGTAATCTCCCTTCGCAGTAGGTAGATATTTTTAATTCCCACCCTTTCTCTGAGGATATGGCTCCTCAAGAAAACTGGCTTTACACAGAGAACTTGGCTTAGCTCCTACATAAAAAAAGGAGCCAAATCCTAGTCTCCTGACACCTCTCCAAACTGATCCCCCAAATCCTGGGTTTTCAATGTTGGCTTTTCCTCCAGAGCAGCACCAACTTTTATGGTTTCATTTATTTGTTCTCTGCAGGTAACTTCAGTATTTTCCTTTGAACCTATTCAAACATGTCAAATTATATATCTTGCAATTTACCCAGAATCTGGGGGATTTTGTGTCTGAGGGATTTTTCAGATCACCCACTGCTCAAAGCTGCTATTAATATGTTTCATATTTTTAATTTATTTATTTATTATTATTTTTGAGATGGAGTCTCACTCTGTTGCCCAGGCTGGAGTGCAGTGGCACTATCTCCGCTCACTGCAACCTCTGCCTGCTGGGTTCACACCATTCTCCTGCCTCAGCCTCCCAAGTAGCTGGGACTACAGGCACCTACCACCACACCTGGCTAATTTTTTTTGTATTTTTAGTAGAGATGGGATTTCACTGTGTTAGTCAGGATGGTCTCGATCTCCTGACCTCGTGATCCACCCACCTCGGCCTCCCAAAGTGCTAGGACTACAGGCATGAGCCACCGTTCCTGGCCAATATACTTCATATTTAAAATGTGAGCAGAGATGACATGGGTTTGTGGAAAGAGTCTTGTCATCAGTGCTGGGTGAAAATATCATAGTGTTATTCGCTAATGATGGCAACTTTGGTCTGACACTGACATTTTCTCACCTGCATCTTCTTTAAGATGGGGCTGGTAACAGCTACTGTGGAAGGCTGTTGTAAGGACTAATCGAGATAACATATGTGCAGTGCCGGGAACAGTATCTTGTGCCCAGGAATTGCCCCAGTGCCTGCCGGAAGAATAAATGATGAAATAAATGGCTTCAGTGCCACCTCCACTGAAAATTCATCAGACTTCCGTCCCTTCCACTTGACTGAATCAGGTCTCCACTGTTAACCTACACTGCTTTGGCTTTTTTCTGTGCTTTGCCTCCCCTCGAGATGAGGCCAATGCTCCTATCTCAAGCAAAAGCAGTTTCATGGATCCTACTCGTCCTTTTAACCTCCCTCTGGCACCTGTTTCTCTATGTGTTACACGAATCCTTGAGGTTTTAAGGAAAATGTGGAAGCATGCGTTGACTCAGTTCTTCAGAAGGGAGGATTCACCTAATCTGGTAAGGGTGACCAGAAGGCAGAAGTGGAGGGGTTCGTATTGGGGCAGGTGACCCAATGGAAAGAGCTCGGGGGTCAAGACCCCAGGGAGAGCTGTGCTTCTCTCTCCAATTTATTTATCAATTAATGGTGCAGGGAGAGTTGTCCAGGCCCTCGAGGGGACACAGTGGGAACACCTGGTCAGAGGGACACAGTCAAACCACTCCTATGTCTCAGTGGCCTCAGTTCTAAAATGACTCTACCTACCTCATCCCAAAGAAGGTTAGGAACAAAACCCCTTTTAAGGCAAGCCAGAACCTCATCCAACACCTCAACCTTCAGAGTATGTGTTTGTTGTTAATTTTACTAACATAGAGGATGTGTGTTACATAATTTGTAAATGATAATAGTCTATATACCACACTGTTTATTGTAAATTCCATCTAGGCAATTAATTCTCACAGAATATTTTCATTGAGTGTTTGCTGAAGTCTTGTATGTGCTGACAAACTATAATTGCAATTGATGAATGTGCATAGCTTCTACGTGAACATTGGTTATTTTTATTTACAAAAAAACCCTCAAATGTATGTGTCATGCATACAATTTACATATTTACATACATTAAGCACAAAACTTATAGGGAATGCAGACAATAAAAGTAAAACAACGAAGACACATGCTGGAAGTTCACTCATTGGCCAATGACCCCTACAACGGCTCTGGGTTGGGTATGAGTTCCCAAGGTCTAGATGAATATTTCTTCATTTTTCAGTGCTATAAAAAATGTAACAACAATAACAAGAGCACACCTTGGCATTAGATGTACATCAGTGGCAGTTTCTCCCCGCTTTACCTCCAGATAATCAACAAAACCATGAACCAAGCACTGTCTTGTCATGTTTGCCAATTTCCGTGGTGTAAATACCCCCACCAGGGTTGACTTGAAGCTTCACACCACACTGGAGGTTCAGCTGAGAAGTGGTGAGTGGCAGCGTGTCATTACAGAGCAATTCCACCATATGGAAGAAATAGACACAAATGAGATTTCAGAAGCAAAACTCCTAGTGAACTGTAATTAGACAATTAGGAAGGGCTGAATTTTAAGTATGCATTGCCCTTATTTTATTGAATTGTAAATTTATATAGTATAATTTTTAATCATGCCTATTGTATTAGCTTCCTCAGGCTACCATCACAAGTTACCACAAACTTGGGGGCTTAAACAACAGAAATTCATCTGCTCAGGGTTCTGGAGGCCAGAAGTCTGCAATCAAGGTGTAGGCAGGGCCACCCTCCCTCTGAAGGATTTGAGGGAGGATCTTTCCTGCCTCTTCCAGCCTCTGGTGGCTCCAACTGCATCTTAGCTTGTGGACAGATTGCCCTAATCTCTGCCTTCATCACCCCAAGGCGTTCTGTCCTGTGTGTGTGACTCTCACAGCCCCCATCTTTCTCTAATAAGGACATCTGCCACGGGGTTTAGAGCCCATCAGAAACCTCGGAGGCCTTCACTCAATTACATCTGCCAAGACCCCTTTCCAGATAAGGACACTCGCCATGAACAGATCTGGTGGGACCTATCTTTTCTTGGGGGAAGGGAGCACTATTCAACCCACTTCACCTACGTTTGCACCTGCCTCACAATATTCCTGGAAAATTAACCGTCTTCTCTCCCAAGCCAGCATGAGCTGGTTCCAGCATGTGGCTGGAAAGAATCCCAATTTGGTCCACACTTTCTGTGGAAACAAAACAAAGCCCACCTGTCTCTTTATCTGATTACACAGCTACTGAACACCCACCAAGTATAAGGGGCTGACCCAGGGTCACCTTAGAGGGCCTCACCTCTGCAGTCTCACCAGACCCACCTTGATGCGGATCCCCGGCTCCTGCTCTGGGAAGGCTGAATTGGATCTGCTGGAGCCAGGGCTGGCCCCTGAGGAGGTGGAGAGGTGCGTGTGCTCCCACACTGAGCCCAACTTATCAGAGCCCAGAAAATGGGCAGAGGAACAGGAAAGGAGGTTCTTCAAGCCAACAATCCCTAAACCTCTGAGCCACGGATACTTCTCCAGGGCAGCCCCTCCTGAAGCCCATGGGGCTGGTGATGCTGATGAGGATGGCTGGGTCACCTCCTCAGACCTCCCCACAGCCCAGCACTCAGGACGGATGCTGGATGCCTGCTGAATGGGCCCAGCCAGAGGAGTGTGCGGCTCACACCCCCAGAGCCCCGTTTTGCTGTTGATAATGAGGCATTCATTGTTAGTGAGAAACCGTGAAAACTCAGGAGAATTGGCCAACATGGTCACATTCATCTCCAATAATGAATTCAGTGACAATCGTGCTTCCGTCAGCGCCTAAAAAAGGAAAACAGAGAGTTTGAGGGACATACTGGCCCTTTGTGGTGTGGGGGGTTTCTGAGGACAGCAGCCCAGGACCTGCGGCCGGGGCTCAAGGCCTGATGTTGCACCTCAATTTCCTCTTCTGTCAGGCGATGAAGTGCTAACTCCTTCCAAGAAGCTCATGAAGGTTGCAGGAGGTAAAGGATGAAAAGGGGCACCATAGCTGTGGAACACCCCAAAAGGTTACAGTGACTGAGAGAAGCAAGGGACACCAGAAATTAGCAGACCTGAGTGGACAGTGCCAAGCCCAGCCTCAGCCTGCAGCCGAAGTCTCACCATGTGCAATTGTGTCCTTGGTCAAGGCAATGGGGTTCCAGGAGTTCAATGGGCCAGGCAGAGGGAAAGCTTTCTGGTCACCTGGGACAGATCCCAGAAGGGGTGGCTTTGGTGGAGAGGTGGGAGGAAGGGTGACTAGAGGGCTAGCCTGGGGCAGGCTCCCCTAGGGGAAAAAGGGGAGGAGAAAGGAGAGCATGGCCAGGACTTTTCCCAGACCTGTGACCTGTGACTTCTCCTGTCATCCACAAATGGGACTGGAGCCCCTCCGGGCAGCACCCACTCCCAAGACTCTGCCCTGACATTTTCCCCTCTCTCAAGCCACCCCTTCCCAGTGTCCTGGGCTTGGCCTGTGGAGGACCAGTACTGGGGCCCCTGTCCCTCCAAACCCCACCCAAGTGCCTTCATATTTCACCTCTTACATCCCCCATTTTCACAGGATTGCAAGAGACTCCAGAGCTGCCCCCGACCCAGCCTTCCCATCTGACTTCCTAATAAGAGCACCCCTCTGGGCCGATGGCGCAGTGAAGGAGGCAGGGGTTTAACAGTTTTAAGATCGCCCACCTTGTTTTTCCTCCATCCTTAAGGCTTTTGTTATTAAAGGTTGTGCATTCCATGACTCACTATGGGGCCCACCACTGGGTCCTATTAAACCTGGCAGCCTTTTAGATCAGCAGTAAGTGGATAAGAGCAGAACATCCAAATGTGAGCAGCTTGGTGACCTCCAAGGGAGGGGAACGGGGCATGAGATGACCTTCTCCCCAGTAACGGTGACATGTATCGGTCCAACTTTTGACCAACATGAAACGGAGCAGAGTGAGATCCAGAGAGCCGCACAGGTCCTGGGAGAAAGAACGTGGCGGCAGCAGCAACCCAATGCACATTTGAAAGGGGTTGACAGTCGGCTGAGGAAGACCCCAGGGGATGTGCCTACCTGCAGAGGGATCAGAGACTGGAGGCTGGGTGCACCTGGCGCTGGGCTTACCACCTGCAATGCTGGGTGGGCATGGTACACCTGGCGCTGAGCTTACTGCCTGCAATGCTGGGTGGGCATGGTGCACCCGGTGCTGAGCTTGCCGCCTGCAATGCTGGGTGGGCATGGTGCACCTGGCACTGAGCTTACCACCTGCAATGCTGGGTGGGCATGGTGCCCCCGGTGCTGAGCTTAACGCCTGCAATGCTGGGTGGGCATGGTACATCCGGTGCTGAGCTTGCCGCCTGTAGTGTTGGGTGGGCATGGTGCACCCGCTGCTGAGCTTGCCACCTGCAATGCTGGGTGGGCATGGTGCACCCGGTGATGAGCTTGCCGCCTGCAATGCTGGGTGGTCATGGTGCCCCCGGTGCTGAGCTTGCCGCCTGCAATGCTGGGTGGGCATGATGCACCTGGCACTGAGCTTATTGCCTGCAATGCTGAGTGGGCATGGTGCACCCAGTGCTGAGCTTACCGCCTGCAATGCTGGGTGGGCTTGCCACGTTTCTCAATTCCAGGTTTACTGTTCCATGCAGATGTTGATCCTGCGTTCTAAGGTCATTGTAGACACGTCCTAACTGTTTGTTTGTATCCCTAGAAAGAGTCAAGTTGAGCATGGGAGGGCAGCTGTGGAGGGCAAGGGGCACTCCTGGAAGTTGGACAGGATGTCTAGGGTTGGGAATGTGATGTGGTGCCTAGGCTTGTCTCCATGGTGGGCCTCGGTGGCTGGGGAGCTCAGGTGCTCTCACAGAGGCAGGGACAGCACCCCTCACCGTGGCAAGTGGCAATGGCAGCGTGGGACAGAAGGAAGCCTTCAGATGACAGGGCATCTCCCACATTCCTCAGGGAGAACACCCTATTTCTGGGCTTTGTGCAGGAGTTAGCCCTTGCCACATTCACACAGACCGCATGACAATTTGTCTCTAAAGTCAGAGGATTAAAGCAGGTTCTCCACCTCAGTTTGCTCCCCAGAAGACTCGTGGAAGTGTATGGAGACATTTTTATTGTCAGGATGTGGGGGAGGGGGCTACTGGCCCTGTACAGTAGAGGCCAGGAATGTTTTCAACTTCTTGGATCACACAAGGCAGCCTCCCTGTGCAAAGCAGTGTCTAGTAGAAATGCCGAGGTTGAGAAACTCCATCATAAAAAAACAGCCATGTAACATTTCTCATGACACATGTGTTGGCTACGCAGTTCTGCCATTCTGGGCCCATCTGGGCTGATGGTGCTCACATTGTTGGCTGCCCCATGGTCCAAGATGGCCACGTGTGTTTATCTGGTCTGTTGTCTTTTAAAAGTTTTCCTTGGGGTAGATGTGTGTGTATGCTATATACCTAAAGGAAGTGGCAGGCCAGGCGCGGTGGCTCATGCCTGTAATCCCAGCACTTTGGGAGGCCAAGGCAGGCAGATCACTTGAAGTCAGGAGTTCAAGACCAGCCCTGGCCAGCATGGCAAAACCCCATCTCTACTAAACATACAAAAATAAAATTTAAAAATATTAGCCAGGTGTGGGGCCGTGTGCCTGTAATCCCAGCTACTCATGAGGCTGAGGCAGGAGAATCACTTGAACCTGGGAGGTGGAGGTTGTAGTGAGCCGAGATCACGGCACTGCACTCCAACCTGGGCAACAGAGTGAGACTCCATCTCAGAAAATAAAAAAAGTAAAAACTAAAAGAAGTGGCAGCTTTTCATTAGGTTGGGTTTTTCCTAAAAGCCTGCAATTAAATAGCACTTTTTAAGCATCTGCTATGCTAGTGTGTGAGTGCATGCTAGTGTGTGAGATGTTCAACAAGGTGGACATGGCATGGACCCTGTCTCCCTGGAACTCACAGCTCGTGTGGCCATGTGGGAAAGTGTTCCTACAAATGCCACTGTGGCTTAACTTAGCTGCCCAATTAGCTCTGCTTGCATTTGGAATGTACTCCAGACGTTTTCTTCTGAAGAGCTCTCTATCTCTCCATCACCTAGAGTCGTCTGGAGCCAAGAGCTAAAAGAGGTTGGCTGGGTGAGCCCGGTGGGCTGGTTTGCGGGAGGCTTTAGATGTGGGGTCTGTGACTGCGGACGTCATGTTATGGGAAGTGGGAAGTTATCTTCTTTTAGAAGAAGGAAGTTGAGTTTTGTAAAGGAGCTGACCCTTGTTCTTGGGCGGCTTGGTTGGGAATCTTCTGAAGGCAGGAGAATCGCTCAGTGATCCATCAGGAGCTCCTCTAACCTGTGGGGTTGGGGGCACAAGGTGAGATCTCTGGTAGCTTCCCACTAGTACCATGAGCCAAGGTGGCTGCTGCCCTGGATTGACAGCACAGCTAGGAGAATCTGCCTGGATCTCGCCAGGGCCAGTCTGGTCCTGGTCATGTGTCTTCTCCAGGAGTCCACAGAAGCTGTCCCAGCCCCAAAGCTGAGGGCCGTCCTCACAGGATGTGGAAATTCCTGATCTGACTCAGTTTTCCACCTTCAGTCCTCTTTGAAGCAAGGCAAGGTGTAAACAAACAAAGGAAGAAAAGCAAAGCAACACTTCCAGCCTGCGCTTACAGACCTCACAACGTTTTAATCTAAGGTCTGTTTTAAGAGCTGCTAACTCTTTTTCCAAGATTTATCTTTTGATTTTCTCAAAGAATTCACCCACAGCAGTGTTAGCACTTCATAAAAGCCACAGATACAAAAATACAATCTTTATTATAACACATAACAATTTTATTTCCTACCAGATGAGAAAGATTCAAGGGAGAAATTGCTATTGTCCAGTTATTTTTACATTCGAATAAATTGCAAATCAGTCTCTCAGGACAACATGTCCTGTCTTAAAGCATTTAACTCACTCTCGCAGGGAGAAACGAGCCAAATGTGCTTGGAAACACTTGGAAACGCTCCCTGTCACATGGCTGCAGGACAGCATCCTGGTAGTTTTCCACCCTGTCATCTTCTCAGCCCAAGGGTAGCATCAGGACCAGGAAGCTGGCAGCCATGGCTAGAGGCTGAAGTCTCTGCATCAGGTGTCAGGGTGCTGGGAAAAGACTAGAGGCCAGAGAGCTCTCCTCAGCCCCCTCTCCTCCATCCACTTCTAGCTTAAGCTCCTCATGAAACCGTGGAGACCCAAGATCAGGGTGCCTTGGGAGCTCCCAGGATAACCCTGGTGGGGAGCAGTCAGCCAGGACACCCTAGAGAGCCTGGAGCTGAGCTGCGCCTTGCAGAATTCCAAGGAATGACTCAGAAAGAGGAGGGGTGAGAGGAGGGTGGGGCACCACAGGAAGGTGGGACCCCAGGGAGTAAAGTCGTGGAAGCCTGGCATGGAAGCCTGGCACTAGGGGTAGAGTACCACTGGGTGTGGATTGAGACTACCTTGTAATAGGATGATATCTAACTGGCCACATCAGGCATAGTTTCACAGGTGTCACTGAAATCATTGAGCCTCCCAACACTGGCATGCAGTAGGAGCTACTGCTGTCCCCATTTTATAAGAGAGGATGCTGAAGTGCAGAGAGATTATGCAACATCCCAAGGCACGGTCCCCCAGCTACCAAGAGCAGCAGGGGTATTGATGCCCACGAGGTCTGGCTCTGGAGCCCGAGCACCTTTCTGCCCTTCTCTACTGTGAAGGGGCAGTGGGAGAGTCGGCAGGGGCTGCACTGGGGAGTGTGGCAAACCCTCAGCTCAGCCTCGATTGCTCGGGGCAGCAGTCCACCCACCTGTGTTTCCCTGATGTGGCCCCAGCTCAATCTGTGGCCTCCCCTGCAGCTCAGGCCTTCAACATTAAGAAGTGTAGGTCTCTAGGGGACCTTCTTCTCCTTCACTGTCTAGTTAATCTCCAAGTCCTGCTCAATGTTTCCTGAGTCCACCTCACCGCCTCCGTCTGCACACTGCTGATCTGGTTTCATCATCACCAGAGCTTGTGCTTCTGTGATGCAGATGGTTCCCATCACTGTCTCAGAGGGCTCTTGTTCACAAGCAGAGCCCGGCACAGAGAAAGCTCTCACAATGCCCAGCACTTGGGTGCGTGCCATGTGTCTACCGGGCCCTTCCATGTCCTCCCAGCCCAAGGTCAGCCTGCATTTCCTGGCCTCGCCTTCGATGAGGAGAGTGTGTGACTGAGTTCTGGCCAGTGGACTGGGGCAGAGTGACATGTGCTGCTTTTAGGTCCAATCTTGAGGTCCTATGCTACTTCTTTTCCCCCCACTTTTGCCAGCCAGATGAGGACACCAAGACCCTGGGATAGTAGAGTCACAAGAAGAGAGACACCTGGATCCTCGAGTGTCTTCGTGGAGCGAGAACTTTCCACCCCATCCCTGCCAACCCACAGCAATGGGACATGGATGGACAACATGCCTGTGTTATGATATATCATATAACTTCACAAATTCAGACGATGCTAGTATCTTCATCATTCTCTTACAGTTTTAAATGTAAACATTTATTTCTTTAATGAGAAAAAATAATTCATTACAATTAAATACATACTTTTTTTGTGAAAATTTGGATTTTGCACTGAAATGCTCTGGGATATTTGATTTGTGCTTTGGGGGAAAAATCTTGTAATCTTATCTCTCAATAAATACCAAAATTAATGCCAGCTATGTTAGAAGTAATGATGAAAATAAAAATTTAAAATAGCACCTTTGTCAGAAATCAATTCACAGGCCACATGTGTCTATTTCTGGTTTCCCTTCTGCTCAGTTCATCCACTGGTCTTGACTTGAGACTGTCCCACACAGTCTTGATCATTATCATTGTATTAAATTTTGAAATAAGGTGGTATAATTACCCCAAATTTTTCTTTTTCAAAATTTCACCAGCTATACTAATATCTTTATGTTTCTGTACATATTTTGGTTTCAATTCATCAATATCAATTTTTAAAAATTGCTGGGATTTTGATTGCGATTTCTCTCCATTTATAGGTCAATAGGGAGAGTTGTCACCTCAACATTTGCTACTTTTTATAGGTAAATCATCATTACATATTTTTAACTTAATTCCGTTTGCTTCAGATAAATACTCTGTATGATTTGATTCCGTTTAAATGTATTGTGACTTGTTTTATTGTCTTACATTGCAACTACCCTGGTGAATGTATCATCTATACTGGAAAAGAAAGTGTGTTCTTCATTTGTTGGGTGTATGTTCTATGATTATCAACTAGGACCAGGTGGCTAATTGTGTCTTCAGATCTTTCATATCTTCACTGTTTTTTGTCTTGTTCTTCTATCAATTGCAAAGAGAGAGGTATTATAGTTTCCAACTATATTATTAGAGAGTTTTTTCTTCCGTTAGTTCTGTCAATTTTTGCTTCATGTATTTTGGAAGTTCCTTCATTAGATATTATATACATTAAGTTTTAGTTTGTGTTTTTCAACTTCTTGATGGATTTTTTCAATTGTCACTATGAAATGGCCCTCTTCACCTGTATAACACTTTTCCTGGAACTTTACTATGTCTGATATAGCCACCCAAGTTTCTTTTGCTTCTTGCTTGCATGTCATATCTTTTTTAATCCTTTACTTTCACCTTATCTGTGTCTTTCCATTTAAAACGTCCCTCTCATAGACAGGATGTAGTTGAGTCTTTCATTTTTAATCTAGCCTGAGAAACTGTGATTTATAATTGGTGTGTTTGATCCATTTACATTTAATGTAATTGTAGATATGTTTGGGATTAAGTGTACCACTTTGCTACTTGTTTTCTCCATTCTCCCACACACTTTGATTCTTTTTCTTTTCTTTCCTGCTTTATTTTGGCTGAGTCAAGTATTTTTTAGTATTCCATTCTATAACCTCAGCTGGCTTTTCACCTATACCTCTTCTATTTTTCCTTCAGTGCTTGCTCAAGAGATCCACAATACTCATCCCTAATTCATCATGATTCATCTTGAGTAAATAATACGCCTTTTGCATACAATGTCAGAGCCTTCTCTTTTCCCTGACTGCCTATTGTGCTCTTGCTGTTACACATTTTTCTTTCATATATGATATAAATATCAAAATTGATTATTATTTTTGCTTTAAATGTACATTTCTTTAAAGAACTCAAGAAAAGAAAAATATTAATATTTTAACTTCATGCAGTTGAATGTGTTGATCACCCTGTAACACACTATGTTTTCTCCTTTTGGTTGGCAGCAGATACATCCAATTTCTGCTTGCTTTGGCTTGCACATCCCAGTGCCTTCAGGCAGTCATCTTTATAATAACCTAGATATTTGTCTTTACAATTGACCTGGAGTTTATAATTCCATTCATGGAAAGGTTAGTTCAGTATAAGCTATTTTACCATTCCCAGAATTTAGAAGTAACATAATCCATTTCTATTCTAGAATGAATTGACTTTAAGTATCTGTATTTATTTGTATGGGTATTTTAATTGCCATATATATGTACATTTCTGCTTCTGAATGACACATGAGCTAGCTTGAATAATTTAGCCATAAACCTTTTTATAACAGCTTTATAGAGACACAATTCACATAACAAAAAAATCATCTCTTTAAGGCATGTAATCCAGTGGATTTTAGTATATTAGTATATTCGCAGAGTTGTATAACCATTCCACTATCTAACTTTAGAGCATTTTCATCACCTCGAAAAGAAACCTTGTACTCATTAACACTCACTCTGACATCACCCTCAAACAACCAGGGGCTGGGCAACCAATCTAGCTTCTGTCTATCCAGGTTTGCATATTCTGGACATTTCATACAAATAGAATCCAGCCTTTTGTAACTGGCTTCTGTCACTGAGTACAATGTGTTCAAGATTTATCCATGTGTATCACGTATCAGCACGTCATTCATTCTTATGGTCAAATGATATTCTATTTTATGGATATACCACGATCAATCCCAGTAGCATTAACAAACCTATTTATGTGGTCACCCATTACAGCACTGTCCTCTAGTCCAGCTTTTATGATAATAAAGCTGCCATTTTGGTTCTAGCTGTCTGGATCCCATCTTCTCTGACATGAGTCACAATGTGGGTGGAGATTGAGGGGTGTGTTTAGTAGAATTCTCTTTTCCAACCTGAAGTAATTACAGCAAAATGATAGCATCAAGGAAATCTGAGAATGAGTCCATGGGATTGCATTTTACTATTTACCGTGATTTTTTAATGCGTTGGAAAAAATTTTTTGCTGAAATTATTTTAGGGAACTTGACTGTGAAAAGAAAAGATTACAAGGACATTAAAAAATAACCCATTTAATTGTGTTAATATAATTTAAAAATTCTGCTCATGGCTCTATAGCTCCCTGCAGGATGAGAAAGGTAAAGGAATTTATGGGATTAGACACGGTAAATTTATTCCACAGAATGATGCTGAACTTCTTCCATTGGAAAAATCAAAGCTAAGGTCATACTGACGTGCTTGGGGCTTGGGGGGTAATTGTCCTTTATCAAACTATGTGTCACCAAACTGAGATAATTTGGTGCTGGTCAACACAATCTAGAAAGGAAAAGATATTGATTTGTAGAACCGCCAATATTTTCTCTCTAAAAGGAAAGAGGAGTTGAGCTAATTATAAATAAAACCTCACACTTCTCAAAGAAGCCACTGAAAGATGCGTCCTCTGACTCTGGTGTGACAGTCCTGTGGGGGAGAAGGAGTGGTGAGGAGTGAGCCGTGTGTCTGCAGGCATCTGAGAAGACCAAGAGCTGGCTGCAGACGTCGCTGAGGCCGGGACCTCCTGACCTGCTAGTGCTCCCCTGCACTGATTTCTGAGCTTACATCTGGCCAAGAGCAAATGGAGAACAGGCATCCCAAAAGGACAAGAGAGGGAGGGGTGGGTTGAGCATGCCCGGCTCCACTTCTCTGGTGTTAACATGCAACCCAAGCAGACAATGCCTCAAGACTCAACCCTGCTGGGAGGATGAGTCTTAGCCCATCCTGAGGGCTGCGATCTGAGAGAGAGAGAGTTCTGAAACTCCTAACATTTTATCCTGGAGCAGGAATGGGAGAATTGGGAGATGGGGAAATCCACACACTCCTATCTTTGTGCACCCTCCCAACACAATATAACATATCAATAAGCCTTTCTTTCTTTCTCTCCTTCTTTCTTTCTTTCTTTATTTTCCTTCTGTCTGTCTTCCTCTCTTTCTTTTCTTTCACCCACAGGAAAATTCATTTCATTGTTAAATATTTTTTGGAAGGGAGAGGCATTACATAAAATTAATTTATAAATGTATCCCTAACACAAAAGATGTATAACTGTAGTTTTCAAAATTTTATTCTAAAAATTTTCTCTTCTCATTGTAATTTATTTTTGTATATGGTGTGAAGTGGGAGTTTAGCTTTTTTTTTTTAATTAGGATGATAAACCATCATTTTCACACTGAATTAAAAGAGTTCCTTGGTTTTATATTAAATCCCTCAAGATATTATGTTGTATTTCTGAACCCTATTCTAGTCTGCTCATCTCTCTGTGTCTATTTTTATGCCGTTTGAGATTTTTTTAATAATGACAGTGGCTTTGTGGCAGGTATCTGGTATATGGAGTGCTTTCTCACTAGGTTTTGTGATAAGTTCTCTTGGCTAATTTTGAACATTTATTGGGTTTCGTGATCTTCTTGATGCTTGTATTATAGGCCAAAATAAAAGTGTGGGTTTAAAACTGTATCATTTCATTCATCTTATTATTCATTCAACAAACATGGAGCTCTCAGTAGCTTCGGGCTCCGTTGGCAGCAGTGCAGATTTGCTGGGGAGTGAGACAGGCAATCCCACTTTCCCATAGCTCACTCTGCAGGAGAGGAGATAGTGGGACACTCGACCATGGAAATCAGTAAAACACTTGCTTAGAAAGTGATGAGCAACGCAGAGACATAAAGCAGGGAGAGGCAAGTGTGAGGATGGATTTTGCCTCGCCAGTTTCCTACCCGGGCCTTCGAGTGAGTGCAAACAGCAGGAAGGAGGATGCCTCCTGGTGACAGCAGACCTAGCACTGCCTGCCCAGGCCTGGCAATGACAAAATGAAGTTATATCTTCAGCAGGTGCATTTGTCAGGGCTGCTGAAACCAAGTATGACTAACTCGGCGGCTTAGAGCAACACAAACTGATTGCCTTGCAGATCTGGAGGCCGGGAATCAAGAATCGAGGCGCCCACAGGACCACTGTCCCTCTGAAGCCTGTAGGGAAGGGTCTTCATTGCCTCTTCCTAGTTTCCGATGGTTTGCCGGCACCTCTGGTATTCCTTGGCGTAGAGAGACATCACTCCTATCCGTCATCCCTCTGTGCGTGTTTACGTTTCATCTTTCTAAGGACAGCTGTCACATTGGATGAAGTCCCATCTTAAGGATCTCATTTTAACTTCATTTCCTCTACAAAAGATCCCGTTTCCAAATAAGGTCACATTCTGCAGTACTTGGGGTTAGGACTTCAACATACCATTTTTTGGAGACAAAATTCAACACATCAGAGTAAGGTTTTGTAGGGCGAGCAGAACTCAGTCTCTCCACCAGTTTAGAGTCATGGCCTTTGTCAAACAATGGGAAGTTCCCCTTCATAAAACCTAAAAGGCTTTCCTATTCTGAGACACTCTTCCTGATGAAAGGGCAGAGGTGATGGAATAAACCCCTGGGTCTGAGGACCTCCGCCCCGGAAACTTTCACCGTTGGCTTCTGTGCCTGCCCTAACTCATGCCCAAGACCCGTGTTCTACTCATGTCTACTTATTTATTTAAATTATTTTTCCTTTCTACTTTCTTGAGCTTTATCTTGTTCTTTTTCTAATTTTTTTTGAGTAGGACGTTTCAGTCATTAATTTTTATCATCTCTCTCCCTTGTCAAACGTAGTCGTTTTGAAGGTATAAATTTTATTTTAAGTACTGCCTTGACGGCATCACACGCATTTTGATAAGTAGCATTTTCATTAATTTTTGGTTTCAAGTCTGTTCTCTTTTCCATTTTCTTATCTCCTTTTAACCACAAATCATTTAGAAATGAATTTTTATCAAATTGCAGTCAGAGAACATGATCTGAGTGATATTGATGTTTTTTCGGTAGTTTTGAGACTTACTTTGTGATTTGAAATGTGGTCAAGTTTTGTAAAGGTTCTGTGTGCTCTTGAGAGAAGGATATTTTATTTAACTTGGGTGGGTGTGCAGTCATGTGTCACCTAGACCTCTAGGTCGGCAACAGACTGGATTACAAGGGTGGTCCCGTAAGATTATAATGCTGTATTTTTGGTGCACCTTTTCTACATTTAGAGAGGCTTAGATACACAGACACCTACCGTCATGTTTCCATTGCCTGCAGCATGCAGTACAGTCACACGCTGCACAGGTGCGTAGCCCAGGAGCAACAGGCCCTACCACATAGCCCCAGTGTGCAGTAGGGTGGACAACCTAGGTTAGTCCAGGTACACTGTCATGTCCACACAACAACAAAATTGGCTAACGCCACATTACTCAGAGCATGTCCCCCTTGTGAGGCATGACTGTAGTTCTATTTATGTTTGTTTGATCAAGAACACTCACTACGCTTTTGAAAGATTCCATGTCAGGGGTTGGCAAACTTTTTCTGTAAAGGGTCAGTAGTAAATTATTTTTGGCTTTTTGGGCCAGGTGGTCTCTGTGACAGCTTCGCCACTCTTCCACTGTAGCTAAATAGCAGCCACAGGCAATAAAGAAATAAACAAGTGAGTACAGCTGTGTTCCAATAAAACTTTATTTACAAAAACACGCAGGAGTTAAGGAGTCTCTGTTCCCTGTGCATATGGATGTTTATTCAGCTTGATGCATCAGTTACTTAGCAATGTATTAAAGTCCACCATGAGGGGTGTGTGTGTGTGTGTGTGTGTGTGTGTGTGTGTGTGTGCGTGTGTGTGTGCCTGCATATGTGTGTGTTGCAGAATTTTCTTATGATTCCATACGGATCTGCTACATCTATTTCAAGGACATGTTATTAAGTGCATACTTACTCATTATTGGTGTTTTATTCTCATGAATTAGTCCTTCAATCGTTCTAAACTAGCTGTCTTTATTCATAATAATGCTTTTTGCCTTAGGTTTTATTTCATATATCAGTATATTTGCACCAGCTCATTTGGAGCTTTATTTTGTGTTATTGGCCTGGTATGAATGATTTCTCTCCCCATGCTGCCAATCTTTTCATGTCACCACATCCTAGGTGGCTTCCAGGGGTTTGCAAAACAGCACACGTGCTTGTCTATTTTGGGGTGTTTTATTTGTTTTTGTTTGTTTACTTTTTTGGTATGTGGGACTTTATATTTTAACTAGTGAGTTCAATCCTTTTCAATGAATCTTAGATTACTGAAATATTGAAGTTCATTTCTACCTGTCCATTCTGTCATCTCTATTTGCCATGTTTCTTCATTTGTTTGTTTTATTTTCTTTCTTCTTTGTGTTGGTTTTACTGAATTGTTTTTATTTTCCTACTTTTTGTTTATGATTTGAAAATTACATGCTACATGTTTAACGTTTTAATAGTTATCCTTAATTTTTCACCATTTTTAGGCTTAGCAGAGTGTAATGTTAAGTAGCACATCTGTTCTCCTCATCAAAGGCCATGAGTGTTAGACAACGGCAACTTTGACTCCCTCCCATCTTCGATGTTGGTGTCAGGTATTTTCATTACTCTTGACATGTTCGTTAATTTTCATTGTTTTACAACGTCCCAGAGACCTACTCAGCCATGTAGCTATGTCTTTACTAACCTAGGCCTCCTTTATTCCTCTTTTTCCTCCAGGCAATGGGGGGCTCTTGTTAGGAATGAGGCCTTGTGATGCACCCCTCACCTTGCTCCTGCCTTTGTAATCTGAGAGGCCAGCACCGCCACCCCTTCATAGACTGGTCAAGCAGAGCTTCCTGGAGTGAAGGGGCAGGCAGAATCTCGGAAGCCCCCCGAGCCCTCTGTGACTGGCCTTTCCCATCTTGCTGTGTTATTTTCTCAAGGCTGCTCCTCATAAAAGCATCATCTACAGTGTTCATCCTTTCTTTTAGTGAATTACATTCAAAAGTAGAACCCTGGTCACTCTCTTTGAGGAAATATCCTTTTCCTTTGTTTTGTAGATACTGTATGTTTCTAGATGGAAATTTTGGGTTATTCCCACCTACAAATGTGCTCTCTGAGTAAATGTTTTGCTTGCTATCAGGGCCGATTGGTGTATTTGACTCCTAGGATACTATCTCGTGGCTGACCTGCATTGCCTGGTGCACTGTGCTGGACTGATACATCCAAGACCAAACTCCCCATCATCCCACTTCCAGCCTGTTTCTGCACCATCTTCCCCAACCCAGCAGACGGGAACTCCATCCTTCCACGTGCTCGGGACAGAGGTGGGAGCCTGCCTGGTTCTTCTGAGCATTGCTTTCTTTCTCCCCTCACCCTGTCATCCAGTAGCTGATTGGAACCAAATCAGGTTGGTAATCCCTTCAAAGTTAGCACAGAATCCAGCCAATTCCTCTTCCTCCCCTGACCCCAGGCTGGTCCAAGCACCATCATTCTCCTCCTATCACGGTTTTTTCTGTCTGGTCTCCTTCTTCTCCATAATTGCCCCACTGTAGTCAGCTGAGTAAAGAAAAAAAGGTAAGCTCTTAAAGAACTAAAGTGAGTTTTATTCAGAATTCTTACTGAGGACTGTAGCCTGAGGACCACAGCCTGGGAGGAGTCTTTCAGAAAGGTTCTGTCCAACTGCCCTGAAACAGCGTTTCAGCTCACAGTTACATCCAGGTGGTAGAGGTGCCATATGTGCAGAATCACATCAGACTTCCTGGACTTCACATGAAAGCAGGTTAGGGTGGAAGAAAGAGTTCCATCAAGAGTCACATCCAGGTTAGGGGTGGAAGAAAGAGTTCACGTGGCCATCGACTACAGAGGCATGTTCACTAACCCTGTCAGGCATTATCTCCTGTGTAGGAAACCGCAAGGAGCAGGGTCGTTTGTGTTTTAAGGCATATTAGTGACTCAGGCAAGAGATGTGGGGGGCTGTGTGCTCCATTCCATCCACTCCTCGGGAGAGCTGCCCATCATCACAGGGTCAGGGACTTTGTGAGATTTTGTTGGTAGCAGAAAAGACAAACATGGCTTCTTATCGTGGTCACTCTGCCTCACAAGTCCCCATTCAGGGCCAAAGGAATCTTTGAAAACATACAGCAGATCATACCACCTGCCTGCTCCAAATCCCACACCCTCACCCTGTCTTCTTTGCCCTCTTTTGTTTCTTATCAGATGTGCTTCAAGCCTGACTCTACTCTGGTCACACTGGGCTCCTCCATCCCTTGCCCGGCACAGAATCAGATGTCTGTGCTTGCAGCCCGGCCTGGACTGTCCTTCCCGCTGCTCACTCCCTCACCTCCATCCCCTTTTGAGGAAGCTCTGTGCTGACTAAAAGCCCTATTAAAATCCCAGTGTCCTCACTGCGGACACGCTCTGCTCCCTACATTTGTTTTACTGCCTCGCAGGTTTTTAATCTAACATCCTTCATATTTACTTATTTATTTACTTATTTTATTCCTACACACTGTAATACAAATTCTATATGTCAAGTAAAGAAATTTTGTTTGTTTATTCTCTGTTGCCACCCAACTGCTAAGAAGAGTGTCTGTCACATGGGAGATCCATTGAGAGTATTTGCTGGGTGAATGAGTTGATGGACAGAGGGATGGAAGAACCGATGATTGGTGGATGAATGAATGGATGGATGAATGGATGACATTTAGATGGGTGGATAGGTGGTGGATGGATAAATGAATGAATGCATGAATGATGGCTAGATGGATGGATGGGGGTGGATGGATGGATGAATGAATAATGGATGTATAGATGGATGGATGTGTGGGTGGATGACGAATGCATGGATGCCTGGGTGGATGAATGGATGGGTAGATTATGCATGCATGAATGAATGGATTAATGGATGATGGATGAATGAATGATGGCTAGATAGATGGATGGATGGATGGATGATGGATGAATGAATGATGGATGAATGAATGGATGAATGGATGGGTGGATGATGGATATATGAATGGATGAATGAATGATGGATGAATAAATGATGGCTAGATGGATGGATGACAGATGAATGAATGAAAGATGAATGGATGAATGGATGGGTGGATGATGGATGCATGAATGGATGAATGGATGAATGGATGATGGATGAATGCATGATGGCTGGATGGATGCATAATAGATGAATGAATGATGGATGGATGGATTGATGAATGAATGAATATTCAATGGAAGGATAGGGGGATGTTTTAATATCTGATTTTTCGTTGCCCAATGCTTGGTTCTCTGACACATCAAACATTTGTGATACCTGAAAATCTGTAGCCAGCAGCCAGCCTGTGGTTTCTGTAGTCTTCCTATCTAGACTTCTGCTTGGAGAGCTTTGTGGTGGAGGCTTCTTACAGGGTGATTTGCTGGGAGTTGGAGTCCTTCCATGGATGTTTTTTAGTGATGGCAGAGTGTGGGGACATAGGAACAAGATCTACCCTCCTGCCTGCCTCAGAAAGCACAACCGAGGAAAAGGATGACTTTCAGGACTGTTTGTTGTGCAGACCTTGTGTTGGAGCACGAGATAGACCTATGAGACTGAGGACACTTGTTCCTTTCTCCCCCATATGGCTGAGGTCACGTTATCTCCAGGGAAAGCAAGCAAAGGCCACCAGTTGTTGCCTACATCCAGTCCCTGTTGGTTATTGGGAATTCTTCTCTGATTCTATCAGGAATGTGAATGTCCACCGTAGTTTTCAGTGTTGCTGATTTCCCACCTTTGCTTTTCTATTGTGCATTCACAAGCATTTTAGCTAGAAGCTGTGCACTGCCACATCACTAACTCATGACGAGGTAGCTTTTTGGCCCGGAAAAGGCAAATGAGTCATTTTCAAAAGTTCACTCAGCAGTCTCCCGCCATGTGGCCACAGCACTGACAGCTTCCACAACTTCAGGGTCCCCTCTCTGTTTCCCCACTCTTAAGGGAGACGCCAGCACTCATGACCTGACCCTTTACCTTCCTCATTGCTCTTAGGTGACACCACAGAGGATACATGTCCAGGATTCATTTGGCGGCAGAGACCAGAGGCTTTTCGTTCCTTTTAATGGTGGTGTAGTAGACAAAGTGGACACCAGGCTTCACTGGATCATCCAGAGCACATCCTCAAGAGGCCCTCGAATCCCCCTTCAGGAAGCACAGAGTGATGGAATGAATGTGTCCCCCCAAAATTCAGAGGCTGTAACCCTAACCCCCAGCATGATGGTGTCAGGAGATGGGACCTGGGAGGTCCCACACTGACACCCTGATCTCAGACTTACAGCCTCCAGAGCTGAATTACCATAAGAAATATGTTTCTGTTGTTTCTAAGACACCCAGTTCATGGTACCTTGTTTAGCAGCCCAAATGGACTAAGACAGATGATGCTGGCTGCTCTCAGGTCACAGTATGGCTGTGAGGCCATCACACTGTCCACCAGATAAGCTGGAGGCAGGCTCAGCACTCCTGACCACAGTGACAGTGGGGGCTCGCATACCCCCTGTTCACCACAAGGAGAAGCCCGCCTGCTCAGTGAATTTCTGCATTTGCCCAACTTGGTAGGGTCAGAAACTTTCTCCTATTGGCTCCTCTCTGTGGCTGTAGCTCACAGCCAGTGAATAAGGCCATGCCAGGAATGCATCTGGGGCAGTCACTGCGATCACAGAGACCAAAGCCACCATGGCTTGTCCTCACAGCAGCTGCAGCCCGAGACAAGTCAGACACGTGCTCTCCCTTCCTGGCACGCCAAGGCAGTAGAATCACATGTAGATGCTCAGCAAGGGTCTCCCCAGCACCTCCCACATGACCCCATTGGGTCATCACGGAGAACTGTAATCTCCTCCCCTGTTCTGGGCTCAGCCCTTCTCCTCTTGCTCCCACAGGGAAACGTGGAAGTGCAGCTGAGTGTCCTGTGGTAGCCAGATGCCACGTGCCAGCCAGGTCAGCTCATAGGACCCACGGGGGCCTCCTGGGTCTGGGATGGTGGAGAAAGCCCCATTGTAAGGACAGATCCACACCTGAGGTTCCAAGCCAGCTACACCACTGAGGGACTGCATCTCCTCCTTCAAGTAACAACATCTCAGGCCTCTGGTGATGCATCTATGTGACCGGATTGATCAAGCCAGACCTAAAGGGTGTTCACTTTTATATGAAGGCTCTGACTTCTGGCAGAGGCAGGTAGCTCAGCCAGTGCCACGTCCCCTTCCCCCTTATCCCTTCCCCTTTTCCCCTGTGGGTGTGCAGCTGGGCTCTGCACTGTGGGCTACTCTCGGTTCACTTGTCTCTAGGCTCCAGGACTAATGACACGGCACAACAAGCCACCTCTTCTTCCCTCTCAAAAAAGTGACCACCATCCCCCGGTTGCATTCCTGCTGTCCTAGCGAGCTTTGCAGATCCTGATGCTCTGTCAATGTTTTGCTGAAATCTTCCCTTGCCTTTGAATTCGCCCGAAGGCATCCGGCAGACGTGTGCCCCCTGGAGCAGGCAGGAGGAGAGGGGCCTCTTTGCTTTCAGGCCAGACAACCCTGCATTCAGCCCCCATAATTAGATGTGAAAGAAGCTTGTGATACGACATTTTCCATTCGAACCCCGCAGGAGAGATGGTGAGCCAGGATCTTTGATGTCCGGGGATGAAACACACTGCAGAAATGCAAATTGAGGAAGGTGTGTGATTTTTAATAGGCAATGTGTTTTCTTCAACATGCTCAGCCTCCCGGGTTACAGAGGGGACTTCTGCAGCCAGGCGAGCCCTGTGCCATGGCCGTCTCCCTACATGCCACCTCTTGGCCCCCTGCCTGCTCTCAAGCTCTCTTCCCAGTGAGTACTGTGAATGGGGTCTTTCTCACTCAACCGGGTGCCCCCCGGCACCGTCAGCTTCACCCCGTTATAATAATCTCTATTTCCCTAATTAGCACTCCTCAGTGAGCAATTTGCCTCCTTGCCACAGCTCAGTCAGGAAACAAGAGCAGATGTTCTCCTGATGCTCCTACATTTGAGGCTGTGTGGCACGTTGAGAAATTGGCCCCAACCCTTCCCCTGCCACCCTGTATTTATACCACCTGCACTCACTTTGCTGCGCCCTCCCATGGTGGCAGGGCTAACCTCCACCCAGGACCCGTCCCTGGGAATGGCTTTGCCATTGGGATGTTCACAGCCGTGCCCCAGATCTTGGGAAAGCTTTTGATTGGACCTGCCTGCTCCAGCCCCTCTGTCTGCGCCATGAGAAGCGGTCCCCACCCTGGGCGGGGGTCCCCCACGGAACACGCGGGACGTGTAGAGCAGGCCACCCAGAAAAGCCACTCTAAGATCCGCTGATGTCGGGCTTGTGAGAAACCCCCTTTGTGTGTTGTTTGCGGCTACTGGGTTTTGGCGACTCCATTACGGGACTTAAATGAGTTGTCAACCCAACGGGTGTCAGGATGGACGTGGCGCTTCTCCGGTGCCCCGTCCAGTCCGTTTTCCTTTCATGCCTCCACTCGGGGAATGCCACCTTTAAATGTCGGATTCAGGCACAGAGAGGAAAAGGGATGACGGAGGAGTGCCGCGAGGCGTATTATCTGCAGCGCCCTGGCTTGTTCAGTTAACCACACCCTGCTTCCTTCCCCTGCCCAGGGCTGTTCTGGTTCCTGAGACAGGAGAGAAAGCCGGGAGGGCCAGGCCGGGGATGAACTAGCCGCTGGGGAGTGAAAGCCGCACACTTCTTGGAACTCAGGAGCCCGTGAAGGGCCGGAATGGAGAGCAGGCGAGACAATTGGGAGAAATGCCCTGGGGAAGGCGCTGCAGCCTCCCCTGCAGCTGGGCGCCCAGTTCATGGTACCTTGTTTAGCAGCCCAAACGGACCAAGGCAGATGATGCGCTCCCAGCGACCGCGTGGACACCCACGGGAAGGCTATGCAGCTTCCACATAAAACACGGAGCTGCCTCTCCTTAGCAGCCCTCCTCACAGTTGCAGACATCTGGAACCCGCTCCAATTCTCACTGGCAAGGGAACGAATGAATACACGGTGTTGTGGTCATACAACGGAATACTACACACCAGGGAAAATTCTACCATCTACAGTCACGCAAAAAATGCAGCAGCATGGGTCTTCACACAGAACACCAGGGGAAGTATGCGAACTGTGCGATATAACTCACACCGAATGATCACACTTGTATAAAGTCCCAAAACAGGTAATATACCAAGTTACAAGTCAGGAGCGTAGACAGATGCCTCTGCGTGGACAGTGCCCGGAAGGCCTCCTAAGCTGTGCTCCTCCAATGCTGGTAAAGTGTTGCTTTCTGATCTGAATATTGTTCACAGGAGTGGTCTCCATTTATGAGAATTCTTAGAGACATGCTCCTAGGCTATGAGCATTTTTCTGTGTGTGTTATATGTCAATTTGAAGTTGAACAAAGAAAGGCCAAGTATGGACTCAGAGACCTGGGGTTCAAAATCCACCACTACCACCTTCTCCTCCTGTCTTTGCAAGCTGGAGCAAGTCACTTCCTCCATCTGGAAGGCTGGGCTGATGCCACAGAGGGCCATTTGTAGGGTTAAATGAAGCGGCTCCTATAAAGCAGTCCATGGGAGGCACACAGTGCCTGCTAAGGGATGTGAGCTGTATTTATTGTTGGCATTACTACCGTTATTTATAGGAATCACATCCAGAAAGCATACCCTCCCATCCAGGCTCGAGGTGTGGAAATAAGGTAGTAAGTAGAAAAACCTCCCAAAGGCTTTACCGAATGGAGATCATCCAGGAAGGAGCAATTGATTAATTTTGAGCCCAGCTGCTGCTCTGTGAAGGAGAAGGAGACCACAGCCCCTGGCCCTGGGAGGCTGGTGTGACGCAGGCAGGCGCCTTTCCTGACCTCTTGGCTGAGCTAGGTCTCTGAGTCCAGACATGGGCTCATGATTGAGGGAGGCCCTGGAAGAACCATAATAACAGGAGTTTCCAAATCATAAAATGCCTCTTTCTTGTAGTTGCTTAATCTAAGAAAAGTCTGAACTTGGCCCTGCGAGGAAGGCGTCTTTACTGGTTGAGTTATATAGTGCAGATGTGCACAGGGAGCTCTGTGATAACTCAAGGTGTTCATGGCAAGGGTATTGCCAGTGACTGAGCAGGGAGTCAGAGGTGGTCGGGCACCTTTGGGAGAAGAGGCATTGATTGCAGCCCACATGGTAGCGAGGGCCAGGGAGGCTGGGCCCATCCATCAGCCCTAAAGACCAAAGCAAGCACTCAGCGTTTCATTTCATCTCATTTTACCTGCCTTTATGGCAGGACATGGTGCTTTCTCACGGACGTGGTTATTTCAGCCGTAACATTTCAACTGCAGGGATAAAATGTGGGTGCTTGGTGTCAGGATGCCGACTGGGGAGATGGAGAGCCCTAGCTGCATGCAGCAGCTCTTGGGAGGCCCTGTCCCTGCAGGATGACCACAGAGACCCAGGGTATCGGGACAGAAATGCATTTCCTATGTAATTACCCTGCAGATCCAAGATGGGAGTGAAGGGCCGACCACTGAGCATGTTGTGTGTGCAGGCACTCTATGTATGCTTTTGTGAGATTTATTTATTTTTATATTTATTTATTTATTTATTTATTTATTTATTTATTTATTTGAGACGGAGTCTCATTCTGTCGCCCAGACTCGAGTGCAGTGGCGCAATCTCGCCTCACTGCAAGCTCCACCTCCCAGGTTCACGCCATTCTCCTGCCTCAGACTTCCAAGTAGCTGGGACTACAGGCGCCCACCACCATGCCTGGCTAATTTTTTGTATTTTTAGTAGAGACGGGGTTTCACCGTGTTAGCCAGGATGGTCTCGATCTCCTGACCTCGTGATCCACCCACCTCAGCCTCCCAAAGTGCTGGGATTACAGGCGTGAGCCACCGCCCCCAGCCTCATGAGATTTATTTTAACAGCAAATTCATGAAGTAAGGCTGTTGATTTCAGGTTTTGTCATTGTAGTTTGTTTTTAGTGAGGGAACAGTTAATTAAGAAAGAAAGCAACAGAGTCCAAAATCTAGGAGAATATCTCTTAAACATGATTTTGCAAAAATTGACACCCATGGTTCTTGTTGTGGGAGATGTGCTGAAGCCTCCCACTCGATTTTCAACACATGTTACATTTTCTAAAGCCTTTAAGACTCAACAGAGTCTCTTCACCCCCAGGAGACTCCCTGACCCTTTAACTGACATTGATGTCTCCCTCCTTTGCACTCCTAGCAATGCAGTTAGCATCTGGCTCATTGATGTTTGGCCCTGTGTTGACACTTACAGAAGTCATTCCTGATATTTCTGTCTCCATCCCAGCCCAGACTGCCCAAACCTTGCTCTGCTTCCTGGTTGCCATTTCAGTTCGTGGAATCACCATGCATATGACCTCACAAATGGTTCTTCTTCATTTTTTTCTTTTGAGATGGAGTCTTGCTTTGTTGCCCAGGCTGGAGTACAGTGGCGCAGTCTCGGCTCACTGCAACCTCTGCCTCCTGGGTTCAAGTGATTCTCCTGCCTCAGCCTCCCAAGTAGCTGGGATGACAGGCGTACACCACCATGCCAGGCTGATTTTTGTGTTTTGGGAACACAGGGTTTCACCATGTTGGCCAGGCTGGTCTTGAACTCTTGACCTCAAGTGATGCACCCACCTGGGCCTCCCAAAGTGCTGGGATTACAGGCGTGAACCACCACTCCCAGCCACAAATATTCTTCTAAAAGCTCTGTCAGATCCCTGTCATGCATCTGACCTCACAAATGGTCCCTCTGAAAGCTCTGCAGGACACTTGCTTCTCACTGAGCTGCTGTGTCCAATGAGAAAACTGACACAGGTCAGTAGGAGATGCAGCCTGCAGCGTCCACCTCCTACTTTCTTGGCTGTGTCCACCCCTCTTCCCAATCCAGAGACAACTGTTCTCGCCCACTTTGCCATCAGAGGCACCATTTGCACTGCTCTCCTTGTCCCCAGTGTGTCCCCTCCTAAGGCCAGGGAGGTCTGATCTCATGAGTACTCTGAGCAAGGTGCCGCTCCAGGAAGCCATTGCCTTGGGCACATTACAGCTCCTCAGTGCAAAGTGCAGCCCTGTTGCCTGCCTCTGGCTCCTCAGTGCAGAAACACAGCCCTGTTGCCTGCCCCTGGTTCCTCAGTGCAAAACGCAGCCCTGTTGCCTGCCCCTGGCTCCTCAGTGCAGAAACGCAGACCTGGAGCTTGACCCTGTTGCCCTCCCCAGCCGTCAGGCCCGCCCTCCCCTCGCCTGCCAACCCCACATTTCGTTGAACTATTTCTAATTCCCAGGTTGCCCAAAAATTCCAGACCTCCACTCTATTACCCGTGCCATTTCTGCACCATGAAATACCTTCCCCTGATTACTCACTGAACTCCCCATGATCTGTCCAAGCCTAACTCAGACCCTCCTGACCCCGCTGGGTGGAGGTCTCCCTCCTTCCCCTTCTATTTATGTATGACTGTCTTCACGTCAATCCCAAGGTGGCCTCTGAGCTCCCGCAGAGCCGTGAACATGCTCACCTGACACCTAGCCCAGCTTATGCAGCAGTGGATGAGTGAATGAATGCAGGGAGTTTTGTTTTCCTTCCATGGTTTGTTAATTTTATCTCCACTGTGAGATTCTTAGGAAAGCCTTGTGTGTTCTGTGGGACGCTGTACTCACTGAATTAATGAGAGTGTCACCCATGGACCCACGGCTTACGTGGCTGCTGCTCAGTCCCTCTTCCCAATTCTCAGGCAGTTTGTGCTCCTGCAGACAACCAAGAACTGAACTATGGCGGATACTTCATGTCTCCAGCCTTTAAAATCATGACTGGCCCATGATGTACCTGGAATTAGTGGTGAATGGATAAATGAATGGATGAGTAAATAAATGAAAGAATTCATGGTAAGGCTGGTGTTCTTGGAGAAAGGGGTGTAGATTTATAAAGTAAAGCAAACAGAACTGAATTTGCACAACTACAAGAGGTAATACTTCATTCGATGGCTATAGAAATGATGGGGGGGCTGGATGGAAGAACATGGACTCATCGCTGAAGCAATGTAGGTGAAGGGCTTGAGGCAGTTGGGAGATAAAGTATTAATTAAGGAGTCATTAAAAACAATGCGCAAGAGAAGAACACAGATTAACAACCTAGAACGTGCTGTCACATACTGTTGCAATTGTCACACCAGTCCCTGAAGAAAGAAAGGCTCTTATAGACTGACAAGGGACCTAATTCTTAGCACACATAATGGTTGGGAAACTGAAGCCCCCTGAGGCGAAGTGTCTTTTCTTAGACAGGACCAGGTGGAAGATTGAAAACTAACACCCAGGTCTCCAGGCACCTGGTTTCCAGCAGGATCCCACACATCAGAGGTTTCCAAATAGCAATCAGCAGACTCACTGCATTAGAATCACTCAGGAGAGCCTGCACACACCCAGCTCGCAGCCCAGATTCTTGGTCAGCAGATCTGTGACTCAGCCAGAATCCATCACCTGCATCTAACTGTAGCTTCCCTCCTGCCTTTCTCTCTCTCTCTCTCTCCATCTACCTATCTCTATCTATCTATCTATCTATCTATCTATCTATCTATCTATCTATCTATGTATCTATCTATCTATGTATCTATCTATCTATCTATTATCTATCTATCTATCTATGTATCTATCTATCTACCATCTATCTAGCTATCTACCTATCTATCATCTATCTATCTATCTATGTATCTATCTATGTATCTATCTATCTATGTATCTATCTATCTATCTATCTATCTATCTATCTATCTATGTATCTATGTATCTATCTATCTATCTATCTATGTATGTATCTATCTATCTATGTATCTATCTATCTATGTATCTATCTATCTATCTATCATCTATGTATCTATCTATGTATCTATCTATCTATCTATGTATCTATCTATCTATCTATCTATGTATCTATCTATCATCTATCTATCTATCTATCTACCTATGTATCTATCTATCTATCTATCTATCATCTATCTAGCTATCTACCTATCTATCTATCTATGTATCTATCTATCTATCTATGTATCTGTCTATCTATGTATCTATCTATGTATCTATCTATGTATCCATCTATCTATCATCTATCATCTGTCTATTCATCCTTCCATGTCTATCTATCCATCCATATTCATCTATCTCTATTTATCTGTCTATCCATCCATGTATCTCTCTCTCTCTCAAACTACCCATCCATCCATCTGTGTATCTATCTACCTATCTATCTATCTAAATCTAAATGATAGAGATCTACCTATCTCTATTATCTATCTATCTAAAATATTCATGCATCCATTTGTCTATTTATATGTCTATCCATCTTGCCATTGGTAACTCCATTGTAAAAGAACAATGATTTTTATTATTTATAAAAAGGGCACAGGCTTATTATAAGAGAGCCAGGTGACTCAGAGCTGACAAAAGAAAAAGTAAAGATTTTGCAATTCTCAGAACCCAGAAATAACCATAGCTAATATTTAGAGAAGGTTATTTCAGACTTACCTTTATGGATATATAAAGATTGAAGGATACCTTGACAGACTGGCAGATAAATGTGGAAGCCAGATAAAATGGGCTTGTAAAATGAAAATGGGCTCCAACTTATCTAGTTTTTAATAAAAGAACTCAACGTGATTTTACTTGAAGAAGCAACGTAGAGTATGGGCTGAGAGACTCGGAGAAAAGACTGTTCACGCTCAGATCCTGATGCTACCGCAGATTAGCTGTGTAGCCTTATATGAGCAAATTAACCTAAGCGAGTCTCAGTTTCCTGCTCTGTAAAATGGGGATAATAATAATAGTAGATTCTTCATAGTTGTGGGAAGTAAAGGAATTAATAAACATAGAATGCTTCAAATAGTTTCAAGCGTAAAGAATATAAACATTAGATACAAATTAAATGAAGAGAAGTTAATGAAATTAAGAAGTTTCAAATAAAGATTTGTTCATAAGAGTTACTAGTTTCAAAAATGTGTGCACAGTGTAAAATGCATTAAGATGTTGGAATTATTGTATATTTTATGACAACTCTATTGAGATATAATTGGCTTCCCTTAAAATCACTCATTTAAAGCATACAATTCAGTGATTTTAGTATATCCATGAAATAATGCAGTCATCACCACTATCTCATTCTAGAATATTCTATCACCTCAAAAAAAAAATCCTGCACCCCTAAACTCTCCATTTCCTCCAGGCCCCAGCCCCTGGCAAGCACAAATCTATTTTCTGTCTCTGTAGATTTGCTTATTCTGGGCATTTCATCCAAATGGAATCATACACATATACAGCCTTTGTGAAGGGCTTCCTTCCCTTTGCATAATATTTTGGAGGCTCATCCACATAGCCTATATTGGTTTCATTCCTTTTCATGGCCAAGCAATATTCCATTGTCTGAATACACCACATTTTATTTATCCACTCATCTGTTGATAGACATTTGTATCATTTCCACTTTTTTTTTTTTTGAGACGGAGTCTTGCTCTGTCACCCAGGCTGGAGTGCAGTGGCGCGATCTCAGCTCACTGCAAGCTCTTCCTCCAAGGTTCATGCCATTCTCCTGCCTCAGCCTCCCAGGTAGCAGGGACTACAGGCGCCCACAACCACGTGGGCTAATTTTTTTTGTATTTTTGGTAGAGACGGGGTTTCACCGTGGTCTCAATCTCCTGACCTCGTGATCCACCCACCTTGGCCTCCCAAAGTGCTGGGATTACAGGTGTGAGCCACTGTGCCCAGCCCACTTTTTGTTTTTTGTGAAGAGTGCTGCTGGAAACATTTGTGCATAAGCTCGTGTGTGCAAATGTGTCCATTCCTCTTGTAGGAGAATCATTAGATCACGTGATAATTCTATGTTTGACATTTTGAGGAATGGCCAAACTTGCTTTAGCAGCCGCTTCACCATTTTGCATTCTCATGTACAGTGTATGAGGATTCCAACCTCTCCACATTCTCACTAACACTTGTTGTTTTTGTCCTTTTGGTAATAGTCATCCTGCTGGGTGGTGGTGCCATCTCATTGTGGTTTTGACTTTCATTTTCCTAAAGTTTAATTATGTTTAGACTCTTTCCCTGTATTTATCGGTTATTTGCATATCTTCTTTGGAAAATGACTTTTCAAATCCTTTGCCCATTTTCAAATACAGTTTTTAAAAATATCTTTTATTATTCAGTTGTAGGAGCTCTTTGCATATTTTGGTTACACGTCTCTTATCAGATATATTATTTGCAAATATTTCCCACATTCTGCAGATTCTTTTACTTTCTTGACAGTATTATGCAAAGTACAAAATTTTAATTTTGATAAAATTCAATCTATTTTTAATTTTGTTGCGTGTGCTTTTGATGTCATATCCAAGAATATACTGCTTAAGCCAAGATCACAAAGACTCATTCCTATGTTTTCTTCTAAAATTTCTATAGTTTTAAGTCTTTCGTTAGATCTGTGGTTGATTTTCAGTTAATTTTTATATATGTTGTGCATTTGCAGTTTAACTTCATTCTTTGGCATATCTAGTTGTTTCAGCATGAGCTGATGAAAGGCTATTCTTTTCCCATTGAAAGGTTTTGGCATCTCGGTTGGAAATAGAATCATTGCATATTTTTATGTATGTGTTTCAAATTTGTATAGTAGTAATTGACCTTCTCCCATCAAAAGTGAATAATTAGCACAATTACACTTTGCTCCATTTCTATTATGCTATAACTTTTATTTTGTTTGTATTAATAGCTATGCCTCCTGCTTGGAATCCACCCAGCCCACAGCTTTCACTGTTAAATTTAGTTTAATATTTAATGGCTTCAGTGTTCATTCTTAGTTATTGGATGCTGCTTCTCCATTTGTGTTCATTTAGGCTCACCCCTTTGTGAGATGGATTTTTCTTCCCAAGAAGGACTTTTGGGTATTATTATCTCTGTATTTTTGCATATGGGAATGTCCGTCCCTTATCTTTATAGTGAAAGGATAATTTGCCTTCTTTCCTTTGTATAAACATTGCCCTACTGTGTTTGGGGTGTCTTTTCTTGACAGTTGCTGACAGGAAATCTAAGGCCAACCTCAGTTCCACCTCCCAACCTCCCTTAAAGATCCTCATATGATTTTCCTGGATATTCATGTCTTCTTCTGAATCTGTGCAGTGTTGATTCTTTTCTATTATTTCTCTCTTAGGCTATCACATATTGTTTTGATTTGCAGATTCAAGTATTTTATTACTTCAGGAAAGCTTTCTTTTGTTATATGTCTACATACTTTTTTTTTGTTCAGTTCTTCAAAAGTACCAATTACATCTTGTATTTCCTTTGTCTTTGTCCAGATGACATAACTACCATCTTTCTGACTGGAGTCAGTTCCCCATCCCATCCACGAAATTGTACTACCTCTAACATAGCCTTTAGTTCTGGAAGGTTTTTATCTGTTTCCACTGTTTTCTCTTGTTGGCTCATAATCTCTCTTTAAACAGTTTTGTTCTATTTTCTGAATTGTTTTAAAGATAGATCAGGTTACTCTTGATGTCTTTGTGACATGAAAAGCTTTTCATTGAATTATAGAATCACCATCATTCCCCAAGGGGTGAATTACCTTGCAAGGCACACCTTTTATCTGTCTTTTGCTTGTGTTAGTTTCATGGTGACCCCTGCCGCAGAACTCATAGTCCAGGCATAGGAAAATATCTTTTAGGCTGGGTGCCGTGGTTCACACCTGTAATCCTAACACTTTGGGAAGCCGAGGCAGGCAGATCACCTGAGGTCAGGAATTTGAGACCAGCCTGGTCAACATGGTAAAACCCCGTCTCTGCTAAAAATACAAAAATTAGCTGGGCATAGTGGCATGTGCCTGTAATCCCAGCTACCTGGGAGGCTGAGGCAGGAGAATCACTGGAACCCAGGAGGCAGAGGTTGCAGTGAGCCGAGATCGTGCTACTGCACTCCAGCCTGGGGAACAGAGCGAGACTCTGTCTCAAAAAAGAAAAATATGTTTTAAAAAGTCCTTGGTGTCTGCCCTGGCGAGGGCTGTGATTCTCTGAGGCCCTGAGCTCCAGGTGGCCCAGGAGAGGTGAGAAGCCAGCCTGGGCAGGAGGCAGGGATCCAGGCCTAACTGGAGGGACAGCATGGACTCCATGGGAAGGAAAGCGGCACCCTCCACCTGCAGGTGTCTGCGCCCCTCTTTGTCTCACTGGTAATTAGAGGGCCAGTTTCGTAAATCCTATTTTTGTTTTTCAAAATCATATTTTTAAAAGCCCACTGTTTGTCCTGTTTCCACTCTGAAGTCCCTCTTCACTGACAACATCTGGCCTTTTTAAGGGAACTGAGGTCATAGAAGGACAAATCTGCATGCAAACACAACCCCGTTAGCAGGGCAGGGTGGTGTCCCTCAGGGAACTGGATTAGATCAAAGCAGAGAGGCGCAACCTAGATAGTACCGACCATTTTCCTCCCATGCCAGCCCACCTGTGTCATCTGAATTTCAGTTACTGGGGCCTGAGGTAATGAGGAATGTTGTTTAATTGTATCCATGTTTCTCTCTAGGTTCAGCATAATTTGCCTGATTGGCCACTGGTCTTGGAAAACTTACATTACCTGCTGCTCCCCCAGGCTCCTCCCCTGCTCTCTTCCCCCAGGCCCCTCTTCCACTGTCTTCCCCAGGCCCCTCCCCTTCCCCCACCCCCTTCCCCAGGACCCTCCCTCACTGTCTTCCCCAGGCCCCACCCCTCCCCCACTCTCTTCCCTAGGCCCCTCCCCCACTCTTTATTCTCCTCTATCCACCTACCTGTGTCCCAGCCATCCCAACTTATTTGTACCTTTGTCAACTGTCAGGGTTTTGCAAACTCAGCCTCTACCTACACCACTCCCTGTGCCCAGAATCCTGTCCTCACCTATTGTCCACACGATCTCACACTCCCCTCTCATGCAGCTCAGCCTCTACCTACATCACTCCCTCTGCCCAGAATCCTGTCCTCACTCCCTGTCCACACAACCTCACACTCCTCTCTCCTGCAGAAATACAGATGCACTTCCCTTCCAAAGTTTCCAGGAAGTGCCGAGTGCCTCTGGCCCTGGTGCCGGTGTGCTTCCATGACAGTGTGCAGGTGCCTTCGGACAGTGCCGCTTTAGAAATCTTTTCCTAGCAGCCTCTCTGTAGCACAAACTGAACTGTTCAGGAAAAAACATTTCTGCTTTTTCCTGGCCACTCCCCCTGACTGCATTCTGCAGTTCCCTTGTGGTCAGGTGTGGCCATGTGACTGAGTCCCATGCAGTGGATTACTAGTGGAAGTGGCACACGCCCGGCTCTGCCTGACCCATGGCACAGCCGCTATGCCTCTTCATGATCTTGTCTTCCCCTAGCAAATGCAGGGCACCTGGAAAGCCGCACAAGGAGAAAGCAGAACCGCTGTCTGCCTGGATCCCTGGAGGACCACGTGTAAGAGAGTTGACTTGCTACCCTGGACACAAGTCAAGAAGTGTTCATTGAAAAGGAAATCATTTTCTTATTTTTTAAGACATTAACATTTCAAGATCTGTGTGTAATCTCTTCCTAGCGTACCACAGCGATGACAGAACGTGGTATACTGAAGTGCAGTATCTGCAGCATCAAAAATCTAAAGTAGACGGCATCGGCTTAGCGTTCGCTGATAAGCACGGGACAATGCCACACGCCACATTCGGGAAAGATGAATCTGGGTGAAGCAGCGGAGGCAGCCACAGTGGAGGCTTGCGCTGTGCAGGGAAGAGCCAAACTACGAATGTGTGAACTGCTTGCTCCTTGTCACAGCCCACATTTACAAGAAAGAGGCAAGCTTGGGGAAGAATGAAATAGTCTGCAAATCAAAACTAAAGGGAATACAGATCATCCAAAAATTTAGGTTGGAAAAGTGCTTCTGGATCCCAAACAGCAGGAAACAAGATGGAAAAGGCGTTGAGCTTCAAAATCCCATTAAGACTTCTCAATTAAACAAAAAAAAGTTAACCAGGCAGCAAAGAACAGATTAAGGATACTGTCTATTTACCAAATCCTCTTTTTCTTCCTCTGATAGCCTCAAGGAAGTTGCCATTAAATTGACACAGAGAGAGAAGGGTATGGGAACAGAGAAACTAAAAACTAATGGATATTTACTATGTCTAGGGGGAAAAAAAGCAAAAATCTTTTGATATGATTATTGGCACATGGAAATGATTTTCCCCAGTTCCACTAAGCCCCCTCAGTTTTGTAGTTAAAGAAACAATACACCTGTATTACAGAAGGCTTTTACGGTATGAGCATTAAAATGATTCTGGATTCCCTGAGCTTGCACAGTAGGAAGTGGGCTGGACAAGCTGTGCAGTCCCCATGGGAGACATACTGACTGTGCCCAGGGTAGATGTGGCTGTAGATGGTGGTGGACAATGGAACACCTTCCAGAAGATAAGGTCAGGGCATGAGGAATGACAGGCAGAGGACTTCCTAATGGAACAGCTTCCCACGTTGGGCAGGGGAGCTAGGCCCAGCCTTCCAGGCTTATCTATCATTGCATGGACCAGGACCTGCTGTGCACAGATATCCTTGCCTGGCTCTAGTGTTCCATGTTGGGTGTATGTGGGACAGGGTGAGGGGGAGACACATTGCTTCTCTTTTTATGTCCTAGGTCCCTGGACCAAGGGGATCCATATTTGGACCTGAAAGAGGACTGAGCATCTTCTGGAAATCCTGAACATTGAGCTGGATGGGACCTTGGTTGTCTCTCCTGGTAAGGTGGGTATTTTAGATCGTTTTCACCCTGCTGATAAAGACATACCCGAGACCAGGTAATTTATAAAGAAAAAGAGGTTTAATGGACTTGCAGTTCCACATGGCTGGGGAGGCCTCACAGTCATGGCAGAAGGTAAAAGGCAAATCTTACATGGCGGCAGACAAGACAGAATGAGAGCCAAGTGAAAGGGGAAACTGCTTATCAAACCATCAGATCTCGTAAGACTTACTACCGTGAGAACAGTGTGGGGGAAACTACCCCCATGATTCAATTATCTCCCACCGGGTCCCTCCCAAACACATGGGGATCATGGGAGCTACAATTCAAGATGAGATTTGGGTGGGGACACAGCCAAACCATATCAGTGGAGGAGTGTGTTCTGTATGTGATGAACTTGACAAATGGATATTTGGTGACCAGAAAGTCAAACCATGACAGCAATATTCACCAAAATCCATTTACTCCTCTTCTCGGACACACAGTGGCCCTGCATTTCCAGATCCCTTTGCAGTTAGGAGGGACTGCAGGACGGAGTCATAGCTCATGGAATAGTTCTGACCCAGAACACACCCCATGTGTGCACGCCATCCCTTTCCCCTCTCTGGCTAATGGTGTTGTGTTGTGCAAAATACATGGAACAACAGTCAGCCAGGATCCCAGAGGAGATCGTTCCCACCGGATTATGCAAAACCCAGGACTTTCAGTGATTTTCAAAAACCCACTTTATCTCTAAGCCACTGGCATTCAGACGGGTCTATTGTTACTATGGTTCAGCCTACCGTAATTAATGTGCTTGCCCAGTGGACTGATATTCTTGAGGGATTTGTCTCCTTCTTATCTGGAAATATTTGTCAAGGGAACTTTCCTTGACAATGGATTTATTCCAATGGCCCTTACATAACTACAGCTATTGCTTCGGAGGTTGCTTGTAGGCAGAAACAGAGTCTGATATTTGACTTTTTTCTCCCCATAGTAAGGTCTTGAAATACACAACATATATATAAGTCTTTGTATTGGTCCATTTTCATCCTGCTGATAAAGACATACCTGAGATTGGGCAATTTACCAAAGAAAGAGGTTTAATTGGACTTACAGTTCCACATGGCTGGAGAGGCCTCACAATCATGGTGGAAGGCAAGGAGGAGCAAGTCATATCTTATGTGGACGGTGGCAGGCAAAAAGAGAGAGAGCTTCTGCAGGGAGACTCCCCCTTTTTTGTTGTTGTTGAGATGGAGTCTCGCTCTCTTGTCAGGCTGGAGTGCAGTGGCACGATCTCGGGTCACTGCAACCTCCGACTCCCGGGTTCAAGCAATTCTCCTGCCTCAGCCTCCCGAATAGCTGGGACTACAGGCAGGTGCCACCATGTCTAGCTAATTTTTGTATTTTTAGTAGAAGCGAGGTTTCACCATGTTGGCCAGGATGGTCTCGATCTCTTGACCTCGTGATCCACCCGCCTCAGCCTTTTAAAGTGCTGGGATTACAGGCGTGAGCCACCATGCCTGCCCGCTGAGACTCCCATTTTTAAAACCATCAGATCTCATGAGACGTTTTCACTACGTTGAGAATAACATGGGAAAAACCCATGCGCACGATTCAATTATCTCCTACCAAGCCCCTCCCATAACACGTGGAATTAGGGGAGCCACTAGATGAAATTTGGCGGGCAGGGGGGGCAGGAAACAGAGCCAAACCATATTAGTTTTGAATGCCAGTGCCACAGATAAGAAATGGATAAGTGTTAAAATTAATAAAAGGTAAGTGGGGTCCCAAAAGCCTAAGAGCTGGAAAGATCTGAGCACAATTGTGTGTTATAAACTGTCACTGGCAAGAGTGTTTGAAGGCAGGCAACCCTGGAGGTAGGGCTGCCAAGCAACAGAGTTAGTCACTGGTGTGGGCCTCTGAGAGAGAATGATAGAAATCATGTTGGGGAAATCTGAGACAGAAAGGACTTTTCCTAGTGTTCCGGGTGAAGCCTGCACAGAATCCAAGACTTACAAAGGAGAGGCCCTGTGGAAGAGGCTGAGCAGCTGCCATGGGTGCTTCACCACCAGACATGTTCAGGCAGAGAGGGTCTCAACTCCTGCAAATCCAGGCTGGAATAGAGCAGTGTTTAAGTATTTTCCTTGTGAGAAAATGTGGGAAGAATGAAAGGTCCCTTCTGGTCATGGAGAAGGATGCTATTGATATAAACAGGTACCGTGCAAGCTGCAGGCCATGGAGGACATTTGCCACCGTCAGCCCAGGCAGAGGGAAGAGAAGCTTTTTACCCAGCACCAGTGATTTGACTTACTATTCACTGATGCCAGCAGGCAAAAGAAGGGAACTGGAGATTTGATATCTCTCTCCACCCCTCAAATTACAGGATCACTAAGTCCCTTCCCATTCTTAATGGGGGATCACCAAGGAGAAGGAAGAGTGAGCCACAATCCACGAGAGGGTTTGTTCCCAGTTGAAATTAATGAGAAATACTAATTTGATTGTGTATACCTTAAATCGGCAAGGTTAAAGTTTCTATTTCAGTGTGGTGGAGTGAGAACTCCGCGTAGAAACTAGGCTAGTTTGAGGATGACAAAAGCTGTGTTTCGATCCACCTAAGTTTCAGCTGATAAAAATCACTCTGTAACACACAGACTCCAGTGCTGGGAGAGGCCTTGGGCCGCTTAGATGTTCAGCAGATACTTGATAGACAAATGGTTGAAACAAATATGCATTATTTATTTTTTCTCCCATTTAGCCTATCCTGACAAATTAGAACATCAGATTATTCCCTTTGTAAACATCACCCACTCATCCAAAGAGGTGTTATCATTACGACCGTATTGCTACTGTGTGTGTGAAAACACATCTGTGAGAAGTGTCTACGGTGCACCTGACGGGGTAGGAGTCAAGGAAATTTAATTATAAAACTTGTCATGTCAACTGAACATGATGTAAACTGATTGGAAACAAATCCAGATTTCTTTTGACAGGCTCTTTTAACTTGCTACGTGAGACCAAGGTAGAAGCAGTGTCCTGGAAATGAAAAGCAGGTGCCTGGGACGCAAAGGAGGCTTTGATTGGAGGTGGCTTCAAAGAGTGCTCTGCACAAATGATGCCCTGTTCTCTGCCCTGCTTTCTGTCCTCACATTTAAACACTGAATGCTTGGGTGGCACCTCTCGACCCAGATATGCCTTGACACATGGGAAGGTGGCTCTTCAAAGTTACCGGGTCAAAAACATCCAATTCAAGGAGTGTCTGACACTGTTCTTTTATTCAATATCGTTTTGGTGAATTGAATTGGTAAAGAAAGAAAATAATACTCATGGACTTGAATCCAATCAGCTCTGTATTGCAGCAAAATAACTTTCCAGTTAATCCGTTACCATTTTGTGTGCTTGCCTCTGCCTGGATTTGGCCATAGACTTTACAATCAGGGATTTGGGGGGTTATATTTTAATTATGGCCATAAAATTATTTAGTTTTTGGTTTTAGGAAATAAAAATAGCTTCAAGGTGAGTTTTGGCTGTCTCGACCTTTCATGTGAGCTGTCCAAGGGAAATAGACAACTTTCTGGATTCACCTTAACATCATTCCTACTAGTCGTTAGCATCTTTAGCAGACTTTCCTGAAACTTTGAAGTCAGTGTGTGTTTGTGCACACACACGTGTGTCTCTGTGTACAGACTGTGTCACATTACTGTGGAGCAACAATGCAATTTAAAACAAAAAATTGTGGCAGTTCTGGTTGTGGGTAAAATGGAGTAAGCACACTCCACCCTGTCTCTCCCACTGAAGAAAGAAAGAAAAAAAAAAAACCACAGGCAGGATGTATGGAACAGCCATTTGATGATTCAGAAAAGTAAACAGTAGCAGGCAGATTGGAAAATAAATGTCAGTATTAAAAGTACTGAATACCGAATTCAATATCACCTGCAGGCATTGAGTTCCCCACTCTGGACTCCTGCACCCTGAACTCAGTACATCCTGGAACCCCAAAGTGTCCACCTGAGTACAGACAGAGAGAACCCCAGGAGCACCGTCTAGTTAGACAAGGTGCTTATGGAAACTCAGAAGGGTGATGAAATTGTTCACTTCCCCTTTTCTCTTTACGCTGTTCTCCCATGCTCCCAAGCAATACAGTGGTGGCAAGACAGCAGCTGCCACAGGAGTCCCTAGGAGCCAAAACTACCTAGGAGGGATGCCTTCCTCTCCTGTGAAAGAAACTGTGCTCTCAGGAGGGTGGGGAAAACCCTCTTTGCTTTTCTTCTCTTTGTCTGCTCCTCCTGCTTGGCTTAATCTGTGAGAGCAGTTGCAGGAATGGGTGGTGGAGTGGGATAACTGGCTGAGGAATAAAGAGAAAGCTGAAATGTACCAAGAAGCTTGTGGAGAGGCAGGAGCTTGGGAAAGTGACCTCAGGGCTGTTTGTCAATGCCTGGACTCCTACTCAAGACGTGCCTATGTATATCTGATCTTAAATGGTATATGTAGATATTGAGAACTGAGCTGTAAAATAGTCTATTCTTCAAATATCAGACTTGCTACTGGGTGCTGAACACATGGAATACATTAAATAGCTTTGCAAAATTTTTGAAAATGAAACTGATCCTTGAGCCACAACCAACCAAAACCTGTTGGAACTGCAGGCCTGAATTCAGCTGAGGCAATTGCTAACGAAAACAAAAACATCAACATTTTTGATGTTTAAATAGGATTTAAACACAACTCAGCTTATCATAATGAAATATGCAGAACATCCAGGATATAGCCCAAAATTACTCAGTATAAAAAGAACCAAGAAAATCACAATTTACAAGAAAATAAACAACAGATGGCAATACTATCATGAAGCAGATGTTGGACATATCTAACAAAAGCTGTAAAACAGCTATTATAAATATGCCCCAACAAGTAAGCATAAACATTCTTGAAACAAATGGAAAAGAGGCAACCACAACAAAGAACCAGAAGATATAAAGAAGAACCAGATAACAATTTTATAACTTAAAACGATGATAACCCAAGTTATCCACTAAGTAGGATCAATAGGAGGCTGGAGATGACCAAGAATAGAGTAATAGAAATTAACCAATGTGAAAAAGAGAGGAAAAAAAGATTAAAAAGAAAAGACATCTACAACCAAAAACATGATGATAAAAATGCCAACATTTAAGAATAATAGAAAAATATTGATAGCATCCAGAGAAGATGCATGCATTTCTTTTGGAATAACAACAATTTTATTAACTGTGGATTTATATTCATAAATTATGAAAGGCAGAGGGAGGTGAAACAACATGTTTAAAGTGCTGAAGAAGAGAACTATTTATGAAAAATGTAAATACAGTGAAAATATCATTCAAGAATAAGGTGAAATCAAGCTATCCTAAGGTGAAGGAAAACTGAGACTTTATTTCTTGCAAACTTACTTTAAAAGAATTTATAAAGAAAGTTCTTCAGAAAAAAAAATAATGCCAGAAGAAAACTTGGAAACTCAGGAATGAAAAATTGGCAATGAAAATGATAACTAACTGGCAAGATACAATAGACTATTTTTTCTACTGAGTTATTTAAACTAGGTTTGACAATCAAAAGCAAAGTGGTACCATTTTCTGATAAGGGTTTCAATGTATGTAGATGTAATAGTAAGATGATTACAACATAAAGGGGTGAGAGGAAAGAGACCTGTATATTAACAAGATTTCCCCTTTCCACTTTAAGTGGCAATTTTAATATCAGATAAATTATACTTCACAACAAAGAAAACTCCCAGAGATAAAGAGGAACAAAACATAATAAAATATCAACCCACCAAGAATATATAACATCATAAACTTGAATGCACCTAATAATAGGTCTTAAAAATGCATAAAGCAAAAACTGACAGAAATGAAATAAGAAATATACTGATTTGGCTGGGCACTGTGACTCACACCTTTAATCTCAGCACTTTAGGAGGCCAAGGTGGGCAGATCACCTGAGGTCGGGAGTTCGAAACCAGCCTGACCAACATGGAGAAACCCTGTCTCTACTAAAAATACAAAATTAGCCATACATGGTGGTGCATGCCTGTAATCCCAGCTACTCTGGAGGCTGAGGCAGGAGAATCACCTGAACCCAGAAGGCAGAGGTTGCAATGAGTGGAGATGGTGCCATTGCACTCCAGCCTGGGCAACAAGAGTAAAACTCCATCTCAAAAAAAAAAACAAAAAAAAGAAAGAAATAGACTGATTCACACCGTTGGAGACTTCAATACTCTTCTGTCAGTGGCAAATAGTGCTAGTAAACAGAAGCTAAGTGAGCTCTAGAAGAATGTAAAAACTCCATCAACCAACTGAATCTAATTGTTATGTATAGAATACTTCACTACTGGTGGCAGAATAAACATACTTTAAAGGGCACAAGGTGCAAAATAAGCCAAATCCTGGATCAGAAAAAATAAATGTATTTTTAATTTATCACAAAATAGATTTTATTTATCACAAAGCATCTTCTGTATCCATAATGGAATTAGGCTAGAAATGAATAACGTAAGGTAATATGAAACTCATCAAACACATAAAAATTAAAGCACGTATTATTAAAGAAACCATGAGTCACAGAGGAAAACTTTTGAGAAATTAAAAAAATTGTGAACTGAATGAAAATTAAAATGCAACACATAAAAAAATTAAATGCAACACATGAATTAAAATGCAACACATAAAACTGTGTGGGAAGCAGCCAAAGCAGTGGCTTAGAGTAAAATGTATAGCACTGAAAGCTGACATTACATAAGAATGGGCAAAAATCAATAATTTAAGTTTTCACCTCATTTTAGAAAAGTAAAATTAGCAATGTTATTACCATTAAAATCAGCACACAAGCATAATTTTAAATTATTACTACTAATTTTTTGTTCAAAATTGTTTTTTCATATAACATCCTGTAAACACATATCTATGAACTCTGTGTAGACATGCTTCCTTGGATTTTACGGTTTGGCTTCTCAGATTTCACTGCATTCATATGAACTTCTGAGAAATAGGACAGACCAGTTAACAGTTTTCTCAACTACAAAAAAGGATTTTGAACAATTTTTAGAGTCACTTATTGATAAAATAATATATAGGTATGTCTTGTGACTTTCAACAACTTGAAACCACAAATTATCTTTGTGGTTTATTAACTAACTATAATAACTAAAAATAAAAAATAAACTTAAACTAAAATTAAAAAGTATTAACTAAAAATAAGGAATAGATTCAAAATGAGTAGAAGAAAGGAAATAATGAAGATAAGTAGAAATTGATAGAATTAAAACCACAAAAAACAGATAAAATCAATGAAGCCAATTTGTTTATTTAAAAAGAATAATAAGATTGTCGGGGTGCAGTGGCTCATGCCTGTAATCCCAGCACTTTGGGAGGCTGAGGCAGATGGATCACAAGTTCAGGAGATCAAGACCACCCTGGCTGACACGGTGAAATCCTGTCTCTACTAAAAATGCAAAAAAATATTAGCTGGGCATGGTGGCACATGCCTGTAGTCCCAGCTACTCGGGAGGCTGAGGCAGGAGAATTGCTTGACTCTGGGAGGTGGAGGTTGCAGTGAGCTGAGATTGTGCCACTGCACTCCAGCCTGGGCAACAGAGTGACACTCCATCTCAAAAAAAAAAAAAAAAGAATAATAGGATTGAAAAATCTATAGCAAGGCAGAAAAAGAAAATAAGAAAGAAGATACAAAGTACCAACCTCACAGACATTAAAAGGCTAATAAGAGAAATCACTACAGACCTCACAGACATTAAAGGGCTAACAAGAGAATACTGCAAATACTTTACACACACACTTGACAAGCAGATGAAATGTCTAATTCCCTTGAAAACCACAAAGTACCAAGTTACATTGAATATGAAATAGGTAACCAAACACATGCTATACCTAATACAGTATAGATTCCCAATTAAATCCCCTTAGCAAATAAATCTCCAGGTGAAAGAATTTTCATGATAAAATCTCTGAAACAGTTAAAGGAGACACCGCACAATCTATTCTAGAAAACAGAAAAGGAAACATTTCCCAACTCATTTTATGAGGTTGGCATTTCCATGACACTGAAACTAGGCAAAGACAGTGGAAAAAAACAGACAAACATTAATACAGAACATCCCTCAGGAACAAAATGCATGAACACAGACATATTCCACAAAATAGGAACTAAATAAACCCGGCAATATATATAAAATGCAAATATATGAATGTTGTATATAAAAATATATACATATAAATATACATTTATGTTATATATTTGTATTATATACATATAAGCTATATTTACATAGAGATAAATAAACACGTATAATATACCACGACCAAGTTAAGTGTGTCCTGGGAATGAGAGGTATTTGATATTAACAAAATCAATGTACTGCGCCATATGACCAGGCTAATAAACAAATCACTGGTTTATATTACTTGAAGAGAACAGTTGACAAAATTTAACATAAACACTCTTCGGAAGGGAAACCACACATGCTCACCACACACGCGCACACACACATACACACACACACACACCACTTGCAGTTTCTGTGGGGCCCCAGAGAGAGTTTATCTTTCATTCCACTGTGCCCCAACCATGCTGAACAGAAGCAGCTGGCGGTCTGAATCCCTGCAGAAATGGTGTCAGAAGGACTGAGCCCCACCCGACATCAATGAGAATGCATAAGTGCTACAGGCTGGAACTAGGAAACACCCCACTTCCCCCACATAACTCCTTTGAAAGAGGTAAGTTGGCCCTCAGCTTACTCCCTCCCTGATGGCAGAGGTGTCCATTCAGATGCAATGAGTTAGGGGAGCTGAGAAGCCATCAGTGGGGCCCAGGGGGACCCAAGCTTCCACCCCACCCACTCGCAGTGAGTCAGTGTGAGTCATCTCTGCCTCTGCTGGGATGCTGAGGGATGGGAGGCAGAAGCTGGACATACACACCCACCTGGCTCGTGGGCTGGACGTCAACAGGGCACCTCCAGCTAAAATACATTTAGGATGCCAGTCCTTTGTTGTATATGTGATTTGCAAATATTTCGTCCAATGCTTCAGCTTGTTTTATCACCATTAACAGTTTTGTTCATAAAGCAAACATTTTTAATTTTGATGAGGTTCAGTGGATCATTTTTCCTCTGAGGGCTTGTGCTTTCGGGCTCACATCTAAGAGCTCTTTGCCCAGCCCCAGATCCCCCAAATTTTCTCTCGTATGTTTTTCAAAAAGCTTTATAATTTTCGGTTCTACCCTGAAACCAGCCAAGTAAGGTGGATGTGTTACGACCTCTTCCACTCGGGGAACAGTGTCCTAGTTCTTAGAGGATGTTTCTCACTTATTCTTGCTGTGGGTCAAGTGTGGAAGTTAACGCCAATGGCCTGTTTGAAACAGAGTGCTGAGGCCAGAGCCCTGCAACGTCCTTAAACCCGGGTCACCTCTCCAAGGTGCTCAACAGGGCAGAAGTCAATGAACAGAGATTTCAAGCACAGGAGGAGCGGGCAGGGGGCGGCACAGGCGGCAGACCTGAAGGCAGAGCCCTTGGAGTGAGCAGGCAGAATGGCCTCCTGGAGAGGTTTCCGTGGGGCCAGGCTGAGCGCTCTGATGGCCTTTGTTCCCTGGTGGCTGTGTTTACAAGGACTAAAATAGCACTGCCAAGGAGACAGGCCTCTGCAGACGGTGCAGAGAAAATGAGGCTGAAGCCATACAGCTCAAGCTGAGGCCTTTCTGACTCAAACATTTATCTCACCTCCTGCCACCTATCTTGAAAGCCCAGGGGACCATCGGTAATGCCCACAGCACAGTGGCTGTGCCCAGAAGCCTGGGGAGCCCATCGTCTCAGCAAAGATAAGGCAGAAACACAGCAAGGGATATCTAAGCCTGACTTTCCTGGAGGGGATGTAGTCTGGGGTTGGGAGGACACATCAGATTCACCCATGCTGCTTCCCTAGGCCTCACCCCATGGTTCCAGTGAGTGCCCACAGCGTAAAGGTTTTGTCAGGTGCTCCTAGGTGGTTCTTAAGCACTGCAAAGCTGTGAGCTGCCACTTTCATCAAATTCCAAATAGAGGGAGGGTGCTGCTTGGTAGAGGAAGGCTGTCCAAGCACATGCACGTAAGCCGTTGAGGTTAAGGATGGAGACGATATTAGATTCAAAAACAAGGCAAGGCCTGGGATAATTCCAGCACGATGACTGTTGTCGATTAAGTGAAAACTTAGAAGTTTGGCTTCTGACGCTTCCTGGATGGTTCTCCTCTTGAGAAGAGACTTTGATGTCCAAATGCATATTGCCTTTTTGGCTCCCTTTGAAATGGCAACCCCGATCACTGGGTTTTAAATCAACCCTATAATTACTGATGCTACACAACATCTCCCAAATAATTAGGGAGCAGTCCGGGAATCACCGGTTATGAGATGTAACCAGAGTTCCATGAGGCTTTTAATTTGAGGAGTTATAAATAATGTTAAATGCCCAGGAGTTTCAATTAAAAGATGTTTACTTGTGTAAAATGAGAAACGTGACAGGGGGAGCAGGCTCCTTGTTAGTGAGGACTTGAAAGAGGACTGCCGTTAGTGGGCCCAGCTGCCAAACACCGTGCGGAGGAGGTGTGGGTCTTCCCCTCTCTGGAAATCTTCAAAGACAGGGAGGAGGTTTCAAACATTTTCTGAGTCAAAAACTGGGACAAACACTCCAGTAGCTAAATCAATCTCCAACTGCCCCCTCACCTTCCGCTGGAAACTTTAAAGTTCCTGGAGACTGTTCCCCCGGCCCCCACCCCAGGTGTTACCTGTTGCCAGAGATGGGTTGGGTGGTCTCAAACTTGGCCTGGTTGTTCTCTGTGTCTTGAAGGCTCTTTGGTTCTCTCTTTTCCTGATGTGAGCCATGTACGTCTCCCCTCCTGCCTGGGCTCGTGGGGCCATGCTCTGTGTTGTAAGCACAGGGGCGGCCCTGTCCTTCTCCACCATGGCCTGAGTAGGGCCAATGCCAGGAACTGCATTCTCTAAAGGTGCAGGAAGCTGCCATGTGCGTGAGGTCTCTAGGGATTCAGTGGTCTGCGATATGCCAAAATATTCCCTCCAAGGAGATGGGCTAACTATTGCATCTGGTCACTGTAGCCATGAGGAGCCCAATCCATCGTGGGTGTGGAGTCTCAGGGTTTGGAGGCAAGCCATGCACCGTGGGCTCACTGCTCTGGCCTATTTGCCAAGAAATCAAAGGCTGCTAGTTTTGAGTGGTGCCCAGAAAAAGAGAAGGCTCTGCAACGGCTTGTGCTCCATGCAAGCTGCCCTGCCTCTGGATCTCTGAGAGGCTGCAGATTGGTGGCACTTGGGGTTTCTGTGGTTGAGAGGGCGTCTGTATAGGCCTAGGTGAACTTCAAGATTTTAGAGCAACACACGCCCTCTCCTGTTTTTTGAGAAATAGCTTCTGGCTTGCTGCTGGGCCCTAGTGGGGATTAAAAAAATCTAACTGTGAAACACCAAGCATGTTAGTTTCCTGTTGCTGCGGTGAAACAACACACATTGATTCTCTTTACAGTTCTGAGGTCAAATGTCCACAGTGGGCCTCACTGGGATACAAGCAGGGCGTGGGTGGGGCTGGGGTTCCTTCTGGAGGCTCCTGGGAGAAACCGTTTTCTTGCCTTTTCCACCTTTTGGAGTCACCCACACTCCACAGTTCATGGCCCATCATCATCCCTGAACTCTGCTTACAGCCTCACGTCTCCATCTCTGGCTCTGACTCTCCCGTCTGCCTCTCCCCCATGGGGACACTGACATGGCATTGTTCCTTGGTGACCCAGGCACTCCTCTGGTGGGAAGGCATTGGGCTGGACCACTGCCATCCCAGAGGGAGCAGCGGTTTATCCTCGGTGGTGGCGGGGTCATTTTCTCTGGACACAGCTCTGCGTTTCTTGCCTCTGTCCAGACCTCCGTCTGCAGCCATGCTGGGGCCTCGCCCTCTGCTGTGCCTTTCACATGGCATCACCTCTGCGGCAGCATGTTCCAGGGATGCAGGAACAATGGACCACAACAGAATGGCTCGTACAGCCGAGATGTCTTCCCTCAAGTTCTGGAGGCTAAACATCCAACATGGCAGTGTCGGCAGGGCAGGACCACGCTCCCTCTGAAACCTCCAGGGCCAGGAGCCTTCCTTCCCTCCTCCAGCTTCTGGTGGCCCCAGACATCCCTTGGCTTGTGGCAGCTTCACTCCAATCCCCACATGGCCTTCTCCCTGTGTCTCTTCACGTTGTCTTCCCTCCGTGCATGTCTTCGTGTCTAAATTTCCCCTTTTTATAATGACTCTGGTCCTATGGACCAGGGCCCAGCCTAACGACCTCATCCTAACTTGACTATGTCTGCAGATCAGGTTGCATTCACAGGTACTGAAGTTTAGGACATCAACATATTGTTTTTAAGGGACACATTTCAACCCATACCACCTAATGCCCAGTAAACGATGCTATTTCTCCCATAGCTAAGAAATCCATGGGTTTGGGGATGAGGAAAGTGACTGGGAGAGGTTTCTTTTCCCATGACCTCAGATCATACATGAGCAAAACATGTGCATTTTGTCCTCCTGATTCTGGGCTCTGTAGGCTTAATGGTTTCAGCTCCCAAGGAAGATGTGTGTACCAGGGAGACAGCAAAGGCCCATTGACCTGGAAGCTGAGCCTGGCCATCCAGCGCCTTTGGTTCCTCCATGCCTCTGACCCCATAGGCAGTGGGGGGCTCTTGTGCTGGCTGGGATGACTGCTCCTGACCAAGAGGAGGCCCAGAGGCCGCCATGGGGGCAGGAAGGAGTGTACCCGAAGCCCAGGGTCCTGCAGCGCACTGTGGGGCCCTGGGTCCACTGGAAGTGTTAGTGGACAACTATATACAACCAACTGGGGCAAGGCCACTAACGACCCAGGCCCTTTGGAGATAAAGGTTTAGGTCCCTTCACCTTGCACAGATCTACAGCTAGTTGAGGACCCAGGTGAAGGCAGAGAGGACATGGGTTAATGGAAGAAAGAAGGTATGAAAACCTACGGTGTTAAATAACCAGGTGCAGAAACAAGGCTCACAGGAGCGAACCCTGCCGTGGAAGAGAAGACGCCCACTCACCTGTGATTCAAACATTGCTTTGTTTCCCCTGCTTCCCGCCTTTCTTGGCACCCAATGTAAGGTACTGTCATGGTGTTGACCCTACACATCAGGATTTAATTACAGAATGTCAGAGAAGGGCTGTGTCAGAACCCAAGAAATAACCTCCCCTAAAGATAGACACTGTGGGTTTTGTTGTCTCCCTCTTCAGAGACTGAGTGTGAATTTGGAGTCATAGGTTCAGCTGTGTCTTGTGGGACCTAAGTTTGAAATGCTCTCCCCTCTACCTGGATGTTCAGGGCAGGCAAAGGGGTGGCCCAGGCACTCAGATGACCAAGTAGTGGTCACTGCCAGGCGCCCGACGGTCACTCCATCACCACCGTCTTTCCTCTCCAAGGGACAACAGACTGCAGGAGCTATGCCTCCCAGAATCACCTCCCCTGTGGGTGAGGATTTGGTGATGATCTGGATGCCTGTGAGGCTGGAGGAAGAGGAGCAGGACCGTGACTCTCAGAGGAGCCACAGCCCTGCATACAGGCAGGTGTGGGACCCACAGTTTCTCCATGGGCACGTGGACACTCTCCTTGCTTTTTTCACTTCCAGGGGAGCGTTGAGGCAACACCCACCATACCCTTGGGCTGCAGGGCGCAGCTCTCCTGAACTCTGCGGTGACATTCCTGAGCCATGTTCCTTCGGCTTCCCAATGTCCATGTGAGTCCCCAGTCACCTCTCAGTTTCCCATGGAGGGACCTGGTTTCCTGACCAGCCCTGCGTGGACACCACCCCTTTCACTGTGCACCCCCCTGCTACAGAGAGGACCCTCTCTGGTTTGTCTTTGCTGTGTGTTTCTGCCTCCTCTGAGCTTCTGGAAGTCAGGGCCTACACTCCACACATCTCTGGGTGACTGGTGTCTCCGGTGAGGCCACCCAGGCGCAGTGGGTGGATGCTGGGCGGTGCTCGCCTTATGTGATCTGATCTGCCCCTCCCAGGGCCTTGAGGCCACACTGCTCAGATTTCGCCTGCCACAGAGGAGGCTTCTGGGCTGACTGAAAGCCACCCTGACAGGGAGAGAAGACACAGAGGATCCTGGGACCCCGCCTTGGGACGGGCAGCCTGCAGCACCTTCCCGTAGCCGCTGTCATGAAGTGCCACCATTGAGTGGTTGAAGCACCAGAAAGCGATTGTCTCACGGTTTGGAGGCTGGACGTTCAACACAAAGGCGTGGTTCCCGGGGAAAATGCTCCCCAGCTCCTGGGCATGGGGGTGCCTGCATTCTCTGGAACCCTTGGCTCATAGTCGCTTCACTCCGGTCTCTGCCACTGGCTTCACCTGGCCGTCGTTCCTGCGTCTTCTCTGTTTAAATTTCTCTCTTCTAAGGATGTCAGTCGCTGGATTAGGGCTCATCCTCCTCCACTAGGACCTTTTCTTGACTCCACTTCATCTCCGCAGACCCTATTTTTAAATAAGGTCACATGGCAGGTACTAGGGCTTTGAACTTGAGCTTATCTTTTTGGGAGACGCAGCTCAACCCGTAACACCTTCCACAGCCGTGACTGTTGATCTAAGTCTTGACAATGGAGCAGGGTTTATCCAGGTGGGCAGTGCAGAAAGGGGGCCTCGAGTTACAGCATGGGCACACACGCATCCTGGGGCAGCTGCCAGGACACGCACAGAGGGCTGGAGCAGAGTGCAGGAGATGGGCTCCTGGCTCTGTACTGGGCACACAGCAATGGGCAAACTGCCGTCCTGGCTCAGACATGCTCAGAAATAGCTCCATGAGCCACGGCAGGTGCTACTCTGGAGCTGGCTCAAAGGAAAGAAGAGATCTACAGAAGTGGGCCTTGGCTCTGTAGGGAGAGAGGCCTGGCGGTGGGAGGTTTCACAGGGTCAATGAGGCCTGACCTGGGACTTGGGGAATGGCAGGGCCTCCTCAGGCAAAGACACGGGGGAGGACTTAGAACAACTCTCCACTACTAAAATCCAGACCCAGTGTCTCCTCAATGTCTCACATTGAGGCCTGCAGGTCTCACATGGAACCGGCCTTCAAGAGGCCTGGCCTGGGTGGGAGCTGGGAGGGTAGGGAAGTTCTGGGAGTTATGTATCCCTGAAACTCCCAGGGCCTGGGGGAGGCCCCAGGTGGGGAACTGGAGATTCTCCCTGAGCCATGGATTAGGGGTTCAGATTTTAGGGGTGTTGATGAAGGTCTTGGGGAATCCACTGAGGATTTTAGAGAAAGGAAGACCATGATTAGATTCAAATGCCAGAAAGGTCTTGTTGGCCTTCAGTGAAGGCGTCAACAGGAAGGGACTGGAGGCCGGCAGATCACGGAGGAGGCAGCTGCAGGGGCCAGGCAGGGCTCTGGAGGCCTGGTCTTAGGCTGGCTGGGGCAGGGCAGGACAGGTGAGAATGGCTTCTCCCTCCCCTGCCCTCCTCCCTGTGCTTTGGTTTGGCTTTGATCTCTCTGTAAACTCATCACAAGAAAGAGCCCTTCTAACTCCCCATGAAGCTTTTCTGTGCTCTAAAGGCAGCGCAGGCTCACTCAGGATAGAAATGATGATGGATAATAGACTCCGAGAGCTGCTTTGGACGCGAAGGAGTGAAGAAGTGGATGTCACAATCAGTAGCTCGCTGGCAATTCAGACAGAAAAAACACCAGATGAGATTACTGTGGGAGATACTTCAGACAGACTTAATACATCAATGCATCTCCACACGCGCGTGCTGCCGCGCTTCCCACCAAGACGGGCGGCCGCTGTGCTGCCTGGCAGCCGGGCTCATCGCCACCAGACCCACAAGGCCTGGCCAGCCAGAAAGCTGAATTCTTGCTGCTGACTTTCCTGTCTTGTTATTTTCTTCACCAGCCAACAAAATAATTATCTGAGCAGCAGTTGCCAGAAATTGTGAGTTATACGGGGAATCATACATGAGGACAGTGTCATTTTAAATCATAGAGAAGCTAAGCTAGAAATAAACTTGTAAATGATTTAGTCTGAGATGCTTATTTCCCAGAAAGGGAAACTGAGTCTCAGAGGAAGGAATAGCTTGCCCCAAACCACATACTGTGTTTGTGGGTCACCTGATCCAGTGATTGACACACTTTGCTGTTTATTGGAATCACTCAGGGACCTTAAAAAATCCTGGTTCCCAGGGCACACCCCAGAGCAATCAATTCCCCAGCTCTAGGAGTGGATTCAGCCATATGTATTTTGAAGATCTTCCCAGATGATGTCACGGGTGAGCCAGGGCATTGACTCATTTGAGCTCAGCACCCTGCCCTGCATCTGAGGCTCAGGAAGGCCTGGGTTGTCCTAGCTCCAGGGCAAGGGCATCAGCTGGCTTCCTGTCCGTGGAGAGGCCACAGCCCCAGAAGCCCACATGGATGGTCCCCCTGCCCCTCCCCAAAGATGCATCCACCGCATCGCAGCTGCCCAAACCTTTCACCAAATGGCTTTGCTTTGTTTCCCCTGCTTCTGGGTGACAAGAAGCACAAAGTTAGAAATAGTTACGATGCTGGGATGTGTGTGGCTCTCTGAGGCTGTCAGAACCAGTCTTGTCAAAAGCCCTCATGTTGACAGCCTGAATTCTGCCCCCCATGCCAGCTGTGTTCATGGCAGCCCGAGGGAGGAGGGTCTGGGAGGGAGGCCCCCTTCTTCTTCAGCTGGGGGCTTCCCTGGTTCCGGGGGTGCTAGGCTGGTCCTCCCTAGTTTCTCACTTACACCCACGCCCTGAATGCTGCCTTGGTTCCCTAGCTCCCGGGCCTGGGGGCGGCATGGTTACAAGCTTCTCCTGTGTGGGTGCCAGGGCTGTGTTCAGTGCTCACTGTCCACGTGGAAAGTGCTGACGCTGGAGAAACAGGGTCTGGGCCTCTGAGGACTGTGGCGAGAAGCGAGTGGAGGAGTGGGAAGGGGTGTCCCTCTGAAGGGTCCCGTGGCACACATGCACTTGTTTGCTGGGCCCCTCCCACCACCCCCACCCTGGGCACTGGCACTGTGGCCTACATCTCTGAGGAGACTGGAAAGTCTGGCCCAGATGCCCTTTGCCACCAATGACCCTGAACAATGAACTGAAACCGGCAATTTGCCTCAATTTCCTCATCTGCAAAGTAGGGATAAGAAGAGTGCCTCCTGTGTGCCACTTTGAGGTTTGGGTGCGAATTTTGTAAAGCATTTATTACAGTGTTTGGAGGACAGTGAGTGCTGTATGTGTGCTGAGTAAAAATAAATAAATCCAGTCTACCCATGAGCTTTGACAAGCCCTCTCCCGGCACTATGCTAATTTCTCTCCTGACTGTGCTGTCGGTGACATGGCCTTCCCTAGCCAGGAGCCCCGTGGTGCCTTGCTACCTCTTCTTGAAGGATGGGAGCTCCTTTCCCTTCTCTATCCTGGTGCTGAGGAGTTGCTCAGCCCAGTGTGTTTGTTGATGGACTCATCAGGTGACCTCTATTTTCAGTGCATTGTAGCTTATGGTGTATGGAGACTGATTTGAGCTGGAAACTGGAGATGCTAGGTTAGAATTCTCTGTCCATTGCTGTCTGATATTGGGAAATTGCATCTTGACACCTCTGGAGCTGTTTTGTCTTGTCTGCAATGGAGAAGGACAATGGCACTGCTTCTGGATATTGACTTTGGCAGTGTCATCGGACTGTGCTGTAGTCTGTTAGATTTTGTGTGGCCTGGTCTGCTAGAATTCAAGCCAGCAGATTTGTATTTAAATCTTGCCACAAACTCAACGTGTGACCTTAGGCAAGTCTGCCAACTCCGCAAGTCTCAGAATCCTCCTCCGAAAAGAGGAGAATAATGAGCTGTGTATCGCATGTATCATGTAGGAAGGACAGTCACACCTTCCTAGCAATGGGCCAAGGCTTCTCTCTAACACAGTGCACTACTCCCAAAATCTGACTCACCGTTTGCAATCAGTCCATTGGTAGAGATTCTCATCACTAATTTTGGGCCTTGGTATGTTGAGCCCATGGGCCAATTCTGAGCCCATGTGTTATCCCATGGTAGAGTATAGAATCTGAGAAGCTACCCAGATCTTTTGGGAAATAATGAGCTGTGTATCACATGGCCACGGTGCAGATTCCCCACATAGGGAAAGCCCACAGATACATAGGGAACCTTCCTCAGGTGAGACGCCATGGGTAATAAGGTTTGGAAGAAGCGTGACGCTACTTAAAGGCAGGGTGGAGAAAACCACCTGTGTTCAGGGACATCCACCAGAGGCCCACCTGGAGATGACCTCAGCCTCAGGAAGGTCCTGCCCTGTGAAAACTGCAGGCAGAGTTGTGGAGGGAGAAGGGGCAGCAGCTCTCACACCTGGAAGCGAAGGCGGAGGAGTGAGGAGCAGCTGCTAGACACAGCAGAGACGAGACATGGAGGCAGGGGTGGAACCCCTTGTCCTGTGACCAAGGGGGAGGCTGGAGGAGCACACTCAACAGCAGGACCTTCCTATGGAGGGAGAAGCCCTGGGGGTGTGCAGGCCCCAGGGCTCATCGTGTCGCCGTTGGAACTATTAGGTGATGCAGAGTCTCCTCCACAGGGGAAGGAGTCACCGGCAGGGGGGCTCAACCATCACAGAGCAGTTGCCAAAAGAAGACCAAAGTCTGTAAACCCTTCAGGAGACCTTGCACTTTCTTAGGCCATGTCCAGAGAACACTAGCTGGCCCCTGTCCTTGCTAAGCTCCTTTGGTAGCGTATCTGGCAAAGGGCATTTTCTTCAGTGCTGGTTCTGGGGGAAACTCTCACAATGTCTCCCTCCCACAATCCAAACACGATGCTCCGTGGAATGGGTCAATTTCTGAGTTCTTGCATAAAACCAACTTTATTCCCAGGAAGAAAATTTTAGAAATTTTGCATCTCATTAGAAAATCTGATGCTCAAACAAAATAGGAAAAAAATATATCTTGTAGGGATGCAAAGAGAGTTCTCAGGATAACTATTCCAGGGAGGATGGAAGCAGAGGGCTGATCCAAATCTGTCATAGCAGTGGTAACAGCAAAGGGCCCCAGCCTTAAGAGCAGTCACAAAACAACACCAGGCGCTCGACGCAGCATTCAACAGGGGTGAAGCTGACCTGGGAATTGGGTCAGGTGCAAGACGGGAAGACAAGGTTTGGAAGGAGACAATTCCTGTCTTACAATGCCTCTGACAGGCTGACATGTGCAAAGGGAACAGGTCTATTCTGCGTGGCCATAGGGATTGGAACAAGACAGATGGAAGGAAATTACAGGGTAACAGATGTGGATTCAGAAAGAGGAAAAATTGTCAGAGCTGCCCAACTGTGGCGAGGAACCACATCGAACATTTGTTAAGCAAGTAGGCTGTGCCAGGCACTGGGCTAAGTACTTTGCATGCGTGAATTAGCTTGATTGATCTTCAGAACACTTTCTAAGGTAGATGTTGTTGTTGAGGGATGAAGGCATAGAAAACTTGTGCAACATGAGTTCACTTGGTAAGTCACAATTCCAGGATCCTGACCCTGACCAACTTTCTGCAGTGGATGTTCCTGGTAACCATTGCAGTCCATCAACCCTCTGGGAAATGTCTCATGCTTAGAGGACTTCTGGCAGAGGCAGGATGGAGTCCTCTTTGTCCTCTTCCTTGCATGGGCCACAGATCTGGGTAGCTTCTCAGATTCTATACTCTACCATGGGATAGCACATGGGCTCAGAATTGGCCCATGGGCTCAACATACTAAGGCCCAAAATTAGTGATGAGAATCTCCACCGACAGATTGATTGCAAAAGGTGAGTCAGATTTTAGAAACAGTGCATTGTGTTAGGGAGAAGGCCTGGCCCATTACTAGGAAGGTGTGGCTGTCCTTCCTACAGGATGACAAAACCTCCCCAAATTGGCTCAGCCATGGAAAGCATGAGGCAAAGCAGGGTAGAAGGACTCAGAAACTCCCCATGTTATGCTCTTTGTTCTTGTGTATTCAGTATCCCACAGAGAGTTTTTGGGCTTCAACCACGTGCAGAGTACTAAGAAATATGAAGTTGAGCAGAAGTAGCCACGTTCCTACTCTAAAAGGGAGTCTGATATCAAAGAAGTAATTATGTTGATTAATTATGAATGACACACAAAGATAGGAGTTTTTAAGGTAAAAGCATGGTTCAGTGAGAGTGCAATAAAGAAATGTAATGTGGGGAGGTCAAGGAAGGGTTCTGCGTGGAGAGAACGCTTGAGCTGGCATCTGGAGGCTTCATGGGTGCACAGAACAGACTGGCGGGGAGTGGGGCTAGATACTGCTTGTAGGGGATGAACCTGGTGCATGAGGGCTGTAGCGGGGATGCTGAGAAGTTGTATTAGTCTGTTTTCATGCTGCTGATAAAGACACACCCAAGACTGGGCAATTTACAAAAGAAAGAGGTTCCACTTGGTTGGGGAGGCCTCACAATCATGGTGGAAGGCAAGGAGGAGTAAGTCACACCTTACGCGGATGGTGGCAGGCAAAAAAATGAGAGAGTTTTGCAGGGAAACTCCCGTTTTTAAAACCATCAGATCTGGTAAGACTCATTCACTCTCATGAGAACAGCAAGAGAAAGACCTGCTCCCATAATCCAATCATCTCACACCAGGTGCCTCCCACAGCACATAGGAATTACAGGAGCTACAAGATTAGATTTGGGTGGGGACACAGAGCCAAGTCATACCACAGGCTGAATGCTGGGACATCAGAGTGGGTGAGGGCAAGCGGGCTGAGGGGTTTGTAGGGTGATTTCCTAGTAGGATATGGACAGGATGATGCCATTTTCTAAGGAGAATGGGAAGCCACCATAGAGTGTGCATGTGTGTGTGTTTGTGTGTGTGTCTATGTACACATGCATGTGTGCACATGAACATAGACCAGATCTGCATTTAGAAAAGTTTACTCTGAGCAGATTATTAAAAATGAATTGGAGAGAGTTTCTAGTGGCTGCGGAGACACCAGTGAGGAAGATACAATTGTAATTCCAGGCAAGTAAGGCAGGATAGATGGGTCACTTCAGCAGCAAACTCCAAAAGACTAGGCTTATTTCTTGCCCACTCTAGGCCTATGCATGCCAGGTGGTCTTCCTCCACTTTGCAGCTGAGCTGGGTGCCCCATTGTCCTCCAGGGAGGTAGAAACAAAGGAATGCACTGGCTTTCGGCTGCCTCTGTCTAGAGCAACCCTCATCCTTTATGCTGTCCCATCATTGGCCAAAATGAGTCACATGACCTCACCCTAACTGCAAAGGAGCCTGGGAAGAGCAGGCAAGTGGCTGGATGTGGGGTGAGTGCTGTCATTCATCCCCAAGTAGGAGGCTGTGCACAGTGACAGTGATGAGAAGGGCCCCTATCCAAGACCTTTTTAGAGGGAAGCTCTGAGGGGTGCGAGAAGAGGTCAGAAGTGACTGAAGTTTTGGGCTTTGGACATGGAATGGATGGTGATGGTGCCAGGCTGGGTGAGGACTGGGGCCATGGGCATTGCCAAATAGTTCTTGGGTCAGGTCAACACACCCTTGAGTCATCCTAGGGAAAATGTCCAGCTGGGTCTATGGACTTCAGGGTCAGAGGAGTGGTCTTTAAGGAAAATTCTTGAACTACTCATTGGACGTATTTTCTGGCTGTCCATCTCTTCCATTATTTTCTTGTTTGCTCTTCAGCCAGCTTTGTTACACAGTGGTATTCTCTGTGAAAGTGTCCACTTTTTTGAGGTCATTCCTAATGCTGCTTTTGGTGGCTTCTGCCTTTTTCTGATTTCTCTTGTCTAATATTGTTACCTTTGCGAAGCTCCAACTTTAGCTTTACTCAACCTCTTGTGTAGTCTTGTCTTTGGTTTTTTAGAATGTGCGTGCATGCTTGCCTTGGCTTCCCCCACTTTCTTTCTGACCCTCCATTGTTTTTTTCTATAGTTAGGTGGGATGCAGCAGAACCCAGGATGCCTCTGGGACTCAGTTTTCAGTAGGGTCCTCGGTGTTGGTGTCAAGGTGATTTGCTCAGACGTGGAGGGATCCCCGGGTCTGCAGAGGTTTGATTTATAGAGAAGAGAAGGGAAAGGAATTGGAGTAGATTGTACTGGACACTATTCACATGGCCACTCCAGGTGGTCATACATCTGACCACTGCACTCCCAGCCTGAAGATGTTGGGGTGTCAGGGCACCCAGCAGGCAGGAGCAGCCTCAGCAGCTCAGATCCCCGTGAATCATCCCTGGCCCTGCTTTCGGGAGCTGACTCCATGAGGAGGCGGCCTCTTGTTCAAGAAGTAGCCATGCTCCTGTGGTTTAATATTCTTTTAATGTGTCTTTTATGGCTGCTGCTTTCCGTCTTTTGGGTTTAGGAGCTGCCACGCCACAGTTAGAGAAATCAGACAATAATTGTCTCAGACTCCCATTGTTGTGGAATAATTCATCTCTCGCTGCCTTCTAGAAATGCCAACGCAGTGTAATGCTAGCGGAAGGTGTGCTCCTGTGCAGAACCCAGCTCCCACACCCAGCTGGGGCTTCCCCAGAGAGGCTGTCAGTGGTGTAGGAGGCAGCCTGGGTTCAGCTCTGGAGACCCCATCCACACCTTGGACGATCTGAGGACAACCCATGGAATCTCTCCCCAGGAAAATACACCTGTGCAGGTGCTTACAGTTTTGTATGACATTCGGGGCTCTCATGGCTTCTGCTCCTGAAGCTTATGTAGGGCCCCAGGTTAAGAACTCCTTCTTTGGAGCAAAAAGTAGTATAAAAATTCAGAATAGTTCTCAGGGGTCTTTGCTACTGCTCAGGGGTCAGGAGCATTCCTGGCTCTGCCTAGGGATTCATATGTGTGGGAAGAATGCTGATGATATATCTAGAACATAGAGCCCTGCTCTATGAAACAGCTGCATATACTTAGGAGGAAGTGGCTGTGTGTGTGTGTGTGTGTTATTTTTAATTTCTATGATTATAAATTTGAAAATCATGCATGACTCTAGCCACCAGTAAGAGCGGATTTGGAACCACTGCTTCCTATCTATATTCTGAAATGGGGTCCTCTCACCTATTTCTCTAATGTCTTCCCCAGCAGCCCCTTGCCCCTTTATTCCTCCACTACCTAGAATTATGGGCCCACGGTGCACGTCCCTAATAGATGCTGCCTCATAGGACTCCATGACTGCGCCCTGCCTTTTCAAACAAATTAGGAGAAGCCCAAGGGGTTTGCCTCTTGCTTTGATAGACGAGGCAGCAAAAGCCCAATTAAGTCATTCTGTCCTCTGGGCACCTGCTCTCAAGACAGCAAGAAGGCTTGCTCTTTCTTCTGTCCCACCAAATCGTGTCAGTCCAGTATCCTTTGATTAAATGGTGATCACCTCGACTCCCTGCAGCCCCCAAATATAAACTAGTCGAGGGCTGCAGACCCTGTGCACACAGGCAGCGGGGAAGAGAGCTGGTTCATGCACTAAATTGAAACACACAGAGAGAAGTGCTGAAGTGAAGGGGCCCCTCCCATCCTTGGATTGGCAGATCTGGGAGTCCATCCAGGGCAGGGCGGACTGGACTTGGAGCCATCACACCCCTCTCCCTCCAGCCGGCATATGCTCCTGGAAAAGATGCCACCAGCACCGCCCCACAAGCTGCAGACGTGGGAGCCCTGATGTGGCCTATTTATTATTTATTCAACTTTGACACCACATTAAGCAACCTCCTGAGGGAAGTGCAATTGGATTCACATGAATTAAAGCACACACAGGGGCGAGACCACATTTTGGCAGCTCCTAAAATGACAGAGTGACGTCGCAGTGTAAGCAGAGGCCGGCTTCCAAATGAAACATAAAGAAGCTCTTCTATAAAAAGCGAGAACTCGGCGAAACCTCGGCCAGTCAGAAGGAGAGGCCTCTGCAGACACGGAGCACACGTGTGTTATCAAGCGGGGCTGAGGAGTCTTCAGCTGAACCGTGCACCTGAAGATGCCCATGACTCCATGATCAGATAGAAACTATTGAGCTTGGCACCTGGGGCTCTGGAAATCCAGACACTAAGTTGTGATCCTGGCACCACTTCCCTGGAAACCCGTATCTGGACATGCCCACATCCTTCCGGCTTTGTGCCTCTTGTCTGGATTTCTTGGGACAGACACAGCAAAGCCTCACGTGTTCTGAGAAGTGACCTGGCCTTCCACTGACATTCTGTGAGTCCACCCTGGGTGTCTAAGCATTATTCAACTTATCCTATGGCATTTTTGGCTTTTGTCTGTTTGATCTCTTTTTAATATGAATTTGAGATCCATGTACACAGAAAATGATTTACAACATAGGTCACTGCAGGCATTTTTGGTCCATGATACAAACATTGAAGGTTGATGGCCGAACCCTCACAGCCCCCTTTGACATCTGCAGGTGTCACCCACAAACACTGAGAGCCACCCCCCCCTCTCCTGAGGCTGTTCCTGTCCCACCCAGCATGCACACCCTCACAGGCCTCCCTACCCTGCTGCCTGATCCTAACTTCCCCCAGCGCACTGAATGTCTGTGATTTACAACCTGGTGACACATTCTGAAAGGTTATACCTGTTATTCTTTTCATTTAATGCAGGAACTGTGTCTGTGGTCAGAGTAAAATCTGAAGGATATAAAGGGATGAAAGGTATTTAATCAAAAGGACCTGTTGCTAGGTGGGCTGGCAGGCAGAGGGTTTTGAAGGCTTGGGGAGAGAAAACTTAAAGCTGAGGTCTGGTGCCCTAGGCTTGCCGTGTTGAAGCATGATAAGAACCTGCTTGGGTTTTGATGGAATCTGGTATCATGATCAGATAAAGTTGCTCTGGGTGCAAGGCCATAGCCTACAGGAGCATGAGGCTCCAGCCTCCAAGAAGAAGTATAGCTGGGGCCGGGGCAGAGAACTAAAATTGGGTGCTGAGAGCTCAAACTAATTAAACCAACTATTTAAGCCTCTACTGTTTGCCTAAAGCTGTGCTAAGGTTTGTGGAAGATAAATAAAAGAAAAAGATATCACTCATAGCCTAATGGAGATTGATATTTGGATAAGGCATCTCTATATAAAGTAATCAAAGAAAGTTATTACAGAAGTTTAGGGAGGAAAGAGAGTGTTATCTTTTCATTGTAAAGGCAGGGGATCAACTCTAAATGGTTCCTAAAGCCCAGAAAGATTAAATAATTGACTCAATAATTAAGCATTGATTTAGTGTTGAAGTGACCAGAATGAGTGAAATTAACTAAAGGTGTCATGGTCAGGGAAGAGGCTTTGCAGAAATGGAAGGAAACAGCCCTCAATGAAGAGGACATGGAGTAGAAAATTCTAGAGTCCCTAACAAGCACACAGGAGAAAAGGCAAGGCCAAGGTCTTACTGCCTCAGCCAGTGAAAACACAAGCTGCTTTTAGATCCAGAGATTTATTCCTGACATAGATGCTGAAAGGAAGAGGAGCCTAAGGTGCCATCCTTGCCTCACAGGAAGCAAAAGGGCCACACAGAAGCAAAAGGGCCATGAGTGCAACAGAGCTGGGGCTCGCCCTCTGCCGAGGACTTGAATCCAGGCTGCAGCCAGACAGGTCTACCATCTGTGGCTCCATTCCCAAGAGGGCAAGGCAGGAAGCCCCACACATCACCAGAATCGAGAGGGCAGGAGGATCTGCATCCTACGAGCCCCCAGGGCAGACAGGGAGGGGAGGTGCATGGCAAATGCCTAGAGGCAGCTCCTCACCATGCTGGCACCCTCTTCCAGGAGGGTCAGGAGGCCTTCTCACCTGACGCAGGTTAGCTGTGGTTGGGCCCTTGCCAGCTTGGCCTGTGTGGGTGCTTGCAGAGCCACCACAGTACCACGGAGAGCTCCTGCTCTGCAAGACTGCAGAGGCAGCAGCCAGAGGGGCAGGACATTTGCTGGCATGAGGAGAACGTTGGTGGCTTCTATGTTCTAGATAGTATCCTGCACAGGAAATAAGTTCTCATTTTGGATTTTGGGGAAACTTCAGGCAGCTGTAGGTTGATCTTTACTGATCATCCATGTTAATATGGCTCAAGGACCCTTCTGAAATGGATCCTTTTCAGAGTTACATGAGGTGAGGAATGCAGGCTTTCAGATCCCTGAACCCCTGGCCTCCTGTAACTGGGCTGAGTGGCATCCATGCACCAGGCTCTATCTGATGCACTGGCATTAAATCACATTTATCTTCAAAATAAACTTCTGGTTTGTAGAGGAGAAAGCCAGGGACACATGCTTCTCCCCAACCCCTCCCAAACCCAGCGCCTACCCAGGTAGAAGAACAGATTAACTTAGTGTGAAAAAGAATGAAGAGAAGGAGAGAGGGATGATAGAAGCCTGGGTGAGTGATTGGAGGACAGGCAGAGAGATGGATGGATGGATGGATGGATGGATGGATGGATGGATGGGGGAGTGAATGAATAAATGGATGTATACATGGGTGAATGCATAGATTAATGGATGGATGGATGGATAGATGGATGGAAGGATAGGTGGGTAGGCAGGTGGATTGGTGGGTGGGAAGATGGATGGATGGACAGGTGGGTGGTTGGGTGGGTGAGTAGATGGATGGATGAATGGATGGTTGGGTGGAGAAATAAATGGATAAATCAACTGATGAGTGGGTGAATAAACAGATGGATGGACAGATGGACAGATGGATGGATGCATGGATGGATGGATGGATGGATGGGGGAGTGAGTGAATAAATGGATGTATACATGGGCGAATGCATAGATTAACGAATGGATGGGTGAATGGATGGATGAGTGGATGGATGGATAGATGAATGGGTGAGTGAATGGGCGGATGGATGGATGGATTAATGGATAAATGGACAGACTGGTGGGTGGACTGATGAATGGACAGATGGGTGAATGGATGGGTGGGCGGATGAATGAATGGATGGAAAGAGGGAGGAAAGGAGGGAACTACAGATGGGTGGATGAAGGCAAGCGGGAGGTCTGTGGGTGGATGGACAGATGGGTGGACAGATGGAGGGACAAATGAACTGCCACCATCCAGTGGAGACAGTGACAGAGGAAATTATTCCAAGTGCAGATCACAGAGCTGTGAAGTCACTATGTCTTCAATGTGGAGGAGGATCCTGAGGCCCATAAGTTCTCACTTCTTATTTTATAAAGAAAAAAAGAATGTCCCCTCTTACTTAGGTGAAGCTTTATGTGAATTATATGCCAGAGTGAGTTTTAGAAAAAACACAGAGCAGAGAACCTGGCTCCCCACTGCAGCAGGGAAAGTGGGGCTGCTCCCTGATGGGACACTTTCCCACCTCTCCTCAAAGTCCAAGATTCAGGAGGTTGCTTTACCTGCTTGAGTAACCCTAATAAGTAACAGTGACTCCTTGGTAAAGAGTAGCTGCCAAATAAGTGTCAGTTGAGTGACTAAGTGAGTAATTAAACGATGCCCCTCACAAGCTGACCCCAGCTCTCCCAACACACCCCCTCCACACTTCTGTGGGCTGCACAGCTGCACTGACCACCAGCTCTCAAGTGTGCCAGTATTCTGGACAAGAATAGGAAACACTGGGTATAGCGGGTAAGTAGGGGATGGTGGAGAGGCTCGATTCCCAATGTGATCTCCTTCCTGTTCCCTCAGTGGTTCAACAAAGGCAGACCCAGCAGCATTTGCTCCTTGATCATCTGGAATACTGACAACACCCTGGGCACTGGGAGGGGTGCTGAGCTTCCCCTGACATGGGACCTGGGCCCCAGGAGGTGTGATGAAATGGCACTGCCTGGACCTGCAGACGCAAGTTTCCACAGCCCCGCCTGAGGCTCTGTCCTCACCCCTCCCCTTCATCTATTCTGTCCCCTCCTCCTTCTTCCTCCCTGTCTCTGTTTCTTTGAGTAAGCTTGTTTCTTCAGCAACCCCAGGGACCAATGCTGCAGCAGAGCAAACAGACCTTAGGCATAAATCCTGTGCATTGTAAACACGATGGTAAACAACACAAATCATTTGACCCGTATGAGTTTTTGCCTCAGGTGTATGTGTGTGTGCCTGTGAATAGCAATGTGAAATTTCAACCATGCAGACACAGGAGTGCATGCCTGCACACACACACGCACGCACACACACATGCACACAGCATTATATTGAATTCCCAAAAAGCAATTAATGAAATATAATACTGGGGCTATTTCTGCACAATGGACTTCATGGAATGAAACAAACACGTTTTAATACCTGGCAGGTGTAGAGCATTGCTCCGTCTTCCACTCTTCTGCCAGGTCTCTCCAACCTCCATTTCAGTCCACATTTCCAGTTCTCAACAACTTGCCAGTAAAGTCCAGCCCCACCAGGACCACTGTCAATCCAGGTTCATCCCCGGAACAAGTGCCTGCCCCAGAGTCCTCCAGATCCCAAAGGTCTCTGTGGCCAACTAGTATTGTATTTCTTTGATGCCAAGGAACACTGTCCTCTCCATCCCCCAAAATATATATTGATTAGGATTTGCCATAAAATGCTTTCTCAGGAATGTTATGTGAATGAATAAAGCATCTTATATTAATACTTGAGGCAAAGCAACTCAGAAATGTGAGATAGCATGGTTTGGGCGAGAAGATAAAACCTTTCTCCAGTGACAAACCAATAAATAAGAGTATCCCAAAAGCAGTCAGGCCATCATATTTGTCCAATGGTAGGATGACTGAGCCCTCTTGCCTCTCCCACTAGTGTGCATGGATGGTGCCCTGGATTTGTGCACCATCCACTGCTTAGGGATGACCTCCCCAGGGTTGTAAACCTTGAGCATCCCTGACAACTGGAAAACACTTACCTCTGGTCTCTTCTTCCAATTTTATTACCACATAGTCTTCGAGACACACACATACAACTGAGACCATGCAGCTCATCCAGCCCATCTGAAATTTGATTGCATTTGTTGTAACCTCTAAGGGCTGCAAGGACAGGGAGGCTCCAGGGAAGAGGTTGTGACAGGAGTCGATGAGTCCTCCTAGGCCTGAATGCCTGAGTGTGGGCTTTCCAAATTGAGTTCTCACTGGCACATCAGGCTGTGCAAAAGGTGTAAGGATGTAAGTACTCTCGTCTTAAGGACTTTAGGGTATCTTGCAGCAAGCATTTATTTCCTCAAGAAATAGTGGTGTCTTCTAATCACACTGTTGATGTTATTTTCAGTGGCTGAAGTTTTCAACTCAAGATGGTCACCCTGCTTATCACACAGGTTTGTTAAATTCTAATCTGTGCTGGATTCCAGTTCAACAAATATTTTTGAGTACATATAGAAGCTAGGAACTGTAGCTGGGCATAGTGGCTCACACCTGTAATCCCAGCAGTTTGGGAGGACGAGGCAGGTAAATCACCTAAGGTCGTAAGTTCGAGACCAGCCTGACCAATATGGTGAAACCCCATCTCTACTAAAAATACAAAAATCAGCCAGGTGTGGTGATGCACATCTGTAATCCAAGCCACTTGGGAGGCTGAGACAGGAGAGTTAATTCAACCCGGGAGGCAGAAGTTGCAGTGAGCCAAAATAGAGAAGGACGTGCACATTGAATGTTGGAGGCATAAGGCCCAGCCCGCGGAATTACAACTTAGACCAAGAAATCGTGGGGAAATTATCAAATAGCACTCATTAAATTCAGATTCTCTCAGACCTATTTTATTTTAGAACACAGGGTTAATAGAAAGAAGGTGATAAAAGCTGCACTTGGAGTGAAATATTTGAAAACCACTGGTTTTAACGTTTTCTTGCAGAACCAGATGCTTCAGCACCTTGGAGAGCTCCACAAGACCCACAGACCCGGGCCCCCCAACCACAAGAAATATAATAAAATACTGCTTTGAGACTCAATTTCAGCACTTAGCTACATAAATAAAAGTTCCAGGAAGACTAAATCTTAGAACCAACAGGGAGATGAGCACTTCCAGAGTTTCATCAGCTTCCAAATGATATTTAAATATGAGAACGTGAGGCCTGGCTGGGCCTGTGGTGAAATCTCCATAACAGCATCCTTGTAATAAATGCTGAAATTCATGCAACCATGGCCTGCCCCCTTCACGGATCGCAATTCATAATTGTTGCTGATTGTCACAAACCATAGGGCTCTGAACCAAAATCCAATGGAGCCCGTGCATGTGTGTGCATGAGTGTGTGCACCTGTGTGTGTGCATGTATGAAGGTGTGCACTCGTGTGTGTGTGTATGCGTGTATGTGTGCATACAGGTGTGTTAGCATATGTGTTTGCGACTAATTTTTAGACATGTGTCTCGGCTCTTTCTCCAGCTGGGAATTTCAAATGACTTGTGAGAAAATCTGTAAGGTTAAACATGTGGATTTTGGAAGATGAGAACAAAGAACGAATACTGATACATTTTGGCTTATTATTTTGACAGTTTTGAATTCCCACAGTAGTCTTACAACCAAATCTTGTGAAAGTGTTTATTCCGTTCCGTTGACCAGAATGAGTAACAAACCTGAGAAATGCTTTTGTGTCGTACATTGTGTAGTGCATTGTTAAGGCCCTCAGGTTAGCAAAAGCTGTCCTCAGCTGTGGAGCTGACTGCAGTGTGTCACTGACATTAGCAACTGGACTTCATTTGATGAGCAGGCTGAACCTCTGGACATTAAAAAGAGTATTCACGGCCGGGCGCGGTGGCTCAAACCTGTAATCCCAGCATTTTGGGAGGCCGAGGCGGGCGGAGTCACGAGGTCAAGAGTTCAAGACCACTCTGGCTAACATGGTGAAGCCCGGTCTCTACTAAAAATACAAAAAAATTAGCTGGGCATGGTGGCAGGCGCCTGTAGTCCCAGCTACTCGGGAGGCTGAGGCAGGAGAATGGTGTGAACCCGGGAAGCGGAGCTTGCAGCAAGCCGAGATCGCGCAACTGCACCCCAGCCTGGGCGATAGAGCAAGACTCCGCCTAACAAAAAAAAAAAAAGAAAGAAAGTAAAGAAAAAAAAAGAGTCTTCACAATGACGGCTTTTTCACAACATGAAGAATAGACTAGGTTTTCTCATCCTTTGAATGGGAATGAAAATAAAATGACCTTGCAATGCTCTTGTGAAGCTCAACTTGGAAAATCAATGTGAAGCGTTTAATACACTGCCTAGGACCAGTCAGCCCTTAATATGCGATTGTTATTAAGTTTAGTCATATCATGTGAGGGTAGAGGAATTCTGGGGCATCTTCCAAGGTGGCTTCGTATGCTCATTGTGTGTGCATGTGTGTGTGTGTGTGTATGGTGTATGTGTGTGGTTTTGTATATATGTGAGTGCCACACAGAGACAAAGAATAATGTGTGGGGTGCAAATTATGACTGGAAGAGAGTGATCCCAAGTAAGAGAATGACCACCTTCATGCACAGGGGAAAATATGTTCAGGAGTTGATAAAAATACATCATGAGAAAAGAAGTCCTTAATCACTCGCCGTAACTCAGAACTGGAAACCAGCTGAGAGATGACAGATAGGAAAAGTTAAGTAGAAAGAGGCTTAGTGTATTACACAAAGCCACTCAAGAATCAATGGGCAGAACCATGGTTGCAATCTTTCCTCAATGTGCAACAGCCCCTCTCCTGCACTACAGACCTCCCTGACGCTTACAACAGGTGCATTCAGGGAACAGCCAACTGGTGCTGTTCAACATGGGTGCCACTTTGCTGTTGGGTCTGGTGCTCACTGACACACAAAGGCTTGCATAAGTATCCATGCCTCAGCCAGAAAGTTTCTCTAAGAGCCATGACAGCCTCCTGACTGAGCAATAACACGGAGTCAGAGACTGGTAAGACTATGTACTCTGAGTATCATCTCCCCTACTCCCTGGGGATCAGAGAGGCATGGAGTGCACCAGGATCCAGCCATTCACTCTATTGCTTCCTGGCTGAGTGTACACACCCATCAATTATTTCTTCCTTGCTTGCCTCAGAAGGTTAGTATGAATCTCCATTGAAATCATGGCTAAAAGAATGGGCCACATACTTGTAAATTATATCATCATCGTTCATTCATTAAACTGTGTTAAATACCTACTCTGTTCCAGGCATTAGCCTCAGTATTGGAAATACATTAAAGAACCATCACGCTAATGTCCCTAATGTTGTGGCATTGGCATTCCAGTACAGGTGGCAGAAAAAAAATACACAGCATATCAGGCGATGGTACAAGAGATAGATAAAAACAAAGCACGGTAAATGGTGTGAGGAGTGCCAGGGTCGAGGCTGGATTGCTATTTCAAACAGGACCATCAGGGAAGGTCTAACTGATAAGGTGAAATTGAGCAGAGACCTGGAGGAAATGAGGATGCAGCAATTGCCCATCGTCTGGTCGGAGTCATTGAAGATGATGGTCCATTTTAAATCCCCTGCACTACTCATCAAATTTTATTCCTCCGTCAAAGCCTGCAAAAATTTTTCAAGAAGTTTCAAAGAACTTTTCATCTGCAGGAAAATGCAGTAGCAGCTCTGCTTTAAAAGTGCTGAGAAATGAACAGCTCCTCTGGCTGTAAACCTAACGCCTGCAATTTACTCTGTACCCATCTTAGGTAGTAAAATAAATAGACCACATTGCCTGGACACAGACAAAGCTTTGTACATGAAGACAGAGCATGCAGAAAGCTATCAGGGTCTCATGAAAAAAAATGCAAGATGTCAGCAAGGCAGGCATAAGCTATGTGATCATAGGTAAGTCACTTAAAAATCTCCAAGTCTCAGGTTTTCAGCAGGATAAAATAGGGTGACATCTGCTACACCTTGTATGTCAAGCAGCTGAGGTGTGAAGACATGATGAATGAGTAAATGCTCATGTTTTGAAGTCAGCACCCTGAGAAGGCCCTGGGCTGGGTGCAGGAGAGACTTGGAGCTAAAAAGGCTGTGGTCTCTGTACATGAGTTGCTGACAACATAGAGGATAAACAGATATAAACGAAACCATGGCCAAGATGACCCTGAAATCCAAAGGATGAACTTCCATTTTTGGCCTATGGTGGGTTACTTACCATGGAAAACCTCCTACTTTATAAGTTAAATAGGCTAAAATAAATTTTAAATTTACCTTTAAAGAGCATCATGGAGCTTAAACTAAAGTACAGAAAATCCTCCTTATACAAGTCCAGTAAGCGAATGCTAGTGTGCGTGCTGCCTTGAAGGTATTTTCTATCCCAGGGACCCAGGAGACTTGAGTTATGAGGGTATCACGGGAGTGGCTCCAGGTGAGTATCTGTAACTATGTCCCTTAAATGAATGCTACCTCCTCATGGAAAAAACAAATGGAGTGGAAAACAATTTCCCTTCAAGGATACCAGGAGGGACTTTGCTCTGGATACTAGTAATAAAACAGGAGGAACCACTGAGAATGGGGAGCTGTATTCCAGGTGAATACATTTGTTGACGTTGGTCTCAGTTGGTATCACTCCCAAGTACACTGTCGATGCAAATACACACTCTTTCTTGTGGTCCCACTCCTCCTCTTCAATAACTACCTCCCAGGACATCCATGGGGTTTCAAAGAACACAATCTCTCAATTGAATCATAGAAAGCGTAAAATCAAATAAGACGCAGCAAGAGTGAACAGGATTAGGGAAAACAAACAAACGGAAGAATTATACATTCAATGACTTTATATTTTGAAAGAACACAAAATAGGAGTGTTTAATAAATTTAGAAAATAAATATTTCAGTGAAGATATGAAAAGAATAAGACAATTAAAAAGATAAGGAATATCTCATATAGAACGTTCAAGATGAAACATCTCATCAATGACATTTACTTTCAAATGTATCGGCTGAAGTCAAGTGTTAAAATATCTGAACAGGGTTCGGTGCGGTGGCTCACACCTGTAATCCCAGCACTTTGGGAGGCCGAGGTGAGTGGATCACAAGGTCAGGAGATTGAGACCATCCTGGCTAGCACGGTGAAACCCTGTCTCTACTAAAAATATAAAGAAATTAGCCGGGCGTGGTGGCGGGGGCCTGTAGTCCCAGCTACTCGGGAGGCTGAGGCAAGAGAATGGCATGAACCCGGGAGGCAGAGCTTGCAGTGAACCGAGATCATGCCACTGCACTCCAGCCTGGGTGACAGAGAGAGACTCCATCTAAAAAAAAAAAAAATTATATTTATATATTTTTATATTTTATATATTATATATAATATATAATTATACATTTATATATTATATATTATATATAATTATACATTATATATAATATATAATTATACATTTATATATTATATATAATATATAATTATACATTATATATTTATACATTATATAATTATATATTATATATAATATATATTTATGTATATATATTTGTGTATATATATACCTAAACAGAGAACAACTGTAGTGGAAGATATGTCTCAGTTAGTTGTCCAAAGGGCAGCACATAGAGACTCAGACACGGGAAATATGAAAGGAAAGTTGAGAGGAGTGGAAGGTAGAGTGAGGCAGACTGTCTACATATCAATAGGACTTCCAGAAAAAGAAAAGAATGAAGGAGAAACAGGGCGGAAGAAAGAGAGGGAGGAAGAGACAGAAAAAAAAATGGAACCCAGAGAGTATTGAACATAATGCCAAAAAAGTTTTTAGAACTAATTAAAATTAGGAATCCTCATAGACTGAGAGCCTAATTCCAACCTGGAGAAATATAAATCAATTAATATCAAGCTACATCAGTGAAGGACCATGAAATTCAAAGGCAAAGAAGATGATAAAAGAACTCAGATTACTTACAAGGAAATGACTTATGACAACAACGCACATGTTAAACATGACAATGGAAACCAAAAGAAGGAGAAGTTGTGTCTTCAAAGAGGCACCTTAGCATTTTCAACTGCGATGCTATCATTCAGCAATGAAGGTAAAGGATGTTTCGGATAATTAAACCTGATAGAGTTTATACCACTACAGACATTTCTAATGTATTTATTTCAGAGAGAAGGAAAATGATACAAAAGGAGTGTTGAGTAAAAAAATGATAGCCATGTTAGTAAACCCCCCCAAAAACCAGTAACTACAGAGAATAAGAAAGAGCTGTTTATTTCTGGAGCTAAAAGATCTACATTGCTGCTAATTAATCACCCCAATAGGTTTTGGGACACCACGAGGTACAATACCATACAGGTATAATTCCCCATTGTAAACCTGAATGGGACATCCCTTGTGCCAGACACTCTAGTGGGAACAGCACTTTCCAGGATTAAAAAATACCCGACCCTTCCTTCCATGAACCCGAACCACCTTAAAAATGAAGGGTCTGGCTGGGTGCGGTGGCTCATGCCTATAATCCCAGCACTTTGGGAGGCTGAGGAGGGTGGATCTTTTCAGGTTGGGAGTTTGAGATCAGCCTGGCCAATATGGTGAAACCCCATCTCTACTAAAAATAATAATAATAAAAATCAGCCTCTGTAACCCCAGCTACTGGGGAGGCTGAGGCAGGAGAATCCCTTGAACCCAGGAGGTGGAGGTTGCAGTGAGCTGAGTTTGCGCCACCGCACTCCAGCCCGGGTGACAGAGTGAGACTCCGCCTCAAAAAATAAATAAATAAATAAATAAAGGGCCTGTAAAAAGATCATTGTGCCAGCTGAGTGTTCGGTATCTCCAGCCCTTTATGTGGATTATTCCCTGCACTTCTCACAACAATCCCACAAAATACACCCTGGCGGGATGCCCAAGGCCTGGCCTTCCTGGCTTTCAGCCTTGCCCACTTCCACCAAGTTCATTACACTACAGACAGAATCTCTTTCTTAAATGGACATCTCTCTGAAGTGCTTCTCTAGTAAATCACTTTAGTGGGGACCACGCCCTTCAAGATCAACTTCCAGCTCCTTTGTCTGGTTTCTGTGGCTCTTTATCTCTGGGCTTTGCAACCTTAACTCCTACCTCTGATATTGGGCTCCAGCCCAGCTCTCTTTCTACAACACACACGTGCATACATGCTCACACACACACATCTGCAATCACACACGCATGTGGAAGCGCAGACATGCATTCGTGCACACACACTCACTCACACTCATGTTATGCTCTGTGTCTTCTGTCACTGACCCCCTCTCCACCACTCTGGGCTCTGCATGTAGCCTTGGCCCAAAAGAACCTGTCATCTTCTGCAAAACCTTCTGTGTCCCTCTTTCTTCCAGCCTGCCTGGCTTTTTGTTCCTGACTCAGTGTTTGTTTCCTCCAAAATTCCTAGGTTGAAGCCCTCGCCGTCAGTGTGGTCATATGTGGAGATGGAGTCTCAAATGAATTAGTTCAGGTTAAATGGAGTCATGGGGTGGGCCTAGGAATCCCTTAGGGATAGGATTAGTGCCCTTCCAGGAAGAGACCCCGGGGAACTCACTCTCTCTCTGCAGGTGCAGACACCAAGGAAAGACCACACAAGCACACAGTGAGAGGGTGGGTGTCTGCCACCCAAAGGGACAGCCCCCACCAGGCCCCAGCCCTGCCAACACCTCCATCTTGGACTTCTGGCCCGCAGGACTGTGAGAAAAATAATTCCAGTTGTTCAAGCACCCAGTTTGTGGTGTTTTGTTACAGCAGCCCGAGCTGACTAAGATAGTGTGACCTCACATGGGGTGCTCACGGCATCCCATGCCCGGGACTATCAGTGCACCAGTCACTGTGCACATCACTTTCCAGTTCCTCCGTCATCCCCTCTGTGTCCCACGATGGGCTTGAGGGCCAGAGATGTGTTTTATTGACTTCGCATTTTCTGCACAATGCAGTATAATAAGAACAAAGTGGCCTCAGTGCTCAGGAAACATTTAATGAGTGAAATGTTTAGTCACAACAGTCCTCTGGATGAGGCAGAGTAGGGCACAGAGATTGAGGTTGTCTGTCCAAAGATGCAACCATATACATCCGTCTAGTCACACGACAAAGCGTCTGCACATGACAAAAATCACCCTCCTCCTCCTTCTTCTTTCTCTCCTCCCTCCTCCTCCTCTTCTTCTTCTTCCTCTTCTCCTCCTCCTCCCCCTCCTCCTCCTCCTTCTTCTTCTCCTTCTGCTTCTCCTTCTTCTTTCTTCTTCTTCTTCTTTTTTTTTTTTTTTTTGAGATAGAGTCTCACTCTGTCACCCAGGCTGGATGGAGGAGAGCAGCGCCACAATCTCGGCTCACTGCAACCTCCGCCTCCCGGGTTCAAGTGATTCTCCTGCCTCAGCCTCCTGATTAGCTGGGATTATAGGCACATGCCACCTTGCCTGGCTAATTTTTTGTATTTTTAGTAGAGATGGGGTTTCTCCATGTTGGACAGGCTGGTCTCGAACTCCTGACCTCAGGTGATCCACCTGCCTCAGCCTCCCAAAGCGCTGGGATGACAGGTGAGAGCCACTGCGCCTGGCCACCTTCCTTCTTTATTGGTGTTCTTTGTGCTTTTTGGCTTCTTTGTCATCCAAGATTAATATTTATCTAAATAATTATTTTCAAATAATGTGTCAAGAAAACCTCAATATTTCAAGCATAAGCCTTCCGACTCACACAGGAAATTCTGCATCTTTTCAAAACCATTCATCAAATCCACTCTGGCTTGAGATATGGAGGAACACAGCTCCACATTACAACCCCCTCCTTGTGCGTTCATTTACTTATTCACTGTGCATGGTATGTGGGGTCCTGGCCTGTACCCCTGTCAGAGGACACAGGGGAGCTTCTGAGAGCTGCTGGACACTGAGTGGACACTGAGCATGTGGGGAGTGCTGAGGCGAGGACTTGCCTCACCTGTCACCAGGAAAGCCAAGCGTGCATGGATTTAGTCTAGAAACTTCCTCCCAATCGTTCATTTAAAAATGTTCTTTATCCTTGAGGAATCTCATTTGACCCAGCAATCCCATTACTGGGTATACACCCAAAGGATTATAAATCATTCTACTATAAAGACACATGCTACTATAAAGACACATATGTTTATTGCAGCACTACTTACAATAGCAAAGACCTGGAACCAACCCAAATGCCCATCAATGATAGACTGAATAAAGAAAATATGGCAAACACACACCATGGAATACTATGCGGCCATAAAAAAGAATGAGATCATGTCCTTTGCAGGGACATGGATGAAGCTGAAAACCATCATCCTCAGTAAACTAACACAAGAACAGAAAACCAAACAGGGCATGTTCTCACTCATAAGTGGGGGTTGAACAATGAGAACACATGGACACAGGGAGGGGAACATCACACACCGGGGCCTGTTGAAGAGGAGGAGGGCAAGGGGAGGGAGAGCATTAGGACAAACACCTAATGCATGCGGGACTTAAAAACTAGATGACAGGTTGATAGGTCCAGCAAACCACCATGGCACGTGTATACCTATGTAACAAACCTGCACGTTCAGCACATGCATCCCAGAACTGAAAGTAAAATAAAATTTAAAAAAAACCCAAAAAACAAACAAACAAACAAACACAAAGTTCTTCTCCCCACACCTTTGAAAAGAGGCTTTGCTTTCCTCTTGGATCACTTTCAGAGAGATAGCACCTCCTTTTGTTTTCGATGGGTTGAGATGGGTTTCTTCACGTGGACTTGGCTGATGGAATCTTTGGCTGGTTTAAAGAAACGTGTCCTGTGCTGATTTGGCACAAAACTCACATCACATCTTCTTTAAAAGATCCTGAAGTCCATGTCCCACGTTGCCGTCCCAGTGGATTGTGCATAATTGCACAATTAACAACATATTTTCACAGTCTCCACCTTGCAGAGGAGTAGAATCCTGCACTTTGTAGTTTCTTCCAGACATTTTAAAAATAGAAAAACTCATTTGGAAGAAGATTTCCTATTAGAACAGCAAAGAAAACCCCAAGTCTCTGGGGAAGTACTTGAAGCCCAAGTTCTGTAACGATTTTCAAGTTCAAAGTTAGGCTGCTCTACTCTTGCTAATGAGGCGCTCCAGCCTTGGGCTCCGCAGGTGGCTGCTACGATCTCATTAAAATGGAAGCGCCTCTTTCTATATTAAAGCGTTATCTGCCAGCCCCTCTCTACTTGGGGTGAGTCAATTAATATGGGCAGAGATTTTTAAGGCTGCAATGACTCCAGTTATCAAGGCCCCTCTCCAAACCAGACAGCAGGCCTGGGGGGAGGAGACAGACGCAGGGTGGGGTTGATGTAGGTAACACCTCTCTCCTCACCCTGAGAATGTGGCTCCATTTCAGGAGACTTGATAACAGTCTCACGAGAACACAGATACACACCATGAATCATAATTAGACTCTGCATTGGAAATGACGTTCAGTCCAGTGATTTCTCTGTCACCTGGGGGCTGGGACGGTCACCAGAGAACATGAATTTTGGCCCAGAACTTGCCATCGCTGGCCATCCTGCACCCAGGTCCCTCACAGAAGAGCGTCACTTTGTGGAGTCTCAGACTGAAGACACCAGCGCCCTCCCTCATGGCTGTGCCCCGAAAGTTACCTTTGCAAGAGGCGTCTCTGTCAACCCCCTTACTCTGGTCTCCCGGCCTCAGAGTGCAAACCCTCAGAGTGCAAGATTGATGGAAGCTCCAGCTCTGTGGGCTCTGGTGGGTCTGACACCATGGTGCGCACGTGGAAACTGAGGCTCAGGAGAGGTATCTCTCTGCTTAAAGGTATGCCTCATCCTCTTTCCCTTCCTCTATAAATTATAAAATTCTGATGATGGAATTGAAGACCTCCCAAGATTTAAGATCTTTCCCCAACCCGCTTTGCTGGCCTCAGCAGACCTCACCGTCCCACGCTTGTGGTGGGCACCATACACCGTGATGTACAGATCTCATTTCTTCCTTCCCCAAATGCCCTCCCGATTCTCTGATCAGACCAACTGCCAGTGAACCCCCAAATGCATCCTCGGACACCTCCCTAGTCCTCAGGAGAAGCCAGTCTCTGTCTCTTTCCTGGAACCTCTGCCAGCATGAGCGGGGACCTCTAGGACACCCCAGCACCCACCCTGGTAACCACCTGCTTTGCACGGTGGCTCTGCCTCCAGATGCCCTCTCCACCCTTCCAGACCCAGCTGGAGGGCCCTCTTCTCAAAAGACTTCCCTGTAACTGTGCCTTCCTCAGCTGGGGCTGCCATAGCCAAAGGCCACAGACTGGACCCAAACAGCAGACGTTTATTTTCTCACAGCCCTGCTGGCGGGAACTCTGTGATCAAGGTGTGGCAGGGTTGGGTCCTGGTGCCGCTCCACCTCCTAGTTTACAGGTGTGTCCTCTCATGGAGGGGAGGCGGGGAACTCTTTATGTCTCTGTATAAAGACGTGAATCCCATTGCATAAGCCTCACTCTAATGACCTCTTCTAACCCCAACTGCCTCCCCAAAGCTCCACCTCCTAATTACCATCACAGTGGGGGCTAAGGCTTCAACACCTGAATTTGTGGGGTATAAACATTGTGGGGACCCTGGCGCCCTGGGCGGTGCCATCTCCAGGTGGGTGGATGCTGTCCTCCCATGGATTTCCCTGGCCCTTGAATCCTGCAGCCGCTCTTCCTGGACACATGGCCTTGCATTACGGGTTGTTACAGGCAGGTTTATGGCCCATTCTTCCAGGAAGTCACCTCAATCACGAATGCCCCTAAATACCTCTCTTCTCTGACTCTTGTTTCCTGTTTTAATTAGAAACACAAGTTAAGGTATTTGAGGGCCCACTACTTATTTTAAGTGCTTTAATATTGTGTGACCAGTGACATCATGAGCTATGGGTGGCAAGGGGTGGCCCACAGCCCATTCCTGTCCCCAGTCAGGCCCTTGGCTGGTTCCCCTGAAACACCCAGGTGGGAACGAGCCTGGTTTCTACTTGGGCAGAGCCAGGTGTAAGTCCTGGCTTGAGCTGCAGGCAACTCTGTCTTGGGAAGTTGCCCTTCCTGAACCCGGCTCTTCCAGCCAGGAGCCACATTCATAATGTACCATGGTGCCCTGTAAGGTGCCAACAGACGCCAGCTCCAACATCACCCATTGGCCCCACATAACACTTGGCCAGAGGAATTTCCCTTGAGGAAACTCTGCAGTGGGTAGGGAGAGAGGGAGGGAAGGAACCCATGTCACGGGATGCCTGCTAAGCGCCGCATGCTTTGCCGGGGTCTCATCCCATCCTCGCTGCAACTTCCTGGCCAGGAACTAATTCCCCACTTCACAAACGCAGAAACCAGGGCCTAGAAAGGATGCTGGGGGATCCCAGGTCTCTCTGGATTCCCAGCCTCTCTGGCCAATGCATGCAGTCTGTGCTTCTGTCTTGGAAATGGTCCTCATTCCAAGCCTGTCCTGATTCCTCCCACCTGAGGCCCCCAGGTCCCCCATTCTCCCTGCCCCAAGCAGCATCATGAGCACCCACGCCCAGGCTGCTCCCTGCTCCATCCAAAGTCCAGAATGCTTCTGTCTTGAGGGAGACTTTGTTAAGATGGATTTCAGTTCATCTAAAATTTAGGAAGTCTTAGCAGGGAGTGAGGGTTGACCTTTCAATCCTGCATCTATGGCTGAGTGATTTTTAAACCGGGACAAGTGTTATCTGGAGCATTGACATCACTTCCACCATCGGAGGCCTGGGGCTGAGCTGCCCTTCCATGCGCCTGAGGCTTCGGCTCAGACTCCAGGGCGCCTTCCCTCTGGCCTGCAGGGGTGGCCTCCTGTTTTCGGCTGGTTCTCTGTCTATGTTGTGTTGGGAGACCCCAGAGGGAAAGTCTTCCTCCAGGGACATCCCCCCGACAAGAAGAAAACCCCCCTTCAGCCTGAGATGAGTGGCTTCGGCTGACTGTTAGGAAAGAAGAATACAGAATTCCTCTGACTTCAAGTCTTAAAAAATGGAGGCCAGCCGCGATATCGATTCTGAATAATACAGGAGTTCTAATTAATGCTGTAAATCTTGAAACTCTATCCGGCATCTTCCCACGGCAGCTGCTCAGTGTCCTGCCTGGGGCTCTGATGGCCCCGGCTTGCTTTCTGGCTGCACCAGGCACTGGCTGCAGGACTTACTCACACTGTCAGAGTACAGGGTCCCCACATGGTTCCTGCGGGTCTCAAATGAGATGAGGACACTTAGGAGAGCGTCCAGCACGTGGTCGGTGCTCAAGGAACCCTGGCCTGGCCTGCCCTCCCCACCTGTGTGTGGCTCACAGCCTATGGGGGCCATGCACCAGCAGTGGTCCTTGTGATCTAGCCTGCTGTCTCCTCCCAGGCCAGGCCGTGTGGCAGCCTCAGCACAGGCCCTTCTTGGTCCCCACTCTAGCCGAGGGTGAAGGAGGAGCTGGGGTTCCTGGAGTTCTCCTCCCAGGTCCTTTCTCTTCATCCACACGTAGGGCGGTGGAGTGAAAAGGGGGCGGGGGGCCAAGGATGCTACAGTGTCCTCCTGCTCCTACCCAGGCTGAAGGTCTGGGCCACCTGTCTGGGGGTGCTCAACCCCTGCAGCTGCCTCATGTGCCCTCGGTGTCCTGAGGAGACCCAGCTGTCATAGCCAGGGCCCTCCAGCCCCCTCCCCAGCCCCAACTTGCTTCCCTTTCCAGGAGCCAGTGTGCAGAAGCAGTTGGGTGGGCTGTGTGCCCCCAGGCCACGGCTAATCTAAATCAGAGCCCCCCGCTTTATCCTCTCTAAACTTTTCAGCAGATTTTGCCTTCCAAATCTGTCCGTGGCCCCCATCCATGCCGCGTGCCCCACCCCTGCAGCTGCTGGTCCCTGGAAAGCCACAGCCTCGGTTCCCGCTGTTCACTTTCTTTGTGGCCAAGCTTCGTGACTGATGCCCCCGCTTACGCTTCCTTCAGAACCATCCTCCCTTCTGCTGTCTCAGGCAGCACCTGCATCTGAGAAGCTTGGGGAGGACACCCGGCACCCCGCATTGTCCTGGTGAAGGTCGTGGCTGATGGGGGGTTTATGGGGCAGATAGGGCTCCCCAGCGGGCATGGACTTGGGAATGCATGTTGAGCTGAGGTATCAGCAGGGGATGGCACTGGGTGTGTATTTTGGGGAGCGGGGGTTGACAGGTGGCTTATCCGCACAGGAGAATAAGACCAGTTCATTTGCAGGCCTCAACCTTAGGCTGAGAGATGGGCTTTAGCATGAAAGTAGTCAGGAGGCATAGACCACTTTAAGACAGTGAAGCGCACAGCCATTGATTCCTCTGAAAATCTCCCTCTGACCAAGGAATCACTTTCACTGAATCTAGCCTTTGTGTCCTGGGAAGCCCACCCCACACAGGTGCCTGGCCCCAAAGCACAAAGCCAGGGAGTGGAGGGTGGGGAGCCTCCCTCTGCGCCATCAGGCCGGGGCCCAGCGTGCCTTAGGGCTCAGCTCTCGGAGGCGATTCCCTGGCAGAGGCGATTCCCTGGCAGAGGCACCACCCTGCTCATCTTTTTGCTGAGGCCACACCTGCAAGTCCCTGGCTCCGTTCCCAGAGCTGCCTGGTGACAGATTGGCGGAGTCGATGGATTGCGCTTTGGAGAGGACCTTTTGAAAGTGCCCAAAGAGAGAGAAATCAATCTAAGTGGGGCCTTCCCAGAGGGCACCTGGCACTTCCAGGACAAGGTGCTTTGGAGGAAAAAGAAGCGTAAATCCCCCCACAACCAGCACTTCTGCAGTTACCCGTTTTCTGCTTTTAACTACTTCATCTGAGCCACCATACTCGCTTCCCCTTCCCCAGTCCCTACTACGTCACAATATGTGTCCCGAGTCGCTTTGGGGGTGAACTGCCCTGATGCCATCAGGGCCTGTGATGACCACGTTGTGAAGCCAAGGGGTCCCCCGGCTTTGCCACCAGCTCCCTTTTGACCTTGGATGAGTCAGCGTAGCTCCTCAGCTCTGAGGCTTTCTGTCTAGGGGACAGGGAGTTGGGACGAAGATCTTGAAGGCACTTTCTAGTTCTGACCTCCCAAGACCCCCTGCCGCCTTCCTGTGCTTCAATTCAGGGACAGCCGGGAAGCCTCCACCCGGAGCCCCTCCAGGACTCATCCCCCGGCACGTCCCCGTGCCACTTGTAAGCGTGAACTAAAGACAAAGGCTTCCATGTCCGTCTCCTCTTCAGCAAAATGGGACATTTCACCAGCACAAATGAGGGACCAGGCTCAGGGAAGCCTTCCCCAGAAGCTGTGGCTCTGCGACAGGCTGCCCGGCTCGCCCCCGCCATGGCTGTCACTCGTGGAGTCCAGCCCCGTCCCCTGGTGGCCTCCCTGACCCTCGTCTCTCCCATCCTCCCATCCTCTGTGTGCCACGGCAGCACTGAGGGCTGTTTCTGGAGAGGAGGGACTCCTGGGCTAACCAGCGCCCTGATGAGGTCTCCATCGCTGCCTTCGCCCTGGGAAGGGGGCCTGGCTTCTCTGACCTGTTCCCAGGCTTTCCCATCTAAAGCTTCTTTTTCCCTCCTGCTTCTCTTCCAGCCCATTTCTTTCCCTTGATGCTCTGAAACAAAACCTCAGCCTGCCAGCCCCTGGCCCCTCTAGGAATTATTAGTGAATGAGCCCACAGGAGAAGCTGGGTACCTACCCCCGCCCCAGTTTCAGGCCTGCAGGGTCCTGGGCTGGGCACGGGGCTTGGGGTGGGGGGCTCCAGGTGGCTGGGAGGCCCTGCTCTAAGTGGCCTTCCATGAACCTGTTTCCACCTTCTGGCTCGGACTTCCCTGTGTGCTGCCACGGGCACCCACATGAGCTCATCTGCCTCCCTGGCAGGCTCTGGTACATGGGGGCTGTCTTCCTGTGCTGCCTCTCTCGGTGAGGGCAGCCGCTTGGCCAGCACATCCTCGCTGGACAGAGCCTAGTGTGGACGCTTGGGCTGGGGGTGTTGTCCACCTCTTGACCCCAACAAGCCCTGATGCTTATCCGTCCTCGCGTCCAGTGCCACAGCCAGGGCAGACAGTCTGTGCTGCCACCTGCATGTGGGAGGCACCGAGTGAGGACTGAAGGTCACGAGGTCTCAGCTCCATGGGTCGTCAGGGGCCCGTCTCATCCGCCTTGAGAACCACGCTCCTGTGCTGGGCCAAGGTCTTCCTCTTTCTGTTTTTGTTTTTACTTTTAACATTTAAGTTGGAAGGAGTAAGAGTTTGATAAAAATTTTTGTGCTTACTTTTTATTTAATTCTTCCTCTGGGGATCATAAAGTGAAAGTATTTAAATTTATATTTTGGAAGATAAAAGAAGCCTAACATCTTTCATCCACTTCATGCATTTTTACTAATTTTTTAAAACATTTTGTACTGGCATCCTGAAGGGTGCAATTTCATGAGTCAGGAGAATAAATAACAGATAAAAATAAATGGAGTTCTCAGCAAAGGTGAGTGTGAGTTTTCCTTAGGGATGAAAAAAATAAATGCTTGGCAGAGGCAACCAGCCTCAGGGCAGACCTCACAAGGACCGAGGTGGGGCTCAGTACCTGAGGGCGAGGGGTGGGTCTCACCTGGCATCTGCCAGCTTGCACCACGAACCCGCACCCACCAAGGGCGTGTACCACCCCAGCAGAGTCACACACCCTGCAGTCATTCCCCAAGAGGCAGGAACAAGCTCATGTTTCGTGATCGAGAACCTTACTTTGGAAATTTCATCAGACATCCCAGAGCAGCAGGTTGATGAAGATGATGATGACAATGAAGACGATGATGTTGCTCATTGAAATGTCACTGAACGCTGACTATGTATGTGCTAGACAATGTTGGAGGCATTATCTAATTCCGTCTTCTTTCCCTCCCCAGCTTTCTTGAGTTAAGATTGACAAATAAAAATTATATGTATTCTAAGATGTGCAATGTGATGTTTTGATGTGTGTACACATTGTGAAGTGACTGCCACCATCAAGCTAATTACCATGGCCATCACCTCATGTAATTATTTTTGTGGGTGTGTGTTGGTGGGGGGAGCACTTGAGATCGACTTCCTTAGCGAATGTCAAGTATACAATGCAGTTTTGTTAATTAACACCACCATCCTGTTTATTAGAGCCCCACGACTTCATCAGCCTGCATAACTGAGACTTCAGACTTTATGTTTTCTTAATCAACATCTTTCTGTCTTCTCGAGCAGTAGTTTTTTTATCTGACAAATAGAAACATGTGCGCCTGTAATCCCAGCTACTCAGGAGGCTGAGGCAGGAGAATCGCTTGAACCCGGGAGGCTTCGGAAGTTGCACTGAGCCAAGATTGTGCCACTGCACTCCAGCCTGGGCAACAGAGCAAGACTCTGTCTCAAAAAAACAAACAAAAAAAAGTGGGCAAAGGATATGAACAGACACTTCTCCAAAAACGGACATTTATACGGCCAAGAAACATATGAAAAAAAGCTCATCACCACTGCTCATTAGAGAAATGCAAATCCAAACCACAATGAGATACCATCTCACGCCAATTAGAATGGCGTGGTGGTGGGCATGGTGGCTCACACCTGTAATCCCAGCACTTTGGGAGGCCGAGGCGGGTGGATCACCTGAGGTCAGGAGTTCGAGATGAGCCTGGCCAACATGGTGAAACCTCATCTCTACTAAAAATGCAAAAATTAACCGGGCATGGTGCTGCACCCCTGTAATCCCAGCTACTTGGGAGGCTGAGGTGGGAGAATTCCTTGATCCTGGGAGACGGAGGCTGCAGTGAGCCAAGATCGCACCACTGTACTCCAGCCTGGGTGACAGAGTGAGACCTTATCTCAAAAACAAACAAAAAAGAAACAATGGTCCGTCCCCATAGTGTTATCGGGGATATTAAAAGGGATATACACGTAAGAGTGTCCAACAATGAATGTGCCGTGATCACTCCAGTGACCACCACCCGCCTGAGCAGTCCTTGAGGAACTTGAGAGAGCCCATTCCCCAGATGTGAGTGTCACTGGACCAGATGAGAAAGACGGAGGGCACTGGCTAATGCTGGCCACAGGAGCCCCGTTCGGGAATGGGCCTGGTGCACCAGAAAGGTCCCTTCCCTTTCCCACTTCACCAAGTCAGGGGCACCTAGAGTCAAAATTAGAATGACCAGCACCCAACTTCCTAGACCGTTCCTTAAGGCGAAACTTGTATCAGACCCATTTAGGACCAAGAAATGAATCACAGGAAAGCAGTTCCAGGTTCTAGATGTCAGCCTTAAATCATGAGATTCAGAAAATAAGATTAAGTACAGAGTTTGAGTACAGAGACTGAGAATACTCCCCCCGGGAAACACAGACTTGAAGAACATCAGACATCATTCCAAAGTGGGGAGGCCAAAGCTTCCTTTACAGGCAGTTAACATGTGCAACACTATTGTCAATAGTGCTGCAATAAACATACGTGTGCAAGTGTCTTTATAGTAGAATGATTTATAATCCTTTGGGCATATACCCAGTAATGGGATTGCTGGGTCAAATGGTATTTCTGGTTCTAGATCCTTGAGGAATTGCCACACTGTCTTCCACAATGGCTGAAATAATTTACACTCCCACCAAGAGTATAAAAGCATTCCTATTTCTCAATGGCCTTGCCAGCATCTGTTGTTTCCTGACTTTTTAATAATCGCCATTCTAATTGGCGTGAGATGGTATCTCATTGTGGTTTGGATTTGCATTTCTCTAATGAGCAGTGGTGATGAGCTTTTTTTCATATGTTTCTTGGCCGTATAAATGTCCGTTTTTGGAGAAGTGTCTGTTCATATCCTTTGCCCACTTTTTTTTTGTTTGTTTTTTTGAGACAGAGTCTTGCTCTGTTGCCCAGGCTGGAGTGCAGTGGCACAATCTTGGCTCAGTGCAACTTCTGCCTCCCAGGTTCAAGCGATTCTCCTGCCTCAGCCTCCTGAGTAGCTGGGATTACAGGCGCACACCACCACGCCCAGCTAATTTTTATTTTTTATTTTTTATTTTTTAGTGGAGATGGGGTTTCATCATGTTGGCCAGGCTGGTCTCGATCTCCTGACCTTGTGATCTGCCCACCTTGGCCTCCCAAAGTGTTCAGATTACAGGTGTGAGCCACCGTGCCTGGCCCCTTTGCCCACTTTTTGATGGAGTTGTTTGTTTTTTTCTTGTAAATTTGTCTAAGCTCCTTATAGATTCTGTATATTAGACCTTTGTCAGATGGGTAGATTGCAAACATTTTCTCCTATTCTGTATGTTGCCTGTTCAGTTTCTTTTGCTGTGCAGAAACTCTTTAGTTTAATTAGGTTGCATTTGTCAATTTTGGCTTTTGTTGCAATTGCTTTTGGTGTGGAACCAACCCAAATGCCCATCAATGATAAACTGGACAAGGAAAATGTGGCACATATACACCATGGAATACTATGCAGCCATAAAAAAGAATGAGATCATGTCCTTTGCAGGGACATGGATGAAGCTGGAAGCCGTCATCCTCAGCAAACCAATACAGAACAGAAAACCAAACACTGCATGTTCTCACTCATAAGTGGGAGTTGAACAATGGGAACACACGGACACAGGGAGGGGAACATCATACACTGGGGCCTGTTGCAGAGTGGGGGGCAGGGGGAAGGGGAGCATTAGGACAGATACCTAATGCATGAGGAGCTTAAAACATAGGTGACGGTTGAAAAGTGCAGCAAACCACCATGGCACACGTATACCTATGTAACAAACCTGCATGTTCAGCACACGTATCCCAGAACTTCAAGCTTTAAAAAAATGTGCATCACCTCCCCATGAGCTCAATGCATATGTTTTAGTGACTTGATTGGTTTCAGCCTGCTACATTGCAAGGAAGATGGCTTTCCCATGCTGTAGGGGCAGCTATGGCCAGAGGGGGTCTTCTCTTTGGTGCCACAAGTCCCTTCCTAATCATTGAAAGGAAAAAGCAGAAGTTGCAGGTGCATGCTACATGATGCACGCCTCATAGCCACGTTCCTTCCAAGGCGCAGAATAACTTCAAGTTCCAACAGTTTTAAGCTGGAATAATTTAATTTTACATAGATGAGTGAGGAATGGCTGAGCTGTGGCCAGCGTCTGTCCACTCCCCTCACCCTGACCCACCTTCAGGCTGGAGCCCCGAAGCCTGTGCTTGGCAGGATGGGGCATTCCACCCTCACTTCACATGTGTGAGGTCATATCCAGGGCAGGATCCTCACCCTTATCTCTAGCCCCTTCCCTGCTTATTTTGCCAAGAAAGAAGGCTGCTGATGATCTGAGTGGTCAGATCTGAGATTCCTTGGGCCACAGTTCATGAGTGGGTGATGTCGACGGGGACATGTTTGTCCCCGAGAGCTCTTTTCCCTGCTTCCTACAGCTGAGCAGACAGACAGAGCCAGTTTCTGTCCCTGTCTGTCCGCTCTCCCTGCTGGGAGTTTGATAAGGCTCCAGCTTCCATGCTCATGGCGACTGCGTGGCTTTGGGGTGGACAGATGGACTTGTCCTTGGCCTCACAAGTGCACGGGGAGGCTCACAGTGCACAAGGCCCCTGACAGAGCCACCCTTCTGTCCGCTTTTCCCAGGCAGCCCTGCACTTGGGCAGGGGAGAGGGTGAGTTTTCCTTCACCGAGACACTGGCTAGCACTTTGTTCACCACTGGACTCCTGTTGGATTCTAAAGGACCTCAGAAAAAAGAGAATGGAGCTGGGCTTAGGCACCCGAGTCCCCACCCAAATCCCCCTGTATTTCCTCCCAGGGCACAGGCAGAAGCAACTTTTCTCAATTCTCTCCTTGAGAAGGAGCTGGGATACCTGGGCAGAAATCCTGCAGGCTGAACCCCGGGGTCCAGGCTGCTCAGATTACATCAAAGTCACCTGGGGGACTTTTGAAATGCAAATGTCTGGGCCTCTGTTCTTGGGCATTTTGATTTTGTGGCTCCGGGTGAGGCAGGGAGGACTGTTTTGATTACTTTTCAATCTCCCTCAAGCAGTTCTGATGGGGCTCAGCCCTCTCTGGACAAGAAGTCGACTTTTAACTGGACCCATTGAGCTGGATCCTGGGGTCTGTCCTTTGGTTGTGACAGCAGGTTCCATCATTACACCTGCTGAGCTCATGCTCAGCAATAAAAATGGAAACATCATTCTATTTCTCCACTTGGTTATTCAAAAAACATTTATTGAGCATTTGTAGTTAAAGATCATCAAATATCAGAATGATGATGATGGCTCCGGGGCTTGAGTGTTTGCGAGTGGGATTTTTCGGGAGGCGGAGCAGCAGGGAAAGTCATCCCCATCCTGCAGAACGGGCGGGGCAGCGAGGAGGCTTAGGTTGGCTTTAACCGCGTGTGCTCTGCACACAGACCACATGCTGTGTGTGTGTGTGTGTGTGTGTGTGTGTGTGTGTGTCGTTGGTTGGTTGGGGGCGTGGGCCATGCTCAGCACACAGACACTGGCTTTGTGGGCTGTGCTCTCAGATCTGATCATTCTTAAATCTGAGAGGAGACCTGCTGGGTACAGGCGTCAGAAATTTGGCACATGCAGGTGAATTGCTGGGAGGATGGTGCTGGCATCCAGGGGTTCTCAAGAGTAAGGCCCATGCGTGCTCTTAGAATGTCCTTTCCAGATCTGGTCTCTGCTGACTTTCCGGCTCCATCTCCCATCCTCCGACCCACAGCCAGTGGGACATGTTCCCAGCTGCCAGATCCTCCTCCTCCTCCTGGACACTGCTGGGCTTTTGAACCTTGCAGTCCCCTGTCAGGACCTGCTTCCTCTGTCTGTAGCTGGCTCACTTCCAGGCATCCTTTCCAGCACCCTCTGCCACAGGAGCCTCTCCACCTGCCATCTGCTGCGCTGCCCCCGGGGAAGTCTGTGGGTTTCCACGGCACCTCCTGCACTCAAGTCCTCCGGTGGAGCACGGAGTGCCTCTCCTCCCCCTCACTGGACTCATCCTGTCCTTAGGGGTGAGGCAGCTGGGGGCCTCCATTAAGAGAAGGGGTTCCTGGGGGGCACATGTGGATGCCTCAGGCTTAGAGCCTCCAGAGTGAGGCCACCCCACCTGGTGCAGGTGTGCTCAGGTGTCCCCCGACCTCCACCGGCTCCCTGACAGCCTCTGCTCTAGACAGCCCCTGTGATGATAGGTGTGCTTTATGTCCACACTGCCCAGTAAAGGAGCCATCATCCTAAACTTTGACTGGGAGAACTGAATTGTTAACTTTGTTTAGTTGCTGTTAATCTGAAGGTAACCAGTCCCACCTGGTCAAGGGCTACTAAGTTGGATAGAGCAGACCTAGATAGCTGACTCCCAGGCCCCGCCGCATGCAACGCTGGCCCCTGAGGGGCTGCAGGAAACCCAGCAAGACTCAGGGACCAGCCAGGGCTGCAGAATCCCAGGGAAGCCACTCAGGTGAGCAACAGAAAGGAGGCAGGAGGGAGGCAGGAAGGGAAGGCGGCCTTCTCAGCTTACCGGGCGTGCCTGTGGGCGTCAGGGGGTGGGGGCAGATTCTGCCAAGGTTCATGGTCCCCACAGGCTCCTTGTCAGGGACAACCCACGCCTGACAGTGCCGTGGTGCATTTTTGGGTACATGCTGAAAATAGAAGTAACCTAATAAGGTAAAACCACACTTTTTACTCTTATAATTGCCTGGAGATCAGTTACAGGAGGAAAGCCTGCAGCTGCCTTTACGAAGGTTGTAAGTGAAAGAATCTGCCCCATGAGGAACACTGAGCCTGGAGGGCTTGTCCACAGCCCACTCTACCCTCCCAAAGACTGGCTGGGGGCCTGGGGTGGCAGAGGAGGGGCAGCAGCTGGGCAAGCCTGGAGACTCCAGCCCAGTGAGAAAACAGGCAAAAGAACCATGGACTCGGCATCTAATGCCTAATGGGTCCTTATGATGTTGTGGGGTCCCTGAGGCACCTGCTAGGGGATGGAGGAGGGTCAGTTCTGTGGATACAGAAGAGAGGATGTGCGGATCATAGGGCAGAAGTATGAAGGGATCCGTACTGGACAGAGCTGGGCTGGAGGCTGAGTTTGAAGACCTCTGAGATGCTTTCCCCAGCAGAGGTTTATGAGGACAGCCACTTGGCCCCAGGAGCAGCAGGGCGCAGGCTGGGCTAGCCAGCTGTGACTGGCAGAGTTTGGGGAACTGCAAAGGGCTTGGGGGACTGAATCAGGAGACTACACAGAGGGGCTGGCTGTGGGCCTGGCGTCTACACTGCCCAGTGACTTAATGGACTTCAGTAACCATGACCACCTACCGCATGCGATCTCTGTGCAAGGCCATTCTGTATACTAAGTCATCTTATTTTCACCAGGAACAGAGGCATTATTCTCCTTTCTTGAGAGACAAAAGAATCGAAACTCCCGATCCAGCTCATGGACTGTCATGTTGGAAAACCACAGCACAGTGCAATCAAACCCTGAGTACCTCACAGAACCATCCCTCAGGCCACATCAGGATGCCTCTCACCCCCGACTCCCAGAGACACACATCCAGCTGAAACCCCTAACAGGTTAAGACTAACCCAGAAAGCAGAAATTGATCAACCAGCCACTTGCCACATCTCCAGACACACCGGAAAGTGCCCTTCAGTGCCCAGAACAGGCAGGGGTGCTGAAAAGCCACAGGGCTGGGTGACTGGGGGGGGTAGAATCAGACCATCGGGCTATGACAGGGGTAGGGCCCTCAGCCTCGGCAGAAGGGGATCCCATACCCACAGCTGACCCAGAAGATGCGGGTGCAGGAGTTGCTGTTTGGGAGGAGTTTGTACCTGGGGAGGAGGGCATACCTGGGAGCCACAGCAACCCCGAGTTGCAGGATTTCCTGACCAGCCCATCCATGGACTGAGTCTTCAATACCCTGAGACTGCATGAAAATGTGGGAGTAGATTCATTCTTCCAAAACAACATCCATGGCCATCTCAGAGTCTCCATCTGGCCGGCGACCCCACAAGAAAGGGACCATGCTCATGTAGCTCCTGGGCCTGAGGGTTTTCTCCACCCCCAGCTCCTCTCTCTCTGCCCTACCCACCTCCTGCAGGTCCCTCCACATCTCCCTTCTCTCATTCCCTTAAAGCTGCTCCTGCATCTCCCTGCAGGGAGTAGCCCAGGAGTCTCGCCAATGTTCTCAGTGTCTTCCACCTGCTGTCTTGTCTCTTTGCTAAAAGAAGGTAGTTTGCCTCCCTTCCGTGTTCCCATCTGAACAAATAAGCAGGGATGTTTTGAAAAGAACTCAATACCTTCAAGCAACAGAAACGATGGCGCCTGAAGGCCAATCCTCCATTCCTCACTCACACCACAGCCAGTCCCTGTGTCCAGCACGAGGCCGTGTAGCACAGCCAGGGGACACTGTGAGCAGGAGGAACCAGCCCATCTTCAGGGAGCTGAGGCTCATCCCCCAGCAAGAACAGGTCCACCACCAAGGGCCAGGTGCCCCAGGTCTGCCAAAAACATGGTGACCCCGGTGTGGATGCGGAGTGTGTGAAATCACAGCAGCTCATTCTTTCTCCAAGTCATCTGAAAAGGTGGTAACACACCAGGGCCCTGTGCTGGACGCAGAGTGGGCCTGAACACTCCCAGGCAGTCCTCAGGTTCTCTTTTCCTTATTTCTCTGCTGCTATTCCCCACACAGCCTGTTGAACCTTGGCTGTGCATTGGTATTCATTTACACCAGGATGGAGCCACATAAGGAGGGCACCCCGGGGAACTGACAATGGTATCATTAAAAGCAACACCATTTACCTATTGATCGTGTGGAGCCATCGTCCCTCTGGGGTAGGCAGCATCACAGTGCCAACCAAACACGGACCAACTGCAAACCACAGCTCCAGGAAGCCTGCCCTCCACTACACTCTCTTGTAAAATTTATGTTTTGCTTCTGCATTCTCAACTCCCTGTATTCAGTTCTCAATTACAAGTACACAGGAGTCGGATGAGACTGGGTTAGAATTCTGGCTTTACTATTAACAAGCAGTGCGACCCCAGGAGAGAGAGCTAATCCCTCTAATCGTGAACGCCTGATTTAAAGATGGAGATAGTCATGCTCACTTCTCAAGAGAGACAGAATGGATCTAAAACCAGCTCACGTGTCATATAGTCTCCAAAGTATGTTCTATAGGTTGAACAAAGTTATTTCCAGTACTGGTCAGGAATGACATCTAGTTGTAAATAAATAAGAGTCTCAAAAAACAGTGGCTTAAATCAAGGGGGGGTTTTATTATCATTTAAGGAGAAATGCGACTTGCTACCTCTGGTTCAATGGCCCAAAGATAGTAGAGCCAAGGTCTTGGATTTTTCTGAGTCTTTTCCTCAGGGTTAACAAATGGCTGCTGCAGCTCCAGGGATCACACCCATGTCCCCAGCAGATAGAAGAAGAAACCACAGGGAAGACATTGCATCTATGTGAAGAAATCAAGTCTTTCAAGAAGCACCAGAAGATGTCTTTGAACATCTCATTAGATAGAATTATGTTGTTTGCCATTCCTTCCTGCAAGAGAATTTGCAAAGTATACTTTTTGCTGTATACATATTGCCCCTGGGGAAAAAAAAAAATCAAGGTTATTTTACCCAGAAAGAAGAGAGAATAGATAATGGGTTTGCGGCTACAGGTGTCTACCACAGAGGGTTAAAGGTGTGGTGGGTAAGTGAGTGGGGGTCTTTTATGGCCAAATACACCAGGGAAATGCTGGCTAAATCCAATGAAGCAAGCGTCTTTGGTCCTACACACACCAGGAGCCTCCAGCAGGGACGTCCCAGGCAGCATTGCCCAGCTCACACTAACCTGGGGCGCTTTTTGAGGACACTGTGTGGTCCTGTCCTGCAGGAGGGCTCACTTGGGAAGACATCAGCTGAGCACATATTTCAACATGCGTGTGAGCCAGCGGTCCCTCAGTGTCCACCTCTGTGCCGAAAGAGCCTCATGGGCAAGGTGGGCTTCCCGTCACCAGCCCCTGAAACAGTGCCTAGCAGGGAGGTGCTCAAAGAATGCCCAGGAGATGAGGGTCCACTTAGGTAACTATTCCACTAACCACCAGAGCTTCTGCTGTTTCTGATCTCAGACCCCAGATGCATTTGGGGACTGAGGGAGCAGGCGACGTGGGTGGGTTCCACACTGCGGAGAGGACTCCTATGCAGTGTCATACACGCCCGACCCTCTGCCTGTACCTCAGGAGTCACAGGTGGGCCTGGAGACAGCACCTCCCCGCTCTGAGTGCAGTGTTGTGGATCAGGCTGCAAAGCCCCAGCTGCCCTCGACAGACCCCAGCCCCTCCTGACCTGCAGGCTGCACCATCTTTATGAGTTACGCACTTTCCCGATGCTGCTGTGTGCTCACCTCAAGGCAGGATCAAGCAATCTTGCCAGAGTCTTCGTTTGTTTGATTTTGGTTTTGCTCTTTTGCTGATAGAAACAGTAAACATAAATGCACCTGACCTGTGCAGTGGGCTCTCGAGATGTGCTGGGTTCCATCTTCTGCAAAGAGAAGGATTTCAAGCAAGTTATGAGAAAGGAGCTGGCTCTCAGAGCGGCCACCAGCTCCCTGTTGACATGTGCTTCCCCCGCCCCCCACCCCGTGTCCTGCGCAAGTACCAGAACAAACAGGACAGCACAGGTGGCTCATGGTCCTTGGTGGGAACCTTGTTAATTTCTGAGCTGTTGGTTTGCGCACCTGCTCCAGGATGGAGTTTCTGTTTTCCTGGCCAGCTCCCAGAGGCCTTGCTGCCTGCGAGAAGTCACTGACAGAGCTCCCCCAGCCCCTGCCCCCATGCTTGGCCATGGATCCTACCAGCAAGGAGGCTTCACTGTGAGGGAAACCAGAGCCGGGCATGGTGAGTCCCTGGTCTTCCCAGGCACCGTGGACATGCTCTGGGCACACTGTGAAGCGAGGCCATCCATCTCCCTCATTTGGAAGCTCTGTGACCACACACAGCTGCTGCAGCTCCAGCCAGCCGGGCCCGTGCCTCTGCCAGGGAATGTGCTTGTCTGTATCCCTGCAGCCGTGTTGAACGCAGTCCAATGGCAGACTCCCCTTGCCTCTGCGGTGCTTGGCATGTGGATGATTTCCAGGTGAATATGCAGCAGAGGCAGCCCCGTGCCTGGTGCAGGGTGGAGGCATCCCAGGCCGGGCTTTGCCAACATCTGTGGCAGCCACTTCAAAGAGTTCCAGCTGCTGCTGAAGACGACTTGGCAAAGGTCAGAGAGTGAGACACCGGGGCTATGAGACCCTTTCTAAGGGTGGCCTGAGGTTCATACAAGCAAAGAGATGACCTGGGTGAAGCCACATGGATATTTTTTTGCCTGTCTGGGGCTCCAAAGCAAGGTGCACAACAAGTGTCCTCATTCCAGGCCCTGCCAGTGGCAGCCAAGAGCACGTCCTGGTAGACACATGTCCAGCATGGAAACAAATCAACTTGGACATAGTGGAGTGTCAGGTCGATTGCTAAGATGTTTGTCAAAAATCCAGGACATGGGCTTTACAGTGGACATCATTGTCCAGTGTGGGAAGCCTGGCCCCACTCAGACCCTGCTCACCCTGCTACCGACCCAGCTGCCATCTTCCTCAGACTCCAGCAGGCCCTCCACTCCTAGCACACAGGCCGGATTGAATCTTCAGGAAAGAAGAGCACACCCAGGGTGGGACCTGACCTTCCCAAGGTCACACAACTGCGGAGCAGCAGATCTGGGTCCTGGATCCCCAAACTCTGATGAGATGCAGGCCGCTTCTTGCCCACACAGCAGGTAAGATGCTTGGACAGCCTCCCGCCTCCCCAAAAACTCACTCTGGGCTGGATGTTTCAGGTTGGCAACGCTGTGGCAGAGTTAGCCTGCAGTGAAAACAGCTGCGTTGCTGTAAGCTGGGGCCCCTGCTGATGACAGGGTTGGGGGCTGACTGTAGATTGAGGCCTGCAGAACCCTTCAGCAACTCCAGCAGAGGGAATCAGCTCAAGGCACCCATGTGGAGCGGGCCCGGGGTCTGGTGTGCAGGCACAGGGCTGGAGTGTGCATTGTGGCACTGGGCACCGGAACTTCCTGGAGCAGGCTAGTTCTGTGAAGCATGCGCTGAGTAGGTGCTCAGGCCCCTCTCACCCCTCCCTCTCACTCCCACCCCTGGCTCAGCCTGCCCACAGGCTCAGCTCCCACAGCAGCCAGGATTTTGTCCTCAGCTCACACAGCAGCCAGGATAGAGACGCACACCTGTGCAAAGTGTCTAAGATGCATTTCGGGGACCACAGGCCCCCCAGATGAAGGACCTGTTCAGCCTGATGTCTTTGTGCCCTGGTCACCAGGAACCATGGCTCCTGGGCCTTAACTCACCGCAAAGATGCCCAGAGGATGAATGTGGATCCTGGGGAGGTTTCAGGGGCCTCAACTACTGCCCCACTTCCTTCCGGCTTCTTCTAGTCCAGGCCTCTAGGGCCAGAGGTAGCTGGGGCGAGGATAGTGACCTGCACACACCTCCGCACCCTCAGCTGTTACTCTGTATTCACTGCCAACCTGCACCTCTGAGAGGCGGCTCTGCCTGGTCCTGGGGCCCGGCCATCAGCTGCCTCTCCCGCTCTGCATGAGTGACGGACCCTGGCCTCCATGGTCTGGTCCCTGTTATTCTCTGAGCTGTTGGCTTTCATGCCTGCTCCAGGAAGGAGCATATCCTTTGCTGGTCAGCTCTTGGAGGCCCAGCTGGCTAGAGCCATGAAAAGGGGGATTACTGTCAAAATACAAGAAGGGCGGAAACCTGTTCCTGGGAGGCTGGAAGTTTAAGAGTAGCCCCCTCCACCCCACAGCGTGAGCTGCTGTCCTGCGGTTTGAAGGACCATCTAGGTGGCCTCGCAGACTGACCTCCAGGAAGACCAGATGGCATCCTGCTCCACACGTTTACTCTTGGTGACTTTGGATCACTTGGTTAATTTCTTTAGGCTTTATTTCCCTTATCTGTGCAATGAGATTGGTGATGTTGTGTTTAATGGAGATGGTGATGATAACAGTAGTAAAACACATTAAAGAGCCTGGCCACGATAAATGGTCATCGAATGTGAGTTATCGTCCCCGTCAGATGAGAACTGGGCAGCAGGACTCCAGCCCTCGTTGACCTCGAGAGCCATAGAGAAGAGAGGGGTTGGGGGACCCATGCAGACTGAGAGCTGTGAGGGAGGGTCCCCTGAGACCCCAGGCAGAGGAGAGGACACCTGTTATCCAGAAGGAGAAAGAACACAGTCCGTTTAAACCAGCACTCACACGCAGAGGAGATCACTGTAGCCAGTTCAAACCTCCCTCCTGCCTCAGCCCCAGCCTCCAAATTCTTCTCTGTGGAGACCGCACACTGCCAGTTCTCCGGGTCTTCTGGCATGTGTGAGCATGCACAAACACGCCATCACACACAGGCTTCCCCTTGTAACTCAAAAACCACACCGTCACACGCAGCCTTCCCCTTGTAACTCAAAAACCAGACTGTCCCACGCAGGCTTCCCCTTGTAACTCAAAAACCACACAGTCACACGCAGGCTTCCCCTTGTAACTCAGACGCTGGCCTCATCATGTACACGTTGGTGTGCACCTCACTCTTGCGGTTAGAATTTATTGAGGATTTTTTCCTTCTTGGTAAATATGGTGCTGTTTTTTAAAACATTAATGACTACATAGCATTTTATTGTAGAGCTATATTGTAATTTATGTAACCAGTCTCCCCACCATGTACAGACATTCATTTTTTTTTCCAATTTTTGCTGTTATAAACTGTGCTGCAATGAACATCACAGATCATATATTTGACACAAGTATTAGAATGTTTGCGGAATACATTCCTAGAATCAGAATTGCTGAGTCAAAGGTTAGACACTTACCAGTAATTTTGAACGTATTGCCAAATTGTCATTCAAACTGGTCATAAAACTACATTCTCCTCTGTAATTTACAAGAGTAACTGTTTACCAACCCAGAGTCAACCTGGTGAGATGCCCGTGGTGTTTGCTTTTTAGTTTTTGTTTCTTTTTTTTTTTTTTGGCCTCCCAATCTGACTAGTTTAAAACAATATGTTATTGGGGTTTTAATTTTTATGATTCTTGGTACACAACTGAGAAATTGTATTTGTTTAAGTGGCATTTATATTTCCTCTTTTCATGAAACCTTTATGTATATTTTTTAACTCTATAAATTTTTAAAATGATTTGATAACTGTCTTTACATTTTAAGAAAATTATTCCTCATATGTGTTTTATCAATATTGATATATAGAAATTTATCATGTGTACCTGTATTTTAGAGTTTAATTTTTCTCCATTGGCTTTCTTTAGGTTATGTTGTTGACATTCTACTTAAAATTTTAGTAGAATTTAATGTTTTAAAATCTGCTTTTAATTTGAGTCTCTTGCGAGACGCTCCCTTATTCTACAATTATTTCTAAAATTGTCTCTGCTTTCTTTTCTTGCTTGTATTAGGCCAAATCACTAAGGAGTGGAATTTGACCCGGAGGTCCAGGCAAGGGAGTGCAGTAATTGAGGTGTGAATTTGTCCGGAGGTCCAGGCAAGGGAGTGCAGTAATTGAGGTGTGAATTTGTGACTCGCTGCTGGAGCTTGAGGAGGCCGAGTGGCCAGGGAGGAGCTGCAGGGGTGTGGTCTCCGGAGAAGTGGAGGCTCTGTCTGCTCTCAGGGCACCTGTTGTGTGAGTGGTGCCAAATTCCATGCAGCCCAGCAGCAAAGGGGCACGCTGCTTTCCCGCCTCCATATGCCACAGGCCACAGGCCCCGCCAGGGCCTCTGGGTCCCTGAAGACAAGGAGAACTCTCGGGGAATGCCCCAGCCTAGGAAAGGGTGTCGGGCAGGACACCAGCAGTCTCTGCTTCAGGACCTCTGTATTCATTCTTTCTTTCTTTCTTTCTTTCTTTCTTTCTTTCTTTCTTTCTTTCTTTCTTTCTTTCTTTCCTTCTTTCTTTCTTTCTCCTTTCTTTCTTTCCTGCTTTCTTTTATCTTTCCTTCTTTCTTTCTTTCCTTCTTTCTTTCTTTTTTCTTTCTTTTTATTGTTAATCAATCCATTGAGATTTATGTTGTGAGTAGTAAGGTAAAAATCCAATATCATTATTATTTTACAAACAGCTACACTGTCTCTCAACACATTTATTGAATTTTCTGTCTCCCCCACCCCCATTTTGAAATGATGCTTTTATTGCAGGTTAAGCTCCTGTATGCACTCGGGCCTGTTTCCATAGCTTCCATTTGATCTGATCGATGGATCAGTTTATATTCCAATACACACTGCTTTCATTAGCATAGCTGTATGTGATAATACTTGGTAAGTAGTATAAATTCCCATTCCATACTCTTTTCATAACATCTCTCTCTTGGATACTGTAAACCAAACATAAAATTCTAAGGCCCCCCAGCCATCTGAATGGACTTCCCCCGTGGCCAGGGCAGGCTACAGTTCCACCTAAAAGACAAGCTCAGCCCATGATGGGAAGTGGGGGTGGGACATGCCTCATTACAGCCCTCCAGCGTTAACATCAACACAGACCTCAAATCTGATAAGAAACACTTACAATCTATTCCCTCTGAAGTCTAATACCTGGAGGCTTCATCTGCCTGACAGAACTTTGGTCTCCACAGCCTCTTATTGTAACCCATTCCTTTCTACAGATAATAACTCTTTCAACCAATTGCCAATCAGAAAATTTTTAAATCTACCTAAGACCTGGAAGCCCCCTCCCCACCCCCTGCTTCAAGTTGTCCCATCTTTCTGGACCGGGCCAATGTGCATCTTGAGTATATTTGATGGATATCTCATGCCTCCCTAAAACTTATAAAAAACAAGCTGCATCCAGACCACCCTCGGCCCATGTTCTCAGGGTCTCCTGAGGGCTGAGTTATGGGCCATGGTCACTCATATTTGGCTCAGAATAAACCTCTTTAAACATTTTACAGAGTTTGACTCTTTGTTGACAATACTCTTGCTGGTTTGCATGTGAAGTTCAGCTTGAGAATCTCTCACACACACACTGGAGGTTTAAATAAATATACACTCATAATTGGGATCCTATACATTATTCAGACCCATGTATATTCACACATCACTTAGGGAAGCGTTGGCTTCTGGATGTGGGCAGGCTGCCTCTCCAGAACCATGGTGAGACTTCCCATTCGTTCAGAGATCTTGGGGTGAACTCCTGAGTCCTGTTCAATATTCTTCTTCACATAATATTGGACATTGCTATTTTGGTTTATTCTTACACAGTTTTATAGCTTTATGTTCCTAATGCATACATAGAATATTTTCTTTCATCTTATCTTCCTGTACTGTTTAAATACAATTTTTTGGCTCCTCAGAATGACACATTATAAATATTTATAATAAAATCAGCGCCCATACACTCACCTCTTAGAAAACAGAACATGCTGGAGTGCCAATTCATGCGCACTTTCCACCCCACTAAGGTGCCACCTGATCTGATTTTGCTTTACCGTTCTCTTGATTTCCTTTATTATTTTACAAAATTGGTGTCTATCCCAAAGCAATGGATTGCTTAGTCTTTCTTGTTTGTGAGTTTTATCCAAATGGTAGCAGTGTTTCTGCAATTGTCTCTGATTTGCGGTTGTCACTCAGCCGTGAAGGTCGAAGAGCCCTCCATGGAGATGGCCGTGGCCGCGCTTTGCTCAGTGTCCTTGTGACATGGAATAAAGTCACAGAGTCTTTTTATCACAGCCCACTCACTCGCTCCCCTGTTGACATTTGGGTCGGTTCCAAGTCTTTTGCTACCAACAATGCTGCTGTGAATATTCTGTGCCTGGTTCCTGCTGTGTCCATCTACATTGCTGTGTTTTGATTATTTCTTGTTTTTCTGTTGTTCTGGGGTATATAATTAGACAGAGTTTTGCTGGGTCATAGGTGATGAATACCTTTAGCTTTTATAAAATGAAGCCTAATTATTTCTTACTACCGAAGTGTTTGGAAAAAGCAATAGTTAAGCAGTCTCAGTGTTTCACCTATTTGTCTACAGATCTTTAAAAACTGTGTCAATCTTTTTGGCTTGAGATATATATTTTATTTTTAATTCTTATTTTCGTGATTATTAATCAGATGCATTATTTATACTTTAACTGGCCTTTTAATTTTCACTTCTGTGAAAAGGTTTTGAACCATGTTGCCTATTGGGTGTGTTTTAAACTATTAATTATTGAAACGTTATTTTTGTTTTATATTTTAATTTTCAATTCTCTATCAGCCACAGGAATTGCAGATATATTTTATTAGTTGAATTTGCCACTTTCGTGGTGAATTTTGATGAAAAGAAGTTCTTTTATGGTTTGTACTGTTATTTATTTCAAAAACCTTTCCAAAGCGTTTTCTGATATTTTCTTCTAAAATGTTTACATTTTTTCATTTGCATTTCAGTGTTTAAATCATCTGTGTACTTGGACTGAGGTAGAGATCTGGTCTATTTTTTCCTATAGTTATGAGTTGAATTAGCACAATTTGTTGACTGGTGTGTCCTTCACCCAGTAATGTGCAAAATCTGCTCTGTTGTGTGTCAAATAGCCATAGGTCCTGCAGGTTCAAATATGTGTCTGTTGCTTCTATATTGATAGAGGTTAGCTGGATATTAAATTCTTAGTCTTGCTCTCTTTCTTTGAGGGATTCGTTTTTGTTTTGTTGAATATGACAGTTGAGAAATCTTAGGCAAATGGATTTCTTAACCTTTATAGATGGCTTAATGTTTTAGCATGCATTTTCATAAATTGATTATTTAAAAATTCAATGACCTCTGTTTATTATGGTATGTTTCAGTGAGGAGTTGTTTGATACCAATATGTTTTTTAAATTTTTCCTGGACTATGGTGTGCTCTTTCAATATATAGAAAAAATAATCCCTTAGTGTCTAGAATAACATTTTTAGTTATTTCTTTAAACATGTTTGCTAGGATATTATCTGGATTTTCTTTGTTGAGGAACACCACTTATGTATATGTTGGAGCTTCACGTCCGTGATTTTCTGTCTGTTTCTAAACTCTTTGGTTTTTCCATTTTGTTTTTCCTTCTCTCCATGTCCCTGGTGATTTTTGGGGTATTGCACATTTATTTAATTTGTGGGTGCACATCCTATTTTCCTCTGTGCCGACTCCTAGTCTATCATGGTGGGTGGAGTGTGAGCCACCCTGACCCTGGCAGCCCCTGCTTGGATGGTGATTCCTTTTAATGACGGGGACAGTCCATGAGCAACAATGTAAATTTATATAAATTATGGTTGATTAATTCTGTTAAGACAAGTGAATCAAGACACGAGGAGAGAATGATAGGAAACCTCTTTAGAAGGGATGATCAAAAAGCTTCTCTGAGATGATAACATGTGGCAGAAACCTGGGAACCGAGATTCTGGAGTAACAGAGGCCAGGCACCAAGGCAGGGCTGGGGCAGGAATGCACCGGCATGAGGTGGCCCAGCCACTTCAGGGACCAGGGCTGCCAGGATGGGGTGAGGGTGGGGAGGCTGCCGAGAAGCAACACACAGACTGGTGGGTATTTATTTTATAGAAGGCCCAAAGGAAGGTATTTCATATAAGTATTCAAAATGCACTAAAAAAACTAAATGATAAACAAAGTAACGCAATAACTAAACTAAATGGTATGTTTCAAAGACCAGAATGGTAAACATGTTACATGATATCAACTGAAATAAGTATTTTTTAAAATATAGGAAGGTAATCGCATAATGCTGTCCTATTAATGATCAGCAGAAAATGAGATTAAAATACTTAAAATAAAATGAACACTACATATAATAAAATTCATTTAAAGGTATTTCTTTAAAATAAAATCATTGAAAGTTATTTTTTATCATTGGTTTCATGATTGAATCTTGAGTTCATTTTCTTTTTTTATTGACACATAATAATTATACATGTTTATGGGGTACGTAAGATGCTTAGTGTATGCATATAATATGTGATGACCAAATAAAGGTAATTAGGATAGCCATCACCTCAAACACTTATCATTTCTTTGTGCTGGGAACATTCCAGAACTTATCTACCAGCTATTTTGAAATATGCCATATGTTTTTGTTAATTATAGTCACCCTACTGTGCTATCCAAGGCTTGAACTTATTCCTTTCATCTAACTGTATTTTTGTATCCATTAGTACAAAAATTATTTTCGATGTGTTAGTGATTAAATTGTTTTCAATGAGCTGGGATACCAGTGTTTCGATCTTAACAACAACAACAAAGCCAGTAAGTCTTTATTTGGAGCTCATTTTCTTGTGCAAATATTTCCATCTGTTGAAAACCTCTTTCTGGCTCAGGATAATAAGAAGGAGATGGTTGTAAGTTAATTCTCTTTTTTTCTTTTTTTTTGAGATGGAGTCTTGCTCTGTCACCCAGGCTTGAGTGCAGTGGGTGCGATCTCGGCTCACTGCAAGCTCCACCTCCTGGGTTCATGCCATTCTCCTGCCTCAGCCTCCCGATAGCTGGGACTACAGGCACCTGCCATCACGCCCAGCTAATTTTTTTGTATTTTTAGTAGAGATGGGGTTTCACCGTGTCAGCCAGGATGGTCTCGATCTCCTGACCTCGTGATCCGCCCGCCTCGGCCTCCCAAAGTGCTGGGATTACAGGCGTGAGCCACCGCGCCTGGCAATTTTTCATTTTTTGACTCCTTCATTCAAACAATCCCATACCTCATTTTATAATTTCAAGATTATTTTGACGAGTCCTTTTTTTTCAAGGACTAGGTTCTGTTTATCGATGGCATGATATTTCCAGCTTGTCATTATCTTCTTTGTGTCTGTCATGTATCGATGGAGATTCTGCACAGTCACCCATATTTATTTCAATTCTGTCATGTTTGTGTTTCATTTCTTCAGAAAGCCTTTGAACTATGATAAGAACCTTCATTTAAACAAAAGCTTCGTGTTGCTTCTTGTGACAAGTACAGGCGCGCCCACCTAGACTCGTACACGGTGCATTTGCTCGACCTCTTTGCCTACATTGAAGAATTAAGTCATTGATCTTGATCTCAAGATATAAATTGTTCAACTTGCAGGCCTGGTTGTTGTTGTTAAGATTGAAACATTGGTATCCAGCTCATCGAAAGCAGTTCGAACACTGACACAGCATGCGACTGAAAAGTGGGTTTCCGGGGGCTGCCGGGTTGAGACTGTGCAGGGCCACGAGCCACAGCAGGACCAGGACCTTGCTCCCAACATGAGGAAGCCCTGACGAGGTTTCAAGCAGGGGGAAAATTGGATGCGTTGACTCCGCATAGAGAATGGCTGAGGGGAGGTTGCACAGGGGGAGGCGGACAGCCATTGCCGTAAGAGATGAACACCAGGGCTCAGAGCCCAAGGACATTTCTGGTTACTCTCTGGGCAATGGCTGGGTATGGATCGGACCTGAAGAAGTGGAGGTGGTGCCCGTGGAAATTTGAAGGTTTTTGCTTTAGCAATTGGGTAAATTCCGAAAGAAGCTTGCTGAAATGAGAAACGGTGGGAGAAGAGGGGATTTGAAGTGGGACAGATACAAGGGTTTTGGCTTTAAACATGCTAAATTTAGAAAACTTATTGTTCATACAAGTGAAGATATGGAGTGATCATTTGCACACAAGATTCCTGGGCTTAAAGACAAGAAAGGATTGAGTGATATAAACTCAGGCCTGGACGTAAGAAGGGGTGAGACGACCTAGGAAGACAGTAAAAATAGAGAAGAGAGGCCCGAGGACGGAATCCAAGGGAAACCAAAGTCAGAGGCTGGAACGACGAAGTGGGTCCGCTGAAGGAGATGGAGAAGCTGGCAGTGAGGCAGGAGGGGGACCAGAGGGCTGTGGTACCCTGAAGTCAGGAACAGGAAGCATTTTGGGGTATAAAGGATACAATCAAGTTCTGAGAGGACAAGGAGAATTAGGCCCTAAATTGACAACTGAATGTAGCAATTGTGGCCTTTCAAAAATGTGATTGAATGGGGTGAGTTTGAAAGAATCTATTAGGAGAGGGAGTAGAGAGACAATGCTTTCAAAGAATTTTATTCTAACGGGGAACAGAGAAATGGGTCAGTAACTGGAGGGAGGATGAGACAGGAAACTTTTTTTTATTAATAGATAAGTGGTTTTAGAATACACTGTTGTGCATATGAAAATGATTTAGAGGCTGGGCGTGGTGGGTCACGCCTGTAATCCCAGCCCTCTGGGAAGCTGAGGTGGGTAGATCACCTGAGGTCACGAGTTCGAGAGCAGCCTGGCCAACATGGCGAATCCCTGTCTCTACTAAAAATACAAAAATTAGCCAGGTGTGGTGGCACATGCCTGTAATCCCAGCTACTCGGGAGGCTGAGACAGGAGAATCACTTGAACCCGGGAAGCGGAGGTTGCAGTGAGCCAAGATTGTACCACTGCACTCTAGCCTGGGTGACAGGGCAAGACTTCATCTCAAAAAAAAAAAAAAAAGAGAAAGAAAATGATCCAGAGGAGAAGGGAAGACTATTAATGCTGGAGAGAGATGACACCATGGAAACAAAGTCCTTGGAAGGTGATTAGGGTCAGGATTTGCTGTGCAAGGGAGATGGGGGCATGCAGACAGTTATACAGAGTAATTACCAAAATGGACCACAGGGCACGGGGCTGCAGAGGGAGGCGGGCGCATGACCTCCTGGTGGTGGGGAGGAGGGCTCTTACAATTGGTTCTGTTTTTGTTTTTGTGTGTTCGAAATAAGAAATGAGGCCCTACGATGGGGTGGGGTGTTCAGATAATACTGGGCATTTTAGGAAAAGTAAGTTATGGAGGGGTTGGCTGTCAGACTATGGGGTGGCTGGACTGGGCTGGCTGGCTCCGAGGCAGAGCCGAGTCTCCAGCTGATGTGGAGATTTCCTGGGACCAGAGTCTGGGGGTTGCGGAGGGTGGCTGTCAATCCGAGGTTCATGAAGGTAGACCTAAGTAGTACCCTCCAGCCCAGCCACTCATTGTCATCAGCATGTCCAACTGCCCAGCACCAGCCTGGGGAAGGCAGAGTGAGATTCAATGATGGTGAGTTTGCTTCCTCATTACAGGGAAGAAGGGGAGAGAGGAGCAGAGGGTTGGAGGCTTAATCAAGGGAGCCCTTCTGGTATTAAACTCCAAGTCCAACCAGGCACGAAAGGGAGGAGATGAAGCATAAGAAACAGGGAAATGCAGGACCCTCTGCCCTCCTTGGTGAGGTTTTAATGTGCTCTTAATTTTTTTAAATTTTTTTTCTTCAGCGTCTGAGCTTTGACAGCCCATATTTCTTCTCCGTCTCTCAACAGGGCATCTCTGAGTGCAACAGCTTGCTCGCTCTCTTTCTTTTTGTGTTCTGTTTTGTTTGTTTGTTTTTTAGAGGAATCACTTTATCGTTGTTTTTCTTCTGTTCGTGGTGTTGTGATTAGTTAACATTTTTAACCTCTTTGTGCAAATATTTTTTGGTAAATATTTATAGCTTACCGCTTCTTTCCACTACTCTTTACTCCTTTAATTTTTCAATGTATACATAAATCAGATGCTTGTTCCTTTTTTATTTCTCTCTCTATATATATAAAGTATATATATAAAGTATACATATTTAGTGTGTGTATATATAAAGTATATATATATAGTGTGTATGTATATATAAAGTGTATGTGTGTGTATATATATATATATATATACACATACATGTTTATTTTTTTTTTTCTTGAGACAGGGTCTTACTCTGTCACCCAGGCTGGAGTGCGGTGGTGGGATTAATAGCTCACTGCAGCTTTGAATTCCTAGGCTCAAGCAATTCTCCCACCTCAGCTTCCCAAGTAGCTGGGACTACAGGTGTGCACCTCCATGCTTACCTAATTTATTTTTTTAGTTTTTGTATAGCTGAGTCTCGGGTACATTGGCCAGGCTGTTCTTGAACTCCTGGCTTCAAGTGATCCTTCCACCTCAGCCTCCCAAAGTGCTGGGATTACAGGCGTGAGCAACCACACCTGGCCTATTTCTCATCTTTAATAAGTGTGTTTTCTTGGAAGGCTGAAGGAGGGTCAGAGCCATGTTCCAAGCTAACAGGAAATCTCCCAGGTGATAGTCGCTTTGCTTATGAGACAGGCTGTGTGCATGGGCAATTGTTTCTCAGGCTTTTCTTCTCCCCACTCTCATTTCTCTAGAAATTTCCCCTCTTTCTTCCCCTCATCCCCTCTAACACAACTGTCTGAAAATGTGTCCTGAAGGGTGACTCCTGGCCAGGGATGCCTTCCTCCTGGATTCTTAAGGCCAAACTGAGGCCAAGGAGGCTCAAGCTATGAGACCAGGCACTTTCTGGAAATGATTGATTTGGCCTTCAAGCTATGTGGTCCATTTTTTTAAAAAACAAACTTTTAAAATTTTAGGATAGTTTTCCATTTGCCAAAAAGTTGCATCATTTCTTTTTTGAGAGCTCCAGTAGGTATAAAAGCTCAATTAACATTGTTTTTAATTATATTTAAAAGGGCATCATGATGATGTAATCATCCTGGTCTGAGCCTCTTACTTATTAGATTTCCAATCTTGATGAGGATTTCTCACGTACCTGAAATTCATTCATTTTGACGGTTGCAGGGCATTTCCTTGTGCTACTATATGTGCAGTTTACTCACCTACGCTCCTAGAAACGGGCATTACACTGTCTCCAGGTTTTCACTGTCCTAATGGCATTTGCAGGAACCTTGTGTGCACATCTCCCATAGGCGTGCAAGAGCTTCGCTTGGGTGTGTAGAAGCAGAATTAGAGGGTCAGAGAGCATGTAAATGTTCACCTTCAGAAGGTAACGCCAAATATTTTCACAAATCATTGTAGCAATATGCCCTCCCAGCAGCATTATGTATATAAAATGTTCTCTCTATTCACATCTTCCAATTATATTATTTTAGACTTAAAAAAAATGTTGTTGATCAAATATGTGTAGGATGGTGCCTCATTGTGGCCTTCACTTGCACTTTTCTATTGACTAATGAGGCTGAACATCTCTTCATCTGTCTACAGCCTCTACGTTTTTCCTTTTGTGTACAATAACTGCTCATGTATTTGGGTCACTTTTATGTTGGGCTGTTTTGCTTTTACTATTGTGATAAAGGACTTCTTGTATACATTCTTTATATGAGTTGATTCTTTTTTTTTTTTATTTTTAGACAGAGACACACTTTGTCACCCAAGCTGGAGTGCAATGGCGCAATCTCAGCTCGCCGCAACCTCTGCCTCCTGGGTTCAAGTGATTCTCCTGCCTCAGCCTCCCAAGTATTTGGGATTACAGGCATGCACCACCATGCCTGGCTAATTTTTTGTATTTTTAGTAGAGACGGGGTTTCGCCATGTTGTCAGGCTGGTCTCAAACTCCTGACCTCAGGTGATCCACCTGAGGCCTCCAAACGTGCTGGGATTACAGGTATGAGCCACCACGCCTGGCTGAATTGCTTCTCTTTTCTAACTTTTCCCAGTTTCTTCTCCCTATTTGTAACTTACTGTTTACTCCCACTAAGGTTTGTTTTGATGAATACAAGTTTTTAATTTAAACATACTCACATCTATATTTTAAATTTTTAATTAATGCATGTATATTTAATAAGTAATCCCCTTTTCCAAGGCGTAGAAGGTATTTACTTATACTTTCTATGAGAAGGTTTAAATTTTTGTTTTTGATATCATTACATAATATATCCAGAGTTGATTTTTGTATATAGTGTGAGATAGAGTTCATCTTTCCCCTGCATCACTTCATCAAACAATCCTGTCTTTTCTCTTGGCTCTCCCATGCTTCTCCTATCATAAATCAAAGTTTCATTCATACCCTTGGTGTGATCCTGGGCTCGTTGTTTTGTTTCATTGATCAACTTGTGTTTCTCTTCCCCTTTACGGGCATCAGCACTTCCTGTAAAGCTACAGAAAGTGGGGAATAAACAGGTGCCTGTTTCCCCTCCCGGCCCTTCTTCAGTCCTGGATTTCCTTGTACCTTTATTTTTGTATATGAATTTTAGAATCATCTTATCAAGTTCTGGGCATAATCTTTTCAGGAATCCTGTGAGTAATTTGAATCTATACCTGACATCATGTTGGAAATGATTGACATCTTTACACTGTCAAATCTTCCTATCCATAAACATGGTAAAAAAGAATGAGATCATGTCCTTTGCAGGGACACGGATGAAGCTAGAAACCATCATTCTCAGCAAACTAACACAGGAACAGAAAACCAAACACCGCATGTTCTCACTCATAAGTGGGAGTTGAACAATGAGAACACATGGACACAGGGAGGGGAACATCACACACCAGGGCCTTTTGGGGGGTGGGGGGCAGGGGAGGGAGAGCATTAGGACAAATACCTAATGCATGTAGGGGCTTAAAACCTAGATGACAGGTTGATAGGTGCAGCAAACCACCATGGCACATGTGTACCTATGTAACAAACCTGCGCATTCTGCATATGTATCCCAGAACTTAAAATTAAAAAAAAAAAAAAAACTCTATTTGAGAGCAGTTTTAGATTTAAAGAAACCTAGTGAAGCTAATAGAGTCACTATGTGCCCATATCCAGTTTTCCTTATTGTTAACATCTTACATTAGTATGATACATTTGTTGCAAATAATGAGCAAATATTGATACATTATTATTAACTAAAATCTATAGATTCAGATTTCTTCAGTTTTTATCTAATGTCCCTTGCTAAACTCTCTATTACTTCCAATAATTCTTCCATAGATTAAATTGATTCTTTTGTAAGCAACTATTTGCTCTGAAAATAATAATTTTTGTATCTCTTTTCCAATCCTGTGTCTTTCTTTTGCTGTTACTGTTGTTCATTTATTTTTGTGCTGATTAAGACTTCCGATAGGTCCAGGCACAGTGGCTCACATCTGTAATCCTAGCACTTTGGGAGGTCATGGTGGGAGGATCGCTTGAGGCCAAGAGTTCAAGACCAGACTGGACAACATAGTGGGACCTCATCTCCACAAAAAATAAAAAATTAGCTGGGTGTGGTAACACACACATGTAATCTCAGCTACTTGGGAGGCTGAGGTAGGAGGATCAAGCCCAGGACATCAAGTGAGCCGTGTTCACACCACTGCATTCCAGCCTGAGTGACAGGTGAGACTGTCTCAAGGACTTTCAATAGGGTGTTGAGTAGAAGTATTTTGAGAACTGGTCTCATTTTGATGTTAAAGGGACTATCTCTAAGATACCACTTTTTAGAGTAATTATTTTAGGTGTTTCTGGGATTTTTATTGGTTTAATAAGTTTTTTTTTTTTTTTTTTGAGGCAGGAGTCTCGCTCTGTCACCAGGCTGGTACAGTGATGTGATTTTGGCTTACTGCAACCTCTGCCTCACGGGTTCAAGCAATTCTCCTGCCTCAGCCTCTTGAGTAGCTGAGACTAAAGGCATGCACCACCACGCCCAGCTAATTTTTGTATCTTTAGTAGAGACAAGGTTTCACCATGTTGGCCAGGATGGTCTCGATCTCTTGACCTCATGATCCGCCAGCCTCAGCCTCCCAAAGTGCTGGGATTACAGGCGTGAGCCACCGCGCCCAGCAATAAATATTCTTTTTTAGATAAGAATGGCAAGTTAATTCTCAATTTAGAAATTTTTTTCATCTTAAATGATGTTAATATTTTTAAGTAAACTTGTCAAAGTATAACATGCATGCAGAAAGAGAAGCAAAACATAAATGTACTACTCAGTGAATTGCCCTGAGATGAGCACACTTGTGTAACCAGCACCAGGATCAAGAAGCAGAAAGTGGCTGTGGCTTCTGAATTGCCTCATTCCCTGGCCAGTTACAACGCTGTTCTTAAGGGAAGCCATGATCCCAATGTCTAACCCCATAGGTTAGTTTTGCCTGCTTTTATCCTTTGTATAAATGGAATTGCACTGCACATGCTCATTTGTGCCTTACTGTTTTCACTCTATAAGAAGGGCATCCACCGTTTGGGGCATTGTTGTAGATGTTCAAGCCTCCTGCTGTAAGTGTTTCACTGCATGATATACTAAAGTTGATGTGTCTGTTCCATTATTGATGGGCGTTTGGGAAATTCCTAGTTATGTGGTAATGAATAGTGCCTTTATAAACTTTTCATGTCTTTAGAAGAACTCACATATGCGTTTCTGTGAGACGTGAACCTAGAAATGAAATTGCTGTGCGTAAGATGTGGATTTGTTGAGCTGTTAAGAATTCTTCCACATGGTTTCCCAAAGTGGTTGTGCCAATTATATTCCCACCAGCAGTGCATGAGCTGCCTTGAACTCCACACCCTCAAGACCTGCTATTGCCTGTCTTTTGTGTTTGAGGCATTCTGGTGGCTACACACTGGTGTTGAATTATGGCTTTAATTTGCATCCCCTGATAGCTAATAAAGTGCAGGAGATTTTCATGTTGTATTGACCATTTGAACATTTATTTTCATACACGTCTCCTCTGGTCTTTGGGAAAATTTGCATTGAGTTGCTTGCCTTTATGTTATAATTTATATGTATTTTAATATGTTTTAGATACAAGTCCATTTATTATATGTATTTAAGTGTTATGTGTATTTCAAGTGTTGTTATATGTTTTCTGTGTTATACATTAATAATTTTCTCCCACTCTGTTTCTCGACTTACCATTATTAATGTGTCTTCTGATGAAATGGATCATATATATCCATTTTCTTGTGCTTAGCAATTTTAATATCAAGTTTAAGATTTTACCTACTCCGGCCAGGCACAGTAGTGCATGCCTGTAATCCCAGCACTTTAGGAGACTGAGGCAGATGGATCACATGAGGTCAGGAGTTTGAGACCAGCCTGACTAACGTGAAACCCCATCTCTACTAAATACAGAAAATTAGCTGGGCGTGATGGCGTATGCCTGTAATCCCAGCTACTTGGGAGGCTGAGGCAGGAAAATCGCTTGAACCCGGGAGGCGGAGGTTGCAGTGAGCTGAGATCATGCTATTGCACTCCAGCCTGGGCAACAAAAGCAAAACTCTGTCTAAAAAAAAAAAAAAAAAAAAAATTACCTACTCCAAGGTGATACAAATGCCCTCTTGTGTTTTTCTGCAAAATATTATTGTGTACATTTAGTGCTGAAGTTCATCTTTGATGTTTGCAAATGGTGTGAGATACCATGGCGAGTCTCACTTCCTTATGAATATCCAGTTGACCAGGCATCATTTATTAAAAAGACCATCCTTTTCCTACTACCTTGCAGAATATTTTTGTTAGAAATCAGGTGACTACAAATGTGTGGGTTTGATTCTCAACTCTCTATTTGGTGCCACTGGTCTATTTGGCCATCTTTGCATCAATACCATATCAATGTCTCGGTTACTATAGTTTTACAATGGAACATCCGATATAGTAGGTAGTGTTGCAAATGATACAGCTTTGGTCTTTTCCCTCAATTTGCCTATTACATTTCCATGTAAATGTCAGACTCAACTTGTGAATTTCTACAAACACACAAATATCCTTCTGGAGTTTCGTTTGGAATTGCAATAAATCCGTCACTTGATTTAGGAAAAGCTGTCGTCTTTATATTAGTGAGTCTTCCTCTTAACAAACAGGAGGTGTCTCTCTATTTATGTAAAACTTCATTTTTTTTCTCAAAATATAGAGGCGTTATATGTAACAGTTTGTCTCAAATCCTCTGTGGTAGAGAACCAGTTTTTTCTGTTTTAATTTCTAAGTGAATATGTTTTTAAAATAAAATAAAAATATTCCGGTAATTTCAAAACAGCCATAAAAGTTTCTACATACCTATACTAATACCTATACTACATACCTATACTAAAATTTCTACATACCTATACTAGTTTATCTCATTTAAAACTGTTAAAAATACTTTATTATCTGTGCTTTGTGTAGCACTGATGTAGAGATTTTGAACATCTTTGGTTAGATTCATTTCTGGGCATTTGATTTTGTTTGATGCTATCTTAAAATATATTTTAAACATTTCATTTTATATTTATGGAGTGCAAAAATATATTAAATTTTATTATTTGTCTTAAATCCAGCATTTTTAATGTTTCATTATTAATTGTAATAGTTTAAAGTCTTTTAAATTTCAAAATACACAGTTATGTCCTCTGAAATCATAGGTTTTTTCACAATACAAGTTTTATTATGTTTTTTCTTGGCATATTGCACTGGCTATGACCACTATTACAATGTGGATCAGATTTCGTGGTAGCAAACTCCTTGTCTCATTCAATTTCAGTGGCAGTGTTTAAGTGTGCTGTTTATGCTAAGTTATTTTTGCAGATACTCTATTTGATCAGAGAAAGTTCCTTCTATCCCTAGATTTACTAATAGCTTTTTTTGTTTTGTTTTCCTTTTCTTTTTTTACCCTCTAACATGAATTGATGGTGAACCTTTGTCTGCATCTATTAAGGTAATCATGAGTTTTCTTAATGAACTTTTAACCCTCCCAAAATTACGTAAAAATACATTCCTAGTATCACATTTTTATTATAGCTTGTTTTATTATATATTAATGTTGTCACACCAAATTTATCTGGAAAACTTTTTCTCTATTGCCAGCCCTAAAATGTACTCATATTTTATGTGTGTTAATGTAAATAACACATATATGGATATTTTTTCTCTTTAGCCAGTTCATATTCTTTGGGATTTAATTGATAGAATTAATTGACTTACATTTATTGTACTTGTTGATATATTTGATTAATTCCAACAATCATAATTACTTTTATTTATTTATTTATTTTTGAGGCAGAGTCTTGCTTTGTCACCCAGGCTGGAGTGCAGTGGCACAATCTCAGCTCACTGCAACATCTGCCTCCCGAGTTCGAGCGATTCTCCTGCCTCAGCCTCCCAAGTAGCTGGGACTACAGGCATGTGCCACCATGCCCCACTAATTTTTTGTTTTTTTGTAGAAATGGAGTTTCACCATGTTGGCCAGGCTGGTTTTGAACTCCTGACCTCAAGCGACCTGCCTGCCTCAGCCTCCCAAGGTATTAGGATTACAGGCATGAGCCACCATGCCTGGCCAACAATCATAGTCATTTAAATTTCCCATAAAATTTCCCATATAAAAGAAAAAATTTATATTTTTCTTTTTTCTTCTTTTAAAAATTCATATCATTGTCATTTCCTAATAAGGCACAAACATCAGCAAGATCTCAAATCCAACACTGAGATTGTGCCAAAACCCTAACAGCATCTACATCTTTAACACTGGGCATCCTCTGTGCCCTCTGAGACGGTCATGCGTGAAGTGGCCCCGCGTGCTCTCTGTGTCATGTGTGACGCGGCCCCTCGCGCTCTCTGTGTCATGCGTGACATGGCCCTGTGTGCTCTCTGTGTCATGCATGAGGTGGCCCCTCGTGTTCTCTGTGTCATGCATGAGGTGGCCCCTCGTGTTCTCTGTGTCATGCGTGAGGTGGCCCCTCATGCTCTCTCTGTCATGCGTGAAGTGGCCCCTCGTGTTCTCTGTGTTCTGCAGTTGCCACCTATTGTGGGATCATCAGGTAACTTTTGCCGTCGGGTTTTATATCTCTTTGGGGGCCAGTTAGGAAAACCTGTCACTTTACAACTATAAAATTTTACAATCTACCGACTGTACAAATATTGATTCTCTTTAATAAAGGGCCTGGCCTTCCCAGATGGTGTGTAAAACTGAGGAATCAGTCCATCTCCCCACACGTCCACCCCCTGGACCCTTCGTGGTTGCGGTGTGGCCTCCCAGAGGGTCTGTTTTCAGTCCTAAACCGATGAACCATTCCCCAAGGGTCTCCCACGGTGACAGCCATGACAGTCAGCTCAGTAAATGGCAGCACAACCAGATGAGGTCACTAAGGCCAACATATGTTAAATCTGGACATGCCTAGAAATATCTGGAATTCATGGCAGTTAAAAAATAAATGGCAGAAGAGAGATATTATAGATTATAAATATTATGGAAGTCATCCATCCACTCATTCATTTATACATTCATTCATTCCACAAAACAGAGTGTCTTCTGTTTGCCAGGCTTTGTTCTAGAGCCTGGGATAAAACAGAGAACCATTCAGGTGCAGCCTCTGCTCCGTGGAGCTGAGTTCAGGCATTCTCATCATTTATTCATGTGTATATTTATTTATGATGTTATTCATATATGTTCATTCAGAAATATTTATTGAATGCCTACTATGTGTCAGGCAGTGTTGGGGCACAGTGGTGGCTACACCAAGTCCCAGTTACCACAGAACTTACATTTTTTGGGGGAATTACAATATATAACAATAAACTACAGACATATATGATCTGAGAGGTGGTGACAGGCGCTGTGAAGAAAAACAATACAGGGTAATGGAGGAGAGGCCTCCAGGGCCATGTGCATTATGTTGCATGTGCAGGGCCTCCCTGAGCTGGTGGCTTTTCCATACATATTTAAAAGGAAGGAGGGCTCAAGCCTCACTGATGTCCAGGAGAACATGTCCTAGGCAGAGGGCTCTGTAAACGCCAGGTTCCTGAGGTCAACTTGAGGAACAGCTCAGGGTCAACACACCTTGGGCAAAGAGAGCAAGAGAAAGGGTGTGGAAGATTCCAGCAGATGCAGTCAGTAAACTCACTGAGCACCCACTGTGCGCCAGGGCCTTTGCCAGTCACCTCAGAGGCCCAGGGTCTAGTACATAGAAAGGCAAGTTGATATGTGTTACTCCTAGCCTTTGCCTCTGATACTATCTGATTCTCTTTGCTAGCAACTTGGACATGCCTCAGACACATTATTTTAATTCACTGGGCTCCAAATCCTAAGAAATAGTCATTAAAGGCCAGGCGCAGTGGCTCATGCTTGTAACCCAGTACTTTGGGGGGCTGAGGCGGGCAGATATATGAGGTCAGGAGCTCGAGACCAGCCTGACCAACATGGTGAAACCCTGTCTTTACTAAAAATAGAAAAATTAGCTGGGCGTGGTGGTGCATGCCTGTAATTCCAGCTACTCAGGAGGCTGAGGCAGGAGAATCGCTTGAACCCAGGAGGCAGAGGTTGCAGTGAGCCAAGATCGTGCCATTGCACTCCAGCCTGGGCGCAACACAGCAAAACTCCATCTCAAAAAAAAAAAAAAAAAAGGAGAAAAAAGAAATAATCGTTAAAGCCAGGTCTGGTTTACAGATGAAGATAGTCAGATTCACAGAGGTTGGAAAGCAAAAGATGGAGCTGGGATTCAGACACATGATGAAAGATGCAAGCAGAGAAGACAGACGTACCTGGTGCTGAAACATTCCTCCTCCAGGTTCCAGCCAGGTGAGCCTGGGAGCTACTCACCCCTGGGCCTCAGTGTCCCTGTCTGCAGAGTGAGGACTGTGATGGTGTGATGAGCTGGGGTGATGAGCAGGGAGTGTGGGCTGTGGGCTCAGTACTGCAGCTCCCACGTCAAAGATGTTTTATCTGGTTTCTGAGATAGAGGAGATCATTCTGGAATCATTTTCAGTCCTCCTCCACTCAGGCAGGTGGGTCTGAGAGCCCTTAGTGGTCAGGCATGAAGGAGCTGTGTGTGTTCAGGGAGCTGCATGACAATCCAGTGGCTGGACACACCCCAGCATCTTCACTCCAAGACTGGGTAGAGAGGGCAGCTCCTGGGTGCCACAGCCAGCCTCTCCCAGGGCACAGTGTGAGCATTACAGCTATTCAGGTCAGTGGAATATAAATGGCTCGTCACAAGGTTTTAATTTATTTGTATAAATATTAGACAAAAAGTAAGTAACCTCTCTAGTCTGTTTCTTAGACAAGGCGAAATTATAAAATATGAGTTGATTTTACAATGATTTAAAGAAAAATATTAAGTCAATTATAGATAGGGATGTGGGAGAAATTGTGAAGCTGTTCCAAGAACGGTTGGTAGCAGAAACGATTCCTGTAGACTACAGGGAGTCACCAAATGGCATTAGAAACAGCAAAAACAGATCTGAAATACATGGGAGCGTGTATGGGAAAACCAGGGATGTTGCTTTCCTGGAATGTCCTCTCCAGGGTGGTGGGGAACTGTGAGGGAAAGGGGAATGAATTCAGCTTGAGACAACAGAGCTCCAGGTGCTGTGGCACCCCCAGGTGGGAACCCCAGACAGTGGAGGAAGGTGGAGTATCAAGGCCCTGGAGTGCAGGGAGGAGGGGCTGGATGTGTCAATCAGGGGTCATCAGTCAGTGGTGGGAACTGAAGCCAGGGAAGGGGTCCTTCAAATAGAAATGAGGAGGAGGTTGAGAATGGATTTTAGGCAATGTTGACATTATAAAAGCAGCTGGAGGAAGTAGCCACAGAGGACTCCAGGAAGACCTACCCCATACCTGGAAGCCCAGAGAAGGAAGTGAGAGCGCTCTGCACCCTGGAAGCCTGAGAAGAAAGGGGAATCCTCTGCCTCATGAGAGCCACATGAGTGGTGAGTGGTGGGCACAGGTAGGAGGAGAGGAGTAGGACATTCAGCAGCGACTGTGCTTTCTAGAAGCTTCACCTTGAATGGAAGCAGAGAGCTGGTGCAGTATCCGGGTAGGGACAGGGGAACCAGTTAGGGTCTGCTTCCTTTTGGTTTGTTCGTTTGTTTTTAAAGGGCACCTTCCCATGTTGACAGTAGCAGAGGAAGCTAGCAGAGAGGGAAGACCTGAAGCCAGCCTTGGATAGGGCTGAGATCAGATGAGATGAGATGAGATGAGGAACTGAAAGGAAGGCTGGTCGTCCAAGAAGAGGTCATGTTGTTTTCTAGGGAAGGTGGGGCAAGGTGAACGGGGACTCGTGGCTGTCCCTGCTGCTGCATCATCTGTGTATGCATCCCGCTGGGTGTCCGGAAACCCTCTGGAGTAGATCAAGGCCTGTTCTCTGTGTTTATCCTCATGTTGCAGTTAGCATAAAAACTCTCCCCACCTCATCCTCTAAGCAGATGCCAGGACTGTCACTGTCATTAAACCCAATGAAAAATGTGGTCCCCATAAGAAGCCTCATGGCAGAGAGGAGACCTCTCCCCTGGGCCTGACCCTGGAGCCCCCTCTTTCTTGAATTTCCAGTTGAGCACATCATGTGTCCTTCCTGCCAGTGCTGAGCATTCAGGGAGGAGATTTCACTCTGTGCAAGTGGAGGGTGACAGATGATTGTACTCAGGGACTCATGCCTCCCCACTGCATGCCCATCTCTCTGTCCACCCAGTGGGAGGACAGCTATTTGAGGACAGGGTCTTGTTGCTGTTAGTTAACTGTCCCTGGCTTTCTGTTTGTTCTGTTAGGTTTTATTTCTTTCAATGCTATATCATTAATGCCAGTGGGAGTGCTCAACAGAATCTGGGTGCATACATGAAGGTATAATTGGATTAAGAGCAGAACCTCATCACATATGTAAACAGTTCGTGTTGGGACATGAGGTGCCTGGTGGGCGGGCTGCAGGACCTTGCTGAACACCCTGCACCCCAGAGGCCCTTCCAACGCTGAGGGTTGATGAGGCTGTGAGTGGTGGGCAGAGGTATCTGGGGGTTTTCACTTGCATGGAGGGTGAGTAGGCCCCTGGAGTTGGGAGCTGAGGTATGAAATAGCCATGCATTCAGAGCCCCAGATAAACTGCTTCTTAAATTCCCTACTGTGTGCTCAAGACAGTGGTAGAACCTGGGGTTACAGCAACACACACGTTGAATGAGACAGTTTCTGCTCCAGTTTATCCTGGAGACAAGAGTGACATGCATGAAACTGTGAATGACAAAAGGCAGTACATGTTTAAATGGATCCAAACTCGAATTGCCCTGTGTTATAGACACCAGGCTGTTGTACGGCCACTGGACCATGGCCACGAGTGCACGGCTCTTCAGAACTGGCCCTGCACTCCCAGGGTGGCACAGAGGGATGTGCGGCAAATATGTGTGCAGCTAACTTGACACATGAGACCAAGAACCAGAACTTCCAGAACCATTTTGAAATGCAGGTGTTGGTAAAATGTACCAAAAGGTGTTTTGGGGGTTGAGGGGAGGGGATCTCTCTGCCTCTCTTCTTCCTTCTCTCCTTCCTGGCCTTCATCCTCCCTCCCTTCTTCCCTCCTTTCTTTTTTTTCTTCCTTTCCTCCTTCCCTTCCTTCTTCTCTCCTTCCTTTCTTCCTTCCTTTCCTCTCTCCCTTCCTTCTCTCTCCTTCCTTCCTTCCTTCCTTTCTTCCTTCCTCCCTTCCTTTCTTCCTTCCTTCCTTTTTTCCTTCCCTCCTTCCCTCTTTCCCTCTTTCCCTCTCACCTCTTTTCTTTCCTCCTTCATTTCCCTTCTCCTTCTTCCTTCCATAGGCAAATTTCACCAGATGATGGACCATGCCCCCAATATGCAAAGTACTTTGGATGTTGAAATGGTTCCCAGGGACCTTGCTCTGTAGAAGCTGCCAGTCACTGCGAAAGAGTGATCAATTCTCAGAATACTGTTGTTTATTCATGAATTTATGAATTATACTGACACAAAACACAAGTGTCACTAATTGTCACAATTAATGGGCCTGGAGAATGTGAGGAGTGAGACAGGAGCGTCCTGATCCCAGCCAGGCTGTGCCTTTAATAAGCACAGCATGCGGGGGGCGTCCCCAGGAAGGGAACTGGAGCAGGCACTTGTGCTCAGGGATTTTTATGCAAATGGATGAGAAAGGCACAGTTATGACTTGGGAAAGAACATGGTTAACCTATGTTTCCACCAATTCCGTCATCATATGTTTGGAACCTGACCTGAATAACACACTTGACCCTCCCTTGAGCAGTTTCCAAACAACATGTAAAAGGCGTGAAATGTGTCTGTATTTATTTATTTAGAGACAGGATCTCACTTTGTCTCCCAGGCTGGAGTGCAGTAGTGCGATCATGGCTCACTGCAGCCTTGACCTCCCATGCTCAAGTGATCCCCCTGCCTCTCAACCCCCCCAAGTAATTTTTGTATTTACCAGCTAATTTTTATTTGCCGGCTAATTTTATATACATGTAAAATATATATATACATACATATATTATATATATGTATATATATATTTACATATAAATATAAAATAAGTATAAATACATATTTATACATATATATACATATATACATGTATATATATATATACAGAAAGTGAGAGACAGAGAGAGAGTTTGCCATATTGTCCAGTTTGGTCTTGAATTCCTGAGCTCAAGTGATCCATCCACCTTGACCTCCCAAAAGTGCTGGGATTACGTTTGTGAGCCACTGTGCCCAGTTTGAAATGTGCTTTTAATAGTCATGTAAAAAATGATGCCAGCCTCCAGGCAGCTCATCAAAAGGGTCCCAGACCACCATTAGAAAGTCTGGATTCTCCATCCACAGAGGTCAAAGGCCACTTTCGAATACAGAAACTGAACTTCTATGTGAAGAGAAAGCTCAGCCATGTCATATGAACATAGAAGGACCTCAGAAAAACTGAAGGAAAGAGACATAAATATCAAAGCGTTCATGGACTCCATCTCCCACTTTCTCAGTGCTTCTTGGTAGATAAAAGAGCCTGATATAAATGCATTTCTAATCTATATAATCAGCCTTCCCTGGCTGCCAATTGAAGTTTCACGGTTCATCACCATCTAGCTAAATAGGCCAACCTTTGATTTTATGTTCCCCTTGTTGAGAATCAGGTCAAGAAAGAAACTTCAAGATGAACTCAGAGCTATTTGCGTTATTAGTATGTAATTCTCATTGGCAATTATTCTCTATCTTTGGTCATAAATTATCTAATCCCTTTTATCCAACAGCATTTACTAAGCACCTACGCGGTTCCCAGAAGTGTACTGAGAGCTGGAGGATGAGGAAGAAGGAGGACTGGGCCCTCTACCTTACAGACATGAGCCCACTAGCATGAGGGGAGAGCCCTGGGGGACTCAGAGGGTCCCTGCGAGGGGCCTTTGGAAGCTGCGTGAAGGCACAGGGGTGGCCGGCTGGCATTTATGGAAGTGGGAGGACAGCTACTGAGCCCTTTGGTACAAGGGAAGAAAGAAGGGTGTGTGGGGCCGCTCAGCCAGCACATCTGTAAGCCTGTCCCATGGGAAGCAGCCTCTGATCACCCTCCCTGGAGGCACCCAAGTGGTGTGTGCCAGGCCCTGAACCAGACATAGCGAGGGGCCCAGACAGGGACTGTGCTCTCAGGACAACCCACGCGACAGGCCCAGAAACAGCTACTCAGGAGCTAAAGCAAGGATCATTTAACCAGACATAAATTATAGAATGCAAATGGATTAATTCTAGATGGGAAGACTGGAAGATATTTGTGGAAGACTGGACATTTCAGCTTGGTCTTAAAAATGGCGAATGTTTCAGGGGATGGGAAAGTAGTACAGGGGCGTTCCAGGCAGAGAGACCCCCATTTCCAGGGTCTTCAGGGACAAGAGCACCATGACTTCGATGGACATTCAATGGACTTGTGCCAAGGGATCCGGTAGAGATGAAGTGGGTCGGGCAGCATGGCCAAATCCAGAGCCTCAGGGCTGTGTGGGGGTTTGGGGTTTAGCTCACAGACAAAGGGATCAATCTTGGGTTTTGGAGAGGACAGGTCTTGGCAGAAATGTTCAGGGGAGATGGAGGCGGGCAGAGATCAAAGCAGGAATGTTCCTGTCTAAGAGGCATCACCTAGAGCCTGCAGTGATGGAGACAGAGAGGCCTTTGGATGTTTAAGGTGGGGATTTGTTGATGAGTTTGATGTGTGGCGTGCTCTGTAGGGAGCATTAGAGGTCGCTGCAAGCACTGATGAGGGGCTGACTGGGAGGATGCCCACTCCACGAAGGAGCCAGGAGCCGAGTGGGAAGGGCTGGCAGGAGGGGAAAGTCTGTGCGGTGGCTTCAGTGCTGCGGGGCCAAGGCCACAGGCTGTGGAGCCAGCTGCCTCCTTTGAATTTATTTTCCTACATTTCTTAAGTATCAAAAAGACTTTATTGTATTTTTTATTTGGTGCCTATGGTTTGCTAAATAAACATGGTATGACTCCATTGTGAATAAATTGAGAAATACATAAATGAACCCCCAAAAAAGTGCGATAGGAAAAATATTAATAGTTATAACCCTAAATATCTCCTATGGAAGTGGATCCTGTTAAACAAAGGGCTCTTTCTCTGCCAAGACCTTGCTAGAGTGTGTTGTGCAAGGGTAGGGACAGTAGGTGGAAGTGCTGGGTGGTTCTGGGCAATGGGGAGAATTCGAATGTTCACAAAGGAATGAGGAGGTGAGGAACTGGTAGGAAGGAGAGAGGAGAATGGATCAGCAGGAAGGTAGAGCTGAGAGCCAGGATGCTGCCCTCGATGGATCAGCAGGAAGGTAGAGCTGAGAGCCAGGATGCTGCCCTCGATGGATCAGCAGGAAGGTAGAGCTGAGAGCCAGGATGCTGCCCTCCATGGATCAGCAGGAAGGCAGAGCCCAGGGCCAGGACGTGCTACCCTTATGGCCCCCAGTCTTGGAAGTTCTTCTGTGCCAGGGGAGAGTTGAATCAGGGATAGGGAGAGTCAAGACAGATAACACTTTTGGATTCAAGAACCAAGAAGACAGTGAATGAGGACAGAACAAGCCCTGGAGTGGATAGACATCGTGGGGAGGCCTTGGATTCCTTGGAGTTATGGAACTGGGCTTTAAGCCAATATTAGCATGCTCTGCGGAGCATAGGTAGTGGCAGGAAGGGCATAGCTAGTACATGGATTGCATCAGAAATCAAAAACTTAACCATAGCTAAGCAGTTTATTAATAAACTATCCACATATAATTTAGTTTATTGTATTTACTCAAAAATTACTAAGCAACAAATGGTACCATGTGCTACCCCTGGCAAGGGAAACATAACAACATAATAGGTGGGGGTGGGGCAGCATGGGATGGGTGGCAGCATGGCCCACAGAACTTAAATGCTGCAAGAAAAGAGATACAAACAAATATGCAGGTAAATATGTAAAACTCCACAATAGCAAATCCAATAATAGCACAAAACAAATGGGGTTGGGAATTGGCTGTCATTTCCTGCCCAGATTCCATTCTTAAATGGATGTGGACTGCATTTCTTAGCTTCCATAAAAATGGAGAAATGGACAAGAAGGGAGAAATGGATGAGCCAGGTGGGAAAATGATTGGCAAACCACCCAGGAGGGGGAACAGAAGGTGTACCTATGCATCCCCAGAATTATTTGGGTCTGATCTCCTCAGATTGAGTCACTGAAACGCATGCCAACATATACGTGGAATACAACCCATGCGCTGGAAGCACCAGCCAGGTAACCACACATAGTTAATTTTATGTGTCAACTTGACTGGGCCACGGGGTGCCCAGATATATGGTCAAACATTATTCTAAGTGTTCCTGTAAAGGTGTTTTTGGAGGAGATTAACATTTAAATCAGGAGACTGGATAAAGAGATTGCCCTGCCTAACTCGGGTGAGTCCATCAAATCAGCTGAAGACCTGAATAGAAAAGAGGCTGACCCTCCCCCGAGCAGGAGGAAATTCCCCTACCTGACCACCTTCAAACAACAACATGGTCTTATTTTCTGCCTTCAGACTGGGATGGGGACATTGGCTGTCACTGGGTCTTGGAATCAGCTTTAGACTGAAACTGTACTATCAGGCCTCCTAGATCACTTGCTGACTCACCCTGCAGATCTTGGGACTTTCCGGTCTCCATAATTGTGTGAGCCAATTTCTAACAATAAATCTTATTGTAATAAGTTTCTCTCTCTCTCTATCTCTCCCTCCCTGCTTCTCTCTCTTCCTTTCTCCCTCTCTCTCTTCCGTTTCTCTGGAGAACCCTGACTACTACACCACAGGGTCCTGAATCATCCCCATTGATATTTAAGATCTTTAAGCCAAAATAGACAAGTGGTGTCACACTTTAACAAGGTCCAGAATGAATGTGAATTGTGCAGCTGGATTCCTAGACACCAAGACAGCTGCCTGTACAGGATCCCCCATTATCCCATTAACTTCACATACTGTGATCCTGCAGTTCACACAACTGGAGGTACCGAATCTCAACGTGGTTGGGTTTTCCTATGCACAGTACATCAGGCAGTGATAGGTTTATGGAGGAAAACAAAGCAGCGGGTCCTGATAAGCCCCATTGATAAAGTCACAGTTTCCTGCAAGTTTCCTTCATTCATACATGCAACTCTTTATTTACATAATTTATATCATGATGAAGATCCAATTTCATTTTTATAATGCAATTTATAATATAATTTGTTTATAATTCACACACCATAAATATCACTCCTTTGAAGGTTGTAATTCAAAAGGTTTGAATGTATTCATAGAGGGGTGCACAGTCACCACGATAGAATTTGAGAACATTTTTATTACCCTGAAAATAAATTCCATATCCATTGGCAGCTACTGCCTCTCCTCTCAGCTCCTGGAAAGCACTCATCTACTTTGTCTCTATGGATTTGTCTATTCTTGACATTTTATGACAATAGAATCATATAACTTGGGATCTTTTATGATAGCTTCTTTCAATTAACGTAATGTATTTACGATTCATCTATGTTATAGCATGTGTTATATTTCATTCCTTTCTTGTGGCTGAAAAATATGGCATTATATGAAGAGACCACATTTGTTTATCTATTATCCAGTTGACAGACTTTTGGTTGTTTCCACTTGGTAGCTGCTACGAATAATGTTGCTATGAACATTTACACACAAGTTTGTGTGTGGACATGTATTTCACTTCTCTTAGGTATTTACCCAGGAGTGGAATTGCTAGGTCATACGGTAACGCTACCTGTAACATTTTGAGAAATATTAGACTCTTTCCTAATGTGACTTCACCATCTTAAAATTCTACAAGCAGTGTGCAAGAATTCCTGTTTCTTCACATTATTGCCAACACTTGCTATTTGTTTGTCTTTTTTTTTTTTAATTTAAGCCAACCTAGTAGGTATGAAGTGGTATCTCATTATGGTTTGGATTTGCGTATCTCTGATAAAATGACTAATGATGTCGAGTATCTTTTCATGGGCTTATCCACCATTTATTTGCATATCTTCTGTGGAGAAATATTCAATATTTCGCTCATTTTAAAATTGTTTTATTTTCATTTTTATTATTCAATTTAAGAGTAGTCTATATATTCTGAATACAGGTACCTTCTCAGATATATAATTTGCAAATGTTCTCTCCCATTCTGTGGGTTGTCTTGTCACTTACTTAATGTTGCCTTTTGAACCACAAAAGTATTTAATTTTAATAAAGTCTAACATGGTGAAATAACTAAGAAACAATTACCTATACCAAGATTACAAAGTTTTACTCTTATGTTTTCTTCTAAGAAGATTATAGTTTTAACTCTAGTTAGAGCTAATAAACTTACCTACAAGAGTAATGGTCTAGGATCTCTTTTGAATTAATATTTGTACATGAGGTATGGTAGGGAGCCCAACATCATTCTTCAGCATGTACAAAGCAGTGGCCCTATCACCATTTATTGAAAGGATTTTTTTTTTTTCCTAGTGAATGGTCTTGGCACGGTTGCCCAAAATCAGTTGATCATAATTACAATGGTCATTTTTAGACACCCAATTCTATTGAATCTAGGTGTCTATAGATTCCATTGATCTATATAGGTCTATCTTTGTGCTGGTACCTACATCAATTATTGCAGCTTTATAGTAAGTTTTGAATTTGAGAAATGTTTGTTCTTCTTTTCAGGATTGTTCTTACTATCCCAGGTTCCTTTAATATTCCTAAGGATTTTAGGATCATCTAGTAAGTTTCTGCAAAAAAGCATTTGGGATTTTGATAGGGATTATTTTAAACCTGTACATCAATTTGGGGAGCATTGCCATCTTATCAATATTAAATCTTCTGATCCATGATAATGGGAAATTTTTCCATCTATTTAAGTCTTCAATTTTTCAAAAATATTTGTGGTTTTCAGTATGCACATTTGTAGATTTTTGGTAAATACTTTTCTAAGTACTTTGTTCTTTTCAATGCTATTATAAATTGACTTTTTTTGAAAAAAATTCGTTTTCAGATTGTTTATTGCAAGTGTATAGAAATACAATCTTGTGTATTTGTCATGTACCTGAAACCTTGATGAATTTGTTTATTAGTTTTAATAGTTTTGCAGGTGTGTGTATTTTGTGGGTTCTATAGGGTTTCCTATATGCAAGATCGAGTTATCGGGAAATATAGTTTTACTTCTTTCATCCCAATCTGGAAGCTGTTTATTGCTTTTTCTTGCCTCTGTTCTCTCACTGGCATCTCCAGTAAAATGTCAAATAGAAGTGATGAGAGCAGATATCATTGACTTGTTCCTAATCTTAAGAGGAAAACAGTATTTCACCATTAAGTATAATGTTAGCTGTGAGATTTTCATAGATGCCTTGTATCAGGATGAGGAAGTCTCATTCTACTCATAGTGTCTTAATTGTTTTTATCATGAAAATGTGTTGGGATTTGTCAAATGCTTTTTCTTTATCTACTGAGATGTCATATTGTTTGTTCTTTTCTTTATTGATATGGGGTATTACATTGATTTTCAGATGTTTAACCAACATTGAAATCCCTCTTGGTCATGGCATATAATCCTTTTTCTCAGTTGCTGGATTAGGTATGCTAGTATCTCCTTGAGGATATCTGCACCTGTATTCATAAGGAGTTTTCTTTTCTTTTGTGATGTCCACATCTGGTTTATTTATGATGGCTGGAAGAATGTTGAAGGTACATGATAAGTATACAAAAATAAATATTATTTCTATACACTTGCAATAAACAATCTGAAAACAAAATTTGAACAAGTCAAGGTATAATAGCATTAAAAAGAACATAGAACTTAGGAAAATATTTAACAAAAAATGTCTCTGACTAGTGAGCCCAACATCTGGGCCCCTGAGGGACAGTTGCTATTGTCTCTGCATTGAGTATACTTTTTGTTTCTTTGAGTGTCTCATAATGTTTTGCAGAAAACTACATATTTTATTTTATTTTATTTTATGTATTAGTTTTTTGAGACACAGTTTCACTCTGTCGCCCAGACTGGACAGTGGAGCCGTCTCAGCTCACTGCAACTTCCACCTCCTGGGTTCAAACGATTCTCATGCCTCAGCCTCCTGAGTAGCTAGGATTACAAGCATGCACCATCGCACCTGGCTAATTTTTGTAATTTTAGTAGAGACGGGATTTCACCATGTTGGCAAGGCTGGTCTCAAACTCCTGACCTCAAGTAATCCACCCTCCTCAGCCTCCAGAATACTATACATTTTAAATAATAAAATATGACAACTCTGGAAATCAGATTTCCCCCATTTCCCAGATATTTGTTGTTATCGTTCCTGCTTTTTTTTTAGTGACTGTCCTGAACCGTTTCTGTAATATCTGTATTCTTTGTTGTGTGTGGTCCTCTCCTTGGTTGGTTTAGTTGTCAGCTTATGATAGGAAGTGGATTTCCTTAAATGGCTTCACCCAATGTCTCCTTGCCTTTGCTGAGGGTCCTGTGGGTCTCTGTGGTGCACTTCCAATGCTCCAGCAGGCAGTCACAGCTCCACCTTAGCCCTCACTTCCCACTTGCACAGGTCAGAGAGGCTGAGTCCATGTTGGGTCCTCCCTGGGCATGTGCACAGCCTGGGATGTGTGTGTAGCCTTCTAGGTTACCAGGAATATTTTGAAGATTTTCAAAGCCTCTTTTGGATATCTCATTCTTCCAATTTTCTTTTTAAGATATTTAACCAGTCTCTTGTTTTCTTATGCTGGTAATAGTGGGTCAAGAATGTTAAAATTACTGATGACTGTTTTTGACAAACAACCAGGAATGTAGCTTGTTTGTCCAGACAGAGTTAGATCAAATAAAGGCAAGCCCTTGGTCACTTGCAGGTAACTGTCAGACAGGACAAATTGTGAAAGTTCTCTAGGTTGGGAGCTTTCTGGGGAACACCAAGCTCATTCCATTCTCTCTGGGGTCCTTCAGGATGAGGGTTTCACAGCAACTGTGGTTCTGAGGCTGCTTATTTTTATGACATGTGTTAATTAACTTTATGGTTCAGCTTGTCTTGGCCACAGGGTGGCCAGACATTTGATCAAACATGATTCTGGCTGTGCCTGCGAGGGTGTCTCTGGATGACGTTAGCATTTGAACTGGTGGACTAAGTAAGGCAGATGGCTGTCCAGTGTGGGTGAGCCTCATCCAATCAGTTGAAGGCCTGAGTAAAACAGAAAGCCTGGGTAAGATGGAGTGCTTCTCATCTGACTAGACAGGGCCGTCTGCCTTACTTAGTCCACCAGTTCAAATGGCTGATGTCTTTCAAACTATTATTATTATTATTACATAAAGATGTATATATTATATATCTATATGTAATAATAGATAATAATGATAGTGTGAAAGCCATCAGCCTCAATAAAATCCAACTTTGTAAAAATCCAGTATCAATTATCTATATGTTGGATGTTATATACATGTATAATATACATATAATATATAGATATATAATAATATAATAATTATGTTATATTATATAATTAAGATATTTAGCCAGTCTCTTGTTTTATGTATATATGTTACATATGTACAATATACATATAATATTATGTATGTAATACTATAAATATATTTAATGGTATAAAATATTATAAATTATATATAAATATATAAATAGGAAATATATATGTATATATTTTTTAAAATATATTTATATATTTAGTATATAAATATAAATAAGAGATATACATTAATCTACATTTATAATATAAATAAATAAGAGATATATAGGAGATTGTTAATATATAGGAGATATATATTTATAGGTATAAAATATTTATAAATAGGAGATATATATTTATGTACATACATAAACAATAGGAAATGTTGTTTCTATTGTTTCTGTTCCTCTGGAAAACCCTGATTAATGCACCTTGATGTGAGGCTGTTGGTTTTTAAAGCCTCACAATTAAAGCTGTTGGTGGAAATGCAGAGGGGGAGGTGGAAATAGTGTGAGTCAAAACACCACAGAGCTCCCTGTTATTACTGAGAGTCAGCCATTTTTTTTCTGAAAAAAACACAAAGATGCTTCTTGGGTTGCTTTGGGGCTTTGTTTCATGTGTAGAGTTCTGAAAACAAAGTTGATTTTGGCAGATTTTTCCAGTGTTCTCATTGCTTTTATGGAGGTGTAGGTTTTTGGAGGTCCTAACCCCACTGACACAGAAGCGCTCCTCTGCAGATCTAATTACGTCTCTTGGTCTCTCCCAGAATTTGCCTGGATCTTCTTCATGAGAATGCCTCATGATGGTCATGTGGAGGTCCTCACTTTGGTGGACTGAGGCAAAAGCCAGATGCAGGATCTGTAAGAGCAGAGAATTGGGAGTAGACTTATTTGAAAGGGATCTGGACATCTGAGAATTGGGTGAGGGAGCCTCATCCTGGGCTAGCGTGTGGGGAACCATGGACAGCCTCAGGTGGGCTCTTGCCTGGGAACACCCAGAAAGACCTGCCTATGGCTGGCCTGGACCTGGGGCAGAAGAAATGGCAAGGGACGCCTGCCGCTTTGAAGGCAGCATCTGAGAGGAGCCTCTTCAGGTGCAGAACGAAACTCTGTGGACACTGATATAGGATGCATATTTGTCCCCACCCAAGTCTCATGTTGAAATGTATTTCCCAGTGTTGCGGGGGGGGGCAGTGGCAGGTATTGGACCATGGGGGGATCCCTCCAGAATGGCTTGGGCCATCCACCCCCTTAGTGATGAGTGAGCTCTGAGTTTGCACGAAATCTGGTCATGTAAAAGTGCATGGCATCCCCCTAACTCTCTCTCCTGCTTCCTCCATGTGACATGCCTGCTCCCCCTTTGCCTTCCACCATGATTGGAAACTTCCTGAAGCTTCTCTAGAAGCTGAGCAGATGCCAGCACCATGCCTCCTGTACAGCCTGCAGAACTGTGAGCCATGGAAACCTCTTTTCTTATAAATTACCCAGGCTCAGGTATTTCTTTACAGCAATGCCAGGATGGCCTGACACACACACTGTGCACTGAGGACAGGCCGGATGCCTAGAGCCAGAAGTGGCATGAGCTGCTGTAGGAGAGCTGGCCTCTGTAGCTGGCATGTCAGAGCCGAGGCAGAGTGGCCAGAGCCCGCGAAGGACCAGACCTGGGGGCTGTGCTGAGAGTTTGGGGGGAATCTATGAGGCATGTGCACCCTCTATTGAGGACCTGACAGGGCAGATTCTCGGCTGCACAGGATTCCCTGTTAACCGCAGTGAGAAACACCAACCAAGCCAGCTTGAAAAGCAAACACATGAAGAGAAGGAGAACAGGACATCAGAAACCTGGAGAACGCGGGCTTTGAACGTCAGGGGCAGGTACTGTGCTTTGAAAGCAGAATGCGTCCCGTCCATTGTGAATCTCCTGAAGTAGGGCAGACTCCACATGGGCGAAAGGTGTTAGCCATGGAAGAGACATTGCAGGCACCATTCATTCAGTTTTCTCTCAGCTATTCTTGTAATCAAGGGTTACATCAATTTATTTCATAATCTTTCCAGAGCGCCTGCTCTGGGTTCTAGGCACTGGAGATTCAGCTATGAAGAAAAGAGAAATATTCCTTATCCTAGTGAAACTGTAGGGAGAGAGAGACCAAACAAACAACAGAAATAGGTAAACAGTATGATGATGAGCTTTCCTGAAAAAGAGAGAAAAGGGATGAGCAAGTGCAGTGCTACTTTGCGGGGTGACAGGGAGGCTCCCAGAGACTCAGGGGCTGAAAGCAGGGAGAGCAGAGGGATGTGGGTGTGTGTGTGCCCTGGACCCCCAGCGCTGGGTACAGTCTGATGAAAGGAGGGAGGGAGAAAGGAAGGGTAAACGGGGGGATGGAGGAACACATGAGCAAGGCAGCAAATTATTTTTTGTCTCTATGAAAAAAAAAAAAAAAAAAAAAAAAAACCCTGCTTCTGGCCCCCAGGACCTAACATTTCCGAGAGCTCACGTTGCAAACACAAGAGCTCTTTGGAGACAGAGGCTATGTCGCCCTCTCCTGTGTCACCACCCAAGGCTTGGTGCTTGCCTGTGGGTCTTCCCAGCTCTTCTCAGGATGCAAATCCCATGGTGGCGCGTCCCTGTTTAAAGCCCTCTGGTCCCGCTGGAGCAACGCCCAGCCCTTTGCCTGCCAGGGCCTCATCCATCTGTCCCGGCCTCTCTCCCTGCTGCACCTGCCCCAAGAACCTCACACCCAGCCCACCTGCCCCATCTTTCCTCTCCCCCCGCCCCTAGGCTGCCCCCCTTCTGAGGTCTTCTCCACTGTCCCCCTGTCCTGGGGCTCTGCTGCCCCTCCCTGGGATTTTACACCATTTTTTCATCATACGGAATTATTTTTGTTTCTTTCCTTGCTTTTTGTTTCTCCTAACTCACTCTGATGTCAGCGAGAGCAGGGCCTTTTCTCTCCAGATTCCTACCAAATTGCCCCCACCTAGCATCTCGCCTCCCGCAGGCTGGCTGCAAATCAATATTTCTTGAATAAATGAATGCATTTCGCCTGTGGATGTTTCTTCTGTCCTAAGCAGACCCATTTCCCTCCAAGCGGGGAATCAGCAAACGTACGTACAGGGCAAGTGAGCACCTATTTTCGGGTTTGTGAACCATGCAGTGTCGGCCTCAACTCCCCGATTCAGCTGCGGCAGTGTGGGGGTAGCCGTGGGTGACACGTCAGTGCAGAGCGTGGCTGCGTTCCAGTGGGACTTTATTTATAGACACTGAAATTTGAATTTCATATCATTGCCATGTATCATGAAGTGGTATGTTTAAATTTTTTCCTATTTAAAAATGTTTTTTAAAACGTCTTAGCTCACAGACCCTGCAAAAGCAGGCAGCAGGGCCACATTTGGCCACACAAGCCATCTGTATCGACCCCTGCCCTGCGAGATGCATTTGAGAATGGAAAGATTTGGTCAGTCCATACGCTCATGTTTATTGAGTGTCTACGAAGGGCTCCACGCTGGACGTGGGGAGGGTGAGACAGAGAATGAGTACGACATGGAGCCTCCGCCCAGGCGTCCTGGGCACCTGCACATAGGGTGTGCAGCCTGCAGCAAGGGGCATCTGGACGCCAGATGAGCCAAGTGCAGCCAAGGAGAAGTAGCCCTGGCTCTGCTGGCGGCATCAGGGATGCTGCTTGGAAGGGTTTGAAGAGCTCCAAGCCAACACAGCGATAGATAGAGGATGTCAGCGGGCAGAGGGTAACCAGGACCCACAACAGCGTGGTGCCCGTGAAGACGGCAGGCCACTGTGGTTTTCAGAAGGGTGCAGCCCAGGAATACACGTTCCTCGGGACCCTGAGACTTCTGGTAGACTCCCCACCCAGGCAACAGGGGAGTTGTGTGGAGTCCCCACTCTGTTACCATGGGCCCCATGGAGAACCCTGGAAGAGAGGCTGTAGCTGTCAGGGAGTGGCAGAGCTGTGGAGCATATTGATTAATGGATCAATGTCAAGTTGGAGGGAAGTCTCCAGTGGCACCTGTCCACTCCCCATCCTGGTCCGTTTCTATCAATGACTTGGATGAGCTGTAACAGACCTGCTTGTCAAATGTGCAGATCAAAGCTCACAGGGGAGGCTAATGTGGTGGAGGAAATTGTCCAGACAGAAAAGACCTCTTGACAGGCCGAAACAATGGACTGAAGTGAACAAGATGGAATTGAGTAGGGTTAAAAGTGAAGCCCTGCTTGTTCCCTGGATTAAAACAAAAACCAACCGCAGGTAAACAAAACGGTTTGTGATTCATGCCGTGTACACCTGCGGGTGTTGCTGGCCCCAGCCCTGAGCCCAGATCATCAGACGGGCTGCCCCGCACGCGAGGGACCCCAGCCCCCTACAGAGGGGCCAGCCTGGGAAAGGGCAAAGTGCACCCACTGCAGGATTGCAGGATTGCAACCGCGTCCGGGGTTACACTCCCTTTCAGTGGATGCTGACCACGAGGAACACATCCAGAGCAGAGTAACCAGTGCCAAGTGTGTGTTGGAAACGTGCAGGTCAGACGGAGGGCGACAGGCTGTTGGAAGCTCAGAGCAGTCCTCCACCCTCTCAGCGCCTCTGCTGGGAAAGAGGCTTCTAATGACTCTGGAAGAAGAACACTCCCATGTGGATGAAGATCTTTCTCCTGTCCTGCAGAAAAACATCCTCACGAGCTCGAACAGGCTGGATGTGTACTGGGGACACAGGTCCACTGGGTGGAGAGACAGCGAGGCAGATTTTTGGCTGAATGGAAGGACAGCTTTTCTGACAAGAGCAGTTAGCTGTGGCATGAGCTGCCTCCTGGGGAGCGAGCCCTGTTGCTGGCAATGATGGGCAGAGGCTAAGCCATCTGTTGCGTCTCCAGAGGACCCCTTCCCCCAATGCAGACGGAGCCTCCCGTCCAAACCTTCATTTTACAGATGGAAAGGCTGAGGCTGGAAGAGCCGGAGCATGCCCAGAATGGCCCATGTTAGCTCTCCAGGGTCTGTGGAATTCCACTTTCAGAGCTCTTCTCTTGAGGCCAAGACGAGAACTACGTGAGACACGTGGAAATGGAGGAAGTGTGTGTGTTGGGACCTGGAGAGGCCGGGGGGAATGGAGCACCTCACCCTCTCTGAGTCAGGATCCAAACGAGAAGTAGAAAGTGAAAGACCAGAGTCACAACATCTGCACTGTGCCCTGAGCCATGCAGTACTCAGGTTGGATGGAGGACCTTGCTACAGCTTCATCCCAAATAAATGCAGCATCTGGAAAATGGCAGGGTGGGGGCTCCTTCCAGGGGCAGAATGAGCTCCACTAGGCCAGGCACAGAGGGTCGGGGCCAAGGTCCACTGTGGCCCTGGGAGGCCAGACAGGGAGAGCCCAGCAGCTCGGAGCCACCTGGGCGCCATGGAGTGTGTTCACTGAATCCACGCCTCTTCCCTGGGAGAAGTGGGTGGGCAGAGGGGAGGGTGGAGGATTCCTTCCAATACCCCTGGAAGGTGAAGGTTCAGGTTCCTGTGTGACACTGGGAGGCTGATATGATTTGGCTGTGTCCCCACCCAAATCTCACAGGAGCCTGATATGGTTTGACCATGTCCCCACCCAAATCTCACCTCGAGTTGTAGCTCCCACAATTCCCACTTGCCATGGGAGGAACCCGGTGGGAGGAGATTGAATTATGGGGGTGGGTCTTTCCTGTGCTGTTCTCATTATAGTGAATGAGTCTCAGGAGACTGAATTTTAAAAATGGGAGTTTCCCTGAACAATCTCTTTGCCTATTACCATCCACGTAAGATGTGACTTGCTCTTCCTTGCCTTCCACCATGAATGTGAGTGGAAGTGGAACTGTAAGTCCATTAAACCTCCCAGCCATGTGGAACTGTAAGTCCATTAAACCTCTTTCTTTTGTAAATTGCTTAGTCTCAGGTATGTCTTTATCAGCAGCGTGAAAACAGACTAATACAGAGGTGGATGAAAGTCTTCCTCCTGCCCTGCGGATTCCTGTCCACACAAGCTCATACAGGCTGGATGTGTACCAGGGACACAGGCCCCTCAGCATCAATCCCTAAGCCTTCAGGCCTGATCTCCCACCCTGGAACAGGACCCGGTCCAGAGGTGCGTGAGGGCAGAGCCCTGGGCAGGACGGCCCAGCTGACCTGTGGGGCTGCTCCAGGTTCCTGTGTGGCCCCGGAGCCCATCAGTGGGCACCAGTGTCCTTCAACCCAGCATAGAGTGAGTTGCCAGCTATGAGCCTCATGCGGACCAGGTCAGCTCCTCCCTATGGCTGAAGGATGGCCGGCCTTTGTCTGGGCATCCCAGGAACTCACTTCAGGGACCCCACCTTGGTGCAGCCCTGACTTGCTGGATCGAGCCGCAGCATAGACTTTGAGATTTATTTAAGGTGAGATGGTCTCATTCCATGAAGGACAAAAGCCCACTAAGGGTGTTGGTGGGGAGGGGTCCAGAGGACAGTTCTAGCCTGACCTTGGAGAACTGAGTATTCTTTCAGTTGACCTGGGTTCTATTTGACACCCTCAAATGTCCAAGGCTCATTCATTCGTCTTTTCATTAAACATATTCAAAAAATGGCAGACCATTTCCTAAACAAAGATGTATTTAAAAACCTAAAACACAGGCTGGGCTGAAGGAGTTCCCAGCGTATTTTGGAGAGAGATGGTTGGAGGATGTTTGCAGAGAGTGGTGCAGGCACAGCCTTGGTCCTCAGATTCATGGCTCCAGAGAGAAGGGGCCTCCTTCCATTCTCCTGAGGAGCAAAGGGCACTGGAGAGACTTCTAGGGACCTGTGCACTCTTCCCCCGGAAGGCAGAGTGTCTTGCCTGTCAAGAATGTCCCCTCCCTTCCCTCAGCTCTTCCCTCCCCTCTCCTTTCTTCCCCTCCACTCCCTCCCCTTCCTCCCCTTCTCCGCCCACATCCCTTTCCCACAGGTGTGGTTTCTGCCTCAAGGATCCCCTGAGTGATGGTTTCCTCTCTCCTGTCTGAGGACCAATAGTGAGAAAGTGAAAGAAAAATTAAAACCCTTGAATTGAGCTGGAAGAAGAGGAGATATTCCTAAGGAGAACACTTGCCATTTTATGGACCAGATTAGACCCAATGAAGAGGAAAATGAGACAGAACCACCCGCACTGTGTTCAGGAGTCCAGGCTGTCGGAGGCGCGTGTGGGGTGGCTGGAGAGGGCAGCGAGGCCAGGCCAGAGGAGACGGACGGCTCTACCAGGACATGGCGGCTGAGGTGACCCCCTGCAGGGGCAAGCCCACTGGAGGGGGCCCTTAGGTGATGTGAGGAGCTGCAGCACCGGTTACCAAGAAGGAGCGTGGTTTTGAGATCTGAATGAAACACCTTCACCATCACCGATGACCTTCCCGCCTCTTTCTCAGGGTGGAGGAGCAGGGAGTCCCTACCCAGACAGAGCACAGCTGGGAGAAAGGTGGGGCAGGAGTCCCAGGGAGATCCAGGGAGGGGCAACGCTCTGGGCAGAAAAGCACAGAGACAGTGACAGCAGGAGCCCAGGGAACATGGGGACCTCCAGGGGGACCCCTCCCTCATGCAGGGGAAAATGAACAGAGCTTGGGAACAGAGCACTGGGGTCCCGGAGCCTTGGACTCCCAAACTCTCACCTGCAGGACAGAACCAGAATGAGCATGTTAGGAAACCCAGTGGCTGGACAGGGAGGGGGACAGGGAAGGAGGGAGGAGGAGGAAAGTAAGAGGAGGAGCAGAAGGGAGGGGAAAAGTGGGAGAAGGATGAGGAAGAGAAAAAAGAGGATGAGAAGAAGGAAGAAGAGAAGGAGGAGGAGGGAGAGGTAAAGGGGGAGGAGGAAAATAAGAGGAGGAGGAGGCGGCAGACAGAGGAGGCTCTGGGGTCCAGCACTCAGTTTCCTGACTTATAGTAAAGACAGATTGGAGTCACCCAAAGAAGTAGATTAATATTTTCAAGCCCATAACTGGGTCAGCTCCAGGGAGGAAGGTGACAAGGAAGGGACAGTGATGTGTGGGGCATATTGCCCTGGTGGAGGGAAGGTTTGGCCATCAATGAAGGGCTTTCATTACCCCAGGCCTGGAGGATCCCAGATCTTCAGAGGCCCAGCTCTGCACAGAGCAGCTCCTTCCCAAAGAGGCCACCCTGGGCCTCTGAGCAGCTGGATGGATCTGCCTCCTCCTGGGTTCAACTGGCCGAGCCCTGGGGAAGGCTCACAGCTGCAGCAGTGTCAGTGCTGGACACAGGACAGATGACCAACAAGACACCGCAGAGCCGTGACCTTCTGGGAGGAAGCAGCCCCAGCAAGGGTGGCTGCTGCGGAAGGAAGCCTGAGCCCCCGGGAGCCCCTCGGGCTTCCAGAGCGGAGTCGGCAGCTGAGCTGAAACTTGCAAGAGAAAGAGGATTTCAATTTAGATTTTCATTTTTCTCTGGAAACGTGATAATTGGAAGGGCTCTCACTGCTCCAAGGAAGGCATGATTCACCTTGTTGTCACCAGAGCTCATCCAGTGGTACCCCAGACCCACAGGGCAGCATGGCAGGGCAGGCTGCTTGGGGAGCAGGTGGGCCGTGTATTCCCCATCTGACTGCAGCAAGGCCTCGAAGCTCGGCTCTGAGGTGCTCCTGTAAGGCTTCCAGATGCAGAGCCAGGCTGGCAGGTGCGGACTCCAGCAGACACGCAGCCTCCTGTGAGCACAGCCTGCCCGCAGGTCATTTGGGGGCCCAGCCAGGGGCCATCCTGGTGGTCTCTGCTCTCTGCATTGCTGCAGTCCTGGCTTGCGGCTGCATGGGGAGTGGGGTCAGCCTGGCCCTTCATGGGTGCCAGCTCTTCAGTTCTGGGAGAGGGCAGGTGGCCTCAGGACTACGGCTTTCACCAACACAAGTGACCAGAGCATGGTACTTCAAAGGCACTGGGGTTTGTTTAGTGTTTAAGCCCATTCCAGTGCTTTCTGCCCGCTGTCCTCTGATCACACCTGGGGGGTGCTGTTATTGGGCTCCCCAGCCCTCTGAGGATATTGGCAGTAAGGGCTGGGGAGGTTGGGGAGGTTGAGCAGTGGGGAACAGGAAGGCACCCTGGACGAGGTGCCCGGCAACGGCAGGGAGACATGGAGGCTCTGGGGAGGGCCCCGGTGGGGTGGGAGTTGAAGCTTGGCGTCTCGAGCTGACACCCTAATTTCAAATCCGTGCCGCACTTCTCGTGAGCTTTGGGGAAAGTTTCTTGCCCTTTCTGCACCTCATATTTCCCATTTGTTAAAGTGAGGATCATGACAGCACATACCTCATAAAGCGGCTCTGAGGATTGAGTGAGTTAATATGTGCAAAGCGCTTTCAGCATTTCCTGGCGGAGAATGTGCAATGGAAGTGTGAGCTATTCCTCAAGTTGTTCACGTTTTAAGCAAATTAGATAAAGACAAACTACTCTCTTCCTTGATTACCCAAACCAGCAGACAGTGTTTACCTCAGCATGGAGTTTTTTTCAGGTTTGTTTTTTAATTATAAAAGAAGTAACATTTGATAAAACATGCAAACAATGCAGAAATTCACACTTTATATACATTCCCGGAAGTAATTATTGTTAACACGTAGGTATGTGGCTTTTCTTCTGTTCACATATTAACACATACACTTTAAAAAAAATAAAGTGGCATCAAAACGAAACCATCATATCAGTTGGCTTTCGTTTCCTGCAGAAACCAGATGTGTCTGTGGGTCACTGCAAATAGATGCACCTGCTCCCCTTTCCTGCTCACACAATACCACTTCCTCATTCAGCCATTTTCATCATCCATATTTCTTTTTTCATTTTTTTCTGTTAAAAACAGCATCACTGGGAACATGCTTATGCAGTAACTTCTGAGCACTTTGTGTCTATAAAACAGACTTTTCAAAATGAAGCATCTTACAATGTTTATAGGTGATGTGTGCTGTCAAATTCCTCTTTATAACCATTTTCCAGTTAATGATCTCACCCCAAAAATGAAAGAGTGCCCAATTCCCCCACACCCCTTTTAATATGATCAGTGTTTCACTTCTTTATTCTTGTGATAGATGAAAATCACGTTTTCTTCTTTAGTTCACATGGATGCGTTAACTTTGAGGTTGAATTAGGGAGTTCTGTTTTGCTTTTTCCCAATTGACTTAAAAGACAATGAAAGATGTAGCAGACACGTGCATTTGAGATGTAAGCATGAACATGATCAAGGTGGGGCAGAGGGGCCATGCCTGGTGGCCCCTACTGGAAGCGCTTCTCTGGGAACCTGACCACAGGAAGGCCCTGCCCTCCCCACCTGGCGGGCCGCACACACACACAATTGTGTGTGGGGTGATTTGTGGTCCTGTCAATTTTAAAGGGTGAGGCACCCCCTAAAACCTTTTTTGTTAAGGCGTTCACTAAACAAACAGGGAAGCAGGCCACACTGGAGCCCATGGGAGCCAGCTCCTCCACACAGAGGCTGTCAGGATTTGAACTCAGGGTGCCTGGAAGCCATGAGTCTCCGGTGCCTTCTCCTGTGTGCTCCAAATAGTGCTTTGCCATCTTGCTCATGTGTGACCTCTCCCAGGGGCCCCTCCTGACCTTCCCAGAGTGCAAGCGCCACCCCCAGCCTTTGCAGCTGTTGGCGAATGTCACCTGCACCTTTCAGCACTCTCAGCCCCACCTATACCCCAGCATACCGGCCGCTCACCTTCACTCCCCCAGCACCAACGCCAGCACTGCGACAGGGAAGGGGCCTTAGGATGGAAATGGCAGCCCTGTTTGGTCTGATTTTGAAAGAATCCCAGGGCCAGAGAGGGCTGTTGGGGGTAAAGGGAGTTCCTTTCCCCGAGGCAATGGGGATGCGTCAGGAAGACGCCCATGTCTCTGTTACCCCAGCCTAAGGCATGCCTGCCCTGGGGCCCTCATTGCAAGGGGACCCCACAGACAGTGAGACTAGAAAGAAGCAAGCAGATTCTTCCTGGTACATCCAGGCAGCAGGAGTGGCAGGGTGGTCAACTGGCGTGAAGCTGGCAGCAAGGAGGGGCTGCCAGGTGGCTGCAGGCATGGAGGGGCAGGGGTGGTATTCGCTCTGGCTGAGTTGCAGCCTGATGGGCAGGTGGGGGGCTCAGCAGATGCCTCAGGCAGGACCCAGAGCCTGTTCTGCAGCTCCAGATGGCAGGGGGCAGGGAGGAGGGGCTCCTGCAGGCCGGGCTGCAGCCAGGTCAGCAGGGGTGAGAGCCCTTTGGCCAGATAACCCTCACAGCATCCTCTGCTTCCACATACTCCTGGGATGTGGGGCTACAGGTTTCTCCAATCCTTCCAGGCATGGGAGGAGAGAACTGGAGCTCTCATCCCGTTTCCTGAACAAATAAAAGCAAATGAAATATCACAGTCAAGCAGCAAGCTGGTCCTAGACAGACACCCTGGAGTCGCGGATGGACCTGGGAGACACTGGCTGAGGAGGAGACACTGGCTGCGCGGATGGACCTGGGAGACACTGGCTGAGGAGGAGACACTGGCTGAGGGCTGCTGCGTTATTCTCCTGCCCAGGGGGATAGTCTTGGGCCTGAGTTTGCCCTTGGTGAAGTCTCCTGTCCTGCACCAAATTCCAAGCACGCTGGCTGCTCACTGCAGGACAGAGTCCAGATCCTCCTCACTAGGCTGATCCACAGAGTGGGCTCTTTGCCCTGGTCAGGACAGGCTTTGGGCTGGGAAAAGGATTCTGTCCAGTCCAGACCCCAGAAGCCCCTTCTGAGTCCGGCAAATGAGGCAGGGCCTGATATGCCAGAGGAGATGCTTAGCTATACCTCCCAATCCCACCTGTACCTACACATCTCACCTGAATCTCCCCTTCCCACATGGACCTGTCCATCCCACCTGCACCTCCCCACCCCGCCTGCACCTCCCCACCCTGCCTGCACCTCCCCACCCCGCCTGCACCTCCCCACCGCACCTGCAACTCCCCAACCCACCTGCACCTCCCCATCCCGCCTGCACCTCCCCAACCCTCCTGTACCTCCCCATCCCGCCTGCATCTCCCCATCCCGCCTGCACCTCCCCATCCCGCCTGCATCTCCCCATCCCGCCTGCACCTCCCCATCCCACCTGCATCTCCCCATCCCACCTGCATCTCCCCAACCCACCTGAATCCCCTCCTCCCATCTGTACCTCTCCATCCCACCTGTATCTCCCTGTCCCACCTGCACCTCGCCATCCCACCCGTATCTCCCCATTCCTACCTCCAAGTGCAGCTGCCCCTCTGCATCACATTAATGCGGCTGCTAATTGCTCTAGGTGGGAGACTTGCAATAGCCCTGAGCCTGTCTTCATTGCAGGAGGCTGAGGAAAATCACCCTCACCCAATCTTAAATTTCCACCTGGCAGAGTCTGGGTGTGCTTGTCTTTCTGTTGAATAGGAAATGTTTGCTTTCATGGGAAAAATAAAATGTCCCTTTTGACTGCAGCCTGCGGGTTCTATCCTGCTTGTGCAAGAGCTGAATTCAGATATCTTAGCCATTTTCTCATAAAAGAGCCTTTTCCTAAATCACTACAGTAATGCTGTGTAGACTTACATAAAACATCCACACCTCCCCAGCCCTCAGCATGTTCCAGTAGCAAATATGTGAGTTGCGCTTTGCAGGTGAAACCATTCTGTTTCCACCCTCATCCTTTCATCTTCTCCGGGTCTCTCCTCTCCCAGGGTCCATACCCCAGCTTGGATATTGCACAGATATGCAGAGCAGAACAGGCTCTTCAGCAGAAACCAGAAAATGCCCGCTAGTCGTGGAGATATCTTTCTAATTAACCATAGAAATGAGGTCTGTGTCTTCATTCTCATTATGATCATTATACTGTTTCCAGAGGAAAAGTCAGCTCTGCATGGCTACAGGATCTTAGAGCGATGTCTCGGTGTCTGGGGCTCTTTGAGTCTCCCTAAGCTTCAGATGAACCTGGTAGGTGATCCCACAGAAAGATGGGAGACCAATTGCATGTGATACTGGCTCTCCTGCCAAACATGCCTCCGCCCATTTGTTTAACCATTGGCTCATCCACTCTCCAAACACTGCTGAAGGCCACTATATGTTTGTCCTTATCAGATGCCAGCTGTTTCAGCATACTTTTTCATATTAAAGTTACATTACACCCTAGGAGAAGGTCATGATTTTGTATGATCACCAAGGGCTGTGGTGTCTCAGGTTGGATTCCTGACTTTGTCATTTGCTACAAAAATGACATCATGCAACTTATTTATTTATTTATTTATTTATTTATTTATTTATTTGAGACAGAGTCTTACTCTGTCACCTGGGCTGGAGTGCAGTGGTGCGATCTCGGCTCACTACAAGCTCCACCTCCTGGGTTCATGCCATTCTCCTGCCTCAGCCTCCCAAGTAGCTGGGACTACATGCGCCCACCATGAAGCCCAGCTAATTTTTGTTGTAGTTTTTCAGTAGAGATGGGGTTTCACCATGTTAGCCAGGATGGTCTCGATCTCCTGACCTCGTGATCCACCCACCTCAGCCTCCCAAAGTGCTGGGATTACAGGCATGAGCCACCGCGCCGGCCGTCATGCAACTGATTAAGTTCACTTGACCATGTCCACATGTTCTTAATTGCCTCAAGACTTTCTTTTTATATTTGATTTGTTTGAATCAAGAGCAACTGGCACAAGTATTCGGTGGTTTTGTCTCCAGTTTCATTTAATCTCTGATAGCCCCTCCTCTCTTTTTTGGGGGTGGGGGGAAGGGAGCTTATTAAACTTGTTGTTGATGTATCATTTGACCTTAGAATATCTCAGTTTGGCTGATCAGTTTATTTTTGTGCTATTCGAAATGTTTCTACAATCCACCAACTTCTAATAAATGGGTGTTTGCTGTCAAGACCCAGCAAGCTTCAGGTTCAATGTTTTGGGAATGAGCACTTCCCTTTTTTTCTCTCAAGAGGCACATGAGTCCAGTTGTGCCGTGGTAGCTATGTCGACTGGGATGAGAGGGTGGGTGCTGTCAGCCTGGACTGTGGTCCATCATAATCTCCTCCGATAACTCCTCTCCCGGTGCAGGGGACGGGTGGCATTGATGACGGCATTCTGGATCCGGCAGCTCACTGGTGGTCACCAAATGGTAATCTTGAAATTTTATAACTCTTTCTGAATTTATAAGCTGGTATATTTCTATAACAATCTTTTCCATCAATGATTCATTTAGTAATATATTTAGTAATCAATTTATTTAGTAATTCTGAAACATGCATCTTATAGGAAAGCAAGGTAAATTTTGATTTTTTTCCTCCCTTTGTTCTTGAAGTTTTCAGAGGAATGTCAGTGGTTACCTTGGCCACCCCCGGTGATGAGTTTGATTTTTGAGTGTCCTCACGAAGTTATGAATGACTTTCAATCAACACCCATTAGATTCCTTATGATGCTCAAATGGTCTCCTTTCGCTCCATGTCCTGTTGACACAACCACAATGACTTCTGGTAGCTTCTTCAGTTTCTGGGGTAGCAAGTTCCTCAGGCTTGCCATGCATAGTTCCTGCCTGAGAACTGGACTTAGCCACTTTCCTGAAAAGCCTTGATTCTTTTTTGTTTGTTTACGTTTTTGAGATGGAATCTCCCTCTGCCACCCAGGCTGGAGTGCAGTGGCGCAATATTGGCTCACTGCAACCTCTGCCTTCCAGGTTCAAGCGATTCTCCTGCCTCAGCCTCCTGAGTAGCTGGGATTACAGGTGCCTGCCACCACACCTGGCTAATTTTTGTATTTTTAGTAGAGACAGGGTTTCACTTTGTTGGTCAGGCTGGTCTCGAACTCCTGACCTATTGATCTGCCTGCCTCGGCCTCCCAAAGTCCTTGGATTACAGGTGCGAGCCACTGCATCAGGCCAAAGCCTTGATGCTTTTTTGTGGAAAATCATGCTTAGAGAACATAATCCAGGTTCCTAAGTGCTCATTGCTGTGGACTATTAAAGTTTCTGGGCGTTTGTGTTGGACTGAGCTAGGAACTAGATAATAAATTTTTTAAGAGAGAAACAAATCATTAATTTATGCTGATGTTTCCAATTCTGACTGAGGACTGCTGGGTTTTTCCCGAACTCCTCGATGTTACATTTGCATCTGTTTTCTATCATGTTGGAAATCTTGGCTTCAACAACATCAATGTAAATAATATTTGTTTTATTATACAAATATATATAAGCTAATTTCAAAATAACAATATTGATTCTAACAATAAAACATCTGAAAGCGGTCTTTTTGTGTCTCTTGGGAGACACAGTTGAGATTCAGAATTTAAAGTCAATTATAACAATTATTTTTTTTCTTTGTGTGCTTGCCACCAACTCGAAATACAATTTATTTCAGCTTGTTTTCAAATTTCTGTGGTCTTCTTTTCTTTTTGATTCAAGCTTTAAGGATTATTTTTAAATGTAGATGGTTTCAAAAGCAAACTATAAAACAAGGTGTATTCAGAGAGGTTTCTCTCTTCTTCCTTCTGTATCTTCCCTCCCCCAGTGGCAACCATTATAATTCATTTTTGATTTATTGTTTCATGTGTTTCTCCATTTTTCCATTTAAACAAAAAGAGAAATATTTTTAGAGCACTGTTCTGTTCATTGTTTCTTTTCTTTCTTTCTTTTTTCTTTTTTTTTTTTTTCGAGACGAAGTCTCACTCTGACCTCCAGGCTGGAGTACAGTAGTGTGATCTCAGCTCACTATTACCTCTGCCTCCTGGCTTCACACAGTTCTTCTGCCTCAGCCTCCCGAGTAGCTGGAATTACAGGTGCACACCACCACGCCTGGCTAATTTCTGTTATTATTAGTAGAGACAGGGTTATACCACATTGGCCAGGCTGGTCTGGAACTCCTGACCTCGTGATCCGCCTGCCTCGACATCCCAAAGTGCTGGGATTACAGGCGTGAGCCACTGCGCCTGGCCGCCTCCATAATATTAAACAAAACCTTCAACCCCTCAGTCTGAAGGGGTCACATTTGGGTTCATTTTCTGGTACAGCAGTTCCTCAAGAACGGCAGGCAAGCATTTGCCTCGAATCTCCCGACAAAGTTCAGCACAGAAGAAAGGGAGGCTTGGCCCAAGGACCACACCAACGTCTGCCCACAGTGGAGTTGGCTGGCCATCCACTATGATCTGTGTTCCACAATGGCTCTGAGGTTTTGGCGTTTATTTCTTCATCCAGCAGGCATAACTCTTGCTAATGCAGAAAGTGTCCAACGGCATGCAATTCCGATGTGAAACACCCAACATTTGAAAAGTTACTTTTTCTATATAGACCAATCCCATCAGATGAGCTGGCCCACGGTGCTTCAGCTGTCTGTCACTGGCTGTGTCCTACCAGACGGGGAAACCCCTTCCAGGTGGGGCTGGGGTCTCCGGACTCCCACATGGCTCATGCCCACAGTTGGTGCAGGGAAAAATGCCAGTGAAGATGAAGGATGAAACATGAGAATAAAATAAGTTTTATAACTTACTTTTTAAATAAGCAGGTATAAATTAAAATCAATATAAGAAAAACAGGCTCCCCAAAATAGAAGAGGGGTAGGAAAACCGATCTTACCCAGGCAGGCCCAGTCAATCCCCCAGGAAGGAAACCTCCAACGCAGAACAGTGGGAGCAGCTGGAGAAACAGGCCTCGTGAGATCTCAGGACGGGGCTGGGACTGAGGCAGAAAACCAGGAGGGTGCAGGCAGGTGCATGGGGAGGGAGGGGGGCCTTTTGGTTTTGCAGGATGTGCTGTGTCACACTTGAGAAGGTGGCAATGTAACTTCACTGCTGTGATCAGGGACCTGTGAATCCCGAATATCTGAGACAGGTCTCAGTTAATTTAGAAAGTTTATTTTGCCAAGGTTGAGGACGCGCCCATGACACAGCCTCAGGAGGCCCTGATGACATGTGCCCAAGGTGGCCAGGGCACAGTTTGGTTTTATACATTTCAGGGAGAAATGAGACATTGATCAGCATATGCAAGATGAACATTAGTTCAGCTTGGAAAGGCAGGACAACTCGAGGCGAAAGCGGGACAAATGGAAGTGGGGAGGGGGCTTCCAGGTCACAGGTAGACAAGAGACGAATGGTTGCATTCTTTTGAGTTTCTGATCAGCCTCTGCAAATGAGGCAATAAGATGTGCATTCATCTCAGTGAGCAGGGTGGGGGGCTTTAAATAGAGTGGGAGGCAGGTTTGCCCTGAGCAGTTCCCAGCTTGACTTTTCCCTTTAGCTTAGTGATTTTGGTGGGGCGGGGAGGGGCCAAGATTTATTTTCCTTTCCTAGAGGGCAAACCTGCTTTCTCTCTCATCCCCACCAGCTGGGATCAAGTCCATGTATTCCATACAACCCAAAGGCCCTTGTCCACTTTATGCTGCCTCTTTCTGCCCTTTGGGAGCAGTGGGAGGCACACCCCAGCCCCTTCTCCCTGCGTCCTGTGCGAGTCTCCTGGCTTAGCTGACTTTCGCTTTCTTATAGCCTGCCCAAGGAGGCATGGAACAGAGACCCTGGGGAAGATCGGGTCCACAGTCTACCAGTGAAAGGACTGAGCCCAGAGAGATAAAAAGACTAGGCCTGGGTCTTAGCAGTGAAGCTGCAGCCCCATTCTAGGTCTCCATAAGCATACAAGTGGACAAACAGAAGCCTGCTGCTGCGTGGGTGCAGAGAAAAATCCCAGTGCTCACAGGCACTGAGCATTTACCGTGTCTGTGCTTAGCAGCCCCAAGGGGGAGGCCATTCTCATTCTTCTTTTACAAAAGAGGAAACTGAGGCAGGAGAGGTGCCGTGCCTTGCCCTGGGCCTGGGGTGTGACCCGGAACGGGCTCTGGCTGGCGTCCTGCTGCTGGCACCACCGGCCGGGGAAGGACTGAGTCATCCTGGCCCTGTGGGAGTGGGAGGACGAACGGCTTGCTGTTCCAGCTTCTGACATGTGATAAAACAAAACAAAACAAACCCGAGCCCTTAGATTATCTGATTTGTGGTTTAATTATGTGTCTTCGGAGATGATTTAGGGGCTTAGGAAGGAGGCGGCAGCCCAGGCTCTCCTGGCTGTCCTCAGCCTGGCCCCGTCCTCCCGCTGAGAGCCGCAAGCCCAGCATGCTCAGCTTCCCTTCAAGAGGGGACCGTGCTCAGGACCCTGCAGAAAGCAGGTTCCAACTCTGACCCTGAAAGGGTCCCGGACACAGCTGTGTAGTGGCCTTGGCATTCCTGGACACAGCCATGTAGCAGCCACGGTGAGCTTAGGGCAAGAGGCCACGAGAGTCAGCCTTGCAGTCAGGTGACCTCAGCCTTGCTGGCCATCTTGGAGGCTTGTGATGGGACAGATTAGTAACAGAGGACAGTTCCTGGGACAGGAAGGAGGGTGGGAGACCTGCTGGGTGTCTAACGAGGAGTCCAGGCCCAGAAAGCTGGCCTCTTGGCAAGAGATTCCACTCCCTGGGACGGAGACGCTGGGAGGGCAGAATTTGTGGGGCTCAGATGCTCTCAGGATATGCGGGGGGCACCACCTGCTCAGTGAGCCTCTAGGTGTGCACACTCTCCCCACCCCGCCTGCCTCCCACCCCTGCTGCCCTCCCATCCCTCCTCCCTGCCTCTGCACCCGGTTCCCCCATCCATGCACACTCTTCTCTCTGACTGCGGCACCAGCCCCTCATCCTTAGTTGCTGGCTCCATGCAGCCCTCAAAACCCACGTCAGCCTGGCTGCTCCAGGATGCCTTTCCCCAGGCCCTCTGCCAGGCCTGCTGTGCCTGTCTCTGGGCCCCCATTCCCCCTGCAGGTGGGAGTTAAGCAATTTCCAGCAATCCTAGGAGTGGGAGGGAAAGGGATTGTCTCCCAGGCCCAGATGCTGGGGACAGCAGTCTGGTGGTAAGAGCCGGAGTCCCACAGCCAGATGACAGCTCCTCAGACATCTGGCGGAGACCCAGGGTGGCTCCTGCAGGGAGGAAAGAGACAGAGCAGGGCAAGTTGGGCCCCAGCCATGCCGCCCTTGAGGAGACAAGGCCTGGAAGGAGATGAGGCCTGGAAGGAGACCATGCCAGACTTGTCTCTCTGGGCCTGGCTCATTTCACTTGGCATAACGGCCTCCAGGTCCGTCCATGTTGTTGTAAATAGCAGGACTTCCTTCTTTATGGCTGAATAATGTTCCATTGGGTATACATCACATTACAGTACGCAGTCTTCCATAGACACACATGGAGATTGTTTCTGGATCTTGGCCCTTGTGAGCAGTGCTACAGTGAGCCTGTTCAGTGTGCCAATCACTCCTTGAAATACTTACTTCGACTCCTTGAATATACATAATTTTTATTTGTCAATAAAAATTTGACACAAGGGATAAAAATGGGACAAAACCCCCCCAGAGCCATCCCGCAGGCACTGCAAGGCAAACAAGGGAGTGGCCAGGGCGCTCCTGACCAGAGTCAGTGGTTCTCAAATGATTTAGTCTTAGGAACCCTTTCCACTCTTGAAAATCACTGAAGGCCCAAAAACCTTGGGTTCACATGAGTTATAACTATCGATATTTACCATGTGAGAAATGAACACTGAAACATGTTTTAAGTGTTTGCATATTTTTTAATATAAAAATTGCAGTCAGCTCATGATGTGTAAACATAACCTGTTTTTAATTAAAATTAAGTGTTTTCCAAGACGAAGCCAAAGTTAAGGAGAAGAGTGACATTGTTTTATATTTCTGCAAATCTCCCTAGTGCCTGGTTTAACAGAAGACAGATGGGTTCTCATCTTCTCTTCGGCATGCAAACTGTTGCAATATGTTATTTTGGGTGAAGTATGCAAAGACAATTCGGCCTTGCATAGATATCCAGGTGGAAAATGGAAGCGTATTTTCATAGACTTTTCAGATAATTATGAAGATTATTTTTGATGTTACATCAAAACTTAACAAACGGTAGTTTTTAAAAAGTTAGTTGCCATGTGGAATCTGAAACTATATCAATTATCTTTCACAATGAGCTGCATTCAAGAAAAAAAGCCAAACATTGGTCAGCCATCAAATAGCACTGTTACAAAGGCATGGTCTTGTGAGATCATGCATTGGTTATTTGAAAATATTGGTTCACTGAATTATGAAGACCTTTCAAATATTAACACATGATATTATTGATATAAAATTGCATTCCTTAGTATCACTACTTACTTCTTCACGAGAGTTTTTAAACATTGGGAAACTCTTAGTCTCTCAATGGCACATATGTGTTCGTCAAAATTCCAATTTTTGCTTAATATTTCCAATTTGTCATTCATAAATACTGTCATTTGTTTGTATTGAAGTGATAGAGGCTCATTGTTTCATTTTTAGGAAAATGGTTGGCAAAGACCCACGTCTAAGTAACCACAGTTTGTGTTAGCACAGACGTCCCTACGAGGAGGAGTGTTCTTTCATGAAGAGAACAGCTAGCTCAGCCCGGAACTTAAACAGCCATACCAATGCTTTTCCTCGGGCCAGCAAGGTTCCTTCCATGGTCAGCAGAGATGTTTTCAGTGCACTTTCCATCTCTTCACATGGAATACTAAAAAGATGCATGCTCCAAGGTGAAGTTCTGTGCTGCTTTGTCAGGGACATTCATGAGTGAAACAGTGTTTTCCCATCTTACCTCTGTCTGTCTGTCCATGCGTTATCATCCGTCCACCTGCCTTACCGCAAACGTGTGTGGTGAAGGAGACGATGACAGTGGCACATGTTGGAGACATGCTATAATTCATTGCAAGGCATCCTAAGTCTTACCTGTTGCCATCAATTCTGCACACCCTTGCGAATGTCAACACAGTGCAAAAGGCAAGTCACTTCTTAGCAAGCGTATGAACATAGTTTTAACCTGAAGAACACCCTGAAATTATCTCTGGCACTCCCAGGGGTCCACAGAAGGCAACTTGCGAACCCCTGCCTTAAATAATACAAGAAATGGCCGGTATCATTCCTGAGACCTCATCTGCTGTTGCTAGGACCTGGTGCCTCACCCTTTCTGGGAAAGCGAGAGCCGGATTCTCAGCATCCAGGAGGGTCTTTCTCTCCCTGCGCCTTAGTGTTTGTTTTCTTCGTTTCTTCTCTTAGAAAGCCCAGGTTCCCACCATTGCAGATCACTCCAGACTCAGGAAGTTCATGGGTCTGAGCTGGGATACTCACCACACCACTGTCCATGCGTCTGTGCAGCCCCCACCCCCACCCCGACCCGGGCCCCGACCCCCACCCCGACCCGGGCCCCGACCCCCGCCCGACCCGGGCCCCGACCCCCACCCCGACCCGGGCCCCGACCCCCGCCCCGACCCGGGCCCCGACCCCCGCCCCGACCCGGGCCCCGACCCCCATAGTCACTCCACTCAGTGCTCTCTGCTCACCCCTCCTCCTCTGTCCTGAGACCCCCTACCCATGCACTTTTTAAACTCCACGTTTATCTCTTGAGCCCCTGTTCCCATGCAGGCACGGGACCTAATCTAAGACACAGAAGTTTCCCTGGGAGAACAAAAGTGAAGCGTTCGAGACGCTCACGATGTGGTGGGGAGAAAGCTCCACGATTCAACCCTTCCAAAATAAAGTGCACAGTAAAACCCACAGGGAGGGGCCCCTGATGCTGCGCAAAGGTGCAAACGACCCACACAGCCTGGGTACTGGGGCTGGGGTGGAGGAAGGACAGTCCCTCTGGAGGAAATAATGTATACAGTGGTCCATTTCCAAGACAAAGTGCCTTAAATCAGCTTAGGTCAGCAAACTACACAAAAAAAACAGAAGATACTAGGCTCCTGGTTGGATAGCTGACACCTGCTTATTGGTACACCCCACTTTTCTTGCCCTCATCAGAACCAAAGAAGTTTAGTCTAAGATGAAGGTTTATCAGCCTGCAAAATGGCTCACTGTCTGTTCTTATCAGCCTGCCCAGCTACTTAGGTCATAAGTCAAATACTTAAAAAGCCCCTGAGCTAACTAGGATTGCAATGCAGTGTTGGCTGCAACAAAATGCAGCAAGACAACCCTAAAGAAAACACCTAAAGCCCCTGCCCAACAACAGACAGTTGACGTCTGGGAAGATTGTGGCCCCAGAGTACTCAGCCTATGAGGAACCGGGGGAGGGGCCTGCACACTAGGGGATAAGTTGGTTGTTGTGGCTGTGCTGGGTGCCCCTGCCCATCAGACACCCGATCTCACAAGATCATCATTAAAAGTCTCACTTTCACTGTTCTCCGGGTCTCTGAGTCCATTTTTTGGGTTTGGACAGGAGAGTTTGTTTCCCATACCTCAGAGAAGACACGGACTCCAGCCTGAAATGCTGGCTGGAGAAGGCAGTTGCTCAGGTGAGTGTTGGGGGAGCACATTTTGCAGAGAGCAGGAGGTCCCTCTCTACCCATTCCAGACCCTTTTCTCTCCTCATTTCCCTCTCACAGAACAGCAGATGCCCCCAACCCTGCAATCTCCCACCAGATAAAACCTTTGAGGGTCATATCAGGCCACTCCCTTTATCTCTTCCCTCACCTCCAATCAGGTACAGAGTCCTGGCGATTTTCCTCCTTCACGTTTCCTTCTTCACGTTTCTGGCATTCCATGCCAGCTGCCCTGGGCTCCCTCTAAGCCAGAATGCCCAGCCCAGGACGTACCTGAAAATCACCCTGATACCTTTCAACCAATACTCATTCTTGGCCTCCACCTCCAGGGACTCTGACCCCATCTTCCTGGTGGTGTCTGAGCAGTGGGGTGTGTTTACTAAGTTCCCCTAGTGATTCTGATGTACATGGGAGCTGAGAACCCAGATCTAAGCCCTCATGGCTTCCCAGCTGAGGTGGCGGCTGTCCCTTGCTGGTCCTACAGGTACGGTTAATCTTCTCCAGGCCTGCACCTCGGCCTTCTCCCACATGAGCCCCTACAGGGCACCCTTATTTTATTTAATTGAGGAGTAACTTACAGTAAAGTCCATAGATATTTAGGATATAGTCAATAAATTTCTATGTATGTCACATGATCAAGGCCCTCCTCTAAATAAGCTTCTGGAATATTCCCAGTGCCCCGGAGGCTCCATGTGCCCCTCCCAGCCAGCAGCCCCACACTTGTATGAACACAGAGGAGTGGCCTGGATTTGGAGCCCTGCAGACGGGGGCTTCTCTGTGCCTGGCTCCTGGCTCCTGGCTCCCTCCCTCAGCACCTGACTGTGTGGTCCTCCCAGTGGCTGCATTGGAGCCCCTTCCTTGCTACGCTGTGCAATCTTCCCGCACAGGGACCCTCTCACACACACACGGAGGCCTCCCCAGTCGAGCCTCTGCAGCTGCAGCAGCCAGGGCACGGCGGCATTCAGAAGCAACAGTGTGGGGGCGCAGAGGCCCACAGGAAACGTTCTCCAGGACCCCGAGTGCTAGGTAACCCCCCCGTTGGCATGCTTGGAGGTTCATGATTTGAAGACAACAGCACGTGTTTTGTCAAAAATTTGTACATGTAAAGAAGGCACGAAGCACACTGGGACAGCTACCTTGTGAAGGGAGAAGGGGAGTGTGGAATGGAGAGCAGAGAGGAGAGGAGGCTTGGGCTCTGCATTGTGCACCTGGGGCCCAGCCAACCAGTCGCTCTCCAAAACCATCCTGCGCTCCATCGGCTCTCAGGACAGAGTCATTCATCCTCCTAGAATGCAAGGGTCTTGTTAGGAATCCTGCTGCTTCCTAATGAGTTTCCATCTAGTCATCACGGGACAAACAAAGCTTGCTTTCCAAAACAAGCCCCGGTTGTTGACGGCCACTTGACATTTGTGTGTGGTTTCCATCTGCCTCAGATCTCTTCCTACCACAGGCCTCCCTTCTCACTTCCCACTTTAACCACAGCCCAAGAGCCCTTTCTCTGAGGTGACTTTTCCTGCCCAGCCCGAGGCTGAGTCTGATAAGGCTGCAGTATCCAGTGCCCCAAGCCTCCGTGGTCAGCACCTGCCCCCGAGTTCTGGTCTCTCCCTTCTTGTAATTCCTCCCACCAAGGCGCAAGGCTGAGGCCTGGGCCTGGACCCTGGGAGCCCCGGCAGCCCCTCCACGTGATGGCTGAAGGGAGCAAGCAAGGTCTGGAGTGAGAGAGGGACAGCAGATGCAGGGGTAGCCCTTTGAGCTGGAGCTCCTGGGCTGAGGCTGGAGGGTCTGCAGAGGCAGGCAGGGCCACCTGTGGCCACCTTGAGGCTATTTCCTGGAGTTTGGACTGAGTTGCCCCACAGATGGAGGGTTGTCAGCAGAGCCTACACAGAGTCCAGGACTCGTTGTGGCTGTGGCCAGGCCTCCCGGAGCTGCATTGGAGGAGAAACTGCTTGGCAACTCTGTCCAGTCTTTGACCATTTCCCATTGAGTCAAATGCAGTAAACGTTGATTCTTGCCTTGAGGTCGAGTCTCAGAGCTTTCCTCCAGTTCTAAACTTGGCTATAGAGTCCCTGACTTGAGGCGATGTCAGAGTTCTCAGCATTTCAATGCTAGTCAAATTGAAATGTGAAACGTCGGTATCTTTGGAGACAATCACTGACGGACAGCTTGATTTGTCAGCACCCAAGGGAGTGGAGACTAGGGAGGAGGGTGCAAGGGCCTGGCTCTGTGGTCAGACCCAGGTTCTCGGCACAGCCACCTACCGGCTGTGCTGACCTAAATGGACATGTCCTTCTGCCAGCCTGAACCTCCATCCCTCCGTGCACCACGAATGTGCAGACGCTGGTGCTCGCCCTGAGAGGTGCTGTGGGTCCAGGGGTGTTCGTGTCATGCATTACAGAGCAGAACGTCTGGCCTATTAGACACCTGTTAGATCACTCCTGTTGTGAAGTGTTCTAATTTTAAGATGTATTTTAGAATTTACTCTGCGTTACATTAGAAAGTTGCTGTGTCTAATTCCTATGCTTGTTTCCACCATGTACTTCAGCGTGGAGAGTCAACACGACGGAGATGGTTTATTTTGAGATTTTTCCCTGCATATGTTTATTTGATGCATTCTCTTTAAAAAATTGAGATCCATTTGGTTTAGGGCCAAATAATAACTTAGCTGAAATAGAACGTGCTTTTAACATCACTTGATGTCCAGTAACATGACTTGAACTCAATTAAGCTGGTTCTAGGACACCTTTCCATTTGCGTTTCATAATGGAAAGCAGAGTAAATGAAAAAGCAATCAGTATAAATATGGAAAGTGGACACTCTCATAATCACCAGATCATTGCTGGAAATTAAAAAGCAAACGCGCAGGCCCATGGTTCCCCTGCAATGCTCTGCTGGGCGGTGCGGACTTGAATTGGGTGCTAATTAAAGCTGTGCAATAGCGGATGCATGGCGTTCGATTACTTTGCTGAATCCAGGCGTGAGAAGGTACTGTCCTTATGACAATGGTTAATTTTCTTATTGGAGTTCAAAGGTACAGAGACCAGGGCTTTTATTGATAAATGGTCAGACGCCCGTGTGCACATTAATTTCCACTGGCCATCTCGGGCATGGTGGAAATGAATGCACAGCCATGGGTGGAATTAAATGCATTTTTCATCATCTGTGAACCCTGGGAGAGAAAAAGGCTTTAGCGGCCTTAATAAGGCAGACAGGAACTTCAGCCCAGTTTTTCACGTCCACACTGGCTGGGCACAGAGCCTTGGGTCTCTCAGGTCCAGCTGCCTATCTGCCCCTGGGAAAAGGAAGGACAAGGAGCTTCCTCGAACAGTGAACATGGTTACTGGGTGCCACCCAAGCCCTCAGCAGCGGGGACCTACCACTTTCTCACCAGCTGGCACTTGGCAGACTCGACTTGAATGGTCTTTGCCCCAGTCTCCCACTATCTAAAGGGCGGGAGGATAACCTGCTTCATGCAGGCTCTGTGATGATGAGAGAGGTCCCAGCCTGCAGGGCCCTGCCAGCCCAGGCACCTGACACAGGGGGGACCTAGAAGCACTGGTCCTTGCTGTGGTCAGTCATCACCGACATCACTGTTATTATTATAGAATTACCCATGTGTTGAAGGGCCTGAATCTTCCCCCTCCTGAACATCATCATCCCCTGCGGGAGGAAGGGGCGGCTTTCCATCTTTGGAAATGAACAAGCAGTCACCAAATCCTTGGCCAATGTGCTCACTTAATGTCACAGCCAAAATCCCCCAGCCATGTGGATGTCAGCACCATTCCTAAACAAATGTCCAATGAGAGGTTTGTGATTGAGAAGTGATATTCATCACAGTCCTGGTTGGGAATGATGATAAAGAAACACCGTGCTTGCGGCCTCTGCTCATACAGGTAAGAAAGGGTTAAGGGAAGGCAGTGATAGGGGTGAGCACACAGGGCCCACAGCGCAGGAACTTCCCTCTCCCTGCTTGGAGAGGAAAAGGGAGCAGCCCTTCCAGACCCTGGAGACAGCGGTGCTGGTGTGGGTGTGCCCTTCTGTAGGGGGACACAGATGGCCGTAGTGACAACCCAGGGGGCGGACTCTGGCAGTGGATCTTGGGCTTCAGCCTTCTTCCTTCTGGGATCTTTCTTGTGCCTCCGTGTGGCTGATGCCATCTGAAAAGCAAAGGGGTGGAGAGCTTGTGGACATTCTCATGCAGGCATTCCCCCGGGACGCGGAGCAGGGAGAGGGGTGGAGAAACCGTGGACACGCTCATGCAGGCAGCCTCCCAGGACACGGCGCAGGGGAGAGGGGTAGACAGGTGAGCGGGAAGAGCCAGTGGTGACATCAGTGTAGATGCCCTTGCATGGTGCCCCTGACCAGGGCCCTCTGGGCTGCCTCGGTTTCCTCTCGGCATCTGTGCCATTGGCAGATACATTTGCCTTCCCATAGGCACTCCCTTGAGACGCACCGTGCTGGTTTCTCTTGGGGTCCTGGGGCTCGGGATGGCCACACCAAGGCCTGCATCTTTCCCCGGACCCTGACCTCGGGAGACTATTGCCTCACGTGGGACAAGGCTTCTCTTCACCAATTCCATCTTTCCATTCCACGTTGTGGCTCTGGGGGAAACACACCTGTTTACTCGCCTAGGATAAACCTACACATCTATGGCCACTTCTGACAAGGTTGGGTGGGAGGCAAAGGCCAGAGAGCAGCACGGGCAGTGTCAACCAGGAGACGCAGGCGTGCCTGAGAACCATCACACTCAGGGTGCTCTCAAAGCCTGAGCTTCAGCCCTTATGCTGCAAAGGGACAGGAGCATGAAGGGAGGAGAGAACAGGCCTCTAGGAGGAGGGCCCGGTGCCTCTGCCGTGGGGCCTGCGTTCCCTGGGGCTCCAGCATACAGCAGGTGCGCCTTAATTGCCAGAGCCCAGAGCCGCTGCAACTGTAGGCGGCACTTAGTTGTGTGGTGGGGGAGGGGGAGGGGTTGATTGGGTTTGAGGTTGTGTGTTGTGTGTTTGGTGTGTGTGGTGTATGTGGGTTTATGATTGTGTGTTTGGTGTGTGTGGTGTATGTGGGTTTGCGGTTGTGTGTTTGGTGTGTGTGGTGTATGTGGGTTTGCGGTTGTGTGTTTGGTGTGTGTGGTGTATGTGGGTTTGCGGTTGTGTGTTTGGTGTGTGTGGTGTATGTGGGTTTGTTGTTGTGGGTTTGGTGTGTGTGTGGTGTATGTGGGTTTGCGGTTGTGGGTTGTGTGTTTGGTGTGTGTGGTGTATGTGGGGGTGTTGTGCGTGTGTGTCACCTACCCCTTCCACCTGCGTGGACCTGTGTGGAGCACCGCCCCGAGGAGCTGGCGTTCAGTCGAGTGGGGGGATGAGTAAGAGGTGGCCCTGCCTGGGCCTGGTGGAGGCTTCGGGGCCTGAGTGATCACGGGCACTGGTGAGATTTGGTCAGGTCCCTCCTTGAGGAGAAGGTCCCTGAACCCCTCCATCCTGCCCTCAGGAATGCTACTGGAGTTCTGGGGTCCAACTGGGATGAGGGATCTTCACCTCCCTCTTCACTCTCATTCCCAAATGTTTTTTATAGGAATTCAGATCTTCAGCCAAGCTGACTGTGAAATGAGCCCGTGGGTTCACCTGGATCCGCAGGTTGTGAAAGTCTGGCTGCCCCTGCTTCACCCCCTCTTACATCTGCTGGAACATTCAGAACTGAGCTGCCAGAGCCACAGGTGTTCTCCACAGAAGGATGTGCTGTCACCGCGCCTGGGGCACTGAAAATGGGCACAGTGACCGCGAGATACAATCTGGAGGCAAGTGTCCCCATTCTCCCTCAAAACATCACATACAGCTGTTTCTGTTCTTTTGCTCTAAAAACCCAAGGTTTCGTCGAGTATCTTGCATTTGGTTGCCTTCCTCGTGAGCAGGTGGATGCGTTTCTTGCAGCCGCTGTAGCAAATGACTCCCAGCTCAGTGGCTTGAAACAGTGGGCATTTGATCCCTCACGGTCATGGGGGCCAGAAGTCAGAAATCGGGGTGTTGACAGGGTCGGCCCCTTCTCGCTCCCCTCCTCTCCTGGTGGCTGCGGCGTCTGTGGTGTTTGTGGCTTCATCACTCCAGTCTCTGCCTCTGTCTCCACGTGGCCTCCTCCCAGCAAGTCTGTCTTCATGAGGTATTTTCTCTTCATATAAGGACACACTCTTTGGGTTAGGGCATACCCTGATGACCTCATTTTACTTGATGATTTCTTTTTTTTTCTTTGAGACAGAATCTCACTCTGTCTCCCAGGCTGGAATGCAATGGCGCGATCTTGGCTCACCGCAACCTCTGCCTCCCAGGTTCAAGCAATTCTCCTGCCTCAGTCTCTCCAAGTAGCTGGGACTACAGGCATGCAACACCTGGCCCAGCTAATTTTTGTTTTTTTAGTAGAGACAGGGTTTCGCCAGGCTGGTCTCGAATTCCTGACCTCAGGTGATCCACCCGCCTGATTACATCTTTAAAGGTCCTATCTCCAAATAAGGTCACATTCACAGGTACTGCATCTCAGGAGTTTAACGTATGTTTTGGGGGGACACAATCCAGCCCATAATAGGGGCTTCAGTCAGGTGCACCTGCCTGCCAGTTACTCGCTGTGTGTGTGGTCCGTGCTGAAGAACAGAAGCTGGGGTGTGGTGGAGCTTTGGCTTCTCCATGGTGCTCTCTGAAGCCCTGGCTCCCACTTGAATCGTCCCAGTGGCCTGAGGATCGTGATGGGGAGGAAGCCTCGTCAAGCAAAACAGGCAGGAGTTGGGGTGTCAGGTAGTTCTTAGGGGCCAGCCTTCTCTGCCACCTGCTCCCCTGAGACTTCAGGCAAGGTTTGTGTCTCTCCTCTCATTTCCTCCATTTCCTGCACCACGAGATAATGGTGCAAAGGCTGTACCATCCAGAGTTCAATGGCAGAAGGACTCTCCCATAGATGATCACACACTGACCCCACAAAACCCTCCAAGCACAACAAAGGAAAACACATCAGGGACTAAATGCAAAGCAGCACACAGGGCCGAGCCTGGGGTCAAGGTGGGTCCTGCACCTTCCCTCCCGGGCATGGACTGAGGCTGGTGGGGTAGAAAACACTATTTCTTCTATGGTTCCATGGCTTTCTTTCTGATCACATTGGCCCTGGGGGGACATCCAAGTGAAGGAGCTTTGCTCTGGGAAGAGAAGATACTGGGTCATGTGGTCGAGACACTAGGCTCGTAGACCTGGCCCTACCTCCAAATTCCAGTGACTGTGTAGAGTCAGTGGATCTCTGGGCTTTTGTCTCCTCATATGAAAACTGGGCTCACCATTGTCATCCTGTGATGCACTGATGGACAGGTGGACACTCCAGGATGGCATCTGGCCCATGACGAGGTTGCTGTTAGAGGGTGATTTTCTTCCCTTCTCCTCTCGTCCTCCATGTTATAGTTAAACTGTGGCTCCCAAAGAGATGTGTTCAAATCCTATCCCCGATACCTATCAATATGACCTTGTTTGGACTAGGACAAACCCTGAGTCCAATACGACTGGTGTCTTTATAAGAAGAAAAGAGACTCAGAGATACACACACACACACACACACACATGCGCACACACACTGGAAAAGCTATGGGAGAAGCCACAGAGAAGAAGATGGAGGCAGAGACTGGAGTGATGCAGCCACGTATCAGGAATGTCCGGGGCCACCAGAAGCTGGAAAAGCAGAAGCAGGAAGGATCCTCCCTTAGACCCTCCAGGGAGAGCCCCGCCCTGCTGGCACCTTGATTTTGGACTTTTGGCCTCCAGAACTGTGAGGATGCATTTGTGTCGTTTTATGCCACCTGGTTTGTGGTACTTTGTGCCAACAGACACATGAAGCTCATGCAGCCCGGCGTGCTCATTTTGGGTGGGGAGTGGGAGGTGCACACACATGCATGCACACAGGCACATGCACACACACAAATGCACATACACAAACACACGCACACACACATGCACACATACAAACACACATGCACACACATGCTCACACATCAGCATTTGTGCATCTAACTTCAAGCCCCCTCTCTTCCCCAGCCCCCCTGTGTATATAAATCAGGGATACGTTTTTTACAAAGGGGAATGATCCTTAATGCCCCTGCAGCAGTTCATACAACTGGGTGAGGCTGTCACCCAAAACAGAGCCCCCTTTAGAAGATGAAAGACCAGGAGAACGTCATCTTCCACCCACAGGACAGCCTGTGGTGGGACAGGAGGAATGAATGTTTCCTAAGAGCTCTTCAACCCAGCTGCCTCCAAGACACCACAGAAGGAAGCTGTGTTAATATTCACTGCAGAGACGCCAGGCTTACAGGAGGCCACGTACAGGCGTGATGAGGGGGACCTGGTGTTGTTAATGAGCTGTGTGATCGTGAGGCAGGCACTGGACCTCTCTGTTCTATGGTTTCCCTGATTGCTCCTGGTGAGAGACCTTTCCTGTCCCATGGGGATGTTGTGAGGACAAATGAGGTCATCACTGTCAAAGCAGTTTGAACACGAGGGGATAAAAGGCAACACCACATAAATGCAAACTAATATACTTATTCCTGGGCTAGAAATGTCTCCTTACCTCTTGCCAATAACACTAGTTTGTTTCTGTAGTATATTACAATGACAAGCTTTTAACTCCCACTCTTAAAGCAGGAAATCCTTGGCTGTTCTTGTTCTCTGCTGGGGAGGAGACCCAAGCAGTGGGGTCCAACCACGTACATGCGGGTAAGGGAGGAGTTCAGGTGGAAAGCAAGCCTCGGGGTGATGTCCAACTTGCCCAACCTCCAGGCCAGGTCAGATACCTCATGTGCAGGACACCTCCCAGGTGCTCAGCACACGTTAGCGAAGCGATTTCTGCTCTGCACTCCCCACCACCTGAGTGGTGGTGAAGGACATGTCTTTTCCTCCCCTGGGAGCTCACACCTTCTCCCATGGTGTTTGTGCGGGCAGCTCAGTTTTTGTCAGAGGAACAAAGGAACAGATGAAGCAAGCTGGGAGCAAGGCGCTTCACTTGTGAACCAGGAGTGTTTATATTGTGTCGAGTTAATCAGCCACAGAAGCACTCAGCCCACAGCCCATCCATGTGGCCAGGAATCCTGCGTGGGGCCCGGAAATTCAGAGGCAGATAAAACCCAGCCTTTGCCATTGAAGACCTCAGAGTCTGGTCAGGAAAAGAGATGGTAACAGTCAGTTACCAGGCAGTGTGAATGAAATGCAGAGATGGGGAGAAATAACCTAAAAATAAGAGGAAAAGTGGTTGCCTGAGAAGGGTAGCTAGAACCAGCTTCCCGATGGAGAAGGGAGATGTTCTCAGTCCACAGAAGCACAACTTGAGGGCATTTAGATCCTTGGACACACAGGTCTAAGAAGAAATGTGTTGTGGGATGTCAGGGGCCAAGAGAGGAAGGCTGAGTCCGGAGGCCAGAGGTGGTTGCAGGTTTCCAGCTTGATTGCTTGATGCAACCGGAGGCGTGAGAGCCCCCGCTCGAGGCCCCCTCCTTCTGGGCCTTGCTCTCCGCGTGCCAGTGGTAGCCTCCATGAAATGTGATCCAATACAAGTGGATTAGTCAGGGTTCTCCAGGGAAACAGAACCAATAGGATATGTAGAGACTTAAGAGGAGATTTATTATGGGAATTGGCTCATGCGGAGGCTAAGTCCCACGCCGTGCTGTCTGCAAGCTGGAGAAGCAGGGAAGCTGGTGGCTTAATTCAGTCTGAGCCTGAAAGCCTCAGAACTGTGAGACGGAAAGTGCTGTGTGAGTCCCTGAGTCCAGAGGCCTGAGAAGCAGGAGAACAGATGTCCTAGGGCAGGAGAAGGTGGAGTCCCAGCTCAAGAAGAGAGAGAGGATTCTCCCTGCCCCTGCCTGTTTATTCTATGGGGGCCCTAAGTGGATTGGATGGTGTCCACCTACAGTAGGGAGGAAGGGTCTTCTTTACCTTGTCCCCTGATTCAAATACTCATCTCTTGAGGAAACTCCCTCACAAACACACCCAGAAATAATGGCTCGCCAGCCGTCTGGGCACCCTATGGCCCAGGCAAGTGGACACATGAAATCAGCCATCACCACAGTGCCCCTCCCCACCGTGCCCTGATTCTGTAGCCTCTCAGCAGCATTCTCAGCATGACTGTGGTGATTACACTTCAGTGTGCGTAGCGGGGGCTTTGGGTAGGAGAAGGCAGTGGTTTAGCCCCTCAGGCTAACTGTCATTTTATTTTTCTTCAGCCCATGTGAGATTTGTCACTCTGAGTGTGATCATGAGGGGCTAATTCTCTGGGATCACAAGGTGTTGAATTTATACATTTGCCAAGGCCTTGAGTTCTGATGGATGGAAAAGAGCCCACACATCATGGCTTTGTCCCTCTCTGCACATGACTTTGTCTGCCCCTGTGCATGGTTTTGTCCGTCTCTTCTCAGGCTTTTGTCTGTCTCTGCACCTGGCTTTATCTACCCCTGCTCATGGCTTTGTCCATCCCCAGTCATGGCTGTGTTCACATCTGTACATGGTTTTGTCCACCTCTGCTTATGGCTTTGTCTGCCCCTGTGCGTGGTTTTCTCCATCTCTTCTCATGCTTTTGTCCGTCTCTGCACCTGGCTTTATCTACCTCTGCTCACGGTTTTGTCCATCCCCAGTCAAGACTGTGTTCACATCTGTGCATGGCTTTGTCCACCCCTGCACATGGCTTCATTCACCTCTTCTCGTGACTTTGCCCACCCCTGCTCATAACTTTAACTACCCCTCCTCACAGCTTCATTCCCCTCTTCTCATGGCTTTGTCCATCCCGCTCATAACGTTGTCCACCCCGGCTCATCGCTTTGTTCACCTCTACACATGGCTTTGTTCAACCCTGCTCATTGGCTTTGTCCACCTCTGCTCATAGCTTTGTCCCCCTCTGTGCATGACTTTATTCACCTCTTCTCTTGACTTTGTCTACTCCAGCTCATGAGTTTGTCCACCTCTGTGCACTGCTTTGTCCACCTCTGCTGGTGGCAGACATTGCTGATCACTCTCGGTGCCTTTTCCCACTGAGTGCTGATTGCATTTCAGATCCTCTGTTTTGGGCTCCGAGAGATCCCTGGAGTGATCACTGGAGCCTCGGAGAGACTCCAGGCAGCCTCTGAGAGATCACTGGAATTGGCTTAGGACATCATCAGTCTTGGCCATCCATGCTATGGGGAGGTCACGTGTTGTCAAAGCTGAGGGGCCTTCTGGCTCCTTGTCCAGTACTCGCTTCTTGGATGCAGAATGAACCTGCATGTTTCTACAGACACATGGAAACATGGGTTTTTGTCCCAAGATCTTGCCTAAGTGCCTTCCAGCCCTCCTGTTATCTGCTCTAAAACTACTCACATCCTGGTTTAAACCCCTAGTTCCACACTCTTAGCTCCAGACTCAAGTGCAACCCTCAGCTCCACCTTCAGACTGGACCCTGTCCCTTCCACTCGCTGCCCAGAGCTGACTGGTCCCAAGATTGTTCATTGATCTCTTCGCATCCTTCAGATCCTACAGTGCCCTTTATTGTTATGATAATTGGCCACTACCACCAGTGACTATTGAGTGGTAAAGATGCCTCTTCACACATGTCATTCTAATGCTTGAAATTACACTGAAAAGTATGCATTTTTCATTCTCATTTTATAGATAAGAACACTGAGGATCAAGAAGGAAGGTGGGGATTTACACAGGGCTACATAGAACTGGATGTTGAACCTAGGTGGATCTGGACCCAAGCCTGTACTCCTTAGACTGTGCTATGACGCTCCCATTACACTCATTCATTCATTCAACATATAATTATCAATGAATGCAATGAGAAGAAATCCAGGCTTGGCTCTTTCATTTACAAAGTTTACAAAACAGGGAGTCTTGCCATACCTATCTGTTTATTAATCTATTTCCCCACCTCCCACTAGATGGCTTCTCCAAGGCTAGGACTGATAAATGTGTATTCCTAAATTCACTGGCCAAATACAAAGAGTTCTAAGCAAATCTTGGATGAATGGAGGGATGGATGAATAAATGGATGGGTGAATGAGTGAGTGGATACATATATGGATGAGTGAATGGGTATATAGATGGGTGGATGGTTGGACTGATGGATAGATGGTTGTTTGATGGATGGATGGATGGGTGGATGGGCGGATTGCTGGATGGTTGAATGGATGAATGGGTAGATGGGTAGAAGAACGGATGCATAGATGGGTGGATGGGTGGGTGGGTGGATGGATGAGTGGATCCACCCTGGCATGCTGAGACCGTGACTGAGGCAGGGCTGGAGCCTAGGCTGATTGGAAGAGTTAGCTTTTTGGGTCACCCTGAACATCGGTGACTCTCCCAACTCAAGACCCAAAAGATCTGGAGAGTTGCCCGGGGACAGGTAGGAAAGGGGTGTCACCCCAAGGCCAGGGCAGTGGGAACAGCAGCTTTCAGCATAGACATTAAATGAGAATATTGTCTGCAGAGAATTTAACACCCATTATAAAACCCAGGAAAAGCCAGCAGGCTTTTTATTGTCACTTTTCATTGGCAATTTTGAACACTACTAGTAATAAAATATCCCTTACTTGTGAAAAAAACCTTTCTTGGTCTACATTCTAAGCATTTTCTCTATTTACCACTGAGTTTTTAATCACACACATATACTCACATACACAGACATATGCATGTACACTCGTGCGTGTGCATATATACAAATATATGTCAATAGACATGTACCTCAGTATTAGTTAATTTCATGTGTCGACTTAACTGGGTGCCCAGATTAAATGTTCCTTTTAGATGTCTCTGTGGTGGTGTTTGGGGGAGATTTGCATGTGAATGGGTGGGTTCAGTGAGGTAGAGTGGGTGGAGATCTTCCAATCCCTTGAGGTCCTGAGAAGAACAAAGGCTGAGGATGCAGGAATTCACCTCTCTTTTGTTTCCTTCTGCCAGCAAGAGCAGGAACTTGTTCTTCTCCTGCCTTGGGAACTGCGGTTTACACTGCCAGCTCTTCCGGCTCTCAGGCCTTCAGACTGAGGCTGGAAGTTACACTACCAGCTCTTGGGGGTCTCCAGCTTGCGATGGCAGATCATGAGGCTTCTCAGTTTTCATAATCCCATGAGACACTTCCTTATTTTTATTTATTTATTTATTTTATAATTTTTTTTTTTGAGATGGAGTCTCACTCTGTTGCACAGGCTGGAGTGCAGTGGTGCGATCTTGGCTTGCTGAAACCTCCGCCTCCCAGGTTCAAGTGATTCTCCTGCCTTAGCCTCTTGAGTAGCTGGGACTATAGGTGTGCACCACTATGCCTGGCTAATTTTTGTATTTTTAGTAGAGATGGGGTTTTGCCACGCTGGCCAGGTTTATCTCAAATTCCTAACCTCAGGTGATCCTCACGCCTTGGCCTCCCAAAGTTCTGGGATTACAGGTGTGAGTCACTGCACCCGGCTGCCACTTCCTTATAATAAACCTCTCCCCATCCTTTCTCTCTCTCTCCCCCAGCTCACTCTCTCTCTATATATAAATCTATAGAGAGATGTGTGTGTATGCACATACACACATGTTTATCCTATTGGTTCTGTTTCTTTGGAGAACCTTGACTAATACAACTTAAAATTAACTTATTTGTATTATTCAACCTTTAACAAACATTATTTTCTACATGAAATTTGATTTTTTAAAAACTCTGGTTATACAGTGGGCCCCAGTGCAGGTGGGCTCAGCCATATGGGTTGATTTTAAGCCAAAGGTCACATGCGTATGGGACTTACAGAGCATCAGTGGCCTTGCTCTGCATCACTGCACTGGCTTCTGTCCAAGGAGCTGATTTGCAGTGAGCAGCCGTGGCACGGGGACTGCACAGAAGAGGCCCTGGAACACGGCAGCTCCGGGGTTCTGTGTGGCCACTTGAAGTTTTTACCCACATTTAAAATCCGAAACAGAGAAGTAGCCTGCAAACTTCGTGGTGTAATATTTTATTTGGCACATGCAAATTTTGTCTCACACATGAAGTATTTCATTGAGTTCTGATATCTTGGAAATTTATTATTTGAAAATTGTTAATTCTTTTAGAACTTAAACAGTGGGTCAATATTGTAACACGGTTATGACTAAAAATACTTTTGGAATTTAGAGGAAAGGCTGCTAAGACGATCGATCCATCCCTGTGTCAGCCTGCTGGGTACGCGGGTGCATTCAGTCTTCTCCACAGGAGGGGTCTGCGCAGGGTGAGGGGGCTTTACATCCGCAGGTGTTTGTGGTGGACCAGATGCTTGTGTTGGTAGATCCACATATAATATCTGCAACTCTCTACAGACCCTCAAAAGTGCATTCTCTCAAAACATGCAGCTGGGACTCATACCAGGGACTCACACTGCAGGCACCTGCTTTCAGGCCTGGACATTCTCGCCAGACAGACACAAGCTGAGCCAGCAGTGTTCACAGGAGGTCTTCTTCAGAAAGCCATCCAGTACCTGGGGATGGGGAGGTGTGCGTGCTGAGCGGACACCACATTCAGGACTTGGGGAACCCTTAAGGGGCCCGAGTCTCTGACCACCGGGTCCTGCCTGACCTTTTGCATGAAGGTTGCGTTTAAGTTAGGGCTGCCAGAAAAAAGACAGGATGATGTGTTAATTTCAGAGTCAAAATTTCAGGTACACAATGAATGTTTTCAGTATAATTTTGTCCCATACAATACCTGGGATTCTTTATACACTGAATGTTGTGTTCCTTCAAAATGGATCTGTTGAAAACCCTAACCCCCAATGAGAACACACTTGGAGATACGGCCTCTGCAGAAGTAATGAAGGTTACATGAGGTCATGAAGAGGGGCCCTGGCGCACTAGGATTGGTGTCCCCTATAAGAAAAGACACCAGAGGACGCTCTCATTCTCTCCCAAAGAAGAGGTCATGTGAGCACGCAGCAAGCTGCCAGCCACCAACCAGCCAGCAACAGAAGAGGCCTCAGAGTAAAACCTACCTTACCAGCCCTTTGATTTTGGACTCCCTGGTCTCCAGAGCTATGAGAAATCAACCCCTGTTGTTAAAGCCATCCAGCCAATGGTGTTTGTTATTGCAACCAAGCTGACTAATGCAGACTTAGTCTATTAAAGCGGTAACTTTTTTTTTTATCTGAACTTGAACTTGAATCAGCATCCTGTGCTTTTTTTGTTTGTTTTTGTTTTGTTTTGTTTTGTTTTGTTTTGAAACAGAGTCTCGCTCTGTCACCCAGGCTGGAGTGCAATGGTGCAATCTCAGCTCACTGCAACCTCCACCTCTCAGGTTCAAGTGATTCTCCTGCCTCAGTCTCCCGAGTAGCTGGGATTACAGGCGCCCGCCACCACACTCAGCTAAATTTTTGTATTTTTAGTAGAGACAGGGTTTCACTGTGTTAGCCAGGATGGTCTCAATCTCCTGACCTTGTGATCTGCCCGCCTTGGCCTCCCAAAGTGCTGGGATTATAGGCGTGAGGCACCGCGCCCGGCCTTGTTTTTAAAATCTAACAGTCCTTGTTTAGGCTGCCAGCTGGACTGTGAGATAAGGTCTGGGTCTGGGGGAGAGTAGGTGACATCTGGGAACTTCTTTCTTCCTACGTTGCAGCACTTCTCAGAGCCTGTAAGATAACCAGCTGGCACCACTGCGTGTGTCCCTGCCTTCTCCTGAGGTCAGATGGCTACACCTGGCATCTCAAGGATGGTCCTCCCTTCCTTGAACCCCCACGGGTGGGTCATGGGACAGCTGGTGCACTCAGCCTCTATCATTCAACGGCATCTCCACTAAGGCCACCAATGAGGCTGAATGCCTCGCTCCCTTGCCTTCCATCCCCAGCACAAGGAAGGCCCCCAGCAGGGGCTTCATGCGTGTTAGGTGATTTTGGAGCAAGGATACACACTTGTAGGATTGCTTTAGGGGATGTTTGGGGCTGAATTATGGCCCCTCAAACGTGTATGTTGAAGTCCCAACCCCCAGTACTTCACATGGTGACCATATTTGGAGCTAGAGGCTTTAAGGAAGCAATTAAATAGGTAAAATGAGGTTTTACAGTGGGACCTAACCCAACAGGACTAAGAAGAAGAGATGAGGACACAGACACCCACAGAGGGATGCCCATGTGAGGCCTAGGGAGAAGACAGCATCTACCAGGCCAGGAGAGAGGCCTTCAAAGTGTGCACAAATGTGAACCTGAAGGAGCCAGTCCTTCAAGATGGATCCCAAGTGGCTAATTGGGCCTAAAACAGAGCCAAACAGACTTTGCTGACTAGAGGTCACACTTGTACTCTGAGTGCCTTGAAAACCCCCACCTCTATTCAGCTGTGGGACACCAGTGCTCACCTGAACCAACCAATCAAGAGCTCACCTGCCTCAACCAATCAGAACTCAGTGGATTTCAATCCTTCATTTGCATAAGCAGACCTGATGGGGAACCTGGTCTGTTATAAAACCTGAGCCTTCCCTTTGTTCTCCAGAAGGGAATGTTGTGTCTCCCGGGTTTGCAAATTGTTTGCTGGAATAAAATCTCTTTCCTCTGAATTCCTTTTCAGATAACTTACGTTCACAGAAGAAACCAACCCTGCCAACACCATGATCTTGGACTTCCAGCCTCTGGGACTTTGAGAGAATAAAGTTCGGTTGTTCAAGGCACCCCAGTCCTGCATGAGGACACTGACGCCGGGTGGTGGTGGCCAACGTCCAGGAGCTAGAGTGAAACACACAGCCCCTGCAGGAGTCAGCCAGGTGCCTCCTCTCAGAATCCAACTCGGGGCTCCTTATGCTCACCCACAGCCGTGCATATTCACTTTTTTAAACATGATGGTAATTTTCTTCTCCAAGAAGTAAATGCATCTGGGCCAGCAACAGCAGGCTGACTAGATTGGATGCTGTAGGGGCTGAGTAGTGGCCCCTTAAAGAATCTGTGAAGGTGATTTTATCTGGCAGTCACGTCTCTGTGGATGTAATGAAGTTGAGGATCTCAGGATGAGATCGTCCTGGATTAGGGTGAGCCCTAGATTCAATGACATGCGTCCTTACCAGGCGAAGAGAGAGAGAGAGAGGTGAAGAGGTGGGACACAGAGAAGAAGTCCTTCTGAAGACGGAGGAGAGACGGATGCGGCACTAGCACAAGCCCAGGAACGCCAAGCCACCAGATGCTGGGCAGGGCAGGAAGGATTCTCCCTGGAGCGTTTGGAGGGAGTACTGCCTTCTGGCCTCCAAATCTGTGAAAGAATACATTTCTCATGATAATTTATTACAGCAGCCTCGGGAGACTGGCAAGCGCTAAACTATATGTTGTGTGCTCTCCACGAGGCACACACTGAGCTTGGCCGGGGCATTCGTAGGTGGTTAACAAAAAAGAGAGAAGTGAGAAAGAAATGAGGATTCAGGGGCAGCCCTCACGATGGGCCAGCGGAGGGGAATCGCTCTCCATTCTCGCCCAGCCAGAAGCTGTCATCTCCTGGATATGCATGTTCTTGCTATTCCAGAAAATATTCAAACATGGACAGAAATAATCACATTTTCGATGAGCTGGAGGTTGAAGCTTCTGTTCCAGATGATTAATCAGACTTTATGTGCCTCTCAGAGTTGGGGAGTTTATGTAGTTTTGGAAATGGCTTCCTATTTTATGCACCATCTGCTGAGCTGTTAATAGTGGACAGATCGCGTTGGCAGCTAGGAGGAGAAGTAAAGGACCCGGTGGAAGGAACCCAGATATTTCAGTGTGATTCTAGGGGACAGTTGTTTGTGAAATTTGCCATGACCCTCATCACTCAGGCACCAGGGCCTCCCTTCCCACCATGCTGCAGCCTTGGAAGGGCCAAGCCAGTGTTCCTGGCAGGGTCAGACTGCTCAGATAGGTGGACAGATAACCCAGCTTTTCACTAACAGTCAGGTTACTTCCAATAGAAATGAAGATGACTGTGGCTTTTTAAGACCTTTCCTTCTGCAGGTAGCAAATATACATATGATGGTAACCTCGAGAAATATAAGCCTGGCTCTGTGTGGTCCTTTTACTCATGCAACAAATTCAAAAGAAATAAGTGCCTGGACACATCTGCGCACATGTCTAACTACGTCGATTTTTGCTCGTCATGACATCGATTGAGAATAATCTGGTAAATAGAAAGTTTAATGGCCAGAAGGAGAAGACAGTCCTAAGGTTAATGACTAAGACACAGAAGCAAGCTTACTGTGACATCGTTGTCAAAGGAACACATAGCTTTTGCTGTTGGGTAGTGATGGTAGAGACAGGGTGGCATCCACCGAGGCCATGCGGTCTGGGGACAGGGGCCACCTCCCCCTACCCTGGGCTTTGTGAGAGTCACAGCCTCCGAGTCAGGGAAGAAGCCAATGCTGTCCTTAGAGTTTAATTTACAATGCCGAGGACTTGGCCCATGGACTTACGAAGGACGAGCAGGGCTTGGAAAGCTGGGAGGCCCCACCCAGCAGGAGAGCAGCTCCAGGTGCCTGTCCATGGCCCAGAGGAGGCACAGGTGTCCCGGCCACTTCTTCCCACATGAGGAGAAGGGGCCAGGCAGGAGTGTGTGACACCCACCTATGCTGCCATGACAAATTACCCCAAGCTGGCTGCCTTAAAGCCACGCACACTCGCTCCCCTAGGTTTGGAGGTCAGAAATCTGAAATCCACGTCAATGAGCTGAAATCGAGGCATCGGCAGGACTGACTCCTATTGGAGGCTTTAGGAGATAATTTGTTTCTTGCTTCTCCAGCTTCTGGATTGAAGTTCCTTGGCCCACAGCCGCTTCCTCCTTCTTCAAGCCCCAGCATGGCACCTCGCTTCAGCCGCCATACTGCCCTCTCTTCTTCTGTAGGACCTCTCCTTCGGCCCCCCTCTTGTAAGGATGCCTGTGATGTCATCCTTAGGATGCATCTAGATAATCCAGGAAGATCTCCCCAGCTCAAGCTTCTCGATGTCATCACATCTTCAGAGTCCTTTTTGCCACATAAGGTGGCATTTACAGGGGCCAGGAATTCAGACCTGATGTAGGTCCCCTTTCGGGACCCTTGTTCAGCCCTCTGTGGGGGCTAGAGGGGCCCTTGGTCACACGGTCATAGCCACTGCCGAGGCAGACACAGAAGGGCTCCCTTTGCTAAAGAAGCATAGCCAAGGGCTGGAGTCACAGCTGAGTCCCTCAAACACTCATGGAAGGGACGCTTATTATGCACCCAGTGTACGTCACCCCCGAGCTGCAGGCTGGCAATGCAGTCATTCACTCACTCATTCAAACATCCCCACACTCAGGGGACACTCACTGAGGGACGCACCTCCCCAGAAACGTGGATGGCATCAGAGTACTTTGCGAGCAGGATAGAGGCTGCGCTGCACCCAAAACAGCAGAGACAGATGGGTACATTATAGCACAGAGAGCCACTGTGCAGAAGTGAGTACACCATGGTCTCGGCGCGGAGAATGGCTTCCACCAGCCCTCTGGGGCCTCGACAGACAGGAAGACTTCAGCAGGCAGTGGTGAGAAACAGGAGACCTCCTGGCTGAATTGGAGTTGGCCAGGCTGAGAGGAGGAGGCAGGTGCAGTTTCTGGCAGCACTGGGGGTGAAACCTGTGCTTGCCTCTGAGAGCCCCAGTAGATCCATGTGCCAAGGAGCAGTGAGCATACTGGGTATAATCTATCCTCCATATATCTCAGAACTCCACTTCCCCCAACCACCACCTCCCGCTGTTTCTTGTCTGGTCCAGGAAGCATCTTCTCATGGCTCAGTGGCTGCCTCCCAGGCATCTGAAGCTGGGCAGCAGGCCCCGCAGGCAGTTGGCCAGGTTCCCGAGTGACTTGCTGGGGTGAGCACAGCAGCACCCACGTAAGCACCTGAGCACCTGAGAGCCCACAGCCAGGAGCCACCGGGCAGCGGAGATCAGACTCCTATGCAGTAGAGAGAACCAGTGCCTGGTCCTGCCCCACCTCTCCTCCGCCTCCCCCAGCTTCCCTCTATATTCCCTCAACTGTGTGCTCCTCTCCCTCCGTGTGCTCCTGCCCTCCGTGTGCTCCTGCCCTCCGTCTGCTCCAGCCCTCTGTGGATCAAATGAAATCGCATGTTTGAGGGGATTTCATCAATCTTAAGACAGCACTGACAGCTTCAAGTGGAATAGTTGGTGCGAGGCGTGGATGCAGGCCTGGACCGAGGTGCAGCGGGAGTGCCCTGGTGACTTGGAAAATGTGAAGGTGGACACAGAGTACCTCCTTCATAAAATCATTAGAGTGAAATGTTCTTATCCAGTTATGCAGTTGACTCTTGGTGGGACCTCAGGAAAAATTAATTAACCTATTTGTTCCTTGCTCTTCTCTTCGGCAAGAGGGGCAATGCCCTCATTTTGCAAACGCCCTCTTTTTCTTCAGAAATTCTGTAAGGCTTGATGACCTCGTAGCTCTCTAAATTATTGGATGGCACCAAAAATTCCAGAAGACAGCACAATGGGCCCAGAAATTTCCAAATGTCAAGGAGACTCCAGCAGAGCCTAGCCATGTCCCTGGAAGCTGCGGAGCAGGCGCGGGGCCCAGACATGGGTTCTCCCTCCCGGTCACTGTGGACAGCTCTTGTCTCCTCCAGCGATGTTTGCCCCATCTGAGCTGCATCTCCAAGCCTCACCAAACTCAGTCTACTCTGGTGACAGCTTGTACTGTCTGCCATGATGGCCGAGGCTTTCTCTTTTCCCTGCGAAGTGAGACCTCTTCCTCACCATCCATCCAGCCAACCTTTTCCAGACCCTGACTATGTGCACCTCCCATTTCACAGCATGGTGGGCAGGAGCAACTGAGGTAAAGATGGATGCTTTGACCTTGGGCAACCCACCTTAACCTCTCAATGTCTCCATCTTTCTCACTGAAAAAGGGGGGTAATAATAGTACCCACCTTTTATGGTAACTTTAATGATTGGACACTAACTGTGTTAAGCACTCACTCCAACTGTTGCGTGCATTGGAGCCACCATCCGTTATCAGCAGCGCTCATCAGCTTGCAGTTCTTCATCAACCCCAGACTATTTTGAAACTCTGGGCTGTTGTTTTTCTGTTCTTTCTAACTTCACATCTTCCTCATCCATATCCTTGGAAAACTCAGCAGTGAGCTCCGGGGACTATAAACTGACTGAGGTCTGGATATTAGGGTAGGATCATCGTTATTCACTGTGGCAACTGACATCAGTCTACTTCCAAGTTGTTTGTAACTCTTACGTTTTTGAAAATTATGATAGAGGTACGACAGGCAGTGTCCTCACTGGCTGTCATTCCCTCACCCCCAGGAGCACAGTGACCCATTGGCCAGCTCCAGAGGTCCCTGTGGTCATACATGAATGGCCATGCTGGCCTTGGCACCCATGATGGTGGCTGTATCCACCTTGCGTCCAAGGGTCATTGTTCCCCAGCTTGTGCTGCTCTGGGTCCCATTGTCCCTTTCCACACCATGGCAGAGCCTCTGGCTGCCAGCCGTGGCCTTCGAGGACAGACATCACTGTGCTCCTTAGAGAGGCTGGTGCCCCACGCGTCTCAGAATAAATCCACCTCCCATCCACACTTGCCTTAGCCTTCTGGCCCAGACCTCTCTATTAACAAGGGAGTTCTGCCATCTCCACTCATTCCTGTTGCCTGTCCCTCTTCTAGGCTTCAAAAAAACGGCTTCAACGGACTGGCACAACCAGCTGCAGAGGCCCCTGTCCTTGCAAAGATTCCAAGTCATAGGTGAGCACCCCCACATCAACACGTTCTTCTTCCCCGACCTTGCCTTCGGCCTCCCCTGGGCCCCACACTCATCACTCACTATCACGCTCCATGCTGGGTTCTAACAGTATGTATCTACTAGGCCCTGCATGCCTTTGCCATGCCAGCTAGCTCCTGCCAGGGCAGGGTCTGGACTTCTTTTCCTTGTCTGGCCTGAGATTGTGACCTGGTCATTGACCTAGAGGCATTGAGGGGCCGGTGGGATGCACCAGAAGAGGCACAGAACCACCTGAGACATTTGCTTCAGGTGAGGTCATTGCACATTCTCCAGCCAAAGGGAAAGGGCTTCCATTGCTAACCCTAAGAGTTCAGGAGTTTCAGGCTCTTGGGCCCATCCATGAATGTCCCCGTGGCAGATCTCAGGGTCCCATGCCCTAGGCTATCCTTCAGGGTTTTTATAGTTTTGTGTTTTACATTTAAGTCTTTAATCTATCTTGAGTTGATATTTGTACGTAGTTTAGGGAAGGGATCCAGTTTCAGTCTTCTGCATATGGCCAGCCAGTTATCCCACCCCATTTGTTAATAGGGAGCTCTTTCTCCATTGCTTGTTTTTGTCAACTTTGTCAAAGATCAGATGGTTGTAGGTGTGTGGCTTTATCTGGGGGCTCTGTACTCTGTTCCGTTGGACTATGTGTCTGTTTTTGTACCATGCTGTTTTGGTTACTGTAGACTTGTGGTAGACTTTGAAGTTGGGTAATGTGATGCCTCCAGCTTTGTTCTTTTTGCTTAGGATTGCCTTGGCTACTTGGGTGCTTTTTTGGTTCCATATGAATTTTTAAATAGTTTTTCTAATTCTGTGAATAATGTTATTGGTAGTTTGATAGAAAAAGCACTGAATCTGTGGCCAGACTTCCCAAAGCAATTTATTTTTCTTTCTCTTCATTTATTTGTTCAATTTTGGCCTTTTCCAGTTTGGGTATAAAGCTTACACCAGCCTCCTGTCATGATCCTGGAGCTCTCCCTGCTTTCCGATTTCTAAGGAGTCTGTATAGTGTTGCAGTCAGTGTGATTAACTCTCAGTGGTGGCTACTTCAAAAGACCCTCATGTGTTGATGTTCTAACTAAGCCCAGGGTCACCCCAGCCCCTGCACAGGCCATTGTGAGCTAAGCAGGTGCTCCTCTAAGTTCAGAGGCAGAGTTTTGGAAAAGGCATGCAAACCCACACGCTAAGAATCCCGGCTGATTGAAAATGTGCACGCGTGGGCCGGGCGCAGTGGCTCACGCCTGTAATCCCAGCACTTTGGGAGGCCGAGGTGGGCGGATCACGAGGTGAGGAGATCGAGACCATGGTGAAACCCCGTCTCTACTAAAAATACAAAAAATTAGCCGGGCGCGATGGCGGACGCCTGTAGTCCCAGCTACTTGGGAGGCTGAGGCAGGAGAATGGTGTGAACCCAGGAGGCGGAGCTTGCAGTGAGCCGAGATTGCGCCACTGCACTCCAGCCTGGGCGACAGAGCGAGACTCCGTCTCAAAAAAAAAAAAGAAAATGTGGACGCATGTGTGCATGTTTATGTGTGCGCATGTGTGTATGCTTGTGTGCATGTGTGTGTGCTTATGTTTGTGTGCATGTGTGTATGCTTGTGTGCATGTGTGTGTGTGTGCGCGCACGTGTGCATGTGTGTGCATGTGTGTATGCTTGTGTGCATGTGTGTGCATATGTGTGTGCACGTGTGTGCATGTGTGTGCGTGTGTGTGCGCATGTGTGTACATGTTCTTGTAAACAATCTCGTCCTCCCCCATCCTCAAGAATGTGCAAATTTAAGACCTCAAATGTATACACATTTTCACCCATCAAAATGAGAAATTCACACTGTCTCCATTATTGGAAAAGGTGTGTGAAAATGCACTCTCCAATACTACCAGTGGGATAAAATTAGTGCAGTCATTTTCGGGGAGCCAAACACATCAGCCAGCAAAATGGAAAGTGTGCCCACCTGGAACGCAGCAGTTCCTCTTCTTTCCACATACCCTGTGAGTCCCCGGAGAAGACCTGAAACACAGCAGGGGCTCAGGAAGAAAGAACTGAAGTGACATTGACCAGCGGCAAGATTGCAGGAAGGAAAAGGGAATTCTGCTTCCTGAACCCATCTTTGGGCATTTGCACAGGGGCTCTCCATCTCTCCAGCTGCTTCCTAATCTGTAGTGAGGGCTTTGAGCCAGGTCAACAATGCTCAGTCTAGCTTCTGAGGGATGCTGTTGCTATGCCAGCCTGGGGGAGCTTCTGCCTTTCACAACCTGGCAATGACATTTCCTTCCAATGGGAGAAAAAGAATTCTCACCATCCACTCGCTTCCTCCCACACTTGCCCGGACACACCGGTGCCTAATGCTGCCTCTGTCTACAGAATGTAGGATGACAAAGTGTCTGCTTTCTTACAAGCTAATAATTTTCATTGTCTCAAGCTTAATTTATCACCGTTTTATAGCAGTCTCCTGAGCACATTAAACATTTTTTGGACTCTATAATCATTAATGTCCCTCCCAGCTCTGGCTTTCTGGGATGTTAGAGACACATAGATGTTTTATTCTTTCCTCCTTTGTAGTTGATAAAACTTCATGCAGAATGAGTGTAAACTGGCTATTCCATTGTTTTGGAAAAATAGAAAGTTCCCAACAAAGATTTGCTGTATTTCAACACACAGAATACAGTAATACGGTGTGTGTACATGCTATATCATTTTTAAATGAAAGGGTTTCTTCTCACTGTATCTTCACGTGTGTGTTAAACAGTGGGGAAAATCTGAACGATGACAATTACTGAAGCAGAAGTGCCAGGCAATCTTGCCTAATACTGCCTTTGTCTACAGAATGTAGGAAGACAACGTGTCTCCTTGTCCACAGCCCTCACAGACTTGCCAATGTGGGCTGGGTGGGTCACTTCAGGTTGGTCCACTGGATCGTGACTGGGGCTGTTGTTGGGAGAAATATATCTATGCTTTCAGGCAAAGGATGAAAATTCCACATTCCAAGAATCTGAACTAATAACTCCTATAGAGCCAGGGGAAGAGGCTCCTCCACCCAGGAAATAGCTGTATATGCATGTACATGGCTTTATAAATACTAGGTAGCTTTCTCTTCTCTTTCATAATTTCATTTAGCAAGCATATACTGAGCATTTTCCACATATAAACTATTCCTTAGGCATCAGAACACTATGAGGATCCAGACTAAGCCACTGCTTTCAAGATGCTCCCGAGAAACCAGTTTGGGTATCAAGCTTAGGTGAGCCTCCTGTCATGATACTGGAGCTTTCCCCGTTTTCCTATTTCTAAGGAGTCTGCCTAGTGTTGCAGTCGGTGTGATTGACCCCCAGGGGTGGCTACTTCAAAAGACTCTCACGTCTTGATGTTCTAGCTAAACACAGGGTCACCCCAGCCCCTGCACAGGCCATTGTGAACTGAGCAGGTTCTCCTCCAAGTTCAGAGGCAGAGTTTTGGAAAAGGCATGCAAACCCACGTGCTAAGAATCCCGGCTGATTGAAAATGTGTGCGTGCATATTCTTACAAACAATCTCATCTCCTTCCTGAGAAACCATGGGGGTGTCGAGGGGGTCTGCAGGGAGTGTGAGAATGAACACAGAGAGATCTGGCAGTGCCGTTCACGTGTGAGGGATTATTCCAAAGGCGGTGCCTGGAGCCAGTGGATTTGTGTTTCCAGGAAGGCATGGGTGTGCAGTGAGGGGGCAGGTGGGTGCTGTCTATAGCTGGTGACCATTGATAAGGCACATGTGGCCATAGCTGCCCTGGCCACCAGGATGCTGCCTTTGCAGGGGCTGCCTCACTCAATTCTCCAGTCAACCCCTGAGGAAAGCAGCTTCACCACCTCAACTTCTCCAGCCTTTTGAAGGGTCATGAGGCTTTCCTGAATTCACATGACCTGAGAGAGGAGAATTGGGGTTTTAGCTCTGGCCACATGACCCCCAGACCTTCTTCTCCTTTTTTTTTTAATAATGTCAAATTTATTGTGTGACTTAAATATTCCATATTTTGTATTTATGTCTTTTTGTGTATCTCAATATAAAATTACATACCATTTAAGCAAATAATAAAAATTATTGTTTTATTATTATTATACTTTAAGTTCTGGGGTACATGTGCAGAACATGCAGGTTTGTTACATAGGTATATACGCGCCATGGTGGTTTGCTGCACCCACCAACCTGTCATCTACATTAGGTATTTTTCCTAATGCTATCCCTCCCCTAGCCCCCAACTCCCCAACAGGCCCCGGTGTGTGATGTTCCCCTCCCTGTGTCCATGCATTCTCATTGTTCAACTCCCACTTATGAGTGAGAACACGCGGTGTTTGGTTTTCTGTTCCTGTGTTAGTTTGCTGAGAATGATGGTTTCCAGCTTCATCCATGTCCCTGCAAAGCAAATGAAATCCTTTTTCATGGCTGCATAGTATTCCATGGTATATATATGCCACATTTTCTTTATCCAGTCTATCATTGATGGGCATTTGGGTTGGTTCCCAAGTCTTTGCTATTGTGAATAGTGCTGCAATAAACATACATGTGCATGTGCCTTTATAATAGAATGATTTATAATCCTTTGGGCATATACCGAGTAATGGAATTTCTGAGTCAAATGGTATTTCTAGTTCTAGATCCTTGAGGAATCGCCACACTGTCTTCCACAATGGTTGAACTAATTTACACTCCCACCAACAGTGTGTAAAAGCGTTCCTATTTCTTCACATCTTCTCCAGCATCTGTTGTTTCCTGATTTTTTAATTATTGCCATTAAAACTGGCATGAGATGGTATCTCATTGTGGTTTTGATTTGCATTTCTCTAATGACCTGTGATGATGAGCTTTTTTTCATATGTTTATTGGCCGCATAAATGTCTTCTTTTGGGAAATGTTTGTTCATATCCTTTGCCCCCAGACCTACAAAGCTGCTTCCCCTAAGGGAGTGTGAGCTGCTCCAGCTGACTCCGCCCGGGGCCATGGTCCTTCTCTGCATCAGCTGTGCTTCCCAATCCTCACTGTGCACAGGGCTTGGAGAGGATAGGAGATATTGTTGAAACGTGGGTGCTGGGCTTAGGTCATGCAGGTCTAACACACTCCTGGGGGAGGTCAGGCTGCTGGTCCACAGCCCACACTCTGAGTAGCCAGGTGTAGAAGATGTGAGTCCTCCCAGGGTGGGGGTTCTTGTTCATGAGGACCCTACCCTGCTCCTCTGGCCACAGAGCCCACCTTAAGACCTTCCTGTACCTGAGACTCAGAGAAGCATCCATCCTGGTGGATTTAGCCTGTGCCTCATCCAAGTCAGCTGCTGCCTGTCTTTTGGGAGTGCTCCCTGCTGGTGCTTTTGCTGGGCAGAAGCTGGCCTGGACTTGGCCTTCTTCCCGCCCTCCCCCGCAACCTTATCTTTACCCTGGAGTTTCTCTCCAGGTGGGAAGTTTACTTTGTTTGGAAAGAACTTCCTGGGGCTTCTACCTGGGTGCAACTATCTCTGCAGCTTTGCAGAAGCAATGGGACCAGGCTGGGAGGAGGGAGCCCTAGGTCCACATGTTCTTTTATACCTTGACATTTGCACAGTGCTCTCCCCCTCCACCAAACCCTTTCCCACTCCTTCCCCCTTGATCCTTTCTTGGCTGTCTCTCCCCTTGTAGTTTCTCTGTAACTTTCTTTAGGGGAAATAAAACAGCCTTTTTTTGTTTTGTTTTGTTTACATGTTTTGGGGACTCTGCTTTTCTCTGATTAAGTTTCTCTGGGAATCCTACCCCATCAGCTGTATTTTTCCAAGAAATCCTTAAGCATATGTCTGCTCATGCAATTTTCATTTGATGCTTATCTGATAATGACATGGATCTTTTCTATCTCTTTAACTACATCTTCCTTCTTGTTTTGGGTGGACTGGGGTGGATGGGACATGCTGTTTTGGGGTGAGTTTCTCAGCCAGGCAGTGACTGCTCCCAAAACTTTGTTTCCAAGCCTTGGATCCCCTCACCTCACAGCCCATCTGCCAAATGCCTCGTGATGGTGGAACCTGACTCTACGCAGACATCTCAACTCAACCGGCTCAAACTTAACTAACCAACTCACCATCCTCCCTTGGTCCTGAGACTCCTGCCAGCCCCATACTTGGGAGTGGAGCTGCTGCGGTGGGAGCCTCAGAGAGTTCATGCATCACTCCCACCCCTCTCTTCCTCACCGAGCCAGCCACGCAGGCACTGACTCCTGCCCTCTATGGATCTGACCCCAGACACTAATTCAGTGTCGCCTCCTGGACAACCCGAGTTCTGCCCCAGCTCCGGGCTCTTTCCCCTCCAGCCTAAGCCAACATCACAGCCTGAAGCGGATCTCCCCACCTCCCTCCAACCCTTGTATTGCTGCCCTCTCTGGGATAAACATCTGCCCACGCAGCTGCCCTCTCAGCAGCTCCCGTGGTGTCAGGGGCACCTGCCACTGCACAGCCCGGGCCACACTGCAGGAACTGTGGCTTTGCCACCCTCTCCTCCATCTCCTGCCGGAGCTCTGTGTACCGCCTGCCCTTGGCCGCTCGTGGTCCTTTCTCTCTCACACCTCTGTGCCTCTGCAGGTGCGACTCTTTTGTCCCAGAAAGACACCCTTCTCCCTTGCTGCCTATTTCCTCTCCTGCCTTGAGCTCCCAGCTCAGGTGCCTTCCCAGACGCTCTGGGTGTCCTCCTGTGTCCAGCGTTGCCTGTGCTGTCCTCACTTGAGGTGACTCACTAGAAAAGGAGCCTCGCGTCAGGCCCAGCGCTGGTTCCCTGCAGGTGCTCAGGAACTCCTGTCGGGGGAAGGAGCGGCCCGCTTGCAGATCTCTCGATCTGTCACTGAGCATCCTGGCACACGTGACCTGCATCCCACTTTTACTCCCTGGAGGTCACATGGGATGGGGTGGGCTTGAGCCTGAGTGTGGCTCTTACACAGGCCCAAATCTGCCCTCCTCTCTCACCGCCCGCCCACACTGCTCACGCCACCTCCTTCTCTCTCTCTCTCTTCAGGGCTTTCCAAACCTCCATCTGTCAAATTTCAATTCTCCTTCATAACCCAGCCAGCAAGAGCAGCTTATCCTTTGGAAAAACTTCCCTGCAACTGTTAGATATGAATGTCCCTGTCCTTGCTGTTTGCAGGACACATAATTCTATTAATTTTTTATGATCCCTTTAATGTCGTGGGGATGCATTGGTGTCCATCTGAGTTCACCATTAGACGCTGCTTACGTGAGGGCAGAGCTGAGTCTTATTCATCTGTGTGTTCCCTGCACCATTCAGATATTCTCATAAAGTGGGCCTTCACGAGTGTCTTTGTCTGATGAATGATTTAACATCATCACCTTCTCTCCTTTTTTTTTTTCTAGCAAAGGTTTTGCATCTGTGAGAAGGAGCTGCATTATTTTAGGAAGAATCTTTTGGAGTCTGATGACTTGAGTTCAGATTTGGGCTCTGACACAAACTACGTGAGCTTAGGTGAGTCCTTCTGCACTTCAATTTCTTTAGCAGTAAAGCTAGGACATTACTATCCATTCCAAATATGCCACGAGAAATGAATGAAATGGAATATGGAGGCATCTGATCCAAGGCTTGGTGTAGATGAGGCTCTCAGCACAGCTGTAGTTTACAGAACGCCTCTCCATGGCATCGGAGCAGGCACCCGGACCCCCAGACCTGAATTTACAGGTGAGGGTGGGTGCCTGCCCTTCCCTGGCCTGGTGTCAATGAGAGAGATCTTTGGTTTCCTTTTGTCTTCTGCACTCACAAAGCCGTGTTTAGGACAAAATCCCACGTCCCAGGTTAGATCAGTGGAATACTACTTTCTAGGGAAAAATTGGAAAATATTCCCACAATTTAGCCAGAGTATATTTTATTCATTCATTAATCTGTAGCCATAATTAAATGGCCACAACCTGCCTTTCCCTGAATGAAGTCATTTTCAGCATTTATTTTAAGAAACACTATTGGATTTGAAAGGACCAGTGAGTCAGGTTGGACTGGTAATTAGATGGTCTCATTCCAGGCCTCTAAACAATCATTCTAATGACATCATGGTTAGACCTGCGGTTTCTTCTTAGCGAGGAAATACATACATACATCTCGGGTTCTGGCCCCTTTCCCAAAGTGTGGGCCTGTCTGCATCTCATGCCAAGAAGCGTCGTTGTACATTCACCAAGGACGGGGCAGCCGCAGCCGTAGCTGGTGCCTCTGATAGAGGAACGAACAGGTGCGTTCCCGGAAAAATGGAGGCCATTCTCTGAGCAGAATGCCTTCTACATGTGATGCTGTAGAATCCCTCCTCCAGGGGATTAAGCTCCATGGACTGTTCACATGCGCATGTATGCACACACACTCACGTTCACACACACACACACTCACATACTCTCACATTCACACAAATACATACTTTCACATTCACACACACACCCCTACATACTCTGACAGTCACACACATTCACACATACACTCATATACTCTCACACACTCACACACATACACTCACACCTTTTCACTCACATTCACACATACACACACATATACACTCACATACTCTCACATTCACACACATTCACACACATCCACACTCACTCTCACACAGACACCCCTCCACACACATATACACACAATCACATTTTCACTCACATTCACATACACATACACTCACACATTCTCACACACACATTTACATACTCTCATATGCACACCCACTCTCTCACACATACACACACACACCCACACTTGCATGCATTCACATTCACACACACTCACACTCATAGACACCCCACACACATACACACACATAATCACACATTTTCACTCACATTCACATACACTCACACATACATTCACACTCACATTTACATACTCTCACATGCACACACACGCACACCCATTCTCACACATACACTCACAGACACACACACATGCACACACCCACACTTGCACACACCCACATAACACAACCACACAGGTATACACAATCTCACACACACATTTCTAGTATCAGGGAGAAAACCGCAGAAGAGAGGTCCAGGTAAAATGCCATCAATCAAGACAGACTCCTGGCCGCGGAGCTTGTCCTGGGAAAGGGAGTACAGGAAGAGAGAGAAAATAAGCAGAAATATGGAGTGAGACTGGATGTGCTGTCTCCAGCCGGCCAGGGACCGGGAGCCCGGCAGCTCCACTCTGCTCCGCTCAGAAGGGCCCGTGTATATTTCTGAGCAACTGGACGCTGAGCTGTCTTTAATGACAACAGAGAGCTTCAGGAACCCCTGAGCACGGCGGAGAATGACAGATACAGGTGTGTTTGTGGCAATTATCTCTGTCTTATTGTGGAATTAGTGTAAGGGTTTGTGGCTACAGCAGTTGCTGGCTCTGGGCGCCCTCATGAAATCAAGGTTCACAGAGGCCAAAGGCTGGAGCCAGGTATCTTCTCTCTCCGCACAGTCCCCCAGGCTTGTTCCCGATGCTCTGCCTGGGAGGGACGTCCCTGCCTCCTCCGTAAATATCCAGAGTGGAAGTGCCTTGGGCGTTTCTGAAATTGTCCATGCTTTCTTTCAGGATAATGCAGTTGGGTTTCCTATAAATTCACCCCTTCCTTCCTTTCTGTGCAATGCCTGCTGCTAGTTCCTCCTCCCTTCCTATTTCATGCTAAATGGTTTTTCCTGCCTCGGCATTGCCCAGATTTTTTTTTTTTTTTGTACTTCTGTGACGAGTCAGTGCTTCCCATTGAGGGCTGTGCATTTTAAAACCTCTGCACTTCAGACTCATGGGGTTTTCATTTCATTCTTCATGCTAACTCGCTATTCTTGCTCATCCCTGCTTGAGCTCTCTGCTGCCTATTTATTCATTTTAAAATATTTATTAACGACCTACTCGGTGCCAAGCCTGGACCAGACCATGGGGACACAGCTATGAACCAAGTAGACACAAGTCTTGTGTATCTCGCTGGCAAAGCCCCACTCGGCACCCAGCAGAGCTCCTGGGCAGTGGCTGGGGCCTGGTTTCCTTGCGAGTGCCAATGACGAGTCGTGGAAAGAACACAGGACATGAGGCCAAGCATATCTGGATTTGCCTCAGTGAATCAACCCACATTCATGGGCTCTTTGATCAGGGGAAAGCAGCAGAAATGGGTGGCCACTCACCCTCCACAGCCATAAAATGGGAACCACAGTACCTACCCACTGGCTGGCTGAATAGCCGGGGCTAGCATATGTGAAGCCTTTGGGTGCCTGATAATGGTAACTATGTGTTATTAGTTTTGATTTGTCACTTGTCTTCATCCCAGAAACACATTGGGGGAAGTAGGAGAAGCAGCAGACACACTTCTTGCAGTCAGGGCCCTCATCATCTAACAAGAGGGAAAGGAAATGACCTGATTCTATCCAGCAAATGTGTACTGAATCTTTGCAGGCAAGAGGCATATTTCAGGCTCAAGAAGAGATGCAGAGAAGACAGATGGGTATCCCAGGGGACCGCTTTGCACACGCAGGCTGACGCCAGGCAAGTGAAACAAATGCTCTGAGGTTTGCAAATACAGATCAATGAGGGCTGGGCGCGATGGTTCACGCCTGTAATCCCAGCACTTCGGGAGGGTGAGGCAGGTGGATCACCTGAGGTCAGGAGTTTGACACCAGCCTGGCCAACATGGAGAAACCCCACCTCTACTAAAAATACAAAAAAAAAAAAAGAATTACAAAAAATTAGCCAGGCATGGTTGCAGATGCCTGTAATCCCAGCTACTCTGGAGGCTGAGGCAGGAGAATCGCTTGATCCCAGAAGGCGGAGGTTTCAGTGAGCCAAGATCGCGCCATTGCACTCCAGCCTGGGCAACAAGTGCAAAACTACATCTCAATAATAATAATAATAATAATAATAACAATAATAACAAAGTATGGATCAGTGAGGTTCAGAGGTAAATTGTGGGAGGGAGGTTTAGATTCCAAAATGTTTGTGAGGGAGTTGATGCTTATGTTGGGCCTTCAAGAGTGGAGACAACTCTGTAAGTAGAAGCCAGGGGTCCGGAAAGCTCTGGGTGTGTCTGGACTTTTGGAATTGGGAGAGAGTGAGCGTGTTGTCTGGAGCACGAGGAAGGCACTCCCAGGCTAAGCTGAAAAGGCGGGAGCAGACGCATGGGCCTTGACTCCCAGATGGGAGAGGCCCAGCAAGGGCTGCTGAGCAGGGAGTGACTTGATCAGAGTTGAGATGTGGAAAGATCTTTCTGGAAGCCTTTGAAGAAACAAACGACGAGAGCCCAGGTAGGAGCCAGGTGCCATCATGTAAGCGGGCAGCAGGCAACAGTCCCACCTGACTCAGATGCAGCGGAGGGAAAGCAAGATGGGGAGTCCTTCCAGAAACCACCGTGCGTCCAGAGGGTGCAAGGCACAGGACCATTTGGGCCAAATCTACAATGTGTTATCACCAGGTAAGACCGCACGGTCCACGTCCATTTCCCCTGAAAACCCTGCAGACTGACTCTTTTTTGACATTTTTAGGAGAGGAAATGTGAGAACATGCTTTGAAGCTGCCATTGGGGCCTGTAGCTTCTTGTAACATCAGAGCTGGAAGGGCTTGGAGCCTGACTCTCCCACACTGTTACAGGAACCACCTGCCAAGGTTTCCTGGCAGGTGACTGGCAGTCTCCACCTGAATGCAAAATTGCCGACTTGGGCTTAAAATGGACTGGGCACTATGACAACAGCCTTGCATGGATTACCTCATGAAATCTTCACAACAACCTTATTTTGAGACGAGAAACGGAGGCTCACAGGCTTTGGCTAAACTACCCAAGGTCTAATTGGTGCTGTATGGTGGAGTGGGATTACATCTCGGGGGTCTGGTTCCAGACGCCACACTCTTGACCACTGCACCAGGCCCAACAGCATGAACATGAAGCTTTGGGGCAACTCTCTCCATGGCAGGGCAGTGTGGACCCAAGCTCTTCTCTAGTTTGAACGGCTGCCCCCAGTGTGTGATCTGAGGCCCTGACTTTGGACCAGAGCATCCTTGTTCTTTGAACCCAGTGGTTCTGTCCCCAGACTTTTCTCCCCAGCTCCGCCAACACTCACAGGCCTGACTTGGTTTCCTCACCTCTCACTAGCCTACTGGCTCCCCTCTAAATGCTGAGTCAGATAGTGTCTGTCACTTAACCTGGGCTGGCCTGGCCGGGGCGCAGCCAATGACCCCTCCTCCCAGGGGACGTCCCTTCACCCCAACAACCCCAGGGTCTACTGAACCCCACAGACAGCCACATCTCTCCCCAGCCTGGAAACACGGCAGGTGATAAGGCTTGGATGTTTGTCCCCTCCAAATCTCATGTTGAAATGTGACCTCCAATGTTGGAGGTGGGGCCTTTTGGGAACTATTTGGGTCATAGGGGGATCCCTCATGAATGGCTTGGTGCCATCCTTGAGGTACTGAGTGAGTTTGTGCTCTGAGGTCCTGTGAGATCTGGTTGTTTAAAAGGGTGTGGCATCTCCCCCGGCCACTGTCTTGCTTCCTCTGTCCCCATGTGAGACACCTGCTCTCTGTCCTCTCCCATCATGATTGGAAGCTTCCTGAGGCCTCACCAGGAACAGGTGCGGGCGCCATGTTTCCTGTACAATCTGCAGAATCGTGAGACAAATAAATCTCTCTTTTTTTTTTTTTTACAGATTACTCAGCCTCTGGTATTCCTTTTTTTCTTTTGAGAGGTAGTCTCACTCTGTTGCACATGCTGGAGTGCAGCGGCGCAGTCTCAGCTCCCTGCAACTTCTGCCTCCCAGGTTCAAGTGATTCTCCTGCCTCAGCCTCCTGAGTAGCTGGAATTACAAGTGCATGTCACCACACCCAGCAAATTTTTTTTTTTTTTTTGTATTTTTAGTAGAGACGGAGTTTCACCATGTTAGCCAGGTTGGTCTTGAACTCCTGACATCAGATGATCCACCTGCCTCGGCCTCCTAAAGTGCTGGGATTACAGGCATGAGCCACCCACCCGGCCAGGTATTCCTTTATAGCAACACAAAAACCAGCTTAACACAGCAGGCTTCCCTCCATGCAGGCTTCCTTCCCATTTCTCTCCAGTCATGCTGAGGCCAATTTGGGGTCCAAGTGCAGAGATTTGCTTTCAACGTCGATGCTGTTGAGCCCCTGCCGTGGAACAGGCCCCATTCTAAGGATGTTACATGGGCCCCCTGGCTTCTTCCTCTGCACCTCCCTGGGAGGGAGGTGCAAACAGCATCCCATTCCCAGATGAGAGCACCCATCACGGGGCCAGGAGAGTAAGGAAAGGGCCCAGGCTGCCTGGGTCGGTGCTTTGACCACTTAGCCACACTGTCCACTGCTGCACCAAACATCCTTCCAGAGCACGCCCTTGTCCAGTGTTGGGCTAGAGCATTGGTAACCCAGGTCCAGCCATGCAGCTTCTGATATGGCCTGTGCAGCCTTTTTTTTTAATGTCTTATTTTAAATTTGACAAACAATTGTATATATGCATGAGGTACAATGTAATGTTTCTATATATGTATACATTGTGGAATGGTCGAGTCAGGCTAGATTCATATATCCACCACCTCACATACCTTTTATTTCTTTGTGGTGAGAACATTTAAATCCACTCTTTTAGCAATTTTGGAACATACAATACGTAATGATGAAGTGTAATCACAATTCTGGGCGATGGATCTCCAGAACCTATTCCTTTCATCGGGCTGATTCCTTCGACCAGCATCTGCCCGTCCCTGACCCTCACCCCAGCCTCTGGGAACCACCAATCTACTCTCTGCTTTTGAGTTTGACTCTCCTGGAATCCACATACGAGTGTGACTGTATGGTTGTTATTAATACCTTTCTGTGCCTGGTTCATTTCGCTTAGCAATGTCCTCCAGATTCACCCACATTGAGACAAATGGTAGAATTTCCTTCTTGTTTGAGGCTGAATAATATTGGAGCATTTTACAGATGTCCCCTCTGTGCTTGATGACGATGTTGAACAGAAACGAGTGATTTCTTCAAGTCCTTGATGACGATGTTGAACAGAAACGAGCGATTTCTTCAACCTGCTCTCTCCCGTGTTTCTGGGGGTCAGTGTGCACCCCCTTTTTTCTTGTGGTCTATGCTTTCAGCCTAGCCCACCCTGGAATGTTCTCTGGGGATTTTCACTCTGAATGCTCCAGGGGCCTCTGCTATGCACACAGACCTGACACCCAACAGATATTTGTCAGTAGGAGTCCCAAGAGCACTGCCCGGTGGAGGACCACAGTGGTTTCTCCTTTCAAAATCGACAGCATTTATCTACCCTCAGGTGTGAGCACTCAGCCAAGTCTCAATCCCACCCACATGTGATCAAAGCACAAGACTACTTTTTTTTTTCTTTTTTTTTTCTTTTGAGACAGAGTTTTGCTCTGTCTCCCAAGCTGGAGTGCAATGGCGCGATCTCGGCTCACTGCAACCTCCACTTCCTGGGTTCAAGTGATTCTCCTGCCTCAGCCTCCCAAGTAGCTGGGATTACAGGAGCCTGCCACCACACCTGGCTAATTTTTGTATTTTTAGTAGAGATGGGTTTTGCCATGTTGCCCAGGGTGGTCTCGAACTCCTGATCTCAAGTAATCCACCTGCCTCAGCATCCCAAAGTGCTGGGATTACAGGCATGAGCCACCACGCCCGGTGAAAATGGCAGCTTCTTGTTGCTGAGGATGCCGTGGCAGGGGATGTGCACACGCCCTCCAATCCTGAAGAAACTGCAGCAGGTTGGTGTCATTTTCCACGTTGCTCAGAGGAGGGTGTGTGCATGAGCAGGGCTGAGGAAGGCTCCAGGTCATGCAGCTTAACTCCTAAATCCGGAGCCCACACCCCTACTCTTGTGCCTCCTTGCCCCCTGGACGTCCCGGAGTGATGACCTCCAAGGGACTTCTCTCATCCACAGAAAATCATAAGAAACACTGCCATGTGCTCTTCTAAAATCTGCATGTCTGGGCTCTGTGGACACAGCTGTCTCCAGCTACAAGACAAAGCGCCTTGGCACCATGCGTGCTCCTGGAACCTCAGAGCTGTTCCTATGCAGGACCTTCATAGATGCTAAAAGCAGGAAAAAAAAAAAAAAAAGCAAAGAGAAAGCAATAGCAAAAGAAGCCACAAGATCTGCGCCATAACTCCAGAGCCTCTCGTAGTCAGATCATTTTATGAAAATTTCCAGCTGTGGGGCTCTAATCCACTAAGATTGTTCAATATCTCATTTCAGGGAAACAGCACTTCCAGGGCCAGCCACTCAGCAGCTCTGTTCTGAATTTTCAGTGAAGGTGAGCCTTTGAGCAGGCCTCAGTGCTGGTTCCTCCTCACCCCTCTTCCCACCTGCAGCCTTGGCAGAACCTTACCTTTCCTCTTGCAATTCAACTTTTCAAAGAGAGAAAATGAAAATGTGATTTTCTCCAGGCAAATCTCTCACAGTTTTATACATTTTCCTCTCTGGGCAGGAATAGACCTTTCTTTTTTTTTTTTTTCTTTTAGAAAAATCGAAAGTGGTTTTTAAATGTCAAATTTTCTGATGGAGGACAAACTGCCTTTTAAATATCACAGTTTCTAAAATGCACCCTTGTTAATTTTACTCTCGTCATCTTTCTCCAGAACCTGTCCCAAGTCTCCATACTGAGCATCATAAGGATGTATATTTTCTGGCCAAGTGGCAATGATGAGTTTTCAGAGGTAGGTATTTGGGATTAATTAAAGGAGAATGTTCTCATAATTGGCAGGGACACTGTGGCAGGCTCTCACTCCTGGTCCAGGGGTCTGGACCTTCCCACTTGCTCCCTGCAGGATCTGGGCAGCCCATGCTGGCCTGCAGGTGCGTCACTGCATCTCATGGGCATGCCAAGCTCCAGAGGTACCCTGCTGTGAGCTGCCTGCCTGCATCCAGCCCTGGCAGAAGCCTCAGGCTTCAGCATGGGCCTCTGTGAGTCAGCTGAACCTTGCACGGCTCCTCCCAACACATGACCTTGCAGAAGAGATTTAAATTTCTTCTCACATCAGGGTCTCAGCACAAGTGAGGAGGCCATGAGGACCATGTCATCTACTGCTGAGGGAATCAGGAGTTGGAGCGTCTCACTAACAGCTTAGGATGCAAGGTGGGCTCGGTTCATGCTGACGCAGTTCTCAGCCCCACAGTCAGGAAGGCTGTAGGCCCCGCAAAAGGAAGAGTCCACCAGCAGGGCAGGAGAGCGATCCAGGACCATCACTGGGCCAGGGCCAGGCACAGGAGCCAGCCTCTGGCTTTGTCTTTAGCATGGACTGAGCACAGAGGCAACAGCCCCTGAGTACCCACCTTGAACGGAGGGGACCCTTTCCCCCAGCCTGTTCCAGCCCAGCGGAGCCATGGAGAAGCCCAGAGGCACTTCCAAGAGGGGGAAGCTCCCAGGCTGTGGATTCAGGATGTGTTAGTTACCTACAGCTGCCCTAATAAATTAACCCAAACAAGGTGGTGTTAAAACAACAGGCATGGACTCCCTCACAGTTCTGAAGGCTAGAAACCCCAGATGGAGGTGACGGCAGGGTTGTCTCCGTCTGCAGGCTCTGAGGGAAAGTCTATTCCAGGCCCCTTTCCAGCTTCTGGGTACTTCAGGCCTGTAGAGGCACCACCCCCATCTCTGTCTCCATCTTCATGTGGCCTCCCCTTGTGCTTCTCCCCATCTTTTCTAGGGACGCTTGTCATTGGATTTAGGACCCACCCTAATCCAGATGAGCTCATCACAAGACTCTTTTTTTTTTTTTTTGTGAGACAAGATCTTGCTCTGTTGCCCAGGCTGGAGTGTAATGGCACGATCTCGGCTAACTGCAACCTCTGCCTCCCAGGTTAAGAGATTCTCCTGCCTCAGCCTCCTGAGTAGCTGGAATTACAGGCATGCACCACCATGTCCAGTTAATTTTTATATTTTTAGTAGAGATGGGATTTCACCATGTTGGCCAGGCTGGTCTCGAACTCCTGGACTCAGTTGTTCCACCTGCCTCAGCCTCCCAAAATGCTGGGATTACAGGTGCGAGCCACTGTGCCCGCCCACAAGATTCTTAATTGCATCTGCAAGGACCTTTTCACCAAATAAGCTCAGATTCACAGGTCCCAGGGGCTACAATGTGGACGTGGTATTTTGGGAATCATCATTCAACCCACTACAAGAAATGAGACTTACCTCCAGCTCAGGGAGCAGAGGGCACCCCCCAGTGTAGACAGCGCTGAACCTCAGTGTGGGAAGGGAAAGACAGGAGTAGCAACAATAGTGAAAGAATAAGAATACATCTTGCCCGGGCTTCCTGTCAGGAAGGAGCATGAAGAGAGAAGCCGTGTGTATGCGTGGACTGATGTTTTTAATAATGGTATCTCCTGAGCTGCATCCCACACTTAGGGGTAACTCTCATCCTATGTCCAAAGCTCTATGTCATGGAAATCAAATTTAAAACTGACACCAAGCATCGAGATGAGAGCATTTGGGCGTCAGAGAGCATCACTTGTACACATTCAAAAAGAAAAACCTTGGAGCTGGTTATGAGGCTGCTACCAGGCACAGGCCTCAAGGAAGTCCGAGGGTCCCCTCTGCTCAGACCCAGAATCCCATGCCGGGGGTGGACGTGGCTTTGGCAGAAAGAGTTCTGGGAAGCTCCTCACTGTCAAATGCAGAGCGGAGGCCAGGAGAGGACCCTGGTCCTTGGAGTCACCCAGGAGCTCACCTTTCTGGGCTCCTGGGCTCTGAATCCACTCCCTAGCACAAATTCATGGGTTTCTTAGACTAACTTCTATATGTTTTTATAATGGGAAGAAATGGCTTATAAGATTCAAAGCAATGAGACCTTCGTAGCACTCAGTTCAGTGCCAGGCACATGTAGACAGGAAATCAAAGTCAGTGGCTGTTCAAGCTGAATTCACGTCCAGGCCCTGCCACCAAATTGCCGAGCAACTTTGCTCCCCTGTGAGAGAAGGTGAATTCTGCCCAGTGTCCCAGTTCCCTGTATAGCAAGCATCCCGAGCACAGTGAGGTTTGGGACGCCGGTTCAGGAGATCTAAGCTCAGGTCACTGAATGGTTGCCATTCCGCAAAAACAGAAGTTGGGGATTGAAAATATTTCAGGTAGCCTGACACGGTGGCTCACGCCTGTAATCCCAGCACTTTGGGAGGCCGAGGCGGGTGGATCACCTGAGGTCGGGAGTTCGAGACCAGCCTGGCCAACATGGCGAAACCCCATCTCTACTAAAAATACCAAAAAAAAAAAAAAAATTATATGGGTTTGGTGGCAGGCGCCTGTAATCCCAGCTACTTGGGAGGCTGAGGCAGGAAAATCGCTTGATCCAGGGAGGTGGAGGCTGCAGGGAGCCGAGATCGCACCACTGCACTCCAGCCTGGGCAACAGAGTGAGGCTCTGTCTCAAAGAAAAAGAAAATGTTTCAGGTGTTCCATGGAGCAGTGTCACTGCCACTCCCTGCTGTGGGGAAAGGCAGAGAGGGAAGGCAGCTGTGAGTGGAGACATCACTGTGGTTGTGAATAAACCACTGAAACCATCGTCCCACAGCAGGCTGGTGGGTGGGGAGGCCCTGGGGTTAGACCTAACACCCTCCTTCCTGAGGGCCGACATTGGACAAACAGGTGTTTTGACTGTTGAAGACACACAGCTGGGGTCTCACAGCCAGCTCAGCCCAGAATGAAGCTCAGAGACCAGAGCTCAGCTCCTGAACAGGCGTCCCCAACCTCACTGTGCTCAGAACCCTTGCTGGACTGGGGACTGGGGAGACTGAGCAGAATTCACCTTCTCTCACGGGGGAACTACCTGGCGATTTGGTGGCAGGGTCTGGACATGAATCCAGCTTGAACAACAGCTGAGTTTGACTTCCTGTCTACCATGTGCCTAGCACTGAGCTGAGAGCTTTGAAAATTTCATTGCTCTGAATCTTAGAATGCCCAAAAAGGTCATCATGAAACCCATTTTACAGATCACGAAACTGCCATAGCAACGATCCTTGATGCATTTATTAAATTCATCCATCTGTTCAGCTTCACAGCCTGAGATTTTTCAGATAATTTAGACAACGGGAGTTTGTCTGACTTCAGTTATTCAGTTAGTGGCTCATACACAGAATATCATAACCAGAAAGATTTTCCTAAGGGTGGCATCCAATTTCTTCATTTTACAGAGGATGACACTGAGGTTCTGGGACGACCTGTGTCTCACCCAAGGCTGCCTGGGTAAAGGGGAGCAGAAACAGGTAGAGGGAGCTGGTCTCCTGAATCCGATCCAGCCCCGTTTTCCTGCCAAGCCCTGGGATGAGGACCTGAGACGCCTTCTCCCACCCACTGCTCTGCGCATTGCACAGAAGAGCGGCTGCTGGTAAAGTTCTGGGAGTTCTGACACATGCACGCCACAGAAACACAGGACTGGGGGTTGTCACCGCTATCAACGTTAATGACAATAAAGGGAAAACAGCATTTCAGTGTCACTTCACTGAGCCATGATTACTCATGCTTCCAGCAAATACTCAAGGAATCAGCACCCCCTACCATCCCTGCTTTATTATGTGTTTTTTTTTAAGCCAGCTCCACTAAACACAGGCTGCATCTGAGGCTGAGGCTGGTGTGGGGGTTAAGTTTCCTGGCAACACATCTGCTCCTTAGCCCTGAAACTTCAGGTTCCTTCTGGCTGGGGGCTGGGGGCTGGGATTGTTTCTGTAGTTCTCATTTCAGACTCTGCTGATGCCAATAAAAAGAAACAATGTCTATCTATCTATCTATCTATCTATCTATCTATCTATCTATCTATCATCTATCCATCTATCTATCCATCTATCTATCCGTCTGTCTATCTATCCGCCTGTCTATCCGTCTATCTATCCATCTATCTACCTATCCGTCTATCTATCCGTCTATCTATCAGTCTATCTATCCATCTATCTATCCATCTATCTGTCTATCCGTCTGTCTATCTATCTATCTATCTATCTGTCTGTCAATCTATCTATCCATCTATCTGTCTGTCTGCCTATCCATCTACCTATCCGTCTGTCTGTCAATCTATCGTCTGTCTGTCAGTCTATCAGTCTATGTATCCATCCATCTATCTATCTATCCGTCTATCTATCTATCAATCTATCTATCATCTATCTGCCTATCTATTCAACTATCTATCCGTCTATCTACCTACCTATCTACCTACCTACTGACAATCACGTGCCATTAAATGAGATTTCTCTCAATAATAGACCTCACAAACAAAGGTCGTCTCCTGAGATTAGGACGCTCCACCTTCACTGTGCCTTTTCTTTGTTTAGATGGCACAGTACTTGCCATTGTGCTGCAGTCTCCTGCAGGATCTATACAGTCACACACTGAACAGGTGCATGGCCCAGGAGCAACTGGCCATACCACATAGCCTCGGTGTGTAGGAGGCTGTGCCGCCCAGGTGTGTGTGAGTGCACCCTGTGATGTTCACATAGCCATAAAATCACCCACAGGTGCATTTCTCAGAGCATATTCCTGTCTTTAAGCAACACACGACTGTATTTATTTATTTATTTATTTATTTAGAAGGAGTTTGTTCTGAAACAGAAGCCAAAATATTCTCTGGGTCCTTTTTGGGGAATGGGCTAAGAACTTCCTTGGGAAAGGCCTCAGCCCCTTCCATTCCCACCCACAGTTCCAGCTGGAGGGCCAGGGAGGCTGCCCAGGCCACAGTCCCATGATCACAGCTGATACATGGCAGATCCCCAGGTAAGGGCCAGGTGGGCATGGGCTGATGGCAAGGGTAGGGCCTGGGCATTTTCTGCACTCAGGTGGGGCTGCAGGGCCCCAAGGCCACAGGCAGAGAAGCCCCTACCTGCCCAGCCCTGGGCAGCACCTGCGCCACACATCACCTACTCACTGCCATAACCGGGCGGCCTGGTCCTCCCTGCGGGTAGGAAGCGCGGCATGTCGATGCCTCAAAGGCCAGAGCAGGCGGACACAAGATGTGCGTACACCCACCTGGGGCTTCTGGATGTCACCTCCACCTGCTAGGACCAGGCGCTACTCTTCCTGCCAGGGTCCTGCCAGGGTCCTGCCAGCAGCTGGGCAAGGCATCGGCGGCAGTGAAACCAACCACAGGCCACTTCTGCTGCTCACGCAGAGTCTCAGTGCAGGAAACCACCCCCAGGAGTCCTCCCAGGTCCAGGCACAGAGGACAATGCTTGGGTCATGGACATGGTGGAGGAATGCAGCCTCAGGAGATGTGAGTGGCAGCCCACACAGTGTCCCTGCCTCCTTGGCCTGGCAGCTGCTCTACCTGGCATGGATGCCGGCCCCACCCCGACCTGAGCCTGGTTCAGACATGACACTCCAGTTCCTTCCCAGGCCTCATGGACCCCGGGGGAATTCCAGTGCTGCCTGCTTGCCATTGCCTCTCAGATGCTCTGTGTGTGTGTGTGTGTGTGTGGTGTGCGTGTTATGTGATATGTGCCATGTGGTGTGTATGTGCTGTGTGGTGTGTGTTACATGTGTACTGTGTGGTGTGTATGTGTGGTATGCAGTGTGTTGTATGTGTGGTGGGTGTCATGTGTGTTGTGTGGTATGTGGTGTGTTTGGTGGTTGTGGTTGTGTTGGTCAGTTACTGTCACTGTCTCTCTTTCTCTCTCTCACACACACACACCACACAATTTCTTCAATCCTCACAAGAAAACTTTAGTTTACTGTAAAAGCGACCACTGTGAATGACATCTGCTTTGGGAAGATGTATTCTTTCTTACGCCCCCTAGACATTATGAAAACCCTGGGTGTTATACATAAAGCAGGCATGAGAAGATTCTGGTAAAGGCAGGCCAACTAGGGGCCTCAGGACCCAGGGAGTGTCAGGATGGTGAGTCCCTGGGGTTTCCTTTGGCATCATATACCCCAGACTCCACCCCGATTGAGGAGGAATGGAGCGCCCCTCCCAGCCCATCAGGGTAACAGAGGAGGCCCAGGGAAGAGTCGGATTTTCACCACTGTTCGTGATCTGCTAATTTTTTATTTCTTTTATAGAGATGAGGTCTCACTCTGTTGCTCAGGCTTGTTTCCAACTCGTAGGCTTAAGTCATCCTCCCACCTTGGCCTCCCAATGTGCTGGGATTACAGGTGTGAGCCACCATACGTGGCCGTGGATTTTTTTTTTATGTGGTTGAGTTTTGAGAGTTCTGTACATATTCTAGATACTAGAACATCTTCAGCCTCTTAGCAGGGTCTTTCACAGATTGAGTTTTTAATGTTGATGAAGTCAGTTATTAGCTTTTCCATTTATGTATTATGTTTATGGTGTCAAGTCTATGAACTCTTTGCCTAACTGTAGGTCCTGAAGATTTTGTCCTATTTCTTTTCCCAAAACCCTTTATTTATATGCTTTAAGGTATCTTCTTTCCACTCTCCTTTCAGAATTCTGATCACAAGAATATTAGATCTTCTGTTATAGTCCCACTGGTCCCTGAGAGTCTATTCATTTTTTTCATTCTATTTTATTTCTCTAGTTCAGATTGGGTAATTTCTATTGCTCTATTTTCCACTTTAATGATTTTCTCCTCAATCCCCTCCATTCTGCTGTCAAGCCATCCACTGAGCTTTTCGTGTTGGTTATAGTATTTTTCAGTTCTCAAATTTTCATTTAGTACTTTTTATATCTCCTATTTCTTTGCTGAGACTTTGTATTTCTTTGTTGAGGCATTTTGTGTCTTCGCTTGTTTAAATGTAATTGTAATTGCCCATTGAAACATTTTTATTGTGGCTGCTTTGAAATCCTTGTCAGATAGTTCTAGCATCTCCGTCTTCTAGGTGTTAGCATCTATTGATTTTTTTTTCCTTTAGTTTGAGTTCATCTGTTCATAGTAGAGTGGATGATTTTCCACTGAAACCTGGACATTTTTGTATTATATTCTGAGACTTTGAGTCTTATTTAAAACTTTGCTCTTATCTGTTTTTTTCTGATACTGTCCCAGCAGCAGAAGAGGGGCACTGCCTCACTCCTGCCAGAACTCTCAAAACTCAACCATATAAAAAAAATCCATGGCCAGGCATGGTGGCTCACACCTGTAACCCCAGCACATTGAGGGGCCAAGGTGGGAGGATCACTTGAGGCCAGGAGTTTGAGGCTGCAGTGAGCTATAATTGCACCACTGCACTCCGGCCTGAATGTGAGAGAGAGACACTGACTCTATAAAAATCAAATAAAATAAAATTTAAAAAACAGCTAGAATTCAGAAGACATGAAGAAATATTAAACCACATTTGGATTTCATTACACATCTACCAAAATGGCTAAAACAAAAAAAGTGACAACACCAAATGCTGTCAAGGATACGTAGAAATTGAATCATTCATGCATTGCTGGTGGGAATGTTAAATGGTAGAGCCACTCTGGAAAACAGTTTGGCAATTTCTTAAAAATTAACCATGGAACCCAGCAACTGTATTCCTGGGTATGTATCCCAGAGAAATGAAGATTTATGTTCACACAAAATCCTGTATACAAATGTTTACAACAGTTTTTTTTGTTGTTGTTCAAAATAGCCCCAAACTGAAAACAACCCAGATAGCTTGTAACAAGTAAATCGTTAAAAAAAAAAAAAAAGTATCCTGTAATCCCAGCACTTTGGGAGGCTGAGGCGGGTGGATCACGAGGTCAGGAGATCGAGACCATCCTGGCTAACATGGTGAAACCCCGTCTCTACTAAAAATACAAAAAATTAGCCGGGCATGGTGGCAGGCGCCTGTAGTCCCAGATACTCAGGAGGCTGAGGCAGGAGAATGGCGTGAACCCGGGAGGCAGAGCTTGCAGTGAGCAGAGATCTTGCCATTGCACTCCAGCCTGGGAGACAGAGCGAGACTCCGTCTCAAAAAAAAAAAAAAGTATCAGCATACTTAAGGCTACTACTCAGTAGTAAAAAGAAACAAACAACTTCCCTAAATTTCCAGAGCATTATGCTGAGTGAAAAAAAAAACCCAACCCTCGAACGTTACATATGCCACAATTCCATTATTATAATAGCCTTGAAATGACCACATTCTAGAAATAGAGACGAGATTAGTGGTGCCAGGCATTGAGGACGGTGGGGTGCAGGAAGGAATGGGTGTGGTTACAAAAGGGCATTTGAGGATGCCCTTGCTGGTGGGAATCGCTGGCTTATTGGCTTGTTTCCAACTCCTAGACTCCAAGGATCGCTGGATGATAGAAATTTTCTGTGACTTGACCTTGTCAATGTCAATATCCTGGTTATGATAATGTGCTATGATTTTGCAAGATGTTGCCTGTAGGGGAAACTGAGTAAAGGGTACATGAGTTTTTTCTGTATTATATATCTTATAATGGTATGTGAATGTGATTCTACAATTATCTCAAGATAAAAAGTCTAATTACAAGGGCACAGGCCATAAGCATTACATCTGCCTATTTCCATGTCTTGAGATTCTTCATACTTGTCAATTTGACTGTGTAGGGTAGACCTTGGGTTTTATGGCATCTGCTATCTCTCTCAGAACACGTCTGCCATCATATTGCAAAGCTTGTTCTCAGTCTCCTGGAGCATGAGAGACTGTATGGAGCAAGAAAGAGCCACCCCAGTAGGCCGGGATGCCCCTTCCTCCACCAAGCTGGCTGCTTAGGGTTGTCACCTGAGTGGGCTCAGGTGAGACCAGCAGGGACCAGGACACCAAGCTCAGAATCATGCAAGTGCATGTATTGTTCTAAGTCACAAGGAATGGGGGCATTTGTTATGCGGCAGTTGATAACTGACACAGGCTGAATGGTTATGTGTTAGGGATGCTGGGCGTGTGGTATGGACGTGACCTTGGATGAGAAGGTGGCCCAAACTCCTTCTCTTCTGAGGTCTGGGGCTCTATCTCAAGGCTATAAATTAAGTTCAGGCCCCTATAAGGCACTTGCATTCTTAGCTTGGAGAGAGACATTTGTCTGTCAAAGACAGGATCTGTGTTTCCTTTTCAGTCTCATCTATTTACAAGTGTGCCTCCAGGTTCTGTTGAAATTTGTCTGAGAATTTATGGTCTCAGCCGATCAACCATCCCTTGAATTATTCAGCTTCCTAAAGCCTCACCTCACAACAGGAAGTGAGCCCAGTCAACTTTCTATGAAATAATCCATCAACACCACAGGCTACATGGTGGACTGATTGACGTTCAAAGGCCTTGTATTTGCAGTTTTGCAAGTTATGCCTATAATACTCACAAAGGTGAAAAAAACCCTGTGAGTATTATTCAGCTGTAAACTACAGACAGGAAAATATCTCAAGCAAAATAACCATGGCTTGCATTGTTTAGCACTACATAAATTTCAAAGAGCTTTCAAATCTGAGATGATTTTTGGCCTTTATGGCATTTCTCTGACATGGGAAGAGGACATACTTATATGAGGAAATCTAGCTGCCACTCAGTCCTAACACGTTAGGACTAGTCAACAGCTAAGCTGAGCAAACTGCCTTTCCCCGAAATGTAAAATTTTGACTGGTCCTAGCTGCATTCACTTCTGTATCTATAGGAGGCACATCACAGATGCTCAATCTGAATTTGTACGTGTTTTCTGTCATAAAGGTACCTTGCTCAACCTGACAACCTTAACCCCTAATAGACCACCTTGCTCATAATAAGTGCCCAAGTGATGTTTCCTAAGCAGAGTTGAGTTACTACTGGTGAACAACATTTTATGACTGTTTCCTTTATTTAAATGCTAATTTTTTTAAAAGCTCACATGCTGACTTAGTCCACCTCTTCTGTTGGATATATGCAAGCCCCAGTAAACACAAGCCAGTGGTGATAAGTGAGGGTTGCATGAAAAAATATCAACAGACTGTGGAGCCCACATCAACACTCAAATTCACAAATACCCTTGGCAGTTCAAACACATTCTCATTTGCAGCTGGATGACCTGGGAAGTAACACTTATGCTCTCTGGACTTTTGATTTCCCATCCAAAAACAGGAGCAATGATACCAACCTTGTTGGCAGTTATGATAATTAAGAGTAATATGTGCTAGCCGTCTGTCAGAGATCTTGTTCCGCATGAGGGCTGCTACAAGGGCAGATGCTCTTACTGTTGACAGAGACTGCATATTGTAGGTCAGTAGAGTTCAAGTACCCAGTATTATAATCAGAAACAAAAGGATTGCTATCATTGGAGCGAGGCAGAACTGAAGCTGCCTTCTCATTTGTCAACACTCAGCTTAAAGGACACTCCCTATAGATGCTACCTCTTTCCTTCTCCAAAGGTGGCACCCACACCCCTCCATGGCTTGTGGTACAGACCATCCTGCTGTGCTGGTGACTTCCCGCCTCTGTACCTGTGTCCTGGGCTATACTGCCCCTGCCCTCATCCTCCAGGCTGGTTCCTGGGAGGTATCCAGAATGGGAATCACGCTGAGAATTCCTACCTTCCACATCTATAGTGTCCACCCCTGCACCTTCCTGCCTCCCTGGAGCATCCAAGTAAGTTCACTCTTGCTGAAGCCAAGTCCCCTTCTCATTTCTCTGTTGCTGAGCTGCGTTGAGCAGAGTCTGGGATGAAATGCTGGTGGTGGAGAGAGGAAAGCAGAGGAAGAGGTCTAGCATTTGAGGCTCAGAGCTTGAAGTCTGAGACCCATTTTCTTTGCACCTCCAGAATGGAGATGGATCCTCCTATCCCAAGATAAGCTCTTACCTTGTAGTCTTGCAAAATACCGTGAGAACCCTAACTATTTTGTAAAAAGTGTGATAAAGCAGATTTGCCCCAAGTCCACAGAAGTATGCAGTTCTGTGTGCCCATGGAGAGGCTGGCTCTGCCTTGGAAACGACAAAGCTCCATTCAGGTTCTTGTTAAAATGCAGATCGGGATGTAGTAGGTGTGGGTAAGGGCCTGAAACTCTGCATTTGTAACAGGGTTCCTGGTGCTGCTGCTGTCGCTGGTCCTTGCAGCCCCTGTAGCCCAGGGAGGCCAAGGGCTGGAATCCTGGATTTAGGGGTCCAGCTGTGTGGCTTACGGCACATGGCTTATCCTGTCATCTCTGTAAAATGAAGACAGGAATGCTCGTCTCCTTGGGTTGCAGGCAGAACTGAGAATTCTATGGGTAACTACAGCTGTCAGAAGGGCGATGTGGTGTCAGGCGCAATATACAGCTTCCTTACACAGGCAACAGATGCAAGAGCTTCGGGGAAAAAGAGAAATGAGGTATCAGGTCAGGGAAAGTCATGGAGAAAACTTAAGTGCTTATGGCTAAGTGAGAGAAGCCAACCTGAAAAAGTTACAGACTGTGTGATTCCAACTACACGACATCCTGAAAAAGGCAAAATTATGAAGACAGTGGTTGCCAGAGGTTCGGGTGGAGGCAGAGAGGAGCAGGTGGAGCACAGAGGATTTGTAGGGCAGGGGAGCTCCTCTGGATACTGTAATGGTGGATTCCTGTCATATTTGCCCAGACCTACAGAATGCAGAACACCAAGCATAAACCCTGGTGGAAATTATAGATTTGGGCCAATGTATCAATATCGGCTCATCAATTTTAACAACGTACCACTCCAATGCAAAATGTCAATAACAGAGAAATGGTGTGCGGGACATGTATAGGAACTCTCTGTATTTTCTGCTCAATTTGTCTATAAACCTAAAATGGCTCACAAAAATAAAATCTATTGTTATTTTTTAAAATGAAAATAAAAATAAACATTAACAGATATTTCAAATTCTAAAAGAGATACAAGAACTTAGCAGCAGAACTGTGGCTAGCAGAGGACAGAGAGCAGGGGGCAAGCCTCCTCCCCCTCCATCCTCATCTCTCCACCTTCCATCTCCTCCTCTACCAAAAAAGAAGCACCAATAATAAAAATACCAGCAGTCCACAGAAACCAAGACTCCATCTGTTCTGTGGTAAAGCTGCTCTTTGCCAACCCTAAGGAGATTTTCCGTCCGTCCTTTTGAACTCATGGCCGCTTTCCTCCCAGCTCACCAGAGGCAGATCACAATGGAAAAGGCAGCATTTTTCCAAGTGTCCTCTCTAAGGCTGGGCAAGAGGAAGATCAAGTTCGAGGGAAAACATTCTCTAGCAGGTTTGCCCTGCAGCGTTAGGCCTGACTCCGAGTCTATCCACGCATAACAATCTCACAGAGTGCCCGGCCCAATCTTAGTGCTTGGCGGGTGGGAGACGTCACCGACCTTCCTCCAGGGATCAGGCAGTGTCCACACCCCGCCCTGCTGTCTGGTCCAGAGCTACAGCTTACACCCATGTAGAATTGCCACTTTTTAGTGGAATAAATAGCTCTTATCTACACTGGATCTTAGTCAAAAGTCCAGGAAACAATGAGAGCTCTTGTCTATGGAAGCACTTGTTGAAAATATTTTAGTTTCCATGGTTGCTGAAAACCCTAAAGGTAAGATGACCCTACAATTTATCAGTGAAACTAAGATACATTTGAGAATAAATGGCACAGAAGCACTACAGATAATTTTTAAAAAATTATATATGTACATACTTATGAACATGTTCATACACAAATCAATTTGTTTTATTCTATTGATAAGCCTATTAAATAATTCTATTCAAAAATAATTTGCAAAAATAAAATGTATTTCAAAAAATAGCATCTATTCATGTTCATTAAAGCATGACTTAAAAAGTCTTATCTTTAGTTATTAATATCATACTAATTTTATTTATTTATTTATTTTGAGACAGAGTATCACTCTGTCACCCAGGCTAGAGGGCAATGGTGTGATCTTGGCTCTTTGCAACCTCCACGTTCTGGGTTCAACCAATTCTCCCACCTCAGCCTCCTGAGTAGCTGGGACTACAGGTGCACACCCCAATGCCCAGCTCATTTTTGTATTTTTAGTAGAGATGGGGTCTTGCCATGTTGGCAGGCTGGCCTCGAACTCCTGAGCTCAAGTGATCTGCCCACCTCGGCCTCCCAAAGTGCTGGGATTAGAGGTGTGAGTCGCTGCACCTGGCCTATTATACTGATTTTAAAATTAAACAATAGTTTAATAAATTTGGGCACAATCTATGTACTTTTTGATCTATTTCTTAGCCAGATCCATATAAAATATATATCACTAGTATTTTGCTGAAAAAGTATTGTTAATATGGTTTTAATTTGAACATTTTCAAAATAGTGACTATAATTTTTTTCAAGGTCAAATTTTATGAATAAGGCACTTGAAAATATGATAAATTAAATGATGACAAATCCAAATGACCCTTCTCTTCAAACCTTGGTATTTTTAGTTGAGAAAATATTTTATCTGTAGGTCCTGAAATACCCGGTAAGCTCAGATAAATTTCTGCTAAACGTGAATATTCTCATATGTAAGTTTTTACTGAAATATTAAATACATCAACTTGTAAATTTTCACAAGTATACACTACTTAAATTCTTTAGGTAAAGCGGAGTAATATAGAATGGAAAGTCAAATCTTTAACAAAGACTCAAGAGAACATATGTAGATAAATATAAAAGACTCTATTTTCTTCTTATTTCTTTGAAATACAATTTGTTTTTATATTTCTTTGAAATACAATTGTTTATAACTAAGCGTAGAGTATTACATTGTGGCATACATGATAATGTAGACATGATATATATGATATTAACTCTAGCACAAAATACCAGGTGAAGGTAAATAGAGCTGCAAGCTTGCAAGGCTTTTACATGATAATACATATAAGGTGGCACAATTTCAACACTAAATATACTTAAACATGAATAGAATATATAATAATCTCTACAGCAACTGCAAAAAAATCAATATTGGCAGGGAAGAGCTGAACAACACTATTATCACCCAAATTGGTACTTTCAGAGAACTACTCACATGACTTCAAAATCCATATTCCATTCAAGTACAAGCATGTTGTAATCGCCAAGATAAATCATATGCCGGGCCATAAAATGAATATCAGTCAAGTTAAAATGATTATAAGAATATTGAATATGCTCTTTGACTAGAACAAAACTGAGTCAAAAATCAACAAAAACACAGTATCTGGAAATCCCCAAAATAACAGAAATTAAATAATATATTCCTTAATAATTATAGATCAAAAAAGAAATTACAAGAGAAAAAATATTTTGACCAGATTCTTAATGAAAACACATTAAAAACTTCAGGTTGTTAATTCAAGCTCTTCAAAATGTAGTTGAAGCAGGCTTCCAAGAAACACACGACAATAAATGCTCATATTTGAAAATGATAATGGTATAAATTCAATGATATAAAATTGCATTTTTAGAAGTTAGAAGCAGAAAAAACAGTAACCCAAAACAAGTAAGAATAAGAAAATAGTAAAGATAAGAACTAGAATCTAGAATATAGAGAAAAGAAAAACAGTAGAAAAATTAATGAGCCCAAAATTTAGGTTTTTGAAGATCGAAAAAATCGATAAACTTTTAATATGATTCATTAATAAAAAAGGAGAGTACAAATTACAGTTAACAGCAGTGAAATTGCGGGGAGGGCATCACTACAGATCCTATGGACATTAAAAGGAAATGAGGGAATGTTGTGGAGGCGTTTACGTCAATATACTTGACAAGTTAGGTAAATTTATTGAAATAAAATTTATCATAATTGACTCAAGATGAAATAGGAAACCTGAATAGGCCAAAATGTATAATAAAGGGGAGAGCTCCTTTGTCCGTGGAGTGAGGATTCACTCTATTCGTTTAGCTATCGCTCCTCCCCAAATTGAATTTTAGATTCCATACAATTGTCAAAACATTTCCAGAAGGCATTTTTGTGGAATTTGATAATTTGGTTTGGAACTTTATAAGAAATGGAAATACCTCTAACATTAAAATAAATATTTTTAAAATAACAAAGTTAACAAAACATCTGACTTCAAACTTGCTATAAAGCTATAGTAATTAAGATACTGATATAAAAATAGAAAGATTGAGGGCTGGACACGGTGGCTCACGCCTGTAATCCCAGCACTTTGGAAGGGTGAGGTGGATGGATCACGAGGTCAAGAGATTGAGACCATCCTGGCCAACATGGTGAAACCCCATCTGTACTAAAAATACAAAAATTAGCTGGGTGTGGTGGCGTGCGCCTGCAGTCCCAGCTACTCGGGAGGCTGAGGCAGGAGAATCGCTTGAACTCGGGAGCTGGAGGTTGCAGTTAGATTACTGAAATAAAATAGAGTACCCTGTGTTTTAATAGTCTATTAATTTTTTATTTAAAATATTTTTCTGTATTTTTCCTTTTTTCTTTTCATATTTAATGTATCCAGCTGATCATAGTCCATTAATGTTTGAAGAATAGCACCAAAGCAATACAATGTGAAAGAAAAAGTCACTTCAACAAATGGTGCTGGAACAACAAGATACATTTAGGAAAAATTAAATCTCAGCCCAATCTCACAATATACACAAAGATTTAATCTGTAAAGCTTCTAGAAGAAAACAGACAAAAGAACGTCTTCATGAATGGAGGGTATGAAAAGTTTTCTTAATACACAGAAAGCAATACCGTAAAAGAATAAGACATAATTAATTTGTCTTAATTAAATGTATGCCTTCTCATTAAAAGAAAGCATTAATAAAATGAACGAGCAAGCCACAGATTGCAAGAAAATATTTGCAAAATATGTATCTGACAAAGACTTTTATCAAGTGTGTCTAGAGAACTCTTAAGGCTCAATGATGAAAAGACAAACAATCTAATTAAAAACCAGCCAAATATTTTTTAAAAGATATACAAGTGGTCAGTAAGTTCATACGAAAGCGTTTAACCTTATTAGCCATCAGGGAATGAAAATTCAAACTACAGTAAGGTATTATTCACCCACAAATAACAAAATTGCTGTAACTAAAACCCCTGACAACACCAAATGTTGGCAAGGATGTGAATCAGTCAGAACTCTCTTACATTTTTGGTGACATTTTAGAATGCTACAACCACTTTGGAAAATATTGGGCATTTTCTTCTAAAACAAACATATGCCCATGAGATGAAATCATATGTCTGTAGAAAGACTCTCCCAAGAATTTTCCTAGCAGCTTTATTCATAGTAGCCCCAATCTGGAAACACCCTATGTGACCATCAAGAGGGCAACTGATAAACAAACCGTGATATATTCATAACATGAACAAACAGTAGTATATTCAGCAATGAAAAGTTAATAGTTTCAATAAAACGTGTAGTGATACACGACCACATGAATGAATCCTAAAATCATTATGCCTAGTGAAAGAAAATTTTCACTGAGAAAGTCTATATCATATGATTCAATGTATATGAAGTTCTAGAACAGACTGAACTAATCTCCGGTGAAATAAATCGAAGCAGCAGTTGCCTCTTGGGGTGAAGGTGGAATGGCCAGAGGAAAGTGGGGGGTGAAAAACGTCCTATGTATTTTTTGCTTAGTCAGTGTATTTACTAAAACCTATCAAACACTACCCTAAAAATTGTGCATTTTGCAATATGCAAATTCTAACTGAGAAAAAGTAGAAACACACTTTGGGAGGCCGAGGCAGGCAGATCACAAGGTCAGGAGATCCAGACCATCCTGGCCAACGTGGTGAAACCCTGTCTCTACTAAAATACAAAAAATTAGTCCGGCATGGTAATGCACGCCTGTAGTCCCAGCTACCCGGGAGGCTGAGGCAAGAGAATCACCTTTACCCAGGAGGCGGAGGTTTCGGTGAGCTGAGATCACACCATTGCACTCCAGCCTGGGCAATAGGGTAAGACTCCATCTCAAAAAAAAAAAAAAAAGAAAAGAAACATAACAAAATTGAGTTCATAACATGCATGCTGAAATATTTACAAAATGTACTGATGTCTATCACATTCCAATGTATCAAAAAATAAGATGGGTTAATGAATAAATGGGAGAATAGATACAGAAAGTATGTATAATAAAGTGTTAATGGTACAATAGATGTTGTGGGTGTATAGGTAGTCTCTGTAAAATTCTTTCAACTTTTCTGTATCATTTGAGAATTTGCATAATAAAATGCCGAGGAAAGAAGAGTTTCATCAACTGTTGCCTCCCACATGTTGCTGTATTCCAAAATGCAATTACAGAGTTTCAACATTAAATCTTACCACTTGATGAAATCTCATTGTTAAATATCAGTTTCTTTCTTATGTTAGAACAGATAAACATTTCAATAATTGCAATTTGCTAAAAGCTCTGAAATCACAAATTATTTTTGAAACTATATGAAGAATTCTTTGATTAAAGATTTTTGAAATCAAAGACTTCTTAATAAAATGCAACTGAAATGTAGAGAACTCCTTTAGAAAAAGTTCAGTAAGATTGTGGGTCACATAGTTTGATTTACAAAGTAGTACACGAGGGCTCAAACGTTTTTAAGACCCAATTGAGTACGGGCTGCAACAAAAGTAAGAATATATTTTTCGTATCTAAAGTCACTTTGATGACACGCACAAAGAATATGTTGTAGTGGACTTGTGTATGTGACTTGTGACTGTGTATGTATACAAAATATATATATTTTTAAATATTTATTTATCTATTTATTGAGATGGGGCTTCACTCTGTCACCCAGGCTGGAGTACAGTGGCATGATCTCGGCTCACTGCAACCTCCAACTCCTGGGTTCAAGCAATTATCCCACCTCAGTCTCCTGAGTAGCTGGGATTACAGGTGTGCACCACCACACCCAGCTAATTTTTGTATTTTTAGTAGAGACAGGGTTTTGCCATGTTGGCCAGGCTGGTCTTGAACTCCTGACCTCAGGTGATCCTCCCGCCTTGGCCTCCCAAAGTGCTGGGATTAAAGGCATGAACCACCTCACCCAGCCTAAAAATATTTTTAAATCTTTGGTTGGTGTGATGTCACAATTTGAACGCCATTAGGAGTTATAAATGCACCACAATCAATTACAAGCTCTATAGTTTCTTAATCTAGTAAAATAATTGTTTTGGTCATAACTCTACGCAACATTAAATTTTTATTAATTTTCCCTACAAAAACTAATGATTTTCTCATCAATATCTAAATTTGTAACAGAATTTACAATGCTTTCACAATAAAGTCAGAATACTTTTAACAAAATAAATTCCCCAAAATTCTTATTCATTAATTATATTAAATAAAGCCTCATTTTTAAAATAAATGGACTGATTTACCATTTTAAAATATTGATGTATAACTTGCACTATTTAACTATCGGCAAATTTCTTTGATGGTAATTCACCCAACATGTTAATAACTATGCTTTACTTTTCAAAGATGCACAAGAAAAATTGAAATAGATAACCACCAAAATTAAATTAGAGAAAAAGTCAGTTGACTGAATTGAACAGCCGTGATTTTCACAGTCAGATGGTATTTTTGCAGCTACACATGATCAGTTTTCATGATCTTTCAGAACACACTTCTTAAAATAAGTACCAACTTTTCTTTCTGAGACAGGGTATCACTCTGTCACCCAGGCTGGAGTGCAGTGGTGTGATCATAGCTCACTGCAGCCTCGTCCTCCTGAGCTCAGCTGATCCTCCAGCCTCAACCTCCTGAGTGGCTGAGACTATATGTGTACACCAGCATGCCTGGCTAAGTTTTACTTTTTTGCCCAGGCTGGTCCCAAACTCCTGGGTTCAAGCAATCTCCTACTTCAGCCTTCCAAAGTACTGGGATTACAGGTGTGAGCCACCTTGCCTAGCCTAATCACAGTCTTAACTACAATATTAGACAAGAACACAGCAGAAGCTGGAAGTTCAAGGTGGAAGGGTACCAAATCCATCTGGTTTATCTTAATACAACTATTAATAATAACATTTTCCTTACCAATAAAACATCTGACACAAAATACTCTTCTGGACAAAAGCCTGGGACTATAGACATGAATTAGGACATCTTCTGCACACTGAGACCTGAATCCACCGTATTCGTGATATTTCAGATGGTCCTCCTGAATACGAACAGACCTGGAAGTCAGAACAATACACCCGCAGACCTGTCCCAGGTGTGTCCTGGCACAGCCATTGCAAGCAAAGTTTGTCCAGAATACTGTTGCTGTCTCCCTTTAACAATGAAAGTGAGTTTAGATGTAGTCACATCAATAAGTTATATATTTTCCAGGTATATGTAAAGGAATATCTTGTATGAACAACGAAGACACAAGACCTTATTTCTTTCAAGGCAACCTCCGTGGACTTCATAAAAAAAGGAATTATCCCGTATTCAGCTTTTTAAATGCTGGAATATTAGAGATTTAGATTCTGCTCCTCTGCAAATAATTCCCTCAATCCCTCAGGTGTGGAGCGGCTGGTGTCTGGAGGCTGGAGGAGAGGAGATGTGTATACACCAGCCAGGCCTGCCTTCAGGGATCCTTTCTAAAAGGGCCTTGGAGGAAATGTTTGGGGGTGTTAAGGCGAGGAGTACATAAGTACAAATATTAGCAGATCATCTCATTTTTTTCTTCTCCAGCATCATTTTCATACCATGATGTTGAGCCTGAAATTGAATTTTAGACGTCACAGATTGTAAAGACACATCATCAATTTCATAATGGATTTTCTGGGTAAAAAAGGAGCATGGCATTTCACGTAAACCTTGTTGTAAAACACATCATAATTTTAGAAATATTAAAATGTGAAAAAAGACTCTGCATCTTGGAATACAGGATATTTAAATTGGAATGTTTTTATTCGCAGGTCATTTAGTACTCAGTCACTTTGTAGACAGTTGCTCAGCACACACCATCTGCAAGAGAAGCCTGCAGACACCTGGACAGGTACTATCAAGTTGAACCATATGAAGCTTCCATTGTTTGTATGTCAAAAACACCAGAGTGTCAGCAATTTCATATGGCTCAACCTACAATAATAACAACAGTCTGGGTCAACTATCAGGTGCAACACTTCACCTAAATATTGCTAAATTCCCAAAAACCAACACATGAATTAGAGACCACCATCCCACTTTCATACAAGGGGAAACCTAAATGCAGAAATGAATGCATGGTCTCATCTGGCCGCCACTCCTGGGAGGGCTCCTCTCTCAGGTTGCTGGGACCTGTTCCTCCATTTGTCATCCTTCCACTCCCTCTGTGCCCTGCCTCTCTGGCCCTGCACACGCTGTCTGCTCTCTAGCAAAGCTACATTGACACCAAGCTTCTCCTAATGGGAAAATTAAGGCCCTTCTCAGACTCCAAACTAGGAAAGGATCTCCCCAGCTGTAAAAACGTGGCCAACCTGGCACTTCAGCTGAGACATCAGTAGGTTCTTCTCTGAGTAGCTGGTCAGGGTTTTCATCATAACCATCTCTTAGTCTAAATCCTGTTACTCACACTTGGCATCCAGAACGGTAGTGCCATACAGCTAAAATCCCGACTCTGAGAGCACATGGGGGTTCCATAGGTGGGGAAGGATTTATTCTTGCAACAGTAAATAACCCACTGCCAACTCTGTGTATGGCCCTGCCCGAGATGCTGAGCAGATGGAGAGATTAAACAAGGAGAGACAAGAGTTTCTCATCTTCAAGGACCAAAATCAAACTGTGATAAATGCTTCAGGGAAGGTGAAAACCCTCCATCATGGATGCAAGGATTTCTCAATGGAAAATTATTATTCAGAAGTCACTAAAAAGAGGCTACATCACCAGCAAGAGGGCCACATTTAGTCTTTTTCTTTTTTTAAAAAAAGTAAAACTGGCCAGGAGCAGTGGCTCACGCCTGTAATCCCAGCACTTTGGGAGGCCAAGGCAGGTGGATCATCTGAGGCCAGGAGTTCAAGACCAGTCTGGCCAACATGGTGATACCCCATCTCTACTAAAAATATAAAAATTAACCAGGCATGGTGGCAAATGCCTGTAATTCCAGCTACTTGGGAGACTGAGACAGGAGAATCACTTGAACTCAGAAGGGAGAGGTTGCAGTGAGCCGAGATCGCGCCACTGCACTGGATAACAGAGCAAGACTCCATCTCAAAAAGCATAAATAAAATAAAATTAAATTAAATTTAAAAAGGAAAACTTTCCATTTAAGTTTGAAATAAATACATAAAGAGTGTCTATGTGGTTGCCTTAGTCTGTTCAGGCTGTTCTGCCAAAATACCATACACAGGAGGGCTTCAGCAACAGAAACGTATTCCCACGGTTCTAGAGACCGGAAGTCCAAGACCAGGTGGATTCCGTGTCTGGGGAGGGCTTCCTGGCTCATAGAACCAGATCCTCACAGGTTCTCACTGTAGCCGCAGATGGTGGGAAGGGGAGGAGTCTCTCTTGGGCCTCTTTTATAAGGACATTAATTCCATTCATGACAGTTCTGCTTTTATGACCTAATCACCTCCCAAAGGCCCTACCTCCTCATCCCCTCACCTTGGTGATTATTTCAATACATGAATTTGAGGGGGACACTAATATTCAAACATTCAGAGCATGGCAAGAATGTATGCTCAGTTTAAAGATGGCTTTAAGTTACTAAAAGGAACATTCAGGGGTTGGAATGCTACCTGTCAGGTGCTATGCTCACTACCTTGGTGACGAGATCATTCATACACCAAGCCTCAGTGACACACAATTTACCCACAAAACAAACCTCACATGTTCCCCTGCACCTAAAATAAAAGTAGAAAAAAAAGGTTAAAAATACAAATAGAATAAAGAAAAGAGAAAAAAGAAGGGAAAACTCCTGGAATGAGCGTGTAACCTACCCAGGGCTATATAAACCCAAGTCTACACGTCCCATTGTCCCTCAGAGAGAAATGGTAATGCTAACTTCAGTTTTCTGCAAGTACTTCCTTTACTTCTCTTAATAGGTTCATTAAATATAAAGGGGTTTTTTTGGTTTTTTTTTTTTTTTTTTTGAGACAGAGTCTCACTCTGTCACCCAGGCTGCAGTGCAGTGGCGTGATCTCGGCTCACTGCAACCTCCGCCTCCTGGGTTCAAGCAATTCTCCTGCCTCAGCCTCCCGAGTAGCTGGAATTACAGGCACCCACCACCACGCCTGGCTAATTTTTGTATTTTTAGTAGAGATGGGGTTTCACCATGTTGGTCAAGCTGGTCTCGAACTCCTGACCTCATGATCCACCCTCCTCAGCCTCCCAAAGTGCTGGGATTACAGGCATGAGTAAAGGTGTTCTTAAAAAGTATAGTCTAGTTGTACCTGTTTTTGTAACCTGTCAAAATAAGAACTCATGGCTATGAGCCTGGATGGTGTAGTGCAAGCTCATTCAACCAGCAGACCACAGGCCACACACAGCCCAGGATGTCTTTGAATGCAGCCGAACACAAACTCATAAACTTTCTTAAAACATCATGAGGTCTTTTTGCAATATCTTTTTAGCTTACCAGCTATTGTTAGTGTTACTGTATTTTTTATGTGTGGCCCAAAACAATTTTTCTTCCTCCAATATGGCCAACAAAAGATTGGACACCCCTGGTAGTAGGTAAAGAGCCTGCACTCTGGTCCTCAGGGACCTGGGCTTGAATCCAACACTTCCACTTGCAGTTCCGTGGCAGGTGAGCAAGACATTTACTAAGGTCATGCACCTCAGCTTTCTCCTTGTAAAACAGTGACGACAGTAGTGTAGACCTCACGGGGTGCTCTGAGGATCAAGTGAATTGACGCATCAAGTGGGTAGAAAAGAGCCCGATGCACGGTGAGCACCATGCAACGACTTTCTGTCATCACCATCCTCCACTCCACGTGTTTGCCAGCCAACATTGCATTTCCTGAGACCCAGCCCCATTGATGTACATATAGGCAGCTCCATTATTTTTATCATTGCATCCATCTCTTCAACCATACATGAACAGTATATGAAATGAGAGGGGGAATTACTGGGTCATAGGATATGCAGGTTTTCAAATTTGCTAGAGAATGACAAATGTTTTTCAAAGTCCTTGCATCAATTTAGACTCCAGCCAACCGTATGTCAAGTTCCCATTCTTGGCAGCCTTGCTGCTATTTGGCATTGTCAGATTCTTCTGTTTCTGTCAACTTGGATGCTTTGAAATGACATCTCATTGTGGTCATAATTTTCAGTTTCCTGATAGCTAATTAAGATATACATCTTGCCATAATTTTATTGCGCATTCCTGTTTTGTTTGTTGGTTGGTTGGTTCATTTTTTAATTCATTTCATTTCTTTGGATTTATTTTTTTTAGCATTTTCTGTTGGGTTGTTTTCTTGTAGATTTGGGGGAATTCTTTATATAGTTTAATCACTAACCAACCAGTGTAGACTATATAATATATAACGAACTTTGTCAGTTATATCCATTCTAAATACCATCTTTTAATTGTGATTATATTTTCACTTTTTTCATATTGTCTGTTGATATTGTAAAGTTCTAAATTTTAATGTTCTTGAAATCACCAACTTCTCATTTTGTGTTGATGTCACTTCTTATTTAAGCAATCCTTCTCTACCCTGACATCCTAACTCCATTGGACTCTATTTGTTTCAGAAGTTGTGAAGTGAATTCTGCATTTATATGACACTGTTTTCCATGGTGGGGACAGATCTTTGTGTAGGGTATGATATAAGGAGATGCCATTTTTTTTTCATACGGATAACCAATTACCCCAACAATTGTTGGCCTGTTCATTCTTCTTTCCCATGGACATACAACGTCATCAGTGTCATAGTTCAAGCATCCACATTTACATTATTATATTTCTGGGGCCTACATTTCATTCAATTTGTAATTCCAACTACAGAGGAATAAATGCATCAAATCTTAGTGTCTTAAAAGAAAAACATATTTTGTATAAGACTTTACAATTTTGAAAGCTTTCAGGAAACAGTGTGTCTTCATCCATGTAGCATCAGTAGGCATGCCTTGGGGCTGGAGGACCTGGTTCCAGGATAGTGCACTTCATGTCTACAGAGTTGGTTCTGTCTGCAGGTCGGGGTTAGCCGGAGCTGCTGACCAGTGGTTCCAACTAAGCAGTTTCCTCAGCAAGCTTCTTGCACATAGAAGTGAACAAAGAGAAGCTGTGTACCTTGTGGTATAAATTGGCATGCTTTTAATTGCATTTTCCTAAGTGGATTTTTTGTGATATAGAAATACAAGTGATTTTTGTATGGTGATTATATATTCTGCCAGCTTGCTAAAGTCTCATTAATACACTTTTCTGGTGATGTCTGTGTAAATAACCCTATTCCCTGTGAACAGTTACTTGGGAATCATTCTTTCATCTATACATATTATTCCTTTCTCCTGACTTACTGCACTGGTTAGGACCTCCAGCCCCACAAAGAATGCTAGTGATGACAGAAGCACACTTATCTTCTTCCCGACTTCAAAGGTAATGCTTTCACTATTTCATCATTTCATAGGATGGCTAATGTATGCTGGGGTTTTTTTTCATCCAATAGATTCTACTTAGCTGGGTAAGGCAGCCCTCTCCTATCCTTAGTTTGCCAACAGCTTCTTTGTTATCATGAAAAGATACTGATTTTATTAAGTTATTTCATTGTTATCAATTTTGGTGATCTTATAGTTTTTCAACTTTAATCTGTTAATGTGGTTAGTTTCACTTCCATACACCAAATTTGTGCCCTGTAAATAACTCATTTGTCATAATAGTTTACATGTTTCACATGTTACAGCACTGGGTTTACGAATATTTTATTTAAGATATCTCCATTTAATGCATCACTGAGATTAGCATGTCATTTTATTTCTTGTACTATCTCTTTCTGGGACTTGATAACACCATTATACTAATCTCATCAGAAGAAATACCAAATATTTATTTCCCTATAATCTGGAAGAGGTTGAAAAAATTAATTTTTCTCCATCTAAAATGGTTGAAATGTTCCTCTAAAACTGATTGGGCCTTAAGGAATCTTTATAGAGATTTAATATTACTGTTTCAAATTCTATAATGGTTTCTTCTGGAGTTAATTGGTAATTCATATTTTTCTAAGAAGTATCCATACTACCTAATTTATCACTTTTATTATAAAATAATTAATAATATCTTCTTTCTTACCTTTTAATATCTGGCAGCAATGCTCTTCTGTATGTTTCATTCTTCTTGCTCTCTGTGCTTTAGTCTGGATATTTTCTACTGAGCTATGATCCAGCTCACTAACCCTTTCTTCTACTGAGAAGAATTGGCTGTTAAGCTAACTTACTGAGTTCTTAATTTCAGTTGTTAATTCTACAATTTAACAATTTCCATTTTTAATAGTTTCCGATTGCTGTTGTAATAAATTACGACAAACTCAGTGGTTTAAAACAACACAAATTTATTATCATATGATTTTTTAAATGTAACATCACATATTCATGGATTGAATGTGGGCATCTTTTGCAGGAGGGAGGCACTGTCCTGCCTGACACAATCTGCCCTCTGGCCTCTAAAGATTCACATGTGTTCCACCGGGAAAACACGTCTATTCTATCTTAGGATCACCAAAGCCTCATCTCATTACAGCATTAACTCAAAGTTCAAAATTGTATCTAAATCTCATCAGTGCACAAGTCCTAAATCCTTGCATATAAAAAATTTAACATTTAAGATGAAGGTCTGCATACACCCATCTTGTGTCAAAATTATTCCTGATCTGTGAAAGTCAAGAAACATGTTCTTGTGCTCTAAATAAAATAGTGAGACAAGGATAGAGTCACAGCTATAGATATTTCCATTCAAAAAGGAAAAAAAAATGGAAAGGAAGACAGAAGTCCCTGGTCCCAAGCAATTTTGCAATCCAAGAACTCCATTTGAGTTTCAAACGGCATGGGAATGATTTCCGTGACTCACAACTTTGTCCTCTGGGCATGCAGCTTCACCCTCAGAAACCATCCTTCTTTTTAAACAAAAGGAAGCATATGTTTGCAGCCGGGTAGCACTTAGAGCTAGTTTTATGCCTGTGGAATCTTTGGGGTCCAATAGCCTTCTTTCTTTTGACCCTTTGGTACAAGCTGGCAGGCAGCTTTCCTGCCAGTAGAATATTTTTAAGGCCCTTGTAGCTCTCCATGGGGATTAACTCCATTAGACAATGGGCTCCTCTGCAGATCTTCCCCAGATAATCATCTCTATTTCTGGCTTTGGCTGAGATGGCTGAGGGGAATCCGGGAGTCACATGCCTAATCTCTTCGAAGAGCCTCCAGTGTAACCAAATACTCTGACCTTTGATTCCTGAAAGCCACTAGCACAAATTTTATTCAGCCACACCTGTGGCTCTTGGCAGAGAGGGCTGTTCTGACATTTCCTGAATCTCTTAATTTAAGCACGATTTGCAATCTCAGTAGCCTGAGAAGTCCGCAAAACAGCAAGTCTTGGTTCCTTTTTGCTTAACAGCCCTTGCTTCAATCAATCCTTTTTCCTTTCACATTTTAGTGTAAGTAGCAAGAAAAAAAAACAAACAAAAACGACTGCACCATCAACACTTTACTTGGAAACCTCTTCAGTTAAATATCTAAGTTCATTGTCCAACGTTTTGCTCTCCACACAATTGCAGAACACAATTCAGCTAAGCTCCCTGCTGCTATTTGACAAAGGCGGCCTTTCCTTATATTCCTTAATGTCCTTCTCATGTCCTTGTGAGTTCTCCCCAGCCACGCCTTCAATGTCCATATTTCTACCTACTTGGTATGCATGGTGATTTCTTCTCCTCTAGAACGATAAGGGCTTTCTCTACCATGCTCATTTCTTTTTGAGACTTGACTAAGGTCACCCTTAGCATCCATGTTTCTACAACAGACTGTCCAAGGAAATCTCAGCTTTTTCTATCATGTCCTCAACATTCCTCCAGCCTTTCCCTACTGTCCAATTCCAGAGCCATTTCACTTTTTTTTTTTTTTTTTTTTTGAGATGGAGTCTGGCTCTCTTGCCCAGGCTGGAGTGAAGTGGTGCAATCTCGGCTCACTGCAAGCTCCACCTCCCGGGTTCAAGAGATTCTCCTGCCTCAGCCTCCCGAGTAGCTGGGACTATAGTCACCCACCACCACGCCTGGCTAATTTTTTGTATTTTTAGTAGAGACAGCGTTTCACCATGTTGGCCAGGCTGGCCTCAATCTCCTGACCTTGTGATCCACCCGCCTCAGCCTCCCAAAGTGCTGGGATTACCCATTTCACATTTTTAGTCCTTTGTTATGGCAGAACCACACCTTCAAGTACCAAAATCTGTATTTTTTTGAATTGCTGTTACTCCAAATTTCCCCAAACTTAGCAGCTTAAAACAACACAAATTTATTATCTTATATACTTGAGGAGAAAAGTCCAAAGTGGATCTGACGGGGCTAAAATCAAGGTATTGGCAGGGATATGTTTGTGTCTACAGTCTCTAGGAGAGACTTGGATTTGCTGCATTTTTTGGCTTTAATAGCCTGCCTGCATTATTTGGCTCATGAACCAGTTCTATCTTCAAAGCTAATAATAGCCGTTCAAGTATTTCTTATATCACATCACTCTGACAGTAATTCTTCTTTCTCCCTCCTCCACATTTAAGGAACTGTGTAATTACCTAAATTAAGGATAATGTCCTTAAGTTGTGATCAGCTTGTTAGCAGTTTTTCTTCCATCTGCAATCTTAAGTACCTCTCGCCATGTGACATAGCCCATTCACACGTTCTGAGTGCCAGGACATGGGCACCTTTGGGAAGTTGTTATCCTGCCTTTGCCCACCATCCCATTGGATTCTTTTTTGTGGATTTCACTTTAAATACTTATTTAAAGTATTTCTTCAAATAATACTTTAACGTGTTAATCACAATTATTTTAACAACAGTGTCAACCATCTCTGATATCTGGGTCATCTGTGGGTCTGAGTTTGATTTCTGTTTGTTCCCTTTGCCCTGTCTCATATGCATGCTTCCTTTCTGTTGAAAGCTGAACAATGCCCATTAAAGTTCCTGAGACTCTGGCTGCTACTGCCTTCCTCTGAGGAGAGTTCTGTATCCTCTTTTAGATAAATGGAGCCAACAGATCACTTTAATCCAAACATGGACTGAGATGTTCAAAGAATGAGCTGCCATCTCTGTAAAGCTCAGGCTACATCTGTTTCACCCCTACTCTTAGAATATAGCAAGCTAGAGATCCCAACTGAGATGGCAGGGTGCTTCCCACACTCCTGCTGCATGAAAATCCCTCCTGCTGTGCCCTCCCTAATCACTGCCTCCTGTCTAAACCTCCTGTATCGCAACTTCCTCTCTGGATAGTCTCACTTTCTTCTGCTTTGAGATCCAGCTGAGAACGCCTCCACCCCGTGTCCTGTCCATTTGGGACAATTTCACTCACATGCCTGCAGCACAGGCCTGGGATTCAGACCAGTGTTCCTTGATACTTTTGCGATTTTCTTCCTAGCTCAAAAACCCCAGCCCCTCTGATTGTGTGTGGTGTCATCTGCTGTCATCCTCTGAGAGCCTGGTTGCCTCCCGCATTTGTTAAAGACATGAACCCACCTTCCCACCTTGGCCTCATGTCTGCCTTCATCGTCCTCCCTGACATCAGCATCCCCGAGGACCGGCCTCTCCTCTCCCCACCTGCCATGTCTTCCTTACCCCCATGCCCTCCTACATCATATCTTGGGCAATCTTGTCTTCAGAATTGCAAGAGCCTGTCAGCCTCAGCTCACCACCTCTCTCCCCACATCCTTCTTGTAATGCCCCCATTTCATCATCTTCATGGCCAAAATCAAGCTCTTTTCATTTTGGTGTGGCATCAATTGACCATCAACCACTTTTTCCAGACCTGTCTCTCCCTTATGTCCTGCTTCGCCCTTTGCTTCAATTAGACTCCAGGACCATCATTAGAAACCCTCTAATGAGTCCCTGTCCCACCTCCCATTTCCTCAGACCCACTAAAGCCCCTTTCTCCTTCTGCCCTGCCCCTCCCCAACTGCTGAATGTGCTCACAGTGACACACGCTACTGCGCTGGCTGGACTCACGAGTCCTCAAACAGGCAGGCGAAACCCCCAGCAATCCTAATGTATTTGTTAAACGTTTCCCTCTCCTTTGTGCAGAAAAGCTATTTCACACCCTCCCTGACCTCCTCAGCCCAGCAACATCTCACCCTTCCCGAGAAAACAGCAGCTGCCTCCCTTTTCACCCCAAACCCACCTGATTGCCTCTCCTGTGCTCACCCTGGCAGCCTTGCCTTTTATAGCCCAGGGAGCTGCCCCCTTTTATGAAAGATCCTCTCCTCCCTTGCAGTTCCAGTGATAAAGCTGTGCACGGCAGCCATGGCTATCCAGCTGGCCCAGCCCAACAGAGATCTGTGGTTCCTCACTTGCCTGCACCTTCTCTGCCTTCTCCTCTTACCATCACCTCCAATATCAGCAGGTCCTGGTCCTTCTCTGCCTTCTCCCCTCACCATCATGTCCAATATCAGCAGGTCCTGGTGCTCTTTCCCTGAAAATATCCCAAGTCAGTTTCCTTCTCTCCACCTCAGCTGCCAGAGCCTGGCCCCACCATCATCCTCTCCCAGCTGGACAGGTGTTCCTGCCTTCCAAGTAGGGTCCCAGCCTCCACCCTTGGAGGTAGACCTACAGGTAAAGCAGACACAAGGGAAGGAGCCTGGTCTGGTATCCAGCAGCTCACATCAAAACGGTGCTGTGAGGTTGCCTATTCCATGTTCTGGCTGTGGCTTGTGAAGGCAGCAAGAATCCCAACTGCCCCACGAGGCTGCCTTGAGCCGAGACAGACTTGCAGCAAATTGGGCCAATCCAGGTTGGCCTGAAGTCAAGTTGGAACATGAGCAGGAATTGATAAAAGCTTCCCTGGAATTAAACGCTATTTAGATTGCGTTTCCAGTGCCAGGAAAGAGCTGGCTTCAAGATGGAGCAGAGAGTAATTTTTACCAAATAAATGATGGGAATGTCATGCCCTGAGACAGTTAGAAAATCTCCTTGGCATCTGGTTTTAATTATACTATCTGCTCACTATCGTTCCCAAGACAGTATTTCTCAAAATTCCAAGATATGATTTCTATTCTTTCATTGAACATTTGCTAAATGCTTACACCATAACAGACACTATACAAGGTACTTTGGAAACAAGGAGGCATTAGACGTGTGCTGACAAGAAGCCGTGTGCAGGAGAAGACGCTGTGCCATGGGAGTCATGGAATCCCTTGCCGAGGACCCCTCTCCTGACACCTCCAACTCCACACTGAGTCCTCCATGAGGACAGCCACCATTTCTTCCTCCCCATCCAGCCATTGGTCAGTGCCATTCCCACATCAGGCTGCAGGTTGACGGGAGGCTTCTTAGGGAACCAAGAGGAAGGTGAGCAGGCACTGGCCCCAGCCTGAGCCTCACAACCCTGCAGAGTCACAACCTCCCTGGCTGGGGAGCATGTAGGTATACATTGAACTTCGCCATGGTATCCCAGGAATTGAAGCCAGTGTTTTTCAAAGAGGATTCCACACAGGCATTATTCCTGCGAAATGACCTAAGAAGGAGGGAAAATATAGGTATCTGAGAGTGAGGGAAGAGAGAAAGAGGAAGCCTGGTGTCTCAGCAACTGATACACAATGTCTTCCTTCAAAGACCCATGGGACTTTCTAGGAGATATGTATTAGAATAAAGTGGCTGAGCTGGATGCAGAGACTCACGCCTGTAATCCCAGCACTTTGCAAGGCTGAGGCAGGTGGATCACCTGAGGTCAGGAGTTGAGACCAGCCTGGCCAACATGGGGAAACTCTGTCTCTACTAAAAATACAAAATCAGCCAGGTGTGATGGTGCGCACCTGTAATCCCAGCTACGAAGCAGGAGAATTGCTTGAACACGGGAGGCAGAGGTCGAAGTGAGCTGAGACGGCGCCATTGCACTCCACCCTGGGCAACAAGAGCGAAACTGCATCTCAAAACAAACAAACAAAGAAGCAAACAACAACAAAAAAGAATAAAGTGGCTGAGACTGTTAGCAACTCTTCGCTTTAACCCTCCATTCTCCACACTCACGTGGCTGTGGGTGCTTCCAGGCCTCCTCTGCTGGCCTCTCCCGGGGCTCTCACCTGATGCACCTGTGAGGCAGCCTGGAAAGGTATGCATGTTGGAAACCAAATGGAGAAGACAACTATGGAAATAAAGTTGGAAGGGCAATTTGAGGAGGACGTCCTCAATTGAGCCAGAAGAGATTTGTAGCAATGTCATCAGATGCAAACACACCACCCTTGGTTGGACTCAGACCAGGGACCAGGTTGCCCGAGTCTCCCTATGCCCAGAGTGAGCCACACGTGTGGGTGGGGAGCGGGTGTGCCATGCTACTCAGAATCCACACAGGTAGGCAGAGCGCTGAACTTGCTCATCACTTGCTGGGACAGTTCCAGCTCACACGAGAGGAGAGAGTAAAGGCTGGACACTCCGAGGCAAAATATGCGCTGAGCCAGGCGTGGGGGAGGGAGCTGGCCTGAGCCACCTTTATCGATGCACACACCGACCATGCAGCAAGGCTTCCGTCCGTTGGATCTAGTCCTCATGACAGCCCTGTGAAGTCATATCATCCTCAACTGTAGAGATCTTGGATTTGGGGATTAGGAATTTAGGGTTCAGAGAGGTCTAGCCACTTCACTAAAGTCACATCAGAAGCAGCTGGGAGCCAGGGTTTGCCTGACTCCTAACCAGGTCTCTCTTCTGCAAGCTGCAGCCAAGGTGGGAGAGGATGGGGCAATAAGACACGGGTAAGATTGTGGGACCAGAAAGGCACTGAAGCTGTTGTGAGGCTGCAGGAAAGATATGGCTGTTCCTGTGGCTGACCTGAGCCAGCCGCCAGGGTCGGGGTGGTGGGTAGAGAAAAAAGAACCTTCAGGGGCAAACAGCCTGGGAAAAATCAGAGGTCTGGGTAACGGCTCTGCCCAGACATCTGCTGGGGCCAAGCTGGGGTGGGCAGGGGGTTTCATGTCAAATCAGCAGATGAGAGGTCTCGGGAGGTTCTGGGGAAGAAGGAGACAAAGGCCAGGCAGGTGAGGTTCCCGTCTCAGGAGCAATGAAGCAGGAAGGTCAGTGTAATGAAAACACAGAGGAAGGATATAATTCCCAACTCCATGTACTGCAGAACTACAGGAATTAAATTACAACCCTCCACTGAGAATAAACCAGCTAGTAACAATGAGAGCAGGGCAGGTGCCCCAGGCCCTGCAGTTTCGGGTACAGCACCCAGGCACACCCAGGAATCTGGCTCGGCAGCTCCCAGACCCTCCAGTGGGGCATTGGTCTGAACAAAAGACTCATGCCATGGACCTGGCCTCTGTTTCAAGGAGAGGCTGCACCCGCTCAAACTCACAAATGGGCCCACAGAAGCTGAAGAGCAAGCTCCTTTGCTTCCTTGCCTAGAATTGGTGTGTGGATGCCAGACTCCCTGTGATGTCGCAGAACCAGCAGCTGGCCAAAGGGCGCTTCAGTTTTGCAGGTTTTCATGACTGAAGCTGCTGACCCAGAGAGGGCATCATATAAATCAGACGTATCCTGGAGAGTTCCGCTGAGAAGAAATGGAAAAGAGGAGTGCTTCAGGGATGGGAGGTGCATCTTGCATGTTGTTAAGAGATGACTACAGATACATCTTTACATTTTCATTAAAAAATCAATAAGTCAAGTCATAATTATTGACTTTCATTCCAGTACACCATTTCCAAAATCTTTTCAGAGAACTGACCTCATTTGGCCCTCGCTGAAGGGACCTGCTGGTTTCAGCACTGACAGATCAACAGTTTGGAAGCTGTCACTCCTTCCCCTATGAGAAGAAAAAAAAACGGAACCGTACTGAAAATGAGTAACTTTTCTTAGGGGCCTCGGAGAGTGCAGGTCACAGGGCAAACCACCTCCCTGAGATCTGGAGTGATGGCTCAATCCTGGGAGCCAAAAGCACCACGAGCTGACTTGGAACAGACGCCACAGCAGCTACACACTGGTGGGGGTACCTCAACGGACATTTCGACAAACTGCTGAAGGCAGATTGAGGACGAGTGTGAGAATGAGAGACTCCTCAGGGCCACTGTCTTAGGAATTGCACGCTTTCATGAGCATCACGTCCACGGAGCCCCCCGGGTTCTTGGGGTGCAGATCCAAGGTGGGTCCCCACACATCTATGGCATGGGAGAGAGGAGCTCTTGTGAAATGTGCCCAGAGCATGCTCCATGACCAGGACTGCAATCCAGCCAGGAAGACTCTCAAAGCCTTCTCCGATGTGAGCAGAAAGAAATTCCCCAATTCCAGCCTCCTCCAGCCTTGAGAAAGGCCACGCCCCAGAGAAATGGATCCACTAAAAGCCTGAGATTTAATTGTAAAGTTACACAATGCTTCTCTTCTACACGAGCAGGGCTCCAGTATAATATCAGGGCATTACAGCAGAAAGAGCTTCAAGACAGAGGCTGTCTCTGAAGGAGAGTATGTAAGGAAGTCTCTGCTCTAGAGGAAGAGAAAAACAAAGACAGCAGAAAAATTTGAAGACTCTGGCACCTGGAGTTCCAGTGAATATTACATACAGACAAACTCCAACCCAGATCAACACAAAAGCTCAGATAGAAGTCCTATTGATTCAGCTCCTATTAATCAATCAGCACATCCCACTTTCAACAAACAATTATAAAACTATTTTGCCTATTGTCAAGAAACACAGTCTGAAGACAAATCAAGCATCAGAATCAGAGTCAGATAGGATACTGATTTTGGAATTCGAAGACAAGAAATTTGACTATAATTGTAAAGTAAAGGCTCTAATGGAAAAGACAGACATGCATTAACAGATGGGTAATGTAAGCAGAGAGATGGGAAATTTAAGAATCAAAAGGAGGCCGGGCATGGTGACTCACACCTGTAATCCCAGCACTTTGGGAGGCCAAGGCGGGTGGATCACCTGAGGTCAAGAGTTTGAGACCAGCCTGGCCAACATGGCAAAGCCCCATCTCTACTAAAAATACAAAAATTAGCTGGACATGGTGGCATGAACCTGTAATCCCAGCTACCTGGGAGGCTGAGGCAGGAGAATCACTTGAATCTGGGAGGCGGAGGTTGCAGTGAGCCGAGATTATGCCACCACACTCCAGCCTGAGTGACAGAGCGAGACTCCATCTCAAAAAAAAAAAAGGGAAATAAAAAACTTGTACCAAAAATGAAGAATGCCTCTGGTGGGTCCAACAGTGAACACACAAAGAAAAGAATTGGGAGGTCCACAGAAACTTCCCCCACCACCCACCACTAAATTGCAAAGAGAAAATTAGTCAGAAGACAAAAAGGAAAACAGAACATCCCAGAACCACATGACAGTTTCAAAAGGTGTGTCTTAGTCTGTGAGGGCTGCTATAACAAAATATCATCAACTGGGCAGCTTAGAAACAACAGAAATCTATTTCTTACTGTCCCAGAGGCTGGGAAGTCCAAGACGGAGGCATCGGCAGATTCCAAATCTAGTGAGAGCTTGCTTCCTGGTTCACAGACGGCACCTTCTTGCTGTGTCCTCACGTGGTAAAAAGGACAAGGCAGCTCTCTTGGGCTTCTTCTATAAGGTCACGAATTCCATTCACAAGAGCTTCATCCTCATCTTCCAAAGGACCTACCTCAAATCAAATCATATTGGAGGATTAGGTTTCAACACGTGAATTTGCGGGGTAACCCCAAAATTAAGGACATAGCAAAGTAACATACATGTGTGATTGGACTATCAGAAGAGGGAAAAAAGATAACAGAGCAGAAATGAATATGTATCTGAAGTCATAATGGCTGAGAACTTCCCAAAATTAATGACAGACTCCTAAACACAGATCCAGGAAGCTCTCTGAACAGCAAGTAGGATTTTTTTTAATTACATCTAGGTATATCACATCCATATTATATTCAAACATCAGCAAACCAAAGACAAAGAGAAGAACTTGAAAGAAGCCAGAAAAAAGCATAGCACCTCCCCTATATGAGAGCAGGAATAAGAATTCAGCAGACTTGGAAGGACAGTGGAGTGAAATCTTTCCAATATTAAAGTATTGACATTTTAAAGACCCAACTCTAGTCTCTTTCCCTTCCACGCACCACCAAAGATCCTGTTGTCACCATGGGCCGCCGCCCCACCCAGTGTTACCAGTATTGTAAGAAGAAGCCATACCCATTCTTACTTCTGCCAAGGTTTCCCTAATGCCAAGATTCGCCTCTTTGACCTGGGTTGGAAGAAGGCAAAAGTGGATGAGTTTCTACTCTGTGGCCACATGGTGTCAGATGAATATGAGCAGCTCTCCTCTGGAGCCCTGGAGGCTGCCCTATTTGTGCCAGTAAGTACATGGAGACAGAAAATAATATAGGCCAGAAATTCAGACTCCATAAAGAAAGAAAGAACATTGGAGAAGGGATAAATGAAGGTAAAATAGAATTTTTATTTTTTATTCTTAATTGATTCAATAAATAACTGTTCAAAGTAACAGCAACCATTTATTAGATTATTATAGTATATGGAATAGTAAAATGGCAAAAGAAATGGAAGGGAGGAATTGAGAATATTCTAAGAACCTGCACTACACAAGAAGCAGTGTAGTGTTATTTGAAGGCAGACTTGGGTTAGTTAAAAATGTGTATTGAATACTTTAGAGCAGCCAGACTGGAAAAAAAATGTATTTTTAAAGGAGTATAATAGATAAACTGAGAGAGGAGATAAAATGGATTATTTTTATTATTACTATTATTTTGAGGCAGAGTCTCACTCTGTCACCCAGGCTGGAGTGCAGCGGTGCGATCTCAGCTCACTACAACCTCCCGCCTCCTGGGTTCAAGCAATTCTCATGCCTCAGTCTCCTGAGTTGCTGGGATTACAGATGTGTGCCACTGCATCCAGCTAATTTTTTATATTTTTAGTAGAGACAGGGTTTCACCATGTTGGCAAGGCTGGTCTCAAACTCCTGACCTCAGGTAATCCACCCACTTTGGCCTCCCACAGTGTTAGGATTACAGGCATAAGACACCGAACCAAGCCTAAAATAGAATCTTATAAAATGCTCAGTTCAAAGCACAGAAGGCAAAAAGAGAAATTTCTTTAAAAAGAAACAAAGAACAAGTGTAAGTAAAACGCAAACATCACAAACATAGTAAATATTAATAAAATTATATAAAAATCACTTTAAATGTGAATAGTCTTAATATACCAATTGAAATACAGAGATTGTCAGAGTGGATTAAAAAAACCCAAGACCCAAGTACATGTTATTACAAGAGACCAACTTTACACATAAAGACTCAGCTAGCTTAAAAGAAAAGGGATAGAGAAAGCTATACCATGTTAATACTAACTAAAAGAAAGCTGTCTGTAGTCACTTTATGAATCTCAAAAGCAAACTTCTAAACAAACAACCAAAAATTATCAGTGATAAAGAAATATTGCATAATGATAAAAGCATCAATTCTTCAAGAAGACATAACAATCTTAAAAGTGTGTGTACCTAAAGACAGAGTGTCAAAATACTTCAGGGAAAGAAAAGGGAAGAAGAAATGGACAAATCCTCTATTACATTGGAAGACTTCAACAACCCTCTGTCAGCAATTGATAGATCAAGCAAGCAGAAAATCATTAAAGGTAGAGTTGACCTGAGCAGCACTATTAATCTACTAGATCTCATTGACATTTATAGAACACTTCATCCAACAATGGCAGAATACACATTCCCTTCAAGTTCACATTCAATACTCGGAAAGATAGGCCACATCCCAGGCCATGAATACACCTCAAAGGCTAGGAATCATACAAAATATGTTCTCAGAAAACAAAGGGCTTACACTGGAAACCACCAGCAGAAAGATAGCTGAAAGATGCTGAAATATTTGAAGATTAAATAATACTCTTCTAAAGAACACATAAGCCAAAGAAATTATAAACAAACTTTAAAACAATTTTGAACTAAATAAAAATAAGATAACATCAAAACTTGTGGGATACAGTAAAATCAGTGATTAAAAGGAAATGCATAGGATTAAATACATATCATAGAAATTAAGAAAGATCTAAAATCAATAATCTAAGCTCCAACGTGAAGAAGCTAGAGAAAGGACTACAACTGAAGCCTATAAAGCAAGAACAAGAAAAGAAATAATTTTAAATTTTAAACAAGAAGTCAATGAAATTGAACCAGAAAAGCAATAGAGAAAATCAATAAAATTAAAAGGTGGTTCTTGGAAAAGTTTTGTAAAATTGATAAACTTCTAAGCAGGCTAACCAATGAAAAGAGAAGACACAAATTGCAGGTGTCATAGAAGAAATAGTGGTCATCGCTACTGAATCCAGGGACATTAAAATGGAAACAAAGCAGATATAAAAAACTCCAACTCCACACATCTGATCTTTTAGATAAAGTGAACTGATTTCTTGAAAGACACAAACATCAAAACCCATACAATGAGAATTATATCATTTGAATAGGTAAATAGCTAATAAATAAATTAAATCAATAATGAACAACCTTTCAACAACAATGACAACAGCAATGACAAGAAACAAAGCCCAGATGATGGCATTGGTGAATTCTACCAAAAACCTTTAAGGAAGCCATGATACCAATTATCTACTGACATAGTCGATGTATGTCCCCACCCAAATCTCATACTGAAATATAATCTCCAGTGTTGGAGGTGGAGCCTGGTGGGAGGTGATTGGATCATGGGGGCAGATTTTTCACGAATAGTTTAACACCATCCCTCTAGGTACTGTCCTCCTGATAGTGAGTGAGTGAGTTCTCATGAGATCTGGTCTCGCTTTCTCTTGCTCCTGCTTTTGCCATGTGACAAGCCTGCTCTCTCTTTGCTTTCTGCCATGACTGGAAGTTTCCTGAGGTCTCCTGAGAAGCAGATGCTGCCATGCTTCCTGTACAACCTGCAGAACCATGAGCCAATTAAACTTATTTTCTTATTGGTATAAATTATAAATTATCCCATCTTGGTATTTCTTTATAACAATGTGAGAATGAACTAATATGGCTACAAAATATTACTCTTCCAGAACAGAGGGAAGAACTCTTAATTAATTCTCTGAGGCCAGTCTTACAGTAATATCAAAACCAGAAAAAGATGTAACAAGAAAAACTGCAGAGCAAAATCTCTTATAACCAAACTACTTAACAAAATAGTAGCAAGGCAAATTCAACAATGCATAAAATAATTGTGCAATGTGACTGAGTGGGATTTATCCCAGGTATGCAAGACTGTGTCAACATTTAAAAATCAGTCAGTGCAACTGATTATATCAACTGTCTATACAAGAAAATTCATGTGATATTTATTAGTGCTAAACTTGACAAATTCCCACATCCTTTCATGACAAAAACTCTCAGCAAACTAGGAATAGAGAGAACTTCCTCAACTTAATAAAGAACATATTTTTTAAAAATTTTGGCTAATATGACACAGTGGTGAGAAATTGAATGCTTTCTCCATATGATTGGAAATAAGGCAAAAATAAGAGAATGTCTTCTCTTTACACTCTTATTCAACATCATCCTGAAAATCCTAGCTAGTGCAGTAAGATGAGAAAAGGAAATAAAAAGTGAGTATATACATTTGAAAGGAAAACATAAAACTGCCTTTATTCACAGATGACATGACATTATTCATGTAGAAAATCCGAAAGAATAAACAAAAATACTCTTGGAACTAATAAGCAATTATAGCAAGGCCACAGGATAAAAGACTAATACACAAAAGTCAGTTGCTTTCCAATATACCAACAATAAACAGCTGTAATTTGAAATTTTAAAATAATAGCATTTACAATAGCCCAATATATAGTTAAATAGAAATATATAAGTATATAACTCACAAAATATATATAGGATCTGTATGAGAAAAACTACATAACACAGATGAATAAATCAATTATCTAAATAAAGGAATAAATACTTTGTGTTCGTGGATTGCAAGACTCAATGTTGTTAAGATAACAATTTTTCTCAAATTGACCTAAAGATTCAACACAATCCTTATCAAAATCCCAGGAAATTATTTTGTAGATGTTGACAAACTGATAAAGTTTATATGGAAAGGAAAAAGGGATAAAATCGTCAATACAATACTGAAGAACAAAGTTGGAGGGCTTCTACTTGATTTCAAAACTTACTTTAAAGCTACAATAATCAAAAAAAAGTGTTTTATTGGCAAAAGAATAGACTCCTCGATCAATGGAATAGAACAAAGAGTTCACAGAAATATAGTCAATTGATCTTTGACAAAAGAGCAAAGGCAATTTAATATAGAAAAGATCATCTCTTCAACTAATTGTGCTGTAACAATTGGAAGTCCATATTAAAATAAAATAAACTTAGACACAGACTTTAAAACTTTCACAAAAATTAACTAAAAAAGGATGATAGATCTAAGTGTAAAATTCAAAACTCTAGACATAGGAAGAAGAAAAATACATAGAAAGACATGGAAGAGGAGGAGGAGGAGAAACGGGCCTAGGAAAATTATATGAGACCTTGCGTTTGGTGATGTGTTTTTAGATACAACACCAAAAAACACAATTTAGAAAAAAATAATAAGTTGGATCTTATTAAAACGGAAAACTTCTACTTTATTAAACCCAATGTTAAGAGAAGCCACAGACTAGGAGAAAATATTTGCAAAACACAATTTGATAAAGGATGTGTACCAAAATTTGTATAAAATATGCTTCGAACTCAGCAATAAGAAAACAAGAAACCCAATTCAAAAATCGGTAAAACATCTAAGCAGACACATCATGAAATAAATTGGGCCACGGCAAATAAGCAAAGAAAAAGATGCCCTAGACCATCTATCATTAGAAAGCTGCAAACTAAAACAACAATGTGAACCACGACACATTTATATCAGAATGGCTAAAATTTTAAAAAAAGGACAATACCCATTGCGGGCAAAGATGGGAGTAACACAAACTCACACATTAATGTGAGTAATTGTGCTAGTTACAATGTAAAATGATGGAGCCACTTTGGAAGACAGTTTGGAAGTTTCTTCGAGCCACTTTGGAAGACAGTTTGGAAGTTTCTTCCAAAACTAAACACAATCTTACCGTCTGATCCAGCAAATATGCTCCTGATATTTACCCAACTGATTTGAAAATTTATTTCTACAAACAAACAAACAAGAAATACTCATGCAAGTGTTTACTGCAGCCATATTTACAACCACCAAAAACTGGAAGCAAATAAGATGGCCTTCAATAGGTGAAGTGACGGGCAAAATACAATTCATCTATTCGATACCATATTATTAGCAATAGCATAGAAGATGGACTCTTAAGCTGCAAAAAGACATATACATCTCAGATGCATATTGCTGAATAAAAGTCAGTTTAAAAAGGATCCATATTGTGTGACTTCAATTATGTGGCATTTAGGCAAAGATAAAACTATGAAGATAGTAAATATATCAGTGATTGCCACAGATTCAGGAAGCGAGATTGAGGATTATATATAATATATATATAGTTATGTGTATATATATAATTTTAAAAAAATATCCCTAAGGAGCTCAAGGAAATAATGGGATGGAATGAAGAATGTGACACAATAATCTAACTGCACTAAAATGTATAATGCAGCCTCATGGAAGAGGATGTCAGAGAAAGAAGCTGATGCATGTAACTTTGGAAGTCAGTGGTCAGTGACACTAGAGACAAAAGAAGCTGTGCACAGCACTGTGCTTTAGTTGACACAGTTGCTTCTCACAGAACATGACATAACAACTCTGAAACCACTGTCTATGTGTACTGTAATTGAACATTTAAGTAAGGGTTTTTTCACTGTTGGAGTAGGAGGTTAGAGGTAAGCAAGGGGAGGAGGCTAGAATGGCCCGCATGGAAACAGATTGGAGTTGGCATGATCAATATCAACTCTCTTTTCGCTTAATATTGATAGCGATGTTAAATATAAGAATATTTATAGGTATGTTTATAAACACACATTTCCTTGCTCTGTCAGAAGTGATGGCACCCTAGTAGCAATGGGATACGCAGCGTCTAGATCTTGGTTTCCAGTACCAGTCTCCATAAAAGGAACCAGGACTTCTCAAAGAAATATGTCTGATTCTCGGACTGATATACAGAAGATGTACTTAGAGCTTCTTATAGTGCCAGAAAGTAAGGAAGCACTAAACACACACTCACACACACACAATGACACAGTGATAGGGATACATCAAAGGGATTCAAGAGTCCTTTGAAAGAGCTCCCCATGGCCAAAGCTGACACATTTGTAGCAACAAAATTAAATAGTATTGGATTAAAATCCAACATATAAAATAAATATGTGTGAGTCGATACTGATATAAGTAGATGATTGAATAAATAAATACAAGGGGAAACGGAGGTGAATCTCGCATGCAGAAGAATCTCAAAGACTTCATGTAGATGCTCCGTCACCTATGTCTACATGTGCAGCTCCATTTTCCCTAAGCACACGCTGCACACAGTGACTTCCTACTGAAGATTACAATACGAGAATGGTGGGAAAGGGGAACCGCAGTGGAGACACCTGGCAAGCACACATCATCCAGGTGACCAAGGTCAATGTCCTCAGTGATAAGTCATGTTGACAGAATGTAGTCTTGATGGGATGTGATGAAAATGAAACCTCACCTCTTTGTCTAGTCTTGCCCCACTCAAAACCTCAGTGTAATAATGGAAGCATCAGATACATCCCAACGGAGTAGGATTCTGCAGGATGCGTGGCTTACAACTGCTGAGGCCAACAAAAAGGAGAAAAGTCTGAGACCCGGTCACAGACCAGAGGAGCCTCAGGAGCCACGGCAGCCAGATGTCATGTGGTGTCCTGGGCGAGATCCTCCATGGGATCCTGTAGGTAGGAACTAAGATCTGACTAAAGTATGAACTTTAGGTAACAATGTACCAATTCATTTTCAGAAATGTACTAAACTATGTGTGATTTAATAATAGGGGAAACTGGGCATGTACATGGAAACTTTTTATACCATCTTCACAACATTTTTGAAACTTCCAAATGTTCTAAATAAAAAGTTTATTTTAAAAATGAGTTATCAGCTGGGCATGGTGGCTCACACCTGTAATCCCAGCACTTTGAAAGGCTGAGGCAGGGTGGATCACCTGAGGTCAGGAGTTCGAGACCAGCCTGGCCAAGATGGTGAAACCCTGTCATTACTAAAAATACAAAAATTAGCTGGGCATGGTGGTGTGCACCTGTAATCCCAGCTACTTGGGAGGCTGAGGCAGGAGAATCACTTGAACCCGGGAGGCACAGGTTGCAATGAGCTGAGATTGCACCATTGCACTCCAGCTTGAACGACAGAGGGTGACACCGTCTCAAAAAAAAAAAAAGCGTTATAAGTTATTCCAGGAAAAAGTAAAACAAGAAAAATGTAAGAAACAAACTATTCTATGAAAAGAAAATCATTCAAATCTAACAAAATTAGTAACAAGTACATAGTTTTAGGAAATACATTATATTTCTCAATCATCAGAAAATGGGAATTCAGAGACTTTTTGACATTATTTTAAAGGTTAATTCTCAATTTCACTGACTTAGACTTTGATAATACTTGGGGTAAAATTATTTTTACTTTAAATTTATTTTCAAATGATACTGTTATCCCTATGCTGTAAAGATCATATTGATCTTGGGTGGAAAGAGTTATTAAATAGCCAGCATTTGCTAAGCATTTGTAATAAACTAAAATAAATCAATTTTCTGATATGGATTAAAACACTGCTCAGATAATTACACAGATATTTTGAAACCCTACATTGAATCGTTTATCCTCAAAATAAACAAATTATAGTAGCCTATTTTATTTTTATACTAAAAAATCTATTATAGTATCTTGCTATACTAAAATGACTATAGATGTTTATGAAGTTATGATCTTCAGCTCTAGCAGTGTAATTGGTTAAAAAATGAGGTCCTGTTGTATAACTTTCACAGTCTGAAAATCATAAGACTAAGTAATTGGAAATTGGAAACTTGTTCTGAGGGCCATAGGTTGAGAGCAAGAAGCCATGTCATTAAAGCAAAAATGAATTTATGGGAGATGAGACAAAAGCTCTGGCAGAAAGGATCCCTATGTCCAGCTCACAGATGCACAAACTGCCCCTGACTCCAGCTGGCTGCTAAGGACAGGCAGCTTGGAACAGAGTCTCCTGTGCTTTGGCATGCATGGAAGGTGGGGAGTCAGAAAAGACAACCAGAAAGGTGTGCCAAGGAGCAAGGTTGGGAATCTACCCATGAACGGAAGTGGGCAGGAGAGACACACCGGCTGCTCAGGGTGAGCATTATTTGAGTACTGGATTCAGAGTCCTGAGTTGATGCAGGAGAGAATTTAAGTCCAAATGCACAGCTATGGGGTTGAACGCAGTGGCTTCAGGGGCACCTCGTCTCCCTCTCCAACCGGGCTCCTTCACTCCCACCAGGCCCTTGGTGACCCCCCTGTACACAAGAGGAGGACAGCACTCACCTGCCAGCTCCTACTAAGAATGAGAGGTGATGGGGTTTGTGCCACCAACCAGGCTAGAGCAGGAAGTGAGTCCCAGGGAGTGGAGGAAACCCAGGGGCCAGTTGTTAACTCCACACAAGGTGAGTGTGGTCAAGAGTAGACACGTTGGCTCAAGGAATTTTCCTGCTTTTTTTCCCTAAAGACCGTGCCCTTGCTACTGAAGCATATCAGTGTGGAAATCACCTGACGGCACCGTTGCTAATAAGCCTTCACTTTGCTAGAACTGGAGAAATGATTTTCTCCTTACAGACCTTTTCTTAAAGCCGGTCGGCCGTTGAAGCAACTGGGTGGCCAGTTAAAGTTATGAAAACATGTCTGCATCCTTGCTGAGAGAGGTCAGAGCGCCCGACCTCTTCAGGACCTGCTCAGATGGCTGTTGATGATACCTTGAGCCTTTCTTTTGTTGTCTCACACTTGCAGAAAAGAGAAATCCCAGGTCACAGCCTGCGCATGAAAGAAGAGCCCAACTCTCAGCTCATGTCAATCTGGTCTCCAGGAAAATACACACGGAGAGCCTGGGTGGACCACACCACGTGACTCCCGCAGGGTCATCACACTGGGAGGCACACCTGCTGTGATGGTGGGGGCGCAGTTGGGGGGAAAGGAGAGTCTTTCAGCAGCTGGAGGGCGCTGCACTCTGCTCCTCTGCTATTTTCAAGCCATCATACCAAGAATGACTTGAGCAAAAGCTTATGTGCCCAGAGGAAATATGTGGATAAAAAATAGCTGGTGTGGGGTCCACTGGAAAGAGGAGGAATGGAAAAAAGTGGACAAAATGCCAGGAGGAGCAGTTCCATCTCTGATAAGGTTGAGAGGGATCAGAGGAGGAAAGGGAAGGAAAACAGTAGCAGCCAGCCTGCTCTTGGTGGAGCTCCTCCGCTGAGCAGGTTTTGTGCCTGGAGCACTGCATTCAGCCTCTCCTGACTTCTTGACAAGCCTCCTTTTGAACGCTCTTCCTACAGTGCAGAAAGAAATGAGATTTTGGAAAGCTATGGGAATTTTCTGAAGTCATAAAGGATGGATTCAAGTGTGGCTGATCCGAAGTGTCATTCTGAGGCCCAGGGCTCTCAGTAAGATCACCCACCTAAGTCCACAGGAGGAGGTCAAGAGCCTGGGCTCTTGGAGGTAGCTGCCTGGTTTCAAATTTTGGCCCCACCACGACCAAATTCTCGGCAACCCAGGCAAGTCACTCAGTATTTCTGAGACTCTGCTCTGCAATCTATAACCCTGAGATGCTAAAAGCTATTTAAATGAAATAACGCCCGTCAACAGTAGAGCCAAGCACAGCATCTGCTCCTTGGAGGCCCCAGACATGATGACTGCTGTTGCCTCCCCCTTGTTGCTGGGGAGATCAAGGTTAGCAAAAATGCCCAGAGCTGAGGGAGAAGACAGTCCTCTGTTGCTCAGGAGTAGAAGCATGCAAGGCCTCGATCAGGGCCTGCCGTGGCAGAGGCTGGCCTGTAATTCCCTTGAGGACTTCTGGAATCTTCCTGCACACGGATCTTTCTCCAGGAAGGGAAGGGGCTCCAGTGGCCAGGGCGACTCTTCTTCAGTCCTGCTGAGGCTGCTACTCTGCCGCCCACCTTCCTTCCAGGTCCCCTGCCTCCTGTTCCTCCAAGACTTTGCAATCATTAAGCCCAGGCCAGCACCATGCACAGCAGCCTTTGCAGGTGCATTGAGACCACTCGCCATGGTCTTGAAATTCCTGCACCAGGACCCATAAATTTTATAGCTGGTCCTGCATGGAACCCTGGGGTTTCAGGGTTAGGGGGCTTCAGAGCTCACTGAGGTCAATCTCCCCAGGCTATAGATGAGAAATCAGGACCAGGGATGGGGAGGGAGCTGTCCTACCTTGGCTGCTCTCTGAGTCAGCCCCATTGTCTCCCACCAAGCTCAGGGTGGCCTAGCCCTCCCTCCTAAACACCCTCTAAGTCACCTGGATTCTGTCTGCCCACTGGCAGGCAGCCATCCCCTCTGTGGCATAGCAGGCACCGGGCATGGAGAAAATGAGTTCTTGGCAGATACGGGTGGGTTGCCATGGCTACCTCCCATAGGATGAGGACTGGGAGAATCATCACCCATGAAATGCTCAAAAACTTGACTAAGGCCAGGTGAAGTGGTTCACGCCTGTAATCCCAGCACTTTGGGAGGCTGAGGCAGGTGGATCACGAGGTCAGGAGTTCAAGACCAGCCTGGTCAACATGGTGAAAACCTGTCTCTACTAAAAATACAAAAATTAGCCGGGCATGGTGGCACATGCCTGTAGTCCAAGCTACTCGGGAGGCTGAGGCAAGAGAATTGCTTGAACCCCGAAAGGCAGAGGTCACAGTGAGCCGAGACCGCACCACTGCACTCTAGCACTCTAGCCTAGGCAACAGAGCAAGACTCGGTCTCAAAAAAAAAAGAAAAAAGAAAAGAAAAGAAAAGAAAAGAAAAGCTTGCCTAAAACTGGGAGGGGATGGGCAAGGTGCTGGAGTTCAGGAATGCTCACGTTCTCCGAGCACCTGCATGGATGATGACACTGCCTGGCACTGTTACCACATTGCAGATGAAGAAGCGAGGCTGAAAGTCATGCAGCTGGAGAGAGGCAAGGGTTGGAACAAAGAGGGATGGGGATAGTCCCGAAGCCTGTCCTTGGCTGCCCACAGCAGACCCTGAAGGGTAGCCAGTGTGGGTTATCTCCATGGGATTCTGTCCCATGGGTAGTGGCTACAGCACTTGAAAGCACTCAAAGTCCCTGCACTTCTGGAGCTCCCAAGTCAGGGAGAGCACCCCATCCTCTCTCCAGGTAGGATTAATGATGAGGGGAGGCCCAGAGCTGTGGTCCGAGGGATCTGAGGGTGGCAGGGGGTCAACAGTGTGGATCTGAGGATGGGGTCATGGCAGGAGGGACCAACGGTGGCAGGTTCTAGAATTTCACTCAGACCTTGGGTCTCTGTCAGGAAATCCATCCTTGGTCCCACAGCAGCCGAGCCTCAAGCTGCCAGCCACCCAGCGTGAGAGACGGGGCAGCCCTCCTGCTGCCAGACAACGTTGTTTTGAAAATTGTACATGATGCGAAGTTATTTAAAAGTGTGTTTAAAGCCATAAACTATTAAAGAAATGGGAGGTAATATTAGGCCCGGCATTTAATATAACATCATTAAAGCTGTTACAGTTTATTTTTAATTTTACAAGCTACGCTAAGGCTTGTCTAATTTTAAAATGTTTCTGAAACCTCTGTAACGAGTATATAAAAGGCTAAAATGATGGCATTTGTAAGGCTTGGGGCTCCTTGGGGAAAGGGGCTATATAAATTCTGGGATGAGCTTCCCTTCCACCAGCCGCACTCAGGAATCCCCGCCTGGTCCGTGAGCACATGCCAGTGCAGAAAGGTTTCCTCTGTGCCAAAAGTTTAGATAAGACACCAGGATGTCTTGGGAGATGAAGAGGTTAAATGCATAGGCTCTGAGCCGCAGAGTACAAGTCCCAAATTCCATTCGCATTGCCCAAGAAAAGGGTTCTTGGTCCTTCCCTCTCTGGACCTGATGATGCAATTTTACACACAATTTGGATCTAAGACTCTAAATCCTCAACAGGCTAGATAAAGGCAGGCTTGTGCGGCCGACATGCACCACAGCAGCAGGGAGATGCTGATCGCAAGCAAGACAGAGCACCAGGAACAGATCCGATGGCGTATGCACCACATTCCCTGGATCCACTCTTTGGGGATGGACGCTTTGGTACATTCCGTGTCTTGGCTATTGTGAATAGTGCTCAAATTGACTTGGGAGGGCAGGTATTTCAGTTAGATAGAGACAGATTGACTTCAATCTATGCTCTACCCGGAAGTGGGATTGCTGGATCACATGATAGTTCTATTTTTAATTTTTTGAGAAATCTCCATAGTGTTTTCCATAATGGTTGCGCTAGTTTACATTCCCACAAACGGTGTATAAATTCTCCTTTTCTTTGCCTCCTCAGACACGATGGAATAATACTCAGCCATAAAAAATAACCAAGTCCTGTCATTTGCAGCAATGTGGATGAACCTGGAGGACATTATGTTAAGTGAAATCAGCCAGGCACAGAAAGAGACGTACCGTATAATCAAAATCATATGTGGTATCTTAAAAAGTTGATCTTATAAAATGATACAATGGACTTTGGGGACTCAGGGGAAGGATGGGAGGTGGGTGAGGGATAAAAGACTACACATAGGCCAGGCGCAGTGGCTCACTCTTGTAATCCCAGCACTTTGGGAGGCTGAGGCAGGTGGATCACGAGGTTAGGAGTTTGAGACCAGCCTGACCAACATGGTGAAACCCTGTCTCTACTAAAACAATACAAAAATTAGCCAGGCATGGTGATGCGCGCCTGTAATCCCAGCTACTCAGGGGGCTGAGGCAGGAGAATTGCTTGAACCCGGGAGGTGGAGGTTGTAGTGAGCCAAAATCAGGCCACTGCACTCCAGCCTGGGAGACAGAGTGAGACTCTGCCTCAAAAAAAAAAAAAAAAAAAACTACACAGAGGGTATAGTATACACTGCTGCTCAGGTGATGGGTGTACCAGAATCTCAGAAATCACCACTAAAGATCTGCTTCCCAAACACCGCCTGTTCCCCAAAAACCTATTGAAATTTTTTTTTTTAAAAAAACTACCTTCAAAAACAGAAAGTTAATCTTATAGAAATAGCAGAATGGTGGTTACAGAGTCTGGGGAATGAGGAGTGGGGAGAGTGGAGATGGGGAGAGGTTGGTCAAAGGATGCTAAGGTACAGTTAGGAGGAGGGATGCATCCCAGTGTTCCATTGCACAGTGAGGTGACCATTGAACAGTAAGGTGTTGTAGATTTCAAAATAGCCAGAAGAGAGGACTTTGAATGTTCTCCCCACAAAGAAATGACAAATGTTGGAGGTGGTGGATTTGCTAATTACCCTGGATCATTACATGATGTTTACATACACAGAAATGTCACATGACACTTTATAGATAGGTATAATTATCATATCAATTAAAATTAAAAGAAAATGCTTAGGGTGGGCAAGGCAGCAGCAGCTTTCAGCTGGCCTGAGAGCATCTGACTGAATCCTGCTCCTTGCTCAGTCAAATCCTGGAATGTTCAAAGAGTAAATGCATCTGGATAGCGAGGCTTCTGCAACTTTTAATCAGTGGGTGTCTCTATTTTTATTTATCTATCATCTATTTATTTATTTATTTATTTATTTATTTATTTATTTTTTGAAAGAGTCTCGCTCTTTCACCCAGGCTGGAGTGCCGTGGCAAGATCTCGGCTCATTGCAAGCTCCGCCTCCCGGGTTCACGCTATTCTCCTGCCTCAGCCTCCCAAGTAGCTGGGACTACAGGCGACGGTAGTGAGCCAAGATCCTTTGACTGCACTCCAGCCTGGGTGACAAGAGTAAGACTCCAACTGGTGACGTGCCTGTGGGGAGACCCAGAGAGGGAGACCCTGAGTGCCTCCCAAATTCAGAGGCCACGCTTGCAACCCACAGACCCTGACCATGCCGCTCAGATCCCTGCAGGACTTGAGGGAGCTCCTTCCATGGTGGACCTGAGGAAGCGCCCACTGCATGGGACACTGCAGCCCCCATGGTAGAAGGAGCACAAGAGGCTTTGGTCTTTGCATGTTGCCAGAGGGTGAGCCAGGGTGATTCAGCCAAGCTTGGTGATGCTGCTGCTGCCCCTGACCTGAGACACAGGGACCCATTCTCCTCAGTGCATGTTCAACAGGAGGGGTGGACATTGTGCTTATTAGGTGCACATCATGCATCAGGAAGCTTCATCCCTGATGCCCTGTGGGGCATATACTATTGCATCTCATTCGACGAGGTTAAAATTAGACAAAACATGGTCCAGCAAGTTCACAGTGCTCCTGGAGGCACACGGCCAGGCACCATGATGCTGGACAGAAAGCCCTGGGGTGCAGGACAGGCAGGCTGATGGGGGACAGGGGCTGGGGCTGGGGTTGGGCTCTGCCACACGTACTGGTGCTCAGGACAAGTCACCTGTCTGTGCACAGACATGCAGGGAACTCTGAGTCCTCACCTTCGTCTGCACCTCCCAGGAACCACACGGGAGCCTGGCTCTTCCAGAACCAGGCCAATGTTCTCAGGAAGGCCAAGATTCAAGCAGCACAACCAGGAGATGATGTTGTCCAAATGCTTGTTAAAATAGAGACACTCACTACAACCTCCGCCTCCTGGGTTCAAGCGATTCTCCTGCCTCAGCCTCCTGAGTAGCTGGGATTACAGCTGCTTGCTACCACGCCCAGCTAATTTTTAATATTTTTTGGTAAAGTCAAGGTTTTGCCATGTTGGCCAGGCTGGTCTTGAACTCCTGACCTCAGGTGATCCACTCGCCTCGCCTCCCAAAGTACTGGGATCACTGGCGTGAGCCACCATGCCCGGCCTCTAAAACTTTATTGAGCTATAATTAACATACAAAAATCACACACATTTGGAGGATACATTTCGATGAGTGTGGGCGCAGGCGTGTGCCTGAGATGCCATCTTCACCATCAAGTACTAAAGACATGCGTCACCTGCCAAATTTCCCGCTGCTCTTCTGTGTGTGAATGGGGAGGGGGGTGTGAGGGTGTGTGCCTGTGTGTTGGGGTGTGAGGGTGTGTATGTGGTAGGAACACTTAACATGAGGTCTCTCCTCTAATGTATTTTAAAGTGTGTGAGACTGGACTATTAAACACAGGCACCGTGCTATACAGCACGTCTCTGAATATGACTGCATGCCACCACCGCACAGGCAGGGCCAGAGAGCCCTGGGGCAGCGTGTGAAGTACCCAGAGCACCTAGCACATGCTAGGAGCTCAGCGAGCACTCACGGAAGCCTCAGTTACCCACCTCTGTTCACAGGAGGTAGGGACGGTCCTTGCACAAGGTATAGGGAGAGGTGGCTCCTGGATGCCGGCAGCCCTCCGTGAGTGTTTAATCAGCTAGCAGAGGTGCCAAGATGGCAGAAAGGGGTTTAGACATGACATGAGTGACGTCACTGGGTTCCCAGGCCTGCCTGTCCCTGGGACAGCACTTCCCACCCTAATCATTCGCCTGCCACTGGGTAGGTCATCGCTGTCCCCACCCCAGCCTCATCACAGCCCACTGTCTGTGTCTCAGCATTGAATTCTGCTCCTTAAAAGATCAGAAGAACTTGCTTTAGTGATTTGAGTCTCATTAATTGGACATGCCCTCCTCCCTCACAAGCCTGCCCTGGCCAGGGTTCCTGCTTTTGAAATGCCGGTTAAAAGCTGCCTCACACTCCCCTTCCTTTGTTCCCCTCAATTGTTTCCTCCCAAGCCCTTCTTCCTCCTTGATGAGAAGCCATAGAGCCTTCTCTTTTCTCAGTGAGTATCTTCCAAGAGATTCCCCATGTTCAAGTGTCCGGAACTGTGTGGCTTAACAAGCTTTACACCTACTGTGTACTGGCACCCAAGCACAAAGACATGACTAATTAGTGGACGGGCATTCCCAAAGAGATGGGAGTCTCCTGGGGAAGTCGGCACACAGGACACGGATGAGAAGCTCACAGCGGGCTGGCCTGTGAGTGTCCTGGGTGTGGGGGGGAGGGGGTGATAACACGTGGCCACAAACCTAGCAGCTTAAAACAATGGACATTTCTTCTCTCCCAGCATGGGAGGCCGGAGTCTGATATCAAGGTGCCTGTAGTGCGGACGCAGCACTCCAGCCTCTGCCTCCATCTTCACATGACCTCTTCTCCCTGTGCCTTCTCTTTTGTCTCCTACAAGGACACTTCTCTTTGGATTTAGGACCCACCCTGATCCAGGATGACCTCATCTTAATGACTTCTGCAAAGACTTTATTCCAAATAATCCCACATTCCAAGGTTCTTCATGAATGGATCATTTAGGGGCCACAATTCAAATAGACAAAACTATAACTAAATAGGGCCGTGGACCAGGCACAGAAGCCATGCAGAGGAGGGCAGATCACCAGTGACCTGGGGGCAGGTAGGGCCCCGGAGAGCTGCACCTGCACCCAGCTGAGGTCAAAACCTGCCTCCTTCGCCTCTGGGGTCAGCACCCAGCTTGGCGGGGGGAATCCAGAGAGCTGCACCTGCACCCAGCTGAAGTCGAAACCTGCCTCCTTCACCTCTGGGGCTGGTACCCAGCTTGGCAGGGGGGAATCCAGAGAGCTGCACCTGCACCCAGCTGAAGTCAACAGCCACCTCCTTCACCTCTGCGGTCGGCACCCAGCTTGGCGGGGGGAATCCAGAGAGCTGCACCTGCACCAAGCTGAAGTCAACACCCACTCCTTCACCTCTGGGGCTGGCACCCAGCTTGGCTTTCATTTGCAGCTGGACTGGAACAGGCTTCTTCTGAGACTTGTTTCTTCAAGGGCGAGGATGTGTGCATTAAACTCAGCCCTACATTCATGACCCTGTCCCTACACTCACCTCGAAGACAAATTCTGTTACTCAAGGAGCTTCTGACTTGGAAGTAAAGCAAAGATAGATGGGCCTCATGTCTCCGACCCCGGGGATGACCCCGAGAAGGCACATAAATTGTGTTGAGGGGAGAAGGTGACTCCAGCTCCTGGTGCCAATCCCCAGGGAAAATGTAATGAGGGAACATTCAGCTGAGCAAGGCTCCTTCTCAGCCTCCCATGCAGATTGGCCCCAAATCAAACAGATCTGCTGGGAGAGCTGAAGGAGATGAATTTTCTTTAGCCCCTCTTAATGGGCCCTAGTGCACACTGGGATGTGATGTAGAGTAGCCCTACCTCTCCAGGACACGCACCCGGTCCTAGAGTTCCATAGCTGAGGGTGTGGGCCCCACTGCCTTCCCTCTGCCCAGGCCTGAGGCCCAGGCTGGCGTCACTGCCCCCAGGACAAAGGCTGGCCCCTTTGGGGAAGGAGGAAGACCAGGTCTCCCACGGGGCAGAGCACAGGGCCATTTTGTGCACCTCGCTCCCCAGGTGAACTGCATCCTCTTGGCTCTCATGGGGTGGAGCCCACCACCCTGGGCTGGTCCTCGGGGGTCTTGAGCAAGAGGCCCTGCCAAGCAGCAACACTGGGACAACCCCAGCATCCACCTCCTACCTTGTCAGACGAAGGCCATCAACGCCCTCCTCTCAGGAGGCAAAGCGGGCAAGGTGTCTGTCGCCCAAATCCTTGACTTAGAGGATCCTTGAGCTTTAGCTAAAAGTAGGATACATTTAAAAATAAAAGCAGTTGTTTCCATTTATGGCACACAGACCCCCTGTGTGCCAGCCCCGTGAGGAGTTTCTTTAGCAATTTGTCTGGTTTATTCCTGGGAGGCGGCTGTTATCGTCCCGTTTGGAAGAGAAGATCAGAGAAGTGAAGTCGCTTGGCCGAGGTGTCTGCTGGCTGGGGTTCTAGCAGCCTCGGCCCAGCTCTGCGGCTCTACTCCTGCCGGGTCCCTGCCTTGCACTTGCCTCCCTCCCTCTCTCCAACCCTGTGGGATCATCCGGCACGTGGGACTTGACAGGCACCAGCAGGTAGGAGGGTGCGCGTGAGTTCCCAGCGTGCTCACCGTGAGGGCCGGCCCACGGGGCCACAGGCCTGCTGCACACGCACAGGGTTCACAGGCCCCACTGGAGCCCCAGCAGCTGGAAGGTCTTGGCTGTGGATTTTGGTTTGTCTACACTCCTTTTTATATTAGAGAAAACTTGTCACAGCTCTCACACGTTGTCACTGAAGGCTCATTACTCTGAAATGTCACTTCAGTTAGGAACATCATTATGCGTGAACATATGCTGCAAATGACACAGGGATTGCAGAGAATTTGAAAAGATGTGATTTTTTTTTTTCAGAGCCACATTTTAGCAGGGACGAAGTCAACATTTTGACATCTAGGAGAGACTTAGAGGTAGAGGGGAGTCTTGCTAATCTCCTCGCAGACTCTGAGTATTTCAGGCCCAGCAAGTTGTTGCTTTTAGAAAGATGGGCTGTGCGTCACTCTGACCGGGAGAAGAGACGAAGGCGTCCAGGGATGTCTCAGCCTGTGGAGCTGAGATTCCAGCAGGATTGTGTCCTGCTGAAGCCCAGGTCCTGCCCGGCTCCAGCTCCACACCAAGCGTGTGGCCACCTTGTTCTCTGCAAGGGGAAGCTGCAGGTTCATGCTGTATCATTTGGATGAAGTTTGTTGTTGTTGTTGGTTCCATGCCAGGCATGCATCTGGAATTTTGTTTTATCTTAGGGACTGTGTTGAGGAAGAAGGGAGAGGACAAGATCTTCAATCAGTTTGGTGTTGCAAATAGCTGATGTAGTTATTTGATCCTCTCATTCCTTGGACAATTATTAAGCACCTACTATTATTTGATTCTCTCATTCCTTGGATAATTATTGAGCACCTACTATATGCAGCATGATGAGAGGCCTGATTGAGAAATACATTAAAAGTGCATATAGTCTAAGGAGTAGTAATGAAGGCCACTCAGCCAGAGCCTGTGCCTGGGGCTCTGGGGACACTAGAGCAAGGCCAACCTTGAAGCAGCTTGCAGAGCTGAAATCACCACCTCTTCTCCCACCCCAGCAAGAGACAGAGATTCAGAGTGGCTGGGCACTAGCCAGGAATCAGAGAGAATCTCCTGAATCCACATCTGCAGGGCCGTGTGAGCCACATCCCTAAACCAGTGGAGTTCATTTTCAACAGGAAACAGTGATTACCTTGCAGGGTTGCTGTTGGGATCCAGGGTGACACATAACTCTGAATGGTAGTTTTGTGGGTCTGGGTTGGAGGAGGCCGAGTGGGAAACCGAGCTCAGGGGTGGTCCCCTGAGTACACCCACAGCACATTGCGAGAGCTCGCCTGTTCTGATGGCTCTTATCAAAGTGCTCAACCCTTTGTTCTTTCTCAGATTATTTCCTTCTTCCTTGCTTTTCTTTGTTTCATGTCCCCCTCTTCTACTTCCAAGTAACCTTCAGGAGGTCCAGACAGTGAGTGTCTTCCTCACTGCTGTAACCTGAGTCCCTAGCAAAGTACACAGGACATAAGGCTTAATTAACCTTTGTTAAATAAATGAAGGAAGGAATAAATGTGACTACCATGTTGTATTCAGCACATATGAATACATGAAGGAAGAATAAACCTTACAGAACACGTGTGCATCTCAATGCAAGGGAAAAGCTGACAAACGCAAGAATGAAGCAGAAAGAGTCCTGGGGACCTGAACACCTAGGATGTGAGCCGCCGCTCCATCCCTGGCCCGCTGAATTTGGAGGGAGCTTATAATTTCTTCCAGCAAGGTTGGCCTGGGGTGTCTCCGTAAGGTGCACTCCCTGAGTGGAGGACAAGGTCAACGTCAAGGCCAAGGCAATCGCATCATGTGATCTAGCTTTGAAACGATCGTGTGTTTGTCAGGCTTTTCAATTTTCTAAGCCATTATTAAAATGCAGCTAAATTACAAACTCACACTCATTAAGAAAATGTTTCTTTTCATATGTAAAATTTATAGAGTCAATTAACTGTTATGTCATTTGTGGTCTTAATCTTCCAAAATAGCAGTGAAATGTAGGTCAACGCCTGTATATCTCTGAAACCATGAGGTTCACCCTTCTTTCTAGATACTCCCTAAGCCAAATAGCACAGAGCCCACTGTAAATTCCCTCTGGTTTGTGCAGAAGAAAATCAATCATGACACTCATTTATATGTTTAATAGTTGCTATTAACTACTTTCTGGAGGGGGTTTATGTGTTTCCAGTTTTGCTGCTTTAAAACTTTTTAATTTTTTTTAAATTAAGGCTTGTTTGTAGAATGTTCTAGAGAAGAAAAATGTTTTCTCATTTCTTGCGGCTGATGTTGCTTGATAGATAGCAAGGGAGGAGGATGAAACTTTTTTTTTGGAGACTTCATTAATTAATTCAAACTGTGTTCTCCAAGGATGATTTCTGTCCCAACTCGGGAGTCCGTGGAAGGGAAGAAGGGACTGGGCCACGTACCTCCTGCAAGATGATGAGGATGTGGAGAGTTGGAGTCACAGGCTGAAGAGAGGATTGCAGGGATGAGAATGATCTGGTGGCACCTTTGTGTAACATGCAAGATGTGTTCCAAGCCCTTTGCAGGAATTTCCTCATTTTAACCTCAAGGTACTTACCTTGTAAACCCTACAAGGTAGTTACTCTCTTTATCCTCATTTTGAGCATGAGGCACAGAGAAACTCAGCCCACATCTCATAGCTGGGAAACAGTGCAGTCTGGATTTGATCCCAGGCGGGTCATCTCCTGGGATGGTTCATTTATCAGTCAACTTGAATTAGGCCAGGGGATGCCCATATATTTGGCCACACATCATGCTGGGTGTATCTTTCAGAGTGTTTTGGATTGGGATTAACATTCAAACTGGTGGACTGAGTAAAGCAATGATTTCAGCAATGATTTCACCAGTGTGGTGGCCATCACTCAATCTGTTGGAGACCTGAATCACACTAAAGGAAGGGTAAGGGAGAAGTCACTGTCATTCTCTGCCCAACAGTTTTCAAGCTGGGACAGCCATCTTGTCCTTGACTTGCATTAGAACTTACACTGTCAGCTCTCCTGGTTCTTATGTATTGGAACCGAATGACATCACCAGTTCTCCTAAGTCTCTGGCTTACAGGTGGCACATTGTGGGACTTTTCTGGCTCCATAATTATGTGAACCAGTTCCTTATTTACACAAACACACACAGAGATATTTCTCAAGTTACAATGGGGTCACCTCCCAATAAACTCATTGTAAATAAAAACCTTGTAAGTAAAAAATGCATTTAATAACCTGAGAAATCCATTGTAAAGTAGAAAAATCATGAGTTGAACACTGTAAGTTCAGATGCTCTTTGACTTAATGATGGGTTTCATGCTGAGTGTCAAGGATTTGCAGGTTGAACCATCATAACTCAGGGGTGTATGCACACCCTGAGTGACGCCTGATACGTAACAACTTCAGAGTCCAGACTCTTCCCCCGATGTAGGGAATCTCTAGTAGGGGGAGGAATCCAGCACACATTTGCCAATTGCTGGTACCCCCAGTCAGTAGGGAATGGGCTGTTCTTACACTATGGTCATGACCAATGCACATTGCACTAGAGAGCACAGCATTCCTTTCCGGATGATGGTCCTCTGTCTTTGGGTGGACACTAAACATGTGGACCTCATCCTTGGCACTTGGGCAGTGATTGATTCTTCTGGCTTTTCTAGCCATTGCTCTCACTGTCACAAATGACATCAAGGGTAGTTCAATGCAGATGACAAAAATGGAAGAGAAGGGGAAGAAAGCACTGTGCCAGGCAGTGAAGCTCAACGTGGAGACAGACATTCTGCTGTGCAATATTCAGAGCTGGGATCACAAGAGTTGTGATGGGAGTGACCAAGTCTTCCCAGCAGTGGGGCTCTTAAAGTGCACATCAGCAGCACAGGGCTTCACAGCAACCTGAGTGGTGAGGTGGGCCGATCGTCTACTTCCTTGCACCTGCTGCAAAGGGGAACGCTTTTCACTGAGACTTATCCAGTTGCTGGAATCTTTTTACTTTTTGTGTTCTGACCCTTTCTTACTATAATCCCAAAACTATCCATATCTCAGGACTTGGTGGAAGGGCCAGGCACTATTGGACACTGCACCCTAATCCTCAACCTGGAGATACCTGTCTGCCTCCTCTTCAGGGCAGAGTACCTTGGGACAGTCCATCCTAGGCTTAGCAAGGCACCTGCATTCCCAGCCACTCTGAACCACCTCCTGATCATGGGTCACCTACTGTTCTAGACACCCAGTGCTTAGCTGAGGGGCCACAGAAAATAACAAAATTCCATCTAAGGCCACCTTACCAGGTCTGTGCTCGTACTGCCAGAAGAGATTCTTGTTCCCTGCAAATGAGTCTGTGAGGAAGATATTTATTGGAACAGATGTTTCTATGTCATCTGACAAAAGCTGCCAGCGGCCTCCTGGCATAATTCTGCACAAACACAAGCATTCCTCTTACATGAAAGCATAGAAAAACGGCTTGTAACTTTGCTTTACTTTGTGAATGTTCACAGTTAAAGTGAATACAAGTATTAGCTTCTGTAAACTCAGTTATTCAGTGGACAAATTGTGAATTTCAAAGGTGTTTGTAGTTCTGTGCACTGACTGTGAAAGTGATGGGCAATGCCAACACTGGCTGATGGTCAGATTTGGTGCCAACGGCCTTGTTTAAATTCCCATCAGTGTATGCATGAAAGCCAGATTGTATCAAGATACCATATGGCACAATGAAAAGAACACGGATTCTAATCCTAGCTCTACTACTTAAAAGCATTATAATCTCAGAACAGTTACTTAACTTCACTGAGGTCTCATTTCTTTGTTTATAAAGTGGTTAAAAATCTTGTGGAAAAAATAATTTCTTCCTTATGTGACATGGTAAGGAGCTTCAGTAGCTTGACATAAAACTCAAGATAAAATAATGTTCCTAAAAGCATTTCATTTACTATCAAATGCCACACAGCTGTCAGATTAGCATTGTTATCCTTCATTCTACAACCACACCTTAAGCAAATAACAAATGCCAGATATAGTGCTGGGGATCCTAAGATAACAAGTTATCAGCTTGCATATTCAACATAGAGGCATTCCAGTTGATGGTTGATTACAATGTGAAATTGTCCTAAAAGATTTGTGCACTAAAGCTATAAGGGGTCAGGAGACAGGTTAAGGAATCCAGATGAGCTTTTCTGAAGCTGAAACTTGAAAAAACTTAGAAATTCACCAGCCAAAAAATTGGATTGGATGTATAAACCCATGCTTCTAGCTGAACAGCCAGATAGCCTCATGGCAAAAGACTTGTCTGTGATGATAGGAGATGTTTAAGGGGAAAAAAAAGTGCTGTATCAGGCCTCAATCCCACAATCATTCTGCATAACAAACTACTTCAAAAGTTACTTGTTTCTCACTCAGAGGGTAGAAGGTTGGGTGAGGGTTAAGGGAAGTTCAGCTGATCTAGCCTAGCCTTGACTGACTTTGTTTTGCCTGTGTGTTGGAGGGAAGCTGAGGGTCTAAGAAACTGAAGAGAAATTTTGGAACTCCTATGTGGCTAGAAGACATCATTATTTGTCCAGACCCCTTCAGGAGGAAAAGCCCGAGAAGATGATCCAAATTGTCATTTGGAAACCTGAAGAGCTGCAGAAGAGTAAAAGCAAGCCAAAGTTAGACAAGAATTTACAAATGCTGAAACCCAGTTTCAAATAATTAAATTCGTAGCTTGGAACTAGCCCCAGCATAAAAGCCTACCAGATGAAGTAGTAAATCCTGTTTCAAGTAAGATAGTACCATCAAATTATCAATATAATTTTCATATGCAATGTTTGGCGTTCAACAAAAAATGTATCAGGCATGTCTGCCTGGTATACAAAGCCAAGGCTTACAAAACCAAAGAAACAAAGGCCAAGAGAAAAAGCAAACAGTAGAAACAGATCCACAGAATTTTCCAATACAGAATGTATTCCATATAAACTTTAAAATTACTGAAATTTGTGTTTAAGACTATAGATGATAAGTTGAAGAATTTTATAAGAAAACTTAAATCTATTTAAAAAATGGAAAATACAGTAGTAATAGAAATTAAGAACTCAACTGATAGCCTTTCAGGTAAAATCAAGCTTAAGAGACGCTTCATAGAATGATGTCAGTAAAAATGGCAGAGTAGTAACATCCCAAAACTCACACTTCCAGAAAAACAATTTTTTTAAAAACCTGGAAAAAATTAAGAAAATCAACTTTTTCAAAACTCTGGAAATTCTTCAAAGACTTGCACCCATCTTGTGAGTATTTATCTAAGAAAAATGGTTGAATCTTTGTAAAAGTGAGCTTTGCTCACAGTTGAACTTGCTCTAGTCTCATCCTCTGCTCTCCAGCTCAGAGGCAGCTTTGAAAAGCAAGAGCACTTATGCCTGGTATCTGAGGGAGAGGAACAAAGCTGCAGCTGTATTCAAAGCCTCATTCTCAAAGAATTGCCATTATTTGGCATATCAGGTGGCTAACTGGGAGCTCACCTTCTCCCCAAGAGGTCACTAGTTGAAAACAATTACAGAGAAGTGTTTTAACTTCGTAGCTGCCTGAGGCAATGAATACAAGTTTGGGTAAATGTTTTGAATAAAACTCTTTGAGTTTTATTATCAACTTTGTGGTAGCTCTGCTCCTAGCTTTGAAACTTCTAGTAGTTACCAGAGCCTGGACAGAAGAGCAGCAGCAGGGAATCTGTATTGGAAGAACAGAAATTTTTAAAGAATGAAGAAAGCAGGACAGAGTCTCAAATAACTGTGGGACTACCAATCAAGTCAATGTATGTGTAATAAGAATGTCAACAAGAACGGGGAAAGGAAAAGGGACAAAAAGAGAACCCAGGGACTTCTGCAGAAGTCCCTTCTGGAAGCCTAAAGGTCAAGGGTCACAGTGTGGCCAGGGCTTCAGTGACACAATCACAATGGGAAAGTTTAGTACTTACTAAAAACCCCAGGGGACTTTCAGGGGATGTTATTCAGCATCCTTGGAGGCCACACACAGAGGTCAGGGAGGGCAAGCATAGAGAAGAGAGCATGGCAGCCAGCAGTATATATTGGGGAATAGGGTGCAGGTCACTGTAAGTTCATGGGCAAGTGACTGAAGAGTCTCTTAAAAAAAAAAGTGGCAGGAAATCAGGGAACCCAGTATGCTAGGTGTTCCACATGTCTTTAAGATTCTTTTGCTGGCATCTGGCTTGAGTCTTTTGGGTGTGGCATAGAACTGAAAATTGTGTCAAGGGTGACTGAGCCCTGCCTCTGTCATGAGAAAGCTAAACCTGTATTCAAAACGAATGCTGAGGCAACAAACACTCACTGCAGTAAACAACAGGTTAATGTCAAAGGCTAAAAGGAAGGGCTGAGGAACAAGATACCCATGGGGCTTTGAAAAACATTGATATATTCTGACTGAGGGGCTCTGCAAAAGCAAGAAGTGAAGGAAAGAGCAATGTTGGGAAGTGCTTGGAAACTGGGAAGTTTTTTGGCCCTAGGCACTTAAAGAAAGCTCTGTACAATCATTAGCTGACCATTATGTTTTGCAAGTAGAGACTTAAATAGCCACACATGACAAAAAATGCACATGTTAAATAATTAGTTTGGAAAAGTCACTGAACAATAACAACTACTACAACATGAAGAAACAATAACTCCAAGGCAGGAAAAAATCCTGATTTTCAGAGTTGTCACATTATATTATTTAAAATGCCAAGTTTTTCAACAACAAAAAAGTGTAAGGTGTGCAAGCAAATAAGAAAGTATGTCCTATATACAGGAAAAAAAATCGACCTATAGAAACAGTCTTTGTGGAAGCCTAGATGTTGGGTTTCATAAATGAAGACTAAAATACTATAATTGGGTATGTGTATTATGTTCAAAGAATGTTAAAATATTTAAGGAAATAAAGGAAAGTGTGATAATGCTATCTCACCAAATAGAAAATATCAATAAAGAGACAGACGTATTTTTTAAAAAATAAATTAAAATTCTGTAGTTGAAAAGTACAATATCTGGAATAAGACATTCACTAAAGGGGCTCAAGAACCCATTTCAGCAGGAAGAAGAATTGTAAAACTTGACGATAGGACTATTTAAATTATCCAGTTTGGAGAACAGAAATTTTAAAAAGAAGGAAGAAAAGAGGAAGGAATCTCAAACACCTGTGGGACTATCAAGCAAGCCAACATATGTGTAATAGGAGTTTCAAAAAGAATGGAGAAAGAAAAAGGGGAAGAAAGTAGATTTAAGAAAGTAATGGCTGAAACTTTTCAAAAATTTTATAAAATAAACGAATGTTACATTCTAAAAGCTCAGTAAATTCCAAGTAAAATAAACTCAAGGAGACCCACACTGAGACACATTTAATCAAAATGTCAAATATCAAAGACACAGAATCTTAAAAGCAGCAAAAGAGAAGTGACTTGTCATGTACAAGGGAACACCAACAAGATTCAAAGCTGATTTCTTATCAGAAACCATGAGACCAGAAAGCAATGGGATGCCATAATTACATTATTGAAAAAAAATTGTCAATCAAAATCCTACATTCCACCAGACTATTCTTCAAAAATGATGGAGATTAAGACTTACTGAATTAAAAATATATATAGATATATAATAAAATAAAAAAAGGCTGCCAGAGTCTATTACTAGTAAACCTGACCTATAAAAAAATGCTAAATGGAGTACTTCGGGCTAACATGAAAGGACACTGGAGAGAAACTGTAAGCTCTGTAGAGAAATAGAGAGCACAGACAAAAATAACTACAGAGGTAAATAGAAAGGACAGTATACATGTATTGTTTGTTTGTAATTCCTTTTGTTTTCCTTTCTGATTTAAAATACAACTGCATAAGAAAATAAAACATAAAAAAGGAGAGAAAGGAAGTTATAGAAAGGAAAGGTTTTTATTTACTATTTAAATTTAGTTGGTCTTATTCTGAACTGGATTATTATACATTAAGATTCTAATTATAATATCCAGGGCAACCACTAAGAAAATGCCTAGAATATGGATAGTAAAGGAAACAACAAGGGAATTAAAATAACACACTAGGAAATATCTTTTTAACACAAAAGAAGGAAGTAATGGAGGAATAGAGAAACAATAATGACATAAGACATGTAGAAAACAAGTAGCAAAATAACAGTGGTAAATTCTACCTTATTACTAATTACATTAAATGCAAATAAGTTAAACTCTTCAATTAAAAGGCATAAATTGGCAAAGTGGATAAGACATCATCCAACCGTATGCTGTCGACAAGAAACACAGCTTAAATTAAAAATCACAAATAGGTTGGAAGTAAAAGATAAACAAGACACACCATACTAATAATAATCAAAACAGAAACAGGCAGCCTATACTTATATCAAACAAAATTGACTTTGAAACAAAAATCATTACTAGAGACAAATAAGGACATGGTATAATTATCAAGGGGTCAATTCCTTAAAAGACAATAATTATAACTGTACATGAACCTAAGAAAAAAGTCCCAAAATACATGAAGCAAAAACATACAAAGTTAAAATGGAAAGTAGACAATTTAATAATAATAGCTGGAAATGTCAGTACCTTGCTTTTAATAATAAATATAACAACTATAGAGAAGATTAGCAAATAAAAGGAATTGAACAACATTGTAAGCCAATTAGACCTAAAAGACATCTATAGACCACTCCATTTAACAACAGAATGTGCAGTTCCATTGAAAATAGCATCAGAAGTGCACGTGGAAACTTTTTCATGATGGAACCTATATTAGGCAATGAAACAAATCTCAATAAATTAAAAAGGGTTGAAGTCATACAAATTATGCTCTCTGGCCATAGTGAAAGTGGAGTGAATTTAAAAATCAATAAGAGAAAGAAATTGGAAAACTTTACAAATATGTGGAAATTAAATAACCAATGGGTCAAAGAAGAACACAGTGAAAATTAAAAAGTACTTTGAGATAGAAACACAGCATACCAAAACTTAGAGTATGCTGTTAAAGCAATGCTCACAAGGAGATTTATAGCTATAATGCTTACATTAAGAAAATAGAAAAATCTCAAATTATTTACCTAACTTTCCACCTTAAGAAACTAGAGATAGAAAAGGAAATTAAATCTAAATCAAAAGAAGAAAATTATAAAAATTAGAGCAGACATAAACAGAATAGAGAATACAAAAACAATAGAGAAAATCAATGAAAATGAAAGTTTTTTAAAAAAAATCAACACATTTGACAAACATTTACCTAACCTGACCAATAAAACAAAACAAGAGAAGACTTAATTTACTAAAATCAGGAATAAAAGTCATCTAGGAAAAGAAGGAAAATGACATCTAGGTGCAAACAGTATGATCTTACCTATAAAATAAAAAACAAAAACAAACAAACAAAAAAATCTTAGGTACCTGCCAAAAAACTATTGGAGCTAATATATAAGTTCAGTAATATTGCAGGATACATGATTAATATACAAAAATCAGTCATGTCTCAATAGTCAAAGAACTATCTAAAAATATAATTAAGGGAATAATTCAATTTACAATAGCATCAAAAAGAATAATATACTCAGCAATATACATAAGAAAAGTGTAAGACTTGTATACATGAAACTATAAAAACTTGTTAAAAAAATTAAAGACCCAAATAAACAGAAAAATGCCATGTGTTAATAAATTAGAAGACCTATATCATTAAGATCATAATACTGCCAAAATTGATCAACAGATTTAATACAATTCCTATAAAAATTCATCTTTTTACAAAAATAGACAAACATTTTAAAATTCATATATAATTGCAAGAGAACCAGAATAGTCAAAACAATCTTGAAGAGGAATAATAAATTTGAAGAATTCACATTTCCTAATTTCCAATCTTTCTACAAAGCTACAGTAATAGAGACAGTGTGTTGCTGGCATAAGAATAGGCATATTTATCTATGGAGAAAAATTGAGATTCCAAAAATAAACCATATATCTATGGTCAATTGATTTCCTACAAGGGTGTTAAAACCATTCAGTGGAGAAAGAATAGTCTTTCAACAAATAATACACAAGGACAATTAAATATCTACAAGCAAAATAATAAGTTTGAACCCTTCCTCTAACCATGTACAGAAATTAACTCAAAATGGATCAAATACTTAAATGTTAAAGCTGAAACTGTAGAATTATTAAAAGAAAATATGTGTAAATATTCATGACCTTGGATTAGGCAATGATTTCTTAGATATGACACCAAAAGCACAAGCAACCAAAGAAAAGTTAGATAAATTAAACTTCATCAAAATCAAAAACTTTTTTAAATCAAATGACACTATCCAGAGAGTGAAGAGACAAGCCACATAATGTAAGAAATTATTTGCAAATCATATATCCCACAAGGCGTTAATATCCAAAATGTATAAAGAACTCTTGTAACGTAAATAAATAAATAAATAAATAACACAATTTACCAATGGACAAAGGACATTGGTAAAAAGAAATGGACATTTCTTCAAAGATATAAGATCCATAAACACATGGCAATATACTCAACATCATTAGATATTAGGGAAATGAATTGAGATATCTCTTCAAACCTTCTAGGATACCTCAAACCGAAAAATGAGAAATAAATGCTGGCAAATATGTGGAGAAATTGGAATGCTCGTATATCGCTAGTGGGAATGTAAAATGGGGCAGCCTCTGCAGCAAGCAGTTTTGCAGTTCCTCAAAAGATTAGAGTTGCCATATATCTCAGTAATTCTACCCCTAGGTATATGCCCAGGAAAATTGACAACAGGTGTTTAAACAAAAACTTGTACATAAATATCCATAGCAGCATAATTCACTATAGCCAAAAAATTAAAACAACCCAAAACCCATCAGCCAAATGGATAAACAAAATGTAGTCTGTCTGTACAACAGAATATTATTGAGCCATAAAAAAGAAATGAAGAGCTGATGTACACTACAATATATATGAACCTTGAAAACCCTGTGCTAGAAGGAAGAAGCCAGTTACAAAAGACCATACATTGTATGATTCTTTTTATATTAAATGTGCAAAATAGGCAAGTCATAGAGACAGGAAGTGCATGACAGGGGATGGGTGTCGTTGGGGGGTTTATAGATAGTGACTGCTAATGTGTATGGGGCTTTTGGGGGGTGACAAAAAGTGTTTTGGAATGAGATAATGGTGATGGTTACATGACTGTGTATATACTGAAGACCACTGAATTGTACACATTTAAATAGTTAATTTTATGGCATGTAAATTCTATCTCAATTTTCAAAAAATAAAAAGCAGAAGTCATGAAGTTATTTTGTAGAGATCACAAAGATACCTCTAGATGACGAGTAAAAGAATCAACTCTACTAAATATTATGCAAGTGGGTATATGAGGCTCAGAGTAAGTTTTCATTAATAGCATATTTTAAGAATTTAAGAATTTTTAAAAATCTCAAAACAACTTAGCTGGAAGTAATGTCAATGTACTTGAGAAAATGCTCTCCCATTACTCAAAATGCTACTTGAATTGTGACAAAGACTGATGTCAAAGAGGAACATAAAGACTAAATAAAATTGTTTTGTGAAATGGAGATTTAAGATGCTTAAGAACAGTGTTTCTAAGTTACCAGATATTTATATGTGATCATAAATATGTCTGGATAACCAAATCAATAAATATTACAGGTAAAGAAAAGAACATGAGTAACTGAGATGCTAATTCAGTAGAAAATATCTAAACTGAGACAACAAAGACAAAAGGTTACAAAATATCTTAAAAGGATATAGGAGACTCCTAGAAAATGATTTTTAAAAGTCCAATACATGAGTAACTGGAAAATCAGACAAAGAGGAAAAATAGAACATAAGAAATATTTGTCTAATATTTTTCCAAAATTGACTACAAAAAATCAAACACACACACACATACACACACGCACACACGTACTCTAGTCAAACTTATAAATATCAAAGACAAAGAGAAAAATCTTAAAAGTAGTCAGGAAAAGTGAAACGCATTACCTTCGAAAGAGCAATAATAAAAAAGATGGTGCAACAGAAATATCAGAGTCCAATGGACATTGATATATCACCCTCATACTGTTTCAGAAAATCACAGAATTTAAAATTCAATACAGTAAAAGAATATTTTTCAGAGGTGAAGTTGAAATGAAGACATATGTGATGATTCCTCAAAGACATAAAAACAGAACTACCATTCTACACAGGATTCCCATTGCTGAGCATATACCCAAAGGAGTATAATCATTCTGTTATAAAGACACATGCATGCGTATGTTCATTGCAGCACTGTTCACAATAGCAAAGACATGGAATCAACTTAAATGTTCATCAATGGTAAACTGGATAAAGAAAATCTGGTACATGTACACTCTATTAGTTTGTTCTTACACTGCTATGAAGAAATACCTGAGATTGTAATTTATAAATAAAATTTATAATTTATAAATATATATATTTATACATTATGCATATATATTTATACATATGTATTTATACATTGTAAATTTATAATGTATAAATTTATATATAAATTTATATATGTATAATATATAATTATATATATAATATATATTATATATAAATTTATGAATGTATAAATTTATACATTTATAATTTATAAAGTAATTTATAATGAAAAGAGGTATAATTGACTCACAGGTTCACAGAGCTGGGGAGCCATCTGGAAACTTACCATCATGGAGGAAGACACCTCTTCACAGGATGTCAGGAGAGAGAAGGAGTGCAAGCAGGGGAAATGCCAGACACTAATACAACCATCAGATCTCATGAGACTCACTCACTGGCACAAGAACAGCATGGGGGAAAAAAACCCCTTGATTCAATTACCTCCACCTGGTCCCACCCTTGACATGTAGGGATCATGTGGCTTTTAATTCAAGATGAAATTTTGGGTGTGGACACAGTCAAACCATATCAAACACCATGAAATACTATGCAGCCATAAAAAAGAACAAGGTCATGTCCTTCTAGCTTTATGAAGCTAGAAGCTATTATCTTTAGCAAACTAACACTGGAACAGAAAACCAAATACCACATGTTCTTGCTTATAAGTGTGAGCTAAATGATGAGAACACATGGACACATAGAGAGGAACAACACACACTGAGGCCTACCAGAGAGTGGAGGGTGGAAAGAGAGAGAGGAGCAGAAAAAGTGACTGTTGGGTATTAGGCTTAGTATCTGGGTGGTGAAATAATCTGTACATCAAACCCCTGTGACATGAGTTTACCTATATAACAAACCTGCACATGTACCCCTGAATCTAAAAGTTAAAATAAAAGAAGACATAATTAGAAAATTACTGAAGTAATTAGATACTACTAAAACTTTCACTAAAAGGTATGTAGAAATTTTTCAGATAGACAGTGAATCTCAGTCAAAGCAGAAAAATTCAGGAAGGAAAAATATAAGTTGTACCTATAATTATAATTATAGGTACAATTATATTGTGGGAATAGATATACATTATATATAATTTAAAAATAAGGCAATATAGCATAAAAGTAAGGAGGGAGGTTAAGTATCATAGTTTTTGTGTTTAAGGAGGGATAAAATATTATAGAAACTGACAAATCAAGAATATATTTAGTAATCCACAGGGCCACCAATAAATTTATAGTAAAAATAAAATGCCTACATAGGCCGGGCACAGTGGCTCAAGCCTGTAATTCCAGCCGTTTGGGAGGCTGAGGCAGGTGGATCACCTGAGGTTGGGAGTTCGAGATCACCCTGACCAACATGGAGAAACCCCATCTCTACTAAAAATACAAAATTAGCCAGGCATGGTGGCGGGTGCCTGTAATCCCAACTACTCAGAAGGCTGAGGCACGAGAATTGCTTGAACCCTGAAGGCAGAGGTTGCAGTGAGCCGAGATTGCGCCATTGCGCTCCAGCCTTGGCAACAAGAGTGAGACTCCATCTCAAAATAAAAAACAACAACAACAAAAATGCATATGTAATAAGTTAGGAGAAGAAAAAAAGGATCATAAAAATACTGGGAAAAAAAACCAGAAGAAATCAAGAAAGTAAATAAAATCAGGTCAAGGTGATCGCAAAAATATTAAGGCAGGAAATTCACATCCCCAAATACCAATGTTTACATTGCATGTAAATGGACTAAATACACAGATTAAAATACAAAAGATGTTTATATTAAGAAAAAAGTACAGATATATACAGCTTACAAGAGTTACGTCTTTAAAATAAAGTTTGATATTAAGAGAATGAAAATTATGTATCATATAAACATTAATAACAAGAGTAATGCTAATTATAATAATGACAAAGTGATATAACCATCACGTGTCAAAGTAGACTTTAAAATAGAAATGATTTATAATTTAAAATGAAACATTTCATAGAAATTAAAGGGTAGCTCCTCTGGGAAAATAAAATAACCCTAAATGTATTATCATCTCTGGACAGTCTCCAAATATATGTAATCCAAACCAATAGAACTAGGGGCAGAAATTGACAAGGAAATGATCATAATGGCGATCCTAATATATGTTACTTTGGAACTAAAACCAAAAGCAGACAAAACTATCAATTATTATGTGGAAGAGTTTGACAGCTTAACAAATCTACTCTAATTGGCATATGAAGAACACTATACTCAAATAGTATAGATTATGCACTTTTATATACGCACACAGATCCTTTATTAATATTACTCATATGTTGAGCTACAAAGCAAATCCCTACAAATGACTGAAATTAGGCATCTTACATTTTTCTCTGACTACAGTAGAGTTGTGGTAGAAGCCAGTAATTTTTTTAATAAAAAGGATAATTATGAGTAGATAATTCCCAAATAACTAAAAAATAAGCAACACAATTCTAAATAACCCATGAATCAAAGAAAAGATTCACAAAGGAAATTAGAAAATATTTTGCTGCATATGATGATGAAACTACAGGAAAAATGTGTGGGATACAGTTACAGCTGCCCCTTGAGGGAAATTTATTAACATAATTCATAAAGTCAAAAAGATTAAAGGCTCAAAAATCAATCCAAATATTTATTTCAAGTAGTTGGGAAAAATGATAGTAAATTAAGTTTAAAACAGTAGTTAAGTACAAAATAAAGATAAAATCAGAAATTAAAGAAAGAGAAGCAAACTATTATAATAAACAAACAACAGCAAATATTAGTTCTTTAGAAAGAGTAATATATTAGACAAAACCTGAAAACATTAAATAAGGTTTTTTTTTTTTAAAAGAAAAGACAGCATTGAATAAAGTTTAAAAGAAGAGAGGGAAGGCAAAATTTACATATACCAAAACACAATTGACTAAAACTGACTCAAGAAGAAATAGAAAAATCTAAAATTTCCATACTTATTAAAGTATTTGATAATTAAATCTATATTTAAAATTTCCCATGCCAAAAAAAAGACCCTCCAGGTTTCTATGACTTTACATTCTTCTAAATATTTACAGAATAGCAAGTTTCACCAAACTCTTATATGCAAAATATTCTCCCACAAAATAGAGAAGAAGCACTTCCTAACAGTCTTGATGAGGCCAGAATCATCCTGATAGCAAAACCTTCCCTGCACTTTACAGAGAAAAATGTTTGGAGACTAATAGGCTGAATTATAGTCATCCCCCAAAAAGACTAAAGGCTTAATCCCTGGAATCTGTTAATGTGTTATCTCATATAGTGGAGTTTGCAGATGTTATTAAGTTGAGCATCTGAGATGTGAAGATTAATGTAGATTATCCTGGTGTGTTCAAGGTAAGAGACACAAACATCAGAATCAGTCATAGGAGTCCTGATGACCCAAACAAGAAGTTGAAGTGATGAGAGGAGGTGCCGTGAGCCAAGGAATGCAGGTGCCCTCAAGAAGCTAAAAAAGCAAGGAACAGAATTCTTTCTTGAAGGCTTCAGAATGACCCAGCTCTGATAATATCTTCATTTTAGACTTTTGATCTCTATAACTATAAGACAAGAAATTTGTGTTGTTTTAAACCACTGTATTTGAGGAAATTTGTTATAGCAACAATAGGAAGCTAATCCAGAGAACAGTGTCTCTAATGAATATGGATCCAAAAATTACCAAAGTAAATATGAGAAAATTAAATCCATGATACATAAAAGTGAGCAATGCATTAAAATCAAGTCGAGTTTTTGCAAGGGGGCAAGTTGTGCAGAAATGCATAAGTAACAGTTGAAAATCAGTCATAAATCACCAAATTAAGAAGAGAAATCAAACGGTCATCTCAATAGATACATAACAAGCATTTGGTGAAATTCAACACCCGTTCATGATACAAAAAATACTCTTAGCAAAACTTGCATAGTAGGGAACCCCCTTAATCTAAAAATAAATCTATAAAATAAAAACAGTAAGCATCACATTGATGGCATTTTACCTGATATTGGGGATAAGACAAGCTACCACCACTTCTATTAAGAAATGTACTGGGAATTCTAGCTAGTGCAATAAGGCAAGAAAAAAAAATTATTGTTGTAAGATTGGATAAAAGTAATAAAAATTGTCACTGTTTTCTAATGATGTTTGTGTACTGTAGGTGAGAAAGTCAAAGAAGTCTACAGACAGCCCAGGAAAATCAATAAGTAAATTTACCAAGTTCACTGAATACTAGGTCAATATATAAAGTTTAATTTTATTTATACAAAGAACAATTAAGAATAAAATAAAATTTAAAAAGGCACATCTCATTGTGATTTGAATAATCTAACTTCTTAAGAAAACAAACTATATGCAAAATTCTCTACATAGAAAACTATAAAATATTATTTGAAGAAATTAAACAAATGAAAATAATGAGTTAAAATACAGAATAGTTAAATTTCAATGCTTCACAAATTGATTATGTAGATTTAATGCAATCCTAAAGAAAAGATTGGCCATCTTTTTTTGTTGGAAATTTATAAACTGATTCTAAAATTTGTATGAAAGTGCAAAGGACCAAGGATAGCCAAGACAATCATAAAGAAGAATGCAGTCTGAGGAATCACATTACCAGAAATCAAGATTTATTGCAAAGCTACAGTGATTAAGACAGCATTGTAATGCAAGGACAGGCAAGGACACCAGTGGAAGAGAATAGAGTCCAGAAACAGATACACACCCCATAGACAGATGATTTATGATCATAGCATGCCAGAGCAGTGGGAAAATGATGTTTTTTCAATAAATGATGCTGAGTCAATTGGATATGCTTATGGAAAAAATAAATCTTGCCCTCTTCACATCACACACAAAATTCATTTCCAGAGATATTGTAAATCTCAGTGTGAAAGAAGGACAATTAGGAGAACATCTTAGTGTCTTAGTGATCTTGAGTTGGCAAAGATTTCTTTAAAAGGACACAAAATGTATTAACCATACAGGAGAAGACATTAATTTCTACATAAAATTAGGAACTTGTGTTCATCAAAAGACACCAAAAAGAGGAAATTCACAAGCCAATGAATGAAAGAATATATCTGCAAAATGTATAACAGGAATCTAAAATCAACAAGAAAAAAAAAACGGACAAAAATACTCAGTAAAAATATTAGCAAGAGACTGAACAGGCACTTCACAATAGAAGCTTTCCTAAGGACCCAAAATAAGTAAAACAATGCTCACACTCATTAGACTCCAAGAAAATGCGAATTAGAATTACAGGGAGTTACCATCACATACTCATGGAAGGATAAAATTTAAAAGGTCTGACAATGTGAAGTGTTGGCAAGGATATGGAGCAATTGGAACACTCAAATAATATATGCAAGAGTGTTAACTTTTACAGCCAGTTTGGAAAACTGGTGGTCAGCATCCACTAAAGACAGACGTATGCAGGAAGTGGAATCTAGTCATTTTAATCAGGTTTATACACAACAATGCCACATGGAAATATGTACCAAACACATGTATAGAATAATCACACAGCATTATACACACTGGCCCCAAGCTGGAGGCAGCCCCGGCGCCCACCAACAGTGGAATTGTTTGAACAAATTGTGGTAGAATTACACAGTGTGGTACTCTGCAATGATAAAATATGGATGCATAAATGATTAATATACAACACCACATGAATAAATCCCACAAATACAATATTGAGTAAAAGAAACAGACATAAAATAATTCATGCTATATGGTTCAATTTGTATAAAATTTGAAACAAGCAAAAGTAACATAGGGGCCAGTAGTCAGAAGAAGGTGTTACACTTTGCAAAGAAGGCGGTCATGACTGGGAATGAGCATGGGGATATTTGGAACCCTGAGGATGTGGTCATCTCGATCAGGATGGTGACTTCAGGGGTGTGTTCATTTTGTGAAAATTGACTGAGCTCTGCACACAACACGCTTCTGATTTATGCATGTTCCTGTTTATGTTACATTACAATTAAAAATTAGTTAAGAATTTTTAAAAAATAATAAAAAAGCTTAGGGTGAGGGTAAATTTTCTCATTTCACAACAGACATCTTAGGTTTGAGATACGCGGGAGCCTTTGAGTAGTCATGTCCAGCAGGTTCCTGAGTTTATGACTGTGGTGCAAGGAGAGAGTCCCAGGCTGTAGACAGAAATTCAGAAGTTGCAGCCATATGTGAATAGCTGAAACCATGTGTGGATGAGGCCCACTAATGTGTCCAGAGCAAATGGATAGAGAAGATGCATGACTATGAACCCTGTATTAGCATCCGACATGGTTCTCCAGAGAAACAGAACCAGTAGAATATTGTGTGTATTGTACAACAAAATAAAAATAAAATAAATAAAAATAAATTTAATAGAAGTAGAAATTTGAATCAATAAAAGAGATTGCAAGAAATTGGTCCACGGGACTCTGGGGGTAGGCAAGTCTGAGCTCCGTAGGGCTCGGGGGCAGCAGTGATGCTGTGGTCTTCAGGCAGAATTTCTTCTTTTCCAGGGAAGCTTCAGTTACGCTCTTAAGATCTTCAATTGATGGGATGAGGCCCATTCACACTATTCAGGGTATCTCCTTTATGTACCATCAGCTGATGGTGGATGTTACCCACATCTACAAAGTACCCCCACATTGACATCCAGATTATTGCTTGATCAAATAACTGGGCACCACATCCTAACCAAGTCGACACACAAAACTTGCTGACGGCTGGGTGCAGTGGTTCACACCTGTAATCCCAGCACTCTGGGGGGCCAAGGTGGGTGGATCATGAGGTCAGGAGTTCGAGACCAGCCTGGCCAATATGGTGAAACCCCATCTCTACTAAAAATACAAAAATTAGCCAGGCATGGTGGCACGCATCTGTATTCCCAGCTACTTGGGAGGCTGAGGCAGAAGAATCGCTTGAACCCAGGAGGCAGAGGTTGGAGTGAGCCAAGATCATGCCACTGAACTCCAGCCTGGGCGACAGAGTGAGACTCTGTCTCAAAAAAACCAAAAAACAACAACAACAACAAAAAAGCCTCACTGCCACAGGCCTTTCTGGTCCTCAGCTCGAAGGTCATCTTTCCAGAGAGACTTTCCCTGAACAGTGGCCATCCCTCCTTAACTGTCACCTGTCATTCTATTGGCAACCTACAGATTTTCTTTAAAGTAGTTATAGCCAGCTAAAATTGTGTGTGTGCATGCGTGTGTGTGTGTATGTGAATACTCTACCTGACCTGTCTTGTTTTCTTACTGTGTCCCCACCATGAGAGGAGTGGCTATGACCCGCAGCAAGATCCCCCTCAACAGGCAAGTCCAGCAGCCACCAAGAATTGAAAGGACTCAGGAGAACATTTCCTTCTGTCCAGAGCTCACGTCTCCCTGGAGCCACAGCAAAGTGCCTGGTGTTCTGGGTGGCGCCCCCACTGTGAGGGAGACAGCAGCGCTCAAGGGCATCTTGGTGTGCGATTGGGTTGTCCGAGTCCTTCCCGCCAGCTGACTGTCTACAGCGTCTTCTGTCCCCGTGGGGTTTTCTAACTCCATCATCCTGTGCCATGTTGAGTCATCGCACAGGTCAGGGGCCAGAAGAAAGAGCCTATCCACCGCGACTCTCGGCTTTCATTGCAAATTTGGAAATAAAATGAAAAGCATCTGCCACATTTTGTCTAGCCAGTCATGACTGTTTAGAAGAATTAGCTGCGAATTAGTCTGTGCTCTGCATCTTTCTCCCCATCAGTCATTTCTGAAATGAAATTAGGGAAACAATGAAAGAATGAGGATCTGATCACAACTGTCTGACATCTGCCTCCAACACTGCATTAGGAAGCTCCAGAGAGAGCGGAGGCAGGTACGCCAGGATACACCAGCAAGAAACGGAAGAGAGTGACTTAGGCAGTGCACACCAGCTCTGTCTTCCAGAAGACGGCGGGTGATATTCTTCAGTGTCTCAGATGGATTGGTAGGTAGTTCTCGGGGAGGGGGCTCAGTGGCAGGGAGTTAGTTCCTGGGGAGGAGGCTCAGTGGCAGGGAGTTTCCCTCAGGGGAGCAGAAGAAGGCAGCATCTGAGACAGAAGTGGCCTCCTGGGAGCATCATCACTGCACAGCATTCAGAAGACCGCATCACAACAGTCCACCCCCGGCCTCCACCCCCTTCCCCCACCCCCTGCCAAACTAACAACTAACAACAAACAGCACAAATCAGCCTTGGTGTTAGGTTGGGGCTGTCGTTGTGGAAAGTCTGCCTCTCATGAGCACAAGCCCCATTCCATACCCCACCTAAGGGTGCCTTAGAGTCAGGTCAGAAAGACCAAATGCGTACAGGTACAGACCAAATGGGTACAGGTTAAAGTGGGCATCCTTGCATTCCTCCTGGGAGAATTCTTTTGGGGGCTGTTTAAGGGGCACATAGCACATGCCACCCCCATCTTGAGGCATAGGGCGCAGGGATGAGTAACAGAGCAGCGTCCTTTCGTTCCAGCAGTGCTTGGGCATGCTGGTATGGTGTCAACGTACCATTACGGGTGGGACGTGCCGAAGGAAAGAAGATACTTTGGGAGCTCCATCTATGTCTGGGGAGGTGGCTCTGTGAAGGGAATGCCTTCGAGCCATCCAAGAAAGACAGCACCAGACGTTTGTTAAAGGAGGCAGCAGATTTTATTCAGACTATTGCAGTAGGGGAGAGAGACTCCAGTGTGAACTGAGCTCAACTCCACTGAGACAAAGGTGACTGAGGCTTTTAAAGCAAGAGCAGAGACAGAATAAACAGGCTATGAAGAACAAAAAAAGGACGAGGGGTGATTTGGGAAAATGGAAAATTCCAGATTGGGCACGGTATGATCTGCATGTTAGTGTCACCCCAGATTCCCGTGTGGAAACCTAATTCCCAATGTGATAGTGTAAAGAGATGGTGCCTTTAGGGGGTGATTAAGTCCTGAGGGGGAGCCCTTAGGAGTGGGATTAGCATCCTTATGAATGGGAGCACTCTCACCCCTCCCCCCACATGAGGACGCAGCCAGGAGGCACCCTCATCAGACACTGAATCTGCTGGCACCTTGATCCAGGACTTCCAGGCTGTGGAAGCATGAGAAATGAATGCCTGTTGTTGATGAGTCCACCTCCCCCACCACCCCATCCCCAGTCTACAGCATTTTGTTAAAGCAGCCTGAATGGACGGGTAAGTGGGGAGTGACTGGAGGGGGTTGGTTTGGCAGTGTGGCTTAGGACAATGCACCTGGTGTGGTTTGGTAGTGTGCTTTCTCTTGCACAAAGATTCAGAGCAGGGCTGGGGCCGCCTTTCGGGATGCAGCCTAGTGCATTCCTAACTCTGATCCATGAGCCGAGTGTGCCACCCCTTCCTCTCATTCCCCCACAACTGGTCATTTCTAGCTTTCTTCCTCTCTGTTAGAGAAAAAAAATCCATTTTGCCCATCTCTTGAAACTCTTGGTGACCTTATAGTCAGAGTATTCTTCCTATTGCAATAGTCTCTCCTCTTCTCCCACCCCTCAGCAATAATCCTTCTCAAAGTAACTCCTTACTGACATAGGGGAGGAAAAGATAACTTTCCCTCTCCCCTTCATAGTTCTTAGAGGGGACAGATCCCTGTTACAAAAGACAGATTAGCAAGAGAAGAATGAACAGAAGTTGATTAACCTCATGCATATGTGAGAGATGCCCAGAGAAATGAGCACAGCTCTGAGAGGTGGCTTGGGGGTCAGGGTTAGGGCTTAGGGTTAAACACTTCTGTCTTCAATAGAAGCACAAAAGGGTGCTGAGGGCTGGTTATTGAGAGGTGACCAGGACCAACACAGCAGGGACAGTGAAGTTTGTGATGGTGCCTCTCCATTTGCAAGTCTCGTGATTTAGGGTCTTTCTCTTTCTGGTGCAGAGAGAGAGAACCTTCACAAATGGGGATCTCCTTTATAGATGTAAATTTCCCTGGTGAAAAGATCATTTCTACTTTCTTCTCAGAGCTTCTCCTGTGTCTACATTTTCTCAAAAGAATCAGCTCAAAATCATCCTTATGTCAAAGAGGCGTATTTTGGGTATCAGACCCTGGTGTCTTACAGCCATCGTTTGAGGTGACATATTCTGGTCTCCTACACCAAGTCTGGATTTATTTTTTGTTTGACACATGTCTGTTGAACACCTGAAATTTGCTAGCAAGACTGTGGCACATTATTTTATTATATTGTAGTTTAATTTAAATAGTCACATGTGGCTGTTGTTGGCTCCCTGCTGGGAGAGGACAACTTTAGTGGAGGAAAATGGGGCATGAAGAGACGAAGCTCCCTGATGCAGCCTTCCCAGCTGAGCAGTGATGGGGCTAGAATGCGCCCCAGGCCTGGCCACAAGAGGCTTTAGTGCTGCTCCACGCTGCATCTCTTACTGAACCCTGTTAGGTTCACTCCTCAGTATCCCTAGAGGATGGGTTCCAGGACTTCCTATGGATACCAAACCCTGAGGAGGCTCAAGTCTCTAGTATAAAATGAGATAGTATTTGCACATGACCTATGCATATGCCCACGTGTATGTCACATCATCTCTAGATTACTTTTAATACCCACTACAATGCTTACACATCACTCCATTCACGTGGATTCAACGTAGGACTCTGTGTGAGGCAAATTCAAGTTTTTCTTTTGGGAACTTTGTGGAATTGTTTTTTTCTGAATATCTTTTATCTGCAGTTGGTTAAATCTATGGATGTGGAACTGAGGGATACCAAGGGCTGATTGTACAGAGTCATAAAATCAGTCCCAGAGGGGACAGAGAAGTGGTACCCAAAGCCCCCTTTACTGAATTCCCCTTCAGCCTCTGCAGGGGACACAGGAGTCCTCCACAAGGACAACAGGGTCGGGGACCATTCTCCTGGAAGGACAGGTGGCTCAGATCTGGATTCTTTCCCTCTCCTCAAACCCCATTGTGTGTCTAAACCCCGCCCCTGAGCTTTCATCCTTTGTTCCACAGAGAAATGCAGATTTTAAAAAAATCCCTTGGAGAATGCTTTGAGATAAGAACAATTTATGTCTCAAACACATTAGCAGAATAAAGCCTTATATTTCAATGGCTCCTTTCACTAAGAGCTCAGAATCCATTGCCCATTGTCTAGCTCTGAAGCACCCAGGACCGGGTGATAGGTGGTAAACCATTCTTTGCCATGAAGCATCAGCTGCAACTGAAATGGGATTTATGCCTTAAGCTCAAGGTCGGAGTGTGGAAGACACTCAGAGAAGGTTGAGCTATCACACTGTCTGCAGCTTGGAATTTGCCACTCAGGGCAAGAGGAACATTGTCCTCAGGTTGGGGGATCAAATTCTCGTTGTGGCTTCAGCTGACCTGCAGTGGGCTTGGGCACAAATTCCCTAACTTCCTTGAGTTCAGTTGCCTTTACTTGTGTAAATAAAGCAAAGTAGGTATCTCTTGCCTACTTTTTTAATTCAATAGGTAGACAAGAAGGAGAAAATAAATTGTGACACTATGAAAATTAAGGAAACGAGAAGTTGTTACAGGTGTTGTTCCTGAAGCACAGTCTGGTCAGTCTCCTTCCAGCCAAGCCTTGAGGGAGAGGGCTGTTCCTGGGGGGCCCAGGGAGCAGGGGATAGCGGGGAGCTGGCTGAGAGTGCAGCCCTACAGGCCAGCTCTGTGGAGCAGTTTGTGCTGCAGGGTTGATCCCTCTAGGAAGCCAGGGTCCCAGCATTTTGTACCGATGTCCTTGGGCTTTGGCTGAGGTCCTCCTGACAGGCCGGGGGATGGAAAGGTGGGGCAGCTCCTGTTCTTTGAGAAAGGCAGTTCTCCAGAGAAGGGGACACCCGGGGGTTGTCAGCCAGTAAAGTGAGATGCGCAGGACACAGCAGCACCTATGATGGCCGCTTTTCAGTACTTTTGTTGGTTTTCTATTGAGTCACTTCGTTCGTGTCTTCCACACAAGAAAGTGAATGACCATTTTGCGTGATACTCAGCCCCTGCAGAGCAGTGCCTTTCACATAGTTGGTGTCTATTAAGAAATAACAGGGCCAGTCATGGTGGCTCACACCTGGAATCCCAGCACTTTGGGAGGCCGAGGCGTGTGGATCACCTGAGGTCAGGAGTTTGAGACCAGCCTGGTCAACATGGTGAAACCCCATTTCTACTAAAAATACAAAAATTATCTGGGCGTGTGGCAGGAGCCTGTAATCTCAGCAACACAGGAGGCTAAGGCAGGAGAATAGCTTGAACCGGGGAGGTGGAGGTTGTAGTGAGCTGAGACAGTGCCATTGCACTCCAGGCTGGGCAACAAGAGCAAAATTCAAAAAAAAAAAAAAAGAAAGAAAGAAATAACAGGATGGATAATGAGGTGGACAACCAGATGGAAGGACAGAAGGAAGAATGGGTAGGTGGACAGATAGCTATATAAATGAGTGGACAGAAGGAAGAACAGGTGGGTGGACGGACAGCTATATGAATGCGTGGATACCCCAGGGCATTAGGAAGGCATTTTAAGCCTTCTCACACCCCTACTGATTCTCACAATGGTGTTGTGGGTACGCCTGGGGAGATTATGTCACTTTTTTGACTTTAGGGGCTGGCGGACACTGGTTCACCCAAAACCCAGATCAGGGGCTCAGTCACCATGCAATTACCTGCCTAGGGCCATTGACCAAAAGCAGCCATCACACCCATGAGAGGTGCCAGAACTAGCAAATAAAAGTGCAGTGTTTGGGACCTATTTAGACTAAAAATTTATTTGTTGCTTCTTTGAAATTCAAATTTAACAGAGAACTCTGTATTTTATCTGGCAATTAATAAGACACATAAAAGATATTCAATAAATAGGAAGGGACTTGGGCCTGCAAGCCACCTGTTTCTACCCTTCACCTGCAAGGATGGCTTTTCTAGGACCAAGGCCGAATGCAGGGCAGAGCATAACGGAGAAGCACCAGCTGTTTCACTCACAGCACTGTCATCTGAGGGTCCTATGCGCAATGTGAACTATCTACATTCTCATGAATTGTCTCTAAGTAGCAAGCGCATTAGAAGCAGCAGAGGCCAAGATCTCGATGTTGCCCCTTGCTTGACCTCAAGGACTGTCTCTAGTAAGTAAATGCATCACCTAATCTGTGGTGCCTCCTGCCAAGAACCGTGTTTTTTACCAAGAAGAGGGAAAAACAAATGTAATATTGCAAGCAATGCAAAGCCCCTCAATAATACGTATTAAGGGTGGTTGAAGGCCCAGATTATTTTATTCTTTATGTTAAGTAAGATCATTTTCAAGGGTACTAAACTAATTAAAACATCCACATTTCTCTCAGGAAAGCCCCTTTCCCAATGAGGCCTTATTGGTTACAAACCACGTCTGTCTTTAGGCATGCACTTAGAGATGGATGCTGTATTATCTATTGCACATGGCCAGGATGTATTGGATATTTGATAGAGGAAATGTCCAGCTTTTAGGAAATCCAATTCCATTAAATGCAGCAAATATCCATTGACTGTCTATGACTGCCCATCATTTTGATATGCAGCTGCTCTTCAGGATTATTTTTCAAACTAGAGTATTCATTAGTCAAGAAACAAGATTTCCAGCGGAAACTTTGGTCAAGCCATTGGACATTTATAGAGCCGCTTCTCTACCTTATTCCTCCATCGGGGCTGCTGGAGAGGCATGATCAGAGTCAAATGGACTGTCATCTCATGAGTGAGTATGGTCTCCTGGTAGAGATAACCATAAAGAGGGACTCAAAAAGGCCCCAGTAATGCTGGGGTGGAGCAGGAAAAGGCAGGGGAGAGTTGTCGGCAGACAGATCTGGAATCTGGCAGCAGGAAGTGGCCCTGAGCCTCTGAATGGCAGGGCATGTGCTTTGTATTTGTCTCCCCAGCACTGGGTCCTAGCCGAGCACCAGGTGGCAGACAGTGAACCTGCACTGATGGCCGCTGTGGATAAGGGATGCATAGGAGCTCAGCAGGTGCAGGAGCAGAAGAAGGCTGCATTTCAGAGGCCAGTGACAACACAGCTAACAGTGCAGGGAAAGATGGGCTTGGGGGCCAACGATAATAATGATAAATTTGCCCATGTACCAGTGAAATCAGATGAAAGGTGTGTGTGTGTATGTGTGTGTGTGTATATGTGTGCATATGTGTCTGTGTATGTGTCTGTATGTGTGTGTTTGTATATGTGTGTATATGTTTATGTGTGTATGTATATGTGTGTATGTGTATATGTATGCATGTTTATGTGTGTGTTTGTGTGTATATATGTGCGTATATGTGTGTATATATGTGTTTATGTATGTGCAAGTTTGTGTTTATGTGTGTGTATATGTGTTATATGTGTTCATGTTTGTGTGTATATGTGTTTGCATGTTTATGTGTGTGAACGTTTATGTGTGCACATGTTTATGTGTGTATGTGTGCATATGTGTTTGCACGTTTGTATGTGTATGTGTGTGCATGTTTTGTGTGTGTGTGTGTGTGTGTGTGTGTGTTGCTTTGCTATGGCTGCTGGAACAAGGTACCACAGCTTGGGTTGCTTGAAAAAACAAAAATTTATTGTTCCATGGTTCTGGTGGCCAGAAGTTGAAGATCAAGGTGGTAGCAGTGTTGGTCCCTTCTGTGTCTGGGAGGCAAAAGCTGTGCATGCCTCTTCCCAGCTTCCGTGTCTGGCTGGCCTCTTTTGCATTCCTTGGCTTATAAATGCATCACCCTGGTCTCCACCTCCACAGTCCCATGGCGTTCTCACTGTTTTTTGTCTCTATGTCCAAATTTCCCCCTTTGATAACGTCACATTAGAGCAGCGCTCATCCTCCTGTAGCATGACTTCATGTTAACTAATTACATCTGCCGTGATTTTATTTCCAAATAAAGTTCCATGCTGAGGAACTGGGGGTTAAGACCTCAACATATACATTTTGGGGGGACACCATTCAACCTATAACCCTGTGTGTGCTTACTTCTCACATGTCTGTATTTGGCTTTCTTCTACTCCTGCAGAGGTGAACAGTATACCGGGGAGGACTGAGTTGTAGCAAGAGGAAGAGCAATCATAAAAACCGGCCCTGATAATGTGCTTACTCTGTGCTTGGAACTGCTCTCAGCATTTTACAGGCTCCAATTCATTTAATCATCAGTACAACCCTGCAAGATAGATGCTAGTGCTCTCTATTTTACAGCTGAGGAAACTGGAGTGCAAGCAGGTTAAGCAAGTCTTCCAGGATCACAGACAGTAAATATAACATATGCATAATTTCCCGTGTTGCTGTGGAGGAGAAGGAAGGCGGGCTTGCCAGGTGGTCACCAGCCCCAGCAAGGGCATGGGGATCCAGCAGCCACAGGTTGATGGGTGGATGCCCAAGGGAGGATGAAGGTTAGAGCCAGACCTCCGCGGATCTGCACACAGTGATGTCGAGTAAGGACCTTTCTTTTGCATTGTGCTTGCCAAGACCACAGGTCAGGGAGGCATCAGCTGTGGACACTCTGTTAAAGAAAATGATTCAATGGCACTCGCTAAAGTTCTGTAAGGAAGACTTTATTAGGACCATCACAATAGGTGGAGGGACTACCAGGATGAGACCTTGTCATAGGCAGAAAGATTGGGCTCAATCCCAAGTACAGCATGGGAAAGTGGGGATTAGTAGCCAAGGAGAAGGGTGGGTTCAGGGGCTGAAACATGAATGAGAGGGGATATCAGCAGTGAGTAGGACTCACAGTAAAGCAGCCTAATGGGATTCTTGCTGAGGACAGGCCAGGGTGACTGGCATCACCTGGGGGCTGCAGGAAGATCAGGAGCCTGATCAGGTATCAAGGGTGATCAGATATCGAAGGTGGGGGTTATTGGTAAAGTAACTTACTGAAGTTCTTGGTAAACCTGGATTTTGGAAGGAAGTGCACAGGTGGGTCTGGGGGAGGTGCAGGAGCCTGGCTAACATTTGGTGAAGTGGAGAATCTTTGTCAACCCCAGCAGGTTGGGATGCAAGAACCTAGGTGGACACCAGCGAAAAGCAGGGTGAGAAACCTCAGCCACGCATTGCTGTTGGAGCACAGATGTCACCTAACCCATGAGGAGACCCTGCCTGTAGCACCCACCACTTCATCCAGGGAGGGAAACAGAGGGGAAAAGACAGAAGTTGTAAGTCAAGGAAGCGCCTTCCCGAGAGACCTGAGTCTTGAATTTTGCATTAACTCCAAAGAAACCGAGGTAACCATAGACACCTTGTTAAGCCAAGAGAAGCAGATACCTTCCATTGCCAAACCCTCCCTTCCCGGCCCTCTTCCCCTTCCCGGCCCTCTTCCCCTTCCCTATTCACTGGAGAAGGGACACAAGAGAGACCATGCCAGCCACGGGAAGTAAAGCAGAGCCTGCCCTTGCCTGGCCTTCTGAATTGCAGAGCGAACCCTTTGACCCCACTACACCAGGCCCCACACTGGGATTTGAAAATCTGGCAGGGCCTGTAGCTGGTGGGAGGACAAGATGCATGTCTAGGAGGTGGTAGGGGTGGGGTAGGAAGTTCCATGTAAAGTTGGAACAGGTGTGTGCAAACTGAGGGGAGCAGACGATAAGTTTCAGAACGTCAACTCCAGTGGACCTCCGCTGTCTTTCTTGGGCCCCACACAGACAGATTCAGTGAAACTCATGATGATATTAAGCTGCCTTGAAATGTTCTTGGAACACATGGATGGTAAAGCCACATGGCGTGGCAGAGGGCGACACTGCCTGACCTCACCCAGGGGGACTCCTTCCGGTGGGTTTGCAAGACATGGTGAGATTCAAGCCTGTAGATCTTCCATGCTGCCATGTTCATCCTCTGTCCTTCAGGAAGAAAGAGATCTATGTATTCAGAGAGCAAGTCTTGAGCCCCTACCTTGAGCTGGGTGATTGTTAGATGCTGAGGGTCATTGCAGAAAGGTAAGCACAGGATGAAGTGGTCAGGTTTTCACAGTGGAGGCTTTCTGTCACCTGGCCAGAAAGACTTAGAGGGGGTAAGGTTGAGGTGAGGAGATTAGTGAGGGGCTCTAGCAATTGTGCAATACAGAGCTGACAGCAGTGGCACTGGGAATGCAAAAGAAAGTGAGACAGAAGAGACATTTTTCTGGCTGGCCTCGGCCAAGCTGTGCATTTTGATGCAGGAACATCTTTACAGCTTCACCCCAAGTTCTCCATCACTGACAACTCCTTGGACGGAAAAGCATTTCTCAGATGACCTCAGTACGGCTGCCTTTCATTGCAGAAAATAAATTTTTGATGCTTCACTGGCACTTTGGGAAAAAAGTGAGATTCCAAGTCAGGGAAGGTGGACTATTGCTCTTGTCTTCAGGAATTGCATGGCGAATAACTTCCTTTAGGTCACTTTGGGTGTTTCCATCCTATCCATTAGCGAGAACGTGACTATTTCCCCCCCCACCACCCATTAATCTAGAATTCTTAAATCTGAGTCATCATTCAAAACTTGGGGTAACAGTTGACATCATTGATGAATCTGTCTGGGAAATTGTATTATGACAGTGCTTTCTCTAATACTCCATCAGAAAAAAATCATTTGGTTCCTCATACAGTTCTTGCTCTGTCAAGATTCAACATCTCCCATAACCCTGCCATTGATCAATATTAAGCTAGATTCTTAAGTGCATTTTTAATGACTTTTTGCCATCGTTGGGAACAACTGGATGGAACAAATGTAGGCCATTCTTGCCTGCTCTGGCCATCTGTTTCCATCTCAGGCTCCTGGAGGTTTTTCTTCAGTTGCTTTGTGTCAGGCAATTGTTGGAGTTCGTGGAAATGGACTCAAATTGAGGTTTAGATAAATCGAAAGTTTAAAACACAAATCATTGAAGTTGTCCTGGAACTTAATTGCCTCTTTGCCATCTGACATTTCTCCTTCTCTATCGAACTATGGTGATATCACTCAAAAAGTTCCAGCCGACTCTGCATGCCTGCAAATGAGGGATTGTAGAGTTCCTCAAAATCCAGGGCTAGCAGATAATCAGAACAGGAAAGGAGACAAGAGGCCAGGCAGTGCGTGGTTTCATCGGCAAGAGAATAAAATGGAGGGCGGATGGGGCATGGCGGGGGCTGCACAAACAAGGGGACAAAAGCCCAAGCATTCTGACTTCTGATTCTGTGTTTTTTGTACTCCTCTCCCAATGTTTCTGCAGCCAGTGCTCCCAGAAGTGTCTCAGTGCCTATAAGGATGTGTCCAGTGTGGGGTGCAGTTCTATACCAAAGCATTAGACAGAGTTTGGTCCATGTTTGACTTAGAAAATAACTGCAGAAATGCTCCACCTTTTTGTTGCCTTCTGAGATGTAAAAGGGATTATTAAGCCTCCCAAACAGGAAGGGAAGTTTAAATGGAGTACCATGGATTATAATCTTCCCCAAGGTCTTGCTCAAGGAAAAGATGTTCAACTCTTACATAATGCTATGCTTCAAAAAGACTTTCCAATTCATCACGAGGGGCCGCCAGCAGAGTTAGGGATCAGGATCCCTGCGTTAAAATATAGATTCTACAGTGATTTGCTGCAGACACTGGGACAGCCACCCAACTCCGCTGGGCTTTGATTACTCATTCTGTAAAACAACACCAAGACTTAGCGAAGGCACCTTCAAGATCTAACATCCTATAATTTTACTTCCTTTGACTCTTTTTTAAAATAAGAATCTGTGGGAGAAAAGTAACTGGCATTCTCACCTTTGCCCCAACCACATGCTCAGATTCGGTCCACTGGCATTGGTGAAGCCCACCCCATCAGGGCTGTGCTTGCTCTGATGCTGCCTCTAAGTGCCTTTCCAAATCCTACTTGCGTTCAAGCCCTTACCCCTCTGCAGATGAAATCCACCCCAAATATACGTTATTTTAGTTGCTAACTCTTCTGGAATCCCTCCTGGGACCTTCCCAGAGCTTCACTGAGCTCCTCTTCTACTGAATACTTAGAAGCAAAAATGTCTTTGCTCTCAGGTAGCCTCAAGTACACACTGGGTGGTCTTGGTCACCTTTTCCTACTTTTGCATTCTGTTGTAGAGAAGATCCTTGTCTTCTTAATTACTTTTAACAGTGACTCATTTGTTTGGTGTTTTGTCTTGGCATTTTTCTATTTTTTAAATTTTTTGAGATGGAGTCTCCCTCTGTTGCCCAGGCTGGAGTGCAGTGGCCGGATCTCAGCTCACCACAACCTCCACCTCTCGGGTTCAAGTGATTCTCCTGCCTCAGCCTCCCTAGTAGCTGGGACTACAGGCACGTGCCACCACACCTGGCTAATTTTTGTATTTTTAGTAGAGATGGGGTTTTGCCATGTTGGCCAGGCTGGTCTCGAACTCCTGACCTCACGTGATCTGCCCGCCTCGGCCTCCCAAAGTGCTGGGATTACAGGCGTGAGCCACCACACCCGGCCTGTCTTGACATTTTTAACATAAAAATGGAGGAAACCGTTACACAGTAAAACCTCGAGCATAGAGGAATAGATGATTATTACTAGGACTGTGTTAGAAGTTTATTCCTGAGTCCAGGCTGGTGCAGGAAGAGGAGGATGACTGTATGACATTGGCTCTAATTGTAACACTCTTATTCTCATAAAGCCAGGCAGATATATAAATCCTGGTATCTTAGTGGTAGGTGGTGGAGGGAGAAAGAGTGGATCAGAGAAGCATAAAACTACAATTTCAAGAAAGAAGGCCAAGTTGTCTATTTATTCATCCACCCATCCATTCACCCACCCATACATCGACCCACCCATCCATCCACACATCTGCACATTCATCCATTCACATCAAATCCACTGGGATTCTGTTGAATATACAGATGAATCTGGGGATAATTTACATCTTGGTTTCAAAGTATAGGTTTTATTATTTTTGATCTACATTCATCCACTCATCTAACACGTATGTTTAAGCACTTTTTTCATGTCACTACTAGGCTTGGCTCTAGTTGTGCAGAAATGACAAAGATATAAACTGAATATTATTAAAATATAGAGAAATTGTGGTTTATTTATGAGTAGATGACTGATAACTAAATTAAAAATTCCAGTGCTAAAAATGGACTTGCTTCCCTGAGTTTATGACTGTCGGGGTATACCACAGGTACGTTTCCAGAACAAGACCACCTCCCAGTGAGTTTTGGTCCATATAAATGCCTTAATATATTGACTAGGAACAATATTTTTTAAAATTAAATACACCTTGCATACAGGTAAGGACACAGCTCATAAGTATACAGTTTAGTGATATTCACAAAGCATAAACTCTCATGAAACCAGTACTCAAGCCCAGAAATAGCACTACCCACTCTCCACAGGCCTGATTCTAGTCACCAAGGGTAACTGTTGTCTTGGCTTAAAAGATGAATTTGTTTTGTTTTCATTTTGTACTTTATATGTACTCTTTGCATCTAGAATCTTTTCTTCAACAATGTGTTTGTGAGAATCACTCTTATTGCACTTTCTATTGTGTTCCACTATATCTTATACTACAATTATTTATCCATTCTACTATATATTTTTTTTATTTGAGATGGAGTCTCGCTGTGTCGCCCAGGCTGGAGTGCACTGGCGCCATCTCAGCTCACTGCAAACTCCAAGTTCACGCCTTTCTCCTGCCTCAGCCTCCTGAGTAGCTGGGCCTACAGGCACCCGCCACCACACCCGGCTAATTTTTTGTATTTTTAGTAGAGACGAGGTTTCACCTTGTTAGCCAGCATGGTCTCAATTTACTGACCTCGTGATCTGCCCACCTCAGCCTCCCAAAGTGCTGGGATTACAGGCGTGAGCCACCGGGACCAGTCCTCCATTCTACTATTGATGAAACTTCAGATTGTTAGCAGTTGTAGTTATTGCAAACAGTGCTGCCTTGAACATTCTTGCATACGGCTTTGGTGCATGGCTGCATGTATTCCTTTTGGGCATCTTCCTAGGAATGTCATTGCTGGCTCACAAAGGGTGTGTGTATTTTCGGTTTTAGTGAATACTCCTAAAGGGTTCTAAAATCTTTATACCCATGTGCATTTCCACCCACAGTGCATGTAAGTTCCAATTGTTCTACATTCTTGCCAACGCTCAGATTGCCTGTTATTTTAATTTTAACCTTGAAAGTATAACAAGTATTTTTTATTGTTAGTAGTATTAACTTTGTGTCTAACAACAACAAAAATACCCATACATTTAGGAAAGATGTGAAAAAAAGAATGTTAAAAAATGTTCAATGACCTATAATCTCACCACTTAGCAAGAACAACAAACCTGAATTTTCAGGATATTTTTATCAACTTTGTTATCTATAGACATATGATATCAATTTAAGAACAGTATTGGGGTTACCTTACATATGGTCATATAGCCTTAAGGTTTTTTTTTTTCGTATAACATTATACAATCAGTGTATTCCCAATCTGTTAGATAGTCTTTGAAGTTGTGACTTCCATAGAAACAATATTTATTAGGAGAATTGTACTATAATTTATTTATCTATACCCTAATAAAGGTTAAAATTAAGCATAAAAAAGAAAATAAATCTAACTTATATCAAGGAAATCCAATGCATCTCAGAACAGAGCACAACAATATTTACAGAAACACAAAAATATCCAGCACCCAACAATTTAAAATCACAGTGTCCATAATCCAACAAAAATTACCAGTCATGCAAGGAAGCAGAAAATATCAACCCAAATAGAGAAAAATATAAGCCAATGGAAGAAGAACCAGGAAGAACACAGATAATAGAATCAATATTCTATTACGATTCCCCAAGAAAATTTCTAGGGGAAAACATACAGAACATTTTTTTGTTTTAGTTTAGATAAGGCATGGATTTTTTTGTTTTGTTTTGTCTTGTTTTTACATAAGACACAAAAGCATAACCTATAAGCTAATCAGATAGTAAAACAACTATATAAATACAAGCCAGGAGTGCAAAAGGTCAAGGAAAACATGAATAAGATTAAAAAAAAAAAAGCTACTCTAACTAATAATAAACTTAGCAAGTTTTCAGGATACAAGGTAAGTATACAAAATCTATTTTATTTTTATATACTAGCCACGAAAAATTCCATATTGAAGATTTAAAATGACCATCTTAGTTCCAAATAACATGAAATATTTAAGAATAAATCTAATAAAATATGTGCAAGATGTGTGCTATAAGCAACAAAGCACTAATCAATGAAATTTTAGGAGACCTAAATAGATAAAGAAATCTCATGTTCATGAACTGAAAATTTAATATTTTAATAATTGCATTAATATTTTCTTATTTTCTTTTTCTTTTCTTTTTTTTTTTTTTTTTTGAGACAGAGTTTTGCTCTTGTCAGCAGGCTGGAGTGCAGTGGCGCGATCTCGGCTCACTACAACCTCTGCCTCCCGGGTTCTAGCGATTCTCTTGCCTCAGCCTCCAGAGTAGCTGGGACTACAGGCATGGGCCACCACACCTGGCTAATTTTTTTATTTTTAGTAGAGACGGGGTTTCACCATGTTGGCCAAGATGTTCTTGATCTCCAGAACTTGTGATCCGCCTGCCTCGGCCTCCCAAAGTTCTGGGATTACAGGCATGAGCCACTGTGCCTGGCCACATTTTCTTATTTTCTATATTCCTAGTGCTCCAGCTTATGAGGACTCCCTAAAGGGGGAGAGATTCCCAGGGCCAGCCAGTAATTAGATAGCAAACAATTCACCCAGAAGTAAAGCTTTCATGGGAAAACTAACAAATCCAGGGCCCATACTCAGGACCACTTTCTCTATCTGGTTCTTTAATTCCAGGAAACAATATTCCTCTGCTCTAGTCATCCCAGGGCCCAGTAAGAGACAACCTATACCCCAAAACCTGCTGAAGTTATTCAAACTAGCCAATCCTAAGCCTGCTTACTTGGCTTGGCTTTGCCTGTCACCTGGAAACCACAATAGAAGCTCCTGCTCCTGCTTTTCTCCAGCTCCTTCTGCCTCCTGACTGCTCCTGGTATTTTCCCCTGTGGCCCTGAATGGTGTGGCATGTCCCCTCCTCTTGGGAACTGTGAGTAACAGACAGTTTTTTCAATGGCAATGATCTCCTGATCTGTTGGCCTCACTATACATGAATAATAATAAAACCTACACTTTAAAACGAAGATGTAAATTATCCACAAATTGATCTATAGAGGAAACAAAATCTCAATCAAAAGCAATTATTTTAGAAGGCAAAAAGATAACTAAAATTGATAGAACTACGAATGACAAAGAATGCCCAAAACAAAACTAAAAAAGAATAAATTAAAACTCTTAGAAGAAAATTTCTAGGGAAAAACATAGAGAACATTATTTTTTATTTAGATAAGTCATGGATTTTTTTGGTTTTCTTTTGTCTTGTTTTTACATAAGACACAAAGGCATAAAACATAAAATAAAATGTTAAAAATTTAGACTTCATAATTAAAAGTGTTTTCCTCTCAAACACTCTTAAGAGAAAAAAATCAAGCCATAGACTAAGTATGTGTTTATTAAACAAATATCTGATTAAGCATGTTAATACTCAAAAATAAAAAATGAGAAAACTAATTTAGAAACATCCAAAAGTATGGACAGATGTTTTACCAGAGAAGAAATAAGTATGGCAAGTATACATTTGAAAAGATGGTCAATATCATTAGTCATTAAGAAAATGCACATTAAACTCACAATAGCATGAAACTGAAAACCTTAAAAAAGGGAAAAAGTTAATAAAACAGAAAAAAGCTGGCAAAAATCTGAAGCAACTGATACTTTCATACATTGATGGTGAAAATGCAAATAGTACAATAACTTTGAAAAAGAATGGCATCAATCCCACTGCAGGTATTTACTCAAGAGGAAACAAACAAACCAACCTATGTCTGCACAAAGATTGGCAAGTGAATGTTGTAGTAGCTTTATTGGTAAGAGCTATAAACTGGAAACAACACAAATGTTCAGCCTCTGATGAATGGATAAACAGCTATTGGTATATACACAATATAAATTTCTACTCAACAATAAAAAAGAAAGTGAAAATAGAAAAATCTGATTAAAAATATGATATATTTTAAAAATTTCAAATATTATTGCTAAAATAAGTGGAAATAAACTGTTACTACAATAAATGTAAATGTACTAAAATTTCTGTAATAAAACAGACTATCAGAATGCAGTGAATAAACATTATCTAATAATATGTTGTCTACCAGAAATACACTTAAAACCAAATAATACAGACATTTTTGAACTTAGAAACAGCCCGTGTAATAAGAGGTAAAGTACATTTAAGATCAAGGAAAGAAATACTATATATCGGTAATGATAACAATTAAGGTTTCAAAATAAATATGAACATATATGATTTTAATAATATAGTTTTAAAATATATGAAAACAAAAACAATGAAGAAATTCAGAGAAGAAAATTGATCAATAATTGTACTTGAATGTTTTAACACCACTCTTTTAGAAACTGACATAAAGAATCAAAAAATAAAAAATAAAACAGGATATTTTCACAAGTAGATTAATGAAGCTTAATAATATATTTTAGACACATTATATATAATATATTAGTTAGCCAACTCTAAAAGTATATCGAAATTAACACAACATAATGAATATAGTTTATCTTTGTCAGAGAAAAATGTACTAAGGTGATACGCCACACTAATTAACTAATAGAGGAACAAAAAGCACGTTGTTCTATCAATAAGTACGTGAAAACAATTTGATAAAGTTCAACCCTGATTTATGTTATAAACTCATACCAAAAACATAAATTATTAAATGATATGATTATGTACTGTAAACACCACAGAATAAAAATGAACATGCGTGAGCGTGTGTACATGTGTGAGCATGTGTATGACTTCAAATTATGAAGAGAATTCAACAAGTCTGCAGATCAATTTACTCATGTGAATAACATTCTTCTACATCAGAAGTAATTACCTAATGATATAATAGAAAAAATTGATTTCTTTCATAGTGCCAATTATTATTATGAAGAACTGAAATTATTCTAAAAGAAATGCACAAAAGTTTTATAAGAAGAAAATTAAATTCAAATAACATAAAATAAGAGTTCAAAAAATAGAAAAAACCTTCTTCACGGACAGAGTAATTTAACTTACCACCATAAAGCTTAATTTTTTTCTATCTTACACTAAAAATTCAAAGCAGTCCCAATAACAATTATAATTTTGTTTATAAAGTCAATATACTTATTTTCTCAATTTGTATGAGAGAATGAAAGTCTACAAACAGCTAAGTAGCATTTGAAAGGAAACAAAGGCAGGATTATTTCTTACTAGGTATAATGACAGTTTTCAAAGCCAATGTAAAAACACCAGCAGCAGGGTGATCATGGTGCAGACATGCAAACAGGCAAGGAGGACAATGGAACTCAGAAAGTTACCTGTCAGTGTCTGCAGCAGGGCAAAATATGATACAAACATACATTTTGTGACTTTGTATGCCTGGAAGATCCTTTCACATGGACTATGCAATCTTCACACATGTATTCATGTATCCATGTGTGCAACCCAATGACGAAGGATGGGTTGTTTTACAGATTGTGTTTTAAAAGACAATGACTCATAAAATGGAGAAAAACACAGTTGTACTTCTACCTTATATTTACAAATGAATTCCAGGTAGATTTTAAAAACACGACATATAAAATATAGAACTAATAAAATGATATAATGGAGCTGTATTTGTAATTTTTTGATGTGGACAGATTCTTAACGAAGACTTGAGAAGCATAAGTCTCAAGGGGAAAAGTGATAGATTGAGGTTACATCAAAATTAGATTTTCTTTCAAGGAAAACGCTCTTGACAAATAATGTAGACAAATGAAAAACTGAAGGAAGTTATTCATGATGTCTAAAACTGTAAATGAAATATCATCCTGAACGTACCAGATACTTCTGCAAATCCACAAGAAAAAAAGCCAAGAAAACTAACGGCAATTTTGGCAAAGAATATGGTAGAAAATTCCTGGAAAAGGAAAACTGAATGGCTAAGTGAGAGGTAAAGAGATACTGACATTACCTCCAATTAAGACCTTATAATGGAAAAATATAGAAAGGAAGATAATTTTATCCAAGAGCTAGAATGAAGGGAGGTGGGATTTTCTGCAGGGATGCAGACATGGTGGCGACCATTAGCCAGCAACCTCATTCCTCAAAGTTTATCCTTCAGGAATTCTCTCATAAATGAGGACAAGTGTGAAAATATTCACTGGTGATGGTTGCAGTGTGGCAGTGGAGGCATAGACAAATAGAATCCACTGGAGACATTCTATGAAATATTCTGCAGAAGTTAGAAGCAATAAACTGGAGATCTACAGAGTAATGGGCAGACACTGCTCTATGTGCTTTATACCTGTTGATTACATATTCTCAAACTACCCTAAGAGATTGATAATCATATCTCTCCTTCACAGATGAAGGAACTGAAGGTCTGGGAATTTAAGTAGGGGCCCACATCACACAGTGGCTGGACCAGAAGGAGACCAGGGTTTTCTCCAGAGTTGTGCTCTTTTTGCTTTTATTTTACTATAGAAAATTTCAAACATAAAATAAAAAGGACAGCATCATGACCCCCTGTGGTCATCCCTCAGCTTTGTAATAATTAACTCACAGTCAACTGTGTTTCCTCTGGGCCTCCACCCACTCACCATCATCCTGCTTCATTTTACTTTTGAAGCAAATTCCAGAGAGAATATTTTATCCTTAAAAATATAATTCCTAAATATAAATTATTTTCCCATTGTGAAAACAATCACAATCTTATAAGCCCACTCCACAATTTTCAACATTCGATTTTTACTTCCATCAGATATACTGCTAGTGTTCACATTTCCCTGAATGTTCTTAAATGACTTTCAGCAATGTATGTGTTTGTATATGATATTTGTATGTATGCATGTGTGTGTGTGTGTATATATATATGTGTGTGTGTGTGTGTGTGTGTGTGTGTGGATATAGGCAACGATTATAAGTAGCTGTTGACATAAAATGGGAAACAACCAGGCATCATGTAGCTTAGAGATAAAAATATCATCTCTGAAATACTTTTGCCTAAATGAAATAAAACAAAGTATACACACACACACACACACACACACACACACACACAGCCATACATGGTGTATCTCTATTGGTCTATCTGTATATTAAGTCTCTAAACCTTTCCGTGGGTTCTCCCTCTCATCTTTCTTTTTAATCTGTGAATTCCATTTGTTGAAGAAACCAGGATGTTTGTCCCATAGGGTTTCTCGCAGCCACGTCTGCATGAAATAATTTAGGATGTTCTTGTCTCCTGAATTTCCTGGAAATTGAAAGGTCTAGAAACTTGAACAGATTAGGTTCTTTTGCTTTGTTTTATTTTATTTAGGCCAAAGTATTTCAGAGATGATATTTTTATCTCTAAACTACACGATGTCTGTTTGTTTCTCATTTTATGTGAACAGCTACTTATGATCATTGCCTATATCCACTAATTCATTAAAGTCTAAAAATTATAATGAAGTCGGAGGCAGACTAGATTCCAGAGGCGAGGCTTGGACACTGGACCAAACTGAGGACTAGCTAAAACAGGTCGGGGCAGAAGCACCTCCCCATAAAACGCCATGCCAGTTTACCATTGCCATGGCAACACCCGGAAGTTGCCACCCCCTTTCATGATAACGCCCCAACAACCCAGATGTTACCACCTTTCTCCTAGAAATTTCTGCATAAACTGCCTCTTAATTTGCATATAATTAAAAGTGGATATAAATATGAGTGCAGAGCTGCCTCTGAGCTCCTGCTCTGAGCGCACTGCCCATGGGGGAGCCCTGCTCTGCAAGGAGCAGAACCTCTGCTGCTGCCTCAATAAAAGCTGCTGTTTAATACCACTGGCTCACCCTTGAATTCTTTCCTGGGTAAAGCCAAGAACCCTCCCAGCCTATGCCCCAATTTGAGGGGCTTCAAAAGACAGTCAAACTTTATCATTTCTTTTTCATTCATTAGCTGAAATCATTTTGTAGACAGAAACTTTCCCTCATCTATGGTTTAGTTATGTTCAGATAAATTCAAGCAGGTAAAGCAGAACAAAGCTTGGTGTTTTCCTAATGCTTCCACTTTCCAAATTAAATGCGTCTATTCCCTGCTATCCTCCAGTACTGATCAATTAGTTATTTTTTTCCAGGATTAGTATGTACTTAAGATTTAAATCTATGGGATGTTTTCTGGTGCATGGCAGTTTATATCTTTATTGATCTCGAATTTGTTTTCTGAGGATATTTCGTGTGTCCCTGCTGGCCTCTGATAGCTTTCCTGCTGGGAAGTATGAAGAGATATTCCAGGCTCTTTTTGGACTTTTTTTTTTGCCCTATCGTGGAATCACCAGTTTCTCCAGTGGGCTCCGGTCCCCTTTCATGGGAAACTGTATTTCCGCAAAGGCTGCTGTTGCCGCTGCACTGTACCCTCTGTCTGGATCCCAAATGGTAGAGTTGAGTGAGAAAGTAAGAAACTCTAGCACAATATCTCTGTGTACGTGAAAAAAATGCACACAAAAGGATACTCTATATGTCCTAAGTATAATTAGTTAACATAGTTAACATCACAGTTAACCCGAAACTCCAAAGCAGGTGCCAATGAAGGGGAGAGAGGAAGTGGGGATCAGAGAGGAATTAGGTCATTTAAAAAAAAAATAGGCTCATGCTTTATAGTCTGACATGTATAATTAATTTAACTTTCTACATCAGAGAGTCAATAACTTAATAAACAACATTTTTTTAAAAGGAAAGAAATATAGACAAATCCACACAGAAAGTAGGGCAGCAGTTGCCCGTGGTTGGTGGAGGGTTGGGAAGTGACTGCTAATGGGAACAGGAATTTTTTTAATGTGGTAACAAAAATCTTCTGGAATTAGATTGCGGTAATGTGAATATATTTGTGAAAATACTAAAATCCACTGAATTGTAGACTTTATAAGGGCAAATTTTATGGCATGTACATTATATCTCAATTTAATAACAAGCAAGAAATACCGTGTTGTATTACTCTCCCAGAGGCACACCCTAGAGAAATCCACAAACAGATTTAGCACATGGCAGTATTGCCTGGATGACTATTACCGGGACTCGGCTAAGTAACACTGGAGAAAATTCTCCTAACTGCACTCCTGATATTCTACGCAGGAGCCAGAAGCCGTGATTATGAGCTACAGAGCAACAGAAGAAAATCTTGAATATATGGTGCTTTGGTGTAAAATGTAAGAAACCAAATGAGATTTATAGCACACTATTTTACATAAATTTTAATCTATTTATTTATGTACATGCATACACAACACTGCCTATTTCTCTAAGTTACACATCTATCTAATCGCATATATCACACACACCAGTGCAGATGTCAGGGCGAGAGGCAAAGGTGGCTGGGATGCTTGGTTGTGGAGAACAACTGCCGAAAGAGGAGTGGGAGTCCCGTCTTAGCTGCTGACAGTAATGAGCTTGATAGGAAACAAGGATGTGAGGAGCCCCTTTTGCACCTGAGGTCCAAAAGGGAAAAAAAAAAAAAAAAAAAGAGCAACTGCTTCTGGCTCCTACCTAGAATGTCAGTAGTGTAGTTAGGAGAATTTCCTCCAGGTTATTTAGCCTAGTCCCAGTAATAGACATCCAGGCAGACTGAAAACCCCTGAAACTGCCGTGTGCCCGAATCTTAATGCAGTTCAAATCCCTGCTGTTATTTCTCTCAAAAAGCATCAGAGAGAGGGAAGTATATTCTTATTTCCCTGCCAAATGCCTTCCAAATGCTTTCTTCACTTCTGCTGTTCTCAATATTCTTTTCACAAGGGGCTGTAACCCTCTTTCTCTCTCATCCTTGTCTTCCAACTCCTAAATTGCCCTGATTCTCTGAGCTCTTGTCTTTCTGCTCTTTGGAGGATACATTTCACCTCCATGGCAAATCAACCCACTCTGGTTGCTACCAGTTCTAAACACATACCTAACCTCTTCATGTTTTTCTGCCTGCTTTATCCTGGCCACACTGGCAGCTGTTTAGATGGTGCCTAACCAGATTAAGAGTGGGTGTGCCTTTCCCAGCCTTTCTCCTCTTCTTGCTAGTGCTCAAACAAGATCTACGCATACAAACGTTCCAGGAGCCAGGTTGGTAAATGCTGCTTTCTAGTCTTGGGTGGGGGAGAAGGGGCAGGCAAAGGGAGCAGAGGTGGTGCCCTCTCAGGGGTAGTAGTAACAGCTGGAACATACTTCACCCTCAGAACGTTCGTCCACAGCTCCATGCAGCTCCTCTTCAGTGTCCATAGGATCTGGTAACCCCATGTGATGGTTAACACTGAGTGTCAATGTGATTGGATTGAAGGATGCAAAGTATTGACCCTGGGTGTGTCTGTGAGGGTGTTGCCAAAGGAGATTAACATTTGATTCAGTGGGCTGGGAAAGGCAGACCCACACTTAATCTGGGTGGGCACCATCTAATCAGCTGCCACTGTGGCCAGGATAAAGCAGGCAGAAAAACATGAAGAGGTTAGATTGGCCTAGGCTCCCAGCCTGCATCTTTCTCCCGTGCTGGACCCTCCCTGCCGTTGGACATCGGACTCCAGGTTCTTCAGTTTGGGGACTCAGGCTGGCTTCCTTGCTCCTCAGCCTGCAGATGGCTTATTGTGGGACCTTGTGATCATGTGAGTTAATACTTAATAAACTCCCGTTTATATATATATATATAAAGGGGAGAATAGGATATATATATATATCCTATTATATATATTACAGGATATATATATCATATATCATATATATGTGTGTGTGTATATATCTCTATATACCTATATATCTATATATATCTCCTATTAGTTTTGTCCCTCTAGAGAACCCTGACTAAAACACCCTAGCTTCTTGTCTGCTGTTTTCCCAGCTCTAGGGGTGGTATTTTGTTTCCTTCAGTTATTACTTATGGCTTGCTATGATTTTCCTTTCTTGGTCTTCACCCTTTCAATACTTGTGTAAAAAAAAATACCCTATATTAAATTCCATCTGTTGAATGCCTGTGGAGGTTGTTTCCGTGATTGACTCCTGGCCATTATGTCATTCAGTACCAGAGGTAGTTCCAGCCCAGGAAATAGACCCTCAAAGATGGGATTCTGGAATCAGTTTGGTCATATCCTAGGTCTTAAATGCAAGGCTGAACTCAGAAGCGTTAGGCAATCAGACACCATTAAATTCATGGCGTGTCATGGCATCACAATTGAAGCATTCACCTGCTGTTCATCATGATGCAGTGTCTGTGGGATCCCATGCTGGAGGGTGGCTGCTTCACTTGACCGTTATGATACTTTTACCATATGACTACAAGGGTTTTGGGGATTGTGAGGTGAGAGTCATGTGGTACTTTTACCATATGACTACAAGGGTTTGCGGGATTGTGAGGTGAGAGTCATGTGGTACTTTTACCATATGACTACAGGGATTGCGGGGATTGTGGAGTGACAGTCATATGATACTTTTACCATATGACTACAGGGATTGTGGGGGTATAGTTTTTATTATACTGGAGAGCTTATAGAGAAAATGACAAACCTGGGGCTAGAAAGGCTCAGCTTAAGTCATGGTGAGAGAACCAAAGTGATTTCAGAGCAGCCCTAAAATAATATCTCTGTTTTTGTAGCTGCAGTGAGAAACGTGTTGGAAATCAGAAACACAATGTATGTGCACATGTTGCAGAATTATAACATAAGTTGAATTCACACACCTGCTGACTCTGTTACATGAAAGTTAGAGAGCTGATCGACTGGGAAAAATGGAATTTTGAGACTTCCAATGGATACATCTGGATGGACTTAAATAAAGTTGGGAATCTTGAACACCTGAAACTCTCTGAGGGTCCCTCGCCAGCATGCCTGGTCTCGATCTCTGAGGAGTCTAGATAACTCAGCCTTGTGCAGAGATCTTGTAATATGCTCACCTGAAGAAGGTGACTTGCAAAGTGATGGCTATTCTCCCCAAACCCACCCTCTTCACCCCTTTTACCTATAACCAGAGTTGGAACTTCCTATACATCACTGGGAGGGCAACTGTAACATCTGCCCTGGGAGGAGGTAGTTTATAGTATAAAAGAATCACGAGATATTGCTAATTTTCACCAGCAGAAATGTGAAGAATATGTGTAGAAATGAATTTAAAGGGTGTCAGACCAAAGAAGATGGAAGATAAATTGAGATCGGACCAAATTTACTGGTAGCGGTGTACTCACCAGAGAGCCTGGATTTAATGTGTTAGCTCAAGAAGCTGAAAGAGTTTCTAACAGTTTTCTTGATTGATTTACTGAAACTTGGACTCACCGATGACCTACATCCATTTGAGATGCCAAATCTTCCCCGGCATAATGCGGAAAATGGAATACCAAGGCTGAGAAACCCAGGAACGTTGGAGTAGACTTCTGGTGTATGTCTTGTGTATCCCTTTCCCCGTGACCCTCCCTGGGAGAGCCCAGAAGACACTACCAAGAGATGCATTTGCCAGAGGAGCAGTAGTGTTCTTGGAAAGCTCTTTGGTAAGCTTGGGATAATAGGGTCCTAAAGAAGGAAAGACCAGAAGGCAACATCTGAGTGAGAGATGGAGCCATGTCAGGCATCTTCAGCACTGACAACTGGTCATGGCATTGATGCGAATGCAATACAGGGAAAGTTCACTAATGCTATTTGACATAGGAAATACAGGACATCTCCAGGTTCTGGTGGGTAGAAACCCAACTGTCGAGGACATGCTGGTGAGTCATGCACTCTCAGCTTCCACATCGAACCCTCTCTGTAGACCCAGAGCTGGTTGGTTGAAGGGGAATTTGAGTCTCTGTGCAGAAGGATTCCGAAATACATTTACAGGGGGATACTGTTGATATTCCTCTCACCTTTTCCCAAAGGGTCCTTCAGCTATTGACTGGAGTGAGATGCGGCTCTGACAAAGAGAACTGACCTGCGTCTTCTCTCTTCACTCTACCCTGCATCCGAATTGATGCCAATTCCTTGGATCTCAAATGCCACTGAAATCCCCCAGGAATGGTGGTCAATAATGAATGGGCCCAGGCAATCCAGATAATGGCTTGACAGGTTTTTTTTCCCAGTTTCTCAGTGTGTAATAGAATAGACAGCCTTGACAACTGGCAGAAAGTCACATGACTCCCTGGACTATAGTGTGCAAGATTTTGTGGTGGGAAAAACTAAATGGTAGGCCCTGGGACTCTGTACTATGAGAGTGAACAAAAGGAATTCCTCAGTCCCAGGGAACTGCAGAGAAGGGTCACTCTCAAAAGTCTGCCAATGTACGTGTGCGGGTGGTACCATGTCCCCATATAACTTGACAGCTTGTCCTGTGCAGAAGATAAATGAATCTTGGAGAAAAATGGCCCAATTTTCTTAAAATTGAACAGAAGGTGAACACAATCACAGCTGCTCTTCCAGTTCTGATATTGTCATTGATGCAAATCAACATAGTCTCTACACCTGTGACCATTCCCCTGAATGAATCATCCTCTGCTTGAAACACCTGGAATGGATTTTGCTTTGGACTGGAGCCTGATTAATGCCTCTTTTTCCCAGGTGCAGTGGCCCAACCATCAGCTGCCTGAGGGGGTAGCAGGGAAGGTGCAAAAGAGTGGAAATGTTGCCTTTGAATAAAGTGCAAATAATAGGTAGACTAGCCATTTTAATTCCTAAAGTGAGAGTGTGCTTTGCAACCTACAGGAGTGTAGGATTGTCTCTATTGAGCAGAAAAGTTCTGGGACCTGCTGAGTTTTACTGGGGAAGGGAGAGATGAAAGCATCTCCCCCCAACACTGGTAAATTTGAAGGCGCAGGGCTGGGCGCGGTGGCTCACGCCTGTAATCCCAGCACTTTGGGAGGCCGAGACGGGTGGATCACGAGGTCAGGAGATCGAGACCATCCTGGCTAACATGGTGAAACCCTGTCTCTACTAAAAATACAAAAAAATTAGCTGGGCATGGTGGCGGGCACCTGCAGTCCCAGCTACTCAGGAGGCTGAGGCAGGAGAATGGCGTGAACCTGGGAGGCGGAGCTGGCAGTGAGCCGAGATCGTGCCACTGCACTCCAGCCTGGGCGACAGAGCAAGACTCTGTCTCAAAAGAAACTAATAATAAATAATAATAATAATAATAATTGAAGGCACAGCGATACAGAATGTAAGTTGTGTTCTGATCCCTGCCGAGAGTCATTTCTTCAATGAACTGGTTACCCTGGCAGTGGCCACCATTAAAATTAGTTGTGTGAGTTGCTTCAGACTTGTTTTGATGGCTATTTTTGAATCCCACAAAGCCAGCAAAGCCATCTGTAATGTTCTCTTCTGCATTCCCAGGAGCTTGCAAAATCCATGGTGCAGATAGAGTTGGTGCTCTATGATTATCTGTTGAAATGAATGAAGAAGTGAATGCATTCCATAGAAAAGGAAATAAATGTCCAAGCAGTGAAAGGATGACTGAGTTATACAGACGGATCTCACCGAATCAGAACTCAGACCCACATCTACAGATTCATACCCCAACAAGTCAAACTGAATTTCTGTCAATCATGTTTCCAAACTCAAAGATAAGAAGAAGTCTTACTGAGAACCTTCCACATGCTGAATACTAAATCCCTACAGCACCGCGAAGGGACGTCATAGACAAGCCAGCTTCCGTGTTCATTGCCAGCTAAGACTCACAGGGCCAGAAAAGGAAGGCACGGTTCTGTAGAGACTATCAACTCCCAGAACGGGAAGGACTTTCGTGTATTCACCGATCAGTGATTCTCAAAGTGCGTCAGAACCAGCAGCCTCAGCACCACCTGAGGACTCACTAGAAATGCACATTCTCAAGCTATATCCTGACCTACCGAGTCAGAAACTCTGGGGGTGGGAGCACCAAGGCCTGTGTTTTGATAGACCCCCGGGTGACTGTGGTGCACACTCACACTGGAGACCCACTGGACTCAGGAGTGAACCAAGACTGGAAAGGTGGCTGGCACCGACTGTGCTCAATCAATGTGTCATGAGGGGATAGCAGAGGACTCTAGAAGCCATGCCTTCTTTACTATTCCAGACCCTTCCCTGGAATGGGAAATCCTTTTCGACTCCGGATACTCTCAAGGCCCCCGCTTCATTGATGTTCCAAACATACAGTCGCAGAACTGGCAACCCCCCTTTCAAAAAAACAAATATTATAAAAAAAAAAAGTGAACATTTTCAAAAGGCTTTATAAGCAAAGTTAACTAACAGCTCTTATTCATAGCACGGTTTGCTTCCATTTATAAAGTAAGGCAAACAAGCTTCCCATAAGCAGCACTTCTCTTTACTGGCTTTACAATACAATTTGATTTATAAAAATTCAATTTGCACAGAACTTTCAAGAGAGACAATTATTTCGGAAAGTGGGGTATTTGACATTTGGTTCTGAGATCAATAAGTCTGGGGACTGTTCTGAGTTAAGGACAAATGCCTCCATTCTCTCAGCTCAGCTGTGGTACAGGTGGGTCCTTTGTTCTGAGCCAGCCAAAGGCCGACGCAGTTTCCCATTATACACGATCAGGTCAGGGGTGAGCGATAAATCCACAGAGGGCCAGCACCCAGCCAGGCAGTTTCAGGAAGTCTATAAAGTGTGTATTTACTGAATTGTGCCAAATTGTTATGGGGATTTAAAAGAGAAGTCAATCCTCCCATCTATCTATCCTTGCAGAGGCGCTCTCATATAGGAAATGATCAATGAATGTCGTTCAAAATAATGACAGAGATGATGACAATGATAACAATGTACACAGCTGTCTTCCCAACTGGAATATGCAAATACAGATGGGATTAATAACAAAGTACTTGGTTCCACCCGTGCTTGGTGGTGGTAATTCTGAGCCTGGTTCTTTACGTATTTAATTTCAGAGACTAATAACAGAGGGTTTATCTCACTGTTAGCAGACTACACACCATATGGATTCTCTATGGTTCTGGGAAAATGCATGAAGATATACATTTGATTCTTTCCTCCTGTGTCCAACTGTAAAAAGAAAAGTGACCCAGAACATATATAAGTATGCAAAAACCTGTGTAATCTAAATGGCTGAATATTTGAGGAATTATTTTTTGCAAAATTTTGTAAAAAAATGACTAGCAAATCATGCCTTTAAGCATTAATATGTAGAAGAAAGCCTGTGCCCCAGACACTGTAGGCCTGGAGAGAAGTGAAGCTTTGGAGGGAGGGCCATGGGACTCAGAGGACAGCTTTTCTTGGGGTTAAATCGGGGGTTAGGAAGGTGACAGCCTTTGGGGTTCAGACAAGGAGCCTCAGGCAGCAGCACCTTTGCACAGAAAGCAGAAGGCATCTTCCTTCTCATAGCCCAAGGCTTCTGCCCAGGGTTTACATGAGCTCCACAGACAGACGCAGCAGCCACAGCAGCTGCAGAGATGGTTGGGGCCTCGGCAGGGGCCATGTGTAAAGTGGCTGCTGACCAGAGAGAAAGGGCTATCCCTGAGCTGGAAGGAGACTCACCCCAGTGGGGCTGACCCAGGCAGAGCAGGTGCTGTTAACAGAAAGGGATATGTTGGAGCTGGGAATCCCCAATCCCAGGATCCTGACCATTGCTTTGTGTGACCAGGTCACTGTGTTAGTTATCTAGGGCTGCACAGCAGTGTTGCAGAGACATGTCCTCTTCCAACAGCACACGTTGTGTTCCTGTGGGTTGAGTCAGGCAAGGCCCAGCAAGGTCCTCTGTGAAGCTAGAATCCAGCGTCAACCAGGGCTGGGGTCTCATCTGAGGCTCGGCTGGGAGAGTCCAAGCTCATGTGGTTTTTGGCAGCTTTCTGCCCCTTGTAGGCCGTCAGCCCAGGCCTTAGGTCCTTACTATCCTGCCCCGCCCTCCCCTGAGGGCCGTTCACTACAACAGGGCAGCTTGCTTCTTCTGAGCAAGTGAAGAGGGACTGTCTCAGCAAGGACAGAGTCTCAATCTTAGGAGACCTGATCATGAGAGTGACATCTCATCACCTTTGCATAATCTATGGCAAAGTCAGAGGCCCACCCACACTCAAGGGGATATGTCACTCTGGGGGGTGAGGATCACAGGGCCTCTAGAGGGTCTGTCCACTTCAATCACTGAACCTGCAACAAGCTGAGGGTACTTGAAGGCCGGACTGAATCACAGCAGTAAGCGAAGAGTCAAAGAAGATGCTAATTCTAATTAGTAATTGATAACCATTCATTCATTCATGTAGTCATTCATTCATTATTAGAGGCTGCCTGGAGGGGACACTGTGGCTGCTGGGGGACAGAGCTTGCATGTGGTGGGTATAGAAGTCACAGGGCCTTGGGGCCACATCTTGTAGGACTCAATGAGAGCTACTTGCCGCCCATGCACTCATTCACTTGTCCATTCATGTCTTCATTCACAAACATTCTCCGTGCGCTTGCTGGGCGCATGCTCCATGGGAGCTCTGGCAGTGGACAAAGGCCCTCAGGGAGCTGACGTTTCACAGGTGGTGGGCGGGGCAGCAGGGAAAGGATGCACAATGGGATAAGGCATAATTAACGGCAGGTGAGAGTTAGGGCTCTGCTAGCAGGGCACGCAGAAAAGCAGCAAGGATTGTTCAAATCAGAGCAACCTGAAGGCCAGCCAACCACTGATGTACCCCCGAAATAATGTTTCCTGCAACAGGTGGGAGGAGACCTTATTTTTCAAAGGACTGAGTACAAGAATCAAGCAGAGGCCAGGGAGCTGCTGCTGGCTGGAGGGCTCTTACTCATGAGAACACAGAGAAGGAGCAGGTGGAAAGGCGAGAAGAAAACCCAGGGAGCTGAGAAGAGGAAGTGGTATTTTCAACAAACCCAGCAGCATCAGAGTTATAAGATGGTAGCAATGAGCAGATTCAAACCTTTGGGAGAGCCCAGCAGTAACACGGGTGCTCGTTTCAGAAGAATCTAGAATTGCACCAGGTACATGGGAGGGCTTGTGAGACCATAGACACCCAGCATGTGGGGAAGTGGTGGTTCTGCTGTGGGGTTGGGTCAGGCAGCCCCACCCAAAGGTGTCCTACCCAAGGGTGCCTGCTGCATACCAGGCTGTGTTTGAGGCACTGTGGCTAGAGCAGAGAGCAAGGGGACAGAGCCCCTGCCCTCAGGTGGAGGGTGCTAAAAATATGAGAAAAATAAGATCATCTCAGTGACTGACTAATGCCATAAGAAGAGTGAGACCCCGTGGCTGGGGCTTGTGATGGGCAAGTGCCCCTTCAGCTAGGATGTTCTGGAAATGTCTTGGCATTTGAGTGAGAGGCAGCCTTGCAGAGGACTGAGGGGAGAATGTCCATGGCAGAGAGGACGGCAGGGGCCACAGCCTCTCCAGAGCCAGTCTTCAGGAGCAGGGAGGAGGCCGACCTAGTCAGGCAGGGGATATCAGGGCCGTGGAGGCAGGGAGGGCTGGGACAGCATCCTGGCCAGGCCTGCAGAGGGGGAAATGACTGTGCTGGAAAATACTGATTTCACTTTGGTTGCAAATGGGAAGGAACTCTTGGTTTTCACAGGAAATAAGCAATCTTCAAAGACATAAATAGAACACGTTCTGGAGCTCAAAAAATATCCAAATCTGCATATCAAAAGCACTCATTATCAGGCAAATTTGATGAAAGAACAGCACCTAGGTACACATGACACAGTGAGGTGGCTGGAGTAACAACCTTCCAAATCTGAAGACGGAAGAAGCAGCCTGCCAAACACGGACAAAAAGTCAAACTGACTTCCAACTTCTGGATGCTAGAGGAGCTCTACAACTTTGAAGGAAACAGTTCTATTTGAACATTTCAGATCTAGCCCAGCCATGACACTACTCTTTTGTCAACGCTTCAAGAGAAAGACAGAAGAAGAGAGAATATATTATCTCGGTGGTGTGGTTTGTTTGGCTGTGTCCCCACCCAAATCTCAACTTGAATTGTATCTCCCATAATTCCCTCATGTTGTGGGAGGGACCTGGGGATGGTGGTGATTAAATCATGGGGACCAGTCATTCCCATGCTAGTCTCATGATACTGAATACGTTTCATGAGATCTGATGGTTTTACTAGGGGTTTCCACTTTTGTTTCTTCCTTATTTTCTCTTGCCGCTGCCATGTAAGAAGTGCCTTTTGCCTCCTGCCATGATTCTGAGGCCTCCCCAGCCATGTGGAACTGTAAGTCCAGTTAAACCTCCTTTTCTTCCCAGTCTCAGGTATGTCTTTCTCAGCAACATGAAAATGGATTAATATGCCTGGTATTATCCTTCTAAAACACCACCAACCAAAAGTGAACCAAAGCAATATATTCATGCGCTGGAAGGCTCCACACAGCACCATGAGCTAGAAACAATACTGATAGGGTTTGGCTGTGTCCCCACCTAAATCTCACCTTGAATTGTAGCTCCCATAATTCCCACATGTTGTGGGAGGGACCCAGTGGGAGATAATTGAATCATGGGATTGGTTTCCCCCATACTGTTCTTGTGGTAGTGAATAAGTCTCACGAAATCTGATGGTTTTATGAGGGGTTTCTCCTTTCACTTGTCTCTCATTCTCTCTTGCCTGCTGCCCTGTAAGACATGCCTCTCACCTTCTGCCAGGATTGTGAGGCCTCCCTAGGCAGGTGGAACTGTGAGTCAATCAAACCTCTTTCCTTTATAAATTACCCAGTCTCGAGTATGTCTTTATCGGCAGCATGAGAACAGACTAAATCAAATACACAGCTGGAGGCAGAATTATGCCCAGGTGATGGTAGATGCACACCTACAAAAATAGTATGTTTGTTACAGTCTGTACAAAGCATCACAATGAGTTACAAATAGCAATTTGATGATAGACAAAGACAGTGGTCACGCCAACAGTAATGGGTATTGGACTCACACAAGGCAGTGGTAGTCTCACTCTGACTTGGTTGGAGACCACAGAGGGAAGGAATTTCCTCCCCCAAGCCCCCTTAAACCAGCCATCCTTTCTGGAGAAATGAGAAATGGAGAGAGACAGATTTTCCACCCTGTTCTGCAAGCTCCTAAGCCCAGTGTGACTACTGGGTCTTTTAGTAGCTAAACCACCAGATTCCTTTCTTTCTTTTTTAGGCTGGGGTGAGTCTGGGTTGGATTACCACCAACTCAAGATAAGAGTACCAGGAAACAGGCAGGTGAGCTCATGTCTGGTACAGGTGTGTCCTGAAGAGCCATGTGGTGGTTTGGAGTCTGTGGAAGAGAAGAACCACTCTGGGCACATGGGAACTCGACGCAGACCTGTAGGAAGAGCCTCGTTTCCATCTCAGGGAGTCCTGAGGTCTTACCTCTCACTCCTGAAAGAATCAACAATCAATTCTCCCGGGAAGGGGAGACCTTTCCCAAATTCAGCAGAGACTAGGTCAAATGGTGATAGGTGCGGAAGGCACTGGTAAGGGATGTGCGTGTAGGGCAGGGTTCAGGTGTGACCCAGCACATGGCTGCAAGGGATCCACGCACCCCTGGCCTTGTGTCCCAGCCCCCACCCCAGTGCAAGACAGCTGGCTGTGACATTTGTACCCACAAGCTCTGCCTAGTCCTTTATCCTTTACAGGGGAGAAAAAATGACCCTTGGCATTTTAAAATTGGCCTCAAAAGTAATAAACAAACTTGATTTTGCCTTTCCCCTTCCTCATGGATGGGTAGAAGGGCTGGGGGTCCCTCCTCACTTTTCTACCCAGGTGAAGCCCCCTCAGGAGCTGCTCACCAGCAGGAGGGGCGCTGCCATCCCTGCAGTTTCCAGCCGGGCTGGTGGACAAGAAAGGCTCAGAGCAGGAGGCCAGGTCTTCCCACGCACCCAAATGCAACTGTCTCTAAAGAGCCCTGAATACAAATGATATTTTTCATTCCCATTGGGACTACAGTTTCTTTTTCTTTAATTTGACAGAATGAAGGAATAGGGTTGATTGGTTCTTCTAACTTTCAACAATGAGTCACAAAAGATAAATACGAAAGCCTTCAAATTAATTCTAAGGAGCTTAATTATTTTTTTTCCTGGGATGCATTCTTTCTGAAATGAGTTTTCCCATCTTCCTTGTGTTATAGTACACCGTCCCCCACCCCACAACAAAAGTTTATTTTGAGCTTGGAGAATGAATTTGCAGTTTAAAAACCTGCTGTCATCATCATATGCATTTGCATAATATGGGCTCTTCATTAGAGCACAGAGAGTAAAATCAGCCTGATAATCAAATACATTCTTCTGCTATTGATTTAAAGTGGACCGAAAGCTCAGGAAGGAGCTGTGGGGACGGTGCACTGTACTCCGCTGAGCCAGGGGAGGTGCTCAGAGGCGGCCTCGAGTCTTCTCGACTGTTGGGAGGGGAAGATCCACGTAGCTCTCCGCAGGCCCACAGGTAGAAACGCTACCTCTGACACCTTTCGCGTTTTCATGTGGGGGCATGTGTTCTGGAATATAAAATGCTTTCCTGAAGTTCAAATTTCCCAAGAAAAAATTTCCAAGCAGCCTGCACCAGGACTGCCAGGAGCAAAATCATGCCAAGTTGCAACCATCACCACCTCCCTACACACATATATGCACATACAACATACACGCACACATACACATCACACCACACACACATGCATGCTGCACCACACACAACATACATAAACATACACACATGTGCATGAGCACACAACACACATACATGTGAACACCACACATTCACATGTATACGTGCACATACATGCATATAAAAACACAGGTACACATACAACATATACACATTCACACACCTATCACACAAGCCCCTCACTCACACACATTTACTTCCTTAGGTTGCCTTGCTCTTGACTTGTTCCAGCGGATGCCAAGATTCAGGCCCAATGTAGGCAAAATTTGGAGCAAAGTGCAAAACACAAAAACAATTGATTTCCAAATAGGAGCCTGCAATTAGAAACAATGAGAAATAGAAGTAGGTGCTCCAAATCCAACTTCTTATAAGAAATAAGTTTGTAATCTACTAAGGTAGAAAGTCTTTCTAGAGGGAAACTACTGTCCATCTGCACCAGTGCTGGGAATTCGGACAGAGCATAATCTTTTGCAGAGCAAAAGTTTTTAATTGTGATGAAAACCGATGTATCATTTTTCTTTGAATCATGTGTGTTTGGTGTCATTTATAAGAACACTTAGCCATGCCCTATGTCCCAAAGATTTCCTCCCATGTAATATTCTAAAAGTTTCATGACTCTACATTTAACATTTAAATCTATAATCCATTTTGAGTTAATTTTTATGTAAGCTGTGAGGTTCAGGTTGAGTTTTTTTTTTTCTTTTGTGTATGGATTTCCAATTGTTCCAGTACAATTTCACCTTTATAAAATATTAATTGGCCATATTTGTATGAAGCTACTTCTAGGTACTCTATTCTGTTCCATTAATCTGTTTTTATCCTTCTGCCAATACCACAGTCTTAATTACAGTAGCTATATCATGAGTATTGAAACCAGGTAAAGTGATTCATATACTTTATTCTTCTTTTCCAGAAGTGTTTTTTTTTTTTTTATTTTTTATTTTTATTTTTTGAGACCGAGTCTTGCTCTGTTGCCCAGGCTGGAGTGGAGTGCAGTGTGCGATCTCGGCTCACTGCAAGCTCTGCCTCCCGGGTTCAAGAATCGATTCTCCTGCCTCAGCCTCCTGAGTAGCTGGGACTACAGGTGCCCGCCACCATGCCCGGCTAATTTTCGTATTTTTAGTAGAGAGAGGGTTTCACAGTGTTAGCCAGGATGGTCTTGATCTCCTGACCTCGTGATCTGCCCATCTCGGCCTCCCAAAGTGCTGGGATAGCAGGCATGAGCCACCGCGCCCAGCCAAATGTTCTATTTTCTAGTTCCTTTCCCTTTCTATATGAATTTCACAGTAATCTTGTATATATCTACAAAAATATCTTGCTGGGATTTTGATAGGAATTGGATTGAACTAGTAGATCAATTAGAGATGGAATTAATGTCTTTACAATGTTGAATCTTCACTCAACAAAAATGGTACGTCTTTCTATTAATTTGGATCTTCTTTGATTTTCATTAGTATTTTGTAGATTTCAGTGTACAAGTCATGTACATGTTTTATTACATCTATACCTAAATATTTTACTTTTTGAATAATCATAATTTTTTTTTTGAGGCAAAGTCTCACTCTGTCACCCAGACGAGTGCAGTAGCAAGATCTCAGCTCACTGCAACCTCCACCTCCTGGGTTCAAGGGATTCTCATGCCTCGGGCTCCCAAGTGGCTGGAATTACAGGCATGTGCCACCATGCTTGGCTAAATTTTTTGTATTTTTAGTAGAGATGAGGTTTCATCATGTTGGTCAGGCTGGTCTCAAACTCCTGGCCTCAAGTGATCTGCCCACCTCAACCTCCCAAAGTGCTGGGATTACAGGCATGAGCCACCACGCCTGACCAACATTGTACTTTCTAAAATTTCACTTTCCACATTGGCATTGCTAGTATATAGAAATACAATTGCTTTTTTTCATGTTGACTTTGTATTCTGTGATACTGAGAAACACAATTATTAGATGAAGGACATGTTTTAGGGTTTTTTTTTTTTTTTTTGCAGATTTCCTATGGTATTTCTAAGTAAACAATGGTGTCATCTGCAGATGGCAACCATTTTTATCTTTCTTCCCACCTGTGTAGCCTTTTTTTTTTTTTCCTATTGTCTTATTCTGCACTGGCTAGCAGTTTCAGCACTCTGTTGAATAGGACTGGTGAGAACAAATATCCTGGCCTTGTTCCCACCCTTAGGAGAAAAGCATTTTGACTTTCACCATTAAGTATACCATCATTTGTAGAATTTTTGTTTGTTCGTTTTTTTATAGATGCTTTTTATCAAGTTGAGGAAGCTCCCTTCCATTCCTAGTTTCTTGAGAGTTTTTATCATAAGTGGGTGTTGGATTTTGTCAGATGCTTTTTTCCCTGCATCAATTGACATGATTGTGATTTTTTCCCTTTAGTTTCTTAATATGGTGTGTTGCATTCATTGATGTTAAAATATTGAATCAATCTTGATCCCTGGAATAAATTCCACTTGGTCATGGTGTATATTTTGTTTTACATATCATTAAATTTTGTTAAGAACTCTAAAGAGTTTTTAGTTAAAAAAATTGTATTTTGTTAAAAATTTCTGCATCTATATTCATATTAGAATATTTGCCTTTAGTTTTTTTTTCTACTTTCTTTTGCTTTGATGTCAATATCACTGGCTTCAGAAAATGAGTTGATTTATGTCTTATCCTCTACAATTTTCTGGAAGAGATTGTCTAAAATTAGTATTAATTATTTTTTAAATGCTTGGTGAAATTCTCCAGTAAAATTGTTCAGGCCTAGAGATACCTCTTTTGGAGCTTTTAAAAATTACAAATTCAGTTTTTTGTTTTGTTTTGTTTTGGTTTTTTTTTTTGGAGACGGAGTTTTGCTCTTGTTGCCCAGGCAGCAGTGCAGTGGTGTGATCTCAGCTCACTGCAACCTCTGCCTTCCGGTTTCAAGTGATTCTCCTGCCTCAGCCTCCTAAGTAGCTGAGATTACACGCGCCTGCCACCACGCCCGGCTAATTTTTGTATATTTAGTAGAGACGGGGTTTCACCATGTTGGCCAGGATGGTCTCGAACTCCTGACCTTGTGACCCACCCACCTCAGCCTCCCAAAGTGCTGGGATTATAGGCGTGAGCCACAGCGCCCAGCCAAATTCAGTTTTCTTAATAGTTATGGGCTATTCAATGAACTATTTCATATTGGGCCAGTTAAAACAGTTTGTACTTTTTGAGGAATTGGTCCATTTCATCCATTTTGTCAAGTTTTAATGTATAGAGTTGTTCGTGGTATCCCTTTGTTATCACCTGATGTCTGCAAGGCCTGTGGTGATACCACCTGTTTCCTTCCTGATATTCCTAAGTTTCGTGTTTTCTGTTCGTGTTTGTCAGACTTGCTAAAGGCTTGTCTATTTTATTAGTATTATCAAAAATGAGCTTTCTGTTTCATTGATATTCGGTATTGTTTCTGTTGTCAATTTCATTGATAGCTGCTTTTATTTTTATTATTTTCTGCTTTGTGCCTTTGGATTTGTTTTGCTCCACTGTGATGGTTCATATTGGGTGTCAACTGGATTGGACTGAAGGATGCAAATTATTGATCCTGGGTGTGTCTGTGAGGGTGTTGCCAAAGGAGATTCATATTTGAGTCAGCGGACTGGGAAAGGCAGACCTACCCTCAACGTGAGTGGGCACCATCTAATCAGCTGCCAGCATGGCCAGGATAAAAAGCAGGCAGCCGGGTGCAGTGGCTCACACCTGTAATCCCAGCACTTTGGGACGCCGAGGCAGGTGGATCAAACTGAACAAACTTTAAAATTCCATCTTCATTTACCCATAATGTTTTTGAATATATCTTTCATACATTCAAAACACTCATATATTCTCACTCTATTGCCCGGACTGGAAAGCAATGCTATGATCACGGCTCACTGCAGCCTGACTCTTCCGGGTTCAGGTGGTTCTCCCATCTCAGCCTCCCAGGTAACTGGGACTATAGATGCATACTATCAAGCCCGGCTAATTTTTTTTTTTTTTTTTTTTTTTTTTTTTGTAGAGAGGGCTTTCGTCATATTGCTCAGGTTGGTCTCAAACCCCTGGGCTCAAACGATCCCTTGCCTCAGCCTCCCAAAGTTCTGGGATTACAGGCATAAGCCACTGCATCCGGCCATAACTGTCCTTAAATAGTTGCCCTTAAGTATTCATGATATATACATAACTTATCATAGCGTATAGGAGTTAACATTTAACCAAAGTGTTGTGTAGAAAACTTAACTCCTTTTATGTTCCTTTACCCTTCCCCATTTTTAATATAATTGTCTTAAATATTTCCCGTGCATACATTGAGAACGGCATTATACAGCATTATAATTTTTGCTTCCACCATCATGCATAATTTAGAAAACTCACACAGGTAAGGAAAGCCTGTGGTATTTTTCTCATATGTTTACTCTCTCTTTTGTTCTTCCTTTCTTCCTGTTGTTACATGATTCCTTCCTTTATCAACCTCTTTCTGTTTAGAGATATCCCCATAGCCATTCTCTCAGGATAGGTCTACTAGTGACAAATACTCTTTTTTTTTTTGAGGCGGACTCTCACTCTTTCGCCCAGGCTGGAGTGCAGTGGCTCAATCTTGGTTCACTGCAACCTCCGCCTCCCAGGTTCAAGCAATTATCCTGCCTCGGCTTCCCGAGTAGCTGGGATTACAGGTGCACACCACCACGCCCAGCTAATTTTTTGTATCTTTAGTAGAGATAGGGTTTCACCTTGTTGGTCAGGCTGGTCTTGAACTCCTGACCTCGTGATCTGCCCGCCTCAGCCTCCCAAAGTGCCGGGATTAGAGGTGTGAGCCACCGTGCCCAGCCAACAAATACTCTTAAGCTTCCTTGATCTGAGAATATCTTGGTTCTGCCTTTAGTCCTGAGGGCTATTTTTGCTGAATATACAATTCTATGTTGACAGTCATTCCCTTTCTGCACTGTAATGCCAATGCCTTCTGGGTTGGTTTTGGATGAGAAATTCACTGTCATTAAAATTACCCTTACAGGCAATTTTTTTCTTTGTCTGATTTCAAGGGTTTTTCTTTGTCTTTAGTTTTCAGAAGTTTGATTCTGATGTGTATTGGTGTAGATTTCTTTAGATCTACCTTGCTGTGATTTCCTCAGCTTACTAAATTTGGATATTTGTTTATGTGTTTTACCAAATCTGGGGAATTTCCAGCCATTATTTCTTTAAATACTTTTAAGTTTCAATTTCTTTCCTTTTTTTTTTTTTTAAGACAGGGTCTTAAAAAAAAAAAGACCCAGACTGGACTGCAGCAGCATAATCACAGCTCACTTCAGCTGACCTCCTGGACTCAAGTGATCCTTACACCTCAGCCTCTCGAGCAGCTGGGACTATAAGTACACACCACCATGCTCAGCTAATTTTTGTATTTGTGTGTGTGTGTGTGTGTGTGTGTGTGTGTGTGTGTGTGCGTGTGGAGATGGGGTCTCAATATGTTGCCTAGGCTGATCTTGAATTTCTGGGCTCAAGCAATCCTCCTGTTTTGGCCTTCCAATGTCCTGGGACTACAGGCATGAGCCACTGCACCTGGCCTCAGCTCCAGCTTCTTTCTTCTCTCCTTCTAGAACACTGATGACACAAATGTTAAATCCTTTGTTATAGTCCCCAGTGCCTCTAAGACTCTGTTCTTTTCTTGTAAGTCTATTTCCTCTGTTTTCCATGAGGTAATTTCTGTTGTTCTATGTCAAAAATAATCAATTCCTCTGTCCTATTAATTTGCTGTTGAAACTATTGAGGATTTGTTTTTCAGTGCTTTTTTTTTGTTTTAAAATTTCCATTTTCTCTTCTAAAATTTTCAATTCTAAACTTTTCTATTTCTTTGCAGAGACTTTTTTGATTCATGTCTTAGATGTTCCAAATTGCTCTTTGAAGCATTTTTATGATGACTTCTTTAAAATCCTTTTCAGTCGAGTTTAACATCTGTGATATCTTAAAGTTGGCAGCTGTCAGTGGTTTTGTCTTATTCAAGTTGAGATCTTAATGGTTCTTGGTATAATGAGTGATTTTCTATTGAAAACTGGACCTTTTGGATATTATGTTATGCAATTCTGAATCTTATTTAAATCTTATGTTTCAGTAAGCCTCCTCTGAAGCTCCTCTGGTGGGGGAAGGTGGGCACCACCCCATTACTGCTGGAAGTCCAGGATCTCTACTTGCCTCCATTGAAACCCAGTTGGAGGGACATCTCGTTATTGGTGGATGGGGTGGGAGTTTGAGCTCTCCCTTAGGCCTACGCTGATACCAGCCTGGCTGGTACAGGGAGGAATGCCTCCTCTGCTCACTGCTCACCACACAGTCTCCACTGACAGGGTCCGGATGGGAGGAGGCCTCAGTTCCACTGAGTGGTGGTGAAAGTCCTGGTTGAACCAATCCTTCTCTGACACTACCCCATTCAGGGGTGGGGTTCTCATTACCACTGGGTGGGTGTGGGTTCTCCCTTGACACTAGGACACTAGGAAGTGGGAAGACAGGGGTTTTCCTACTCAGCCTTCTCCGACATCCTCTGCCATTGGGGTGGAGGGAAGTACTGGGACACCATGTTATAATCTGGAGTATTAGTCAGCATTCTCCAGAGAGACAAAACCAATAGGATGGATGGATGGATAGTTAGATAGATAGATAGATAGATAGATAGATAGATAGATAGATAGATAGATAGATGAAGCTATATGAGAGGGGATTTATTAGGGGAAGTGGTTTATGTGATTATGGAGGCTGGGAAGGCATGTAAGAGGAGAGCTGCTGAGATGCTGGGATGCCAATAGTGTGCCACATTCCAAGTCCGAAAGCCTCACATCCAGGAAAACCAATGGTGTAACTCTCAGTCAGAGGCTGAAGGTCTGAGAACCTGGGGGGCCACTGGGACTAGTCCCAGAGCCCAAATGCCAGAGCGCCTGGACTTCTGATTCCCCAGAACAGGAGAACCTAGGTGTCCAGAAGAGAAAGCAAGCAAGCAAATTCACCCTTCCTCTGCCATTTTGTTCTGTTCAGGCCCTCAGCCAACTGCATGGCCCTTGGCACACTGGGTGAGAGTGGATCTTCCTTACTCAGTCCACGGATTCACAGGCCAGTCTCTTCCAGAAACACCTTCACTGACACACCCAGAGCTGATGCTTCACCATGATCCGGGCACCCCTTAATCCAGTCAAGTTGATGCCTAACAACACCCATCACTTCTGGCCAGAGTGGAAGTCTAGGATCTCCACTCTCCTCCCTTTGATGCATGAGTGTGGTGGGGCCACAGCTTTTCCTCTGGTGTCTGCTGAAGCAGTGCAGTTATTGTCTAAAAGTTTGCTGTCTTGTTAGGTCCCCCTCTGCTGTTTATTTGATTAAAGAGAGCTGGGTTTCATTCAGACTTTTTCAACCATGCCTTTTGGTTATCCAGATAACTGGCTTCTCTGGTGCCAAGTCTGGGAAACATGAGGCAAAAAGAAAACCCAGGGACCTGACCGCTCTGTTGTTTTGTTGGCCTTGAGGTCCCTGCAAAAAGAAAACACAGGGACCTGACCGCTCTGTTGTTTTGTTGGCCTTGAGGTCCCTAGCCATTTTTTTTTTCTTGAGATGGAGACTTGCACTGTTGCCTGGGTAAGAGTGTAACAGTGCGATCTTGGCTCACTGCAACCTCCACCTCCCAGGTTCAAGCGATTCTCCTGCCTCAGCATCCTGAGTAGCTGGGATTACAGGCACTTGCCACCATGCCTGGCTAATTTTTTGTATTTTTAGTAGAGATGGGGTTTCACTATATTGGCCAGGCTGGTATCGAACTCCTGACCTCATGATTCACCCACCTCGGCCTCCTAAAGTGCTGGGATTACAGGTGTGAGCCACCGCGCCCAGACCCTAGCCAGTCTTTCTTCTCTCCACCTATTAGAACTGTTTCATGCTTGCTTTACATATAATGGCCAGGATTTCTAGGTGAACTTAGCAGAAGTAGGGAAAATTATGTCTATTCCATGTTTCCTGAGCAAAGTCTCTTTTTATGTCTACTCTTAAGATTTATCTTAATCTCTGCTTTGTAGCAATTTGACTTTGATACTGCTTGGTCTAATTGTCTTCATGTTTCTTATACTTAAGGGCTTTTGAGCTTCTTGGACCTGTGGGTTTATGGTTTTCATCAAATTTAATTTTTTTTCTACTGTTATTTCTTCAAATATTTTTTCTATCCTTCCTCTTTCTTCTCTCTACTGGGGACTCAAATTCCACATACATCAAGCTTCTGGAAATTTTCTTATAACTTGCTGATGTTCTGCTTTATTTTAGCTTGTTTCTATAGGTATGTTTCTAAATTTACTGATTATTTCTTCTTCTACATTGTCTATTCTGCTGTTAATCCTCTATGAGATTTTTTTTTTTTTTTTTTTTTTTGAGATGGAGTCTCGCTCTGTTGCCAGGCTGGAATGTAGTGGCACAATCTCGGCTCACTGCAACTTCCGCCTCCCAGGTTCAAGCGATTCTCCTGCCTCAGCCTCCCGAGTAGCTGGGACTACAAGCACCCATCACCATGCCCAGCTAATTTTTGTATTTTTAGTAGAGACGGGGTTTCACCCTGTTGACCAGGATGGTCTCAATCTCTTGACCTCATGATCAGCCCACCTCAGCCTCCCAATATGGGATATTTTTATGTCAGACATTACCGTATTTGTCTCTAAAACTTTGATTTTGCATATTTCAATATCTTCCGTGTCTTCAGGTAGCATGCTCGATTTTTCCTCTAGCTCCTTGGACTATAGTTATAATTACTGCCTCAATATAATTGCTCATGAGTTCTACCATCTTTGTCAACTCCAGGTGTGTTTTTACTGACTGATATTTCTTCTCACTAATAAGTTACATTCTTTTGTGTTCTGTACTGAATGTTCCATAGGTTATGTAGTTTCCTACTCTGACTGGTGAGGACAGGAACTATGCCCAGGCTGTGCGAATTTCTGCAATTCCTTTCACTGATTATTTGATTCCCCCTGGCTTTGGGTAGTTTCCTCCTAGCATGAGCTGGTCAGTACCCAGTCCTAGTATATGACAGGAGCTTCTTTGCTTCTCCTGAGCTTTCTATCTTTGCAATTTTTCTCTCTCTAATACTGTGCTCTGCAAACTCTAGCCTTGACCTTCTGAAAGATCCATCCTATCTCTTCTACTCAGGGAGCTGGCTGAGCTACGCTCTCTGTGACGCAGCCTGAAAACTCCAGCTAATCAGCTTCAGCGTTCATAGACTCACCCTGTTTGCTTCCTATCTGCCAGGAACCACTGTCCTGTATGTTATATGGGAAGGCTAGTCTGGGTTCCTGCTCCTCCAGCATTTCCATAACTAGAAGTTCCTTACCATTGTTGCATTTATAATGATGCTCTGAGCCCTCCCCTGACCACCCCAAGCCCAAGTAACCTAAGGAAGCAACCCTGGGGTCTTTGGGGCCTTGTGATTTAATAATTCTTCACTCAGAAGCCCAGAGAAGTCCACCTTTGCAACTCATTTTTTGAAAGATGCAGAAATGGGGGTAGGTATGTGGTGGTGACAAAATGTCATCAAAACCAGACCCGAAAGGCAGAGCAAGGGTTTGGCTCTTGCCTAATCCAGCTTTCAGTTTCCTCCCTAATGACAGTGGCAATAAGGACATCTTGGAATCTCCCAGAAAGCTTCAGGATAGACATTTCCGGGGTAAATCCTGTTACCATGGGGGTTTATTAAGCCCTGATGTTCCATTGTCTTTTGCAGCCTTGACCCCTCCCAGCCCTCTTCTGTATTGCTGTTAAAGGAGGATCTCTCTGATCATTCTCTGCTGTAAAATATTTGGTGGCTCCCATTGCCCCTAAACATGATTCTGATCTTAGTATTGGTCTTTCATGTCCTTCTCAATCTATCTTTCCTTCGTCATCTTCAAATGCTTTCTCCAAATCCCTTGGGACATTTTTATTCTTGGCCTTGGGGAAAGCATGGCTAATTTTCTCACCCGTCTTCCTGTGAAGTCCTCTGAACCCCCTAGTTAGGATGGCCTCTCTCCCTGCTGCCCCCATAGAATGCTGCGCTGTTATGAAGCACAGATTTTCAGTACCCACCTCCAGCTTTGCATGTACGCGAGAACTCACAGCAAACACAGATAGCGGGGAAGGATGCACAGACTCACATCTAGTCATGAGTAATGAACATATTGGTTTGGGCAGTGAGCTGGGTGCAGGTGTCTTCTTCTAGGAGCTCAGGGGTTGTCCCATCATGCCTCACTCACTGCCCACTGCTGGCCAGCAGCCTTCCAGGTGAAAGACAGCTTTCCTCTGAGAGGAAACCTCAGGCCACACTAGGGGTCCCTGATCAACCGTGGCTCATGCTAGCAGGAGAGAAGGAGAAAGCAGACTATTCTCTGAGGGGTACATTAATGGGGCTGGGGCTCCCCCAAGGTAGGAAAGCCTGGATGAGTGCTGGGGATGCTCAGATAGGACTGCTCCCCTGACTTCTGGCCCCGAGGGCTGGCTTAGCTAGGAGTCCCAGTCCGCTTGGAATCTGAGCAGGGAAACTTCAGTGAGAAGGTTTGCTTTTGAACAGACGCCAGCACAGCCTGCATTCTGCTGAAGCTGAGCTTTTAATAACAGTAATAGTTATTTGGACAACTGTGATAATAATTTCAGTTAGAATGTCACTTTGCCATTTAGGAAGCAGTTTCTTAGACATTATTTCATTTTGTTTCATCCACTAACAGTTGCCCAGCCTTCATTTTCATTTTATTTCAAATTTGACTTATTCTATACACACTTATACGCATATATATACTTTACAAAATGCGTAAAAGCATGTTGTTTATTTTTCCAAATACGTAATTTTTATTTCTTGTCACTGTACCCTCTTCCCTTTCCCCACAACCTCTCCACCTCCTGCCAACTTCATCACGAGGAAATCTGTACTAACTATTATTCTCATTTGTTTTGTTTCGTTTGTTTTTAGACAGGGCCTCACTCTGTTGCCTGGCTGGAGTGCAGTGGCGTGATCTCGGCTCACTACAACCTCCATCCCCTAGGCTCAAGTGATCCTCCCACCTCAGCCACCCAAGCAGCTGGGACCACAGTTGCATGGCCCCATGCCAGGCTAATTTTTTGCATATCTTTGGTAGAGACAGGGTTTTGCCACATTGGTCTCAAACTCCTGAGCTCAAGCTATCCACCTGCCTCAGCCTCCCAAAGTTATGGGATTACAGGCATGAGCCACCACGCCCAGCCTCTTCCCAGTTCTTACTTCTACACATGTGTTTCTATCCCCACACATACACAGGCATGAACACACTCCACACGTCTGTCTGGATGCACTTACTCATGCAGAGACGCACAGGACATGGATCTATAAATACACATCCGCATATAGAAACCTACACACAAAAATGCAGGCTTTATCCTGTGTAATTGTTTTGCAAAAATAAATTTCATCAAACACACCTTTTAGCAAGTTACTTTTTGAGCTCAATACTGCATTGTTAACACCCCTGCCATCACCGGGCAGAGCTGGAGTTTATTCTTCTGAATGACTGCACAGTGCTCCTCGATGTGAATCTCCACAAAGCTATTTACTTTCAAGTTCATGTTTCAACCCTTCAGTGGTTGTGGAATGTGAACTATGTCACAGCTACACACGCTTTTCTATTAAAAAAAAAAAAGAAAGTGTCACTTTGGTTTTGTTTTTGCTCTTTAAAGGTACAACTTCAAAGGGCCCTGGTGTAAAAATACAAAATTTATAGAATTCATGATGAGCTCAGGAATCAAGTGGAGTTTGCAAAGTAGCAACACAATGAATTGGGAAGAAGTTCCAAGTCCCTTTGAAAGGCAAGTTTTTAAAATTCAGCCCATAGAGAGCCTGGTAAAATCAGTGCCGCCGCTACTGCTTCTATTTTTTCCCCAATCTCACTCTTTCCGAACTTCAAACTATTGTAAGAAGCTGTAAATTATATTTTTCCCTTAAAATATCTCTGCAGCCCCTACTAGGTCTGTAGCACCGTGCTTCAGGCTGGGGTGCGTGTGGACATTGGTGAGCCCACCCACAGCTGCATCTCTGTGCATCTGAGTCAAGGCTAAAGGTGGGGCTGGGGATGGGACCCAGTGGGGACACAGGGCATGCGTCTTTCCTGAGAAAGTGCTGAAGCATTTTCATGGGTGGGGGTCAAGCCACGGACGGAGAGCATCACAGGCCCCACAGACAAGGCAAACACAGAAGAGGAGCCGGGGGCTCAGCGGATCCCTTGGTTAAGGACAGGTCGCAGCTCTGGGTGCTGGGAGCGCCCTGCGAGAGAGCAGACAGAGCCGCTCTGAAGGAGCACACGCTCCTGAGAAGCCATGCTGTCTCCTGGGGAAACAGGTGTGGGGCAAGAAGTGCTAGTGGCTTGTTACTATTTGTCAGGATGGATGAAGCCATTGCAGGGATGTTCGGCTGGGGTGGAGGTGACATTCACAGGCCCTGCATCGGTGGAGGCCACCGTGGTGAGGAGAATGACGACGACGCGAATGTGGCAGTACAAGCCGGCTGGAGCCTCACCCCTGTGCTTCGCACTCCAGCGGTTTCACAGTATACTGAGGAGAGAGCCCAGAATAACCCTGACTGTGGCTCAGAAAGCCCCCAGTGCCGTGTCCACCTCCCACCCATTCCTTGTGATCTTTGCTCCACCGGCTCCCGGGTCTCCCTGTTGCTCAAAACCGTCAACTCCTTCCCATCCCACTGCTTCTCATGTTTTTCTCTCCTTTGGCCTGTTGCGTCCATATGACAGAAACACAAGGATAAGACGCCCCCTTCCCCTAGACGCCCCCCCCCAAATCCTATGTACAATTTTAGTGTCATGGTGTCTTGAAAAGCAAAATAAAATTTCAAACTGCCTTTGCGAAGGTTATAACGGTGAGAAAATGATGATAGTGAGAGAGCTGGCCTAACCGACCCCATCTCACCTCTAACCTCCAAGCTGCCCTTGCTCATTCCTGCGTGTGGGCTGAACTAACTTTGGAAGCAATTGAGTTTAGAGTTTAACTTTGAAACACAGATGATAACATAACAGACCCTCCCCAAAATGAACTCCCTCCTTGCTTGGGGACCAGAATGCCTTTCTGTATAACCAACAAATTAGCCACAGATTGGAAATTATGATTTAGGAGTTATGAAGCCAGAGGCCACAAGATTCCAAATCTCCTCCATTGTTCCTATGGATGACATGGCTATTGTAAAACCTAAGATCGGTGTTTAAGGTATTTTTCAGACCTTAAACATTCAGGTAGATCAGCTGGTACCACCCAGACCGGTAAGCCGGCTCCTCTCGTCTTGTGGCCCCCATCCAGGAACTGACTCAGCACAGGAGGACAGCTTCAACACCCTCTAATTTTATCTCCAACCAAACCAATCAATATTCCCCCTTTCTTAGTCTTCTGCCCACCAAACTATCTTAAAAAAGAAAACCCTATCTTCCAAATTTTCAGGGAGGCTGATTTGAGTAATAATACAACCCTGGTGTCCCGGTTAGCTGGCTCTATGTGTATTACACTCTTTCTTTACCAGGCATGGTGGCTCACTCCTGTTATCCCAGCACTTTGGGAGGCTGAGGTGGGAGGATTGCTTGAGCTCAGGAAATTGAGACCAGCCTGGGCAACATAGCGAGGCCCCATCAGTACAAAAAGTTTTAAAAATTAGCCAGGCATGATGGCAGGCACCCATGGTCTCAGCTACTTGGGAGGCTGAGGTAGAAGGATCACTTGAGCCCAAGAGGTTGCAGCTGCAGTGAGCTGTGATTGAATCACTGTGCTCCAGCCTGGATGACAAAAAGAGACCCTGTCTCAAAATAATAATAATAAATAAACTCTTTTTCAATTGTGATATGGTTTGGCCGTATCCACCCAAATCTCATCTTGAACTGTAGCTCCCATAATTACCATGTGTCATGGGAGGGACCCCGTGGGAGGTAATTCAATCACGGGGGCAGGTCTTTCCCATGCTGTTCTCATGATAGTGAATAAGTCTCACGAGATCTGATACTCTTATAAAGAGGAGTTCCCCTGCACAAGTTTTCTTGCCTGCCTCCATTTAAGATCTGCCTTTGTTCCTCCTTTGCCTTCTGCCATGATTATGAGGCCTCCCCAGCCATAGGGAACTGTAAGTCAATTAAACCGCTTTCCTTTATAAATTACCCAGTCTCAGAAATGTGGGTATGTCTTTATTAGCAGTGAGGACAGACTAATACAGATTGCAATTCCCTTCTCCTGACAAATCAGCTCTACCTGGGCAGTGGGTGAGATGAATGCATTTGGGTGGCTACTAACGGACCCTTTGACTTCAAATCACGTGGTCAGGAACATCAGGAACAGACTTGGCGGCACAGCCTCTGACAGATGCTGTCCTGCTCTTCACAGACACTCATCTGAGTGCCTGCCCAGCTAAGTGGCCACCAGATCCTGTCCATCCTAACCTCCTTCATGTCCTGTCAGTCATTCCCAAATCCCCATCCCCTCTGAGGCCTCATCCTCTCGTTTGGTCTCCTGTTTCTAACTAGACCAGTGAAGGTGCTTCCTATGCACCATCCTCTCCAAGGCTGGCCTTCCCAGGCCTTGCAGCAGGACTTGGTTGTGTCATCCCCAGGAAAAATCATAGAGCACTTAGGACTCTGGGCCTGGATCAAACCTGGACTCTATCACTTCTTGGCCCTGTGACTTTGAATGCATCATCAAACCCCTTTGTGCTCTAGTTTCCTCACTTATGGAGTGAGGATAATAATTGCATTTACCTCCTAGGGCTGTGGTGGGAATCAAATTGATTAAAAATGCCAAATGCTGAACAGAGCCTGGCCTGTGGTGAGCACCGAGGAACTGTTCACTCCTGTTGTTGACACACAAATATCAGCTTGGCCCTGGCTGCAGGCTAGAGAGGATTAGCTGCCAAAGTTCCATATACTCCCAGGATGAATGGAGAGCTCCTTCAGTGCCCCAGATGACCTGGGTCAGGTCTTCATGCTCCAGCCACACGGAACTACTTGCTCTTCCCAGAAGGACCAGTCTCCTCCCCCATCCTGGATGGCAGCATGCTGACCTTAGGTGTGATCTCTTCTCAGCCTGCATCCAGGCCAGCAAGTGTCCTCTGAATACCGCCCTGTGCAGTCACTGTGGGAGTTGCTGGCCCCTGAGGGATATGACCAGCCTCCTCTGTAAGGACCTCAGTTGGTAACAGGAGGAAGATGATCCATGGGACACAGTGAGGTGGTGTGGAAGGTCATGTGGTCCTGGGAAGAGCCAGGAGTTGTAGAATCAAGATTCTCCTCTCTGAACAGGGACCAGTGAAGGCCACCAGAGCTGGGGACCTGGGCTAAGCTGGGGGCCAGTGAAGTCTGGCCAGGTTACAGGAAAAGGCACACAGTCCAGCATGCATGCAGGTGAGAGGACAGAGCAGCCTTGCATCTCCGAGGTGTGGATGCCGAGGGCCAGAGAGCACATGCTCAGGTCAGATGATGACTCAGTGGCCAAACTGGCAAACCACAGACATTTTGCCCCTACTTTAAAAAATGAGTTTGTTTCAAGGACCTTAAACTGGCAGGTGAATAACAGTCAAATGTTAATTGGTCTTAGTAATTAAGAAAAGTTAGTTGCCATTTATTGGGTTCTTACAGTGTGTCCAGAAGCCATGTGTATATGTGCGGCTCTGTGTATGTGTGTGTCTCTTGAAATACATGCAGTTGGCATGAGTAGGTGGCTCTCAGATTACTCCAGGGATAACCCCCTCCAGGAACTCAGCCCTTGTGTAAGCTCCACCCCTGAGTACAGACTGCACCTATTGACTTCTTTCTAATAAACAGAATGTGGCCAAAACTGCTGGAATGTCACTTCTGAAATGAGGCTACCAAAGGACAGTGACTTCTGTCTCACTCTCTCCCTCCCTTGTTCACTCAGAGGGGAGCGAGCTGCCAGGTTGTGAGCCTGTGAAGGGACTCATGGGGCCAGGAACAGGCAGAGACATCTGGCTGCAGCGACAGAGGAGTGACACCCTCAGACTGCCAGCCCATAGATGACTGAATCCTGCTCACAGCCATGTCGATCCTTCCACAGCCCAACCTTCAGATGAGACTCAGCCCAGCCCAACATCTTGAAAGTGAATGAACTTAAGGCAGCAGTACACAGCAAAGCCACACTCAGATTCCTGAACCACAGACCCTGTGAGGTGACAAATGCTTGTTTTTGCAGCCAATGCATCCAGTGATAATTTACTATACAGAAATCCTTAATATATAGCTCTTCTGAGGATGGATGTATTTGGAACTTGCCCAAGGTCTTTTGACAGAAAGCTGTGGCAAACAAAACCCATATTAGTCTGATGCCACCCTTTGATGAGAAGGCACAAAAGAAAAGAAGTCACTTCCTATATATTTGGGCAAAGAGCTGCGGATGGCTGTTTTTGTAGGATCCCCCCATGAAGATGCTGATGGGAACCCCATAGACTCAGGCCCTATTCCTGGCCCAGCCTGGGAATCTAGGTGCTGAGTATGTTGTGCGGTGTGTGTGCTTGGGGGTGTGGGGGAAGAGCATCAGGCTGTGGCAGGACTGAGATTTTGTGTAGTCCAGGACGGCCGAGCAGAGGAGAGAGGAGCTCATGTGGAACAGACAGACAGCGGTATCAGCAGCAGGAAAGGAATCAAAGCTTCAGGGGCAGGACAGTTTGCAAGGAGAATTTTCCTTCGGGGCCCTCCTATAGGTTTGCAGTGGTATCACTTTCAAGGGTCTTCACAGTGGGTGGGAGTCCCAGTCTGAATCCGCCAATGCCCCATCCTGTAAACAGCTGACAATTGACTATTTCTGCCCACAATCGCACAACTATCTTTTTTTCCTTTTTCTAAGAATGAGGTATAAATTTCCTCTGTGTTCCAGCAAAAGGAAACAGACAAGAATATCAAACAGGACAGCGATGACAAGGCATTGAAAAAGAGTAACAGGGGATTTAGGCCCCCAGTGGAGGCGCCGATCCCAGCGGTTTCAGTTCCAAATCTGAAGCAAGAGGGTAATCCCTGGCCTAGGCAGAGGCAGCCCCACCCTTGACGTCCGCTGCTCTGGAAGAGTCACTTCATGAAGATGTTACTCAGTGACGCCAGTGCTCCCCTGACCCGCGACCCTTGACTCCAGACCTTGTCTCAGGACTTGTACCTCTGGCACTTGGCCCTCGGCCCTCTCATCCCTGCTGTGTGGTTTCCCTTGAGAGGGCAAGAGCCCCTGCATGTGGCCAAATAAACCATGGGAGCTTCTCAGGAGCAGCCCTCCCCACCAGGGCACCATTTCCCGGAGCACACTCCCAAAAGTTTGTAGGACAGCAAAGGACATGTGACCAGAGCCCAGAGAGCTGTGCCAGTCCCGGCTCTTGTTAACCACCCCTGAAAATAGGGGAAGGTGACTGATCAGAGTCCATAGGATGGAGATGATGGCCCTGGCCCCAGTCCATCTGCATGGAGCACCCCAGGGGTTGGGGACAGCACCTGTAATCAAACACAACTGATATAGCAGTTCTACATGAAACATATGAATATTCTTGGGAATCTGATCCATCAAAGACTAAAGAACTGCAGGTAGCTCAGGTCAGATTTGGTTACCAAAGAGGCCAGGTCACGTCAGGTGGGGTCTTATCATTGAATGAGTTCGAAAAATGCTTCTAGTTTTCACAGCTTTTTGGAGGTGGGTATTGCAATGAGGAAGTTGAACCTGGACCACCTGCCCACTGCCTATGGGCAAACGGAGGCTAGGAGAGTTCAAGTGACTCGCCCCAGTCCTGCAGCTTATAGATGGCGGAGTTGGCATTATGGCCAGGGTCTGCTTTACCCCCAAGTCTTGTCCCAGCTCTGCCACTCAGCCACATTGACCCTGGAAGTCTCCCGTAAATAGTAGCATCTTGCACAGTGACCTGGCATGACACTGAAGCCATAATGGGCAAGTCACTGCCTTCTCTGCTTTCCTGAAAAAGGTGGGCCATATCACATTTCCTGAATCCTAAGACGTGTGTTTCTGAAGTCAGATGTCTCAGAATGCATGTGTCCATTTACCAAGAGAGACTTGTATTTCTATGCCCTACTTCCCCACCCCCAGGAAGCTCTTATTAAAATGCTGGCATCTTATTTCATGGCACAGTAGAGCAGCAGCTGGTGTCTTAGAATGTGGAAATCACCTCCTCAGCCAGGTGCTGGGAGATTGGATGGGTAGACTCCCTATAAAGCACCTGAGACCACTGGGGTGAGGCAGGTGGAGGCCTGCGGCACTGACCGTCCTGGGGAACCAGGCTCCAGGAAGAGGAAAGTCATGGGTATAAACAGCTCTACAGGGAGGCAGAGGGCCTGAGCCAGGATGGTGGGATGGTTAAGGTGACGGGGGGATTGTGGAGTGGAAGGGAGGTGGGGTTGATTAGGAAAGGCTAGCATTTCCAGGTCCCCTGGGTCTGAGAGGCTCTCTGAGTGGATGCCAGAACCCTGGCTGGAGGGAGATAGGGCACGCTTGTCAGTCCTGGATTCCACACTTTCTGAGATACTGCGTGGGCGTTCTGTGCACACTCGGTGCTGAGCTGAGCCCATCATGGGACTGTGCTGGAAACCAGTCTGAGCCTTGATGGACCAGCTGGGAGCTCAAGGCTTTACACCCACTGGAAGCCTGGTTTTTCTTAGAAAACTGCAGTTTTCTACATGTGACCTCGAGACTGGATGGGCACAGAGAACTACGCTACAAGGTTTGCTGCCTTGCCCAGGAGAACAGGCCCCGGGCTGGAGGGCAGAGGCCCCAGGTGCAATCTGTCTCAGCTCTGGGCTCACCTCTGTGCAGCGTTCTACAGCCCAGCACCCTTCTTTCAGGTGCAACCATGTCTCCTTTACCCAGGGATGCTCCCTGCTCTCAGAACCTCTCAGGGTCCCAGTGAGAAACCCACGAGTGAAGGAGCCTCCGTGTGCCCTGCTTTGGGAAACACCCTCGTCTGGTCCTTCAGGGACTCCAGCACAGTTACTTGTCTGCCCCTGGCTGGGTACCAGGTTACCTCTGGGAAACTCCCGCACAGGGCCCACCAGGCCTGGGTTTGTCCCTGGATGGACAGGCTCGATTTCCTCTAGGCCCGAAATTCGCTTCTGCTGCGGTAGGAAGAGTGCCCAGGTGGGGCCGGGCAGCTTGGCGTCAGGGTCCTGGCGTGCCCTCAGCTACATGCACTGTGGGGGTGACTGTTCCACACTTCAGATCATCACATCCTAAATGTACACAGTGGCATCTGAAAGAAAGGCCCCTTGGCTGTGGGTGATGGTCCCTACCTGACTTAGTGACTCCAATTCCAGCCTCTGCCTGGAGACATCACCCCTTCTGATTTATGGGCATTTGGCCATATCTGCTCACAATCATTGTCTTCCTTTTATAGGAGATTTTTAGTTTTATTGGCAGATTTAAATTCAGGTGGACATTTATAGACCCATACAATATAACACTTAATTAAATGATGTCACATGAAAGGACTCATGCTAAGGACGGCCTCTGAGCTGGGCATGGTGAGGCTCGGCTGTTGCAAATCCCCACAAAGTCCAGCCACAGAACAGCAATCCAGGCTCAGGCAGACATGGTCAAGGCTGGCCCTACATCAGGATCTGGAGCTTGGAGCCTCCAGCAGAGGCTGGGAAAGGAAGGGGTGAGCAGGGGCCATGCAGGAAGGGGTGAGAAGGAGTCCAGGTCACCACGGGAAAGGCAGAAGTGAGGAGGATGATGGCCATAACCGCAATGAAGGCAGTGACTTCACCACACAGTAGGCATGCTTAGAGTGGGGGGCCCTGGAGTGTCGACGGGTGGTTAGTGTGCACTGCATGCTGGGCCTTGAGTCCTGCTTTCCAGGACTGACGTGTAATCCTCTTGCCAACCCTACACAGCACAGACGATGATGAGTATTTTGAATTTATAGATGAGGAAACTGAGGTTCAAACAGATTAAGTAATCAGAGTCCAGGTCTGTCTGATCCACAGGCCTGTGCCTTCCACACGGCGCTATCCTGCCTCACGGTGGGAGGGCGTATTCAGTAGGGGCTCAGCATATTCAGGATAAGGGACTCACAGACAAGGATATCAAAGAATGACTGACAGGTGAAATCCAGGCTGGGTCAATTCAGAGAAGGCTCTGGAGGAAGGCTAAGGGGGTGCGACTTAATTCACACTGGTGATGGGGAGCCAGTAAAGGATTCTCAGCCAAATGGAGCAGGTTGGAAACTTCTTAGGGTGATTGGCAGAGGGATTGGAGCCCTTTAGGTGCATGGTCACGTAGGAGAGCCCCATGTTCGGGCAGGTTTGCAACTTCAGCAAGCTTTATTGTATGGGTACATTGTGTGCCCAGGTGGGAATAAGCACACTTCGAACAGAATTCTTGAGCGGGGGTGGGTGATGCTTATCTGGTTGTGCCATTTGGAGCTCTATCTTCTTGTTCCAGGGATCACAGAACAACCATTCAGGTGGATGATGCACGGAGGAATATTTAACTTAGAACATGATGGTGAGTTCAAAACCATTGTTGACAACAGCCTGAATCTGCTCCACCTCTGAGCATGCCACATCCATCAGTGCAGGTCTAGGTACAGACAGCCAAATGTGGACAATGGCCCACAGGTTGATGTCCGGTGCTTTGAGCAAAAGGCAAGGTGAAGACTCTGTGATTGCAGAAACAGGAAGATAGGGCCTTGGGGCTGCTGGGACCTCGATTTCCTCTCTTCATTTTCCTGGGAGGTCTGTGCTGCTCTGGGCACATGCTGCCAGTTCAGACACCACATTCTCAATCCTTACACATGTGCTTGTTCAAGGTTCTTTCAATAAGCAGTCTCTATCGATCCATTTTTGCAAGGTTTGCTCCCTCCTATGTGCTGTAAAATGCTGCTGCCTGTGGTGCTGAGTAACTTGGGGATGGCCACACTGGCTTGCCAGGCTCCTCAGCCCCCACCCCAGGGAACTGGGAGCTGCATCATGAAAGGGTCAAATGCAGAGAGACTGCCCAGCGCCCACGGTGGCCCAGCAGGCTGGGCATGCGTGATCTCCGGGCATACAGCTCGGGCCCCTTGTTGAATAAGCTCTACCTGTAGGAGCCAACAGCCAGCCGTTAGTGCTGCCGTGGAGCCTAATTGAGAATTACCAGGTGGCTGAGGCCCAGACAGGGCTTTGTGCTGGGGTACTCAAGCAGAAATGTTGCTCAGCCCGTGGTGATCCTATTAGGAAGCGGAGAAGTTAATGAATAGTGTGTTCTTTCTTGCTTTCCCTGTCTGCCTTCAGCACGTTGTGTTTATCTACTTATGTATGGAAATCCAGGCCTTCTTAGTAGGCAGAGCAGAGAAGCAGCTTCTTGTCTCACCGAGGAACTGCACAAATCATTCCATTCAGGCAGAAGGCTTGATTGGGCTCTTTGAGTCTAAATAAGATGTCCTTAACCCTTCCTCCACCCAGACCCTTGTTGTTTGAGATGGGCTCTTTTAGGCTGCAAGAAACAAAGAAATGCTCAAAGAACAAAGAAATTCCCAGAGAGAGATTTTTATTATAAGCTACAAGAGACACAAGAGGAGGAAGAACAGCTGCAGAGCCGGCTCCGGAAGCAGGAGCTCGCGAAGGGCACCCAAGGTCGCCAAGGCTCTGGCTGAGCTACCGTGCCGTGTCCTGCGGAGGTGCAGAGGCTGTGGTTTCCCGTGTGAGTTTCACGTGTGTGACTTTCTCTCATGGCCTCCTCTCTAGCACTCAAGTGCAATCAATCAGACAGGGGGTCTGATGGCTCCCGCCAGTCACCATCTGTGGGGCCAGGCTTCCTCAGGGGGCACTGTGGGTGTGGAGGGAGTCTGGAGCCATGCGACTTCCTGGAATAATCTAGGACATCTGTCAGAACATGGAACTGCTGTTATTTGACAGAAGCAGCAGCCACCACTGTCTGAGCATTGATGGTGCACCAACCACTGGGCTCAGTGTCTGTTGCAGTTATCGAATGTTGCATGATGGATCACCCCAGCACTTAGGGGCCTTTATCGTGTACACAGATTCTATGAGCCATACATTTGGGAAGAGTTTGCTGGGTAGTCCTCGCTTGGGGTCTCTCCTGTCTGCAGTCAGATGTTGGCCAGGCTGTAGTCATCAAAGTTTGATTGAGATGAAGGGTCTACTTCCAAGGCCTCATCCACATGAGTGGCATTTGTTGCCAGCTGTTGGCTGGGGGCCTGGATCCCTCTCTGCACAGAACTGTCCATGGGGCTGCCTGAGGGTCTTCCTGGTGCGCTGGTTCCTTTCTCTCAGAACTAGCAATCCAAGACATACCGGGTGCAAGCTAAAATGACTTGCATGAATTAGGCATTTTCTTTGTATCCCCTGTCCTGATACCAGTGCCTGGCATGTAATGGCACTTCCTTCCTAACTGAAGGAAGAAGAGAAGGAAGGGAGAAAGGAGAGGGAGGGAGGAAAGAGAGGGAGGAGGGAGAGGGAGGTAGGGAGGAAGGAGAAGGAGGAAGGAGAGGGAGGAGAGACAAGGAGGAAGGAGAGGGAAGAAGGAGAGGGAGGAGGGAGAGGCAGTAAAGAGAGGGAGGAGGGGAGGAAGGACAGGGAGGAAGGAGAGAGAAGAGGGAGAGGGACTTAGGGAGGAAGGAGAGGGACTAGGGAGGAAGGAGAGGGAGGGAGGCAGTAAAGGGAGGAAGGAGAGGGAGGGAAGAAGGAAAAATTGTCAAAGTTTGATTGATTTTTCTAAATTAAAGAGTCGCAATACTAAGCTTTTAACCATGCATCAGGACAGATTACAGAGGGCCCTGGGATTGGGCCCATTGCTTTTGGGAAGCAGTGCCTGTTCATGGTTCTGTGCAGGGTGAGTGCCACTGAGTTACACTAATAATCTAAGCCTACCCAGTGGGTTTCTGCTAATGATAAACATCTGAGAACTCACTCAATTTTTCTCCTTCCTCGTTTGCTGACCCTTACGTCAAGGTGTGTGTGAGTGGCCCTGCACCTGAGGATTTCTTTCTTCTGTTATTTTCAATACCAGCTAATTGCATCCTCTCTAAGGCTGCCCCTCCGGCCCAATCCTGCCCCCAGACTGTGACCTCAGCAGGAGCCTTTATACCCTCCCTCCTAACTGCTAAACACTTGGGATTTCCAAGGGCTTGACATAGAATTGGAAGATGTCTAATTAAACTGATTCTTCAGTGTTTGTGAATAAAACAAATGTCCAAGAAGCCATAGAGCATCAGACGCCAAGGACAGGGAAGGGTCCCAAAATCTGGGACACCAGCTGCTCCCCATTTATGATGTGGGTGCTCAGGCTGTGGGGGGGCGGACAGAGGACTGGGAGGAGGAGGAGGTGACCTTGGAAGTTGTTTTTACTAGAGAATCTATAAAATCTGTATGTAAGGAAGCTTCTTTGTTTATGAGCTCATTTTTGTCCCAGGCAATAACTTGTCCTATGTCATGGCGTGATGGTTAGTTCTGAGTGTCAACTTCATTGGATGGAAGGATACAAAGTATTGATCCTGGGTGTGTCTGTGAGGGTGTTGCCAAAGGAGATTAACATTTGAGTCACTGGGCTGGGAAAGGCAGATCCACCCTTAATCTGGGTAGGCATCATCTAATCAGCTGCCAGCATGGCTAGAATATAAACAGGCAGAAATATGTGAAAAGAGAGACTGGCCTAGCCTCCCAGCCTACATCTTTCTCCTGTGCTGGATGCTTCCTGCCCTCGAACATCGGACTCCAAGTTCTTCAGTTTTGGGACTGGGACTGGCTCTCCTTGCTCCTCAGCCTGCAGACAGCCTATTGTAGGACCTTGTGATCATGTGAGTTAATACTTAATAAACTCCCCTTTATATATCTATCTATATATATATAAAATTATTTCTGTATATATACAGAATATATGGAATATGTATATTTCCTTATTTCAGTGAATATATATACAGAATATATGAAATATATATATCCCATCGTATATATATATATCCCATCATATATATATATATATCCCATCATATATATATATATCCCATCATATATATATATCCCATCATATATATATATATATATATATCCCATCATATATATATATCCCATCATATATATATATATATATATCCCATCATATATATATATATATATATATATATATATATATATAGTTCTGTCCCTCTAGAGAATCCTGACTAATACACGTGGTTTACCCCATGTGTTCTGAACATTCCAGAGATCCTGTTTGCTGAATTACCTTTTTCTCATATATCCCTTGTCCTTATACAAATGCCTGTCATGTAATGCCACTCAGAAAGTACCTATGCAAAGGAAGAAAGAGAAGAAGGAAGGAAGGAAGGAAAGAAGGAGGGAAGAAAGGAAGGAAGGAAGATATATACGTATACACACACACATACATATATTCCTGTGATACGGTTATATCGGAATATATGTATCATTCCTATACTATATATATGCACATATCATAGAACCCCCAGAACCCCAAGCATACCACCTACAGGAGGTGGGGAAGGAATTATAACAATTCCAAAATGGGAAATTATGAGAGAAAGCAACATTTACACGACTGTTGTGGCTGGCACATGGGGGCACTGTTGAGAAAATAGCCCAGTTACCAGCATTCTGTTTATAAAGGCCTCAGGAAGGGTTTCTCCTGAGCCACAGCATGGGAAAACTCACACTTGTTCCTGAAGATTTTAAAAAGTTATTATTCTGATGGACACTGAATCACACACTTTTCTTTCTGCTTTGGCTGCCAGGCAGCTCCCAGCCACAGCTGCACCCTGCATGAGCCACCATCTGAGAGTTTGGATGCATGTATCTGAGAGGCGGTTCTAGTATGACCCTGTCCTTACTTCCTCCATCCCTCAATAGCACCGGGTCTTCACAATATTCTCTGGTATTTTGTGCAAAGGGGGCAGAGTTCAGGGGACAGGCATCGGTTGCTATTATCCAAAGCCCAAGTGACCTTGGAGCCTTGGTTAACCTCTCCGAGCCTCCGTTTTCTAATCTGAGAATTAGGGAAGATGAGATCACCCACCTCACCTGGTTGTTAGAGGATGAGATGAGTTACTACATGTAAAGTGCTTAGTGCAGGGTCGTCACATATGGTCTGCTTGATCAACATGGGCCATTGGCATTGCGCATAAGCTCATCGCACATCAGCTGAGAGACCACTTTCCCTCATCGCCCTGACACCCGTTCACCTACGCTGGGCCCTCACCCTGGCCTTGACTCTGAGCATCTTTCTTTCTCTCACAAGGTGTCCCCACCCCAGAAGCACGATGGCTTTGCCCTATGTGAGCATAGTCCGCCCCGCGTGCTGCTGTTCAGTCTCTCTCCTGTACCCATCGGAACGCAGCCTGACCTACGAGGCTCTGCTCAAGTACAGTCTCCTGCATGCAGTTTTTCCCCTTCCTTTCTCCTCTCTCTCTGCACTGTGACCCCTCATTCTTGGGGATCCCCTAGCTATGCACGTTTGTCCATGACTCTCCTTCTAATAAAAATGCTGACAGATGTGGAAAGTTAACTTTCCACACCTAAACAACAAAAGAACCAGAGGCTACTCCCTTTGTAACTCGCCCACCCCCCGCCCCCAACACACACACACTTTTTCTGTGTGGCCGATGGAAAATTGAAAGTATCTCTGATTGGTTGTTTTCCGCAACCAATCAGACGTTTGCATAGGGGTGTAACTTTGTAAGTTCACTTTAGTCTCTGATTGGTTGCTTTCCACCAACCAATCAGACTGATTGTGGGGCCACTATTTCCTTTTCATAGGGTGTACACCAAGTAACCAATGGGAAACCTCTAGAGGCTATTTCAACCCCAGAAAATTCTGTAAAGGGACCCTTGAGCCTTTTTACTCTGGTCGCTCCCACCCTGTGAAGTGTACGTTCGTTTTCAATAGAGTGTACCCTCATTTCCAATAAATCTCTGCCTTTATTGCTTAAAAAAATACCGATAGAAACTGATATGGATATTCCATGTTATGATTACGGTTCTCATATTGTCTCACTAACTCATTCATTCATTCATCCAGTGAAATGCCTGCCTTGCACCAAGCACAAGTCCCTGCTGAAAACAGGACAGCTTGTTCCTTTGCTAAGGCGCTTGTGTTCTAGAGAGGGAAGACAGGAGTAAACAAAAGCCAGAGAGGAACTACGGCAAGTCAAATGGAACTACCAGCTAATGCTGACTGCCGCGTGGAGAATTAAACTAGAACACTGCCTAGGGTGACGAGGGCGCTGAGGTCAGGAAGCCTCCCTGAGATGGTGAGGTTTGAGTTGAGACTTGGAAGAAGGGAGGCCTGCTTGTTTGAACATCTGGGGGTAAATAATCTGAAGTGGCAGGAACAGCCAAGGCAGGGGCCCCAGGGCAAGAGGAACAGGGAGGGGCAGGGAGGCTTTGCCTGGCCCGGTGGGCACGCAGGACAGTGTTAGGTGGCACAAAAAAGGGCAGAAGACACCAAAAAAAAAAAAAAAAAAAAAAAAAAAAAGAGGGAATTAGGCTGTCCATTCCTCAGCCAAAACAATAAAACCTCCCACGTGCAGGTGAACATTCCATGAACCTGTTCCTATTCCTTCACCACCGCCTCTTTCGAGATACCACCATCCTGAATTTGATGCTCATTTGATTCCATGTGCTTCCTCTTGCCTTTATCATGTCTGCATGCATTCCTGTGCACTGTGCTTTATTTCTCTATTTATAAAGCTGTCTACGTGAAATTAAAATGTGTGACTCTTCCTGCAACCAGCTTATTTTCCCAGCATTAGGTTAGTGAGAATTATATATGTTGTTACCCAAAATCCTAGGTCATTTGTTTTCTCTGTACAGCATTTTATTGCATGAATATACTACAATTTATTTATCCATTTTCCTCTTGATGGTTTTCTGCTGTTTCTGATGCTCTCTTATATCAACCTAATTTGAACTGCAATGGCCAACCCTGTATAGGTTCCTTATCACTTATCTAAAGGTTAAATAGATAGCTATGAGTGAAATTGCTGGGTTGTGGGACATATTTATGTTAAATTGACCAGTTATTGATAAATGTAGCTCCAAAGTAGTTGTACAAATTTATACTCCTACCATACACACCTGTTCCTCTTCACATCTTTCCCAGCCCTTCAGAGTGTGTACCCTTAAATTTTCCTGACAGGTGTACAGTGTCATGCACTGAGATAATAACATCTATTTCTCTAGTAATGAGTTTGGATATTTTTCACATGTTTATTCAAAGTTATGGTTTATTTTTCTCCGAAATCCTTTTCCATATCCTCTGACCATTTTTTCTTCTACTGTATTTTCTTTCTCGTTGATCTGTAGTCTGGATTCTAAACCTTTGTCAGTTATGCTCATTGCAAATGTCTTCTCCAGGGTATAGTCTGTGTTTCTACTTTGGTTATAGTGTCTTTTTTTTAATTATTTTTTGAGATGGAGTCTTGTTCTGTTGCTCAGGCTGGAGTGCAGTGGTGTGATCTCGGCTCACTGCAACCAGGTTCAAGTCATTCTCCTGCCTCAGCCTCCTGAGTAGCTGGGATAACAGGCGCGTGCCACCATGCCCAGCTAATTGTTTTGTATTTTTAGTAGAGCCGGGGTTTCACCGTGTTGGCCAGGATGGCCTGGATCTCTTGACCTCATGATCCACCTGCCTCAGTCTCCCAAAGTGCTGAAATTATAGGCGTGAGCCACCGCGCCCGGTCCTATAGTGTCTTTTTAAATACAAACATTTTTATTTTAATGTCACTGAGTTTGTTTATATTATCCTTCATAATTTGTGCAGTTTAAGACTAAGGTGGCTGGGCGCAATGGCTCACGCCTGTAATCCCAGCACTTTGGGAGGCCGAGGTGGGCGGATCACAAGGTCAGGAGATCGAGACCATCCTGGCTAACACAGGGAAACCCTGTCTCTACTAAAAATACAAAAAATTAGCTGGGCTTGGTGGCGGGTGCCTGTAGTCCCAGCACTCAGGAGGCTGAGGCAGGAGAATGGTGTGAACCCAGGAGGCGGAGCTTGCAGTGAGCTGAGATCGCGCCACTGCACTCCAGCCTGGGCGACAGAGCGAGACTCCGTCTCAAAAAACAAAACAAAAAAAAGACTAAGGTAAAAATGCGTTATTCACCATAATGTCATACATATTTTCTTTAAATGTGTGAAGCTCTGTCTCTGTCACTTACCAAGTTTCTAATTAAGTGAGATGTACTTCTGGGGGTTGGAGAGAGGGAGGCTGCCTCTTTCTCTGTCCCAAGAGTCTATGAGTTAATCCATGTGGCCAGGACCACGTGGTCTTGCTCAGGTCACCTTTATAATAAATCATTATATCTGATGCAGCAAAACTCTCTTGGATGTTCTGAACCCTTTGCTCTTCTATATAAAGTTAAAATTGATTAAGTAATTTCTAGATTTTTAACTTTATGTGGAATAGCAAAGAGTTCAGAACATTCAGAAATTACTTAATGGGTACAATGTACATTATTTGAGTGATGAGGGATACACTAAAAACTCATACTCTAATGCTAGGCAATAGACCCATGTAACAAAATTGCACTTGTACTTCTTACATTTACACATGTAACAAAATTGCACTTGTACCTCTTAAATTTACACAAATAAATTAAATTAAAACTAACGTTAAAATCAACTTGACATATTCTATGCAGAGCCTTGACAGAATTTTGGTCAAGCTTCCTTTGACTTTGTAGGTTAGTCTGGGAAAAGAGACATATTTATAATATTGCAACTGTCTATCTACACACAGGTTTATCACTTCACTTTCTTAGCTCTTTTTAATGGCCTTAATAAATTTTAATGTATTTTTCAGTAAAGTCTCACATTTCTTTTGCTAAATTTACTCCTACAAACTCCTAGGTTTTGTTGTTTTGGTGTATTTGTTGCTGTTTTCAGTATACAGAAATGCGGTTGATATTTTGTCTTTGCTTTTACATCTTTTAATTTCTTATTAATTTCAATATTTTATCTTTAAATTACTTTGGTTATGTATGTAACTCATAATATTTTCTGTGATTGAGAGTTTTGTTCCTTTTTTAATTCTCATAATATTTATTTCCTCGACCTTATTATTTTTCCCCCTGGCATTTCTTTTATGACGTGCCTCATGGAGTCTTCATTTCCATTTTACCTGAAAACTGATATTTAGCCCATGTCTCACAGGAACTTCTGTGCAGATTTCTGGAGCTTTTTCTCTGACTAACTTCCTCCTATCCTGTACTCTGCCCTGAAAATTCCAGACACCTTGGCCCCAGCTGACTGTATCCTGTCTATTCAACTCAAGATTTCTGGGTTTGCTTCTCCTTCCTTGCACCATGGTCTAGAAATTGCCTCCAAGCAGAAGTCCAAGGTGATCATTGGGTTCACCTAATTTGTTTCTCTTTGATCATTGTTTGCAGTTCTGTGCTACCTATTGTCTATCTTAAAACAGTTGTTTTGTAAATTATTTCAGTTTTCTTGTTTGTTTTTATGGTGAATGGCAAGTACTATAGCAATTACTCCTTTGGAAGGTGGAAGGAGAAATTCTAAACCATTTATATTTAATGTAATTATCAGTATGGTTGGGATTAAGTCCACCATGTTGCAATTTGGTTTATATTTATCCTATGTTTTTTACTCCTGCTTTCTTTTTTATTTATAAAGTGGTTTTCTATTCCATCTTATCTCTTTTAATTGGTTTTTAGGTATATCTCTTTCTTTTTAGTGATTTCTGTAGGTATTACAACAGGTATTCTTAATTTAAACAAATCTACCATGAAGTAACATTTTAGCATCACTATGATGTAAAACCATAATAGTGTGTCTCCTGTTTATCCCTGATCATTCTTTGTGTTTCATTTTCATATACTTTACTGTATGTTATAAATCCCACCATATGCATTACCTATTACTTTTCCTCCAATGACTCAATTGTCTTTTATATATTTAAGACAAGTGAACAAAACATACAGTCTTTCAAATTCAATCCTATATTTATCATTTTTGGCATATTTTATGCCTTCTTGTTGAACTGAGATTCCATCTGGCAAAATGTCTCTTCAGCATGATATTTGTTTTTACATTTTTTTGTAGTGTGGACTATGACGTCTGTCAGTTTGCATTTATCTGATTTTTCTAACTTTGGAAGATAATTTCACTGGATATGAAATTCTAGGTTGAAAGTATTTTTCTTTCTTTCAGAACTTTAAAGATGTTATTGTTACTCCTTCCCCTGGCTTATATTGTTTTGGAAGCCAGCTATCATTCTTATAATTGTTCTGCTTTATGTGACGTGGCAACCTCCCTCTGTACTGATGACTTTTAAGATTTTCTCTTTTTCTTAGGTTTTCAGTATTTTGACTCTGATGACCCTTGGTGCGTTGAACTCACTCTCTTGAACTCCACTGAACTTCCTAGATTTGTGGATTCATTTTCCATTTTATCAAATTGAAAAAAAAAAGCTTAGTAAATATTCATTCAAATACTTTATTGCCTCATTCTTATTTCCTCTCCTTCCATACTCTAATTTTATGCATATTAGACAGATTTCTTTAAACTACACATTACTGATGCTTTGTTCCATTTTTAATTCAATATTTTTTCTCTCTGCTTCATTTTGGAAAATTAGTACTGACTTGTCTTCAACTTCACTGGTACTGTCTCCTTCCATTTCTAATGTACTTCCAGCCTATTTAATTTTTTTGTTTTAATATCAGATATTGTGCTTTTTACTCTAAAATTTCATTTGTTTCTCTTTTAGAATTTCCCTTTTGCTCTGAAATATTCCATCTCTTCAGCCATTATATACATATTTCAGTTTACAGCATTAAACTTTGACAAGAGCTGTTTTAAGGTCCTTGCCTGCTTATTACAATGAATCAGACATCTTTCACCCTGCCTCTAGGTGCTGCTGTCTGGTGGCTGTTTGAAAATATCATACTATTTTATTTCAGGCATTGTATATTAAAGAGCACTAGAGACTGACATATTTTGTTCTGTGTTGATGTTTTGGGTCTTTCTGGTTTGCATCCCAGAGAGACCCTTCTCTCTGTCTGTGGTTAGGGTGAGGCCAACCCCTAGGGAGTCTCACAGGTCAATTGGAGTTGATCTGGGCTGCAACTCCAGTCAGACTGTTGTAACTTGTGATTCGCCCAGCCCCTAACCTCCAAAGCTGGAGCATTTCTTTATCTTATCAACATTGCATCTGGAGGAGTTTGGGTGCATGCCCACTGTTTGGGCACGGTGAGGCAGTGGGGTAGTAACACAGTCTCCTGCTCACCAGCCTGTTCTCCTCCATCGTTTTCCTATCAAAACTCTGTGAAGGGGCCTATTACTTTGGGAGGCTGAGGTGTGTGGATCACCTGAGGTCAGGAGTTAGAGACCAGCCTGACTAACATGGCGAAACGCCATCTCTACTAAAAATACAAGGCCGGACGCAGTGGCTCACGCCTGTAATCCCACCATTTTGGGAGGCTGAGGCGGGTGGATCACGAGGTCAGGTGATCGAGACCATCCTGGCTAACATGGTGAAACCCCGTCTCTACTAAAACTACAAAAAATTAGCTGGGTGTAGTGGCGGACGCCTGTAATCCCAGCACTTTGGGAGGCTGAGGCGGGTGGATCACGAGATCAGGAGATCGAGACAATCCTGGCTAACACAGTGAAACCCCATCTCTACTAAAAATACAAAAAATTAGCCGGGTGTGGTGGTGGGCACCTGTAATCCCAGCTACTCGGGAGGCTGAGGCAGGAGAATCACTTGAACCTGGGAGGTGGAGGTTGTGGTGAGCCGAGATTGCACCACTGCAGTCCAGCCTGGGCGACAGAGCAAGACTCCTTCCCCATGTCCCCCCGACAAAAAAAAGAGTAAAAAGAAAACCCTCTGAAGGAAGAGGCATAGGGGACACATGAAGGTAACTGGTGGGTCAGAAGACCTCTATTTGAACTCAGGGTTCTTCCAAACTCCACTCCATCTTGCCAGCCCACACTGACGTCCAGAACGGAGCTAATATTTCCTTATTCTTTCAGGGTCTCTCAGTTTATGGGACCCCATCCTTGCTCAGGCCAGGCACGTGCCTCTGGTACATGAAAGCCCATATCTGTCCATCTATACTTCTATGAAGGACTTATCTCTCTCTGGAAATCACTTAATAAAGATTTCATCCACCGCTTTTCACTCTTCTCATAAAGAAGCACCAAATTTGTTTGTTCAGGCTCTTCATGGTGTTATCCTGGGAGTTAAGGTTTTCACAGCTTCCTATATCATAACCACAAGTGGAGATCCCTGGCACACTGGGTTTTTAATGACTGATTTGGTTCTTTTCATGGTGATCAGAATATTCACTGTTTTCTTTTTTCATTCTGAATTGGTCTGATGTGTATGTTTTGGGAACATTATTCGTGTTTGTCTACACTTAGACATTTATTGACAGAAAGTTGATCTTTAAAAGGAGTCCATTATTACTGCTTTTTCTTCTATTAAATCTTTAGTCACTTTTAAAATTTTTCTTTTCTTCTTTTCTAAAATATGTACTCAAGTCTTAAATTTCCCTCCAAGCACTACTTTAGCTCCATTCCACCAAGTTTGATGTGCTATATCCTAATAACCAAAGTATTGGTTTAATTTCTTTTTGGTATTTTTCACTCAAAGATTATTTGGAAATGTATGGTTCAAGTTCTAAGGAGTTGGGGTTTTCTAGTTCTCTTTTAATTGATTCCTAGATGAATTACATTGCATTCAGATAAGTTACACTTATTTCAGTCTTTGGAAATTAGGGTGTTGGGAGGGTTTGCCATGGCCCAGCTTTAGGAAAAAATGTGGACCATATTGTTGATGAATGCAGTATTATACTTGCTTTCCATTTTGGTCTGATATACCTTATTTTATTTTATTTTATTTTTACTTTTTGAGTTTTCAGTATTTATGTGTGTTTAAATGTGTCTCTGACAAATATTCCACTAGACATTTCTTCTAGAATTTCAGCTTCTCTATCTTGAACTTGTGAGTTTCATCTATTTGCATTTATTCTGATTATTCATACAGTTGGGTTTATTTTTTCTATATTTTGGACTTTCTTTTTGTCTTGCCTCTGCTACTTCAATATTTCTGTTTAATACAAGTTTTTGAAATCTACTACACTCCTACTGTTTTTGAAATTAGAGGCTTTACTTAACCTACACGTTACCAAGTTTAAAATTTTTCAGTATTTTTATCCTCATGCTTAACAGTACAAAGACTTTATAATGGCTTAATCCTATTTCCCCTTACAAATATTTTGTTAATTTCCCTGTGTTTCAGTCCCTCATATTTTTTTATCTCAGAAATTAGTTATTAAAAATATTTGACACAGCCAATAATTGTTTAGAGTTATTCACACTAACATTAATTTATGTCATTAATTATCTTTGCACCAATTTCTTAAAGGTTATTACTCCAAGGTTAAAAATTATCCCCCATTCTTCTATTTTCTATTTTTGGATATAGTATGCTATACATTTCAAACGCTATCATTTCAACTTCACTTATGTATATTCCTCAACTTTCTCTTTAGGTGCTCCATATAAAATTTCCTCAGGTTTAGACTCCATTTCCATAATTCTTTCTTTACCTACACCAAACCCATTTCTTTTTTCTTTTTGACACGGAGTCTCGCTCTGTGAACTTGGCTCACTGCAACCTCCGCTTCCTGGATTCAAGCGATTCCCCTGCCTCAGCCTCCCAAGTAGCTGGGATTACAGGCACGCACCACCATGCCCAGCTAATTTTTGCATTTTTAGTAGAGATGGGGTTTCACCATATTGGACAGGCTGGTCTCAAACTCCTGACCTTGTGATCCACCCACCTCAGCCTCCTAAAGTGCTGGGATTACAGGCATGAGCCACCGTGCCCGGCTCACCAAACCCAATACTTAGTACATCATCCTTCAAGTTTTAATTTTATTAACTATACGTATTATTCATAAAATGCTTCCTTGTTTTGTTTCTGTTTCTCTAAATCTCTCTGGTGTTTTTTAAATCATATCTTGGGGTGTTTTTGTGTGTGTGTTTTTAGTGCTTTCCTTTTATGTATCTTAAGTGTACACGTTTTACACTTTGTTTCCAAAAATTCTGTTATTTTAACTTCTCAGTGGTCAGATCTGCCTTTTGTTGTTTGGGATGACTCCTGTTCCTGTTGTGAGTTGCTTGCTGAAGTGTGTTGTGGTTTTAGAGAGTGGCCTTATGTTTGTGGACACTTACCTGGTAGAAACCATGCAGCATCCATGAGGGAAAGGGTGATTCTACAGCGCTTATTTAGACCAGTGGTCCCCAGTCTCCAGGCGGAAGACCAGTACCCATCCACGCCATGTTAGTTACTGGATGGCACAGCAGGCGTTGAGCAGCCCATGAGCTCACATCACCACCTGAGCTCTCCCTCCTGTCAGATCAAAGGTGGCCTTAGAGTCTCATGAGAGGGCAAACCCTCTGTGAACTGCACATGTGAGGGATCTGGGTTGTGGGCCCCTTATGAGAATCTAATGCCCGATGATCTGAGGTGGAACAGTTCCATCCCAAAACCATCCCCCAGCTCCATACCCCCGTGCCAGAAAGACTGGGGAGCAACGATTTAGTCTGTGTCTAACAAGCTTCCTCAGGTTCTAACAGTCAAGGCTTACCTCATGTTAATTGCTTCACTTGGAGTTTCTTAAACCAGATAATAAATGTAATGTCAAGCCCCAGTCTAGGCGATTTAATGATTCATACCATCAATGATCACAAGACTCATGTTTTCTGCATTTTCCTGGGGTCTTACTTGAGACTGTCCTGTGTTCCACTATGTTGGAAGATGGATTTTTTTTTTCTGGTAGCACTTTACTGAATGTGCATTTTCTCAAGTTCCCAGTAATTTTATGTGAGCCACTTTTACATCTCCCATCCTTGCATGGACTCAAAGATTTATCTTTTCGTTTTTTTAAAAAGTATTTTAGGCTAGGTGTGGTGGCTCACGCCTGTAATCCCAGCACTTTGGGAGGCCAAGGCAGGTGGATCTCTTGAGGTCGGGAGTTTGAGACCAGCCTGACCAAGATGGTGAAACTCCGCTTCTACTAAAAATATAAAAATTAGCAGGACATGGTGGTGGACACCTGTAATCCCAACTACTCAGGAGGCTTGAGGCAGAAGGATGGCTTTAACCCAGAAGGCAGAGTTTGCAGTGAGCCGAGATTGCACCAGGCACTTCAGCCTGGGTGACAGAGCGAGACTCTGTCTGAAAAAAAAAAAGTCACGTTTATAAGGTGGGTAAAAATGCCCCCTAAGGAAACATTGGCTTCAGTGTTATAAAACTATGCTTGTTTTGGGTTTTCTTTAAATTTGTTGCCTTTATTTCACAAAAACTCAGCTGTGCATATGAAGAATTTCTGTTATATTTTATCCTCTATATCTGTGATTGTTATTTAAGAAGATATATTTTCTTTTCTTTTTCTTTTTGAGATAGAGTCTCACTCTGTTGTGCAGGATGGAGGGCAGTGGCAGGATCACAGGCTTGAGTGATCATTCCACTTCTGCCCCCCGAGTAGCTGGACTACAGGTGCACGCCACCAAGCCCGACTACTTTATGTATTTTTTGTAGGGACAGGGTTTCAGCATGTTGCGAAGGCTGGTCTCAAACTCTTGGGCTCAAGCAGTCCACCCACCTCGACCTCCCAAAGTTCTAGGATTACAAGCATGAGCCATGGTGTCTGCTCAGAACATATATTTTCAAATCATCTAGTTTATGCATTTGAGAATCACTGAAATGACTAAGTGGATGAAGTAATGTATCCCTTTTCTGACAAAGCTGATATGGTTAAAATACTTGTGCTTATTTTCACCGTCAGGATTTCAATGACCCTGATGCCATCTCCTGATGGCAAGTCAATTGCTGTTTTCAGGATAGTGCTGTGACTTTTAATACAAACCTCAGTGTCCTTGCTACTTACCACCATGTCCATTGTGGCAGTGGTACTTGATACCTGTTCACAGGATTGTATTCATTTAATGTATGTATATTTAATTTGCTTGCTGATAGGCTATGGATAATTGGCGACATAGGGCTATGTCTGGGCCACCTCTGTCTGATCCACGTTGCCTAGCACAGTCCAAGGCACATAATATTTGGCCAGTAAAAAGTTGGTCAAATTCCAAAGACTTCGTGAAAGTTATCAGAATCAAATGGAGTCACTAATGCTATGAAAACGGCGAAAAATAGAGCAAAGGAGTCCAGGGATGCTTGTATGCCTAATAATGAAAGATGCTCTACAAAACCCACAACCTTGCACAAAAGTTACTTCCTATTTTTTTTTTTTTTTTTTTTTGAGATGGAGTTTCACTCTTGTTGCCCAGGCTGAAGCACAATGGTGCGATCTCGGCTTACTGCAACCTCCATCTCCCAGGTTCAAGCAGTTCTCCTGCCTCAGCCTTTTGAGTAGCTGGAACTACAGGCATGTGCCACCACCCCCTGCTAATTTTGTATTTTTAGTAGAGACAGGTTTTCTCCATGTTGGTCAGGCTGGTCTTGAACTCCCAACCTCAGGTGTTCTGCCCACCTTGGCCTCCCAAAGTGCTGGGGTTACAGGCGTGAGCCAACAAAATTTACTTTCACAAAGACATCTGCCCAGCAACTGCCTGTCCAACCTTGGACTGCTGTCACCCTTGCTATTGATCCTTATAATCAAGGACAATGATCTCAAAACAATTATGTAATCCTCCTCATTGTTTACCTGTAAAAATCCTTTGTTCTCTTTTACCTCCCTGAATATGCACCGTGTTTACTGCGGCACTTTTCCATTGCAATGCTCCGTTCTCAAAAAAACATCTTTTCTTTTAGAGGGCCTCTCTGTTATTTTGGTTGACAACCTTTTGCCTCAACTCTAAACTGAATCTAAATGATTTTAAGCAATTTTCCCGAGGCCATACTTTTAGTGAAAATTGAGAATAGGATTTGGTCATATTTTTCTCATATCTAAAGTCAGTGTAATATCCACCTACCCAAGGTTATTGTGAGAATTACAGATTCTACATGGGATGCAGCCCGTATAGCAGAGGACACACAGTGGATGCTCCAGAAATGCTGGTTTCCATTCCATTCACACGTATGGTCTCCATTTCACCTTGTCATATTGGTGTGTGTGTGATACATGTGGAGGATACGGCTATGTCATATTGATGTGTGTATAATACATGTGGAGGATATACCTATGGGCAGAAGTTGTGAGGCACAGGAAACCCAAGGGAGCTTGCTACAGTGGAAATGTCAGTACATAAGCCTCCTGTGGCTGAATTTCCCAGAACGCTGGAAGTGGAGACCACAGTGGGAGAGGGTCTTGTGGGAGCAGCAGTGTGGGGATCCCTAGACCCCCAGGGCAGCTGCCACTCTAGACCTTGAGCTGACTGGTGCCTAATCTCTCCGGGGTTGCCCTCAGCCCCACAGGGGTGTGCGGGGTACCCAGGGAAGCAGGCTGCAGGGCTCTGGCCAGCATGCCCAACAGCAGTGCTCTGAGGTCCACTGGTGGAGACTCCCCACAGCGCCTGTGCACTTAGAGTGAGGTCAGGACTGGAGACAGAGTTGGAAATTACATTCTGGGTGTCACAGAGGAAGCTCTGGACAATTGATGACAATGAGTAAGAAGTAAGGACCAGGCCGGGCGCAGTGGCTCACGTCTGCAATCCCAGCACTTTAGGAGGCTGAGGTGGGTGGATCACAAGGTCAGGAGATCGAGACCATCCTAGCTAACACGGTGAAACCCTGTCTCTACTAAAAACACAAAAAATTAGCCGGGCCCGGTGGCAGGCGCCTGTAATCCCAGCTACTCAGGAGGCTGAGGCAGAAGAATGGCGTGAACCCGGGAGGCAGAGCTTGCAGTGAGCTCAGATAGTGCCGCTGCACTACAGCCTGGGGGACAGAGCGAGACTCTATCTCCAAAAAAAAAAAAAAAAAAAAAAAAAAAAAGAAGTAAGGGCCAGCAGCGTCGAAGCATGTGAAATATTAACATTTGGAAAGAGAAATCAAAGAAGGAGAAAAAACAACTGATCAGAGAGAATGGAGACCAACCACACTAGTGCAATTCCACAGGCAACAACAAGGAGCAGTTCGGAAGCAAGAGTCACCGGGGTGGCACCAGCAGGGCAAGGGGAGATCTTCCAAAGTCTCCCAAAATCTCCTAGAGAGACACCAAGGGAAAGCTTCAGTGTTGCTGACACATAGGGTTGGTCTTGCCAGAGCAGACGCCTGCTTTGCTCTCTGGGCAGCCTCCTTACTCCACCTTCCCTGAGTTCTCCGGCGGCCTCTGGAGGGGATGCATGGACAGAACCAGAGCTGAGGGTGGGTCCTTCAATGGCTCCAGCAGCAACTGATAGGAAGTGATAGGGATGGGGGCTGCAGTCCTCAGCACACTGCCAAGAACCTTAGAGTTGGGGAAGGGGCATGGAGGCAGCGGGGGAGGTTTGTCATCGGAGATGCTAATACAGGCAAGGAATTGTTCTTAGGAGAGAGAAAGGAGAAAGGAAGAAGTAAGGGAGGTAGTTACATGCTTAATTTCTTTGTCTTTTGTTACTTACTATGTATGTAACTTGCTGATACATTTTCCTTTAAAAGGATTCTGGAAGCATACCCTGCCAAATTAGGACGTGCTCTTCAGATCATCACATTCTTATTGGTACTCATTGACCAAATGCCTTCAAAGCAATGCATTGAGTAGGCAACCTGACGTGCTCTCCCTTTCTCTCTCTCTACCATTCTCTTCGACTCTGTCTGTCTCTCTCTCTCTTTCATATGTATCTATGTGTGTGCCAACATGAGTGGAATTATATCATACCCTGTCAACAACTTGCTTCTTTCACTTAGCTATACATCTTATTAATTTTACAAATCAGCCTTTAGATCTTTCTCCATTTCTAACTCTTTTGTAGCATTTCATTGATTGGATTTGTGATTATTAATGTAACCATTCTGTCTTAATGACGATTTGTTTTCATGTTTTTGCAATTACAAATAATGCTGTGAAGAAAACAAATTGTACATGCATGCATACATGTCTCATGAACATGGGTTGGCTCTTCTTTGATCCAGATTCCTAAAATACAAGTACTGGATCAGAGTCTATGGATTTTGTAATCAGTTGATTAACAAGCTACCCTTTTAAAGGCCTTTCCAATGCATGCTCCCACCAAAATGCAGACAGTACCTCCTCCCCAGCATTTCACATGATGGTTTTTTATGCTTTTTCCCTAATACGAGAGGCAAAAAATCTTGTTTTAGTTTATATTTGATATTCTTTTAATGTGTTTAGTGGCCATTTTAATAATGTTCAGTCAATCAGCCATCCATATTCTTTGACTACATTCTACTGCGTTGTCTTTTTGTTGTTGATGTGTGTGAATGCTTTCTAAATTCTGAATATTAAAATCCTGCCTGTTTCTGTTGAAATATTTTTGTCATTCTGCCAGATATCAATTAACTTTGTGTACTGTGTTACTTATCATGGGGAATTTGTCAGTCTTTCTCCATATGGTTTCTAATTCATTCATATCACTATGCTTTCTCCTGCCTCAGATTATATTGATATTTGTTAGGTTTAAATCTTTAATAAAACTGAAATTTATTAACATATAAGTTATGATCCATTGACATTTCTTTTAGCAAATGGGTAGTCAAATATTCCAAAATCACTTATTAGATAGATCTTTAGTCCTCATTAACTTGAAAAGTCACTTTTACTGTCTATGAATTTAATCTGATTATGTGCAAATCCCCTGATGTGTCCATTTGTTTCCAGATCGCCTTTTCTCTTCCGTTATGTATTGATATTGCACTAATGTCACATTGTGTTTATTGTTCCACCTACGGCACATCAAATAAGGCAAACCCACATCCACAGTCATGCCCATGGTGCATTTTTTCAAAATTGTACTGGCTATTTCCATACATTTATTGGCCATACAAACTTGAGAATCAGATCATCAGTTTCCCTATTAAAACCAATTGGAATTTGTTGGAGATACCGACGGGATGCATGAGTTGTTGGAGAGAAATGACACCCTTTCAGCATTAAGTCTTTCCCGGGTTGCCAAACATTCGGAAGCCTCTCCCAAACCACTTTCCTTTTCTTCCAGGACACAGAGGGAGTGATATTTTTCATCTTCCTTCACTCTGGGTGTGACGACGTGACTAAGTTCCAGATGATGAAACGTGGGCAGAAATGATGCTCCTGGCCTCCAGGTCTGGCCCATAGGAATCGTCTGCACTGTCTCTCAATCTCCTTTGGTTGCCTTCCACATGCAAGCAGAGACCTCGCAGGGAAACCTGAGGCCACCGAGGGTTCAGGAAACACAAGCTGGAAGGAGTCCGGGTCCCTGAATAGCCACATGGAAGGTCACATCCCAGAAGTCCATGCTGAACATCAGCTCATTCGTGTGAGCTGAAATGGATGTCCATTTTGCTAAGCCACTGAGAGTTTTTGAGTGTTGGCTAGAGTGTTGATCTACTCTGATCAACAATGAATGTCTCTTCAGCTACTCAGGCCAACTTTTACTCTTCCAGTAGGTAAGAATTGTCCGGAGTTCTTTTGTATTATTATTTTGGCCCGGAATAGAATGCTTTTTTTTCTATTACCTGTTCTATTTGATTGTTGCTGGTTATAGAAAAGCTATTGATTTTCATAGGTTGATATATTCAGCTCCAGGTTGGTGAACTCTCACGGCCGGTTCCAGCAATTTATCAGTTTGTGCTTTTGCATTTTTATGGGAAAGAATATTCTCATATATGTACTGTCATATCGCTACAGTTACTTTTTTCATTTTTACATTGGTAGAACCTTCTGCGCAATGTTAAACGGTGATATATGGTGGACATCCTGGCGGAGCTAATATGAGAAAACATCACTAATGTTTCACCATTAAGTATGATGCTTGCTTCCATTTTCTGGTAAATACTTTTTATTGAGATAAGAGCGTTTGATTACTGTCTTCGTTTTCTAAGTGGTTTTTTATCAGGAATGAGCATTGACTTTTATCAAATGCTTCTTCAGCAGCTAGTGAGATAATTAAAGTTTTTCCTTTATTCTCCTAGTGTAATGCCCCATTGATAGGTTTCCTGAATCATTCTCACATTCCTCTGATTAACCCTGTATGGTGGTGATGTCTTATTCTTTTAAGATCTTGTTGATCTTAATATTAAATGTTATTTAGGATTTGTTTATCTGTTTAAAGTAGATTTGAATATACATTTTTTTCTGTGCTTGCTTGTTCAGCTGTGACGTCATAATTGTATCAATTATTGAAATGAGATGGGTATCTCTCTTTCCCGTTCTCTGAGAGTTTATGGAACGTATGAGTTATTAAATTTATGTGGACATTTACTGATATAAATGGCACCTTTAGCTATTACTGTTACAGATTTTATTTATATTATAGAAAAATGTATAAAGTTATAGATTTCATTTATTAAATATTTACTTATTTATTTATTGAGACAGAGTCTTGCTCTGTCGCCCAGGCTAGAGTGCAGTGGTGCAATCTTGGCTCACTGCAACCTCCACCTCCTGGGTTCAAGTGGTTTTCCTGCCTCAGCCTCCCAAGTAGCTGGGACTACAGGCATGCACCATCATCCCCAGCTGATTTTTGTATTTTTAGTAGAGGCGGGATTTCATCATGTTGGCTAGGCTGGTCTCAAACTCCTGACCTCAAATGATCCACCCACTTTGGCCTCCCTAAGTGCTGGGATTACATAATAAGTAGTTTTAAAAACTACAAGTTCTACAAGGTGTTTTTTTTTTTTTTTAAGAATCCCTTTGCATCAATATTTTCTTCATTTGCTTCCTAGAAACAATAACTTAATCTATTTTAGCAATTTCTTTTGAGATGTCATATATCTAAGAAAGGCTCTTTTACTGCAATTTTTAATTTGTCACCATTAGATATTAATAGCCATCCTACCAGAGAAGTTGGGGATTTGATTTTCTTACAATCATTCTAAAACCGACATGCACACTTTCCCTCCAACCAAACTCTTTACTGCATGCATAGAATAATCCCAGGATTGGTTTAGAGTCGATATTGACATAACATTCATATAATTTTCATGATGTAAACATATATGAGCCATGCACAAAAAGTCATTTACTGTGTTATAATATTTATAAAAACGTTTTCTGAAGTTAATAACTATTTCATGCTTCATGCCTAAAATAATGTGTGCCAAGTTCACCACCAGCTCTGGTACCTGCCCCCCACTCCACCACCACCTCCATCCACTTCCGTTATGTAAGGCTCTGGCTATGGAATTATGTGTATGAGTATATATATGGCTCAGAAGGTGACCACTTGATAAATTATCACAAAGTAAACATCCCTATATCCATGTGGTATGACCAGCCACACCCCAAGCCAAGAAACAGAGCATTCCCAGTGTTCAAAAAAATCTCTCATTCTCTCAGCCCATGAATACCCTTCCTCACCTAACCTAATCAATATCTTGACTTCTAACACAATAAATTGCTTTTGCCTGTTTATAAAACACACACGCTCAAAATAATGTGCGTGAAAGCAAGTCATATTATTCCATGTAACTGCAGATTATTATTATATATTGCTCTAATGTACCATTGTATAAGTTTCCCATAATGCACTAATCCATTTTACTGCTGATTGGCACTTGGGACATTTCCAGTTGTTGACTCGCAAAAATAATGCTGTTATGAATCTATTAGGCATGCTTTTTGTGATTATATGAGTACGCGTTTCTTTGGGGTCATATACCTATGAGTGTAATCACTAAATTCTCACCATTACTGTAACAGAGCTCCAATTTCTCTGTATCCTCACCAACACTTGGTACTTCCTAGCTTTTTAAATTGTAGCTATTCTGCTAGGTGTAGACAAGTTTGCCTTGTGGTCTTGGTTTCTATTGTCCTGATAAGTCATGAATTGGTCATCAGTTCTTGTGTTTATGGGTTGTTTGGAAATTTGCTCTCTGATTTGTATCTGAGGAGTGTATTTTCTTGTCTTATTGATATAATTTTTATGAACTTAAGTTCTTAATTTCGATTGTGTCTAATTTTCTGTTTTACAAATTTTTTATTAATGATCTTTGCATCTTATTTAAGAAACCTCTGCCTCTTCCAGGGTCTGGATATTAGATAGCAAATATTTTCCTTCCACTCATGGAATGGCCTTTTTAGTCTACTGAAAAAGAGAAGTTCTAATAGTGCCAAGTCATCTAATAAATCAGTCCTTTCCATTACAGTTAGTGCTGCTGAGTCTAGATTAAGAAATCTTTCTGGTACTGAAGTTCACTTAAAATTTGCCTCTGATAAATTTTACATTCTAATAATCTATTGTGTATCTGGACTTATTTTTTAATATGATGTGATAAAAGGGATTAATTTTTTTTCACTATAGGAATCCAGTGACCAAATAGCATTCATTTAAAAGATGTTCTAGTCATACTGTAATACAATTGCCTTTTTTTTTTTTTTTTTTTTTTAAGAAATCAGACCATCCAGAACATTGTTAGGTCTGGGTTAAAGTGCAGGTGAGGGCTTTCAAAGCATAGATATAAATATTTACATACTGTAAATCAAGGGAACAAATTATTACCTAAAATATATTCTATCATCCTATATTGGCAAATGCACACTTTGCTTTTCTCAGATTTCCATTTCATAAATAATTTTGCACTTAAGCATTAGTTTAGCTTTATCTCATAGCTTCTGCTATGTATTATTTTTGTTACATTCAGTTCAAAATATTTTCTAAGTTTTTTTTTGAGACGGAGTCTCGCTTTGTCACCCAGGCTGGAGTGCGGTGGCGTGATCTCAGCTCAGCTCACTGCAAGCTCCGCCTCCCAGGTTCACACCATTCTCCTGCCTCAGCCTCCCGAGTAGCTGGGACTACAGGCACCCGCCACCGCGCCTGGCTAATTTTTTGTATTTTTAGTAGAGACGGGGTTTCACCATATTAGCCAGGATGGTCTCGATCTCCTGACCTCGTGATCCGCCCACCTTGGCCTCCCAAAGTGCTGGGATTACAGGTGTGAGCCACCACGCCCGGCCTCCAAGTTTTATATTGATGTTTCTGACCAAAGAGTTGTTTAGGCTGGGCACGGTTGCTCATGCCTGTAATCCCAGCACTTTGGGAGGCCGAGGTGGGCGGATCATGAGGTCAGGAGTTCGAGACCATCCTGGCCAACATGGGGAAACCCTGTCTCTAATAAAAATACAAAAATTAGCCAGGAGTGGTGGTGTGTGCCTGTAATCCCAGCTACTCGGGAGTCTAAGACAGGCTAATTGCTTGAACCCAGGAGGCAGAGGTTGCAGTGAGCCAAGATCGTGCCACTGTACTCCAGCCTGGGCAACAGAGTGAGACTCCATCTCAAAAAAAAAAAAAGTTGTTTAAAGTTGTGCTGTTTAATTTTAACATATGTGAGGATTTTCTAGTTATTTTGTTGCTATTAATTTCTCATTTCAACTCTTTCATCATTCACCCATTATCTCTAGGCTTTCATTTTTCCATTAAGAAATGAGCTGTCAGTTTATTCTTACTCCTTTGAAGGAAATCTGGGTAGTTGTTGTTTTTAACTTTTTATCAACCTTAAGCTTTTCTGTCTTTGGTTTTCAGAGGTTTTCTTTTTTTCTTTTTTTTTTTTAACTTAACTTTTAAGTTCAGGGGAACATGTGCAGGTTTGTTATGTAGGTAAACTTTTGTCATGGGGGGTTGTCACCCAGGTATTATGTTAAGCCCAGTGGCCATTAGCCATTTTTTCTGATCCTCTCCCTCCTCCCACCCTCCACTGAGCTAATTTGAGAAAATATCACTAATGTGACAAGCCCCAGTATGTGTTGTTCCCCTCTATGTGTCCATGTATTCTCATTATTTAGCTCCCACTTATAAGTGAGAAGATGTAGTTTTTGGTTTTCTGTTCCTGTGTTACTTTGCTAAGAATAATGGCCTCCAGTTCCATCCATGTTCCTGCAAAGGACATAATCTTATTTTTTCATGGCTGCCTAGTATTCCATGGTGAATACGTACTTCATTTTGTTTATGCAGTCTGCCACTGATGAGCATTTAGGTTGCTTCCATGTCTTTGCTATTTTGAACAGTGCTGCAATGAACATATGTATACATTTTTCTTTATAATAGAACAATTTATATTCCTTTGGATACATATCCAGTAATGGGATTGCTGGGTCAAACAGTAATTCTGTTTTTAGGTGTTTGAGGAATCACCACACTGTCTTTCACAATGGTTGAATTAATTTACACTCCCACCAATAGTGTATAAGCATTCTTTTTTTCTCTGCAACCATCCCAGCATCTGTTATTTTTTTTTGACTTCTTAATAATTGCCATTCTTACTGGTGCAGAGGTTTTCTATATTGTGATTGTGCTTTTCTTTTCATTTGTTCTGCCTAGGTTTCATGTTTGGTATGACTTGGTATTTATAGTCACTTTTGGAAAATTCTCATCCTATTGCTTTCAAATATTGGTCTTATACCGTATTCTTTTCCCTCTACTTGTAGGGCTTTAATTACACATATATTAAATTTTTACACCATAGTCCCTATGCTTCTAATTATTTTTTATATATCTTTAAAGTCTTTTTATCACTAAGCACATGCCTGAATATTTTCTTCTGGCCTGTCTTCCAGTTTTCTGATTTTCTATTCAGCTGTGTCTAATGTTGATGTAAATCCTTCCATTAGATGATTTGTTTCCTTTGCTTTATAATTCTAAATTTTTTTATTAGTTGCCAATTTTCTACATAACTTTTTAATCTTGTCTTTTATTTCCTTGGGAATATAAAATATATTTATTTGAAGGAATATTTCCTAATGTATCACCTTAATCTCCTAGGAATTTGCTCTTAATACCTATTGTTTCTTCTGGGTTTGCAGCTGTATTGTTGTCTCACATGCCTGGATACTTTTAGTAAATGCTGGACACTATATTTGAAAAGTTCAGAGCTTAATGTTTCAGATAATGTTGTCTTTTTCTAGAGAGGAATTATATTTGCTTCCGGCCAGTGGCTACACTAGAAACACTAGTAATCTCAGGGTCTTTAGTCAAGGCAAGCTCAGTTTGAACCTGGGCATTATCCCCCTTTAAGATCCTCTCTTTCTGTTTTACTCTTACTCCTAGAATATATTCCTTTGAGTCACCAATCAAAGGTTTTGAGGAGAATTGCTGAACTCCTTTCTTAGGCAGAGCTCTCAGGAAACTGACTGTGAGACAAAGATTTGTTTGCTGAAGATTTTGGGGGAGTGTTCTTGGGAACAAGGCTATGAGAGAGGAAAGGAGGCAGGATAGGGCAAAGAACCGGGATGCAGTTCTATCGGAAGCCTTGGCTGATCCCGTGGGAGCTCTGGAGCTGCAGTGGCCCTTAATTGCTGTCCTCAATTTATGTGAGGGGACCAACTCTTTACCGTGCATCACCAGGCAATGGGTCTGTACAGCCCCAGGCAGAATGTGTAGCCCTGGGGAAAGTACTTCCCTTCAGCTAAGAGCAAGTCATCTATGACCTGTCACCTGCCAACACTCCTGGAAGCCTGGGGAGTCAGCACCTAGACAAGCTTCTTCTGTAAAGGGCCAGATAGTAAATATTTAAGGCTTTGCAGCCCCTACGGGCTGTCACAATTCTTCATCTTTGCGGGTGCAGTGTGAGAGCAGCCATCCACTCTAAAGAACAGATGAAGGTGGATGCATTCCTCTAAAACGTCATCTACAAAAATAGGCAGTGAGCCGTATTTGGCTCATGAGCTGTCATTTGCTGACCCCTGGCCTCAAATAGACAACACAAAGAATATTGTGTCTTGAAGGGAGGCTGAGCGTCTCATAACATCATCCATTTCATCCCCATTCTGAGCAGATCTGGGCTTTAATATTGCGATTTTGTCCCCCCGTTCCAATTGTCAGATGAAAGCTCCTACTAGCCTCCCAGCCTCTCAGCTGCTTTGTCCAAATTTGGCAAATGCTTTTAGAGCCGTGCTATCCTATATAGCAACCACTAGTTACATTGAGTTAATTAAAATTAAATAATATCTAAAATTCAGATTCTCAGCCACAGTGGTCACATATTAGGTGCTCAGTGGCCGTGTGTGGCTAGTGGCTGCCTCAGTGGACAGAGAAGACATACAGCATCTTCATCAACACAGAACAAGTCATCAGATGGTGCTGGAATGGAGCAAATGCTGACTCCACATGCCAGGGCCACCTCTGTGAGTTTTCTTCTTCCGCCACATCTTGGCCCCATAATGCTTCTCTGCCTCGAGAGCTCTCTGATACCATCAATGCAGTTCCAAAAGTTTTGCCTCTTTTTCTAGTTGTTTTGCAATAGGAATGTCGGTCCACATTATTTGTTTTATTATAACCAAAAGTAAAACTCTACACTAATCTTCATGTTTTCATTTTTAATGTAATCTACTCTTTGTGTTGTCTTTTTAAGGATGTTAAATACCTTCTTCAAATTGCATGAGATGACCTTGTTTATTCATTTTCTTGGGTGGATTTCTGAAGCGAATCTGTATTTTTTATTCTGTATTTTTTATTCTCAGTGAAAGTTATGTGTTACTCAGAGTTTAAGCTTTGCTTATATTGGCGCCCTATTGGTTCCACTGATCTAGGATAAATGTGTGTGTGAGTGTGAGTGTGCATATGAGCACACTCAGGGTTTCTGCACCACGTTCAACAGGAAATTCATGTCTCTCACATACTAACAATACAGGCTCAGATTTTGTTTTGTTGGAGATGCTTTGCTTTTACCCGTGGCCTTGGGAAGATGGTTTGCTTCTGAGTGGACAGACAGGAAACACCAGCTGTAAACTCCACAGTGCCCTTTTCACAAAGGACGCAGCACTTTATGCAGGAAGCCCCTCTCGACATGGCTCCTTTAACTCGCTCCACCTCAGATCCTGATGAGCCTGTCAGCACCAAGTGGAGGGCCACGCCTCTGCGACTCTGTCTGACTTTTTGGCTAGAAAGCACATCTATATTTCAAGCATGCGGTGATTCTCCTTATTTTCAACCTGACCTATATTTCTTACATTCAACATGTTTAATCCAACATTTCTGTGTTCGAAGCAGAGTTAGTGGACTCTCAACCTCTGTTTAGTCTTCTTTCTTTGGCAGAAACCCTGTGTTTTCAAGTTACAAATGTTAACACATTCACTTCTTACGTTGACCCTAACGTAGGTATCATAAGCATTGTTTTCCAAGGAAGGAAAAAGACGTCAAATAGTAACGATCTGGGTGACATTGAAAAAGCAATCTAGTAGGGGATTCTATCTCTGAAGCCTCCGCTTTGCCCAACTTGTGGTTCTAGAACCTAGCAATGGCTCCTGCTTCTCAGCAGGGGGACACCAGGACAGCCAGCAATCACTACAAGTGACTATAACCCCAGAAACAGCTAGTGAGGAAAAAGCTGCACGTTTAGAAACAATATCTTGGAACAAGAGCTTTCGTTTGGCATGGCACGCAAATGAAGTCAGTAAATATTTGGGGAACAAATGCTTAGTTTTCATTAAGAATAGGCTGGGCAGTGCAGGCAAGACAATGAAGAGCTGTCAAAGCAGGTCTGACCTTTCCTCTTCCTCTGCTTCCTCTGAGGAAGGCCTATGAAGGCTGCTGTTTGCTCTCCTGTGTGTGGTGTTGGGTAATGCACCGAGAGAGGGGCGCCAGGCTCCTTGAGCAGTGGAAAGACATGCACGGTTGGCAGCAAGAAGCATTTGTTTTTGGAAAACAACAGTGAGCAGTGTCTGGAATGTGGTGAGCATCTAAAACAGTCATTGAATGGATGGGTGGATGAATGGATTCGAACAAAAATCAACGCACAAGGTTAAAACAAGAGGCACCTGCAATGGCAGCATTTTATGTGGTAACAATTAAATATACCACTTATCGGGCACTGCATGTTATAGTCAGTTGTTTTACATTTACATTATATCAAGTTCTGTTGTGTTTTTTTTTTTTTTTTTTTTTTTTGAGATTGAGTCTTGCTCTGTCACCCAGGCTAGAGTGCATTGGTGCGATCTCGGCTCACTGAAACCTCTGCCTCCAGAGTTCCAGCTATTCTCCTGCCTCAGCCCCCCAGGTAGCTGGGACTACAGGTGCCTGCCACCATGCCCAGCTATTTTTTTTTTTTTTTTTGTATTTTTAGTAGAGACGGGGTTTCACCATGTTAGTCAGGATGGCCTTCATCTCCTGACCTCGTGATCCGCCCGCCTTGGCCTCCCAAAATGCTGGGATTACAGGCGTGAGACACCATGCCCAGCCTTCAAGTTCTAATAAGAAATGTGTAAGCAATACCTCAATTTTCATTTTTCATATGAGGAAACTGAGGTGAATAACACCACACAGAACCAGCCCTGAATCCTGCATTTTTCTGATTCTAGTCCCTGCACAGAGCAGGAGATTTCAGCCTGATCAAAAGCCCTGGACGTGGTACTTTTTGGAACTGTGAGTGGGAGGCAAACGGAAGGACGGTCTACCGTCCCTGAGATGCACAGGAGCGAGGGAGTGAGAGGGAAGAGGCCACAGGGGACCATTTCTTTTCTGCTCCGGGCTGGGTGGACCCCAGTGACAGCACCATGTGTGTTCCAGGCTTCACCTGCGACAAGATCAAGTAAAAGTCACTGAATGACAACTGAGGGTCTGGATCACTCCGTCTGAAAACCAGGCATGTGACACAGCCAGGCCACGAGGGAGCTGGCGGCCTGGAAAAGAGGCATTTTCTTCACATGCCTGCAGGGTTATTACCAGGAAACCTTCTGCAGAAACTTATTTTTAAGACCTTTTCATCCACTTTCCTTCTCCTCCCATGGGAACCAACAATGTTGACCATCCTGCTGTGTCTGTGATTTCTAGTACTCTCACCTGCGAAAAGGAAAGGTGGAGAGACAGTTTCTAAGGACCCTCAAAGAGCCATTACCCGGGATCAGAAACAAGAGCTGGTTTATTTTATTCTGTTGTATTTGTTTCTGGAAGATTAACAGTTAGAACTCATCTGGCTGGCTCCCTCCTAGGCCAGCCAGTGGGCTTGGCAGCGATTGGCAATGATTGCCTTGCGTGAGCTGATAAGAATGACATGCAAATTACTCATTGCAGCCCAGAAGAAGAGATGACATGGAAACGTTTTTAGAGCATCATTTCCCAGGAAGGTTGGCACAATCGTTCCACTTCTTCAATCATCGGAGTGGGCTCCCCGCGTCAAGGCAAGTCTTGGTCTGAGACGCTGATCCTTCCAGTTTATTCATGGAGCACATTAGACCTTAGCTCAAAGAGAGTGGGCTCTGCCAAAACAAGGCACATCTCCCTCCAGGCTGGATCTTCATGGAAGTCTGAATGTTTGTGTATCCCAAAAATTCGTCTGTTTTAATCCTAACCGCCCCCACCCCCAACCCCGCCCAGGTCATGGTATTTGGAGATGAGGCCTTTCGGAGGTGATTAAATCATGATAGTTCCACCTTCGTGAATAGGATTAGTGCCTGTATTCCTCCATTCTCACACTGCTGTAAAGAAATACCTGAGGCTGGGTAATTTATAAAGAAAAGTGGCTTAATTGGCTCATGGTTCTGCAGGCTGTAGAGGAAGCATAGCAGCTTCTGCTTCTGGAGAGGCCTCAGGAAACACAATTATGGTGGAAGCTGAAAGGGGAGCCAGCACTTCACATGGCTGGAGCAGGAGAAAGAGAGAGGGGGAGGAGATGCCACATACTTTTAAACAACCAGATCTTGTGAGAACTCACTATCTCGATGACAGCACCAAGGAGGATAGTGTTAAAGCACAAGAAACCGCACCCATCATCCAATCGCCTTCCGCCAGACTTCACCTCCAACATTGCAATTACAGTTGAACGTGAGATTTGGGTGGGGACACAGATACAAACCATACCTGTGCCCTTATAACAGAGGCCTGAGAGAGACCCTCCCCCTTCCACCACATGAGGACACAGTGAGAGGGTGTCATCTATGAAGCAGGAAGCAGGCCCTCACCAGCCACAAAATTTGCCAGCACTTTGATCCTGGCTCCCCAGCTTCCAGAGCTGTGAGAAATTAATCTGCTGTTTAAAAGCCACCCAGGCTGTGATATTTTGTTATAGCTACCCAAACAATCTAAGACACACAGCCACATCCCAAAAGGGGGCAGTAAGCCACGTGGTTCTGGCTACTGAAAGCTGAAAAGGGAACCTGGTGCAGATCCGCTATCCTGAACCCTGACCAGGCCAGACACTGGCTGGTAAGCGACAGCTGAGTCTGAATCAGACACAGAAAAGCTCACAAAAGAAATCCGAGTTATCGACATGGGAAAGACCTGGAGTCTTAAAGTGGGGCAGCCTTCAGAGCCACACAACCAAGACCCGCCAGAGCTCTCAAGCCAGAGGTGCCTCCCCGGAATGCGGTAATAAATGTGATTCATAGGCATATTATCAGGAAGAAATGTGATAAGGGGATGATGTAAGTGATGCACTTAGCATCGAAGCCCTTAAGCATGTCATGAGTATTTTGTTCTTTGCAGTGACTGCCTGGACCATCCAGAGGCAGCAGCATTCAGGGTGCCTAGACGCACTCATCCCAGACATCCCACACAACCCATACTTCATCACGATGACCAGTCCCTCTTGATTCTGAAAGCACGTTTCCGGGACCACGCACTGCAGCAGCTGAGCCAGACTGACATGGCACACACATAGATAAAGGCAATGACCTCTGTCTGAAGGAGAAATCGTCTCCTTGGTTTTCTTCCCTCCAGGACTCCTGTCCGTTCTTCCGCTTTGCTGTAGACAGAGCTTCTCCCTTTGCCACTGGCTTTTCTGCTCCCCCATTTTGACTTGCAGAGTGCCTCACGATGCCAGGCCCCCGGGGCTGCCCGCCCTACCATCAAGAGCTTAGCACTAAGACTCTTTTTCAACTTAAAGAGATCTGAGATTGGGTCACTTCCAGACACATAAGCAGAAACTCAGTAAATATTCACTAAATGTAATTCAATTGAATGAAAACCCAAGAGGAAAGTGTTTTTGATGTTTGCTTGTTTGCTGGTGACCCAGCTCTCTCCAAGTAGCATATTGGACCATACGTTAGAAAACGCTCTCTGAAATTGAAAAAGCACTGACTAATGACAGGACTCCATTAAGAAGGCGGAATGTCACCACGTTATGTTTCATGCATGCTGGGAACCCACACCAAATGGAAAACAGGTGGAGAGCTGGCTCTGCAGCCCAGGCACACAGACCTGGTTCCCTCCTCTCTGCTTGGGCTCCTGAATATTGAATTTGAAATGTTAAGTACTATGAATATTTTGAACAAAGAGAGGCCCCCAGAGGATTCACACACAGTGTTCACAGCCAGCTGCAGGCCTCAGTAGATCTGGCCCTCATTCAAGGATAAGTGAACAGAGGAGAAAACTAAAAACATGAAAATATGATGCAGCTTAAGTGAATTCCATACGACAGATAGATGAAAAATACTCTTCTTTATGCTCATTTTTATTCTACTAGTGCTTACCTCTCCAGTAAGCCACTCAGTTGACCCTCTTCTTGTAGATCAATCTCAAGAATAAAATCATATTTACTGGCCCCTTCCTATGCAAAGCACAATGAGAATTGTCCTGTTTTTGCCTCCTACCTCTTTCCCCCTTCCACCTCCCAGTGTTGTTGCTCAGGTAGGGAATTTTGTGCTCAACTGATTAAATGAATATTAGTTTTGTTTGGCATCATCCCTACTTGTATTTCTCAGACTTTCACACTGGCTATGCTTTTTCCCACAAGCCTGGGAGCTTACCCATCTATCCCTTTGCCCAGAATCCTCCTCCTCAGCTGGTTTTCAGGGTGGATCTTTTGTGTGGTTCATGTTCTGCACCCCTGACACTTCCAGGAAGTCTGCCCTGACCAGCACAGAAGCCAGCGAGGCCCCTGTCACACGGTCCACCTCCCCTGGTTGCATTTATTTCCACCTTAAATCTTAAATCACATCTCCCTTGTGCATGCATGTCTGTCTCTTCCTGAGAAGGGGGCTCCAGGAGAGCAGGGCCAGCCTCTCTTTTCTCTGCTGTGTCCCCTGAACCCACGGGAGGCCCTGAGTCTGTTGCTGCTGACTGACAGCACACACGCATGTAACTGTGAGCAGCCTCTGCAGTTGACCTCCTAGGATATGAAAGAAAATACAGTGTCTATCAAATAAGACAAATGTTATCATGGTCAAAGGATATTCTGAGATGAATTAATGATTAAGACATTTTTAAAAAAGGTAATTCACAGACATAATATCCATTCAAGTTTAATAAGATGAGAACTGATCCTGAAGAAAATAAAAATAATGCTATCAAAGGCAGATTCGAGAACATTTCACAGAATGAAGAGGAAAGGGCACAATGAAGAAAGACCTCAGGAAGAACACGAAAACAAAGAGGGGACAGTGTGATTCTCAGGGGCAGGAAACTGATGGGGTTGAAGAGGCAACATATCAATGGCAGCAGGAACCCTGTAAAGAAGCTCAATAAGAGGAAATCTGCTTGACCTTGGCAAGTGGGAAGGAATCTCACATACCAGACAAAGTAAATACGTCGATAGAGCTCTGAGAAATGACTCCATTTCAGGAATAAATAAAAAATAAAGATTCAACTCAACAAATTAATAAAAGAGAAACAAAGAAGTGTAGCATAAACAAAACCAAATTAACACAGGTCAGAGCAAAACTAAATAGATAATAGCAAAACAATAACACTGAAATGAAGCAAATCTATAGACTGATATTTTTTAATCAACAACTCTCCAGCCTAACTCAGAAAAAGAGAAAAAGTCACAGAAGAGGGTTATGACAATAGATGAAGGGAAAGTAAAAAGGATGTAAGAGACATCTTTAATAGACTCTGTGTGATTCAACAGTTTAGTAAGAAAATATAAATTAACACATCGAATCAAAAGAGGTAAAATATCTGGGCAGTCACTCAGGCATGCCTCTGTTAGAGCAACCCATGGCCAGGCCAGCAACATGGTGCCTCATGGACTGCTCTCCATGCAGCCGGCAGCCAGGGGAACCCCTGCAAAGTGTGTCCCACCCTGCCTCACTGGCTTGGCCCCTCATGGCTGCCCCTCACCCAGAATAGAGTCCCCATTCTTGCCATGGCCACAGCCCCTCTCCCATCCATCCCCTTGCTGTCGCCCCTTTAGCCACTTGCAGCCACTCAGCCCTCCTCTCTCTGCTCCCATCTCTCTGCTACACTCCCACCCCAGGGCCTTTGCATGAGTCACTCCCCTGACCTGGACTCTTCATCTCCAAGATACCTTCATGTCACACTCCTGTCCTCAACTGAACCCTTGATAAAATATCACCTTCCCAGTAAATTCAAAACAGTACTCCTGTCACTATGCCTGAGTCTGCTTTACTTTTCTTTGTCATATTCTCGTGACCTAATAGGTAGGATATATAATTTTTCATTTTAAACCCACCCCTCCTTCTCTCTGTCTCACACATGCAGAGTTGGGGCAAACATTCCCAAGGCACACATCTAAGGAAGAGATTCCATCCGGCCCCCAATGGGCTCACAGGCATCCATTATGAGGAGGTTGCCATCCACTTCCCATTGTCCCGGAATAAAGCAGAAAGCAGGTGCACGCTACCACATCCACGCTCATCCCTTCATCCTTGTTCCTGGGGAGATAAAGACTGCCTGCCTGGAATCACCAGGGACTCTTCCAGGGCCCGGGCACAGTGGCGAGACAGGGAGACAAGTCAGGGCTCCAGCCGCCTCTGGCAGCTCCAGCAGAACTGACATTCAAGGAAGCCAGGACAACCAGGAAAAGGCCTCTGGGGTTTGGGGAGATGTTGTGAGGCAGGCACACGGGGCTGTGATAGCCGTGTGCAGGGGAGGGCTGTGCTAGCTGAGGCTTCTGGAGGTGACCGGGGCTGAAGGAGGACAAGGCCCTGGCATGTGCAGACAGATGGAGAGGAGCCTGGGGGTGGTCAGGGCCGCAGTCAGAGTACTTCAGGCAGAGGGACCCTCAGCACAGGCGAAGACGCAGAGAAAGGGACAGACTGGCTGAGCAGAGGCTTGGAGTAGGCTCAGGGAGCCTGGAGTGTTCCAGGTGGGCAGGGGGCGGGTGCATGGGTGCTGGTCCATGGTGCTGGCACTCTGCTTTCTGCTCTATGGTGCTGCTGTGGCTGCTGGCATTGGGCTGCAGGTGCACACAGAGAAGCAAAGGCGTGGGAACTCCCAGAATCCCCAAATCACAAGAAAGCCAAGTACAGGCAAATGGCGATCATTCAGAATCCAGAGACTTAGCCCGAGCATTGGGAAGACAGGCACGGATAAGCACAGAATATGGCTTCAGGTCCAGCCCTGGGCTCGCCGCTGCACCTCTCTCAGCCAGCATCCTCATCTGTCCTGCAGCAGTCACACCTGTTCATCCACTTTACTGGGAAGGGGTGCAATGAATGTGGACGCACGCGCGTTCCAGGGCAACTTCATCGTCGTTACAGCAGTGGCTGTCGGGGAAAGCCAGTTCACAGGGTTGAAGTAAGTCACCCCTGCCCCCCACTTGTAGGTGAACTGATAAATACCCACGCTGATAAAAGGAAGCGTCTAGAAGGTCTCCCCAGCCTTCATCATCTGAGACTTGGCTTTCAGCCCCAAAGCACTAGGCCCTGCTGTTAACCTTCCACCATTAACCTTTGGTGCTCTTCAATTAGCAGCAGCCAGGGGTCCTTGGCAGGTATGAGAATTTGGAAGGACAGCCCCAGGGCATGGCCCCCGGCTGCAGCAAAAGTTCTAAGTGTTCTTCTGTTGGAAGGAAGCCCAGGAGATATTGATCAGCTGCAGGTGGGGGAGGCCCCAGATCCCACCCTTGCCTGCCTCCAGGAGAAGGTTCTCCATGGGCCAAAATGGAGGCAGAGTCCCACTTTGCCTGGGCAGCTCCCTGAGCATGGCTCCCTGTGGACGGAGCTGAGTGACGTCATGACTCTAGGCCTCAACAAAAGAGCTTTGGAAAATCCCGATGATTCGAATTGTATTAAATCAACAAACATCGGGTTGCACAGTTACTAGAAAACGGAGATCTGCGTCATCACTTACTAGACACGTGACCTTGAACGGCGGCTTCCCCGTGTGAAACAGCAAAGTTCTGTAACCCCCATGAACGCGCCTCACATCCTGCATCTGCTGTGGAAGACGTACGTGGCCTCTGACAACTTGTTCAACTTCCCTGGGACTCAGTTTCCTCATCAGACACTGCAAATGCCAAAACCACTTCAGGGTCAAATGAGATTGTCCATCTGAGAGCACTTAGGAGAGAGATGTCTGCACCAAGTGAGGCCTGGCGGTGCCAAAGTCCCCCTGACCCTGGGGTGAGTTTAGGACAAGGCATGGGGGAAAGCCGTGGCACGGAAGTCAAGTATGGAAGACACCGAGCAGGACCACTGGAAGTGGCTGTCCCCGAAACGCTTCAAGGCCGTGGCTCCTGGCCTGCCCTCGCTGGGACAGGATGCCCCTGTGACCCTCGCTGCCCCCATGACACTCGCTGCCCCGCACCCACCTCCCAGCTTCTGCCCACTGTGCCTTCTTCCCCACGCAGGGCATCTCTCTCTGCTTTACATCAGTGCTGTGGTCTCCCTTTTCAGGATGACAGTGGTGGGAAAGTCTTGGTACAGAGGACATAAGCCCAGATCTATGGGGACAAGGAGAAGGAATTCCCCAGGGCCCCTCCTTGGTGGGAAGGGACAATGACTGTGATGACTTTCAGGTTGAAGATGAGGGGTCTGAACACAGAAAGGGTGGGCCCTGCCCCGCCGTTGCCCTCACGTCCTGCTCTGTTCCCCTCAGTCTCATACGCTCGCTTCCTTCCCCATCTACTTTGGTTTCCGATTCCGTGATCCAGTGGAAGGAACCTGGGCTCCTTGGGGAAGCAGCTGACTCTAGGGCTGGGCAGGGAGTGTACAAGCTGAGCCTGGAGCATCTTGTAGGGCCAGAAAGTGAGGAAGGGCTCACACCACCCACAGTGAAGTGGCGCATCCAGGGGACCCGATAGCCAGCGCTGGAACAAGTGAGCAACAAAAGAACGTCACTCCGCATTGTAACCCAGAGGATCAAATGGGTATCCATGAACCCACGCTGATGAGTAAATGACTGCATAAATTCATAAGTAGGAGAAAAGAGACAAATCTGACGTGCAGAAGAATTTCAAATGATTGATGGAGTTACTCCCCCTTTAACTTGGGCTAGGCATGGTGGCTTCCTTGCTATGAGTCCAGTATGGAGAGGTGAAGAAAGATGAACTCTACAGTAAAGAAACCTGATGAATACACCTCAGCCAGGTGGCGAAGGTCAGCACCAACCAGCGAGGGTCACATTGACAGCAAGCACCTGGCACAGTGTGATGAGAGGGCACCACGCCCTTGTGGTCACCGCAGTCAAACCACGAGAAGCACATCAGACAAACCCCATTTAAGGGACATTCCACAAAATCCCTGACACTCCTTAAAATTGTCTAGGTCATGAAAAACAAGGAAGGTCTGAGTAACAGGCTCAGCCAGTAGGAATCTAAGGAGACATGATGATTAAATGTTATATGAGATTCTGGAACAGAAAAATAAAGGCCATTAGATTTATTAGATTTATAACAAAACACCATAGAGAAATCAAAATAAACTATGAAATTTAGTTAATAAAGGCATGTCTGTATTGGTTCATCAATTATGACAAACGTACCATTCTACTGGGATATGTTAATAGTAGGGAAGCTGGATGTGACATATGTGGAAATTTTCTACCTTATCTTTGCAGTTTTTCTGCAAACCTAGAACTGTTCTAAAAAATAGCTTATTCAGGCCGGGTGCGGTGGCTCACGCCTGTAATCCCAGCACTTTGGGAGGCTGAGGCGGGCGGATCACGAGGTCAGGAGATCGAGACCATCCTGGCTAACATGGCGAAACCCTGTCTCTACTAAAAATACAAAAAAATTAGCCGGGTGTGGTGGTGGGTGCCTGTAGTCCCAGCTATTCAGGAGGCTGAGGCAGGAGAATGGTGTGAACCCGGGAGGCGGAGCTTGCAGTGAGCCAAGATCGCGCCACTGCACTCCAGTGCAGGCACTCCAGCCTGGGCGATGGAGCGAGACTCTGTCTCAAAAAAAAAAAAAATCTTATTCAAAGAAGTCACCTTATAGTTAGATAGCTCTTCCATCCATCACCCACAGAAGTTAGGCCACCAAGACTGAAATCTTTCTACAGTGACAATCTGGCTATCTGTGTCATTTCTCCCTGAACACACTACTGAGTGGTCCTCACGGTGACCAGTGATGAGGGAGAGCTACAGCCAGCACACCCCAGAGAACCAGTTACAGCTATCCCTCCCCTCATTGCCCTTGAGGGACCAATTCACCCAGGAGATAATGACCTGCAAATGAACACGTTTTATTGCACTGAAGACTCAGACCCCACTAAAGGGCCCTGGTGAGCTCAGCTTCATCTTAGGGAGCGCTCTTTTTGCCTAGTCAAGGAAAATCTAAAATTAAAGCAGCTCAGACAGCCTCCCTCACTCCTTGCCAACTCCCTGACCCCCACATGAGTCTCAAACTTTTCCTCTTGGCCCCAAAACCTAGGTCAAGTGAGATGTGAGCAAGCCATTTCCAAGCTAGAAACACAACTGAATCGCCAAAGAGCCTTTGAAGATCTCAGGCCCTGAATCAACTCTGCTTTTCCAGAAGTTTTGGGTGCAAAGGACACATAAGGAAATTGGAAATCATCATTCTCAGTAAACTATGGCAAGGACAAAAAACCAAACACCGCATATTCTCACTCATAGGTGGGAATTGAACAATGAGAACACATGGACACAGCAAGGGGAACATCACACTCTGGGGACTGTTGTGGGGTGGGGGGAGGGGGGAGGGATAGCATTAGGAGATATACCTAATGCTAAATGACGAGTTAATGGGTGCAGCACACAAACATGGCACATGTATACATATGTAACTAACCTGCACATTGTGCACATGTACCCTAAAACTTAAAGTATAAAAATAATAAAATAAAATAAAATAAAAAGGATTGCTGTGCACAGATGTGGGCAGAGGGAAAAGCAAGCAAAAGGGGGTCATCCTAGCCCATGTCCTTGGGATAGTCAAAATCACCTTAGCAGAAAGCAGCTGGAGGCCCCAGGAGGCCCCGGGCTGAGGACAGAAGAATGGGCAGTGGGACAGAGACCTTTGCCCTCCTCCGCGTGCCACACAGGAGCCCCCAGCTGCTAAGAAAGGACCTCAGAAAAAATGTATTCATGGGCCCACCAGGCAGCTCTGAGCCCCTTCCAGACCCAACTCACTGGAGTACCACTCAAATAAGAACCCTGATGGGGTGAAACTTTAACAAGATGAGAGGAGGGAGAACACAAGGTGGGGAGGAAGGGGACAGCTGGCCACACCCCTAGTGCCTCCTGCAGGTTTTCTGCCCGGAGCAGGTCTGAATACAGAGATGGGAGAGGCCCCCGCTTTCAATCCTGTTCAGAGTTTTGATTATTACACTGGACTGAGCATACTAATAACCAACTTGGGTATCTTTTATTACCCGAGAGTGACAAGGAAATTCATGGTGCTGCCTGTGTTTTCATACAGGGCAGGAGAAAAGAGAACCTTGCTGAATAAATTTAAAGGGTCAGCTAGAAAAGCAAGTCATCTCGCTAAATCATCCCAGCCTTATTTTTCCACCTGATATATACGTAACACATACGTGCGTAGATGACATATGTGTGTGCAGATCCCTATGGTTGATGCAGACAACATTTTATCAACCTTGAAATCAGATGTGCCCGAGGCTCTGGAACATTCGAATGTGCTGTAATGTGTTTCACATAAAATACCCGTGAACACTTTCCACATCACTCATTGTCCCTCTGAGAGAAACATGTCCTGCCTGGCCAGGACTCTGGTCTGTGGGTGGACAGTAAAGGACTTAGACAAGCTTCTGCTGAGGAACATCGAAGTTGCTTCCCCATTTTTAATGTAGCTGCCCACTTCTGAATTTGGTGCCCACTGTTGGCCAGCAGAGCATTCTGACCAATGGTGCCTGATGCCTCCAGGTTGACCCCTGGACTTGTGCCGGGGCCTGGATGAGTCCTGATGGGGCCTCTCCTCTACCCTGGAAGCACCGGGCTTCCTCTGAGGCTGCACAGTCTGCCTGGCACAGACAGTAGCCATCTGTAGCTCTCGGCTCCCGGACGCCCTTCAGGTTTTATGAATGTGGCACACACCTTCCCGAGGGGAATAAGGCACCGAAACTGCTGATGTTCGCCTGGACCCTCTAATTGACTTTGTTCTATAAGGAAACAACGCCACCTCGTTTTCTGATGTCCCGAAGAAATGTGTCCCCAGAGAGCTCCGAGAAGGGCTGAGTGGCCCCTGGTGGGACGGCGGATGCACGCTGCAGCCGTGTGGGTCCCCCAGGGCACTGGGCCATCACCCACAATATTGGCTTCCTTTCTGTGTTTACGTGTGTCGCGTCATAACCGGCGGTGTGAACCAGCGCGTCCTCAGTCTCAGAACGAGCAAGCGAGTTTAATTCCACCAGCTCATACCAATGCCTATTCCATCTGCTATACTGAGTGTGCTTTGTGTGTCAGACACCACTTCAGGCCTGGAGAAGCCATCGTGAATAGAACGAGAGGGTCCCAGGCCTCAGTATACAATTCACCGACCCTGACATTAAATGCATAAATGCCTCCAACTGGGAAGGGTAAGGAGAGCATGGCATGGAGACAAAGAACAGTGGATCCAAATTAGAGAGGGGAGTTCAGGGCCAAGAGGCAATGAGCTGGGTGGGAGGGGTGAGTTCCAGGCTGGGAAAAGCCCTGAGGCAGGAAAGGTTTGTGGGTTGCAGGTACAAAAATAAGGCCAAGGGGGCAGGGCAGAGGCTGAAGGGGTGTGTGTTATGGGTTGAATCATGCCTCACAAAATATGCCGAAGTCCTAACCCCCAGTACCTGTAAATGTGACTTTGTTTGGAAGTAGAGTCTTTGCAGATAGTCAAGATGAGGTGATAAGGGTGGGCCCTGATCTAATCTGACTGGTGTCCTTTATACATGGGCTAAATGGGGACAGACAGACACGCATACGGGAGACCCCATGAACACACAGGGGGAAGAAGACCATCGATTAGCCAAGGAGTGCCTGAGACCCCCAGAAACTGGAGAGGGGCCTGGAACTCGCTAACAGCTTTCAGAAGGAAACAACCCTGCTGACACCTCGATTTGAGACTTCCAGCCTCCAAAACGGCGAGAAGCTGCATTTCTGTTGTCTAAGTTGCTTGTGATACTTAACTATGGCAGCCCAAGTAGATGGATACAGTAGGGAAAGACGCCGGCTGGGCGCAGTGGCTCACACCTGTAATCCCAGCACTTTGGGAGGCCAAGGCAGGCAGATCACGAGGTCAAGAGATCGAGACCATCCTGGCCAACATGGTGAAACCCTGTCTCTATTAAAAATACAAAAAATTAGCCGGACGGGGTGGCGTGTGCCTGTAATCCCAGCTACTCAGGAGGCTAGCCAGGGGAATCGCTTGAACATGGGATGTGGAGGTTGCAGTGAGCCGAGATTATGCCACTGCAGTCCAGCCTGGTGACACAGAGAGACTCCGTCAAAAAAAAAAAAAAAAAAAAAAAAAAAAAGTCATGTGCAGTCTTCCAGGCAATGCCAAGAATTTTACGTTTGATCTCCAGGAACAGGAATGCTGCAAGGCTAGTTAAGCAGGGAGGGAAAATGATCAGACTCAAGTTTAACAAGACACCTTCGGAGGTACCACTACAGGGGTCAGTCACTGGGCTGAGGGTGCACATGGTCACCCCCCCCAATCATGCTACAGAGCCATGGCCAGTCTAGGCCAGCGGAGAGGAGCTTGGGCTGTGTCCCAGAGACCTGGATCCAGGGCCATTGCCACATGACCTTGGGCATAGAAACTGGAGTCTCACTTTCCTCAGATGCAAAGTGGGAACCACAGTAGCACATGCTTCCGGCAGGTTCTGTGTCATACACGGGCAGTGCCTGGCCCAGCCCAGCCCAGTAGCTGCTTGTTAATCCATGGTGCCCGCTGGGCATGCAAAGGGGAAGCATGTGTTTGTTGTTCTGACACAGAAGAAATGTTCAGGATAAACACGTAGACATCAGAAGCCGTGGAATGATCTATAAAGAACTTCGGAACCAGCATAAAATCTCAGTGGATTTTTTACCTCTTGAACTAGCCCCAGGGTGTCTGCTAAGATCGCAGTCTCAGGAAGGACTGAAAGGGTTGGAGGCTCAAGGGGAAGGCTTCTGAGACCACTCAGGGGTGGGAACCAAGGGGCTGGATCATTTCAAATCTGCCTCAGTCTCAGTGTTCAGTTTGGGACACTTGGTCCAGAGAAAGGAAATAAATCTGGGTGGCTTCACTTTGCAGTTTGTACTTAAAGACAGGCATTACACCATCGATCAATCCAACAAATATCTATTGAGCCTCAAGCCATCATTTATCCATGTGTTCAAAATACTCAGCAGGTGCAGACAGCGAGCTTGGAACAGAACCGGCCCTGCCTTGTGAAGTCTGTTTTCTATTGAGACGCTTACACCCAATACACACACACAAAGCAAACAGAGTTAGGTAACCTAGGCAAAGAAACAAGTGAAAGTGGCAGAGATGAGGGTTGTGAGGAACACACACAGCACCAAGACGAAGAACAATAGTGAGGGGGCAGAATGGGTGGCCCGGCCAGAGGACGGGCATCTCAAGATCCAGCCACTTGAGGACAGAGGACAAGCAGGCAAGGGGAACGGGGTCTCAGGGGAAGAGGGCTTGAGACCAAGCCCCTTGGAATAATTGAGGTAACACACTCACACATGCATGAGTATGTACCCATACACGCATAGGTACATGCATGTATATGTACGTACACACACAAGTGTGCATAAACACACATCTAAATACAAACACACATGCATGCACACATAGATCCGTGCTGCACACACAGGCACAGGCACACAGCACTGTGGTTGGAGCATGATGAGCAGGAGGAAAGGGCAGGTGAGGAGGCTGGGAAGTTGGCAAGAGCCAGAGGCGGTGGGCTTAGTGTGGTACGGGGATTTTGTTTGTGCTCTGAGCGTAATGGAAACCACAGAAGTGTTGGAAGCAGGAGAAGAACGTGCCTGTTATACGCTGTATAATCCTGGCCACTGTTTCTGTGGAGCAGATAATCTGGGGTGAGAATGGAATAAGGAGGTGAGTTAGGAGGCCTCTGAGCAGGCCAAGGGAGTGACGGTGGTGGCCCGGACCAGATGGCGACAGTAGAAACGGGAGTGAGTTTGTGGATGGGAGGGGCAGAGCAAGCCCATGGGGGAAACGTGGAGTGACAACAGTGGGAAAATCACATCTGAACAGAAGCAAAATGTGATGGGATACAGCACACGATTTTTTCCAAAACTGAAGGTAGACATCAGGCCAGAGACTCAGAAAGATCTGTTAAGCCAAGATGGATACATTCAAAGGAAACCTGACCCATGGGCATATTGCAGGAAAACTGCTGGGGGAACAAGACAAAAAGTCTTAAAGACACCCAGGGAAAGTGAACATGTGGTCATCAAAGTAGCAGTAACGAGGCTGAAAGATGACTTTCCAATATAAGCCACGGAAGCAAGAAGGCACCGGAATTACACGCTATATATGAGTTCTTTAAAAAGCCTCAAGGTAAAGTTTTATACAGAATTATAGCATCATTGTAAATGAAGACAAAATAAAGACATATTCATCAATCAAAAACTAATGAAGACAAAATAAAGACATATTAGTCAATCAAAAACTAACAGTTTTTAGCCTACAGACCAAAGTCTATACAATTGTCAGATTGGACAATGAAATGAAAAAAAGAAAGTACAGAAAGGAATGAAACACAAAGAAAAAAACAAAATATGGGTATAATTTAATTAGAAAATAGTTAAACATGAATTGAATTATACAAAATAATAAATGCCCTCTAGAATTTTTATGTGTGTGTGTGTGTGTGTGTAGGTGTGTGTGTATATAATTTAAATTCATGCCAATAAACATGCAAAGGGCAGGAGGTAATTGATACTGAAATATTCTTAGGATGTCTAACATTATTAGATGTCTTTATTTTGTCTTCATTTACAATGATGCTATAACTCTGTATAAAACTCTACCTTGGGACTTTCAAAAGAACTTTAAGAATAGCATGCAATTCTGGTGACTTCTTGCTTCCATCATTTATATTGGGCATTTATCTCATAGTCTTGTTACTGCTACTTTGACAACCACATGTTCACTTTCTCTAGATGTTTTTAACTATCTCAGTATAAGACACAGTTGTTATTGGGCCATAAAGTTCCAAGACATATGTTAGAAAAACTAAGGTAGCCACCATAAGAATTGCCACAGAATGTATTATTGTCAAGCTAAGAGAGGGAAATTAATAGCCTTAAATGCATATATAGAAAATAAATAAAATCAGTCATCGAAGTTTGGATCTCAAGAATCTTGCAAAAGAACAACACATCAAAGTCAGTGAGGGTAGAGAAAAGAAAAGAAAGACAGAGATATCAAAAACATGAAATAGAAGAAAAAAAACAAGAAAAACAAGAAAAACTAGCAAAGCGAAGAAATGGCTTATTTTAAAAAAAGATTATAGACAGTTAAACTGAGCAAGATTTATCAAATAAAATATTACCAATATCAGGAATGATAAAAGGAAATTTATTACAGATCCTATAGATATTAAAAGAAAAATTATTATAAACTACTTCAACAATAAATTAGGCAGTTTAAATGAAATGAGAAAAATATTTTTAAAATGCTTTCTAAATATGTCACAAGAACAAATTTAAAAATCTTAGTAGCCTCATATTCAGTAAAGAAATTGTACCTATTACAATTCTCCCCCCATGCCCACCTATATAAATCTACCAAACAAAACAAAAATCTAGAAGCGCAAAATAACCCACAAGTAAATTTTGAGGGAAAGGGTAAAAATAAATTTTAAATTTTGAGAGAAAGCGTAAAACTAATATTATGTGAGATCTTACAAAGATAGGAACTGAGAGAAAGCTTCCCGGTATCCATAATGAGTCCAATTTACTATTTTTACATAAAACCTGGCAAAGGTACTAGAAATTGGAAACCTATCTCCCCCATTGACATAGGCGCAAAGACACTAAAATCAATACAGAATGATAATTCAGTTGTAAATAAAAAGGCTAATACATTATGACCAAGTGGCATGTATTCCAGGAATGCAAAGTTAATAAATATTTCAAAATAAATCAATGCACTTTGCAGAATGAAAGAAAAGACAAATTATATATCATTTAAAATTGTGCAACACACACACACACATTAGCCACACTCTGACACACAGTCAGACTAGAGACTGTCAGAAAACAGGAGTGAGATGGGAATTTCAATATTTCAATAAATGTATCTACAAAATACCTACCACAAACTTCACATTTAAAGGTTAATTTCTGAAAGCTTTGCATGTAACATCAAAAAAGCTCTTATATCTGCTATTCCAAATTCTATTCAACATAGGAATAAAGGCTTTAGTCAGTGCAATGAGGCAAGAAACAGAAATAAAAGAGATAAAGACAGAAAAAGGAAAGTCATTATAGACATAAAAAGTCCAAAGTATCTACTGACAAAACATTAGCAATAACACATGAATTTGGTGAAGTCCTGTACTGCTGTTGTATAAAAATAACAGCAACAAAAAGTAGTGCATTTCTGTATGCCTGCTACAATGAAATAGAAAATAAACTTTTAAAAAGATACTAACTAAAATAGCATCACAAATCAAATAAGTAGAAATGAACCTAGAGGAAGTTGTGGAAGACCTCAGTATGAAACTGATACAATGTTACTTAGAAAAATTAAAGACGATCTATAGGAATGGAAAGCTATCTATACTCACCTACTGGGAGATTCATTATACAATGTCACTTCTCCCTAAACTGAGGTATATAGTCGATGCAATTCCCCCAAAAAACCCCTACAGATTTTTCCATGGAAACTGATGCAATTCTTCTAAAGTATATGTGAAAACACAAAAGTATATATATATATAGCCAAGGAAACCTCAAAGAAAATGAACAAAACGAAAATCTTACAGTAGCTGATCAAGGTATGTTATAAAGCCACAGTTACAAGACTCTAGAGCAAGTTTAGAGAAGTAGAACAAATGAGCAGAAGAGTAAGTCCAGAAATAGATCTATGCACCTGTCTGAATTACAACGATGATACCACCTCAATTCCGTGGAGGAAAGATGGACTTTCCAGTCATGCTGGACCAGCTGGAGATCTAGAGGGGGTGGGGGGGCAGTGGGAAACAGCAATGAACCTGACCCCTCTCCTGTCCAACAAATATTTTCAGATGCATCACAGACTTCTGAAGTTTAAAATTTTTAAAAAGGCTTCTAGAAAAAAACATAAGACCATGTCTTTCTGAATTTCAGACAAGCATATTGTTTAAATGGGACAAAAATATGATAACTCTTCCTAGAACGTATCATCACAATGTCCAGAGTAGAATGAAAATATTACTAGCAAAAAAAAAAAAAAAGTATAATTAACTATGCTAAGAAACAGGAAAATATGACCCTTGAGCAATAGAAAAAGCTATCAGGAGAAACTGACGCTGAGGCATTTAGATGTTGGGGATGGCAAACGAGGGCTTCTACATAAACGAAAAAAGATTAACCCAACTACATTTCTAAAAGCTCAGCTTCTTTCCTTCAAAAGGTACCAGCGAGGAAGTTAGGAATCAATACACACACTTTTGCTCCTGGCCATCCTAGAGTAACTGGTGAAGGAGTTGCCCTTTCACCCTGTAACTACGAACCAGGTTCCAGACCCGGGACTGAAGGCACAGCAGAACCATGATTCTGGAGAAAAGCCAGTGGGAGCCTGGAGTCGGCTGTGGACCCAGCTTTCTGCCCGAGGTCTGGGGAGAGGTGCCCAGGCAGAGCAGAGCCTAAATGCGGAAGACAGCAGAGAGCAAGGCTGGGCGGCACACGCCTGGAGTGAGATGTGCAGGACTCAGAGACAGCTGCTGCTGGGGCTGGGAGGGAACCTGAGATTTCAGGGCCCGACTGCTGGAAAGCTCAGGGCCTGCCGCAGCCAGTGTAGAAACCTCACTTGAACATCTCGGGCATTCAGCTGAGAACCCAGAGAGACTTTAGCTCAAACAGTAAGGACCACACCTTAGCGTGAGAACCACACGCTGGGATGAAGGACCATGCCGAAGTTTAATTACTGTAACAAAATCAAAGAAAGCTTAATACCTACAACTGATCTGCCTTCTAGAAAAACAAAAACAAAACACGGAAACTTCTTGAAAGGGCACAATCTCCTCCTCCTAAAATATGTCACCGCAGTGTCCACAGTACAATAAAAATAGTCTTAGTCATGACAAGAATTACCCTTCGGCAAAGAAAAAGCCATCAAGAGGAACTAATGCTGAGGAATTTAGATATGAAGACAGCAACCGTCTACATAGGCTCCGGCGTGGCTATTTTCAATAGGCGCAGGGATTTAATGTGAGAAATGGTCATGATGAGTGAACAGTGATCTCGGCAGAGAAACAGATCCTGTAAAAGTAACCAGGAAATTCTATAACTGAAAATCACTTTTTTAAAAAACTTAATAGAAGGGATTAAGAGAGAGAGATAGTATATTGCAGAAGGAAGTGCGAATTTGAAGGCAAATCAACAGAAATTATCTAACTTGAAGAATAACAATGATAAAGATTATAAAAATAGTGAACAGAGCCTGAGAAACCCATGATATAATATGAAGTGATCATTCATATATTTGAAGTCTCATGAGGACAGAAAAGAGAAAATGGAGTACAAACAAATATCTGAAAAAAAAATCACCAGATTTTTTCTGAATTTAATGGAAATTAAATTCAAGAAGATCAACGAATCCCACAAAGGATAAATTCAGAGAGAACTCTATTTACGTACATCACAAACGTGGATAAAAAATCAAAGTTTAAGAGAAAGAGAAAATCTTCAAAGTAACTGGAGAAAAAACAGTAGATTGGTCACATAGAAAGGAATCACACTATGACCTCTCATGAGAAATGCTGGAGAGCAGGTGAAGATTGGCAGTGTTTTTAAAATGCTGGTAGAGGGCTGGGCATGGTGGCTCATGCCTATAAACCCAGCACTTTGGGAGGCTGAGGCAGGAGGATCACGAGGTCAGGCATTCGAGACCAGCCTGGCCAACTTGGTGAAACCCCATCTCTACTAAAAAGACAAAAATTAGCCAGGCATGGTGGCACATGCCTGTAGTCCCAGCTACTCAGGAGGCTGAGGCAGGAGAATGGCTTAAACCCGGGAGGCGGAGATTGCAGCGAGCCAAGATCGTGCCACTGCCCTCCAGCCTGGGCGACAGAGCAAGACTCCGTTTCAAAATAAATAAATAAACAAAAATAAAAAACTGAAATGCTGAGGGGAAAATAAGAGGAAGTCTTAAGTTAGAATTATATAACCAGGAAAACATACTTCAACGTATGTGAAATAAAGATTATATTTAATAAAAGAAAGGTGAAACAATTAGTCACCAATGAACCAAAACTGAAATAATGCTGTAAGAAAATTCTTTAAACTGAAGAAGGAATATGGGAGGAACACTCAGATGTACAGACAGAATTACGGAGCATCAGGTGAGTGAGCGTTGAAAGAAGTAGCCTTGGAAGTATATTGTGCTGTGTGTGCAGACGGAAAGCGTGTGGCCGAGGACAGGAAGAGACTTCAACAGAAGAATATACTGTCCCATTCTTCAGTTTTATAACAAATAGTGAAATAGTTTAATACTCACTCTCAGAGACTGTGATAAATTAAGGATGCATATTGGAACCCCCAGGCACTTAAACACATGCAAACACAAAAGTCAAACTAAAATGTCAATAGAGAAAATAAAATAAAATTCTAAAATATATTTGATTGAGGAAGACAGGAAAAAAAATAAAGAAACAAAAACCAGATTGAACAAATCGCAAAAAGAATATGCTTGATAAATTATATATCAATAATTACATGAAATATAAATAAAATACAATAATTGAAAGACAGAATATCAGAATGCATAAAAAGCAAGATTCAACTATGTGCTATTTACAAGAGAAACATTGTAAGCATAAAGACAGATAATTTGAAAGTAAAATAGTGGGGAAACATATATCACGAAAACAACAAACATTAGACTTCTGGTATAGTCATAATAATGTAAGACAATGTACAATCCAAGACCAGGATTATAATTAGAGATTAAAAAGGGAGTGTAATCATGGTAAAATAGGTAGTGTGCCACAAAGAGATAACATTAATACATGAGTGCTGTTAATAACAGTCCCAAAAAATACAAGAAGCCCAAACTGACAGAAGCAAATAGAAAAACCCACACTTGGGATTGGAAATTTTGAAGCCCATCTCTCAGTCACTGATAGAACACATAACAAAAACAAATTAAAATACATTTTCAAAACACAGTAAGGATATAGAAACTTTGAAGAGCACTATCCACAGAGTTTATCTGATTGGCATTTATAGAAAACACTGCCAGGCACAATACATACTCTTTTCAGGTGTGCATGAAATCGCCACCAGCAAAGGTCATTGGGTAGGCTGGAAAATGTCTCGATAAATTTTATAACATAAAAATCCTATATTGTATGTTATCTGACTGTAAGACAATTAAATTACAATTCAATAGCAACAAAAATCTTTCCTAAAAATCCCCAAGTTTTTGCAAATGTAACAATGCATTCCTCTTTTTGTTAATTTATAGAATTGTGCAAACATTAACGCAACCCACATTAAAACACTCATTAAAGCCCTCAAATTTTCCTCATGGCTATTCATTGTTAATCCCCACTCCCACCACCTGCCTTTGGCAAACAGCCATCTGCTTTCTGTCTCCATACATTTGCTTATTCTGGATGTTTCATATAAAAGGAGTTATGCAATAGATAATCTGTTGTGTCTAGCTTCCTTCACTTGGAATAATGTTTCTGCGATTCATCCATCTTGGAGCACATATCAGCAGTTTGTTCCTTTAATCATTGAATAATATTCCTTTGCATGGATACATTTTATTTATACATTCACCAGCTGATGGACATTTAAAGTGTTTCCTCTTAGGGGTTCTTATAAATAATGCTGCTTCATCATGTGTGTACATATTTTTGCATGGACATATGTTTTCACTTCTCTTGGGTAGCTTCTGAGGAGTGGAATTGCTGGGATGTATATTGAACTTTTTAAAGAAGTGCCTAGCTCCTTTCCAAAGTGGGCATCCTGTGTTGTTTTCCCGTGGACGGTCTAGGAGGAGCCGAGCTTCTCACATCCTCAGCCGCCCTTGGTACTGTCAGCCTTCATGACCTTCAATAGGCAGGAAGTAGCATCTCATTTCGATTTTAACTTGCATTCTCCTAATGACTAATGATGTTGAACATGTTTCCATGTGCTTTTGGCCGTATGCGTATCTTCCTTGGTGAGTATCTAGTTAAAGCTTTTGTCCACTGTGTAATTGGGTTATTAATCTTCTTATTACTGAGTTGTAGGAGTTCCAGACACAACTCCTTTAACAGATATATGATTTGCAAATATTTTTTCACAGTCTGTGGCTGGTATTTTTATTTTCTCAACAGGCTTTCAAAGTGCCAAAGTCTTTAATTTGATGAAGTCCAATTTACCTTTTCTTCTTCTTCTATGGATCATGCCTTTGCTGTCATATCAAAGAACTCTTTGCCCAACTCAAGGTTACAAGGTATTACACCTGTGTTTTTCCTAGATGATTTTTAGCTATAGGTTACACAGTTTAGACTATAATGCATTTTAAGTTAATTTCTGTATGGGCTGAGATGAGGGTCTACGTTAATTTATTTTAGGCATGTGCATATCCAATTGTCCCAGCACAATCTGTTGAAAAGACTATTCTTTCTTCCATTGAATCACCTTGACATCTTTGTCAAAAATCAGTTGATCACAAATGTAAGGCTAGATTGCTTGACCCTAAATTTTGTTCCATTACCTGTATACCTTTCTTTAAAGCAAAACCACATCGTCTCAATCGTTGTAGCTTTATACTGTTTTGAAATATAGTCATGTATACCCTCGTCTCTCTTTTTGTTCTATTCCTATGTATATTTTAGGATCTGCTTGTCCATTTCTACACAAAAACCTGACTTGGGATTTGGGAGGAATTCTGTGAAATTTATGAATGGATTTGAGGAGAACTTTCATTGTGACAATATTGAATCTTCAGATCCATAGACATGAAATAGCTCTCAATTTATTTAGGTATTTTATTTCTTTCAGCAATGTGTTATACATTTCATTGTACAAGTTATATATCATTTGGTTAAATTTATTTTTAACTGTTTCCTTTGGTGTTATTGTGAATGAAATTTTTTGGTTAATTTCATTTTTTGATTATTTGTTGCTGTCAGTAAAAATATGATTGATTTTCATATACTGATCTTCTATTCTCTGAACATCTAAATAAAACGTGAGTGAAAAAGAAGTTACAAGGGCCATTAGAAAATATTTTAAAACTTAGTCATAATGAAAATGCAACAAATCAAAAGTTCGCAAAATGCAGACAAATACAGTGCCTTTGGAAAATTTAGAGTTTTAAATGTTCATATTAAAAACAAGAAAGATTTTAAATTTTATTATCTAAATGATGCCTTAAGAAGCTAAAATTTTAAAACATCTAGCAAGACTGATCAATAAAAAAGAAAACACAAATTATATCAATGTAAAGAATAAAAAAATAGATGTTGCTACATGTCCTACAGATATTAAAATGTTATAAACAATTTATGGCCAACACTTTACACCAATGACAACTGAAATCAAAGAGACAAATACCTTGGAAAATATGACTTAGTAAAGTTGACAGACATTACAAAACAAAAGCAGAAAATTATTCTTCAGAAACAATGTTCTTCAGAAACATAAATAAAACAATCATCCTTAATAAATTATTAGCAAAGTGAACCTAGCAATATATAAATATGAAATATACTATAAGCAAGTGAGGCTTATCACAGGAATGCAAGGTTGGCTTAACATTAAGACATTAATTGATTAACATTAAAAGAACAAAGAACATTTTATGATAATCTCAATAGATGTAGATAAAGTATTTGGCCAAATTCAATATCCATTCATATTGAAAACTCTCAGCCAACCACTACTTGCAGGAAAGTGACTCAATCTGTTAATGAGTATCTACAAACATTACCTAGAGCTAACATCATACTTAATGGTTAAATATTGCACACTTTTTTCCTGACGTTTGCAACAAAGCAGGGATGTCTACTCTACTCTTACCATTACATTGAATAGTGTGCAGAAGGTTCTATCCAGTATAATAAGGCAAGGATAAGAAATAAACTCTTAATTATTTGAAAGGAAAACCAAAACGTTCTTCATTTTCAGACATAATTGTTATGTGAAAAGCAAGAAATCTATCAGAACAAAAATATAACACTGATAAGTTATTTCAGCAAGGATGCAGAAAACAAGGCCAATATGCAAAAGTCAATTACATATCCTTAGAGCAGCAGCAAGAAAATGGAAAATGACATAAAATATTTACATTTTAATAGCATAAAATATATCTAGAAATAAATAAACCAGAAATATCTGCAAAATCACTATACTGAAAACTATAAAACATTATTGAGATTAATTTCAAAAGGTGTAATGATGAAGAACCATACATGTTCTTCATGGATTAGGAAATTAAATATTCATATATGTCGGTATCCCCCAAATTAATGAATAGATTCAATGCAATCTTAATCAAACCTTAAAGGTTTTGTAGAAATTGAGAAAAGCTAAATGTATAAATTTTCTAGATCTTGGATAGGCAATGATTTTCTAGAGAAGATAAACAGCAATAACTTTAAACTTTCTTAAAGATTTCATCAAGTAAAAAACTCTGCTTCTTAAAAATACTACTAAAATTTAGAAATGAAACAATAGAGTAGGAGAAAATATCTGTGATACATGTATCTAAAAAAGAATACACAAATATATATATTTGTATTGTGTATAAATATATAATTTACACATTATATATATTTATATATATATGTGTGTGTGTGTGTGTGTATATATATATATATATACTGCAATTTAATACCAAGTGGGAACCACTTCACACCCATAAGAATGGCTAAAATTAAGCCAGGCACACTGATGTGCACCTGTAGTCCCAGCTACTTAGGAGGTTAAGGCAGGTGGATTGATCGCTTGAGCCCATGAGTTTGAGACCATAGTGCACTATGATCGAACCTCTGAAGAGCCACTCCACTTCAGCCTGGGCAATGTAGCAAGATTCTATCTCTTAATAAAAATTCTGGCTCAAATGAAAAATACTGACAACAACAAATATTTGCAAAGATTTCAAACAAAAATATTGCTCATATATTTCTAGTGAGAATACACAATAGAACTACCCCTTTGTAAAGTGGCTTGCAAACTTTTTAAAATAGTTAAACATATAGCCACCTAGCTACTGACTGGTTTTATTTAGAGAGGTAATGAAAATATATTTCTATAAAACATCTTTTACATGAATGTTACTGGTAGCTTTAAACACTGTAGTCCAAAACTGGAAGCCACACAGATATCCATCAACAAGACAATGGATGAACAAATTGCGGTATTTCCATATAATGGAAAGTCACACAGCAACAAGAAGCATAACACTACTAATATATTGGACAGCACGATGGAGCTCAAAAGCACGCAGAGGGAAAGAAGCCACTCACAAAATTATATCTATTGTAAGAGTCTGTTCATATGAATTTCTAGAGCAGGAAAAACTCATCTATGCTGCTAGAAATCCAGGCAGTAATGGCCTCAGTAGGGGCAGTGCAGGCAGTGACAGGACAGGGCTAAAACATAACCTTCAGTGTGATGGGATTGCTTTGTATCTTGATAGAGGTACAGGCCATGCTGGTACATGTGTTTGTCAAAACTTAAAGAACAAAGCATATATTCAATATCTGTGAATTACACCATTTGAAAAGAAGGGCTTAATAAAATTAAAAACAAAAATCCATGCCATATTATGAGAGAATATATTTTAATATATTTAATTAAATATATTTAACTTATTTTAATTAATAATTGATTGATAATGTACTAATTCAAATATATTAAGTATATTTGAATATATTTTAAAAGATAACTAAAATGTAACAGGAATTCTACAAAATAATGAGAAAGAGAGACCCCACCCGGAGAAAAACGAACAAAAGACTTGAATAGGCCCTTCTCAACAGAGGATCCCCGAATGGCTAAAAGGAAAAAAGTTGTCTCCAGGAAAATGCAAATTAAACCAGAAGGAGATGCCACTCTGCTTCCACTAAACTGGCTTAAATTAAAAAAAAAAAAAAAAAAGCAATAGTACCCAACATTGGAATGATATGGAGTGATTGAACTCTGATACTTAATGATGTAAATTGATGTTTGAGCAATTCCTTAGGAAAACCATGTAGCAATATGTGATATGTCTCAACATGCCCATAACTTTGTACCTACCAATTTTGTTCCTAGATACATGCCCAAATATTTACATATACTATCCACAAGACATGCATAAGCGTGTTCCCGGAAGCTTTAGATGTCATAGTCCAAAACTAGCAAGCACCAAAATGCCTATCATCAACAGTGTAATGGGTTCATGAATCGTGCTGAATCCTTGCACTATTCCTACTATAGCAATGAACTCCCATTATAGCATCAACATGGGTGATGGGTAATTTTAGGGATCAACTTGACTGAACTAAGGGGTGCCCAGATAGTGGTAAAGCATCAGCTCTCGGTGTGTCAGTGAAGGTGTTTCTGGAAGAGACTGGCATCTGAATCTGTGGACTGAGTAAGGAACATCCTCTGTCACCCAGTGTGGCAAGCACGATTAAACTGGCTGAGGGCCTGAACAGGACAAAAAGGCAGAGGAAGAAAGAGTTTGCTTACTTGCTCCCTCTCTCCTGGAGATGGGGCACACTGGCTCTCCTGCCCTTGGGCATTAGAACTCCAGGTTCTCTGGCCTTTGGACTCCACAATTTGCAAGAGCAGTCCTCTGGGTCCTCAGACCTTCATCCTTGGACTGAGAGTTACACCACTGGCTTTGCTGGTTCTGAAGTTTTTGCACTTGGACTGAGCCACACTCCCAGCTTCTTTGCTTCTCCAAATTGCAGATGGCCTTTCATGGGATTTCTCAGCCACTATAATCATGTGAGCCTATTCCCCTAATAACTCTCTCCCTATCTATCTATCTATCTATCTATCTATTTACCTATCAATCATCTATATATCTAACTATCTATCCTATAGGTGCCGTCTCTCTGGAGAACCCTGATACAACGCGCATGAATCGCAGATATGATCGCAGGTGCATGCTGATGTTGGAAGCCAGATTCCAAAAAACAGCTTTATCAAGCAAAACAGAAAGCTCCTATCACTTAAGTATTTTAGGAAAGTGTGGAGTTTAGGGATTGGTGGACTTTTGTACCTAGAGTGTTGCTAGTTTATTGGGGCCACTTTAAACTAGGTCTTTGTTTACTAGTTTACAGCTTGTAATTAGGGCCAAAGAATGCCAGCCTTCTATTTCCTTTCCTGAAGTTGGAGACTCATCTCTTTTTATTCTCAGGGGATTATTGACAAGGAGGGCAGTTAGGAGGCTTTTACGGTGTCAGCAATATTCTGTTTCTTTTTTTTTTTTTTCTGAGACAGAGTCTTGCTCTGTCACCCAGGCTGGAGTACAATGGCACGATCTTGGCTCACTGCAACCTCCACCTCCCAGGTTGAAGTGATCCTCCTGCCTCAGCCTCCTGAGCTAGGATTACAGGTGCCCACCACCACACCCAGCTAATTTTTGTATTTTCAGTAGAGAAGGGGTTTCACCATGTTGGTCAGACTGGTCTCAAACTCCTGGCCTCAAGTGATCTGCCTGCCCTGGCCTCCCAAAGTGCTGGGATGCCAGGCATGAGCCACTGTGCCCAGCCAGCAATTTACTAAATTTAAGTTTATAAACAAAATTAACAAACATTTTCTAAAAATAACCTTTATACATAAAAAACAATGTTTAAGTTAAAAAGTTAATGCATATGGTTAAAACAAATTAGAAATTGCTTTTAAAAAAGGAAAAATAAATATGAACCTAGAAGATGTATCTGAAGAAATAACTCAATGCAGCTTCGAGAGATAAGGAGATAGAGAGTTTAATAGAAGAGTTACAAGATAACGTTAGCGATGGATTATGATTCAGCTTCAGAAGAGAAGGAAATCCTGCTGAACAGGATAACATGGATGAACCTGGAGAACAGCACGCTACGTGAGGTGAGCCGGTCACAGAAGGACAAATGCAGCACAATTCCACTTAGATGAGGTATTAAAATAGCCAAACTCGTAGAAACGAGGAGTAGAACGTGGTTGCCAAGGGCTGGAAGGAGGAGATGGGAGTTGCTGTTCAACAAGTGTAAAGCTTCTGTTCTATAGGATGAACAAGCCCCAGAGCTCTTATTGTACAACACTTTGTGCCTATAGTTCACAATACAGTATTGAGCCCTAAAAAATATGTTGAAGGTAGCTCTCACATTGTGTTTTTTTGTTTGTTTATTTGTTCGTTTGTTTGTTTGTTTGAGACGGAGTCTTGCTCTGTCTCCCAGGCTGGAGTGCAATGGCATGATCTCGGCTCACTGCAACCTCCGCCTCCCAGGTTCAAGCTATTCTCCTGCCTCAGCCTCCCAAGCAGCTGGAATTACAAGTGCCCACCACCACGCCCAGCTAATTTTTTTATTTTATTTTTATTTTTTTGAGAAGGAGTCTTGCTCTGTTGCCCAGGCTAGAGTGCAATGGCGTGATCTCAGCTCACTGCAACCTCTGCCTCCTGGGTTCAAGCGATTCTCCTGCCTCAGCCTCCCAAGCAGCTGGGATTACAGGCATGCGCCACCACGCCCAGCTAATTTTGTATTTTTAATAGAGACGAGTTTTCTGCATGTTGGTCAGGCTGGTCTCAAACTCCCAACCTCAGATGATCCGCCCACCTTGGCCTCCCAAAGTGCTGGAATTACAGGCGTGAACCACCGCACCCTGCCTTATGTTGCATTCTTACTATAATAAAGAAGACAACATTAATATCAAGCAATAACAACAATAGGTAAGACATAAGTTTTTCCATTATGTCCTGGATCTTTCCTGACATTCATCCATTCAATCCTCACGTCAAACCTGCACCGTGCTAATGTCACCCTCATTTACATGGTGAGATTACAGAGGGACGGAGATTTTAAGTAACTTGCCTAAGGTCACACAGCTAGGAACTTTGGGGAATAAGATTTAAACCCAGGCAGTCTTCTTCAGAAATCATGCTTTTAATCACCATTCAAAACTGCCTCTAGATAACAGAATGAAAAAGTCGCATATATTTGCTTTCCTACAAAAAAAAAAAAGAATACAGCAGTAGACACACTTAAAGAGACAATTTCCATAATGTCAAAAAAGATGGATCCACCAACATAGGAAGCACTCTATATCTAAGCAGAATAAAACAAACTCTACACCTAGACATATTTTCATGAAACTGCAGTCCCAACACCACAAGACAGCATCTGAAAATCATCCAGAAAGAAAACTGAAAAAGATGAACTGAATTGTTGACTGACCCCACCTGCCCTGAAACTGCCCACTTTCTGCCCTGATACCCACAGGCGGAATAGCAGCCCCTGCAAGCTGGCTTCTGTCCCATTTGGCCAAGAGGTCAGCAGCAGGGGGCCGGTGGGTGGAAGGGGTCTTGCTTCCCTGCTCCATCCATTCTTCCTCACCACTTCTCAGGAAGCCCCATGCCTCCATGGTGGTACCTCCCGGGCTTCATGCCAGCTCACACAGGACCTGGTAACGCTGCATCTTTCCCTTCCCTGTTTGATTCTTAGGGTGGCAAAGCCTTCCAGCTGTTACCAGTCCTTAGTTTCCCCATCTCTCTCATTTCTTTCCTTAATATGCCAACAGGTCTGTTAGTAGTTTAGTCATTAAGGTCCCTTCATTTAAAACATCTGTGTGAATGTTTTTTCCTCCTAAGACCCTGACTGATCTCATTGTGGCTACTAGGAATGGACTAGGAACCAGAACTTCAAAACGAGATTTGGGGATTGAGTTTCTCATGTTTGGTGGATGCATGGGTGGCTTCCTTGCTGGGACAAAGCTCTTACTAGTAATACATGACGAGCAATAACATCACCATTGTGTACGTACTGTCCAAGCGATATGGATAGGGTGCTGGCGTAAGGAAAAGCTCTCCGTAACCAAGTAACTGCTGCTGTTAACACCATGGAAACAGGAGTGATGACCAAGACTGTGGTGTGGGCTGGCATAGGGTCATGTCCCTGGAGAGATTAGAACAAGAACGGGATTTAAATAAGAATAAGGGACTTAAATCTCCAAATTGTGCTAGTCTCCATATTAAGATTAAAGCCTAAAGGGGAGCTGGGAGCCTTGACTCTCCAAATTCCCATGAAGATCTCTTGCTGGTGGAGGCCACCCCTCCTACTGTTTCTGATAAATTAATATCCTGCTGCATGAAGAGCTTCCAGTAACGTCACCTGGGTTTCCTCATAAGCGAAGGCCCATGGCACCTCATAGTGTAGGAAAGTCCTAGCTCAGCGGAGAGGGAGACCCGTGAGGTCTGTTCTGTGAGGAGGTAGCCTACATAGCAAAGGAATTGCAAGCTGTCATCAATTTGGATCAGCAAGGACCTGAGAGCTGGCTTAAGGATGGATTCTGAGCATGCTTGACCAAAATGGATGAAATTTAAATTGGATCAGACCGTAGGTATTGAAAAGGACCTAGAAGTCTTCACTAGAGCAGCTGTGAAAAGTCCTGATCCCTTGTTCTGTCTGGGCTCAGCTGTGACGAACGTGCATTGAAGTTGAGACACAGAATCTCTCCCGCTGTATTTTAGAGTCAGAATTCTGAAGTGAGGTAGCTGACTCGAGCCAGTGTGCCTGAAATGTCCCTGGTTATAAAACTGAGAGTCCTGCATCCTGGGAAACTCCTCAGTTCCAGGTAAACCAGGACAGTTGGTTACCCTAGTCTGAAGGCTCGAAAGGATTGTTGTATTTGGGTGGCTCAAAAGAACTGAGCAACTTCCTTATTTGCAACGTGCTCAGCTACCTCTAAACCATACGACTAAGAGGTGCAGAGAGCACTTTCTTCACCAAGGCATTAAGAAACCCTGGGGAGGCAGGGCCCAGTGGCTCACTGTAATCCTAGCACTTTGGGAGGCTGAGGCAGGCAGATCACTTGAGCTCAGGAGTTCAAGACCAGCCTGGGCAACACGGTGAAACCCCGTCTCTACGAAAAGTACAAAAATTAGCCAGACGCAGTGCATGTATGTGCCAGTAGTCCCAGCTACTCGGGAGGCTGAGGCAGAATTGCTTGAGCCCGGGAGGCAGAGGTTGCAGTGAGCTGAGATCATACAATTGCACTGTAGCTTGGGTAACAGTGCAAGAACATGGTATAAAATAAAATAATAATAATAATAATAAATCCTGGAATACCTGGGAAGAAATCCTTGAAAGTGGGTGTCCGTCCCCTGGAGGCTGGAAGTTGTGGTGGCAGATTCTGTCATTGGATTCCAAGTGGTCATTAAGAATAAGGAGGCCAGGCTCAGTGGTTCACACCTGTAATCCCAGCACTTTGGGAGGCCGAGGCGGGCAGATCACCTGTGGTCAGGAGCCGGAGACCAGCCTGACCAACATGGAGAAACCCCACCTCTACTAAAAATACAAAATTTGCTGGGTGTGGTGGCACATGCCAGTAATCCAGCTACTCAGGAGGCTGAGGCAGGAGAATTGCTTGAACCCGGGAGGCAGAGGTTGTGGTGAGCTGAGATGGCGCCATTGCACTCCAGCCTGGGTGACAAGAGCGAAACTTCATCTCAAAAAAAAAAGAGTAAGGAGATCACAGAGCTGTTTCCAGTGTTTGATCTGCAGGGAACTGTGGTAGTGGCTATTTGATTACAAGTTCCCTGTAATTTATGCCACTTTACACGCTTCAGATCATTTTCGGGGGAAGGTTCAGTCCCTCTGGAGAATCACCTTGCAAGGTAGTTACACATGTATGCTTTAAATTTTCTTCCAAACCTCTCCCAGAGGGAAATGTGGTCATTTACCAGGGTGACTGTTCAGAAAGAGACATACTCCAACCTCTGGGATTACTGGACACTATTGAGCTGATGATGCTAATCCCTGGAGACCCCAAACACCACAGTTGCCAACCCGTCTGTGTCGGGGTTTATGGGGGTCAGATGATGCATGAAACTTGATTTGAATTAGTCTCACTCTGGGTCTAACAGGCCAGCAAGAGCATCCTGTGGTTCTTTATCCAGTTCCTGAGTATAGAGTTGCAATAGACATTCATAGCAAGTGGCACAATCACACAATTGTTTTTCTGACCCAGGAGGTGAAGTCCTTATGGCAGAAAAAGCCAAGTGTAACTCTTGAACTGTTTCCTTCCACAAGGAAAATAGTAAAACGAAAGTAATGCCCTAAGCATGAAGGGCTGCAGAAACTTAGTACCATCAGCTGAGGCTGGGGAGGTACAGAGGGGATGCTTTGCCTCATCTGCGGGTTTAACTACCCGTGTGACCAGAAGCCAGAAGCATGCGTAAGGACCAAACACTGGTTGTTGCTGCTGGTCTAGATGTAAGAACTTAGTTGAGCAAACCAGCAGAGATTTAATTCCTACATGCCACTCCTGGCCTGGATAAAATTTTTTCCCTTGATATCAATAAAAAAAGATGAATAAATCACATTTGCTTTCTTACCTTGGGGTTATGTCAGTAAGACAAGGGAGAAATATATATATATTACATATATATATGTTATTTGTGTATTATATATTTTAATATATTATACATAGTTATTTATATATGTTATATATTATTTGTGTTATATATTATTTATATATTATTTACTTGTATATGATATATTATTGTATATATTATTTATATATAGTATATATTATGTATATATGTGTGTTATTTATAAATATTATTTTATATATTTGTATATAGAATAAGGTAAAAATTCAAAGTTTTCAGTAATGAAAATAAATGAAAAATCATAAAACTCAAAAGTTAATAGAGGCTGGGCACAGTGGCTCATGCCTGTAATCCCAATATTTTGTGAGACTGAGGTGGGAGAATTGCTTGAGCAGGAGGTGGAGGCTGCAGTGACTCATGATTGCACTACTGTGCTCTAGCCTTGGTGGCAGAGTGAGACCCTATCTCAAAAAAAAAAAAAGAAAAGGTTAACAGACAGATGTCATAGTTTGGATATGAATATAAGAGACCTGCCAAAAATATACAGAGATGGAAAGTTTGAGAGTGAAGAGACTGTGTGTAGGCAACATCTCAGGGGACTTCCAATGGTCCCCACAATCTTCACACTCTCCTCTCCTTGTTTGTGGGCTGGTCCTAGAGACTTGATTTTAGTGCACAGAATACAGCAAAGTTGGAGGGATGCTGCTTCTGAGATTAGGTTCCCAGCTTGCTCACTCTCTGCTTCCTCAGTGTTCATCTGATTGAAGCCAGATGCCATTTTATAAGCTGTTCTGAAAAGAATCCCATGGGTCAATGATCTGAGAGAAGTCCCTAGTGAGCAGCTTGTAAGATGCTGAGTTCTTTCAGCAACCAGGTGAGTGAGTTTGGAACCAAGTCCTCCTTCAGTCATGCCTTCAGATGAGACCACAGCCACATCCACTACTTTCAGTTCAGCCTCGTAAGACACTGCTAACCAGAGGTACCCAACTAAGCCACTCCCAGATTCCTAACCCAAAGAAACTGTAGGACAACAAGGGGTAGGTTGTTCTAAAGCCACATAATTTTAGGATATCTGTTATGCAGCTTTAGATAACTATTAACAAAACAGATGGGAAAAAACACAGCAGGCAATAGGAACCAAAAAGAAGAGGAGATAGCTCTACAAAAATGCAGAAAGTATGTCTATATTGAGTCAAAATAATTGTCAAGGATAACAATTTATACAAAATGATTGAAGTTATTACTTATGATAATGATATCACATTTCTAAGCTCATTTGCACTTAATAAAACACACCTAAAATTGATAGAGCAAAAAATTTCAAAACTACAGGGAGAAATTAATATATATATAATCAAAGTGTGAGTTTTTAACATTCTTCTCTCGATTGTCAACAAACCAAATAAAGAAAGTATCAACTGTTGAAATAATGTACCCTAGAACTTAAAGTATAATAAAAATATATATATATAAAAATGCAATTAAAGTGTGATTCATTTACCAGATCAATGTACCCACTTATTAGAGAAAACAAACTCATGTGGGGCATAGACCAAGGTAGGCCATGTGCTAGGTCTGGGAAATCGCAGTGAGATGCTATCACGAGGATCATTTTTCAAAGCACATTAATATTTTAAGTTTGTAACAATATTCACACATTTTAAAATATGTGTATTAATAATAGCTACAAGTCAATAAGAACTCATCAGGGAAATTAAAACATTTCAAAGTAAATGATAAAAATACTACACCAAATATTAACATAATCTAGAAAAAGCAGTTTTGAGAGAAAAATTTAAGCTTCAAACCTACAATCTGGAAATAAGGAGCCTATACACTAATGATCTAAGTGCCCAGTTAAGTAGTTATAAGAGGTACAGAAGAATAATCCCAAACAAAACAGAGATAAGGATATATTATAATGAGAATAAAAGTTTTAAAAAAGAGACATTAAAAAAGAGTGGGTCTTAAAAAGTACTAATAGAATAGTGTTCCTCCATGTAGTATATTCTAGAATTTCAAACTGACTTTGAAGAACTTAACGAGGAGTGAATAAGACACAGCCACAAATGGTTATAACTGCAATTAGAAAATGGCAAAGACCATAGAAGACATGGAGCAAGCACAATAACAGTTTAAGGAAGACAGAGAGAGAAAGAGAGAGAGAGGTTGAGAGAGAGAGAGAGGTTAAGAGACAGAGAGAGAGATGGCCTTTCTATGAGGGAGCAGACGGAGGTGTGCCCTGAATTTGAAAGACAAGAAAGAATGAGACATGCAGAGATGTAGGGAAAGGATGTGTGAGGTTGGGTGGGTTTGGAATAACAGAGTCCCAGGCCTATCCATCCGGACGGCCAGTGGGGTCATGCACTATCAGGAGGGACTGGAGGCAAAGGGAATGATGCTGTGTGAATGCTGGGAAGCCTGTGGGTCTTCCCTCCGGATTGTGGATCTCTTGAGAAAAGCTGGGGGGGGGGAAACAAAGCAGAAAAAAAGTCTTAATTTTGTCTAAGATACACACACACACACACACACACACACACACACACACACACACGTATACATGTAAATGGTTGTTTAAAAACAAGGATGCTACAGTGCTTAAAATTTAAAACAGCAGTTTGTGCCCCTTCTCATCCACCTTTGATTCTTGCTTCCCAGATGCAAGGACCTTTTTTTGATATTTAACTCCATATTTTCAAGTCACATACTTTCATCCTGTTACTTGAATTGTTAGGTTTAGGTCTCATCTTTTGAAGATGATTCAGCTTATGGATGTGGCTCATCACATGCACACTCCCATACACACACTCTCACACACATTCACACACACTCATACACAATGGCACACACTTGACACACTAGCACACACACATTCACTCACATTCTCTCACAGGCATTCACACACTCACACTGGCTTCACCTTTCCCCAACATAGTTGTGGTGGATGATGATTACATATTTATATCATCATCATTATGTAAATAGTGCTCTTGGCTAGAACGTTTAATGCACTATAATTACATCTCCTTTAATGAACTTTGTTTTCTTCAGGGATAATCATCTTGTTGAAATATATTTTTTTTTTTTTTGAGATTTTAATGTGCTTAGGACTGGTATATCCTGCAACTCCCCTGCCGATGCACACGCCCCTGTCAATGTATGTCCCTTTGTCTGATAATTGCTTTCTTGGATGTTCATCATCACCATCCTGGACAGCCTCTTCCTTTCCTTCCTGGGTGTAGTCACTGTTTCTTGGAGCTACTTGGTTTATGGATGTGTTTTGTTGAATCACATGCTACAGGACTGTCCCCAAAAAAGGCAAATGAGTAATATCTGCTTAGAGTCTGCATGTAAGAAAATGCCTTTATTCTTCCCTCCTATGTGAATGAAAGTTGGGCTGAGTAGAAAATGCTATGTGAGGCCAGGTGCGGTGGCTCACGCCTGTAATCCCAGCACTTTGGGAGGCCGAGGAGGGCGGATCACGAGGTCAGGAGATCGAGACCATCCTGGCTAACATGGTGAAATCCCATCTCTACTAAAAATACAAAAAATTAGCCATGCGTAGTGGTGGGTGCCTGTGGTCCCAGCTACTCTGGAGGCTGAGGCAGGAGAATGGGGTGAACCTGGGAGGCAGAGCTTGCAGTGAGCCGAGATCCCACCACTACACTCCAGCCTGGGTGACAGAGCGAGACTCCATCAAAAAAAAAAAAGAAAGAAAGAAAGAAAAGAAAATGCTACGTGAGAGATATTTTCCTCTAGAAATTTGAAGGCATTATCTATCTCCTAGCTTTCAAGGTTGCTGTTGAGAAGTTTGATAGCACTGGATTCCCCAACACTTTGAATGAACCTGATTTTTCCCACTAAAAATGATATCCTACTTGCCTCATTAAAGTTTAGCAATGATGGGGCTGGTTCGGGTTTTTATAATCGATTGTACTGAATAGTCTGCAAACCCCTTCAATTAATTTATTCAACACAAATATATCTAAGTTCTACCACACGCCAAGCATTTTCTGGGTCCAGGGAGGCAGACAGAGCAGTGTTCTTGAGCATCTTACCCTCTAGCAGGGAGATAGAAAATAGACAATAAACATCATGCATGAGCAAATGGCTTTGTGATGTGTTCTATGAAATCAAAGAAAAAATAAATGAGAATGCCAGAGACATGGGGAGTGGGTGGGTGGTTGCAACATGAAACAATGAGGTAAGGGGGTGAGGTAGCCAAGAGTTAGAAATCTCATTCCAGGTGGAACAAGAGCCATGCAAAGGCTCTCAACCAGCCCCTGGTGCTGCCATAACAAAGCTCCACCGCCCAGTGACTTAAAGAGCAGACATTTATTCCTAGCCATTCTGGAGGCTGGAACGGCCAGTGTCAAGGCCCCGTAGGGTTCAGTTCCTGGCTTGTAGGTGGCCACCATCTCATTGTGTCCTCACACGGTGGAGAGCAAGGGAGGGCCAGGTCTCAGTGTCCCTCTTTACCAGGGCATCGATGCCATCCTGAGGCTCCACTCTGAGCTCATCTAAGCTTAATCACCTCCAAATGCTTCATCTCCAAATACTCTCCCACTGGGGATGAGGGCCTCCACAAATGGATTTTGGAGAAGACAACTCAGTCCGCAGCAGGCTCTGAGGTAAGCAGGTTCCTGGCAATGTTGAAGAAACATCAGGGAATTAGAGTGGCAGGGGTAGACTGACAGCTAGGGAGAGTGGTAGATGATGAGACAGAGAGATCATGAGGCCCTTATCAGCTTCTAGGAGTGGGGATGGGGTGCTCTGACTTTTCTTCCGAGTTATAGAGGGACCCAAGCAGGCCTCTTAGCAGAGTAGTGACAATGAGTTAACACAGCTTTACAGTCTTACTGTCACTCCGGAGTTAAGGACAGCCTGTGTGAGGGTAGAAGCAGGAAGGCCTGTTGGGAAGACCCGTAGCAGTGCCGACGAGAGACAAAGTGGATGCTCTCAGTACAGCAGCAGCAGTGAAGGAGAGAACTGGTTACATTCTAAATACATCCTGAAGGCAGAGCCAGTGGGATTTCCTGTTATATTGGAGGTGGAAAGAAAAAAGAAAAAGAGGAGCTTAAGATGATTGCAAAATGTTCGGCTTGAGCAACTAAAAGGAGTAGACGTAGCATTGCTGAGATGAGGAAGGCTGTGGGTGAAGTGGAATTTGGGGGGATGGTGAGGCATCTAATTTTGTACATTTTGAGTCTGAGATGACAGACATCCAGAGAATGTGACAAGTACAGCTAGATAGATTAGTCTGGGATTAGGAGGAAAGTTCTAATCTGCAGACATAGAGTCCTTAAAATAGGGATGGGCTTCAAGATCTTGCCCTGAATGAGAGCCATGGAGACGGTGAGTTTGGACCTCATGCAGAACATCCAATATTGGGGCACTCCAACAATTAAAGCTCAAAGAGAATAGGAGGTGCCAGAACAGGAGGCTGAGAAAGAGCAATCAGTGAGGCGGGAAGGAGAAGACAAAATGAGCAAGAGGGGGCGAGGTTGGGAAGCCATGCAAACAGCACATACAAGCTCTGCTGTGAGAGCAAACCACACGGCACCTGAGAACTGACTGCTGGTCTAGCAATATGAAAGTTACTGGTGACTGGATGCCTCATTGATGTCAGTTTAGAAAAGAATGAGAGACAGGTCACAGATAATAATCTTTGTTGCAAAACAGAGTAAAAATAAATGTAGTAGTTGGTGGGAAAAGTGGGGGTTAAGAGAAAACTCAATTTGGAAACTTATGACCTCAGTACTGGGAAATGTTCTTAAATTATTTCTTTGCTATTTTCCCCTCCCTTCCACATGGATAGTCTCTCCTTTTGAAGCTTAACCATGACGATATGTGAAGTCCTGGACAGACCTTCTTCTTCTCCTTCTTCCTTCTTCTTCCTTCTTCTTCCTTCTTCCTTCTTCTTCTTCCTCTTCCTCTTCCTCTCCTCCTTCTCCTTCTTCTTATTCCTCTGCTATTCTCCATTTCTTTGTACTGTTAGTTTCTGAAAGGTTCCCTCAGAATTTTCTTGCACCCTACTAATGAAGGAAGGTAGGTGTTCTACCCTGGCTTCCAGACTCTCCCCAGCAGGTCGGGTTCAAGTTGCCCCTGGTGGTAACTGGCTTGAAGATGCGCCCATTCCTGGTGACTTCCTTTCCCCGTCTCACTTTCCCGCATCCCTGTGGGAGTTCTCTTCACCTTTTGAATAAGCTAGTTGTACTTGAAGCCTCACCTTGATGAGGCCCCAAACCAAGATACTGTGTACTAAGTCACTTTCACTGAGCCTTTTCTTTCCCGTTTTCAAAATTGTGTCGTCTTCATCTGTTCCCTTTGTCATGTGGGCTTAGGCCTTTTGAAAAATCCTTCTGTCGTAATTGTAATGAGGGTTTGAGAAGAGAAAGAGCTAAGTGAGTGTGTTAAATTTGCCATCTTCATCTAGAAGACATTTCTCAATCAACATGGTATCAATGACACCTTGCCCATTTGCCTGTCCATTCGTGAAATGTGAATGAAAACTTGTAATTTCTCCCCATTAAAGGGGAAAAAACACAGTTTGACCTGTCATCTGTGATTCTGCAAAATTTACTGGAGTCCAAAATTTGGTCTCTATGCCAACAGACAGTTAGCTTTGCCCAGGTATGACAGTATTTCATCTTTGCACGCAGTAAATAAGCTGTGAGCACCTCCCATCAGTGCGGGAAGCGGACGGATGCTCGCGGCTGCCAAAACCCCTCCACCAGCCCTTTCATCCTTGCACCGTGAAGCCATCCTCATTAGCACTAAACACAACGTTGCCACCAGCAAGGTCACTCATAGACACTCGAGTTCCTTTATTGCCTGCACAACACCAAGAATAATGAAAAGACCGTCTTCCCAAATCAGGATCCAGTGAAGTCCGTGTTGCCCTGATGGTGACATTAGAACAGGCTGAATTGTTTTCATTAAAAGGCAGCCCATTACTGTAGATGAGAAAGGAGTTCCACAGAGGGAGATTTCAGATCTATGCTTTGTTTCACTGAATTATGGAAAATTAACATGCTTCTGTCTTCACTCCTAAAGGTAATAACGTTCTCTCAATTGGAGGGACGGAGCACGTATGATTAGGCAGCCTGGAGGGGTGAGGCATGTGTCTAATTTTGCCTTCAACAACAACAGCAGCAACAAAAATACCCGTTCATTAAAAGCAGAGAAGAAGAGATATTTATATATGAAATGAGTGCTTTTGATTTGATCCCTAGAGTAAAATGTCATAAATAGCTGTTAATTTGGGTCTGTTTACTAAAAATTTAATGCCTGCAGAAAATCTATTTGAATCATCACAAATGTAATAATGTCTACCAGGAAGAAAGTGGGAAATGGTAGCAGCAATTTGGGATGAAACTTGAGTGTACTGGAGCTGGTGTGTGCCCGAGCACAAACTAATTAACGTTTGTGTGCTGCCCAACTCGCAGATTCACACTCAGCATCAATTAGAGGGGCCAACCTACTCCTCAGGTCTTTCTGCAGCAATAAAATCATTTTTTCCAGTTCTAAATATTATTGCTATTAATATGTGGTCCTTAAATGTGTGTTCTTAGCTCTCTTGATGAAAGGGGTTAATTATCCTGATGATTATTTCATCATATGATTTTGTTGCTCTGCCTGATAAAACAAAAGACATTTCCTGGGACAAGAGGAGGGATAGCCAGTAAAGTCGTTCTGTGTAAACACCACCGCACTGAAACCAACAAATGGCTGGGTCCATGGTAATGATGTCCCCAGAGAACAGCACTGTGGGGAGAGTGGGGACCTTTGATCTGGGCTCCTCAGCCAAGCAAAGAGAGGAAAGGAAGCTTTTGCTTTTCCAGAGCATTCAAAGGCAACTCCTGACCCCCCTATTGCTCCTATGCTTGCAAAATATTCATTTCCTTTGGGTATTTCAGATATGAAAGTGTTTGGATCAAAAGACCAGAGAAAACGGCCTGAGTTTTGTGTTCCATTCAGCCAACTAGCCTGCATGTGTTAATTTCAACTGTCTGTGAAGTGCCTGAGATACAGGCATACCTGGCCTCCCATTTCTGCCTCAGCCCTTCAGGAGAGATCAGGGCATCTCTATGCTACCAATGAAGACGTCCACATGCAGAAATAGTAGTTGGTTCTCTAAGGTCAGAGAGTTGGCAAGGTTTAGCCAGGACTTGAACGGAGCCCCCTCCGTTTTCAAGCCTGTTTTCTTTTAAATACACTAAGTTGCTGTCTCAGTCTACCTAAAATATCTGTCTGAGGAACAACATCATTCAGAGCCCACGCAATTGGGGCCATGGCTTCAGGCTGTGGTCAGTCTTCATCTAAGGGAGCCCTGCCTGGTGATCTAGAGACAAAGTTGCTGCCTCAGCCCATGGGCAGAAGGGTGGCTCACTGAACAGGGGATTAGCAGCTTCCTGTCCATACATTATCAGGGAAGAGTAAGCTCTGTTCCTCTTGAGGCTGAGGGCCAGAGGCCTTGGAATGATACCAGGGTCTCAGATTTCAAATCCACCTCTGTCCACTCAGCCCCCTCCTGAGTGAGTCTCTCAGCATCTAGGATTTTCCTACCTCCTGAGGTCTTTAGGAAGCTCTGTGTTGTGCCCAAGGCAGCTGGCTGGCTATAGCCTGCTGTCTTGTTGGAACTTTTCCAGGAACAGGATCATGTTCCCACCCCCCCACCTGGAACTGCCCAGTGGAGCTCAGCCCTGTCCCACTCTGAGACTGGAGTGTGTTCAGGGATTTTTCTTTCCTTTCCTGTTTCCTTTCGGTTGTTGCTAGAGACACATAATTTTTTCTGCAGGGCTGGAGCCATTCCTCTGACCCTGACATTTAGCCCATAGCCTTTGCTTTCTCCTTCTCAGAGTAGTCCTTTGAGGACCAGCCTGCTTCCGCCTTTGTGCACCATGCTCAGATGGGCTGAAACAACCCCCTACAGTCTCAGAAATGCCAAGACTTTCTTCTCAGTCTGGACTGCACAAGAAACCAAAGGCCAGCTTGGACAATCTACCACCGGGGAAGATTGCTGGTTGCTGACATAAAATCAGATTTTTATCAGATTCCAACGCCAGGCAGCATAGTCTAACTTTGTAATATGAATATGAACAAAGAAAGTTTAGGATAATTTATGATGGAGCCAGTAAAGTGATTCTAAGATTCATTAGTTGTCATGGTACCCCCCCCCCACACTGACATGCACACACAATCATACCATTAACTCAGGCGCTCTAAATGTGGGAATTTCATTGTAGGAGGTTCCTGGGTGGTGAGACCAAGCTCCAGGATGACAAGCTTAATGGCAGAAGGGATCATTGTGCCTCGGTTTTCACCTCCAAGTCACAGCATTTAATACCATGACTGGTAGATTTAATACCATGACTGGTAGATTTAATACCGTGACTGGTAGATGGTAGGAACACAACAACCCATGAATCAATAAATGAATGGACAAATAAAATAACAAAATGGAAGCAGAAGAAGGCAGCTTATCTGCTGCCTTAGACCTTCATGATGTCAGCCAAATTCAGTCACTCTCTGTTTCCTTCACAAGATCTCATGGCAATACTGTGAATCTTCTCTAGCCAAAGCCCTTCTAGTCACTTATAAACTTACTGTCAATAATACCTTTCACTTACATACAAAAAAGTTTCTGTAATGTGGGTCAAACTGCCGTGCTGTTGTGCTAGCCCTGAACTAAATATGTAACAACCCTTATATTTGGAAGTTGTCTTTAACTTGGCACTGGAATCTCGATTGCAGCACAACAGATGTCACTTCAGGGCTATGCCTCTCCTCTTGCAAAAACACATAAATAAGCAAAGAAAACTAAAAGAAACAAGAAGCCAGTACTCATCCGGGTGGTGCATGGAAGCCCACGTGTAGGAGCTCAGGAGAGCCGATGACAAGGCCAATGATACCCTGATGGTCACCCAAGTTCAGCCACAGCAGGGGTATTTATACCACGGGCATGGGGCAATGGAGAGTGGATAAACCAGCACAGCCGTCCAAACCCCACCTGCCTTCTCCCTTCCCTTCTCTTCTGGATCTGCACTCCTGAGTGGACACATGGTCTGCAGCAGCAGTCCCCAACCATTTTTTTTTCCTTGGACTAGGGTGAGGGGGGGTGGTTTTGGGATGATTCAGGCACATTACATTTATTATGCATTTTATTTCTATTATTATTATATTGTAATATGTAATGAAATAATTATACAAGTCACCATCATGTAGAATCAGAGGGAGCCCTGAGCTTGTTTTCCTGCAACTAGCTGGTCCCATCTGGGGGTGATTGGAGACAGTGAAGGATCATCAGGCATTAGAGTCTCATAAAGAGCATGCAGCCTAGATCTCTGGCATGTGCAGTTCACAATAGGATCCACGCTCCTCTGAGAATCCAATGCCGCCACTAACCTAAGAGAAGGTGGAGCTCTGGCGGTAATGTGAGTGATGGGGAGAGGAGCAGCCATGAACACAGATGAAGCTTCACTTGCCCACTGCTCACCTCCTGCTGTGAGGCCTGCTTTGGAGATTAAGGCTCTGGTTTACAGAATTCCTGGCCTGGGTAGACACGTTGCCATGCTTCCTAATGCGTGCCTTGCTCTTGGTGAGCAATGCAGTGGGAGAGATGCAGGCTGCAATGGTGGTTTATAGAAGCAGAACACAACAGTCTGCTTTCTGTTTTGGAATCGGGGACTTGGGCTCAGCTCATGGTCTAATGACTCCTGTTTTTAATTAAAAGGGTAAATTCAGAGAGAACATCATGTGCGCCTGTATTCAGGAAGCACAGACTGTGGGGGAAGCCTGTGCAGGAGACAGAGGGCAGCCCCACCTCATTCTTCTGCTGGTCACTCTGTGCTCTGGCAGGAACCACAGGCAGCGGCCTCCCAGTCCACGTGGGGACACGTCCGCAGATGTGTGAAATCGGAAGGATGTTCAAGTTTCCTAAGAGGGGTTCAGTCATGGCGCACAGGTGACACAGGAGAAATCCAGGCAGGCTCCATGTAGGAGGAGACATCTGAGGAGAATCCTGAAGTTCTGAGTGGCACATTGTGAACTGATGGAGACTTCTCAGGGGAGGACATAAAGCCTGAGGGAGGCCATTTCCTTCATCCTGTCCTCTATCCGCCCTCGTGCCTGCCACTGGCTGCCTGCACATTAATTTCCCACGAACCCCAAAGGAGAGATAGTGGCAATTAATATTTTTATGCAAATGTTTTGTGCCTCAGGGCGTACCCTTGCTGTGATTTATGAACAATGATTAAAAATAACTCGTTTAATGTAATCTAACAGGAACAAATATGGGAAGACAAGATGAAATTAAATGTCTTTCCCCTGGAAAAAGAACTTCGAGGGTCACCCCCTTGGAAATGCAAGTGGTTTCTTCCACTGGAGTTCGAGGTTTTAGACCCCAATATGAAATTCTAAAAATAAAAGATGTTGTATAAATATGTTATCCTGAAATTAAGTCTACACCTCCCTTTGATCTGCTGGCACCTTTTTGGGACTCTGAGTTTTCTCTCTGCCCACAGAGTCATGGATGTGGAAGAGGATGAGCCGGTAAATTTACTAACACAATTCCCTCCCCGGGGCCCACGTGGCTTCTTCCAGGAAGGGCTCGTCTTTGACTGGGTCAGAAAGAATGGGCCGAGTAATCAACAGATCTTGGGTGCTTCTCCCTGCATGCAAATTACTAAGTTACCAGCCATAACTCTCACCCCTCATGGAATCGCCAGAGTCACAACCTAACAAGGTTGCAGACATGTGACTCTGCAGGAGGCTCTCCACCTTCACAGGCTGGAGCCTTAGGGGGCACCCCCAGTTTTCATTTGGTTGGTAGATACTATTACATAACAGGGAAGGAGCTCAAGAGGTCAAAGCCCAGCAGAGAGTGCTTTGCATGAGGAAGTGATGCTTAGACTGTGAGAGCTGATCTGAAGTGTACCTCCTAGGATGCACCTATTTAAACATTTATTTGCCATCCAGAACTGTGCAAAGTCATTCAGACATGTTCCCACTGCAGCTGCTACACCCACACACGAAGATGTTACACATTCTCACCCCGAGGTGATGTGTCCCGGGTCTGACACACAGGGAATCAGCCAGCAGGCACAGACACACTCAGAGCCAGCAGTGCCTGCAGTAAAGGGGGCCGGCCTCCTTCAGATAGTCGATGGCTTTGCAGCCTGGGATCTTCTGAGCTTTATGGCTCAGTGTTTCTTCAGCCTTCTCCCTCTGGAAAGTCCTGACTTTCTGGGTCATCTCATGAGGGTATCCATGGGTCTTTGTTTCCAAGAATGTGTGCTAAGCCACCCAGAGTTCAAGGCAAGTAAAACGGATCATCCATAATCCTTCCTACTGGAGGATAACCAAAAGCATCAGAGGCCCCGTTAACAGGCATTTCTTTATGCTGACAACCAACCATCCATCTGTGCAACCATCCATCCATCTGTCCAAGTGTCCATGGCTCCATCCACTCTCCATTCACTCACAGTTTTCAATGAGCACATGCTGTGTGCGAGGGGCTAGGAACCACTGGCCTCTCTGCTCTTCTGGGTCACTCTGTCCTGCTGAATGAATGGGAGGCAAGAAGAGGAGATAACTATCTCTCAAAGGGCATCCTTTACACAGACAACATGCAGCATTCTATAATTTAATACACTTAATGGCTCTCAATAACTCTTATCTGAATAAAATAATAATAGATTTCACTGAATGGATTCATTTATTCCTTCATCCATTAGCCCATTCACTTAATTAATATGTCTCATTCATTCAACACATACTTCCTGAACACCTACTTTGTTCCTGATATTCTTCCAGGAACTTCAGATACAGCTTTGAACCATAAAGAAAATTATGTTTCCTGTCCATCATAAAGCTTACTTACATATATTACTTACAGATAATTTTAAGTATAAGCTGATATTACAACTGATTAAGTATCAAATGCTATCAAGTATCAAATGCTTTCTGATACTCATTGTCTGTAATATTAAAGAATGCCATATTTCATCAATTCCATGATACATCTTCTTCCACATTTTAAAACCTCTGAAATCTGGATGTCCTTGCCATGTCTGTTAACCACACAGTGGTCTTTATGTAATGGTCATTGTCTAGGCATGCATGCCAAAGCTTGCAGAACAGGTGCAGTGACTGGGAAATAAATCCTGGATCTTCACGTGGGGCACTCCCTTCATGAATGCTGCCCAGATGCTCTGGAGGGCAGAGGATGATTGTGAAAAACAGAAATATAGGCAATTCCTAATCAAAAAAGTTTCAGAGTGTTGGGTTGTAAATACTTGTTTAAAGTTTTAAGGATACTACGATTGGTAGGCAGAATAATGGCCCCTGAAAATGTCCATGACCTAATCCCAGAAGCTGTGAATGCTGTTACACAGCAAGGAGGCATTAAGGTTGCAGAAGGAATTAAGGTTGCTCCTCAGTTGACCTTAGCATAGGGAGAGTGGCCTGGATGATCCAGGTGGGGCCGGTGTAATCAAAGGCTCTTTAAAAGTAGAAAAGGGAGGCAGAAGAGTTCAGGTCAGAGAGATTTCAAGATGGTAGGTGTCTGTTGGCTTTGAAAGGGAAGCAAGGATCCTTCAGCCGAGGAACACAGGCAGCCTAGAAGCTGAAGAAGGCAAGGAAATGGATTTCCCCTGGAGCCTCCAGAAGGAATCAGCCCTGTGACACCAAGACTGTCATCCGGTGATGCCCATGTCAGAAGTCTGACATACAGAACCACAAGATACTATGGTGGTGCAAACACAATTGTGGTTGTTGCCCTTTTAATGGCAGAAACTGCAATTACTTTTGCACCAACCTAATAATAAATGTGTGTTGTGTTAAGTCACGAAATTAGTGACAATTTGTTACCACATTGATAAGAAATGAACACAAATACATTACCAAATTTATTCCACTTCTGTTTTCCTTATGTACCCACAAAAGTGATATAGGTTTAAAGTATGTGATATATACTAATATACTAATTCCAAGTTATGGGAGAGCAATGCATAGATAAATTTAATTGGGCGTGAAAGGAAAATAGATCTGGGGACCCCGAACTCACTCAGCCAAAGGGAAAAGTCGAGCTGGGAACTGGACCACACAAACCTGTCTCCCATCTTTACTCCTGAAAAAGACGGCTACAAAGATGAAAAGCTACATACCTCCCTCACATTTTGCCCAGAAGGAAATTCCTGGTGGCCCCCAAGATCATCACCCTAAAACAGTTCTGCTGAAGTGCATCCTGCAACGTAAATTGATCGCTTATCTTCCCAGACACAGGAACACAGGCCAGAACTCAGAGTCATCCCCCTGCTCACCTGAGACAAATGCATATTTCATTGCTTCCTCTGCCCTCTTGTCTACATTACCTTATGTAAAAATGCAGATTGCCTGACGCAGACAAAGGCATGAATGGCTGTTTCTCCTACCCTCCCGGCACATGAAATTATGTATTTTTCAGTATCCTGCCCTTTCCCCTTTAAATATTAAAGCCCTCAAAATCATCTTCAGAGAAAGGCATACATCTGTCTCTTGGATGCGCGTCCTTAATTTTGGCAAATAAACCTAAAATGATTGAGATTTGCCTAGGTCATTTGCTTTGATCCACGTTGACAATTTCATTTTTCCTGTCTTATGGTACATAAGTAATCAATGACAATCAGTGACACCTTAGAGCAAATGAATCCACTACGAACAAGGCAACGTAGTCAGCACACGCCCATCTTCAGATGTGGAACATAAGTGCAGTAAGAAAGCGGGTGAGATTCAATTCCTTAGCTTCCTCCCCACCCCCTGTAAGTCCCATAGCACCCTTCTGGCCTGAGTGGTTGTGCCCAGATCTCAGAAGGAAAATACCAGACTCGGAGCCCGGCCCTTGGGGAGCATCTGGGGGACCAAGGATCTGAACCACAGATCTGAGGGATGTGGGGTCCATCCTAGCTGCCCAGCCTCGGTAGAGGAGGACTGTGCTGACTGTGCTTAGTCTTCTAACGTTGGCCTTATGCCCTGTCCCTCCTGCACAGGAGGTTGGGGCCAGTTATGAGTTTGAGAGGTCAGATGAATGTGTCTATCTCCCAGGGACCGGGAGAAATGAAAATCTTCATTGCACATGGCCCCTGGGCTGGATCTTCCACACCTGTTTTTCTTTCCTAACAGAGCCAGGTGCCAAGTACGGGTCTGCAGTTGCAATTCCGTGGCAATGACCCCCCTGAAAATAACCTGCACAGAAACGTCACTTAGGAATCTTTATGACTCGAGCTGTTCATCTATCTTCCCAACAGGTCAGCTCTTGGCTAACTGTGAAAAAGATTTTTCAGAAAACCTTCTCAAATAAATCACAAATTCCTTTCTCTCACAACTTAGAAGAACAAAACTTTATGAACTTGAAAGGTAAAGGAAGCAGCACCTTTCTTAAGGGCTCCAAGGAGTCCTCATGCCGGTCCCTCTCCCTGCCGCGCTCCGTGCTTCTCACTGCCAGCAACCCGCGGGTGCACCAGCAATTCTCTCCCTGGTGATCTCTCTCTCCTGGAGGTCACCGGGAGCTCAATTTATGTGCTGCCTGTTTGAGAGCAAAAGAGAGAGAGGAAGTCTCCAGAACTTGCTCTGACCCACTTGGAGATGAGCTGCTGTCTCCCCAGAGCATCCTTCAGGCGGATGAGGCACTGTGAGCCTTTACTCATGCACGTCGTCAGGGCTCTGCACGGCCCCCAGGAATAGGACATGCCTTTGATCCCAGGGGAGCTGCTGGTCTCCACACCCTGGTCCTCACTTGGGGTACTGGGGACTGAGACTCTGCTTCTCCCTGCCTCCCTGTACTCCTCCAGGGGTGCCTCAGACAGCAGTGTGGCCGGGGCTGAGACTCTGCTTCTCCCTGCCTCCCCGTCCTCCTCCAGGGGTGCCTCAATGTGGCCGGCAGCGGATTTCCCTGGGCAGGGATTGTGGTAGGTTCTCTGCAAAGGAGAGAATTAAAAGAGGACACTGGAACAGACAGGAGAGGGCCCGAAACCTGGCCCTACAGGAGGGCTGTGTAAATTCATGTCAATCACTGGCCTTCCTGAGCTGTCAGCTTCCTCATCTGTACAATGGGAATACCAATGTCACCTTCCATAGTCTAAATGATTATTAAGAATTTGAAGCTGGAAGATGCATTCACATGCTCTTGAAAATAATGGGTTTGCTGGTGACTGGCCCCTGCCTTGGAGGCTGGAGGTAGGAGCAAAGGCCTGCGGTGACCAGAGTCAGATCCTGGAGCACAAGTCCTGCTACTTTTATCTGTTCTTTTGGGGAAAGGAAGAACCTATCCAGCTCGTCCTGGGGCTCAACCCCTCCTGACCATTCCTGCTTGTGTCTTGGCATGTGTGCTGGTAGCCTGGTGTGTGTACCTGTGGCCTGTTGTATGTGCCTGTGACCAATGTGTATGCCAGTGATGCTGAGCTCCTCGGTCTGTCTCACAGTAGCCCCAATGTTCTTGAAATCAACATCACTGATGGCCATTCCTGATCTTATATAAACCCCTGGGCTGCTGGACCTTTATAGAACCACAGAGAAGCCGCTCCTAATTAAAGAAGGCCCTGGCGCTATGCTGGGAGAGCCCTGGAGCGTCCAGAGACCAGGAGCCAAGGTAGAGAGTAGAAAAAATATATTAAAATGTCTGTCTCAGGAGTATGTATGGTGGGCTGTTGGGTGGTGGGGTGTGGGGTGGTGGCTGGCAGGTAGGGAGGGATAGTTCTGACTGGGACTGCAAGTAGAGCTGACCCCAAATTCATTGCAAGTGCCCATTTTTTAAACACCCGCTCCTTACACGCCATGTTTGCAGGAGCCCCTCACTTTGGAGTGACATGGACCAGCTCAGGGACCCGATGGCTCTTCCTGAGCACCACGCTCCAGCAGTTTGCGTGTGATGGAATGAAGAAAGGCAGGAATCAGGAGGCCCAGTTTTTTCCTGCTGGGCCTCTGGTGTGGTGTGTGGCCATGGGGCATCCCGGGTTTCTCTTCATCTGTAGAGAGGATGACTGAGCTGCTGCCTGCACCCCACAGAGTCTCATGCAGAAGGGGCAGGGAGCTCATGGCACTGGCAAAGACATGCCTAGCCCACTCTATGGGTGTGAGTCGGCTGCCCCATAGAGGGACAGAGCTGGTGGCACAGAAGGCGGGGAGAAAGAAGAGGCCCCTCCTGATGCAGTTCCTGAGCACATGCCCCGGGCCTCGCCCAGCTGCCGCTGCAGGGCTCCACCTTCAGGGCAACTTTGATCATGGGCTCCACCTCGCCAGGCAGTGGAGGCTGGAGAGGGTCATTCATCACTAATGTGACTGGACCCAAGAACCATGTCTGCTGCAGCGCTGAGGCCGAGGAGAGAAACGCCAGGAAGGGAAGTCACAGAAAACTCACAGAAGCCTGGGTGGGGAGGTCCTCAGACAGCCCGAGGCCACAGGCTGGTCCCTTGGGGCCCTGGGACACAAAGATGTGGCATGTCGGTTGCAAAGGAGAGAAAGGGCTCTCAATTCTAGAACAGAGAAAGGGGCTGCCTGCTGTCAGGCTCCTCTGAGCCTCTTCTAGACTCGGCCACCCTTGAGGGTGTCTCTGCTCATCTTTGCATCGCTCAGTTTTAGCAAAACTCCGTCAAGTCGGTTTAGCCAAAAATCCCCAGCTCCATAACTGATCACCTCCAATATCTGACCAAATTCCTGTTCTCCACCATCCCCCAGGTGATGTCGGTCACCTTGGTCTGTCTTCAGCAAGAATCCTATTAGGTCCATTTAGCCAGACTCCCCCTCACCCTGATGTCTTCTCAGTGACTTCCCATCCCCTGACCCCACCCTCCTCCCTGGCTGTGAATCCCCGGTTGTCATGCTATGTTTGGACTTGAGCCAGTTCTATGCCAAAGTCTCTTTCCCCTGCTGCAATTGTCGTGAGTAAAATATATTTTGCCGCTTTTAACTACTGCCCAGCTCTGGTTTTCTTTAACAGGGTAAAGGCAAAGGTGAGTTCTACAACAGAAGGGTGAGGAAGAGGAAACCCAGACAGGAAAAAGACTCAGGGAAGGGAACCAGGCACTGGCTGTCAAGGCAATAACACAAAAACCACAGCCTTTAATATGTGAATGAAATGAAGACTAATCCCAAAAGCTACCGAGGACATGGCAACACTCTGAGTCCCTAGTGTATTTCTGAGACGGGGTCTCACTACATGACACTTTAGAGACAAGTCGACAACAGGTGTTACCAAAACATCATGGGTTCCTTCTGGGTCCTGCTGCTCACTGCACAGAAAGCCAGTCCCTGAGACAAAGAGTATCACCAAGGAAGAAAGCTTTATTGGTGCTGCAGCCCAGGAGATTCTCAAATCCATCTCAATGACCAGCTAAAATTAGGGGTTTATATAGCAGGGAAGAAATGTAACAATGTATGGGAAAAGAGGAGCTCAGAGGGGTAAGGAAGCAATCAGGGTGAATGAAGGGTCTGACATCTCACTGTCTGGATGAGATGATCTAGTGAGTTTCAGTTCTTTGATGCTTTTGAGAGGCCTGGGGGCCCTTTCCTGAAAAAGGAACTCATAAAACAAATACAAGTTTCAAGCTTTAAGACCAGAAGCATCCATTTCTATGTTTATCAAAACAAAAACAAAAAACTGTTTATGGGACTAGGGGTCAGTTTCAAAAGTATAGAGGTTGTTAATATAGCAGGATTATTAGGACTGAGCCTTAGTGAGGTTATCACTTGCTTGGGGGTGATGAGTCAGTTCGCAGAACCCCCTATCCTGAGCCCTCTCTATCACACCACTGGAGTCTGGCTGGAGGTGGTCCAAGCCCAGGGGCGAGTCCAGCCTGCAGGGGCAGGGAGCCACGGGACTGTGGAGGTGAGACCCAGGTCCTCTGAGGGCTTTCCAGAGCATGGGGATGTGAGGAAGGAAGGCAGCCATGCCCAGCCTGCTGCACTCCAGCCTGAAAGAGAAAACCGAGCAAAGGATCTCGGAATGTCTCTGTCCACCGTGAGAAGCTGGGGAGGCAGAAAGGGGCAGGGGAGAAAGGATGAAGGACACAAAGCTGGATCTCAGCCAGGACGAGGAAGGAAAGGCAAAGGAAATGCCACGAGGTCAGAGCAAGGAGAAACCAGCGTCTATAGAGGAAAAATGAACCTAGGCTGAGGACTTGATGGAGAAGAAAAGGAAGTCAGGAGGAGGAAGGGTTTAGGGAAATTAGGTGGGGGCAAGAAACCCTAGGGAGATTCTCAAGATCATCTACAAGACTCTAGAGCTGGTAGCAAGAAAGGGTGAGGTGCCCTGAGTAAGCTGATCCTAATGCTCCCCAGGCTGTATCCTCAGAGAGAAGTGATTGATCTGTCCGTCAGTAATTCTGTAGTGCCAGGCCTCGGCCCTGTCAACATTGTGTCTCTGAGCCTCCTTCTTCTGTAAACATGAATAATAAGAACATGTATTTTTGCAGATGTCTTCTTTCACACATTCATTCATTTATTCAAGAATGAGCAAATCCTCTGGCATTTGAATCATGTGCTTCCTGGGAAAGACTTGTTTCCCCCAGCTATCCAGAGCAATCCTCAACACTAGACGGTGCCCTCCTGTTTGCTTCCCTGGTAATTTTATCCTGAGGATCATTTTGAGCCAGGAATATGGAGAGCTGTGACTTCATAATTTGAGATTTATGTATCATTAAGTTCCAGCAGTACATGACCATAAATAAGTGTAAGTGCCCAGAGCTCCCACCCGTTCCGCAGGAGGAGATTAGAGGCAGGAGCGGAGGGGGAGGAGCGGCCATGCGGCGACCTGGGTGTCACTTGCTCAGTGCTGGCAAAGCCCCTTGGATGAGAGTGAGGAAGGAGCAGTGGATCCCAGAGAACTGCTGAGATTCCGCGTGATCCCCTGGCTCGCAGGGGTTGTTGAGAATGTCCACGATCCAGTAAGACAAGGAGTCCAATGTGCTGAGTTTTGCCCAGAAATCAGGTCGGTGATTTACTGTGCCAGGAGCGCCTGTGCAGGATGCAGCAGCAGGATTCTCCATCAGTCAGCACTCGCTTGGTTGAAAGCAACAGATTGTCACCTTGAAGTTGACTAATTAAAAAAAAAGGTCAACTCATTTAGAGACTCTCTAGAGGAGAGAAACAATAAGGAATAGTCACACCAGGGTGATTCCAGGTACCTTCAGATCCGCAGTTAATAATTCCAGCACCCTTATGTACATATTTAACATTTTCTTCCTTTATTTCTGTGTAATATTTCAGGCAGCCATATAGGGAATCATGAATAATTTCATACCTGCCACTTGAATTTCTCAAAACACAGTATTTTGCTGTATTTGGTTTGGATGACTTTCTTTTAAAAATAAAACGTTAAGGGTTAGGGTTGAAGTACCTCATTCACTTGTTTCTAGCCCAAAACCTGCCTCTGTGCCCCAGTTCCAGAAGCAGCAACCGGTATCCTGAATTCAGCATTGTTAATTTTGTGGGCGTGTAACATTCTTACATGTATGTTTATCCAGAACCTACAGATTTCGTTGCTCCACATGTTTTTAAATTTTAAAAGTCATTTATATCTTATGTTGTATTTTATGTATACTTTGAAATTCATGTTCCTGATCCATATTATGTTTTTGAGATTTAGATGTCTGGATGCAAGTTTTGATACTTTAATTTTTCTTTATCGCATATGCACATCATGTGTCTTATTTAAGATATTATTTTCTAACCAGAGGCCACACAGATATTCTATTGAGTTTTGAAAGGTTTAGGGTTCTGCTTTAGTTGTTCAGTTCTTTAATCAACCTGGAGTGTATGTGTGATGTGGGTTATAGCTCTATTGTATTTTTATTTCATATGGAAAACCTACGTCCCAACACTAGCGAATAGCTCACTCTTTGCCTACTGAATTGTAAGGCTGACTCTGTTTTATACCAATGTATACGTGGATCTACTTCTGGGCTCCTTCCTTGTTCCATTTACCCATTCGTCTATCCCTGCATTGATATCATACTCTCCTAATTACTGTAGGTTTACAACAAATGTTCGTAAATGATAAGTAAATGAAGGTCATACAATAATGGAATAAAGTCTATAATATATTGAATGTGCCAAGGGAAGATAACAGTAAACATACAAGTCTCTTTCCAGCTATCTAAACGATAATTCAACAGTGAGGACAAAATAAAGACATTTGCAGGCAAAAGCTTTATCTCTCTGTGCTGCATCCTGGTTAATTTCCTTGGTTTTATCTTTCACCTTATTAATTCTTTCCTTTCAGCTATATCTAATCTGCTGTTCAACATGACCAAGGGCCTTAGATTCTGTATGTGTGTAATTTTTACCTCTAGAAGTTCTATTTGGCCCTATTGCAATTCTACTTACTGTTTCCTACTTTATACTTTTATGCCCTTAATTTGTGTAATTATACTTCTTTATACTCTAGTTCAGATTGATCAAACCTGGCTGCTCACACTGTCTGTTTTCTCTCACTCATCGTATGTTTTGTAATTTGGGATTATGAGCTCATCTTCAGTGAGAATATGCAATAATTTGATTAAGGCTTTTCTCTTCTAGCTCTGCTCTACATTTACTTCTCCCAGCCAATCTCGGGGTCACATGAACCTAGAAGAAAATTTCTTTGGCTTAGGTAATCCCCAGCCACAAGGGGGCAACAGATTCACACAGGGGAGGCGCAGGCCTAGGTTTTGATTTCTCCAGGAAGACTTCCATTTTGTCTTCACAAAGACTCTGATCCTGGCATCTCCCTTGGCCATGGGAAGTAGTTTCTCTTTCCCCAGGTCCCTGCTTTCATGAAATGTGGGCTCTCAGTTCACACTGTGACTGGCATGGGTTCATCTCCTCACTGCCTCACCTCACCAACCACATTTCCCCGTGCAGTGGCAGAGCCACAGAGTCAGTGCACATCCATGCACTGATGCCCAGTTTCCACTTCTCTTCAACCATTACACACACACACACACCCCTGTCCCCCTTCTGGGGAATGAAGATGCAGCATTAGACAAACCAAAGAGAAATGTCCCTGTGTACACAACTTTTTCGGCGTCAGGAGGCAGAGAGCAAACATATCTTCCAGATGGTGGGAAGAAGCACAGTGGAAAATAAGGCAGGGTCAGGGAAGTGGAACGACACAGGTGGGACATGATTTTATGTGGGTGGGTGGGGATGGCCTCTCTTAAGGCGACACTTGAGCAGGGAGCTGTGGGAGTGAGTTGAGTCCTGTGTGTTTGAGGGAGGAGATTTCAGGCTACAGGAACAGCTGGTGCACATGTCCTGAGATGGGCGTGGGCTTGGGATGTTCAAGGAAGGGAGCCTACAGGAAGAGAAGAAGGCAGGAGGAGATGAGGGCAGAGAGATGGCCAGGAGCCAGGTCCCAGAAGCCTTGTAGGATAAGGACCTTGGATTCATTCCAAGGGAGATAGAATCCCATTGGAATGTTTGGAATGAGGATCTGATCTAGCCAACTGCTACTCATCACTCCAATGTCTGCTTAAATGTCATTTGCCAAAACATGCCTGACTCCGCTCCTCAACTGATAGCCTGTTCCCCATAGATTGCTGGCTCCTGCTTCTTTTCCTGGCACCTGCCCCATGCCAGGCCTTTTCTTAAGTGCTCAGTATACAACAGCGAACAAATGCACTGAGTTCCTGCCCTCAGGAATCTTACTGTCTTGCACTTACCATTTACACGTCACTTGGTGGACTATTTAATGTTTCCTTCCACAACTACGCTGTGCTGCCCATGAAAGCAGGGCTTATCAACTGTGTGACTGTGGGAACATTATTTAATCTCTCTACATTTTAGGGTCATCCTCTGCCAAATAAAATAGCATTTCTCATCTCATGGGATCCTGTGAAGTTTCAGCGAGTTACAGGAAGCACTGAGAACATACCTGATGAGTGTTTCTACATGTAAATTTGTTCTCATCTTGTTTCTTCTGTGTCACTCTACTCAACTGGAGTCCTGTATCTCCGCTCTTCTCTCTTTTCATTTTTAGAAATATTCTTGGGTCGGGAGTGGTGGCTCACAGCTGTAATCCGAGCACATTGGGATGCGGGTGGATCACCTGAGGTCAGAAGATCGAGACCAGCCTGGCCAACATGGTGAAACCCCATCTCCACTAAAAATAGAAAAATTAGCTGGGCATGGTGGTGCATGCCTGTAATCCCAGCTACTTGGTAGGCTGAGGCAGGAGAATCACTTGAACCCAGGAGACAGAGGATGCAGTGAGCTGAGATGGCGCCACTGCACTCCAGCCTGGGCAACAGAGCGAGACTCCGTCTCAAAAATAAAAAAAATTTTAAAAATTCTTATTGAATTGCAGATTTACATGCAGTTGTAAAACATAATACAGAGAGATCCTGTGTACCCTTTACCCAGTTTCCACCAAAGAAAATATGTTGCAAAACTAGTGCAACATCACAACCAGGGTATTGACTGATCAACCCATAGATCTTATTCAGATTTCCAGTTCTACTTGCTCGTGTGTGTGTGTGTGTGTGTGTGTATTTAGTTCTGCACATTTTTGCCACATGCTGGGTTCACATATGCACCAGGACAGTCTAGACACAGAACGAGTCTATCACCACAAGAATTCCTTTCTTATTGCTAAGTGGTTTCCATGGCATTAGGTACACTTTGTTTAACCACTGAGGGCACGTGGGATGTTTCTGGTTTGTGGTTATTACAAATAAAGCCTCTATGAACATTCATGTCGAGGTTTGTATGTGAATATAAGATTTCCTAGAGTAAATACCCAAGAATGCAACTGAATGTTTTGTAAGAAACTGCCCGGTTGTTTTCCGGAGTGGCTGTATTGCATTTCCACCCGTGATGTCTGAGTGATTTGGCTTCTCTGTATCTTTGCCAGCATTTAGGATCATCACTATTTTTTTATTTCAGCCACTTTAGTAGAGATGCAGCGATATCCCATTGTAGTTTTAATTTCTATTTTTCCAATGGCTAATGACGCTCAACATTTTCCATGTGCTTACTTGCCATCTGTACATACTCTACATGAAATTGTCTCCAAATGCCTTTTGCCCATTTTATAATCAGGTTGTTTTTTCACTGTTGAATTTTAAGAATTCTTTATAAACTCTAGATACTAATCTTTTGTCAGATATGTGATTTGCAAATATTTTCTCCCTGTTTGTAACTTGTCTTTTTATCCTCTTCACATGGCTTTTTTTCAGAGTAAAAAAAAAAAAAAAAAAGAATCATCATTTTGACCCAAAGTGTTCAGTTAAACATTTTTTCTTTCATGGATTGTTTTGCTGTTGTTGAAGAATTCTTTTTTAGCATAAGATTCCTAATATTTTTAAATTGTTTCTTCTAAAAGTTGTACAGATTTCTCATTTACAGTTAAGTTCATGAATCATTTCCAGTTCATTTTTGTATAAGGCGTGAAGTTTAGTTTGGGGGGTTCATTTAATTTTCCTAAGGATGAACAATTGCTCCAGCACCATTTGTTGAAAAGCCCAGCCTTCCAATTGCTTTGCATTTTTTCTCTATGAGTATCAGTGTGTCTTCATGTGAGGTGTGAACACCTTACTTCCATTCAGGCACCTTTGCCCTCACCAGTTTTAAATATCGTCTTGAGTATCAGATGGTAACGTGATTTTTATTTCAATCATCGTGTGTGATTTAGACCATTCAGGAGGAAGGGAATAGTGTGCTCATGATACCTACCCATGCTCCTGTTTTCTTCCTTTCTGATGTTTCATGATTTCTTCATTTTTTATTTCTTTTCTGTTGAAAGAGTTTTCTTTATCCAATCTTTAAAAGTAAATCTGCAAGCCACAAATTCTTTTAGTTTCCCTCTTGCCTACTTTTGTGGGCTGGGGTTCTAATGACAGTTTAATTTTCAGAGTCTTTGTGCTATTGTTTGAGCTGCTTGGTGTATCTGGTGCTGGAGGAGCTTCCGTGGGTCCCTGTGGGAGCGACCTCAGGGCAGGAGGAGCTTCTGCAGACCAGGTCATCCGCATCTCTCCATGAGGGAGGAGAGTCTCAGGCTTCCTTGGCTGGATAGTCATTGTGGTGGGATCTCCCCACCCCACTGGGACCACCCCCCGGGTCCCCACTGTCCGTGTGGGGAGAGGAGTCTCAGGCTTGCAGGGCAGAGGTGATTCCCAGGCTTCACCATTCCTTTTGGCTGTCCCTCTTGCCACTGTCCCAGCTATGCCTGCATCTCTAGGTTGGGGAGGGGGGGTCTCAGGCCTGATAGGGAAGGAGTCTCCGCAGGCCACTTACTTTTGGCAAAGCTCCCAACTGATCCACCTGGTGGCGGGTCTGGGTTCACCTGTTACTATAGGAGGGACTCCGCTTGGGTCTAGGACAGGAATGAGTCCACCAAGGCTGGCTTCCATTGCCAACCTGGGGGATGGGAAAGGCCAGATCCCTTGCTTCTGTTGGGTTGGGGGCAGAAGGCACCCTTCCACTCTGCTCTTCCTCCGACACTCGGGTTTGGTTTCCAGACAGTTCGCCTTCCTCTTGCCACTTTTCCAAGTTCTGCAGTGGCTCCCTCTGACATGAATTCCAGGATTCATGGCTGTGCTTGATAAAGAGGCACCATGTTGTCTGGAACAAGCCCTCCTCATCTCTTCTGTGGGCCCCGTCTCCTCTCTGCAATCTCAGCTCCAGGGAAACCACTTCAAGCCCCTCCTTCATCCCTCCTTTGTCCCTAGCTGTGTGTCCTCCTTGGGTGACCTGCCTAGTCCCAGCTCTAGAGAACGTCTACGTGCTGAGAACTCTCAAGTTTCTATCTGCAGCCCGAGCCCTGGCTTTGAGCTTCAGACTCTTGTGCATCCAGCTACCCCACGACACTTCTACCTGGATGTTTTCCATGTGTCACAGTCTTTCCTGGAAAAGCAGAGCCGTTGACTTTATCCTGTACATCCGTGGCTCCTCTAGTTTTCTCTGTTTTGGAAAACTATAGACCAGCACCTGATGTTCAGACCAGAAGTCAGTGGTCTCTGAATGGTGTTTTTCTTTGCAGCTCATGTACAAAACCTTGGCACAGCCCGTCACCGCTATCCACCTTCACAGCTGTGGCCCTCCTCCAAGCCAGCATCCCCTGTGCCCACATTGGCAGGACAGCCCCTCTCTAGCCACCTGATTCCTCTTCTGCTTTTCTACACCAGCCCGGGAGTTTTGGAAGCAGCATAAGGCTCTCCAGGTCACAACACCTTAATCGTAAAACCTCCTCACTCAGAATAAAAGCTATAGTAGCCCATGAATCCAGGCCTGACCCCAGCTGGCTCCATCCTCCTCTGTATCTCCCCTCACCCACAATGCACACCCACGCTGGCCACATCTTTGGCCCTGGAGCCCACAGACTCACTCTTGATCCAGGGCACCAACCGCTTGTTCTTTCGTTTGGGACGTTTTCTCCTGGATCTCCATGCGGCCGCTCCTCGTTGAGGCCACGGCCAGCTGTCACCTTCTCCCGGAGACTTGGAGCTTTTCTCAGCATCTCCTCCTTCTCTACCCCCAGGAACATTCTCTGAGGCATTACTTCATCTTCATCTTTCCCAAAGCGCAGTAAGTGCTGGACATCCACTTGTTCATGTACTTATCTAATGTGTTTATTATCCGTCTCCCTTCGTAAGAACCCAAGTCCTCGGAATACAGGGACTCTGGCTGTGCTGTCCCCCACCCACCGTGACCCCAGAGAGAGCCTTCCCCAGTGCAGGGACACGTGTAGAACTGGGTGGGGAGTGGAAACCGCTTGTCAGAACCAGGCAAGGTATCTGAGCAGCATCAGCAGCACCCTTGCTACTGCTCTGCTTCCTCTCTACTCAGCTGTGAGCCTTGTCTCCAGAATCGGTGGAAAGAGAGAGAAACACGGTTGACCAGCATGAGGTCCTCAGGCGGAGACAAGGCTCAGAAACAACAGATTGTGCTTTGTTCCTTGTCAGTCACAGAGCCTGTGCCAGCACCCAGACTTCTGGAGACCCAACCCAAGCTGAGCCCACATCTCTTCCTTGTGTTTCTAAACCCAACCCACCTGCCCCAGATCTGGTGGAGAGGGCATTTGGCATATGACCTGTCTTGACCTCTCTGCCAACTCACAGATATCTAGCCAGGCCAGGGTCACTTTATTAGGGAGAGAGGAAGAGGTGAAGGCAGGAGGGAAAGATCAGAGGAGGAGGTGCAGGGAGAGGGGGAGACAAGCTTGTTAGGGAAAGGGAAGGGAAGAATCCAATCAGCAGAAAGAGGCAGAAGCAGGATGTGAGACACAAAATCGAGAAATAATTCTTAAATTAGATGCCTGACTCTGGCATGGATTTCATAGCGCATTATGAGATTCTCATGCAAACCAGTGCCTCTGTTTTATTTATGCAAGAAACAGGCTGAGAGATCAGTGCTGAGATTCATGAACTTGAACTACACCAGATCTAGTAGTAGTGAGTTTTTTCACCCTCAGCTCCCTACCTTTCAGTGTATGCAGCTCTCAGTGGGGAAATAATCTTCCCTTTGATTTTGAATGGTCTCTTCGTCTTTCAGAATCCTTGGGGCAGCAGTGGGATGTTGGTAAGTCATTCACTCAAGAGCCTGGCCTGGTAGATATGGATTTATAGACACAATGTCTATAGATAAAGAGTCTCTGGACCCAGAAGGACCATGAAGCAATTTCAGTGCAAAACATGGTCTTTTTTATTAGCCTCATCCATTCATTCATAAGCTATGGTATCGCAAGTGTGCAAAGACCCAGCCATCCATCCCCTCATTCACTCGAAGGGTAAGTGCTGAATATCTATTGTGTGAAGAAGACTGTGGGAGGCACTGTGGAGGGTAGAGGGGAAAGGGAAGCTGGCCTGCTGCTTGGAAAGACCAGAAACAGAGTTTACAGCAACTCACGAAAGCTGCTTGGCCACATAACCTGTCAAGTGTAAAATAAGGACGGCACTAGGTGATTATGTATCATGACAGAGTTAGCTCAAACAGCCTTCCCCGATTCTCAGGTCTGACTTCCCCATTTACTGGTGAAAATATTTGCTGCATAGTTGGGAGAAAACTATTTTATTCACTAACTTAATCATTTTAGACATACAATCAATGATTTCTATTTTTAAAAAAGGGGTTTGTGCAAAATTTCAAACGTGCTTAAAGGTAGAGAGGTTTTATCTTTCATAACTGCTTCATCTATTCATTTATAACATTTTGCATCTGTTTTTGATGAATGTCAGATATTGTATCATTTCACTCCTAAAGACTTCAGTGTATAGCTCTAAAAAATAGAAGTTTTTATCTATAACCAAAATGCCATTATTACATCTGGCACAATGAACAATAAATTCTTACATGTACCCCATGCCCAGCCCATAGTCATGCCTCTCTGCCCACTCATGAACATCTTTATCCAGTCGGTCAGTTTGAATCAGAATCCAACAAGGTAGACACATTGATTCAAGTGGAGTCTCTTAAGTCTCTTTATTGCTCAGAAGTCCCTGGCCCCCTTTTGTTTTGTGCATTAACTTTTTTCCCAACATTATATTACTTGTCCTGTACATTCCAGCCGTAGATGATTTGTCTGGTTGTTCCTTGTGGTGTCATTTGAGTTCATCTTCTATTCCCCATGTTTTTGTAAATGGAAGGTAGAACCTTGAGTAGTTTAAGATGTAATGTTTTGAGCAAGAATAGTTTAAATATGATACTTTAGCATCTTTAAAATACTTTAAATATGATACTAAAGAGTACTTTAAATATGAATACTTTAAATATGATACTAAAGAGTACTTTAAATATGAATACTTTAAATATGATACTAAAGAGTACTTTAAATATGAATACTTTAAATATGATACTAAAGAGTACTTTTCACACTGGGGACACACTTTATGGTTGTCCTATCCTGAGGGACAATCAGGGAATATAGGTGGTAGCAATTTAATTTGTCCATTGTCAAATTCTCCACCCATCATTCATCTAATGAATGTATCCATTGATGATCATTGCCTAGGTCAATCAATTCCTTTGGGTTGACATAACAGTGATTTTTAAGATATATATAATTCTTCTAAACTTAACAGCTTATAGTTTTTAATGAATAAAACTTAAAAAGACCCTAATAAGTACTTAGTGATATCTCTGTACAGTAACATTATTATTATTATTATTTTGAGACAGAGTCTCGCTCTGTCTCCCAGGCTGGAGTGCAGTGGCACGATCTTGGCTCACTGCAACTGCCACCTTCCAGATTCAAGCAATTCTCCTGCCTCAGCCTCCTGAGTAGCTGGGATTACAGGCATATGCCACCACGCCTGGCTAATTTTGTATTTTTAGTAGGGACAGGGTTTCACCACGTTGGTCAAGCTGGTCTCGAATTCCTGACCTCGTGATCAACCTGCCTCAGTCTCCCAAAGTGCTGGGATTATAGGCGTGAGCCACTGCGCCCGGACTTAACTGATTTTTATGTGCAATGGAGGGAGGAGACTGGGTCTCTCTAAGGGTTTTCATTTTTTATAAAAGAGGGTGGACGCCAAGTTAGTTCAACTCCATCCATTGCTTACTGAGATTTGACTCATGCAGGGCTCTTTGATTTGTGCCTGGAGACCTGAGCTACCTCTGCCTTCAAGAAGTTCGGCGTCAGGAGAGGAGAAATAACAAACACAGTTCCATTGTACTCGACACTGTGTATCAGAGCCATGTGAGATGCAAGCTCAGCATAAGAGCAGATATGATCAGATAAACCTCCACAGAACAGGACAATTTCACAAAAGATGGGACACAGCAGTTTACCCTTGAAAGATAAGTTATATTTCCACATGGATGTGGGTTGGAATGCAGAGATCTCCTGGAAGGGCAGAACAGTAGAAAGGCCGTAGATGTGAGGCGGCTCCCCATGGCTGGGGAACTATTAAGTGGCCAGGCACGTGCAGCAGGATAGAGTAACCATCTAATTAATTATCCAAACCAGGATCTGCTGAGACTAAAAGGAGCCATGACCCAGGCAGACCTGGAAATGAGGTTCCCTAAACATACAGCTCAAAGTAGGGAGGGTGGAGAATGGAACTGGAGCTGTGAGTGGGAACCCCTGCAGGACCCAGGATGTTAAGAAGATGGGTCGGCAGGTGTTGGTGTTCACTTGGTGTGTTCAGCAGAATAACGCCCAAAGGAGGCCGACGCCCTACTCCTTGGAAGCTGCAAACGGGTCGGTTTCATAACAGGGCAAACGGGAATCGAGGTTGCAGGAATTAAGGCTGCTAATCAACTGACTGAAATAGGCAGATTATCCTGGATTCCCTGGAGGTGGAGGCAACATAATCCAGGGGTCTCAAAAGAGGAGAGTGGCAGAGGAGAAAGTCCGAGAGAGAAAGGACAACAGAAGCAAGGTCACCGTAAAGCACGGTGAAAAAGATTCAACCTGTCTTGCTGGCTTTGGAGATAGAGGTGGATGCTGCAAGCCAAGGAATGTGGACAGCCTCTAAGACGGGAAACAGCAAGGAAACAGACTTCCCTCAATGTCTCCAGAGAGGCAGGCAGCCCTGATGATGCTTCAGACTCTATCAGACCTCTGACTGTAGAGCTATAAGCTAATAAATTTGTGTTGTTTTGCTCCACTAAATTTGGGGTAATTTGTAAAAGCAGCAACAGAGAACTAATGCAATGGGCTCTGGTAGCAAGAGGGGTAGAGTGAATCTCAGATTTCAGTTTTGGAAAGCAGGGTTTGTCCTGGGAGCATTCATTGATAAACAATAAAGACAACTGGGTTCAAGGACAAACATGTATTCAATTTTGTAGACGAAATTATCCAACTCTTCAGTAGCCATGGATGGTGGCAGTCCTGAGGTCAATAGTATAGCCAGGCTGGGCACGGTGGCTCATGACTGTAATCCCAGCACTTTGGAAAGCTGAGGTGGGAGGATAGCTTTAGCCCAGGAGTTCAAGACCAGACTGAGCAACATAGTAAGCCCTGTCTCTAAAAAATAAAATAAAACAAAAAAACAGAGCCAGGAGTGGCTGTGTGCATTTATAGTCCCAGCTACTTGAGAGGCTGAGGTGGGAGGATCACTCAAGCCCAGGAGCTGGAGGTTGCAGTGAGCTGAGATGGCACCACTGCAACTCCAACCTGGGCAACAGAGCGAGACCCTGTCTCAAAAAATGTATATACTACAGGCAAAGATCAGTTGGCTGGTCCACATGCTATGCAGCACATCGTGGAATGAGAAAACTCCTCAGAACCAGCCTAACTCACAGTGAGAAGTGTTATGAGTGTTTGAAATCCCTTAGGTTATGAGATGTCTGGGTTCTTTTCCCTGACCATGCCCAGGGATCTTGTCCCATTGGTTGGTATTTCACAAAATAAATAACCACCAAATAGGTTACATAACTCCATGTGATAACTACAGTGTACATTTATTGTTTGTACATGCAAAGCAAAACAATGATCTCTTTCAGAAGGCTTTGTTCAAACTGTGAATTTACAGAGAAGACTGCTCCCTCTGACCTCAAGATTGTCACACTACTAACCCAGAGTAATTACAGAAATCCATCCTTGCCAGAGGTTTGTTCTGGAAGTGGACACATGAGCCCTTACAGACCCGGGATGGTATAAACTTTACAGGGCAGGTAGGCCTATTTCACCGGGCCGCAGAGTTATTAGGATGTAATCCCAGAGTCTCCAGGCTTCATGTCTCTGTATGTGGTACAAGTTGTATCAATCAGTTCAGGCTAATTTTCTTTAATTTTATTTAATTTAATTTTATTTTTTTGAGACAGAGTCTTGCTCTGTTGCCCAGGCTGGAGTGCAGTGGCGGGATCTCGGCTCACTGCAAGCTCCACCTCCCGGGTTCACACCATTCTCCTGCCTCAGCCTCCCAAGTAACTGGGACCACAGGCACCCGCCACCACGCTTGGCTAATTTTTTTGTATTTTCAGTAAAGACGGGGTTTCACCGTGTTAGCCAGGATGGTGTTGATCTCCTGACCTTGTGATCCACCTGCCTTGGCCTCCCAAAGTGCTGGAATTACAGACATGAGCCACGGCGCCTGGCCTATTATTATTTTTTAAGTCCTAGGATACATATGCGGGATCTGCAGTTTTGTTACACAGGTAAACGTGTGCCATGGTGGTTTGCTGCACCCGTCAACCCATCACCTAGGTATTAAGCCCAGCATGCATTAGCTCTTTTCCCTGATGTTCTCCCCACCAAGCCCCTCCCCAACAGGCCCCAGTGAGTTTTGTTCCCCTTCCTATGTCCATGTGTTCTCACTGTCCAGCTCCCAGCTGTAAGTGAGAACATGCAGTGTTCAGGCTAATTTTTTTTAAGTTTTACTTTAAGTTCCAGGATACATGTGCAGAACATGCAGTTTTATATAGGTATACATGTGCCATGGTGGTTTGCTGCACCTTTGAACCCGTCATTGAGGTTTTAAGCCCCACATGCGTTAGATATTTGCCCTAATGCTCTCCCTCCCCTTGCTCCCCACCCTCCGATAGGCCCTGGTGTGTGTTGTTCCCTGCAACTTCAGGAAAGTCTCAGGGTACAAAACCAATGTGCGAAAATCACAAACATTCCTATACATCAACAACAGACAAACAGAGAGCATAATCATGAGTGAACTCCCATTCGCAATTGCTACAAAGGGAATAAAATATCTAGGCATCCAACTTACAAGAGATGTGAAGGACCTCTTCAAGGGGAACTACAAACCACTGCTCAAGGAAATAAGAGAGGACACAAACAAATGGAAAAACATTCCATCCTCATGGATGGGAAGAATCAATATCATGAAAATGGCCTACTGCGCAAAGTAATTTATAGATTCAATGCTATTCCCATCAAACTACCATTGACATTCTTCACAGAATTAGAATACTTTAAATTTCATATGGAAGCAAAAAAGAGCCCATATAGCCAAGACAATCCTAAGCAAAAAGAACAGACTATTTTATTTTTATTTATTTATTTTTTTGAGATGGAGTCTTGCTCTGTTGCCCAGGCTGGAGTGCAGTGGCATGATCTCAGCTCACTGCAATCTCTGCCTCTTGGGTTCAAGAGATTTCCGGCTAATTTTGGTATTTTTAGTAAAGACAGGATTTCACCATGTTGGCCAGGCTTGTCTTGAACTCCTGACCTCAAGTGATCTGCTCACCTCAGCCTCCCGGAGTGCTAAAATTACAGGAGTGAGCCACCACATCTGGCCAAAAACAGGCTAATTTTTAATTGCATTAACAAACAATCTCCAAGTGTCAATGGCTTGAGATAGGAAACCTTTGTTTCTTATGTTACAGATCAGCTGCAGGGTCGCTGCTCCGGGTGCTTCCTCATCCTGGGATTCTAGCAGAAAGAAGAGTCTCTGTCTGAAGGACCCATGAGCCAGGACGATGGAGAATGAGGCAGGCCCAGTCAGTGCCTCCTAAGGCTCCTGTCAAAGGCCAAGGGAGTCAGTGCTGCCACATTCCATGGGCCAGACAAGTCTTGATAAGCCTGATGTCATCGGGTGAGGAAGAGTAATCCCTACTGAGAGAAGAGAGGAGCTGGGAGCGCTGTTACCACCTGGGTCTGTTGATGAGACCTGGAACGGGTGAGGGAGAGAAGGCATCACGGTGGTGCTGACGTTCTGGGTTCCAGATATGACGGGTGAGGGAGAGAAGGCATTCCTATGGTGCTGACGTTCTGGGTTCCAGATACTCCTGAATGCTGAGTGTATGATCGATCCCAGTGACTGCTTTGTTTTACAAAAGGGGAGTTGGGTTGGATTTCCACCCTTGGTATTGTAAAACATCCTCGCTGGTTTGCATTTAATTCCTTTGAAGAGCATGCTTGCTATGGAAGCTGAAATCCAGGATGGGCTCATGTGAATAAGACCTTAACTTCACGCCATCCACTTTCTTCTGGCAGTCAGATCACCTGTCTGATATGGTTATTCAAAAATCCTGATGGAACTTCTTTGTAGGCTTTTTAATTGAATCAGAACATAAATGAAGTAAGCTGTACAAATCAAGTTTATAGCTCACTGGTTTTTTATAAAGGGAAATGTGTCGAGTCAGATGATAAAAAATTAAATGTTACTGTCCTTCCATAAGCCTTCCTCATGACTCTCTCAGGGTTAATACCATTGAACTTTCCGTAAATGATATGGTGCATACACAACTTTGTATTTGTAAGGTCCATTTGTTTGTTGTGTTTAGCCATATCTTGTTCTTTGTGTTGCTGTATATTTTGTTGTATCGTATATAATATTGTATGATATGAATATGCCACAGTTCATGTATCCAGTCTACTGTTAGTGGACATTGGGTACATTCTGAATTCTAGGCTTTTACAATGAAAGCTTCTTTTCTCCTTCTGCTGTGCATGTATTCACACTTCTGTTGAGCACAGATCCAGAAGTAGGAACGCTGGGTCAGCGGCCCCTGAGAGTCTGCGCTTGTGGATGAGTCTGTCTCTTAGTTCTGTAACTTTTTGGTTCACATACTTTGATATTATATGAAGTGGATTGCTCTGTTATTGATAATTGTTTTATCTACCTGTTGAATTGGCCTTTGGGTGGTTATGAAATGCCTCTCTTCCTCTAACATCGCTCACCACCTGCAGTCCGCAGTGTCTGATATTAGTTAAACTGTGGAAGCTTTTCTTCAGTTAGTGATGGCATGGGGGTACTTTTGGTATCGTTTTACCTTCACCTTTCTTTGCTCCATTTCAGTTTAATTTCTGCTACTTGCTACTGTTGTTGTTATCTGAGATTTCTGAATCCTATGTGATCATCTTTGCTTCTTATTTGGAGTATGTAGTTAATTTTCATTTAGTGCATTAGATTGAACCATGTGGAACTGCAATATTAGATTTTTTAAACAAAAAAGAGATAATTTCATATGCTTCAACCTAGTAATTACTACGTAGTTGGTTTAAATCTATAGTCTAATCTTTTGCTTTCTATCTGTTCCTGGCTTTTTCCTTTTTCCTTCTCTTCTTGGTTTATTTTATTTCATTTTATTTTATTTTTTGCTACTTTTTTATTTTATTATTATCATACTTTAAGTTTTAGGGTACATGTGCACAACGTGCAGGTTTGTTACATATGTATACATGTGCCATGTTTGTGTGCTGCACCCATTAACTGGTCATTTAGCATTAGGTATATCTCCTAATGCTATCCCTCCCCCCTCCCTCCACCCCACAATTTTATTTCAGTATGTTTTATTATTCCATTTTCTTTGCTATTAGTTTGTTACATATCTATTTATTATTATTTTAGTGACTAAAATATATATTATAATAGAAACAATTGGTATATTACTACCAACCTTACATTAGTAGTTTTACCACCTCCTGAACAACACAAGGTCTTACAACACTCAGGTTCATTCACTGGCCTGCCTTCTTTGGGGTTTAGCCTAGATTATCATTCCTAATTCTTCACTAATTCTTCAATCCCTCCTTAACAGGATTTTAATTCATGCCATTTGCTACATAACCTTGTAATTCCTCCTACTCGAAGGGGAGGAGTATATTTCACCATGCCATCATGTTTGGTTCGGCTCATGATCTGTTTTGGAAATGACACGTGAGAATGAGACAGGGGACCCACACATACTCAACACTCTATGAGACAATGTATTAGTCCATTTTCATGCTTCTATAAAGAAATACCCAAGACTGGGCAATTTATAAAGGAAAGAGGTTTAATTGACTCACAGTTTCACATGGCTAGGGAGGCCTCAGGAAACTTACAATCATGGCAGAAGACGAAGGGGAAGCAAGCACCTTCTTCACAAGGCAGCAGGAGAGAGAAGGGCATGTGAAGGAGTAACTTCAAACATAAAGCCAACTGATCTCATGAGAACTCACTCACTATCACGAGAACAGCATGCAGAAAACCAGCCCCATGATCAAATCACCTCCTACCCGGTCCCTCCCTCGACACGTGGGAATTATGAGGATTACAATTCGAGATGAGATTTGGGTAGGGACATGGGGCCAGACAATATCAGACAGCAAGCGTTGTCCATTGTCCTCTGTTGCTTATCCATTTGCCATGTACGGGACACGCTCCAACCATCCCAGGAGTCCAAGGAGAATTGACAAGTGAAGAATGGCCTGGGGCCACACCAGGCAATGTCCAGCTGTGCTCAATCTGCTGGTGACCCCATTTAATTAATCTTCATTCTGGATCTCAGTTTTCATTTCTGTCATTTCCATTTGGATGTTTCTATAGTTTCCATCTATCTGGTGAAATTTCCAGCTTGTTTCTACCTCTCTACGAGGTCCTTTAACATAGCTGCCATAGGCATATTAAAGGGCCTTATTTATTAGATGATGCCACCATCCAGGCCCTCTCTAGACATTTCATGGCCATTTTTCCTCATAACCGTGGGTCTCCTTTTCTTATTTCTTCTTCATGTGTCGTGTCAAATTTATTTTATTCTGGAGACTGTTTGTTTAAAAAAAAAAAAAAGTAGACCAAAGTAAATAACGTTTAGCTCCAGAAGAAAGCATACCCTGCTCCTGCCCGACCATGGTGTGGGGAGTTGGTGTGGGGAGAATCCATCCACTCAGTAGTTGAGTTGGGCCTGGGCTTTAGATTGAGTTCATCATTTGACTGGAACATTTTGAGGGTGAGATCAGGACCTCTCCTTTAGCATGTCCTGTGATCTGAGCACCAGTGAGATTCCAGGACTCTCCTTGTGCCTTGGGGCCCAGATATCAACTTTCCAAATCATAGGAATCTCTTTTCCTGATTTTCAACCAATCTGCCAGCTTTGTGGATTGCTAGGAAATGCTTTTGCCCCTCCAGTCCTGTCCCCAGCTTTCTGCACCTCAAAAGATGTGTCTGCAACCTTCTTCCAGTTTCAGTCTGCTCCTGCCTTGAAGCAGTTCCTGGCAAGGCTCCTGCCCTGTTCTAGATTTTGATGCTTTGGCATTGCATTCAGCAAAAGCCTGCAGACCAGCATACCACACAGAGACCGCATTCCACATTGCAGCACGACAGCTCCCATTTAAGCAGCTCAACTCCTGAATTATTTGTGAACTATTGAGAAACATCATCATGCCCTTAATATTCTGCAAATACCATGCGCTGTCCCTAGTGTGAATGCCTCAGAGCTTGCAAGACTTGGAAATATATGAATATATGATTTGAGGAGAGAGCAAGCTCAAAAGGCCACTTAGCCCATTAGAATGCATTTGACTTTAATATTCAATTCCCTCTAGATATTATTTAATTGTTTCCTAAGTGAGCCTAGCATTTTGACTCAATATTGGTTTTCCCCTCTTAATTTCCATGTATGGCCCCTTCTGCCTGAATCCAAAATAGTAATGTAACCTCATCAACACTGTTTAGGATTCAAGGCAGTTGAATTAAATCATTGACTAACAGTTTATTCTCTTGGCTCTGAAGACTAAATGCTGCTCAGCTTGTCTACAGTGGGCATCTCTTTTCTTCCGAGAGCTTCCTGATTTACTTTACTCTGTGATGAGAAAAATGTGTGCAACAAAAGAGAGCCTGTTTCTGAAGGAAAGAGTACCTGAGGCAGTGGCTCACACCTGTAATCCCAGCACTTTGGGAGGCCAAGGCAGGCAGATCACCAGGTCAGGAGATCGAGACCATCTGGCTAACACGGTGAAACCCCGTCTCTACTAAAAAATACAAAATATTAGCTGGACGTGGTGGCAGGCACCTGTAGTCCCAGCTACTCAGGAGGCTGAGGCAGGAGAATGGCGTGAACCCAGGAGGGAGGCGGAGCTTGCAGTGAGCCGAGATTGTGCCACTGCACTCCAGCCTGGGCAACAGAGCGAGACTCTGTCTCAGAAAAAATAAATAAATAAAGAGTACCTGATAATCAAAAACAGCCCCACGCTCATGGTAGCAGAACTGTGAATGGTGGGGCAGCAAAGCCCTTTGCATGTCAACACTGTCTGCGACCTTGTCTGCCATTTCCAGAAGCTCAGCCCTGACCAAGCCAGGCCACACCCCAGCCCAGGGCTCCCATGAGTCTCCCTGTTATGGCTTGAATGTCTCCCCCAAATTTCATGTGTTAGAAAATTAATCCCTAAATCATACATTGATTAGAGGTGGGGCCTTTGGGAAGCAACTAGAATTAGATAAGGTCATCAAGGTGGTGTCCCCATCATGGACCTGGTGGCTTTATAAGAAGAGGAAGAGACTTGAGCTGACACTCATCCTCTTGCTTTCTCACATTGTGAGCCTCATGCCATGTCATACTGTAGCAGGAAGGTCCTTGCAAGATGCCAGCACCATGCTCTTGGACTTCCCAGCCTCTAGAACTGTGAGCTACATAAACTTATTTATAAATTACCCGTTTTGTGGTATTATATTATAGCAACAGAAGTGGACTAGGCACTACCTTTCCCTGATGAGTATCTTCGGTGCCATTTGAGGATACTTCTCTGCCTCTTTGGCAACCTGGTTCTCCCTGCCTCTGCAGTTTCATGCTCCATAGTTCTGTCTGCTAGGCTTGTTCTCTATCACTGCTTCAGATGTTTTCCTAAAACTACTTCTATCAGAAGAAAAGTAAATGTGTAATATGGGGGAGATGATCTAAGCCACACAACCTAAAGGAGCCTCTTAGGGCATGGGAGCTCTTAATGATATTATTTACCTTAAATTCCTGAACATTCCACTCCATTTCATATCTGCATTTGTTTTCATGAAAAATAAAGAATTTGTTTTCATGAAAAATAAAGATTTAAATTACCACTGAGTAATATTAACTATGTGAAATCAGTCTAAAGACAGCCCATGTCCCCTGAGGTTATCTGAGGCTGAGAAAACATGTGCAGGTTGTCCAACAAAGAAAAACACTCAGCCCGGTGTGGTGGCTCATGCCTGTAATCCCAGCACTTTGGGAAGCTGAGGCAGGCAGGATCACCTGAGGTCAGGAGTTCGAGACCAGCCTGGCCAACATGGTGAAACCCCGTGTCTATAAAAATACAAAAATTAGCCGGGCGTGGTGGCAGGCGCTTGTAATCCCAGCGACTCGGGAGGCTGAGGCAGGATAATTGCTTGAACCTGGGAGGCAGAGGTTGCAGTGAGTCAAGAGCATGCCACTGCACTCCAGCCTGGGTGACAGAGCCAGACTCTGTCTCAAAAAAATAAAATAAATACATACATAAATGAAAACCACTTAATAAATGTTCAGATGGTCTCAAGTTAGGCACCGTGAGGTGCCAGCAAGGGCCATATAATGGAAGAAGAATGAACAGTAGAGAAACTCAACTCTTGAGCTTGGACCCAAAAGAAGGGAAAAGTTTAATGATTCAGCTCTCAGTGTTGGTTCTGCAGTTGGTGAGGTAGGCAGAATCAGCCTAAGAAGCAGATCAAATTAACTGTTACAAGATTTCCACCAGAGAAGAGGAGGAAACAAGATGAGAGAAATGCATCCCTAAAGGCTGAGCCCATTGCTTTAGAAAGAGGGTTTAATTTACTCAAGTCCGAGAAAATTCAGAACCCAGTGGAAGCCCAGGACTGGGGAAGGTCATGTCAGAGGTCATGTACACCGCTGAGGCAATCATGGGCACAGCTTAACATCTTCCACAGTAATTGTCTACTTTAATGCAGAAATCTGCTAAGAGCACCTCCTGCTGGGATCACCTGGGAGACTGAGGCAATCTTGCCAACTGCCAACATTCCTGTTGGAACCACAGCCATTAGTCAATGATGTGGGCAACTTTATTTCTGAATTGGATTGAAATTATTTTATAGTAAAATTTATAATAAGCTTATATAGATGTATATGCATATCTTTTTTTTTCAAGAGAGCTGGTTAACACCAACACCCCACTACAATAACCTTAATGAAGCAGGTATGATTATTATTTCTTATTTTCAGCTTTATTGGGGTGTAATTGACTATTAGAATTGTACGTATTTAAAGTGTACAGGCTGGGTGCGGTGGCTCATGCCTGTAATCCCACCACTTTGGGAAGCCGAGGCGGATGGATCACCTAAGGAGAGGAGTTTGAGACCAGCCTGGCCAACATGGTGAAACCCCATCTCTACTAAAAATACAAAATTAGCTGGGTGTGGTGGCACACACCTGTAGTCCCAGCTACTTGGGAGGCTGAGACAGGAGAATCGCTTGAACCCAGGAGATGGAGGCTGCAGTAAGCCGAGATCATGCCACTGCACTCCAGCCTAGGTGAGACAGAGCGAGATTCCGTCTCATAAATAAATAAATAATAAAGTGTATAACTTGATGCCTGATACATTGTGAAATGATTACTATCACCTAGCTAATTAGCATAGCCATCACCGTACATTGTTACCATTTTCTTCTTTTGTTCTGTGAGAACACTTAAGATTTACTCTTAGCCAATTTCAAGTATAGGATACAGTGTTATTACCTATAGACACCATACTGCACACCAGGTATAATTTTTATTATCCCTATTTTAAAGATGAGGAAGCAGAGGCCAGAGAGCCTACACAAGTTACACAGCATCACACAGCTATTGAGTGACAGAGCTGGGATTTGAAATGTGCCCCTCCAGTCCAGGTCCTAGACTCTTATCTACTATCCTGTCTTTCCCCCTGGATTCAATCTCTTCCTCCCCTGGATTACCAGAACATTTTGTGCAAACCTTTCTCTCACTGTAATGATCATTGCAGGATAATTAAGTGCGGTTAATTCTTTTTCTTTTTCCCCAATAGACTCCTTCATTTCTCTTCCTCCAGTGGCTATAGCACCGTCCCTAACAAACAGTAGGCACTCAATAAATGTTTAAATGAATCGATAAATAGATCATGCTGTCCCCCATGTGCCTGCACTTTCTGCCCTTAGCCTTGTGGTGCAGGTGCAGCTCCAGCTCCTCTGCCTCTGCAGCCCCCGCCCTGACGTCTCCCCACCTGGCCGCAGTGCAGCTCTCTCCAGGGGCCGTCCCCTTGCTGTCCCAGAGCCCCCGCCTGTGCCTTCTCTGTCCTCCCATCAGGCTGCTCTGGTACCTTCTGCAGATGGTTTGTGTTCACTTGGTTTTCCCTGCACCCCAAAGTGCTTCCCTTTGAGGACAGGGATTCGGTAGGCATGTGGCAGGGCCCATCATGCGTGAGGCCGTGGTTGTGAGTGGACAATGGAGACTCTGCCTTTGCAGGCATCCAGCCTGGACTTCTTGCTGAGCTTTGGATCCTCCACTGCTCCCCAGTCACCGCCAGCTTTCTGTAGGCTCTTGGTGGGTGAGGGGCAGGTGGAACACAGCCCTCTGCAGACATGCTTCCATCACTCTGCAGGATTGAGAGGGCAGGGCAGCCTGGCCTCAATCCAGACCCAAGGAAAAAAGATGGCTTTCCCGGTGCTGGCTGGAAGATGAAGGCGTCATATGTTTAGAAGAAGAGCACACCAAGGGCCCTGCTGCTGTATCTGCTTTTGCAGTCAATGGTGACTCCTTGTCCATCTGCACAAACCGTACAATCTTAATCAATGGCAACTTCCCAATACTGTGGCGATAGGGGAGCTCCAGTGGGGCAGGGGGCCGAGCCCCTCGCAGGAGAAAGAAGGTGGCGGGGCTTAAGTGAGGGAAGACGATCCAACCCTGACCATCCTGACTGTTGGGTGAAGTTCCCAGGGATGACCGGCAACCCTTCCTCACCACCAGCTGCCTGCCTGGCAAGGAAACAGGGGGCATCAGATCTGGGTGTCTTGTGTTAAAGTCCTTCTTGTTTGCCCTCGTCCAGGACTGATATAACCTAGATCTAGGCAACAGGGAGGGGCTGCTGGGGAACTCTCTCAGGCCCGTCCTGCCTTGTACGTACCCTCCCAGGCCTGATGGGTGAGATGTACTCTCCTCATGGGTGTGTGCAGTGGTACCTGAAAGGAAAAAATCTCAGCTCTCCATCTCTCATCCTGGGCCAGCTTCCTGGCGCCTCTATCCTTAGCTGTGTGACTTGGAAAAGTCACTGTGCCTTCTGGAGCCTCAGTTGCTTCTTCTGTCAAAAGGATTGAATAGTTCTTGTTGGGCAAATGCTAATGAGAATAAAAGCAAGTGCCTCTAACATCAGTAGATGCCATCTTTCCTTTGTGGTCGTCATTGTGGTTTCATACCCAGCACAAAGATCTTCCCACCCGCAGGTCACTCACAGCACTGGCGTGGATTCTTGAAACCACAACTACAAATAGCCTTGTTCTCGATACTTATATTTGCTTGTGAATTACAGAAGTAAAAAATTAAAGAATTTTTCTTGTCAACAATCCCAGTAATAGAGGTCATATAGAGGTCATAGGATGCTTCTCACTCCATCGATTCCTCTCCCCACCTCTACCAGAAGTAACCCTGTGTCAGGGCAGGAGGTGTTGGAAGGTTATTTTTTCAACCTTGGAAGCACCATGAGGCAGCAGGAGCTGGCTGCCACCTCTGATGAATGTCTGTACACCTCCGTTTGAGGTCAGGAGCTGGTGGTTCCTGCCCTATCCGTCTCTGTACCGAGGCTCCTCTGGGTGATTATTTCTGAGAATATGGGCTGTTGGGATGACAAACGCCCTCGCAGCCGTGCTCACTGGCTACCTAATTACTGTGTAGAGGTTTGCCCAGCACACGGCCCCAGCATCCGTTCTAAAGGAATGTCACACCAGGCCTGAAAAACTACCTCCCACAATCTCCACTTTGTGCGGACATGAAAACTGAGCCTCTGGCAGAAAAGTTTCCAAGAACTCAAGAGGTGGGAGGTGACACAGCTTTGTCACCCGTCTTCTGACTTCTGAGTCAATGTTTTGTTCTGTTTTACTTTCACTACTCCTCGGTGTCTATAACAATTTTATTGTACAATTATGTAGTCACGCTCTCCTCAGTCCCTCTGCAAACCCTTGGGACCCGGCATGCCACGCAGTAGGACAGGAGACCCACCGTGGGTCATAAGACTCCCCAAACGCAGCCGCAACAGCTCACAATGTCCACCAGGATTCAGAAAGAGATAGAGAGGCAGAGACACAGAGATAGGAAGAGAGGGAGAGAGAAGGAGAGAGAAAGGGAGAGGAAGTGGCAAGAAGAGAGCGTTATCTGTGAAGGACATTTCTCAAATCCCCATTTTGTGCCCAGGACCCAGCCTTGCAACGGGATGGTTTGGGGAGCATCGCGAGTGTGGTGCCAGCTCCACAATCAGCACGGGGGAAATGAAGGCCTAATCATCACTGCTTTCGCCTCCTGATGATGTTTTGTCTTATATGCCAATTTCTGCAGAAATAATTGATTTTATGGCTTAATTTCATTCCTTGCCTGTCATGTTGAAGACATAAGCACATAATGAGATTGTTGTCTAACATTCACTGGGATTAAACGCCAGTAGAGTATCTGGGATTAATCAGCCCTGTTTCTTTCATTAGATTATCTGGAGCAGCTCAAGCAAACAAGCAGGTTTTGCTCAGCTTGCAGCCTGTCCCCAGCAGATGTGGCCCAAAAGTGCACAGCGATTCCCAGGTAGCTGGCTGTAAAGGTATCTTCTGTAAAAAGGCCGCCAAGAGAACAAGAGAAAAGGTCAGACGGCCAGCAGGAACCCTGGCCTTCAGGCAACGTCCAGGAAACCAGACAGAGGTGTGGGGTGGCGTTTTCCCGCAATAGCGCCTCAGAGATTCAATAAATCGGGCAAAGAATATATGAAGGTTCAGGGTAGTGGCAAGAATGCCAGCCCACTGGGCAGGGGCAGGAGCACAGGGTCCAACCCAGAACTGCTTTAACCTGGCGCTGAGTTCTGAGCGAGCCTCCCGCCTCTCTGCCCCTGAGTCTCCTGCCTGGGAAATGTAGGGATGTGCGGGAGCCTGTCCCTGGGCCCCCTTTTAAAGGCAGGAGGCACGGGGAGGGGCATCAGTCAGCGGACCAGCCTCTTGCTGGCTCTGTGATTCTAGGCATGTTGTCCAAGCTTTTCAGCTCCCTTTCCTGAAATAACAATGAATTTATATACTTCACATGGTCTTAGAGTAGAATTGCCAGATAAAATACAGGATCGTCAGCTAAATTTAAATTTCAGATTAATTTTCCAGTATGAGTGCATCCCACATGTTACTTGGGACATATTTATACTAAAAAGTTATGTGTTTATCTGGAATTCAAAGTTAACTGTACACCCTGTATTGTTATTTTTTTAATATGGCAACTCAATCTTAGAAACAAAACAATCTGATATCTATTCCTTCTTATTATTTCATGTATTCAATCAACAACGATTTCCCCAGCACCTACTATGTGCCAGACACTGTTTTATTCCATGAGAAAAAAATAGCAAAGAATGAATGTCAAGCACATGTGATATAAATAGCACTCCCCAAATCAGCTACACTCAAATGCCCACACCCTTAGTTCCATCGGCCACTCCATGAATACTTCCAGAGAGCTTTCGTCCTTCGGGGGCTGTTCTAGGTGTGGGGCTACATCAGTGGCCTGGATGGAAAAATGTCCTTGCACTCATATCCCAGAGAGGTGAGTTAGCAACAGGGGTGAGTTAGCAAGGAAACAGCAGATACAACATGCAGGTACATAGTGCATCAGAAAATGACCCATGCTAGGGCAAATCCAGTGCTGGCAGCTCCCGACTTTAGTGCTAAGCCAACTCCCCTGTGCCCAGGGCAGCTCATACTGGACCCACCGTCCAGGCTCCAAGGCAAGTGGCTTCACACTAGCTCCCTCTTGCTGCCTCCTCCATTCCCTGAGAGTGTAGCTGTGTGTGTTGCCCTCTCAAAGGGACTTGGGAAAGTTACACACCCTGCCCTGTTCACATGCAGATGCACACATGCACACAATCATGTATGCACACATACACAGTCATGCATGCACACACATAATCATGCATGCAATCATGCATGCACACACATGCACACACATTCATGCACACACATACACACAACCATGCATGCACACACATGCATGCACACACATAATCATGCATGCACACACACAATCATGCATGCACATGCACAATCATGCATTCACACACAACCATGCATGCACACATACAATCATGCATGCATACACACAATCATGCATGAACACACACACATTCATGCACACACGTACACACAACCATGCATGCACACACACAATCATGCATGCACAGTCATGCATGCACACAGTCATGCATGCACACACACTCATGCATGCACACATGCATACACACACTGTTGCATGCACACACACATGATCTTGCATGGACACATACATACACACATTCATGCATGCACACACATGCACACACACGCATAGTCTTACACCAGGCATCTTTTCTTGCCTGAACCTCCTATGTTCTCTCTTTTCTAGCTTGTTTGAGGTGAACATGAGACACAAGCCTTACTGGCTGGTACAGACTCGGCCGCAGAAATTGCCATGTTAGCAGATAACAATGGTTGAATATTGGCAGTTTCACAGTATTCAAATGAATATTAGGGTACCATTATGTCCAAGGTGCCCTGAATGCCCAGATCCTACTTTGACCAGGTCATTTTTCCTGGCGATGAATTTCTGTAGGGAAAGAATCCATGTGGGATGTGGCAGGTCCCAAGTCGGAGCGGCACCTTCCACCACTTTATCACTCCTATCCTGGTGCTGCACTCTGTGGCAAGGCGAAATGGGAGCAGGTGACACGGGTTCAAAAGTCAGACATGAATCCTTCTCCCCTCTAAGGAGAGAACAGAAGAGGGCAGCGTGGCTGTGGAGCTGATGCTTCTGCCGCCTCAGATGATTTAAAAGGGAAGGTTGCACCGGGGCCTGCAGTCATCACCCCACAGCGACCGTCCGCTAGAAAACAGGGTGTGGCCCGGCACCCTCTTCCCTGCGCACCCCATCATTCTGTGTCCCCGAGACAAATCCCTGGCTGGGCTGTTCCCCACACTCATGCTGAACTCGACAGTGAGTAGCAATGTGCACAAAACAGGGAGCACTGTTCTCACTCCCACCACCCTCACCCCGCAGCCAAGCAGCCCACGGCCCGCAGGGGAGGGGGACTCGCATTCTGCACCCAACATTTTGCATCTCCGAAAATTACCACTTATTCTTCGATGGTAGTTGACAAAGGACCCATGTCCTGCACAGTGCTCAGGATTCAGAAAGCATTCTACCTCGTCCACAAAGCTCCTGACAGCTGATGTGGCTTCTCGGGGATCCATTGGGCCACCTGTGTCCCTCACGCAGCCTGACCTCCTAGAGCTGCCCTCCATCACTCACCTCGTGCTGCTAGACCGGCCCTCACCATCCCACGTGGAGAAGAGCCTCTTCCTGGCCTCCCTTCTCCCTGCATTCTCCCCTTCAGGCATGCTCTCTCTCAAACCCAGTCCTTCTGTCGACTTGGAACCCTTCAGAGGCTCTCCCGACTTCTGTAGGAAGAAATCCCATCTCATCACAGCATCTGTCCTGAATCTCCTGGTCTGTACCCATGTCTGTGGCCTCTCCCCCTCAGCTCCCCGACACATACAACACTCTGTATGCTGCCTCCTCGCAGACCACCTGCACCCAGGCCCCCTGCCTGCTCCTCCTGCCCCCAGAACCAGGTGGCCTGTCCCCAACATTGTGTATGGCTGCCTTCCATCCATTTGTTAAGATTTAAGTCGGCCAGGCACGGTGTTTCACGCCTGTAATCCCAGCACTTTGGGAGGCTGAGGTGGGCAGATCACCTGAGGTCAGGAGTTGGAGACCAGCCTGACCAACATGGAGAAACCCTGTCTCTACTAAAAGTACAAAACATTAGCCAGGTGTGGTGGCACATGCCTGTAATCCCAGCTACTCAGGAGGCTGAGGCAGGAGAATCGCTTGAACCTGGGAGGCAGAGGTTGCAGTGAGCCGAGATCGCACCATTGCACTCCAGCCTGGGCAACAAGAGCGAAACTCCGTCTCAAAAGAAAAAAAAAATAAAAAATAAAAAAGAGTTAAGTCAAGTACCACCTAACTGAAGAGGTCCTCTTGGGTTAAGCATAAACACTCTTTCTTTAAATTACCACCAGTGTGTAATGCTCTGCGGCTCAGTTTGCTCATGGGTAGATGACTTGTGCCTTGGGATTGCCTGTAGACAAGGGCATTAGTGAAGACCCAGATCGAAGCCCTGCCTGGCACCTGTGTCCCTGGAGCTAGTAGCTGTCTTTGATGTACTAAATTTCTCCTGATGTATTTCTCAGAGCACGGGCTTTGTATTCTTAGTATTTCTATTTCTTGGAACTAATACAAATAGATGTTCAATAAATCTGAGTCCATGAGCAGACAATGAAAACCCAGCTAATGCCATGCACTTTTTCCCTCTCTCTGAAGAGTTTGTATTCTTCCTATCAGTTTCCAGGCGATGCCACAACTAATTGCCACAAACTCATGGTTCAATCTCTCACAGTGCTGGACGCCAGAAGTCTGGAATCAAGGAGTTGACAGGCCTCGCTTCTTTCAAAAGCTCAAAGGAGGATCCTTCCTGCCTCTCCCAGCTCCTCCTGGCTCCAGGTGATCCTTGGCCTGTGGCCACATCCCTCCAATCTCTGTCTTCAAGGACACGTGGTCTTCTCCTCTGTGTGTTTGAGTATTCCCTGTTCTCTTATAAAAATTTGTCATCCACGCTGGGTGCGGTGGCTCACACTGTAATTCCAGCACTTTGAGAGGCCAAGGTGGGCAGATCATGAGGTCAGGAGATCGAGACCAGCCTGGCCAACATGGTGAAACCCATCTCTACTAAAAATACAAAAATTAGCCGGGCGTGGTAGTCTGCACCTGCAGTCCCAGCCACTCAGGAGGCTGAGGCAAGAGAATTGATTGAACCCAGGAGGCGGAGGTTGCAGTGAGCTGAGATCGTGCCACTGCACTCCAGCCTGGTGACAGAGCAAGACTCCATCTCAAAATAAATAAATTAAATTAAATTAAATTAAATTTGTCATCTGATTTGAGGATTTGAACTTAAATCCTAAGGATGATCTCATCTCCATATTCTTAATTTAATCACACCTGCAAAGACCCCATGTCCAAATAAGGTCATATTCACAGAAGCTGCGGGTTAGCATTTGGACAAGACTTTTTGGGGTACGTAATTTGGCCCACAACACCCCTTATAACTGGGGATAAGGACACATTTTCCTTCGGAATGCCCACAGCTACGGAACATCGTTCAGCCACACTGCTGTGTGTTAAGGGCAATTAGAGGCAGCTATTTCAGGGGAAAGTTGGGTTTGACAGGGGGCTGGGGATGTTGGGTTTTTGCATGATTTGCATATGGAAACCATCCGTAAGGATTCATGCCAGTCAACACTCAGCACACACAGAAGCAGGCAGGGTGCTGGGAGCCGCCAGGACGCATCAGCCATCATGATCCCTGCCCATCTGAGCTCGGCCCCCCTGGTGACAGACACACACACATCATTCCAGATCAGGAAGCTGCAACTCCCGCTGGGGTCTCAGTGAGATGTTACCAGAGCCAGTGAGAGAAGGAAAAAGAGATCCCTGGTCCCACTGTGGGAACCAGAAATGGTGCCTTGGAGGGAGGCTGGAGGAGGTCCAGCTGATGCTGAGGGGCGAGGGACCCCTCTGGGGCCGGGGTAGATGGGACTGAGGATGGATGGGGCAGGGTCTGTGAAGGGAGAGCCGGCAGGTGTCACCGCGGCCCACTCCTAGGGCAAAAGGGGGTGTGTGGGCCATGGAGAGGCCAAAATCTGGGCTTCTGTACGGGGCTGCACAAACACAATTATGACAGCATTCAGTTCTCGAAAGGAGCCCTCCCAGGAGAGGGAATGCTAGGGTTTTACAGATGGGACCCCGGACTCAGGAACCGCCTAAGGGGGCACCGTGGGAAAGTCTGAATTCCTGTGGCTCAGCTTCCTCACCCGCTTGGCCACACCGTGGGGAGTGGAGGAGGGAAAAGGGAAGCAGGAGGGCCAAGGAGGCTTTGGAAAAGCCCCGTGGAACAGAAGCCCCTGGCTGTGGAGCAAGGGTCCCCCGTCCCTTCAGAACCCCAACCGGCAGCCACCCCACTAAAGCCCAGTCAGGCTCCCTCCAGGATGGATCTGAAATTCCCCAACACTCTCAGCCTCTGCCAGAAGGTCCCGGCGCCCACTGAGGGCTCAGCCTCTGCGGCCAGGCTGTGTGAGGGGCCTTCTGGCTCCACCAGATCTAGGCTGTTGGTCCCGGGTGAGTTCATCTCTGGGTGCCTTAGTTTCGTCATCTATAAAATGGGTAGAACAATAGTACCTACTTTATCGAGTTGTTTTGAAGATTAGCTGAAATGTTGTGCACAGGTACACACACACGACTTGTCAGAGTTAGCAAGTAAAAGTACAGCATAAACAATCCTCATATTTTTAGTATAAATGCATTCAAATATTCCATAGCACACACTAGAAAACCAGTATTTGTTATTTATCTAGAATTTGAAACTAAAGAGATATGCTGCATTACTTCCGGTAACCTTAACACAGGCATATAAACACACAACACACCACACACATACATACACACCACACACACACCACACACACACACATACATACACACCACACACACACACACCACACACATACACACCACACACACACAACACACACACACCACACACACACCTCACACACACACGTGCACCACCTAAACCACACACACCACACCACACACACATAAACACACATACACACCACACACACACCCCACACACACGTACACACCACACACACACACACCCCACACACCACCTAAACCACACACCACAGCACACACATACATACACACCACACACACACACTCCCCCCCAAACACACCACCTAAACCACACACACACCACACACACATACGTACACACCACACACATACACCCCACACACACACCACCTAAACAGAGGCACAGGCATCAGGAGCTTCTTCGTCTCTGTTCTGGCTCTGCAGCCTTTGTGAGCAGGGGCTGGCAAGTTCAGGAACAGCTGAACTTTGATCCTGACATCTTTTTGGCTCAGGAGAATTGCTGCTCTGCACAGAAGGGGACCCACCCAGCGGCACACACTCCTGAGGGTGCTGGGGCAGGAATAGAGTCCGGGTCTGCCCAGCCTCTCAGCCTGTCCTTCTCTCCTGGAAGAGCTTGGATGTTGCATGGAGATTGCTACAGTATCTCATCCAATTTTACGCTCCTTCCTGGGCTTCATGGAAAGACTTCCCAGTTGCCGGTGGCAGTGGAGAAAGGTGAGTGTCCAGAGTTCTCTCCCAGCAAGATGAGGATCCTCAGAGAGGCCTCCTGGATCCCTGAGTCACCAAGTGGAAGGGAGCTGCCTGGGGAGCTGCAGACCCGCAGTGGACTTAACTGAGTGAGAAATCTTTAAAGTGGGGTTTGTTTGTTTCTACAGCACAGCCAGGCTCAGCCTGACTGATCCAGGCTCCAAAGGAAAGTACCGTACAGGAAGCCTGGGTGGTTCCCAGAGGCCTCCCTTGGAAGCTGAGAGGCAGCCGGACAGTGGGCAGGGCAGAGGTGCAGGTCATGGGATCGGGGGCTAAAGCAGACCCCAGCAACCTCAGGGCTGCACCCTCAGCATCAGGCTGGTCTGCACTCCCGACAGCTTCCTGGGGAAATATGTGTCCCAGATTGCAATACGGGGGTAGATCTGACCATCAGACCCAGAGCCTCAGACCAGTACCAAGGACCTGCTCTGTCCAGGAGCTGCTCAGAGGAAGCCCTGTTGTTGGTCAGTGTGGACCACTGATTACATTGCATTGTGACCCCAGTGGCTAAGAGAGAAAGCAAAGCACGAGGACATCTGCCGCTCAGGAGAATCCTGCAGCCTGAACCCCCTGCTTCCGCAGCCAGTACCAAGCCTGAGCAGGGCCTGAAGCTCTGTGTGCCTCTCACAGAGCAGCAAAACTCTCCATTAGGGCAGACACCAACGTCCTTATCTGTGGGATCTGGGGACAAAGATGCATCCCGTGCAGCCTCTGCCCGCAAGGAGGCCCCTGCGGTGGAAGCAATGTGTGGAGGGGCCTTTCCAGTGACCCCTGTCCCTTGCTCCAGGGTGTGCATTCCCTCAACGTTGTTTCTCACACACGCCCCACTGGGCAGGGTATCTGTGTTAACTCTGGAAAGATGTCAATGCTGCACAGCTCAGGCGATGTGGCTCTTGGAGGCTGGCCGGATGCAGGGATGGGGGCTTTTTTCAGCCCCTCTTGCACCAGGAAGAGGGGCTGGCATCTAATTTCCAGGCCCACCCAGGCACCTCACTGGCTTGCTGATCTTCACCACTGTGCCTCCTGCACCAGGACTGTGTCCAGCCTCCAATGGGCACAGATTTAGGGGGTGAGAGAACGCAAGGATTGTGGGGAGGGCTCCCGCCCTGCACTTTGACTGCTCCAGGCCACAGCCCAAGGTGTGTCTAAATCCTTCAGAGGCCCTGACACAGGCTCGTAAGCCCTGCTCTGGTATTCTGACGGCCACTGGATGGGATGGATGGGCATTAACAACTCTTCCCCTACGCTAGGCCAGGCTGACAAACAGGAAATGTCAGTGAAGGAATGGACCCAGATTTCTGAGCTACCACAGACAGGATTTCAGATAAATGAGAGTTAACTTGGGAACAAAATCACAACCTAATCCTTCAGGGAGTTTATTTTAAAGACAGACAAAGAGCACATTTAATCTAATGTTATGCTAAAGCAGCAGCAATGTTCAAAGGCAGCGCATGGTAAGAGAGACGCAATTGCTTCTTTGCCCCTCGGAATAATAAACCTCAAAGAATCAGGCAGCTGCTCTACATATTCTGTGCAGAGACCCATCCAGCCAACCTACTCCCTCAACCACAGTATGCCCATCTACCAAGGACTCCAGAATGTTCCTGCCTGAACCACTCCACCTACCCCCACCCCCTCGAGAGCCTTTGCACATGCTGATTCTGGAGTATCCCTACCATGCAAATGCCCCCCACCCCCATCCTTTGGGGTGCTCCAACTCTCCTCCTCCTCCTCCTCCTCCTCCCCTTCCTTTTCAGGTGTCTCCCTCTTCCTCCTCCTCCTTCTCCTCCTCCAACAACCTCTTTCAGGAAGGCCTTTCAACACCTCACAGCTAAAATTGACTCCCCCGACATTCTGCAAAGGAAGCTGTAAAGTGTGCTTGCGGAGAGGAAGAGAGGAGAGGGATGTTACGGGCCTGGGGACACCTAGGAGGGGTGCGGAGAGGAAGAGAGGAGAGGAGGAGAGTGATGTTACGGGCCTGGAGACGTCTAGGAGGGGTGCGGAGAGGAAGAGAGGAGAGGAGGAGAGTGATGTTATGGGCCTGGGGATACCTAGGAGGGGTGCGGAGAGGAAGAGAGGAGAGGAGGAAAGTGATGTTACAGGCCTGGGGATGCCTAGGAGGGGTGCGGTACTGCAAATTTCCTCCATATGCTGCTTCACTTCCTCGTGACAGCAACCTCCATCCATCCACTCAGCACCCAGCAGCACTCTGTGGGGAGGAGGAATCAGAGAGTGCGTGGAAAGCTCCTAGAAGAGGCCTGGGCCAGGGTGGGCCCTTGAGAAATGCCAGTGAGATGCAGAGGCAGCAGTGGGGACACGGGGGAACCCAGGCAGCAAGTCTGAGGCAGGCACCAGCCAGGAACCAAGGCACAGAGGCCCATGTTCTTACAGAGCAGAGATCGCGGAGTTCCCTCACATTCTTCCAGAGGTCATCAATTTGGGGATTAGAAGAGATTCCCTCCAAAAGCCGCACCGTCTTTGTGCAGGTTCCGATGGCTCCAGGCATGGAGCTCTGGGTTTGGGTCTGGGTCTGGGTCTGATTGATCTTTGTGCAAGCATCTGCCTTAAGTAGATGGTCATTAAATGTTTTACTGGTTGAATTAGTCCATGGATAGGCAGTGACTGCTGTAACCAAGCAGCGGATGCCAGAGGGTAATTGACTTTTTCTCCGATGAGTGCCCTACATTGAATTCCTACCAGGAAAAATTAAACTCTAGCAGCTCATTGTTTCAGTCTGGGTTTAACTGGTTACTAATCTATTGGTCAAAATGGCAGAACCAACATTCTGTGATTCAGAAGAAAGACCTGCCCTGCAGAGAAAGGGACCTTTGCTCTAACAGACCTTGGGCAACCAGGATGACGTAGCTCCAAGGATGCAACCATTTCTCTTTGCTGCAATTTTTGGCCGTTGAGTGCTAATATTACCTTGAGGAGATGATTATGTTATGTGTTCTTGTACTTTTTGAATGTATCCTTCAGCACTTTAATATTTAAAACATGTGTTCTGAAGCAGTGGTTTTTCTACATTGTGAACAGAATAAAATGTGTTGGAACCCATGTCTTGTCAAAACTCCTTGTGAGCACTGAGTCGCTTTGCTTGAATGTGTTGGGGCAGGAGGACCCAGGGGAAGGGTGTGTCGGCAACAAGGTTTACAGATAATAAAAATTGACACTCACAGTGGCCCGGGTGTGCGAAGGAGATCCCTCTGAGGCAAATCAGCATGATTATCTATTAATTAACCTTGAAATAGAAATATTCTCAAGCACTGAAACCTTTTCAGATGAACTGCAGTGAAATCAGGCACCCTATTACCATAATAACATTTTAAACTCGATAATGTATTTAACATTTGTCTAATGTAAGTGCCTATAAGTGCTGTAATGTACCAGTTGTGATGATAAGATCAAACAACAGTCTTTAAATGATGACAGTGTTGAGATGGGAACATCTCACTCAGGTAATCGCCCACTTCCCTTCTCAGGTGCTGGGAGTGAGTCCTGTGTGTGGGAAAGAAGGAACTTTTGTACCATTTTGGTCTCTACCAGTTTCTTTCCCACCTTCCAGAAGCTGCTGTGCTCAACTCTAGCACATGGAGGGCCTACCTGGGACAGGCCTGTGCTAATCCAGGGGACACAGGCACCAAGAAGATGGAGTGTCCCACTCTCAAAGACTGTATGGGTTTCTGATGCGAGCGTCCACAACAGCAAAGAGGAAGGCCCAGCCTTCTCGGGGAATGGGCTCTCCCTGGCTCCTTCCTTCATCCCATCACTGGGCCCTCACCACATGGCACTGTGCATGTCGACTGGAGGCAAGGATGAGGGCTTTTCTCAGCCGCTCTTGCACCAGGAGGAGGGGCTGGCATCTCACTTCCAGGCCCACCCAGGCACCCCACTGGCTGGCCCCCACCAGAGCATGTAATGGCTGCAATACACAACTCCCATATCTCAGCGGCTCCATGCAACAACCAGTCACCTAAGCTAGGGATATGGTTTGGATATTTGTCCCCTCCAAATCTCACATTGAAATGTGATTCCCAGTATTAGAGGTAGGGCCTGAATCATGGGGGTGGATCTCTTATGAATGGCTTAGTACCAACCCTTGGTGATGAGTCCTTGCTCAGTTAGTTCACATGAGATCTGGTTGTTTAAAAGAGTCTGGGACCTCCTCCACCCTCTCTTTTGCTTCAGCTGTTTCCATGTGATGCACTGGCTCCCCCTTCATCTTCCACCATGATTGGAAGCTTCCAAAGGCCCTACCAGGGGCAGATGCTGGAGCCATGCCTGTACAGCCTGCAGAACTGTGAGCCAATTAAACCTCTTTTCTTTATAAATTACCCAGCCTTGAGTATTCCTCTATAGAATGCGAGAACAAGCTAATACAGCGGGCAAGAACTGGGAGAGTGCTCTGCTCCACATGGTCACTCAGGGACTCAGGCCTCTTTGTTCTGGTGGCTTCACATCCTCCCTGGGCCTCAGGGAACTCCACTTTGCCCTCTGCATCCAGCTGGCAAATGGAGAAAGAAAAGGGGCAGGGAGATAAAAAGGCCTTGTAGGAGGCAGGTCTGGAAGCGGTGAACCCCACCGTTGCTCATGGCTCTTGGCCACAAGTCAGATGCTCAGCCCCATCCATCTATGAGACAGCATGGAAAATACCTGCCAGGAGGAAAATGACGGAGCTCAGTGGGCCAGAGCATTTTCCCTACTCCTCCAATGTCTGTCCGCACACAGATCTCTCCAGGGCAGGGGGTAGGTTACATTCACGGCTCTGCCCTGATGCCCAGCACAGAAAAGGCATCCAGTGTGGGACTTCTGAATCTTTGTGTGGGTGAATTAATAAAATAGCTAACTCTGATTGAATGTGGTAAGTGGGGAAGAAAGCTGGGCTTATGATTATGAAGTTCCTACCGTGCAGCCGACACTGTGCCTGGCACCCTGTGCCCCCATCCCGGTCAATCCACCGCACTGTGGCAGGAGAGACACAGAGCTCCTGAGTAACTTGCCCAAGGTCACTGGCATCGTCATTGGCAGATCTGGGAATGGAACCAAAGTGCTGACTTTTTCTACCGTTCTTATCTGTTGCATGGCCTCAAAGCTGTGTGAAAGAGTAACTGTCCCAGGGAGGGTTAAGGAAAAGGCACAGTATCTTAGGGGCCCTCAGAGAGGCAGTGATGAATTGCTTTTTCTTCCCTACATCTGACCCCAAAGAGACCCTGCTTCCAGGCATGCCCTTCCCGCGCCTGGTGAAACGCCAGAGAACGCCATCAGTCCCAGCTCCCCAAGACACCTGTCTTCTCGTTGGGAGTTTCAGTCTGTTCTGTGCACTAATTATGACCTGTCATCCGGAACAAATACCTGATATGACAAGCGAGATAATTAATATGCTAAGAGAAAACTTTCTCTTTTTCTTAATTAAAGCACACAACTCCTTTTAAAAGCAAGAAAATATATCTATTGTCTCCAGTCGCTGCACGTACACACCAAAGTCTATAGAACATCGCCGTTTTGTTACATTGTGCTTTCAGTGTTTGAACATAAAAATAGTTTGCCATTAGAAATTTGTTGAAATAAAACTCAGCCAGAAAGTGCCAAACAAACAACAATAATAAGGACGGCTTTTTAGGGAACTTCTAATATGTTCAAGGCATTTTGCAAACATCTGTAATATCCAGTCATTCTGCAACAGTGAAACAGCAAAAGAACTCACAGCACTCACTCAATTTTTGTTGAAGGGGTCTTTACTCATTTTTGCACGTAGGATAGGATAGGATAATTTTAGAGCACTGAGATAATAATGCAAAAACCACAATCGTGTAGTTTTCAAAACTAAGTAAAGGGAAAGTCTATAAACAACTAACTATGTTTTGTTTAAGATTCACAGAAGCATCTTGACGCAAGGACAAAGAAGTTCCCATCCTCCTCGGCCCCTCGCTGGCACCAGATCTCTGTGGTCCTTGGTCACCTCTTGATACCACCCCTCTCTTCTTCCCCACATCTCCCTTCCAGAAAAATCCTCCAGCCAGCCTGAACAATTGAAGATGTTTCTCTAGAATACTAGTTCACCATCTTCTCAGGTTTGCTGGCTTTCCAAACAAAACTGCTTTTCCTCCCACAACCCAGTCTCCCATGTTTGGCTTTTGAGTGGTGAGTGGCCAAACTTGGGTGTGGTTACAACTCTACCCAGAATTATGATCATCCTGATTTTATACATTAAAAAACATAACTAAAGGAGGGTCAGGCACAGTGGCTCATGCCTGTGATCTCATCACTTTGGGAGGCCGAGGCGGGTGGATCACTTGAGGACAGGAATTCAAGACCAGCCTGGCCAACATGGCGAAACCCTGTCTCTACTAAAAATACAAAAAGCCAGGCGTGGTGGTGTGCACCCGTACTGCCAGCTACTCACGAGGCTGAGGTGGGAGGATCGCTTGAGCCCAGGAGGCAGAGGCTGCAGTGAGCCAAGATCACACCACTGCACTCCAGCCTGGGCAACAGAGTCAGACTCTGTCACAAAATAAATAAATAAATAAATAAGTTAATTAATTAAATTAAATTAAATTAAACAGGATCAAGGTAGAGGCTTGGAAATGGTAGGGCAGGACTTTGAGCTCAGAGGCTCTTGTCCTGAGCCTGATTTATTTCCTCCAGGACATGCTGCCTCTAGGATTAGGATGGAATAGCTGAACGATCCCAAAGCTTCAGGGCCCTGCTCTGTGCCAGAGACCATGCTGGAGCTTGGGAGCGCGTGGAAGCCGCAGACCTACCCACCTGCAGGACAGCGTGGGAAACACGCGTTCAGGGGGGCCAGAGCAGCCTCTGTCCCGGGATGCTGGTGGGCCGTCTCCACAAAGACCCCCCAGTGGCCAAACGGGCCTCTGTCCCCAGATGACTAGCACAGGGAAGACAAAGTCAGAGCCAACACTCAGCCACGCCAATAAATCACAATGACCACACTCGTTACCACAGGAAAAGCACTTAGCAACAACGAGCCACGCTGTGCTTCCACCCTCAGGAAACCACAGTTAGGAGCTAATTCCCTTGCCGAGGTCACTCCAGGGAGGTAAGACTAGGATAAAGTTCTCGTCTCTTAGCACCCACGGCTCTATCCCTTCCACTTGGAAACAGGCAATTCAGCAATTGTACACCCTGATTTACGCTCTTTTCTTGAGAAACATTCAATCCTATGGCTTTAGTTGTGAAGGGAAACAGGAAGAACCCACCGAGTCATGTAAAAGGCTCTCCCAAGCCTGCAGTTCTCTTTGTCTTCCTAAGAGGAGGGCCAGGCAGGGCATGCACAGCCCCGTGGCAGCCGCAGCACTGAGCACCAAGGAGCCCGCTGGGATCTGATGTGGCAAGAACAATTGTGTCTGCAGGCCAGAGGGAGGGTGCCTGGGGAGTTGAGGACGTGCACTCACCAGTTAGTTGGGTTTCCAAGGAAAGGGCTACATGTTGAGCTGGGAGGCCCCATACCTGGAGGGGCAGGTGCACAGGTCTCTCTGCTGCTGCAACCCAGAGAAGGTGCAGACAAGGCAGGGCAGGGGCAGGAAAGGGTGGCATTGTGTGTGCCAGGCAAGGGGGCAGGAGACTTGGGAGACAGGGAGGAGGGTAAGGCCCATGCCCCTGCCTGGAACAGTCTGAGGAACCCAAAGGGCACATGGTTTAACTCATGCCTGGGACCCAGCACCTCCGGTCCAGCAGTCGGGCATTGCCAATCAGGAGAGAGCCAGCAGTAGGGAAAAGCTGGACTGCCGCGTGAAGTCCTAGTGTTCAGCTGAGGATCTGTGTAGCTGATGACTGCGCAGGCAGCCATGCTGTCTCCAGAAGCTACAGTTGGCCAGGGATGGGGAGGATGAGAAGCAGGGGCCAGCCAGAGGGGTGTGCGGCCCCCACCCTGGCAGAGTGCAGCCTCCCACAGCACAAGGACTCAGGCAGGGCCATGGGGCCCAACCAGGAGCCAGGGACTAAGACAGAAGCTCAGGGTGAGTCCACCAAGGAAGAGGGCATAGAGAGAGTTTTTAATTTTAATGAAGTCCAACGTATCAATTACTTTTTTCATGGATCATGTTTTTTCTGTTGTGTCTAAAAAGTCATCACCACACCCAAGGTCATCTGGATTTTCTCTTATCTTCTGGGATTTTTCTAGATTTTCATTTTACATTTTATATTTACACTTATAGTTTCTCAACATTTAGTATCATATTAGCCTAAATGTAAATGTATAATACATGTTGAGTTAATTTTTAGGCTGGGTGTAAAGTCTGTGTCTAAATTCATTTTGTTACATGTGGATGTCCAAGTGTTGTAGAGCCATTTGTTGAAAAGGCTATTTTGGGTCCACTGTATTGCCCTTAATCCTTTCTTAAAGATCAGTTGACTATATTTATTTGGGTCTTTTTCTGGGCTTTCTACCCTGTTCTGTTGGTTTATTTGCCTGTTCTTTCACCAGTACCATACTGTCTTGATTACTATGCTTAATAGTAAGTCTTGAAGTCGGGTAGAGTCAATCCTCCAACTCTGTTCTTTTTCAATATTGAGCTGGCTCCTCTGGGTATTTTGCCTCTCCAAATAAACCTGAGAATCACTTTGCTGATACCTACAAAATAAGCTGCTGGTATTTTGATTGAGATTGCATTGAGAAGATCGAGTTGAGAAGAACTGATGTCTTGATAATATCAAGTCTTCCTAATAATAAACATTGAATAGTTCCCCATGTAGTTATTTCTTTATTTTATCACAGTTTTATAATTTTTCTCATGTACATTTTGTACATATTTCGTTTGATGTATGTATAAGTAATTCATTTGGGGAAGGCTAATGTAAATGGTGTTTTGTTTTTATTTCATATTCCATTTGTTCTTTGCTGATAAATAGAAAAGTCGCAAACATTTTATATTAACTGTATAACCAACAACCTTGCTATAATTGCTTATTAATTTCAGGGTTTGTATTTCAGTGCATTCTTTTGGATTTCTACATAGATGTTTATGTCAATTGTGAATAAAGACAGTTTTATTTCTTCCTTTCCAATCCATATACGTTTTATTTTATTTTATTGTCTTATCACAATAGCTAGAAATTCTGGTATAATGTTGAAAGCAGTGGTGAGGGAACATCTTTTCCTTGTTTCTTGTCTTAGCAGAAAATCTTCCAGTTTCTCACCTATGAAATATCATATTAGCTGTAGGTATGTTGCAGATGTTCTTTATCCATTTGAGGAAATTACTCTCTGCCCTAAGTTTGCTAGGAGTTTTTATAATGAATGGGTGTTGAGTTTTACAATATCAAGTACTTCTGCAATTTTTCATGTGATCACTTGATTTTCCTTCTTTGGCCTACCATTATGATTGATTATATTAATTGATTTTCAAATGTTCAACCAGCCTTGCATACCTAATATAAGTCTTATTTGGTCACAATATATAATTATTTTTATGTATTTTTCTATTCATGACTCAATTTGCTAATATTTGATTGAGGAGTTTTGAATCTATACTCATGAGAGATATTGGTCTGTTGTCTTTTTTTAAAAAATATCTTTGTCTGGTTTGGGTATTAAGGTAAGACTGACCTAATAGAATGAGAGGAAGAATTCCCTCTGCTTCTATTCTCTGTAAGGAATTGTAGATATTTGGTGTAATGTTTTCCTTAAATATTTGGTAGATTTCACCAATAAACCCATCTGGGCCTAGTGCTTTCTCTTTTTGAAGGTTATTAATTATTGATTCAATTTTGTTGATAGATAGATGGCTTTCAGATTGTCTATTTCTTCTTGCGTGAATTTTGCCAGATTGTGTCTTTTAAGGAATTGGTCCATTTAATCTATGTTATTAAATTTGGAGGCATACAGTTGTTCATAGTTTCCTTTACTATCCTGTTAATGTTCATAAGATCGGTAGTGATGTTCCCTCTTTCATTTCTCATTAAAGTAATTTGTGTTCTCTCTTTTTTTAGTTAGCTTGGCTAGAGGCTTATCAATTTTGTTGATCTTTTCAAAAGCCAGCTTTTGGTTTTGTCCATTTCTGATTTTCAATTTTATTTATTTTTGTTCCAATTTTTATTTATTTTCCTATGCTTTGGAAATTACATCCAATCTAATATATACATCTAAGGTGATTGATTTTAGATTTTTCATCTTTTCTAATGTATACATTCAAAGCTATAAATTTTCCTCTAAATATTTCTTTTGCTGCATCTCACAAATTGTGATGTTATCTTTTCATTTTTATTCAGTTCCAAATATGTTTAAAATTCCTCTTGAGATTTCTTCTTTGACCCATGTGTTATTTACAAGTGTGTTGTTTAATCTGCAAGTACTTTGGAATTTTCCAGCTTTCTGTTATTGATTTCCAGTTTAATTGCACTGTGGCCTAAAGGCACACACTGTATGATTTCTATTCTTTTAAATGTGTTAAATGTGTTTTATGGCCGAGACTTTCATCCATTTTGGTGAATGTTCCATGTGATCTTGAGAAGGATATGTACTCTGTTATTGTTAAATGAAGTCATCTATTGGTATTGATTATATCCACTTGATTGATGGTACCATTGAGTTCAACCACATCCTTACTGATTTTCTGCCTGCTACATCTGTCCTGTGCTGACTGAGGGATTTTAAGTCTCCTACTACAGTAGTGGATGCATCTCTTCACGGGTCTATCGTTTTTGGCCTCACGTGTTATGATGCTTTGTTGTTAGGTGCATGCACATTAAGTATTGCTCTGTCTTCTTAGATAATTGACCTCTTTATGATTATGAAATGCAGACTGCAATTTAACTGAGATGGTTAGAAAAGGCCTTTCAGGGAAGTTGGCCAAACTTCTGGCAAAGCTGATGGGGCAAAGGTGAAGGCTGACAATTGCCTGCACCAGAAGCAGCCAAAAGGTCCCATCACAGTGCAGGTCATCACCACCGGAAACCTCAGCCCTGGCTTTGCATTAGCCCTAGAATAAGCCAATCCAAGCCTGACCCACAAATCCTGTGAGATCTAGGCCCATCCGTCCTCTTGTCATGATACTTATCTTCCTTCCCTAAGCTCAAGCTGCCCTGGAGAGGGCCTACCGTCTCTTCCTCTAACCAGAGAGCTGGTGCCTACCTCAAGGCTTACACATTCCTTTCCCTCTACCAAGGATGCAGTTCCCCCTGTGCAATGCCTAGTCAACTTGCTCTACAGCCTTGGCTTCCATGCCACCTCCTCCAGGCAGCCTTACCTGACGATCCCATCTCACTTCTTACTGCATATCCTGCGTATTTCCTCCAGAGAAGCCAAACAGTTGAGAGAAATTTGTCATTATATTGCAATTTCCTTGAGAGCCCATGGATGTCATCTGTTTTGTTTTCCTGATGTAAACCTGTAAGATAGCAGGCGCTCAATGAATGTGCTTTATTCACAAGTGGGAGGATAAAGCCCAGGATAGTGCCTGGAATGACTTGGACCCATAAAGCTGGTAAGAATGAACATCATTCACAGTGGAGGGAGATCCCAGAGAGTTCAATCAGCTTCCCGGTGTTGCCCAGCTTCAGGAGTGGGGCTGGGATTTGAACCCACAGCTTCTGACCAATCTTCCGTCTCCTCTAAAGGGGCAGGGCTGCCTCAAAGACCAGGTAGAAGGAGTATTTCTTGGTCTTGGTTTGGGGAGGAGGGGTGGATACAAAAGGCAGCAGCCCCTTGGCTGCAGAATAGAGTCTCTTAAACTGGGAAATCCACTATGGTGACAACCAAGTCTGCCTGGACTTTGTCTTCCGCCTGCACTTTGTCTTCACCATCAGCAGGGCATCCCCATGGCTCTCTGTGGCAGAACGCACTGCAGCTCTAAGTCAGGATACTTTCCCATATCCCAGCCCTGCTCCATCTTTAAATAATTCAAAGCACTGAGCCCTTGCAGATCCCCGCATGCTGGGCATCCTCCCGGGAAGCAGCTGGAATAAGAAGAAAGGGTTGCCTCCCAACCCTGAGTTCAAGATATGTCCAAAGCTTTTAATCTAGTTTGATTGATTTAGTATCCTGCATCCTGGGAGCTGAGGTCAATGTGATCCTGGCTGCTCTCCTCTCCCTGCTAAGCTGACAGTGAAGCAATGCATTACAGGGCTAGGAAAAATAATAAAACGCTTTCTCTCCATAGTTCACCCAGCAGCCAGAAGCTATTTTCAGGGTGGAGAGAAGGCTCCCTAGCAGCTGCCCATGGGTCACCAGAGCTGTGTATCTTGCCAGATCCTCTTGCTGGGGGAGCCCCCATCCCTCCACTGCCCTGAGAGGACTGTGCCACCTCTTTCAGGTATGCTTGCCTAAACAGAGAGCAGGTGCTTTGGACCACTTTTTGCTGCATGGATATTTTTATGGAGAGGTCTCTCCTCCGATGTACCCTTCACCCTTAACAATGAGAAAATGTACCACTGGGTTCTCCCACTGCTATACTGGCCTCCTCTAGGAAGCCATTCCTGCTCCAGGGACTTAATCCAACTCCTTCCTAGCTCTGTGGCTGGAACATCAACTCACAACACATAGGTACATGCTCTCATTGGCTTAGACCCCATCATTTTTTCTCGTGAACCAAAAGGCATCCTGCAGGCAGGCCCTCAGGTACCACGTCATATTCTTCCTGGTGGCCTAGACTAAGCCCAGGCCCCAACCATTCACAGCTGGAATTACAGAAAGTGTGGCCAGTGAGTGGAAAGGACTGCTTCCCTCCTGATTCCTGATAGCTGAGCCTTGGGTCAGTGCGGCAAGCTGGCCCCCAGCTCTGACCACCTCTCTAGGCCTCTCCTGCAGGTGGGACACGCTGCCTATGTGCCCAACTCCTGCTTTCTGGTGCTTTCTTCATGAGGCTGCTCCCCTTGGCCTGGCACTGATGGCCCCAAGTCCCAGCAGCTCCCCTCTGTCCAGCCCCACCCCCACCTCAGCCAAACTGGAGGAAAGCCCAGAGGGAGGATGGGTTACCTGGGCCACACAACAGAGCCATCAAGGGCCTGAGAGTGTCTATTCATCTTTCTGGATGGTCCCCGGGTGGCCTCAGCAGTGCTGGAGTCCAAGGAAACATGTGAGCCCCAACACAGAGAGAGGTGCATCCTCCCACACACGCCATTACACCATCAGCCTCTGCCTGCAGTTGCCCACGTGGGACCATGCCCTGTGTCCCCATGAACACTGGGCATAACTGCTCTGACCCCTCAGTTCCCAAGACTGGGCGCGGCCCTTCCTGGATGCACAGAAGGGTGAAATCCAAAGTAAATCAGGCCCTTCCAGCAAAGAAGGGGCCATGGCGGCCATGCTCCCCTGCTGGGAGAAGCGTCCATCCCTCGTTATCCCATCTCCAAAGTTGGCCAGTCCCTCAAGACCTCGCTTACCCTGAATGCTCTGCAGAGGGCACCTGAGCCCTCTCTCCTTCCCTGTCTATCCACAGTGGACCTGTCCCAGAACTGCTGACAGCACCAGGCTGGCAAGTGGGGGTCTCCAGGCTGCAGCTGTGGAGTGGACCCCCATTAACCACCCCTCAGCTGGTGGGACCCCGGGCTTCTCTTGGTGTGGTCTGCATCCTATCACTGCCCAGACATTGGGTCCAGGGACACCACCCTCAGTGTCCATGTGGTGACGCTGGACTGTACTGGACTGTCCACAGCTGGACTGTGCTGCCTGGGAGGGGGTAGGGAGCCAACCAGGAGCTGTGAGCCAGGAGGCTCACAGGAGACAGGCCCAGGGGGAATGGAGACGCTGTTGAAGCTGTCACCCTATGGAAGAGAGCGGCATGGGACACAAGGCCTGATCGCCAGGAGGGGTCACCTGTGAGTCCTCACTGGCCCTCAGACTCTAGCTAAGGGGAAGCCCTTCTCATGCCCTCATCTTAGCACTTAGCAGCACTCTTTATTTATTCAGCACACATGCCCACCATCGGCCCGGCCTCAGGGACATCAGACTTGGCCTTGGCCTCAGGGATCCCGTGTCCTCACGGGCTTCACATGGAGAGCCTTGCTGGCTCTTGTCACCTGTGAAGGAATTTATGTGACCCCATTATCACCTCCTCCACAGAGGAAGCTCTGCTCAGAGAGAACACAGGGTCCGTGAATGGCACCACCCACCACTGTGCATAGCTCAGAGGATACTTTGTGTTTGGAAGCAACAGAAATACTTCTAGATGTCTTCATGAGCCACTGAGTATTTGCCTTCTACTGTGCTTGGCACTATTGCAGAAACAAACTCATCAAATGGATGGAAATGGGCCTCCCAGAACCATGCCTGGTGTGCAGTGAGCATTCTACAAAGGCTGCTGTTGCAGCTCTACTCCACACGCCCCCCACCTACAAGCTCAGAAGACTCAAGAACAGGCAGACGAGAAAGACCATGGCAGGGAGTCCATGTACCCCCAGGATGCAATGGACACTCAGTGACCTCCCCGGCAGGGACTGAGGCCGGCCAGGCATGGGCAGCATGGAACACCTGCCGTGATGACCGGCAGTGATAGTCCAGGCACGCGGATCACGAAACAGAAGGTCTGCAGCTCAGGGTGAGAGGTCACAAGCAGGATCCTGCCACCTGGGCAGGCACGGGTGACAGAGAGACTCCTCAGCCTAGAGTTTCTGGCTTCCAGGCTCAGGCTCTGACTCACACACTGGCTTTGCTGTCCACAACGTGTGACTTGGACAAGTCCCTACAGCTCTAGAATCCTTGATCCTGGCATGCATTTAATGGAGTCAGTAGGAGAAACTTCATCTTAAATTTGAGGATAAAGTGAAATAAAAATTATAAGTATGCCAAGCATAGTAAGTGTTCAAGACACAACAGTTGTGGTTATGAATTACTGGTGAAATCAAGAACACGAGGTTGATTTTACATCTAGGGATTGAGAGTTCAATTTTTTTTCTTTCTTTTCTTTTTTTTTTTGAGACAGAGTTTTGCTCTTGTGGCCCAGGCTGGAGTACAATGGCACAATCTTGGCTCACCACAACCTCCGCCTCCCGGGTTCAAGCAATTCTCCTGCCTCAGCCTCCTGAGTAGCTGAGATTACAGGCATGCGCCACCACACCCAGCTAATTTTGTATTTTTAGTAGAGACGGGGTTTCTCCATGTTGACCAGGCTGGTCTTGAACTCCCGACCTCAGGTGATCCGCCTGCCTTGGCCTCCCAAAGTGCTGGGATTACAGGCGTGAGCCACCACGCCCAGACGAGTTCGACTTTCTCGGAGTTGTTAGTGAGACATGTCTCCTGATTTCTGCAAAGGTGGCTGAAACCAGTGACTGGACCTGGGCTAGTGGCTCTGAGGAACTCTGAGCAAGGATGACAACTGTGAATTTCACCATAAGGAAGGAGCAAGTGGGAAAGCCTTGGGAACAGCCAAGGTGTGAAGGGAGGGAGGAAGGGAAAGGTGTGGACTGGGAGCAGGAGGTGGGAGCCAGGCAGGCACAACACAGGTGCTGATGGGGAGATGGGCAAGGGGACACAGCACCGACATTGGACGGGTCCATTTCCAATCCCAGAGCCCTAGAGAAAGCATCCACCCAGATGCTCGGCCCGACTTGCCACTCCAGGGGGCTTCCTTCCATCTGCAAAGATGCAATGCCGACCTCTCCGAGATGGGCACCCGCTTGGGACCCCGCAGACTTAAGCCACAGAACCGGGGGAGCCAGAGGAGCCACTCCTCTCTCAGGACAAGGTGCTTCAGGCCACAGATCTCAGCCTGCGGAAAGGACACCATCCAGAGCAGCAGGGCACTCCAGCAGGTCCCTCTCTGGATATTTTGAAACATATTTTGCATCTCTGCTTCAAGAATCCCCAAGCTCTGCGGCAGTGGTCTGATGTCATAGAGGCAAAGTATTTTCTCAAGGCTGGTTTTTCAGAACAGAAACACGAAAAGTGAGCTGGCCACGGCCCCTTCTCAAGATGCACAACTGCAAGCATCAGCATTCATTCTCCTGGCACCTAAGGCCCTCGTGCACATCCATCCACAACCTCCCACCTGAACACCTGGACCAGATGCATCTCAGAGTCAGTCTTCTGCAAAAGGAAACAGGTGCAATCGCCCCGCAAGGTCCTCAACTGCATCAGGCAAACTCCCCTCCGTCCGCATCTAATGCACCTGCAGCAAAACACATCAGTGGCCCCAACACGCAGGATAAATAACGGCTATTTATCACTTCATGGCATTTCAGAGCAGCTTTTCCTGCCAGAATAATTTCTTTTTGTTCTATAGGGAAAGCCAGTTGCTAATAGCAGGCCTCTGGTGTGTGGTGTTGCTTTGCGTGTTTGATGCGTCTTTGATGACGGCATCAGTGGATCCGTTGTCCACACCAGCAATGATACCATGCTGTTTATTTCCTGAAACTTGTAAGGAAATATTTATTTTAGTAGGACAAATCTCCTTCCTTTTTATGCTTATTTTTTTAATTTTGACCTGGCTTTTTCTAGTCATTTAGTCTGTTCAGATACTAGAATCAACTTGTCCTCTGATGTGAAAAATTCTGTTACAATTTTGTTTTTTTGGTTTTTATTCTTTAACTTGTATTTTAGGTTCAGGGGTACATGTGCAGGTTTGTTATATGGGTGAACTCCTGTCATGGGGTTTGTTGTACAGATTCTTTCGTCATCCAGGTAGTAAGCCTAGCACCCAATAGTTATTTTTGTGCTCCTCTCCCTCCCCCGACCCTCCATCCACAAGTAGGGCCCAGTGTCTGTTGTTCCCCTGTTTGTGTCCATGTATTCTCATTATTTAGCTACCACTTATAAGTGAAAACATTTGGCATTTGGTTTTCTGTTCTTGCATTAGTTTGCTAAGGATAATGGCCTCCAGCTCCATCCATATCCCTGCAAAGGACATGATCTCATTCCTTTTTATGGCTGCAGAGTATTCCATGATGTATATAGAATATACACCATCGTATTTATACTATGCCATGGACTACTCGCAGCCATAAAAATAAATGAGAACACATCCTATTCCATATACACTATAGAATCCTACGGTGTATGTACAGCATATCTCTCAACCACATATAATTGAGTTGATATTTCCACTTGGGGAGAATTCTCATCGTTAAAACATTGGGAAAACAGAGTGTATGTCTGTAATTTCTTTAAGTTCTCCTCTAAGTTTCTCAATGGAAGTTCATTATTTTCTTTAAAAATTACTTAAGGCTGGGCGCGGTGGCTCACGCCTGTAATCCCAGCACTTTGGGAGGTCGAGGCGGGCGGATCACAAGATCAGGAGATCAAGACCATCCTGGCTAACACGGTGAAACCCTGTCTCTACTAAAAATACAAAAAATTAGCCGGGCGTGGTGGTGGGCACCTGTAGTCCCAGCTACTCTGGAGGCTGAGGCAGGAGAATGGCGTGAACCCGGGAGGTAGAGCTTGCAGTGAGCTGAGATGGCGCCACTGCACTCCAGCCTGGGCGACAGTGCAAGACTCCGTCTCAAAAAAAAAAAAAAAATTACTTAATAATTTTGGTAGAATACTAAGCAATACAATTTTCATCACTTTCATAATGGTTACTACAATTTCTAATTGTTTGAAGCTGTTATACATAAACAATATTGGTTTGTGCATGTTGCTAGATCTTGTACCTAGAAATCTCAGTGAACTTTCCTTTTCTATGTAAACCTACTCTATATAAACATTCATATAATCTGCAAATAATAGCAAATTGGTTTCCTCCTCTCTGGGATTCATAAACCATCCACCCTACCCTCTTTCTTCAAGAGAGTGTTGAGAGAAAATCTTTTATCTTGCCTCTGCCTTTGAAAACAACTGACCTGGAGTTTCACCATTGACATGATATCTGGGTGGTTACAAACACTTTTTTGTATTCAGGGTCCTTATGTCATATTCCCAATCTGCTAAAATATTAAGATATTGATATTATGCATTGGTTGGTTGAATTAGTCACTTTAAATACTATGGAGTTACATCTTTTATTAAATGCTTCTTTTGTCAATTGTGATGATAAGTATTTTTTCTTCTTAATTTCTTAATATGATCAATTATATTAATGGATTTTTCCTAATGTTATAAACTCATTGCATAAAATAAACTTGGAATAAATACTAATATATATAATTATATATTCATATATATAATTATATATATTCATACACATGTATATAAATTTTACATAGTCCTGAATTCAATTTATTATATTTTTACCATGTTTGCATCAACTTTCACAACAGAAATCAATGTAGCATTTTATTTTTTGTATTATCCTTGTCCAGTTTTGGTGTCAAGGACATCATCTTCTAGAAAGGCCTGAAAAGCTTTCTGATATTATTTCCCTCTGTGTTGAAAAGGAATTATTTGTCCCTTTAGGGTTTTGAGAAATTTACCCTCAAAATCCCCTTTGCGGTGCCTTGTTGGTGTTTGGTGCTGGGGAGAAAGGGAATTAAAAGATTTTTGAGTAATGCTACAATTTATAAAATAGTTACAGGTCTATCCTGAAATTTTGTTTTTCCTCTAGTAAATTTTGGTATTTTATAGTTTTCTATAAAATTTCCATTTCATCATAGATATTAAATCCATAGGCACAAAATAGACTCTAAGGCAGTATTCTCTTCTATTTTGAAAGTCCACAGTACCTATGAGAGGGTTCATTCTTACAGGTTGTATTTGTTATCTCTCCCCATTTGGATTCACGGCTTTCCACAGAGTGATATCTATTTCATCAATTATTTCAAATAAGCTTCTTTTAGCTTTCTGGGCTTTCTCTGTTATTTTTCATATTTTATTAATTTCTGCTTTTAATTTCACAACTTCCATTTTTCTAAATTTTGTTCTGTTTGTTTTGGGGTGTGTGCGTATGTGTGTGTTCAGACTAATGTTTGTTCTGCTAACTGACTGAGTTGAATGCTTATGATACTTTTCAACTTTCTATTTTTAATGAAAGAAATAAAACATTACTGCTAAACTGGTGTTTTATGATCTTTGCCTTGAAGTCTTCCTTGTGTGACATTAATATTAACACACCTGCTTTATATTTTAAAACATATGCATATATTTTCCTGGATATATTTTTCCATTGAAATATCTTCTGTTTATATCATTTTGTTTTAAATGTGCCTCTTTAAATTCTCTATATATGATCGTAATGATTACCCTTAACTCTGTCTACTCAAAGTTTATGAAGATATTTTACCATGCTAATTCTAAAAGATATATATTTTTAACTTTGAAATTTAGATCCCAAGTCTAACAAATTGTTTTTTGAGTATGGTACAAAGTAGTTCTTAAAATCCTTTTTTTTTTTTTTTTTTTTTTTTTTTTTTTTTTTTTGATGTAGACATCCAATTGATCAATAGCTGGTCAGAAACCATCGTATTTTTTTAGCACATATATTCAGCCTAACATTTTTCTAAAAGTCATAATAAATAGTTTTCCTTCTACTGGAGAAAATTAGACATTTAGCATACTTTCACTTTCTCCTCGCTCCTTTCCTGCCCAATTCTCACCACTGCCATGTTAAGATCCTACTTTTTAGTATAAAAATATGTTCCTAGTTTTATATATTTTACCTAGAAATCAATTTACAATTAACTACAACATTCTGCTGTTTCTTTTCTTGTCATTCTTCTTCATCCCATGGTCCTTATTCTTATTGGGCTCATGATTTTTGTTTGTTTACTACTGTTTTGTTTAGATGTATATTCAAGTTATTTTTCAAAAGAGCCCATAGACTGTAAATTGATTTTCTGAGGTTTTTTATGCATGAAAATTGGTTATTTTGCTCCTCGATTTGAATAATAGTTTGTCTGGGCATAGAATTACAGACTCAAAATATTTTCAGATCTTGGAAGTCATTTTCTCTGAAGGTGTGATGTGGCTATTAGAAATTTGTCACCAGTAAGAAGCTTGTTCCATACTAGGAATCTCTTTTTGGTGGTGTCACGCTATAAAAGATTTGGGGATAGTTTCTTAACTTTTGAAGTTCTTTATTTAGAATGTATCTAAGTGCTTGCATTTTTTTCTTAATCTCTTTTGTCCCAAAATAGACTCTTTTTAATCTAAAAATGCACGACTTTCCTCAATTCGGGGAAACATTCTTCTTTCCATCTGTGAGCATTTCCTTTCTTCTAATCTCTTTCCTCCTCTGTCTCACTCTCTTCTGGTAAAACTCCACAACCCAGGCATCTAGACGAATGATTCAGTGTTTGGCCATTCTGCTACTCAGACATATCTCAGGTATTTTAAAAATTTCCAAGAACTCTGATAATTTTTATTCCTTATGTTTTTTTTCTTTTTCTTTTTACTTCTCAGGTTGTAACCTGTGAATTTATCCTGAATACCCCCAGGTTGGCAGCTTTCTTGAAGACAGCAGAGGGCCCCTCCCTTCCATGTCTCCTTCCATTCCATTCTCTTGTTTTGTATTTCTAATTGATATATCATAGCTGTACATATTCTGAGGCCATATGATATTTTGATACACATATACAGTGTGTAACGATCCAGTCATGGTAACTGGGATATCCACCTCCTCAAACATTCATCTTTTCTTTGTGTTGGGAGCAGCACAATTCTTTTCTTCTGGCTATTTTGAAATAGACAATAAATTATCGTCAACTATAATTTCCCTACTGTTCTCTTGAACACTAGAACACTGCAGCTGGTTCTGCTCCGCCTTCCTGTTCAGCTTCACTCTTGGGTTACCAGTAGCCCCCTGCCCCTCCCCCACGCAGTGTGCATCACGACATCATGATAAAAACTGCACTGGCTGAAGCTGAAAAGTGACATCCTCACGATCTCCGTTTTATAGAACAAATTCAGGCCCATGGAGGCAGACTCCAGAATACACAGACTCTGCTGCAGCGCCGTGCAGCCTCCGGCCCTTCCTTTTGTTCAGAAGCCAGTTCTTCCTGTGCCCACTTGTTCAGTTGCCCTGAGGACTGCGCCCATGCCCCGTCTCTGCCTGCCTGTTGGGCACAGGGTTTGGCCTCATCTTTGCAGTAGCTTTTCCTGCTGTTTTTTGTGTGTGGTTCGCTTTGGTTTCTCCACCCGTCTGATCCTACCCCTCCTCCTGAGAAATCCTGCAGCCTCTTTGTCTCTTTCATGGTATCTCTTGCTGGTTATACACTTATTCTACCTTTTTCTGTCATTTTTATGGCATTTTTAGGGGCAGAGGACATGACTGCTCTGTTTGGTGGACTGCTTTGGTCCTGAAGTCATCTTCCCAAAGGTACCATGACCTCTTTAGAGAGCTCTGCAGCTCCTGGTGACTCAAGTACCTGGTCTGGACCACCTAACTCAGCCCAGGGGACCCTTTAGGGTTGTACCAGCCTCCCCATCTTACCCTGGGGTCTCCCCTGGCCTTTATTCACCCAGCCAGTCCCTGCCCCAGTGGTGAAGTTCAGCTCCTAAATATGCCAGGTAGGCTCCACACACTAGTCACTCCACTGAGACACTCCTGATTTCTCAACCAACTGCAGGTCTTCTCCACCCGGCCCTGCCCAGCTCCAGTGCCTGGCTGGCTGTGCACCCCCGTGCTGCACTGCTTTTGCTCTCTGGTGTCTTGTTGCCTTTCCCAGCCTCCCCGCCTCTCAAAGGGCAGGGGTCAGCGCATGCTTCCCTTATGGGAGGAATTCGCTTTGTTCATTAAAGGAGTGTGAGAGTGAAATGCAGGTGCCCCTTGTCTGGAAAGACTTGTCCCTGTCTCCTGGCATCTGTGTTCCCAGTCCCTTCGCTCTGCCATGGTTTTCCTGCTTCTGTGAGAGCAGCTCTCTCATTTCATCACCATCATTGCTTTCATGGCTGGCATTGAGTGTCTGTGGCTTTTCCAGGTGCGTGGTGCAAGCTGTCAGTGGATCTACCGTTCTTTGGTCTGGAGTACGGTGGCCCTCTTCTCACAGCTCCACTAGGCAATGCCACAGTGGGGACTCTATGTGGGGGCTCCAACTCCACATTTCCCTTATGTACCACCCTAGCAGCGGTTCTCCATGAGGGCACTGTTCCTGCAGCAATTTTCTGCCTGGACATCCAGGCATTTCTGTACATCCTCAGAAATCTAGGTGGAGGTTCTCCAACCTCAATTCTTGACTTCTGTGTACCTGCAGGCTGAATACCATGTCTAAGCTGCCAAGGCTTGGGGCTTGCACCCTCTGAAGCAATGGCCTGAGATGTACCTTGGCCCCTTTCAGCCACAGCTGGAGCTGAAACAGCTGTTGTTGAGTGAAAAAAAATCAAGCCGTTTTAGTGGTTTGATTTGAGCAGAAATGTTTTACATCCATTGACCTAATGATCAATCCATGGGGACATCTGCTGAGCCCTTTCAGTGCAGTGCTAAGCCAGGCCACTTTTGCAGTGTGAGCCCCCACCTCACAGGGTCAGGTCACTGGCCCCGGACTCCTCCCTTTAAGAGCCTGAGGTCAGGCTACACCTGCCCCCAAACTGCAGAGCACAACAGTCCCTTGCATCCTCTCGCCCGGGGGTGCACCTCTCTCCCGGTCCAGGGAGGCTGTCTGCTGGCCCTGATGCTCCTTCACCTGCCCCAAGGCTGAAGGAGGGCTCTGCAGAGGGTGCTGTTGTCTCCAGAATGGGCGTGACACACAGTCCTCAGAGAGCCCCACAAACCCCATTACCCCATTTTACTGATGTGGAATTGGAGTCGCAGCCAGGGGTCTGTCTGGATCTGAATCCGGGCTGCTAACGTCCACACCCACCCCCTCTACCACGCCGTCGTGCTGCACCTCTGACAATCAAAGGCCACGGGATGCATGAGAGTTTGGAAGTTCCTTCCTGAATTTTTAAAAACACCCATAAAAGTTTAATACTCAAAAGCATTAAAAAATACCATAAAAATACTGTCTGTCTCAAGCCCAGGGATGTGTTTTTCTCTCCTGTGGTCAAAACTAAAATTATCCTCTTGTGTGAGAAAGCTCATGTATCTCATTAGATGCCTGAAGCCCACCAATAAAGCAAATTAAAGATTAAAACCCAGCAGGCCCCCTCTTTCAGAGATGTGTCTGCATCCTCCCAGCTTCTGCCTGGCTCCCAGGCCTCCACTTCCTGCTTCTTGTACCCTATTGAGGGATTTAGGGTACAAGGTTGGAGAACAGCCTCTGAGCAATGCTTCCCACAGGCATCCCAACAGGAGATCTTGATCTTGAAACAAATACTTAAGTTTAGGTAGGTTTTCTATGGTGAAAAGACAGGAAAAGAAAGGAGATATGACTCTCGCCCCATTGGTCTGTGCCAGGGCTATATGTTTGCCTTCAAACCCCATCCTAGGATGGATCCCAATGGCTATAGGGAAGTCAGGAGGGAGGAGAGGCAAAAGTTTGGGAGGTGAATGACCACAGGATGCCAAGGCAGGGGTGTTAGGGACTAAATCGAGCCTTCTGAAAAATCCATATGTGGAAGCTCTAACTCCTAGTGTGGCTGCATTTAGAAAGGGTGTCTTTAAAGAGGTGAGTGCATTAAATAAAATCATATGGATAGACCCTAATCCAACATGGCTGGTGTCCCATAAGATGAAATTAGGACACAGACATATACAGAATGATGACTGTGTGAGAACACAGGGAAAAGATTGCATCTACAAGCCAAAGAGAGAGAGGTCCCAGGAGAAACCAGCCCTGCCAATGCCTTGATCTTGGACTTCCAGCCTCCAAAACAGTGAAAAAATGCATGTCTGTTGTTTAAGCTGCGCGGTCTGTGGTGCTTTGTTACAGCCTCCCAAGCTGACTAATACAAGCAATAACCCAGACACATGTCACAGGACACCCCTGGAGAACAAGCCTGGATGCACCAATCCACTCTCTTCCCACATGGGAAGCGCTGTCCTCAGAAACAAACTGCTCTGTGGCTCTACAGGGCAGGGTAAGAACTCGGGCGAGGACACTCAATTAGGAAGAGTCACAGACGTCCAACAGATCAATGACTGGCTGCTTCTCCATGGAGCACAAGCCACAGCAAAGTGACATTCAAGGGACATCAAGAAGCCATTCAGGAGGAGATGTGGTAGGATGAGGTTTGGGGATTGAACCATCCTAGAATAGCAATGGCCCTGCCCCTGGCATCAACCACTTCAGCGTCGGTAACGCAGCATCTCTCCAACCTGCGCAGTGTGGGAACCTCCCTCATTCGCACTCTAGGACCTCTCAGTTACACTGGAACTGTTAGATCCTAAGCCTCTGGCACTGCCAGTGACAGGCTCTCCCTGGTGCAGGACTCACCAGTGTCACCTTGCTGCACAATGGTCATGCTGTCCTGTGTCAGAGCCAAGGGGCCCTGTGGCTAGAGCAGCATCACTTGGCAAGCTGACCTTGGTGGAAGTCCTCCCATTCTTCCCGTTACCTCCTGGTGGGTTTACCCTTAGCAAGAGGGGCTCCTCAGGCTATGAAGGCAGCAACCAGAGGGGGAACTGATATGGTGAGGAATGCCAGAAGATTGGAATAGCAGCTATGTTCATTCATTAAGGAGAAGCAGGGCCTCCTCAGGAAGCCCTGGAATGGTAGAAGCTCAGGACCCACCTTCTGTGCTCTCCTTCCCCCCAGGACAGTGCCCCCAAGAGGCTTTCCCTGCACTGCTGCTTTGCTTTTCCTGCCAGCTTTCAGGGTCTCCTGGGGCCTGGCACCCTCCCCTGCTTCCCACATTCAGCCTCAGTGCTCAGGAAAGGTGGCTGCAGGAGTCGCTCCTGTCCCCTGGCAGCATCAGTGCCATTCAGGGGGGCAGCTGTCTGTCCTTCTGCTTTGGGAATCACACAGAACTTGGGTTCAGATCTGCCTTCCACCATCTGCTTGGGAAACAGAGCCAACCTCAGCCCTGGTCTTCTCATCTGCACGCTGTGGGCTTCCTGGCATGCAGAGGTGCATTGTAGAGGATGAGCAGGTGAGTATCTGGTGTCCAGAGCAAGATATGAACCTGCTGCTATCCCAGGAGGGCCCCCCAGCCCCAGCACCCAGCGTCCCTCTCCTGGTGAGCAACGAGCCCCCAGCTCCACATGGGGACCACAGAGAATATCTTCTGGACTCAGCCTAGAAAGCTTTCAGTTTGGAGCCCACAGGGCAGAGGCTCTGTGAGGGTCACATAGCCCCCACTTCACAGGGTCAGGTTATTGGCCCTGGACTCCTCCCTCTAAGAGCCTGAGGTCAGGCTACACCTGCCCCAAAACTGCAGAGCACAACAATCCCCTGCATCCTCTCACCCGGGGGTCCACCTCTCTCCCAGCCCACGGAGGCTGTCTGCCAGCCCCAATGCTCCTTCACATGCCCCAAGGCTGAAGGAGGGCACTGCAGAGGGCGCTGTTGTCTCCAGAATGGGCAGTACAAATGGGGGCCTCTGAAGCTGCTGAAACACTTTTAATGGATCTGGCGCGGCCTCTCTGGGCAGGCGTGGGGAGTGACCAGGGCCGGGGGCTTCCCGACAGCTCAGCGCTCTGAGGGGTGCTGCCTGCCTCTGCCATGTTCATGCCTGCATCCCCGCTGGACAGTGAGCACCTGGTGTCTCCTGTGCTCCTTCCTCTCCACCTCCAGGGCCCTGCCACGTGAATCCTCTTGGCATTTATTTAACTTCCCTGGAGTCCACTGGAGGATGCCAACGCCCGAAGAGCAAACAGGAGCCCCCAAGAACCCTGAAGGCCAGTGAGCATAGAGAGCGTTTGAGGAGGACAGAGAGCACCCAGTGCCAGAGCCTGACCCCACATCCTGCAGGCCCCTCAGGTAAGTCACCTTCACCTGACTTAACAAGTCAGGTGACCCAAATTGGGCTTTGTAGGAATCCTAAGAACTGAGCCCCAGTAACTTGTACTCCAGCCAGGGGTGGCTGTGGGAAGGCGGAGCTGGTTGTGGGGGAAACCGCGTTCCCTGGGCAGCCTCTGTGCACCTGGGCACCCCCTGCTGTCCTGCCAGGTGCCTGCCTACCCAGGAAGTGCCATCTTCTCCACTTACTTCATAGGAAAATGTCACAAAAATAAACCTCACAGAGAGTCACAGTGGACGGCAAGTGCAGGTGTAACTATTCAAGGCAGGGGGTGGTTTCTTCCTTTTTTTCTCTATTTTAAAATAAAACAGACATTAGCGGTATCAGTAAAGTACATTTTAAAATGTTTCCTGGGAGAGGCCGGGCGTGGTGGCTGATGCCTGTAATCCTAGCACTTTGGGAGGCCGAGGCGGGCGGATCACCTGAGGTCAGGAACTCAAGACCAGCCTGACCAACATGGTGAAACCCCGTCTCTACTAAAAAAAATACAAAATTAGCCGGGCATGATGGCGCATGCCTGTAATGCCAGCTACTTGGGAGGCTGAGGCAGGAGAATCATTTGAACCTGGGATGTGGAGGTTGCGGTGAGCCGAGATCGCACCATTGCACTCCAGCCTAGGCAGTAAGAGCAAAACTCCATCTCAAAAAAAAAAACGTTTCCTGGGAGAAAAGCCCATCTCCCTCCTCCCTGTGGAGGGGATGGCCCCCCGGTGCTCCAAGGCCCCCCTGAGTGAGCACCTGGCACACTCAGGGCTCGAGCAACACTGAGGACAGGGGCCAGGAGGGAAGAAGGCCTGGAACGTGGGACCTGCCCTCTGGCTGCAGGCTCGGAACAGAGCCGGGTCTGACATGGCTGCTCCTCAGACCTCCTTGGGGAGACCAGCCTGCTGGTCTCAAAGAAGAGGCTTCCTGCACCTCAGGGGTCTACCTGTCAGGAGCCAGGCCATCCCTACCTGTGAGGACTTGCTGGCACCTTTACATGGTACCACACCCACCCTGAGACCCTCATTCCAATAGTGAGGCCAGGATCAGCTTGGGCCCCACACCTCAAAGGAAATCCACGAAGACAGCCACCCCAGAGACTGATCAGGAGCCCAGAAGCCGCCTCACCCCACACACTCTTCCCCTGTCCCCTCCCAGCCCTGTCACCCTGCACAGAAGGTGCTCCACTCAACCATGGGGCACCGCAGGCAAGAGAGCACCTTGCAAACCATGACCCCTTCCTGCATCAATCAAGTTTCCTTCCTTGTCTTCACACTAAACTTCCAGACGTAATTACCTGCGTTCACCACCAAGTTCCCCCATCGTCGTGCACAGCTGTCACCGAAGCCCACAGAGACCTCCCTGATGCAATTCCCAGCATGCACCTGAGTCAGCCCGAGGAAGACCCTCTGCAGCCATGGCCTCTCGTCCTCTGTCATCTCCACTCCCCGTGGTTCTCCCTCCTGAGCAGGGATGTTCTTCAGGCTTCTTCCAAGGCACTCCCCATTCCCCACTCCACACTGCCCCTGGCAAGCTTCTCCTCTCCTGCTCTGGAGGTTTTGTGAGAATTGGAACCACCTTCCTCGTGGCTCAGGAGTGCATACCCTCTGTGCTCCCTGAGCATGTTACAGCAGCTCCCCACACGATCCTTCTCCCCCAGGCATGGGGGTCTCCTCCACCTCCACCCTGTTGTCCACACAGTCCTCATGCGCTGCCACTTCACCTCCTGATGACTCAGCCTGCCCACCCTTGCCCTCCGTCCCTGTAGCCATTGACCGCGCACATCCATGGTTTCCTGCCCATACCACGGACCAGCTCCCAATTGCTCCAGTGACAGGGAACCATTTATGAAGCTGATAGTTCTTCCGCATAGAAAGTGGTCCCCACCCTCTTTGGACACGGTGAGGTGGGTAAATCTCAATGTAGTCTCCGTGACCCCAGCTTCCCTGTGTGCTGTCCCCGGTGCACGGCACCACGGCAGTGATACACCTGCATTACATCTGCTGTAGGACTGGACACCTTCCTGCACGTCATGCTAGGAATGGTGCCTGGTACACAGTAAGTACCCAATTCATGTTAGATGCTATTGCTGTACTATGCAATTGTGCTGCCGTGGTGTTATGGTTCCTGGCCCCATTCCTACGTTGAACAAGTCCAGATCGTTACATGTCATCATGCATCTGTCCACTCGCTCAGCTACTGCTCATTCAACAATGAGTTGCTGTCACCTGTGACGCGGGAGACACTATCCTACTCTTCAAGCAGGCCTCTGTCTCAGGACCCTCATCGCGTTCTTCACCCCACTAATGTCCAGGTCTCTCCCCTCAGGTGAGAACTCAGTGGGGGTGCCCAGCCTGCCCCTGGAGCCTAAGAGTAGGCCCCTCATGGTGGTGGTCAGACATCCAAGCAAGGGGAAGTTCACTGTGTGATGTGAGGCTCATCGGCATGGCTGCTCACAGCCTGCAGCCTCCCGTGCACACCAGGGACAGGGAGAGCTCGGGAGAGGCTGCCTCCAGCCTGACGCAAGACAGGAGGCAAGAACAAGATCGGGGGTTGACATAGCAACAAAGCCAGAAATATCACCACAGTCTCTGCCAGGGAACACAGCTGGGGAAATGCCATCACCCAAAGCCCGCGCCACTCAGAGCATGGACGCTCTGCTGCCGCATTGATCCTCCGCATACTGAATCTGGCACGGGGCAATAATGGCTGTGGCTGCTCGGCCACTTAGGAGATGGAAAGAGAGGTGCTTGGAGGAGCAAGTGCAGTGCCCATCAGGGCTTCAGGGTGCCTGGCACAAAGCAGGTGCTCAGTAAATATTGGGTAGTCCTGTCCATCCTCCATCCTCCAACCATCCATTAATTAATACTTGTAATCATTTAAATTGAGGCCATAAACCACGTGGCATTCTGACCACATGCACAGTGACCCAGCTGTTCTTGGTGCCACAGAGAGGCCTCGGGCTCCTGTGGCAAACTGAGGCCGGCCAGCATTGGGCAGAGCCACTGAGGGGCTGGTGCCTGGGGTCAGAATTCCAGCTGCCCCCATCACTGCATAGCCAGAATACTAAGGAGTTTGCAATGTCGTGAAATTTCTATCATTTTGGACTCCATGTTGTGGAACCCAACCCACGTGTGTGGTGTCCTGGCCCTAACCTCATGACAAGGAGGCTGATCTCATCTTTCTATGGGGCAAGGGGGAGTCTTGCTAATAGGTCATGTTCGGCCCCATCGCTCCAGGTGCAGTGCAGAGCTAGAAGAGCGTGCAGATGGTGAGGAGGTAAGACACCGCCATCGTCAGGGGGTTGCGTCCCACACGGAACAGGCTCGCTGGCCCGACAGAGGATGGAGGATGGTGTGAGGGTGAGCAAGGTGAGGCAGGTCTGGGAACGAGGAGGCTCTCACCAAGGCTTTAGAAAGAGTGAGTGCTCTCAACAATGGTGTGATGGTAGCAGGGAATCAAATGTCAGTTTCTAAACAACACCCATCTCAGTAGGGAATGGCCAGGAGGCTCCTCCTTCCACCCTGTGATGTTGAAAACCAGCACACTGACATTTTCATTATGTGCTTGTCTCTCATGAGCTTCCCACCTGTGTCTGATCAAGTCTGAGCCCCAGACAAAAGACAGCATCTGGGCCCAGGTGGCTATGGCCATACCTTGGATGATGGCAAATTCGCCAAACAATGGTGCCTGGTGACACAGCTTGAGTGCCTACCACCACCACGAAACCATCATCACCAGGTGCTGGACACTGTCACAGGATGAAGCCATGAGAAGGCCCAATCTCAACCCTCAAAAGCTTGCACGGTCCAGAAATGTCTCCCCAGAGGAACCCCAAACTTCACCTGCTTCACCTCTTTCCATTTTTGCCATGCTATTTTGTGAACATTCTTTGGAACTCAGAAGTGGTGTTTAATGTGCAGAGTCCCTCCCACGATTATTTTTTCTTGGTGGAAGATTCATTGACCTTTCCACTGGGGGAGCTGGCAGAGTCTCTAGAAGCCATCATAGCTTAGCTTACTCAGAAAATGATTTCCCCGAGGATCAGATAAAGCGCGTCTGCACAGTCCTGACCAGGCTGTAACACAGAGATATCCCTGAGTCCTGCTCAAAGTCAGCAAATCCCACAGATGGCAACTTCATCAAACAGCAGTTGCTGGTCTAAGCTCCTTATCACTCCGAATCTGCAGGGGCTCTTGAAGCCTCTCGGCGGGAGGAGAGCACACTTTTTCTTTATCCCCCTCACACTATTCATCTGAGTCCAGCTCCTTCCTGGGGACAGGGAACTTGGCTCCTTTTCTTGTTACAAACCTCCAGGCCTCGGGTGCCTGGAGACCTTACCAGGGCAGGATTCGCCACTGACTGCCCTGTGTCTTGTGCTAAGCTGGGGGTGTTACCTCTGTCTCCAGGAGCACAGTTTTCTCTGGGTGATTGAATGAAATGCACCTTCTGTCCTTCTGTCTATTCTTGTCAGCCGTCATAGGGCAATGCTTTTACTTGCTTCTTTTAGTATCCTTGTTTCTTCTGAGAAGAAAAACATTCCAAGGTAGAAGCAGTATCTGGGACCAGATCTCAGAAAATGTGGCATGCATCATCCTGAAGCCAGGATGGCATTGAGCACCATGGCCAAGCGGGACCACCCAAGAGTTCAAGCAAAGAGGGGAGATGGTCAGACTTGTGTTTGTGAGTTTCTGGTTGCAAGGTAGAGAATGGCTTGGCTTGGGGGACACAGCTCAGCATCAGTTGTGACATCTCGGTATGTCTTCAGTTCAAGCCATCAAAACACGCTGGCTGAGCTGGTATGATACATTCACTTCATTTTTTTCTTTCGTTGTTGTATTTGATTTTCACATGCAGTCTCAGGAGAAAGGCAGGGCAGGCAAACTTTTTATACTAACTTTTCAGAATTGTAAAAGGCATCACTGAAATTTTTAAGAAGCATTTATATTCCAAGGCATGTAAAAATCAAGTTTATATGCCTCTTTCTCATTCAGCCTTATTTAATCCTCATGAAATCCTGATAGGCAGTAATGTTATTCCTGTTTTATGGATGGAGAGGCTGAAGCTCAGACGCACTGCCTGACATTCCTAGCCCAGAGCAGGTTCAAAGCCATGCATGCAGGATGGGGACTCTCGGGCACCAGGATGGACATGGGATCTGCAGGCGGGGGTGACACAGGCACAGAGAAGCCATCTGTGCCCCAAGTCTGTGAGTTCCTTCCATCCCATGACCTCTCAGTGGACTCTCATTTCCCAGGACTCTCCTGGCACTGGTAGAAACCCGGGATGATAAACGTCATAACTGCTAGGTGCCACGCAGTGCTGTGTTCTGTGCATTGCCTCACAATCCAGTTCACTGCAGCATTTCCCGGGAATCTCCGCCGTGTACTGAGCTCTTGAGACATGTGAGGGTTGAGCCCTGGGCCCTGCCCTCTGGAGCCTTGGGAGCCAAAACAGACAAGGTAAGCCGCACAAGGTAATGCTAGACCGACAGGCAGTCCTGTGGCTCCTCCGTGGACCTCTGATGCCACCGATGTCAAAAGGGAACCATGCGACAGAACCAAGAGTGTGTGCGAAGCTTCCATGAGGGGGCATGAAGAGAGCATAAAAAGCTGCAAGAGCCACACAAATGCTGTTTAAAATGCTGTTACTACTAAACGATGGGGTGTTATTTGTGGTTGGAACAGGAGCTTCCCAAGCAGAAGGGATAGAATTTGCAAACACGCTGAGTTATAAGGTGATTGAAATGTCCGTGGGACTGCAAAGTGAAGGGAACTAATATCAATTTAGTTCTTAGCATGACTAGGTCATTTGCTAGGCAATACGAAAGCAACCACACAAAACAATAACACAATGTAGCTGTGGAAGGCACAGTTTCAGAGTTCTCACTAATGACAGGCACTTGCAAAGTGCTGTGGGTACCCTTATCCTCTCAGAGCTCCAGCAGACCTGGGCGGGGACTGCTGTCATCCCGTGTCACAAATGAGGCCACCAAAGTTTACAAACTGTCCCAGGACACACAGCCACAGACACTGTGGTCACTGGTCTGTCCAGTGGTCCATACTTCCCTCTCAACAATGAAACCCCTAGAGCCCACAGTGTGGGGGCCCATGATGAAGACCCCCAGTCCTGCCTGTTCCATGCCATCTAGATGATGCTGACCCAACCCCTCTCCTCACCCCCATTCAGACATCAGGCCACAGAGGCAGCCACATGACCTCAGCCTGGACAATCAGCTTGTGGACAAGAACTCCACATTCTTGAGAAAGTATCTGGGGTCAGGGATGGGCCTGTGACCTGAGCAGGGCGTTTCCTGCAACTGTCCAGACAGACTACTGGGAGAGGGTGTCCCTGTCCACAGCTGGTCCAGTGGACTTGGGAGCTGCTGGTGACCATCTGGCTCCAATGCAGAGAGAGATGTTTTGAAAAGGCAGCCAAAGAAAAGCTGGACCAATGGAGGGAGAGAAAAAACAAGAGTCCTGGTCATGTCTTTAGAGATTCTGGATCAAACCATGCCTGAAGCCAAATCATTCTTTGGACTCTTCAGTTACATGAGCCAATATGTTTCATTGTTATTGTTGTTTAAGCAATTTAAACGCAATTTCCTTTTTGTAAAGAAAGGGTTCTAAGTAATAGTATGGTAGAGTCAGAATAAAACCCGGATTCCACGTTCGTGGTGACCGTGGCGGAGTGGGCACTGGATGTCTGTATCTGTTTGTAATAACAACAGTTATGGGATTAGCCCCGAATAAAAACAGTAGCAAGGAGCCTTTGGTGAGCCCTTTCGATGTCACTGTGACTTCCTCCCTATGCTAACTCTGGGATATGGCTGTTATAGTCACCCCATTTTCCATACCAGGGCGACAAGTACCAGCAGAGTGGGCATGGCTTGGTGGCTTGCCCAGAGTCACACAGCAGATCCGTGAAGGGATGAGGTTTGTAGGCAGCTGCGGGAATGCAGCCTGGGCTCTAAGTGTTTTGCACAGTAAGCAAATGGAGTTTGAACCATTCTTTAGAAAAGAAGCTCCTGGAGTATTTAAAGTTGAGGTGTGGTGGGCTGGATGCACAGTTAAGAAAAACCACATTGGCTGCAGGGAAAAAGACGGGTTGGAGGGAGAGAGAATGAAGGCAGTCAGGCAGAGGGGCCATAACAGGATGAACAGTTCAGGTGACAGGCGAGGAGGGCCTGGCTCAGCCGGTCAACAACAGCCTGATGCTCACCTGCTGAGAAGTGAGTCTCTGGGAGGACGGCTTGGCCTGATCTGTGGCCTCATGCTCTGCACCACTGGGCAATTCAGGCACGGCCACACGGTGACGCCACTCTTTCTCTGGCCTTCCGTAGGGCTCTGATGCACACAGCTTCAATATCACAACCCCACCAGTCCTCAGCAAGACTGGAAGAGTCTGATGGTTCTTTATATTATTTTTTAAAAATCGTCCCACCGTACAAATAACTTTTTTGATGTGCAGTTCTATGAATTTTAACACTGTAACCATTAAGATTCAGAACAGCTCCATCACTCTAAAACACGCCCTCCTATTGATAGAAGAACAATTTGGATGAATTTCAAAGACATTATGCAGAAGGAAGGAGGTCAAGCTCAGAAAGCTTTTTGAATTTCATACAGAATCAGAGTATAAAGTTTGGAGATTGACTTCCTTCTTTCCACATAATGCCTTTGAAATTCATCCAAATTGTTGCATATTATCAATAGTTCATTTCCTTTTGTTGCTGAGTAACATTCTTTTGTATGGATGGATCACAGTTTGTTTATCCATTCACCTGCTGAAGGGCATTTGGATTAGCTCCAATTTGGGGTGATCATTAATAAAATTGCTATGAAATTTTCTTACATGTGTGCACACAAGTTTACTTTCCCCGGGAGCAGGATCTCAGCCATACGGTGTCTGCTTAATCATGAAGAAGCTGCCAAACTATGTCTCAGAGTGGCTGCATCCTGTTGCATTCCCACCAGCAGGAAATGAGAGATCCAGTCTTTCTAGTCTTGCTAGCACTTGGCATTCTCAGTAATTTCATTTTGGCCATTGTAATTGATGTGCAACGGCATCTCATTATGGTTTTATTTTGCACTTCATCAACGGCAAATGAGGGAAAATATTTTTATGTGATGATTTCCCTTCCTTGTGATCGTTTGGTAAAATGTCTTTTTCCATCTTTTGCCTATTTCTGTTTTGTGTAAATTTATGGGATACAAGTGTAATTTTGTTACATGGATATATTGCATTGTGGTGAAGTGAGGGCTTTAACATATCCATCAGCTGAATAATGTACATTGTACCCACTAAGTAATTTCTTGTCCTGTCTCCATCCCACTCCCCACCCTGGGTCTCTGTTATCTTTCATTCCACTCTTCACGTCCCTGTGTACATATGATTTAACTCCCACTTATCAGTGAGAACGTGTGGTATTTGTCTTTCTGTTTTCTGAGCTGTTTCACTCAAAATAATGGCCTCCAGTTCCATCCCTGTTGCTAAAAGATATGATTTCATTCTTTTCATGGCCGAATAGTATTCCATTGTATATAGAGATCACATTTTCCCTACTCAAACATCCCTTCGTGGATACTTAGGTTGGTTCCTTGTCTTTGCTATTGTGAATACTGCTGCGGTCAACATGAATGCAGGTATCTTTCTGGTATCACAATTTCTTTAACTTTGGGTGTACACCCAGTAGTGGAACTGCAGGATCAAATGGTAGTTTTTGTTGAGAAATTTCCATACTGCTTTCTATAAAGGTTGCACTAACTTACAGTCCCATCACCAGTGTATAAGTGTTCCCTTTTCTCTGTATCAACATCTGTGATCTTTTTGTCTTTTTAATAATAGCCATTCTGGCTGGTTTAAGATGGAACCTCATTATGGTTTAAATTTGCACTTCTTTGATGATTAGTGATGTTGAGCATTGTTCCGCATGCTTCTTGGCCATTTGTATGTCTTCATATCTTCTTTGAAAAATATCTATTCACATCCTTTGCCCACTTTTCAATGAGATTGTTTGGGGTTTTGTTGTTGTTGTTGTTGAGTTGTCTGAGTTGTTTGTAAATTCCGGATATTAGTCCCTGTTGGATGGATAGTTTGCAAATATCTTCTTCCACTCTGCTAGTTGTTTGTTCACTCTGTTGATTGTTTCTTTTGCTGTGCAAAAGCTTTTTCGTGTAATTAAGTCTTTTGTTTATTTCTTAATTGGTGCATTTATTTTCTTACTGCTAAGTTTTAAGACTTTTAAAAACATATTCTGTATCCAAGTATTTTGTTGGATATGTGGTTTGCAAATGTTTTAGCCCAGTCTGCAAGTTGCTGTATTGGTTTGCTGTGGCTGCCCTAAAAAAGTCCCACACGCTGGGGAGCTTAAACAAAGGGAATTTACTATCTCACTGATACGGTTTGGCTCTGTGTTTCCATCCAAATCTCATGTTGAATTGTGATCCCCAATGTTGGAGGAGGGGTCTGGTAGGAGGTGATTGGATCATGGGGGTGGATTTCCCCCTTGCTGTTCTCGTGATGTGAGTTCTGACAAGGTCCAGTTTTTAAAAAAAATGTGTAGCACCTCCCCCTTCACCATCCTCCTCTTTCTGTGGCCACATGAAGACATGCCTACTTCCCCTTCATCTTCTGCCATGATTGTAAGTTTCCTGAGACCTCCCCAGCCATGCTTTCTGTACAGCCTGTGGAATCGTGATCCAATTAAATCTCTATTCTTTATAAATTACCTGGTCTCAGGTAGTTCTTTACAGCAGTGTGAGAATGGACTAATACACTCATACTTTTTTTGGAAACCAGAAGTCTGAGATCAAGGTGACTCTGCAGGATTGGTTTCTCCGGAGGCCTTGCTTCTTCACATGTAGATGAGATGCTGTCTTCCTCCTGTGTCCTCCTGTGGTCTTCTATCTGTGTGTGTCTTTGTTATAGTTTCCTTTCTTTATAAGGACACGAGTCAGATTAGAGTAGGACTCACCCTAATGACCTCACTTTAACTTGATCACCTCTGCAAAGACTCTATCTCCAAATAAGGTCACATTCTGAGGTACTGGGGTTAGGACTTCAACATGGGAATTTTGGGAGGATACAATTCAACCCATAACAGTCACCTTTGCATTCTCTTAACAATGTCTTTTGCAGCAAAAGCTCTAATTTTGATAAAGTCCAATACATTATTGCTTTCTTGTATGAATTATGCTTTTGATGTTAAGTCACATCTAATAATGCTTTCCTCAACTCCCTGATCCCAAATATTTCCTCCTGTGATTTCTTTTAAAGGTTTTCCAGTGTTTGCATGTTATATGTAGATCCATAATACATCCTGAGTTAATTTTTGAATATGGTACGAGTCTTAGGCTGAGGTTCTTATTTTTGGCATATAAGGGACCAATTGCCCCAACACCATTTGTTGAAAATCTGTGCTTTTTCCATTGACTTGTTTTTGCACCATTATAACAAAGGCAAATGTCTGTATTTGTGTAGGTCCATTTTTGGACTCTATATGGCCTTCCACGTATCTGTGGATCTAACCCTTTGCCAACACCACACTGGCTTGATTACAGCAGCTCAAGAGTAAGTCTTAAATCAAGGAATTTAATTCCCCGTTTTATTTTTCAAAAAATAGTTTATCTATTCAAATTCATTTGACATTTCATATAAATTTTGGAATCACCTTGTCTTTGTCTAAAAAAATCATGCTGGGATTTTGATTGGAATTATTTTGAATCTGTACATCAATTTAGGAATAGTCAGCATTTTCACAGTGTTGGAATCTTGAGTACAGTAGGCTCTTCACTGATTTATGTCTTCTTTGAAAGCTCTCATCAGTGTTGTTTCTATTTCAGCATTCAAATTCTGTACATGTTTTGCTATATTTATGCTTATATATTTCACTTTTCGACCTATTTAAAATGGCATTTTTAAAAATTTTGGTTTTCAGTTTATCAATCGCTAATGCATGGAAATGTCTGTGTGTGTGTGTGTGTTGACCTTGTTTAACCTTGCTAAACTTGCCTTTTAGTTCTAGAAGATTTTTTGGCTACTCTTGGGATTCTGTATACAGTCATGTTGTCTATGAATAGAACAGTTTTATCTTTTCCTCTTAAACTGCATGCTTTTATTTTTTTCCTGCCCTATTATACAGGCTAGGACTTTCATTATAATGCTGAATAGAATGGGTAAAAGGGGATTCTCTAGCCTTTTTTTATGATTTTCGGGGGAAATTACATCTTTCACTATTAAGTAAAATGTTAGCTATAAGTTTTTGTAAATGCCCTTTAGCAAGATGAGTAATTTTTCTTTTATTCCTAGGTTGCTTTGAGTTTTTATTGTGAGTGGATTCTAAGTTTTATCAAATGCCTTTTCTGTACCAATAGATATGATCATGTGATATTACTTCTGAGACAGTTAATACAGTTGATTATATTGATTGATTTTTGAATGTTGACCTGGTTTGGAATGCCTAGAAGAAGCCCAAGTTGATGGTCTTGTATTCATCTTACTATACATCACCAGATTAAATTTACTAATAGTTTTGTAAGGATATTTTTATATGTGTTCATGAACAATATTAGTCTGTAGTTTTCTTTTTGTGTATTATCTTTATTTGGCTTAGACAACAGGGTAATGCTTATCTCATCAAATAAGGTAGAAAACATTTCCTTTTTTTCAAGAAATTGTATATAACTGGTGCTATTTCTTTCTAAATATTTGGTAGAGTTTGACAGTAAACCACCTTGGCTTGGAGATTTCTTTTTTTTTTTTTTTTTTTGAGACGGAGTCTCACTCTGTCACCCAGGCTGGAGTGCAGTGGCACAATCTCGGCTCACGGCAAGCTCCGCCTCCCGGGTTCACGCCATTCTCCTGCCTCAGCCTCCCTAGTAGCTGGGACCACAGGCACCCACCACCATGCCCGGCTAATTTTTTGTATTTTTAGTAGAGACAGGGTTTCACCATGTTAGCCAGGATGGTCTTGATCTCCTGACCTCATGATCCGCCCGCCTCAGCCTCCCAAAGTGCTGGGATTACAGGCATGAGCCACCGCTCCTGGCTGGAGATTTCTTTCTCAAAGATTAACTACAGATCCAATTTTACTAATAGGGCTATGCAGGCTATCTAGTTCATCTTGGGGGAGTTTTGGCAGTTTGTGGTTTTCAAGGCCTTAGTCCATTTCATGTAAGTTGTTGAATTTGTATGTGGAGAGTTGTTTGAAGTATACCTTCCTTATCCATTTGATGTTTGCAAGATGCACTAAAAAAAGTCTCTTTTATTTCTGATATTGGTAGTTCTAGCTTCTATTCTATATTTCCTTGTCAGCCACGCTAGAGGTTTGCTAATTTTATTGATCTTAACAAGGAGTCAGCTTTTATTTCTTAATATTTTGTATTGTTTTACTATTTTCAATTTGACTGATTTCAGCTCGTCTTTCTTCTGCTTGCTTTGTGCATATTCTGCTCTTTATTTTTTGTAGTTTCTTAAGGTGAAGACGATTATTCACTTGCAATCTTTCTTTTGTCATAGAAGAGTTTAGTGCCTTAATTTTTTAAAGCGCTGATTTATTTACGTCCCACAAATTTTGGCATGCTGTATTTTTATTGTTCAAAGTATTTTCTAATTTCCCTTAAGACTTTCTCTTTGACCCAATGATCATCTAAAAGGTGTCGTTTAATTTCCAAGTATTTGGAGATTTTTCTGTTATCTTTATGTAGTTGATTTCTGTTTTAATTCCATTATGATCAGAAAACATACTTGGTATGATTTCCATGATCTTTCTTGGTGAATGCCCCATGCAGACTTGAAAGTATGTGAGCTCTGTTTTTATTAAGTAGAGTGTTCTGTAAACGTCAATTAGATGCAGAGGGTTGATGGTGTTGTTCCCTTCCCTATCTTTGCAGATTCTCTTTGCCAGTTCTATATCTTACTAATAAAGGAGTGCTGAAGTTCCCAACTGTCATGGGAGATTTATCTATTTCTCCTTTCAGTTTCTTCAGTTTTTGCTTCATATATTTTGAAGCTCTTTTGTTAGATGCATACACATTTGGTATTGTTATGTCTTCTTGATGAATTGACTCTTCTATCATTATGTAATGTTTTACTTTATCCCTGGTAAATATATTTGCTTTCAAGTCCATTTTGTCTGATATCAATATCACCAACCTGGCTTTTTTGATTAGTGTTCATATAGATAATCTTTTTAAATCTTTTTCCTTTTAATATACCTGCACCATTATATTTGCAGTGAGTTTCTTATGAGCAGCATATGAATAATGCTTGTTGTTTTATGCATTCTGACAACTTCTGTCTTTTAAGAGTGTGTGTAGACCATTGTCATTTACTATAATGATTGATATATTTGGGTTCAGTTCTACTATTTTGCTATTTGTTTTCTGTTTGTTCCATCCATTTGACATTCTTCTGTTTCCCCTTCCCTGCCATCTTTTTGGGTTATTTGAACATATGTAGCATCATCTATTGTGTTTCTTACTACATCTCTTTATAGAGATTAATTTTTTAAACACTGATTGTTCTAAGGTTTGCAATGATCATACTTAACTCTTTGCAGTCTACTTAGAAAATGTCACTTCACATAGAATGGCCATGCTATCTACATACACATACATAAATACATATATGTGTATTATATAATATATAAAATTTGCATACAATATTTAATAACTGTTGTCAAAGATACTATGGCTTGCCTACCTTATGTCTATTTTTCTTTTCTTCCTTGCTAATATGACCCTGATTTTGTTCAGTGTGTAAATATACTTCGCTAAATTCTTTTCTCTCTTGTATCACAAAGTCCGGTCAATATAGGAAGGAGAAAATGCTGCCTAGTAGTTCTGGGAGGGCCTTTTGAAGAGGAATATGTGGCTGGCCTGTTCCCATGGCCGTGCACATTTGTGTTGAGTGCTCCTGTTGTCTTGCCTGGGATGCAGATGCAGTGAGCAGAGGTGGGCAGCCACCGTGGAACCATAACCTGAAAACCACTGGTAAAGGAGGGCATGGCAGGAAGTGGGAAGGAGACCGGATCCTGACACCACCACAGGGCCCTCATCCTAGGGCCGGATTGCTTACTTCTAAATTCCATGTTATATGACAACAAATAGGGGGACTATCATCAATAATAATTTCACTGTACATTTTAAAATAACTAAAAGAATATAATTGGATTGTTTGTAACACAAAGGATAAATGCTTAGGGAATTGATACCCAATTTTCCATGATGTAATTATTACACATCGCATGCCTGTACCAAAATATCTCGTGTGCCCCATAAATACATACACCTACTATGTACCCTAAAAATTAAAAATAAAAATAAAATAGGCTGGGCGTGGTGGCTCACGCCTGTAATCCCAGCACTTTGGGAGGCTGAGGCAGGCAGATCACGAGATCAGTAGATCGAGACCATCCTGGCTAACGTGGTGAAACCCCGTCTCTACTAAATAAACAAAAAATTAGCCAGGTGTGGTGGCGGGCGTCTGTAGTCCCCGCTACTTGGGAGGCTGAGGCAGGAGAATGGCATGAGCCCAGGAGGCGGAGCTTGCAGTGAGCCGAGACTGCGCCACTGCACTCCAGCCTGGGTGACAGAGTGAGACTCCCTCTCAAAATAAATAAATAAATAAAATAAAATAAATAAACAACAACAAAACAGAAAACTTTCCTCCATGGGGACCTGCAGACCCTCTCTCTCTCTATGTGATCATTGCCTTATGCATTACATACATTGTGTTCATACACTGAAAACATCATCAGACAATGGTACAATTTTTTGCTCTCAATCTTCATACATATTTTAAAGAATTCAAAGCAGAGAATAATAATTTGTTACATTTACTCACATATTTATCACTCCTGTCATTTCATTCCTTTCCGATGTTCCAAGATTCCTTCTATCCTTTCCTCTCTGTCTGGAGATCTTCCTTTAGGAATTCTCTTAGAGCAGTTCAGCTGTAATGAATTCTCTTTGTTTTCCTTCAGTTGAGAATGTCTTTATTTCATCTTTATTCCTGAAGGTATTTTCTCTGGATATATACTGCTGGGGTGGCAATTATTGTCTTTCAGAACTTTAAAAACGCCGTGCCACTTCCGTCTGACCCCCACGGTTTCAGATAAGAAAGTCACAGCCATTTGAATTGCTTTCTCCCTTTAGGGAATGCATCTTTTTTTTTTTTCCTGCTGCTTTCAAAACTTTGTGTGTGTCTAGTGTTCAGCAGATTGATTATGATGTGTCTGTGCATAGATTTCTTTGGGCTTATTGTCTCTGGGGTTTGCTGACCTTCTTGATTCTGGTGGCTTAGGTAATTTCCAAAATGTAAAGAGTTTTCAGCAAATTTTCTTGAAATTTTTATGTATTTATTTATTTCTTTAGCATCACACTCTCACCTCAATTTGATTCCAGTGAAAAAATACTAGACCTTTTATTGTTCTCTGACAGGTCCCTGAGGCTTAGTCTATTTTTTTTTTCCAACTTTTTGTTTTTCAGATTGGATAATTTCTTTTGGTCTGTCTTTGAGTTTGCTAACTCTTTTCTCTCTCATCTCCAGTCTGCTATTGAGCCTATCCATGAGGTTTCTGTGTGAGTATGTGTGTGTGCACGTGTGCACGTTCATGCATGCACGCTTTTTTCAGGACTTAAATTTTCCTTTTCTAACTTTTGATTGATTTTGAATGTGTTTGCAATGACTTTTTGGAATGTTATTATTGAGACAGGGTCTCACTCTGTCACCCAGACTGGCATGCAGTTGTGTGATCTCGGCTAACTGCAACCTCTGTTTCCTGGGCTCAAGGGATCCTCCAACCTCAGCCTCCCAAGTAGCTGGAACTACAGGCACATGCCACCACACCTGGCTAATTTTTGTATTTTCAGTAGAGATGGGGTTTCACCATGTGGCCCAGGCTGGTCTCAAACTCCTTAGCTCAAAACTGTACACGTGTTTCAGCCTCCCAAAGTGCTGGGATTACAGGTGTGAGCCAATGAACCTGGCTGGAATGTTTTAATAATCACCGTTTTAATGTCTTTGTCAGATAATTGCAACAGCTGTGTCATCTTAGTATCATTGTCTGTTGACCATCTTTTCCCATGAGAATTGGGATATTCCTTATTCCTCACATGCCAAGTAATTCTGGATTGTATCCTGGGCATTCTGGATGGTATGTTATGAGGCAGGGAGAATGAGCAATGCCCAGTGTTTGTTTCTGCAGGCAGCTAACCTGCTCACACCCAGGCCACAAGTTCCAACGTGCCTTCTCTGGACTGGCTGTGGTTTTATGGTTAGCTCCACTTTCCAAGCTTTGCATTTCTGTCCAGATCTGTCCCACAAGTGGCCATCCAGAGGCCAACCTAGGACTCGGTCTGTGAGTGCTCCGTCAGTTTAACCTTCATGACGTTTGAAATGCTCCATGAGGCAACACCCATGTGTGCACAGCTTTGTGTGTACAGGGGAACCGTGAGCCCGGGAGTCTGCAAACAGCCTTTCCCAAGTTCCTCTGGCTGGAAATTTGGGATGTGAGTTACCCTGTTCTGTGGAGCACTTCTGCAGTCATCCCTTCGTCCATGGTCATGCAGCTCAGAAGCACCCAGGGGAGGATGTGTGAGGTGCAGCCTCGCCTCCTGGAACACCAGGTCTGCAGGACGGAGAGGATGACTGCCCTGCACCTGTGGGCGCGTATCACTCTCTGCTGCCACCATCTCCACGTGATTGCTTAAGGGGTTGTGGTGAGAGAGAACAGAAGGAAAACATTGAAAAGAAAATGGGGATTTCTAGGCTTGCCATGATGGCTCACGCCTGTAATCCCAGCACTTTGGGAGGCCAAGGCAGGCAGATCATGAGGTGAGGAGATCGAGACCATCCTGGCCAACATGGTGAAACCTCATCTCTACTAAAAATACAAAAATTAGCTGGGCGTAGTGGTTCATGCCTGTAATCCCAGCTGCTGGGGAGGGTGAGGCAGGAGAATCACTTGAACCAGGGAGTTGAGGACTGCAGTGAGCCGAGATCGCACCACTGCACTCCAGCCTGGCAACAGAGTGAGACACCATCAAAAAAAAAAAAAAAGGAAAATGGGGATTTCTGATGGGAGTTTGTTTTCCTGCTACTTGGGCCATAAAGAAAGAGTTTTTCCTGGAATTCTCTCTACCTGCACCTTGGTGTCCATTTCTGGGTTTCTAGGGCATTGAGTTCAGACTTGAAGAGATCAGGTAGGGGACAGAGTAAACTGCATTAATCTGGTGGAATGTTGGATTTGGGAGTTCTTTCCTCCTGCTGCTGTTCGCTTTCCAGGGTCTTTAAATAGTTGTTCCATGTATTCTGTCCAGCTTTTCTAGGTGTAGCCATTTGGAGAGTGTGTTTAACCCAACTTACCCAGACCCAGAACCGAGTCTGCTTGTTTTTGTATCAGAGAGGCTTATGCTTATTTTTCTTAAGTTTCTCTTGCACAGTCCTCATGGTTTAGAACATCTGTTCAAATCAAAGCTGTGCTGTTCTACGTGTTGGTGTCAAATAGCATGTTTTGATTAACTTTTCCACATTTGTTCTTTGTAATATTAAAAAACATATCCATGTAGTTTTATCGATTTGATTTGAAAATACTTTTAAATACTTTTAACAGAATTCTTGCTCGGTATGTTCCAGACCCCACTATCTGGTAATAAGTTGTGAAAACGAAAAAATTGATTTACTTTAAAAAAAAATCAATAAATCACAAGAAATGGATTTGATTTTAAAAAGAGAGAAAAATGAAAGTTTCTGCCTTATTAAAATATTCATGTTGAAATAGGAATGTGTCAACTGGGAAGCCATGTGCGTGGGGCCTGAGCTCAGAACACACATTTGGGAGATCAAAGACACGTGTCTTCCAACCTCATGTCCTGCCCTCCCAAACCTGACCAGCCCACAACTTCTCCCCAAGAGCCTCCAACCATCTGCAGCTCGCCCCATGCCTCTCCCGACCTTCCTCAGGCTTTTCCCAACAGGGATCCCTTTTGGTTTCTGCAAAATACACCCATCATTTCAGGCTGAGTGTACCTGCCCACTCCCGAACACCTGCCTGGATTCAGTGGGTACGTGCCAGCCTCTTTCACCCACAAGAGCCTGAAGACCAAGGTGTGATCAGGGTTCCTACTGCAACCCTGCCCGCACTCCATCCCCCTGGGATGGGGCCAGACACAGATGATGGATAAATGCTGTCCTCCTTCCTCCCCTCCCTCCTTGGTGGTCAGGTCCCCACTTTGTCAAGGCATGGCCAGAGCAGATGTTTCTTCAAGGAGAAGCAGGAGCTTTGCAGGCTGGTGGGGGGTAATGATGAGCCAAGCACAGGGTGGGCATCTTCAGACTTCAATGGGGCATAAGTGTGGAATTGTTGGTGGTTCTGATGGGCTGGAATGTGGAATGCAAAGTGGAAAAATGTGGCATGGGATGGTCAAGGTGCAGAGGGGCCTGAGTGGAGAGGAGGGGCCAGAGAAATGCATTCCTGATGTATCCTGATGCACACAGATACGGTGTGTATATGTGTACAGTGTGTGTGTGGCATGTATGTGTGTGCAGTGTGTGTGTGCGGTGTGTATGTGTGTGCAGTGTGTGTATACAGTATATATATGTGTGCAGTGTGTATGTGTATACACTGTATGTGTGTATGCATTGTGTATGTGTATACAGTACGTGTTGCAGCGTGTATGTGTGTACAGTGTGTATGTGTGTACAGTGTGTATGTATATACTATGTATATGTGTGTACAGTGTGTATGTGTATACAGTATGTATGTGTATACAGTGTGTATGTGTGTACAGTGTGTATGTGGCACAGTGTGCATGTGTATACAGTATGTGTGTGCAGTGTGTATGTGTATACAGTGTGTATGTGTGTGCAGATGGATGGATGGACAGATGAACAAATCCAGAGGGTGACAAATGGTTTAGAGATTTGGGTAAGGAGTTAGAGCAAGTTTACCCGTTAAGATGGAGTGGACATCAAAACCACAATGAGACACCACTTCATGCCTGTTAGGAGGACTACAATTAATAAGTAAATACATAAATCCAGAAAATAGTAGCCATTGACAAAAATGTGAAGACACGGGAGCTCTCCCGCCCTGTTGGTGGGAATGGAAAAATGGTGCAGCCTTGGTGGAGACTTCATGGAAATGTCAAACACGAAGTTACCAGATGTCACACTACAATGTGCACAGAGATACTGACACCTGTGTTCATATAAAAATGTGAATACAAATAGGGATAACAGCATTATTCATAAGAGCCAAAAAGTGGGAGCAACCCAATGTCCATCAATGGAGGAGTAAATAAAGAAAATGCTGTGTATTCATGTTCCCTTAAATCACAACGGAATATTGCTCAGCCAGAAAAAGGAAGGAAGCACTGACACCTGGTCCAAACTGATGAACCTTGAGAACACGATGCTGAGTGGAAGAAGCCAGACACAAAAGCTCACTTATAGAATGATCCCGCTTATGTGAAATGTCAACGAGAGGCAAATCCATGGAGACCGAAAGTGGATTTGTGGTTGCCAGGATTATGGGGGAGGGGAAAATGGGTAGACGCTGCTTAAGAGAACAGGGTTCCTTTCTGGGGTGATGGGAATGTTCCAGACATAGAGAGAAGTGACAGCTGCACTGCCCTGTGGATCCGCTGAAACCCACCCAACTCTGCACCGTAACATGGTGAATTTTACAGTATATGAGTTATGTCTCTTTTTTTTTTTAAAAAAAAGGGGTAGAGGGAATGGTGAGGGAAATGTCGCTGAGAACATAAGGTGGGCATCTGTCAGAGAGGTCTCCCTCCCAACCCAGGGAGCGGCAAGTCCAAAGGCAGTGAGGCATGCCCTGCGTTCCCATGAACACACTGGGGACCTTCCCGCCTCTCCACCTTCAAAAAAAAGAAAATTATAAAAGCAGGAATGAATTGGACCGAGTCAAAACCCGTTGAATACTCACTTTGTGCTGGGCACCACACTGACTCAAATTTTATGTTCTGTAGAGGATCGATGAATGAATGAAGGAAACACCCAAATGAGGTCCACAATTCAGCTGTGTCCACTCAGAGACTCCCCTTCTAAGACAGTCTCTCCGTAAACAAACTCCAGCTAGCAGCATGTTTGCTACAGCAGAAACCAGGTGAACCATCCTGTACGTCTGGAGATCGGCATAAATCCTCAGAGGTCGTGTCATAGGGGAAAGGTCAACCAAGGAGCAACTCATCGAGCAGGGACAGCTGGCTGTATTTCTTTCATTCATTCAACAAACATGCATTTTGTGACTGATCAGCGTGTTGCACAGAGTCTTAAAAGTAATGGCCCCTGCCCTCCAGCCCCCTGTGGTGAGAAGACTGATCCATTAGTGAACAATCACGACACCATGTCACCTGGACTGCACAAGAGAGAGGCGCAAAGGCTGTGGGAGGCCATGGGAGAAGCCCACCTCAGTCTCATGAAATCAGAGAAGCCTCCCTGCAGGAGGATTTCTCTAAGCCAAGTACTAAAGTACAAATAAAGAGGCAGCCACATACAGCAGAGAGGGGGGCTGAGCAGCCAATAGTAATGACCCCCTTTCATTGAGTTCCTACTGTACGCCAAGCACTAGGCTAAGCAGTATTTACAGTCGTTATTTCTTTTTTTTTTTTTTTTTTTTTGAGACTGAGTTTTGCTCCTGTTGCCCAGGCTGGAGTGCAATGGCACGATCTTGGCTCATCACAACCTCTGCCTCCCAGGTTCAAGCGATTCTCCTGCCTCAGCCTCCCGAGTAGCTGGGATTACAGGCATGCACCACCACGCCTGGCTAATTTTTTTGTATTTTTAGTAGAGACAAGGTTTCTCCATGTTGGTCAGGCTGGTCTCGAACTCCTGACCTCAGTTGATCTGCCCGCCTTGGCCTCCCAAAGCGCTGGGATTACAGGCGTGAGCCACCGCACCCAGCCCTACAGTCATTATTTCTAATTCATATCATAAAACAACCCTGGAAGTTACACACTATCAATCATCCCGGCAGTAAAAAGAGGTAACTCAGGCCCAGAGACATCAACCAACCCACTTGGGGTCATTCAGTAATTACAGAAAGCAGGAGAGGGCAGGACTCATTCGGGGACACTCTCTGGTAAACCAGGTGGCTGGATGTGGACCATGAAGATGATGAAGGTGATGAAAATGAAGATGAAGATGAAGAAGAAGAAGATGATTAAGATGAAGATGAAGAAGATGAAAATAAAGATGAAAATGAAGATGAAGATAAAGATGAAGAAGAAGAAGATGAAAATGAAGATGTTGAAGTTGAAGCTGTGCATGTTGAGGCCTCCAAGGTGAGCAGGAATGGATCAGTGTTCTGCCCAAGGAGAAGGCAAGGCATTCAGGACCCAACACAGGAGAAGTGGGGATATTAGGCAGAGCACAGTGATCTGAGCTGCACTTGAGACATCCTGCTGGCACCTGCTGGCAGAGGACCTGAGGGGCACTGCGGGGGAGGTGCAGTGGTCGGGGCTAAGAACTCAGGGCTGGCTGACCCAACAGGACTGGGACGTTTGGTGTAGAATTTTGCAGCATGGCCTGGGGTGGTTCTGCCCCACCTGCCTTGGTCAGTGTCAAGCCTGGCACAAGGACAGGGAAGTCTCTGCAGAAGGAGGTTGGCCAAGGTGCTACCTGCAGAGGCTGTGAGGGTGCCCCACTCAGGCTTCCTCCCACATTTGGGTTGGAGAATGTTCTATGTCTCTTCCTCTGGTCAGCAAGGAGCATGGGACTAACTTCCTTCCTGATCCTGTCCATGTTCCCATGGCCCTGAAGGAGGGAATCAACCTACGACCCTGGCATAGTCCTGGACAGGATGTGGCTGGGGAGAGCCATTTGTTGGGGCCAATGGACCCACCAAGCTGGACTCCGGTAGGGGCTTTCTGCTCTCTCCTGGTTCATTGCTGCTGGCCTTGCTTCTGACTGGCCACAGCCCACATCGAAGCTGTGAGGCGACTAACAGGCTTCCTGGTGCCTGCTCAGGAGGACTCATGAGAGCCCCATGAAGCTCTGTGCATCCATGCCACCAACTCTCCCCAGAGCCAGGCCCTGCCTGCTGAGGTGTGCTCTCCGTGTACCCAGAGAGTCACCTCTCATTTGGCTGGAAATCCATCACCAGGAGTTGCTCCCATCCAGCTTGTCACATCACATTCCTGGCTGGTGCAGGCTTAAGTCAGTACTAAATCTTATATAAGAGTCATGATTGGTCAGCACAGGTCTATTTTCAGAAGCATCGCATGGTAACTGACTTTGAACACGGAAGCATGTTGGCAGCAAGTGATTGATTTAAGAATCCAGATTTAAAGACACCTGTCTCCTTAGATTTAATGCATGCAAAGCACTTGGGGCAAAGAGGACCTTTTCTGGTTTTTCTTCCCCCTTCTTTCACCTAAGAGTGATACATCCCCCGCTCAGCTTCTGAGCTCCCAGCTTCTCATTGAAATAGTGCTCCTGGGAAGACAGGCATGGTGAGGAGAGGGGTGATATCTGGTGAGCAAAACTGAAGCCAGAATTTTCAAGGATTGCGGTCCATGGAGAGCACACTTCCACCCACACCGAAACCAAGCAGGACAAAAGGGATGCACATGAGACCCCTATTTTTCAACTCTGTTTGTGGTGTCAGCATGTTCCACCGTCCTCCAAGGAGCTCAGGATCAACTTGCATGCTCATAGCTACACTTCCCCAAGTACTGACTGTACCTTGCCTTTATGCGACGTTTCTACTTCGGGAACCCCAGAGCGTCTGCAGCCCAGACCTCCCCTTGGAACTGCAGAGTCCTGACAGTGGGTCTGCCTGGCTGTCATCTCCACTGGGATGGCCATTTATGCCCCACATAGGGCTGTCAGCTCCCATCCCTCAAAACCGCCTCACCACAGCAGTAGAAGGCAACCCATCCATTCATCCAGTGGCTCACACTGAAAAACCTGGAGTCAACTGCAACTTTCCTATTATTCACATCCCACAACCAAGGCATCATCCAAATACCCTTCACCCTCCCTTCACAGTAGATCCAGAATCCCAGCATTTCTTTCCCCAGTAACTCAGCCAGGTCCCTGTCACAGAGCCACAGTGTTTCTTAATACATAGAGATCAGATCGTATCACTCCTCTGCTCAAAATCCTCATCTCACTCACAGTAAAATTAAGTCACAGGCCTTTTAATTTTAATGCAAAAAAGGAGATTGGTCTGCCCTGCCCCACCCTTTCCTTTCTTGCCGGGTCTCCTGCTTCTCTTCCCTTTTGTATTAACCATCTGCTGCTACATCGTCACCACCACGACCTTGATGGGTTCAACAGCACACACTCACCATCTGACAGGTTCCCTGGGTCAGGAGTCCGGGAGTGGCTGAACTGGGCCATGACTGCTTAGGGTCTCATAACTCTGCAACCAACCAATGTATCAGTCAGAGCTGGGGCTTACCTGGAGGCCGGGATAGTGAAGAATCTGCTTTCAACCTCCCTCAGAACACTGGCAGGATCCGTTTCTTGTGACTGTAGGACTGCAGTCTGACTTCTTGCTTGCTGTAAGCTGGAGGCCACCTGCAACTCCTGGAGGCCCCCCGCAACTCCTGGAGGCCCCCAAGCAGCTCCTAGAGACCACCTGCAGCTCCTGGAGCCACCCACAGCTCCCAGAGGCCACCGCAGCTGCTAGAAACCACCTGCAGCTCCTAAAGACCACCTACAGCTTCTCAAGGATACCCACAGCTCCTAGAGACCACCTGCAGCTCCTAGAAACCACCTGCAGCTCCTCAAGAATACCCACAGCTCCTAGAGACCACCTGCAGCTCCTATAGAGACCACCTGCAGCTCCTAGAGACCACCTGCAGCTCCTAGAAACCACCTGCAGCTCCTTGCCACATGGGTTTCCCCGGTAAGGTTGCTAAGGTCATCTAGCCAGCAAAGAAAGCGTGTGGTCTAAGGATAAGACGGAGATTTGCATACCCATGTTAGAATGGTGGGAGGGACACTCCATGGCTTTTGCCATATTCTATTTGCTGGTACATTGTATTTGCCTCATTGAAGAGGAAGGGATTATACAACGGCATGAACACCAGGAGGCAGAATCTCTGCCTCACCTTCTCATTTCCCTCCATCCTATGGGCTCCCACGTGCCTTGGCCCATGGGTCATCTACAGTAGATGCTAATTTCCAGGGCCCTGGCCAGATTGCACAGAGGGTCTCATTCTTCAAGCCCATGGGAGAAAATCTCTAAGTTAATGTAGAGAAAGTAAAGTGGTGCTTGCTGTATCATCTGCTTTTCAAAGTTACCAAACACAATAAGAAAGGTTCTCAAGTATTTCACAAATACCTCCCATGGGCTCATTGTTCAGGATATGTTATTTAGTTCAGTCTGGGGTAACTGGAGTTTGTACCTAGCTATTTGCTCTTCTCTAGACTCCATTGAAAATGGAGATTTGAATGACAATGAATGAGATTTCTGGTATCATCTTTGTTGTGCTTAAACAATCTGACACACTTAATTTCACAATATTTTGTTTTCCAATCCCTGTCTGTAATAACAAATCTCAATGTTTTCCACCCTGGGAATAGCTTTTCACTATTCAACAGAATGACATTTCTGAAAGGTGTAATTTGTGCTGGGCAGTCAATTGCATATGTGGAATTTAATATATGATAACTCTGGTTCCCTGTCAAAAAGACAGTTGAGTGCCTAGTACATCAGGAACCTAAAGGAACCTTTGTCGTGAGCCACAGGGATGAGGACTAGTCTCTAGGTACTAGGTGTTTTGCTTCTATTAATAATTATCCTGATGTCTGCTGACAGAGCATGGACCTCAGTTTTAGGTTCTACCTACCCTCTGCATACAGACCTGAAAGTGATTTTACCTCTTCCGTTCTCATGTTCCCTAAAGCATGGGTTAGATGATACTTATTTCAGAAACATTTCCATGATTTGTGAATTTTAATTTCATTAATATTTTTCAATTATTCAGAAGGTTAAATATTTTGAGGCTAACCTATTTTAATTTTCTCCTTGATTTCTTGAAATAATTTATTCCTTTCAAATGCCTTTTATACTCTGATATCAGCTGGTTATTTGCATCCATATTTTACTCGCATTTCTGTTTGCTTTAAACATGCTCCATTTTTAACACGTGTGTATGTTTTGCTGCACAGTGTTGAGCCAGGATTATTTCTTTCGACTAGCTATTCTCATCAGCACCATTTGTTGTTTACCTGTACTATTGCAGTCACCCCTTATCCACAGTTCAGTTACCATGGCCCAAAAATATCACATGGAAAATTTCAGAAATAAACACTTCGTAAGTTTTAAATTGTGCACTGTTCTGAGTAGCGTGGTGGAATCTCGCACTGTCCCACTTTATGCCTCCTGGGACGTGAATTACCCCTCTGTCCAGCTTGTTCATGCTACCCACCAGTCAGTCATTGACATTGTCTGCTGCTACCATCCAACCATGGATATTGTCTCGGCTCAATGATCCAGGATCACCTGAAGCAGATGATCCTCCCGACATCAGAAGGTCAACAGTAGCCTAACACGGTGTCACAATGCCTTCATCATTCACTCGCTTTCTCTAACCACACAGGCATTTTATATCTCACCTCATCACAAGAAAAAGAGGGTGTAGTACAGTAAGAGATTTCGAGAGAGACCACATTCATACAACTTTCATTACAGTAGATCACTATAACTGATCTATTTTATTGTTAATTTCTTATTGTGCCTAATCTATAAATTAAACTTTATCATAAGCATACATGTATAGGAAAAAAACATAGTATATGTAGAGTCTGTATTATCTGCAGTTTCAGGCATCCACTGGGAGTCTTGCAACATATTCCCATAGATAAGGAAGAACTACTCAGATTTTCTTGCAGTAATGTTGCTTAACAACTGACCCTCCTGAATCTCAGTAGCTTGAAACAACAAACATTTATTTCACATGAACTTCTCAGCTCCAGGCAGAGGTGAAGTTCAGGCAAGCTCCACGTGGCTTTTGATTCTAGGACTCAAGCTGAAGAATCAGACACGGTCTGTGCTGTGATATTCTTGCGGTGTATGGTAGAATACAAAATATATACTGGAGACTTGTAAAGTCTCTTAGAACCTTGTTTTGGAACTGCCATGCTGTCATATTTCCCCACATTCTACTGGCCAAAATAAATCAAATTACCAAGTCCAATATCAATGATGCAGGAAAGTACACCCTTCTGGGGCAGGGGAGTGGAGCAGAGTGCTGGGAAAAGAGAGTGCATATTTTCTGAACAGTCACAAGTATGCATTTTCCTTTCTCCCTAACACTTCAAAAGAATCATCCAATCCAGGTGCGGCAATTGAAAGCTCAAATGTTACAATTTTTTCATCAGGTCTCAGTGGGACTTCTCTTGGTCTGGAGACCTAGGAATTTTTTTCAAAGATATGTTCCTCTCACAGAGCTGAAAAATAATGGTGGCATAGAGCAGGACAACTGCCTTGAACATTTCTATTGGAATGGGGAAGAATAGGGAGGACCCTGCAGTCACTGGCCCATAGCAATTCCGAAATCCAGGTGGCTGGTGTTCCACAGTTCCCTATTGTCAGGTAAAGAATGTTGGTGGGTTAGGCTGAGGTTCTATTCCATTGTTCTCCATCGCTCTTGGCTTCTCCTTCAAAGAGTTCCTTCTGTTACCCTTATCTTTCTTTTTTTTTTTTCTTTTTCTATTTTTTTTTTTTTTTTTGAGACAGAGTCTTGCTCTGTTGCCCAGGCTGGAGTGCAGTGACGTGATCTCAGCTCACTGCAAACTCCACCTCCCGGGTTCACCCCATTCTCCTGCCTCAGCCTCCTGAGTAGTTGGGACTACAGGTGCCCGCCACCACGCCCGGCTAATTTTTTGTATTTTTAGTAGAGACAGGGTTTCACCACGTTAGCCAGGATGATCTCAATCTCCTGACCTCGTGATCCTCCCGCCTCGGCCTCCCAAAATGCTGGGATTACAGGCGTGAGCCACTGTGCCCAGCCCTGTTATCCTTATCTTTCTAGGCCATGTCTGAAGAAGGCGTTTGAAAACTATCCCTGAAGAAGGCTTTGGAAACTATGCCCTGGGGTTGGCTAAACAGCATTCTCCTCCTTTCTGCCTTTAGAAATGTGGGTCTCAAAGGTCATTTTACACCTCAAATCTTACAGGAGGTACTTTGAACTTATCTGGCATCTCAGGAACCACACTCTTGAGACATTTATTCTAACTGAAAGGACTCACCAGGAACCACTTTTACCCAATCAAGTATCTTAACAAGATAGGAGATTCGTGGCCTTAATGACTGACCACTCCTGATGTGTTTAGAAACAAACCCATTCTCTAAACTTGCCAAGTCCAAGAACATCTCAGATTTCTCTATTCTCTTTCTTTTCTGCTTGTAAAATGGCCAGTTGTTTTCTTAACTTATGACTTCCTAGTAGAGCCCTGTGAAATGCAACTAATAATGCTTAACTGGCACTAGTATGGTCGGTCCTGAAATATCTTTGCCCAGAGTCACAAATTCATTAGGTTTTTTTTTCTCTCTTTTTTTCTTTTTTTTTTCTTTTTGAGATGGAGTCTCACTCTGTCGCCCAGGCTGGAGTGCAGTGGCGCCATCTCGGCTCACTGCAAGCTCCGCCTCCTGGGTTCAAGCAATTCTCCTGCCTCAGCCTCCCCAATAGCTGGGACTACAGGCGCCCGCCACCATGCCCGGCTAATTTTTTGTATTTTTAGTAGAGACAGGGTTTCACCATGTTAGCCGGGATGGTCTCGATCTCTTGAGCTCATGATCCACCCACCTCGGCCTCTCAAAGTGCTGGGATTACAGGCGTGAGCCACAGCCCCTAGCCTCATTTTTTTTTCCTTATAAATTACTACAGGCTAGTACTTTGCCAAATATTTTACTACTGCACAATATAGGTTGTAATTTTTCAGATTCATTTTATGGTTCCCATGCTACCTGCTGCCCTGTCTGCAAAACAATACCAAGAAACAGTGTATTTTAGGTTTCTGTTACAAGAGCACTCCACTTCTTTATTCTAAATTCTGTATCAGTCAGCTTTTTCTTCAACAATACTTCATAATGAACAATTGCAAAAGCTCAATGACTTAAAACTATAATCATTTTTCACTCTTGGGCCTGTGCATATGCTCTGACTGATCATCTCTAGGTTGGTGTCAGTTTCAGGTCTTCCCTAGAGTCCAGGGTGCAGACGGAAGGTTTAACCTGTATATTGCTGCTCTCATGGTAGAGAGAGGAGCTCAAGAGATGTGGAATGAGCTTGAATTACATTATAAAGCCACTGTTTGGAGCTGGCATATTGTCATGTTTTCTCACATTCCACTTGCCAAAGGAAATCATATGGCCAAATCCACCATGAATATATCGATAAAGTAAATTCCTCCCAGAGAGGTGAGAACGTTAGGATGCATATTGTTAAATAGTAAGACAATCTACTGCAGTATCCTTTTCTTTTTGGTTTTAGGCAAAGTTTTTTATGTACAGCATACAGAAAAGTCATGATCAAAATATGCCCTTTAATGAATACTTGCACATTTATGTAAACATACTTACGAAGACACCACCTTATGCTATTTCTGTCATACATTTTACTTCCATATGTTACAAACCCCACATTTTTGCTTTAAAAAGCCAATAATCAGCCGGGCACAGTGGTTCATGCCTATAATCCCAGCACTTTCGGAGGCAGACGCAGGTGGAATACCTGAGGTCAGGAGTTCAAGACCAGCCTGGACAACCTGGTGAAACCCCGTCTCTACTAAAAATACAAAAATTAGTTGGGCAAGGTGGTGCGCACCTGTAATCTCAGCTACTCGGGAGGCTGAGGCAGGAGACTCACTTGAACCCGGGAGGTGGAGGTTGTAGTGAGCCGAGATCACGCCATTGCACTCCAGCCTGGGCAACAGAGCAAGACTCCATCTCAAAAAAGAAAAAAAGAAAAAAAAAGCCAATAATCTTGTTAATAAAATTTAATACAATGAAAAAATACTTCAAATTTAGGGCACATTTACCATTTTGTTGCTCTTTATTTCTTTGTGTCAAATTCTAGTATCAGTTTCCTTCCTTCTAAAGAACTTTCAATAAAATGCTGGTAGTGTGGGTCTGCTGGAGATTATTAATGCTTTCGGCTTTTCTTTCTTGGACAAAGTCTTTGTTTTGCCTTCATTTTAAAGGGCATTTTCACTGCATGTAGATTGTATTCTAGATTACATTGTTCTTCCTGCATATTAAATCTGTTGTTCCATTGTCTTCTAGCTTGCAGTTTCATGAGAAATCTGTGATTTTCTTATCTTTATTGCTCTATATTTTATTGGCCTTTTGTGTCATTGCTTTTAAGCTATTTCTCATTATAACTGTTTTTTTCAACAGTTTTATTATGATATGTCTTGGTGTGTATGTGTGTATGCATGCACACTTGTATTTTTCATGTGTGGGGTCCATTGACCTTCTTTCATCTGAAAGTTTATCATTTTCATCAAACTTAACCAATTTTTGGCCCTTTTTACCTCAAATTTATTTTTGAACTTCTGCCCCTTCTCCAGTACAAATTTGCGTAGGTTAAATGGCTTAATATTGCCCCTAGCTCAATTAGGCTCATTTTCTTTCTTTTTTTCCTCTCATTACTCCATTTTGCATACATTCTATGTCTGTCTTCAAGTTCACTGATATTTTCTACTGTAGTCTCAAACCCATTGTTAATCCGATCCACTGAAAGACTCATATCAGATACATGTTTAATGTTTAGAAGATTTGTTTCATTTTTATATATCCCTTTTTTAAAAATAACTGGGTATGTTTATGGTAGGTGTTTTAATGTGCTTCTTTTCAACTTTTCAATCACTTTTGTAGTGCCTGGGATTGATTTATTGACTCTTTCCTTGATTGCGTGTCACATTTTCTGGCTTTGGGGGATGTTTAGTCGTTTGGTTGAATGCCTGACATGGTGATGTGTGTGTTGTTTTCCTTCCGAGAATGTTGGGCCTACTCTACTTTGCAGAAAATCAAGTTATCTGCTATCCAGTCTGATCCATTCCGGTTCCATTTTAGGCTTTGCTGGGGAAGGTGGAGAGGAACCTTCAGTATGGGGATAGTTCCACCTGACTGCTAAGGTGTAGCTCCACAGAGCCTTCCACTGACTACCCCAGGTAACCTCTGAGGCCCTCCCTTCTAGCTGGTTGGAACTTGAATATCTTCCTCTCGGATGTGGGTTCTCAGAAATGTTAAACTAATAGGTCCTCGGGGATCCTTTGCCTGGCTCTATGAAGTTGCACTCTATGCATGCATGACTGATACTCAGCCAAGACCCACGGTGACTCCCATATAGACTCCTGGGCACTTTTTCTGCTTTTTTCTATAGCACTTCTCTGCAAAGTTTAGATGCCTCAGCCTTTTACTGACTTAATTCTGACACTCCCAGACTCTTTTGCATTTCTCATTACGACATCCACATAGCAGAAATTGTCTTCGGGAAGAAATATGGCACATGCGAGACAAGCCTTTACTTCTCTTATCTTTGGAATCACAGTCCTGGGCTGCCTGTTGTTCAATATTTGGAAAGAGTTGTTTCAAATGTTAAGTTTTCAAATTTCTACTTACTTTTATAGTGAGAAATTAGGTCTAATGCTTGATATTCCATCCACAGGAAGCAGAAGTATTGGTGTACACTTTAGGTGGAGTCAATGTATTTGCTTTCAAATGTTTTCTTTGAACCATAGCTTTCTACTTCATACTTTTAGTGAGTATAGAATTTATCCAATGTTTTCACTGCATCGATCAAGATGATCAAACATGATATTCTCTTTATTCTATCACTGTGGTGAACTACATTAGTTGACTTCTGAATAGCAAACCAAGGTTGCACTGATGGAAAAATCCAACTTCATGTTATATTGTACTATTTAGATTTTGCTATATTTGGGTTACTAATATTTTGCTTAAAATTTTTCATCTAAGTTTGAGAAATTTGCCTGTAATTTCCCATTCTTGTAAAGCTCTTGTCAGGTTTTGGAAACATGTTTATGTTGACCTTATTAACTAGTTTGATGGTGTTTTCTTATGTTCCCAAGATGATGTTGCAAAAGTTTTCTGTTATTTCTTCCTTATATTTGGTCCATTTTATAAGTAAAACTTTGAGTTCATAGAGATTTGAAAAAAAATAGCTTAAATAGGCTGGGTGTGGAGGCTCATGCCTGTAATCTCAGCACTTTGGGAGGCCGAGGCAGGTGGATCACCTAAGGCCAGGAGTTCGAGACCAGCCTGGCCAACATGGTAAAACCCCGTATCTACTAAAAATACAAAAAAAAAAAAAATTAGCCAGGCATGGTGGCAGGTGCCTGTAATCCCAGCTACTCAGGAGGCGGAGGCAGGAGAATTGCTTGAGTGGGGGAGGCAGAGGCTGCAGTGAGCCAAGATCACGCCACTGCACTCCAGCCTGGGAAACAAGAACAAAAAAAAACTTTGTCTTAAAAAAATTAGTTTAAATAATTTAATAGATACATAAATATTAAAATATTCTATTTCTTTGTAGTCAGTTTTAGTAAGTTTTATGTTTTGTAGAAGTGTTTGTTTCATCTAAATTTTCATATCAATTTTAAAAAGTTGTTTATAATTTTCCCTGTGCCTTTTTGATATCTATTGGATCTACAGTGATTATACCTTTTTCTTTTCCAAAATTAGCAATTTGTGCCTTCTCACCTTTATTCTTTAGTTTTGCTAAGAGTTTAATGATTATCTTATTTTGGGGATATTAGCTTTGCTTTCATTGATTTTCTTTGCATATTTGTATTTTTAAATTTTAATTTCATAACTTTTATCTTCTTATTGTTAGTTGCTCCTTCCTACTTTATTTGGTATTAATTTGTTGTTCTTTTCCTTTGATTTTTAAATATTCATATTCAGATGACTAGATAGGTATGTAGGTAAATGCAAAACTGAATTCTGGTCTTTTTTTGTATGGAGTGTTCTCTATGTGTCATTTAGATTGTTTGTTAATCATATTCAAATCTTCTGTATCTACATATATATATCTCTATTTAGACGTCTAAACAGTTGTTTCAAGTATCTATTTCTATAGCTAAATATAGACATGAATATCTAAGCATAAATATCTAGATATAGGCATGTATCTAGATATGGATCCAGATGGATGGGCATACGTCTCTTTCTAAGCACAGAATTAGCTGCATTCCACGCATTTGTACCTTGTATTTGTATTACTATTTAATTCAACATATTTCTGTTTCATTGTCAATGTCATGTTTTTCTTTTATTCATGGCTATTTAGAAGTGCATTGCTTACATCCCAAATATTTAGCATTTCCTGGTCACCTTCCTGTCCATACTCAAAATTATGTCAATTCTTTGAGAAATTCTGGACTTGCTTTCTGTCCCAGCTGAAGTCAGTGTTTGTAGACGAGCCGGGTACACTCGAAAACTGTGAGTACGTCATTGCTACAGGCAGCCTTCTGTGTATCCCACTCAGGCCAAATGTGTTGACCTTGTTGAAATCCTCTGTATTCTTATTTGTTCACTTATTTATTCATTATTGAAATAACTATGTTAAATCTTCCACTATGACTTCTGCCTTATGTATTTGATCCTTTTATTGGTGAATGTTGCTTTATTTTTGCGAAACTATATTATTAGACACTAGCAATTGAATATTTTTACCACAGCCTTGTGGGTTAACTCTTTCACCATTATGGAAACAATCCCTTTGTATTCCTAATAAATGTTCTTGCCCTAAACCCTACTTCGTCTGTGTTCTGCTCTACCAGCTTTCTCAGTTACTATTGTGAGAGAGGTAACTTACCCCATCATTTTACCTTTAACGTTTCATATTTAATGTGTGTTTTTTTGTAAAGATTATACATTTAGGTTTTACTTTGTTTTGGTTTTTATCCAGCCTGATAATGTTGGCATTTTGATTGCTGCTTTTAGTTCTTCTACATTAAAAGTAATTGCTGACATGTTTGATTTTGTGTCTACTTTTTTTTTATTTTTTCCACACATTCTATTTCCTTTTTAACTAGTCTCTTGACGTCTTTTGAATTAAATATATTTCATCATTCTTCTTTCCCCTCTCTAGCTTTTTCCCTATACTTTTAATTTAATTTCATTATTTACTTCTTAGAGTCAAATTTAAATTAATACCTTAACAGCTCCAAGAAAATGTTAGACCCTTGTAGCCCTTTAATTGCATGCAACCTCCTTCTGCCTCATGTTTTGTTATTTATGTATCTTGATGACATATATATGGTGTTAAATAACATAGCCAAAATGAGGATTACAATAATAGAAGATTACTAGTTCTAATCGTTATTACAACACTAACAACGCAGAATAACCAATTAGTATATGTCAAGTACAGTTCTAAATATTTTACATCAATTATTTTATTTCCTTCTTGCAGCCAACCTATGGTATAAATACTATTATTCCCCCAATTTACATACAAAATAAATGAGGCACAGAGAGGTTAAGACATTTTCTTCAGGTCACACAGTTGGCAGAGCAGGGATTTGGAATGAGGCCATCTGGCCTGACTCCAGGTTCTCATGCCCTGGCTCTGCTGCCTCCCTTGAGCCCCAAAGGCTGAAAACTCATGATGTGCTGAAGATTCCAATTTTGAAATACGGTCTTGGGTATACTGGGAAGTTCATGGAACCAATTTTCTAACCAAGATGATACCTCTATATAGTCCTGCTTTAAGTCCGAAAATATAAAATGCAAACATTTACTAAACACGTTTATGTGCAATCATAGTTTTCAAATAGAGAGTTTAATGACAGCAAAACTTATTTCTAATCCCTGTCCTTACTGCATTGACCCTCAACAGAAAGACTTCCCTCACAACTTTGACCTGTACTTTTAATTGCAGTTGTCCTTAAGTAGGACATGCTAAGGAAGGAAGAGCATTCCAGGTGTTGTCTTGGTCTGGACAGTCAGAGACAGCCCTCTGAAGGTGGCGACGCTGCCAGGGAGCCCTGGGTGGGAGGTGAAGAGTGTTCCAAGCCATCGGTTGAACTGGCCTATGCGAGGGATATAAGGCTGGAAGGACCTGGCCCATTTGGGAAAGGAAGGAAGGTCAGCTAATTGCTGGCGCCGCATCCAGAGGAAATCATGGAGCGAAATGGAGGAAAATTTAGCGTGGCCAGGTCAGACAGGACATTCCAGGGCAGGCTACAAATCTGAGATTTAACTGAGGAATAAAGGGAAGCTCTTAAGGGATTATAAGACAAGAATAGCATGATTTGAATTGTTGAATTCCATTTTTAAAAAGATCTTCCTGGCTGTATTATAGAAAATACCTTAAGGAGACCCAGAGGTGAAGTGGCCCGAGAGTTGGTTGCTGCAGTGAGGAGTCAGGGTGGCTTAGAGTAAGGTGTTGGCAGTGGTGATGGAGAGAAGAACCGTGGAAGAAAAGATTTGGGAAGGAAATATTGATCGTGTTGAGTAATTGAATATGAGCTTTAAGGGGAGGTTCGTATGAAAAACGCTCTCCAGTTTTTGGCATAAGCAACTGGGAAGCGGGGGGGATATTTCTCCAGGAAGGTGAGCCTGGGTTTAAAAGGAAAGTCTCTGAGATAAGTTTGTGACAGATTGAGTTGATGCTACTTGGGAGGCATCCAAGTGGAATTTTCTACTAGGCAGCTGCAAACACCTGTTTGGAGCTCATGGGAGAGACCTGAGCCAAACACAGACATTCAGGAGTCGGCAGTATGAAGACTGTACTTTAAGCCGTGGGAAATGATGAACTATCTCCGCGAGTTAGAAGCGGATGCAGGAGCGCCAAGATACCAGCAACCTGAGAAGATCAAACTCGTCCTTTCATCTTGGGTCAATGGCTATAGCCGCTAATCAGCATCACCTCTGAGTATCTTCCTGCTATTTTTTTTTCTTGGTACTTCTTGGGGATGAAGGACTAGGGCACATTATTTTATCCATTCTTCTGTAACTCCACAGTGACCCTTTCCTGGAACATTCCAGCATCCAATTTGTCTCCCGAACTGAAAGTTTTCACAGCCATCTGCTCATGTTCACCCCATGGTCCCTGGATTTATACCCCAAATCCAGACACCCTTTTCCTTTACAAGAACTTCTGTGTTAGGCTCCTAAAAAGCTCGCCACTTCCAACCTTCTCCTTCATACCTTGCCGCCAGAATTCTCATCCTTAGATCAAAACAAGCCACTCCTTCCTCTGCTCCAACACTTCCGTTGCCAACTACTTACTGCCTAGAGGAAAAGCCCGCAGGGTCTGTTACCTTCCTGCACCCTCCTCCTCCTCCAGTCCGTCTTCCTTTTTTCTCATTCAACAATTACCATCTGCCACATCAGCACAGCAGGGTTCCACCTACACATCTGGCTCTTTTGTGCCTCTGAGTCTTTGCCTCATTTGTTCCTATGCTTGAAATGCTCTTCCTGACTTTTTCAGACCTAATGCCAAGTGCTCAGCACATGTCTAAATTCTACCGTCCCCGCCACTGGGTCCACAGGAAGAACACATTTCACACTCAGGGCATCCAAGTGGGGCCTTGTGATCACCTTTGACCAACAGGACAGAAATAATATGAGTCTTTCATGGCCTGCCTTACAACAAAGCTCCACGTCCATCCTCCTCCCTCTGCCCCTTCCATGGCAACCCTGGAGGCTGTGTGTTGAGACTAGCTCCATCCCAGGAGGACAGAAGGAGCCCCAGTCCCTGAATAGCTGCATAGAGGACTGTCCACTGCCTTTACCCACAAACTACTTAGAGGTATGATATAAGCGGATCCATTCTTTTTTGTGCCAAGCATCTAAGAGTTTATTACTTGTCACCACAGCACAGCATCCCCACCCTGAACAATGTACCTATTTTCTTCACCTCTCAAACCTCCATTCACCCTGCAGGTGCCAAGGAGTCACATTGCTCTTTGAGCAAACCTCCCAGCTCACCCGGTTTCTCTTCCTTGCGTCTTTTTGCTCATGGAGTCTTTTAAAATAGCCTTTGGGCCGACATATTGTCTCAAGACTATAATCCCAGCACTTCGGGAGGCCGAGGCAGGCGGGTCACGTGAAGACAGGAGTTCTAGACCAGCCTAGCCAACATGGTGAAACTCTGTCTCTACTAAAGATACAAAAAAAAAAAAAATTTAGCCAGGCATGGTGGGTCGTGCCTGAATCACTTGAATCCGGGAGGCAGAGGTTGCAGTGAGCCAAGATCACACAACTGCACTCCAGCCTGGGCGACAGAGTAAGACTCTGTCTCAAAAAAGCAAACAAACAAAATAGCCTCAAACCCACTGTTTAACTCTTTATGTCTATCTCTTCTTATAGGACGCAAAACCCCGAATGGCAGGGAAGTGTCTTCAGCTCCTTACCTGCAGATCCTCAGTGCTCAACTCACTTCTCTCCACAGAGCAGCTGCTGCGGCCTGCAGAGGTGCTAGGGAAGGGGATATCTGTGGTTTGATTTGCCGAAAAGCCTCCTGCCCCTGATTCTCTGCTTTGGTGCTGTTATGGAAGCAGGAGCCCAGGAGAGTCAGAGTGACACCATTTTAAGTTCAGCTCCATCTTGTACCCTTTTTTTTTTTTGTTTTTTTTTGAGATGGAGTTTTGCTCCTGTTGCCCAGACTGGAGTGCAATAGCATGATCTCGGCTCACTGCAACCTCCGCCTCCCGGGTTCAAGCTATTCTCCTACCTCAGCCTCCCAGGTAGCTGGGATTACAGGCACCCGCCACCACATTCGGCTAATTTTGGTATTGTTAGAAGAGACGGGGTTTCACCACGTTGGCCAGGCTGGTCTTGAACTCCTGACCTCAGGTGATCCACCTGCCTTGGCTTCCCAAAGTGCTGGGATTGCAGGTGTGAGCCACCGCACCTGGCCTTCCATCTTGAAACTCGCCAAGGCACATTCCTGGTCAGTCACCACCCATGGTCCTTAGATGTTTACAGCTAAGGAAGCAGCTTGCTAATGCCTACAAGGACAAACCCCTCCAACAACAGAAAACCCAGATGTCCCAATACCCATAACGATATACGCTTTCAAGATAATTACGGTAACACTTTGATGTACTTACACACTAGAATGTCAAGGATAGTTTTCTTTACATTAATAAACTACTAAATTTTGTCATGCTGCCTGCCCATCCACATATAGGACAGCTTAGTTTAGTCTTTACATAGACAAGACTCCTACATAAGGAAACCTTCAGACAAAGATGGTGCATTCCTCTTCTTTCTTTCCATGGATGACCTCCTCTGTAATGGAATAGTTTTTAATAAACCATCTCTTCTCACTGTACTCCACAACTCACCTTGAATTCCTTTGTGTGCAAGATCCAAGAACCCTCTCTTAGGGTTGGGATCCGATCCCTTTTCTGGTAACAGTGCCTCTGCCAGGACTGTGAATTTCACTGTGTCACCTCCCTACTCAATGGTCCATAGAAGCATGCAGGGGACCCATGCTGGCCGTCATAACACCATATTCCTCCTAGACACGTGACCAAAGCAGCTCACAGGAAGCCTCCTCTAGTCTCATGACACACTGGAGAAACAGGTGTGTTTTTCCCTGCTCGTGAGCTGTACCATGCTACCCCAGTGCTGTCGGAGTCCCTGTCCCCAGCAAAAGGAGGAGTCAAAGAATTGGGCTTGATCCCATAGAGAAGCAAAGATGATGATGGTGAGACAGTCCCAATATCACAGTTTTAATCTTACAACGCCTGCTGTCTCCTCCAGGTATCTAAGAAAATGCTTCCTTCCCTTCCCCATGCCCTGTGATTAAGGTCAACAGGAAACTACAACAACCCAATCCAGGCAGGATGGCAAATGGCGCAGAAGCAATGAAGGTTTGCATCACTCCACCAGGTTAAAAGAAAAAAAAACACGACCTGCTGAAGTGCTTGCTGAAGGCAAAGGGAATACAGAATGGGTAGTAGAAAAAAGCAGTCATTAATACCACATGACCAGCTGCAGAAACGACAACTGTAATTATCATGAGTATTTCTTCCTTATTTTAAGAACGTATTTGTTCGTGTATACACTTATACTAAGAAAATATGTTTTTATTTTTTCCTTTATCACATAAGATTTACTGACTTCATATCAGCATTTAAGTGTCGTTAACTTTATGTAATAGCACTTAGGTTAAGAATTAGTATGTTTCCGTTGTACAAAGGATAGCTGTATAATGTTAGCTGTAATTATGAATTTATTATTGTCTTTATTTGAAGATTATGTATGATTTCAGGAGCTGTGTATGGGTTCAAGGTGACAAGGGGTGGACTTCTGATGGCTAATACTGAGCATCAACTTGATTGAAGGATGGAAAGTGTTGTTCCTGGGTGTGTCTGTGGGGGTGTTAGATTAACATTTGAGTCAGTGGACTGGGAGAGGCAGACCCACCCTCAATGTGAGTGGGCACCATCTACTCAGCTGCCAGCGCGGCTACGATAAAAGCAGGCAGAGGAACATGGAAGGACTAGACTGGCTGAATCTTCCGGCCTTCATCTTTCTCCCATGCTGGATGCTTCCTGCCCTGGAACATCAGACTCCAAGTTCTTCAGCTTTTGGACTCTTACACCTACAGCAGTGGTTTGCCAGGGGCTCTCAGGCCTTTGGCTACAGATTGAAGGCTGCACTGTCGAATTCCCTACTTTTGAGGTTCCGGGACTTGAACTGGCTTCCTTGCTCCTCAGCCAAGCAGATGGCCTATTGTGGAACTTCACCTTATGATGGTGTTAGTCAATGCCCCTTAATAAAGTCCCCTTCATATACACATCTATCTTATTAGTCCTGTCCCTCTGGAGAACGCTAATACACCTCGGATGAAAAGACACGAGAAATAACATATGCCTCATTTTACCACACAGAGAAATCCTTCAATTCTCAAATATTCAACTGGTATCTTCAGTTTTTCTGTGATTGATAATGATTATTGGGCATCTAATGTGTGCAAAACATGAAACATATTTTGTGTTGGATCATTTTATTTCTCCTGGCATTCACATTAAGACTGTCTATAGAAGTGCGTGTGTGTGTTTGTGTGTATCTTGTGTTTGTATTTTTTAGGCAGCATCAACCCTTTATAAAAGTGTTTTGAGAGGCCAGGCGCAGTGGTTCACGCCTGTAATCCCAGCACTTTGGGAGGCCGAGGCAGGTGGATCATGAGGTCAAGATATTGAGACCATACTGGCCAATGTGGTGAAACCCTGTCTTTACTAAAAATACAAAAATGAGCTGGACATGGTGGTGCGTGCCTGTAGTCCCAGCTACTCAGGAGGCTAAGGCAGGAAAATCACTTGAACCTGGGAGGCGGAGGTTGCAGTGAGCCGAGATCATGCCACTGCATTCCAACCTTGTGACAGAGTGAGACTCTTATCTCAAAAAAAAAAGTGATTTGAGATTTCTCATAAATGTACACATAATAGCACATACTAAAATTAACAAATGAGAAAAAGCACAGCACTTGCTCAGTATGTCCAGTCCCCTGTATCCTCTGCAGTTGTTAGGCTGTGTTTCAGTAAATCATATTAAAGACATATTTACAAAATGTACAATGTGCACAGCATAAAAATTCAACTATTGAATCCAAGTATAGTGTTTAGAAATTTCAGACTTCTTTTGTTCAAGCCCCACCAGAATTCCTCACTGTTTTATTTCACTCTTTAGCGTTGTGACTGAAACAGATCCAGAATTTGCTCGTTTCTGTACAAGTCCTAGGGACTACTAAAGTTTCCAAAGAGTAATGATGCATTTCTGTCCATTTCAAAGGAGTTTGAGTCATGCAAAGGCTTCACGTTGAGCTAAGGAATATAATTGGAATGAGGAAGTTACCCAGATGTGTGAAATGTATTTATGAAATTTCCACAAATGACTGGTAAAAAAATAAAATTTGTCTAATTTAAGCAAGCATTTGTTTATTCTAAGTGTACAATGGTTCCAACAATATTAAATAATTCCCAAATTGCCTCTGTGCATTTTGGAGGACCATCTGACTGGTTAGAAAGGCCCATTTTCACCATGCCAACTCCAAGTGCCATCAACCACTCATCTAGTAAAAGCCATTATTCTAGAATATGTCAGCACCATACTTTCTTAGTAAACATCTGTTGTGGAAATTTACCCATGTAATTCTTCAGGTTAAAAAAAAGTGTTTTCTCTCAATAAAGATGAGAAAAAGTATAATAAACATACCAAAATTGGTGATTTGTTTTGACATTTTTAAGAGTCTACTACAACAAGCCTGAAAAAGAAAAATAAAAAGGCAGGAGTCTCTCTGTCCACTTCACCACAATTATTTTATCTTTGTGAAAACAAAAACACCATGAAAAACTGCATTATGTAAAAATAGGCTTTCTCCAGGCAGCTTCCTCACTCATAATCACAGAGAATGTATCAAGCCGGCTGAGATAAACCTCCAGCCAGGTAACTGCACGCTTTCCAATTAAAGTCCATGAATATAAAATGATTCCAAATAGAAATCCTCAAATATGCTCATAATCTCATGGCTTTCTAGGTGTTACTTTATTACAAAAAGGCAAACAACATTTTTTGTTTTGCCTAAGAAGACTAATAAAATAACGACATCATAGAAATTAAAACCAGGGGGACCTTAATGAGTTCTTTACCCAGATGGAACCCTGTGGTTCACCAAGTCTTCGAATGTTCTGAAATGCCATGCAACATGGTGGGAAGTTTGTATCAGGTTCTCCATGTCAAAAAATAATTCTTTGAACTCTTTAAAAAGTATTAAATCTATTAAGTGATTCAGTAGAAACTGAGTATTCACTTGCAGATAGCTAATAATTGCTACAATTATTGAATGTGTCCTATTCACCACACACTATTCTACGGAAAGTTTTATGTGTGCACTTTGCTGGGCCACGGTGCCCAGTTCTTTGGTCAAATACCAGTCCTGGTGTTATGGTAAAGGCACTTCTCAGATGTGCTGAGTGCTTAAATCAGTAGCTTTTGAGTAACGTGATTACTGTCCATCGTATAGGTGGGCCTCATCCAATCAGTTGGAGTTAAAAGCAAAGACTGAGATTTCCTGAAGAAAGGGAAATTCTGCTTCAAGACTGCAATATAGGAAGCCTGCCTGAGTTTTCAGCCTGCAGATTTCAAACTCAACACCCTAACATCAACTCTTCTTCAAATTTCCAGCCTGCCCAACAGATTCTAAACTTGCCACCCCACAATCCTGTCAGCTAATTTTTTTTTTTTTGAGACAGGATCTCACTCTGCCACCCAGTAGCATGACCATGGCCCAGTGCAGCTTCAAGCTTCTGAGCTCAGGTGATTCTCCCACTTCAGCCTCCTAAGTAGCTGGGACTACAGGTGTGTGCCACCTGCCCGGTTATTCTTTTGTGTTTTTTGTAGAGACAGGGTTTTGCTGTGTTGGCCAGGCTTGTCTGGAACTCCTGAGCTCAAGCAATCCACCTGCTTTGGCCTCCAAAAGTGCTGGGATTAGAGGCATGAGCCGCCATGCCCAGCCAAGCCAATTTCTTAAAATAAATTTCTCTCTATATGTAGATAGACCTCTCACTACATAGATAGAGCAAGAGGTTTTTCTGGAGAACCCTGACTGATACACATATATTAACTCATTCGTATATGAAACAGCCCTATAAAGGTAGAGGGGTAGCGATGGGCTCAGGCCCTGCCATCTGGAGCTCACAGCACAGACAGTGGGGGTGAATACAGGCCTGACAATGAATAACGCACATGCCAGTGATGACCAGAGTCCAGTGGGAGAGGGAAGGTCCTCTGGAGGGGTTGCCATCTCTCAGGGCTGCCCAGAGGGTCTTTGTGAGAGCAGCAGAGTGGCTGAGGGCTCCGAGCAGAGGACTGCTGCAGGAAGGAATCTGCAAGCCAGAATTTCCACGTGGTAGAAAAAGACCAGCTCAGACCAGAGCAGGAGGGGACAGCTGGAGGAGAGCCCTGTGCTACTGGTTACCAAGCTGCACTTCAAGGGCAAGGGCCCCAGAGCAGGACAGGCCCAGGCCCTAAGGCTGAGCTGAGATGCAGCTGTAGTGTGACCTCAGAGAAAAGACTTGACCTCTCCAATCCTGTTTCCACCTTCTACAAAAGGCTGTGATAGTCCTTGAAGGAGTTTGACCACCTCAGGGATGTGGCGTGCGTCCAGTCATGTTGGGCTGGGCAGGTTGATGGTCATGTTACATCTGCAAATTCTCAGAGCAGGAGCCATTTCCTCAAGTCCATTCAACAGAGTCCTAGCTCTGCTGCTGAAATGGTCACCTGTGTGATATTCCCAGAGGCTCCTGGCTGCGCTCAAGGAACTAAGTAGGGAGGAAGTTGGATCCCATCTTCAGCTGGAAGCCCTCTACCCCGCTGCTAATTCTCGGCCGGGTTTCTGGGCAGAAGGAGGAAAGCAGGGAGTTGAAAGGCTCACGCCCCAGCTTGTGCCACCACATACAAGAGGTCTCTCTTCTTATTTAGAAAATGAGAAGAATAGCTGCCCTGACCCCTCCTGGGGCCAGGGGACACTCAAATGTGGCAGTCACTGTGAAAAGGCTTTGTAATCTCTAAAGTGCTGTTCGCAGGTCAGGGAGGATGTGTGTGTGTCTATGTATCCCAAGAGAAAGTTACTTTCTGAGATTTACAGCTTCCAAATATAAATGCTGCTATGAGAGCCTTTTAAGTTCCTATGAATCACAATTAATGGGAACAGAGAAAAGCAAAGAAAATTGATTCTGGTTAGGAAACAAAAGGTGGTTGCAGTAAGTAACCCACTAGCTTATTAAACGTAGGAGGGAAGCAATGGTGAGGAGGGAGGAAGAGGAAAAAGAGCTTTCTTCTTCAGAGGAGGGCTGGAAGGAAGGGAAAACTGCATTGCTCTATTTGGACATGGATATTGAATCGTAGTCAGCAGAGCAGGAGCTGAAAAAAGGCATTTGCGCATTCCTCGGAGGTTTTGCTACCTGCCCAGCACAGGTGCTGTGAGAGAGCGCGCTTGTGTCTGGACTCACATATACATGCCACACACAGAGGTCCATGTGGGAAGAAAGTAGAGACTGGGCAGGGGCAGGTGAGATGCCGGGGCTCTGCAGCATCAGGCAGGAGTTGCCAAGACATAGCTGCACATTGAGTTTGCAGTTGCAAAAGCATCCCCTGGCCCAGCCCCACTTCCCACAGGAGCCTTGTTGGATCACTTGGGTATCTGGGATGGGTCCTGGCCATCCTTCTAGCCCTTCGGCAGAGCTTGGCTGCAGAGAGTGAGCTTAGAGAATGGTGTGGCTCTCAAGGAGCAGGGGGTTGCCTGCTAAGGACTAGCCCCATTCAACTCAAAGACCTTCATGGAGGGTTTGTCAGGCTCCAAGCAAGGCTCGCTGTGGGGTACGGACATGAGCTGGCCCTGGCCCTACCTGCAGCCAGGAGGCACTGGGCTGGGTGAGGAGCTTTGGAGGATTTGGGCTCTGGAGGCAGCTGCTTGCGTTACTGCTACTGCACCCTGATGACCAGCATGAGTGAGCATTCCGTAGATAATTGTTCCATGAGCGACTTGGAGGAGGAGGAACAGACCCAGTGAGGAATGATGGGGAGAGGGTTCCACACAGCCAGAATAGGGAGTGTGGGGCGAGAAGGCCACAGATCCAAGGACATCTCGGGAGCTAGCAGCAGTTTGTCCTGATAAGGCACAGCTGAGGGGTGGAGCGAGGTGGGTGCAGAGCTGGTCAGCCCATAGAGGCCCCCAGTGCCCTGCCAGGGGCTCAATGGCCCCAGCCACCTTGGAGAAGGTCAGCTGTGGAGAATCTCAAGCATCAGTCTCCACCTCAGGATGGGCTTTGCAGACTGGAAAACCACCCCGGCCTCTCTGGACTCCAGCAGGTCCTGAGCATACCCAGGAGTTCTGCCACGGAGGCATCCCCCGGAGCTGGGTGGGGAGGAAGCTGAGGAGCCCTGAGGTGCCCAGCCTCCTGCCCCACACTGGCTTCCCCCGGACCTGCCCCTCCACACCCACTGCTCTGCCAGGCCCATCCCTGATGCCCCCAGCTCCCCTCCCTCCGGGACTGACTGAACTCAGCCTCTCCCTGCAGGGCTTTGTAACAAGGTTGAAAACAGCTGGAGCAAATTCACCCCAAAGGTCACACTCAGAAGGGAGGACCAGCGACCTCAATCCTCAAAGGATTTCCACAAGTGTTAAATACATAAACAGGCGCCAAGTGTGCAATGCCCAGCTCACAGAAAGCCTCTGAAACCTCCCAAGCAAAGCTGAGCCACCACATCAACACAGAACCTCAGAACCCTGAGGTCTGAGACTCATTCTTCTGAGAAGGCGAATGCCAGGCAATCTGCAGACAGTGACGGCCAGCTGGCTGAGAAGCGCTGCTTCGTACGCATTTGTCACTTACGGGTTTTTCATGCATGGAGTGAGCCACACGGGCCCACCTCCCACCCCACTCACTAGCCTGCTACATTTTCTCCAGGTGCTGGGAGGTGGCGGCTGCCCCAGTAGAGACGGCACCTTGGCAGATGCCCAGGCTGATGGCAGCTTTGGAGCAGCCACCCTGGTTTCCTTCCAGAACCACCACTTGTTAGCTGTGGGGTCTTGGACAAATTATTAATCTCCCTGAGCCTCAGCTGCTCCAACTATGAAATGGAATGATACTAATTTACCCACCTGGGATGGTGGCATTAAATAAGGCATAATAACCTCATAACACTGTGTCAGGCACGCAAATAGACTTATCGAGTCTGAGAGGTTATTATTTTACTATAAATAATGATGACAGTAAAATAATATTGATGACAGCAACTAAGACTCAGAGAAGTTCCATTCCTAGACCAAAATTGAACCTTGTAGGTGGTGAAGCCGGGGCTTGAACTGGAATCCCTCCGAGCCCAAAACTTCAGTGGTTTCTGCTGGACTCTGCTGTTTCCCAAAGTGCCGGGGTAACAAAGCAGGGGTGGGCACAGCTGAGTTCCCACGACATTCACTGAACCGTCCATGCATGTGGCATCAAAGAGGGAGTGGACAATGCTTCAGTTCTCACTTTAGGGCCTATGTCCCCACCTGGGAAGGCCTTCCCTCAGGAGAGAGGCCTGGTCACTCTTGCTTCAGGGCAAGGGGCCAAGAACTCACGGCTTCCAGCTGTCAGATTTTCCTAACAAAGGGAGTGTTCCCTTTAAGAACAGCAACAACAAAGCAAGGTCTCACAACAGAGCATCTCCTGAAAGTGATGAAACCACAATGAAGAGATAAGGAGGGTTCAATCTAATCTCACCTGAGAGGCTATCCGTCTGCAGTGCATCTTTGTCAGGGCTGCTGGCAATGAAGATAGCATCGAAATCTCATAGAACAATATCAGGGGGAGACAGGTAGACTCTGTCGCCCAAGGGTTTACATGATGGCGAAACCTTTGATTTACTGAAAAAGAGCAGGAAAATAACTCAGTGTTCAGAGGCAGTCTTTCAAGGGGGAAAATAGACTGTGTCTGAATAACAATTGTACTCCTCACCCAGTACATTTAAAAATACTTTTCACACTGGGACGCTGAACAATACTACCTGTGCTCTCTGAAAACAAGGGCTCAGAAGTCAGAAGCATCAGGCCCCCTCCTGCCTACAAGATTGTGCTCAGAACAACCCAACCCTCCAGCCACTCAGATCGAGGCCTCCCTGTCTGGAATGCCCCACTGTGTGAACAAGGGACACAGAATAAAAACCAACATGAAGTAACACCATCCTCCAGCATGGAGGAGTTTGCTCTAGTGGGAACTTGGTACAAATGTGCGTGTAACCCATACTAAAATGGGACGGGTCCTCTCCCAGAATGGCGGCCAAGAACTCAGAGTGTTACGTCCTCCACCTTGCATTCAGAGGTACCAGCCAACCATGAAAACGTGCTGAGAAGCGGTTCTCAACACACCTGCATCCATTATCCATCTCCAGGCTAGAGAACTCAGGATGATGGGCCATGTAAGAGATTAAAAGGAGAGATTCATTTAGAGGGAACTGTAGGAAGCTTGTATTTCTAGCACACCGACCACACGGAGGAGGAGGAACGTGTCTTCTGCCAACTTAAGCCAAGTGATGGATTTTGGAGAAGGAGTAGAGAAGGAAGAGGTATGTCCAGGGAGAAGTCACCCTGAGGTCTAGATGGAAAAAGACTAATGAGAGTTCCAGGTCCATACAAATGTTTGGGGAATACTGGAGAGACAAAGAAAGAAAGAGAGAAAGAGAGAGAGGGAGAAGGCGCCACCTGGAGCTGTGCAGAGAGATATTTTTGGAGCCAAACACACCTGGATGTCATCTTGGCCCCTTCACCTGAAACTGGTGTGTCCACAGATAAGTTACTTCCTCTCTTTCCCTCAGTTTACTCCAAAGAGAAATGAATAATACCTAAATTGAAGCAACTGAGACACTGTGGCAAGGATGATTGTATTTGTCTGTTCTCACACTGCTATAAAGAATACTACCTAAGACTTAAGACTGGGTAATCATAAAGGAAAGAGGTTTAATCGACTCACAGTTCCACAGGCTTAACAAGAGGCATGGCTGGGAGGCCTCAGGGAACTTACAATCATGGTGGAAGGCAAAGGGGAAGCAGGCACCTCCCTCGCAAGGCTGCGGGAGGGAGGGTGTTTGAGAATGAGGAAAAACTGCCGCTCTTAAAACAATCAGATCTTTTGAGACTCACTATCACAAGAATAGCATGGGAAACCATCCCCATAACCCAATCACCTCCCATCAGGTTCCTGCCTTGACACATGGGGATTACAGTTCAAGATGAGATTTGGGTGGGGACACAGAGCCAAACCATATCGATGACCTATCAAATATGGAAATATCTACCAAGGGGACTGGAACACAGCAGATGATCTGGAAACTTTCCTTCTCCCCTCTCTGGTGAGGCTGCATTTAGGAGCTGAGGGGTGAAATTAAAGCGCCCCAGGTTCTCCAGATCCATCCTGCCCACACTGCCTGACTTGCTTCCTGACGCTCTTGCTCGAAGTTTGTGCGTGGTCCCCAGGGCCTCCCTGACCACAGGCCAGAGCCTCGCCTGCCCTGCTCAGCGCCACTCACGGACCCAACCTCCTTGCATCCTTGTTCTCTTGTTTTACCTGAATTTCTAGAAATCTAATTCAATTTTCACTCTCCAGTTACTTTTTTTTTCCTAAATGCAACCTAAGTGTGACTCATACCAGCAATAAATTGAGCTCATATTACACAGAGATTTACCCCTCAATTTATCCTCCTGACTCACCCAGAATTAAAAGGCAGAGGTCAGAGACCACCCTAACTCCAGCAGGGAAAGGGACTCAGCCATCTCTCCTTGGAGTTGTGATGTAGCTGCCAGGACAGAGCCCGGGAGAAGGAGAGCATGGCTCAGCACCTCCCTGCTGCTGCTGGGGCCTGACTGGAGGATAAGCCAAGCAAATTTCAGTGAAATCACTCTTATTCTGAGACGAGACTGGGATCCTATATGAGGCAAACTGCCAAGTGGTTGGAAGCGCCCGGGGGTGTGTCATCCTTAGTCCTGCACCTTCATGCATGTACCCAGCACCGTCCTGCTCAGCAAACCAGGCCAGCAGGTTGCTCATCTCGCTCTCCAGGGAGAGTGTTCAGCGGGGTGTGTTAGGATGAGAACGCTGGTGTATTTTTATTGGGTACAAATGGAATATTCCACTTTCTCTGGTGCCATGAGGGAGTAGCAGGTATGAATGTTTTTCTCACAAAACCTCAAAAGCTGACCTCCTGGCCCACCTGTAGTACCTGGTTTCAAATGACTGCAGTGGGGGCTGGGGGTCAGCTGATGGGGTGGACGCTACCTCTCATTTCTGAGACGGAGCTACTGAGAACAGAGATGGTGAGCAAGAGGTCCAGGTGGCCACAGGCTTCCCTGCCTGTCTCCACCTAGGCTATCCCTGTGCTCCCAGGCAGGACCACAGGCAAACTCCAGTTTAGTGTCCCTTGTCCCCAGCTGTCAAACTGAAGGGCTGGCCAAGAGGTCCGAATTGATTTGAACCGAATTGATTTGAACCCAGCCGCACCCCCTGCAAATCCCCCTCATACCTAACTGTCCAGATGATGGTGCCACAGCCTGGATGGATTTTAACAGGCCCATCTGGCTCCCAGTCTTCATTGTCCAACTTTGCAGCCAGGTCTTACGCGAAACCAGGCCCCCACACCCCTGTCCTTTTGCAACGTGACTGTGCTCCAACTTGGAGTTCCCTCACCACATCTGTCTACCCAGAAGACCCCTTTTCATCCCCTGAGACCCAGGGTAGATTGGGTGTGGGCAGCAGCAATGTATTGTCAAATGGAAATGGTGCATGAGAGACGGCGTCCAGGCATGTCTGTAAGGTACATGTAAGGTGAGCAGGTGTCTCCAACTCACCAGGCACTGCCTCCCCCGACCCCAGGAGCCATGCCTACGGCTTCTCAAGGTGTCTCTTACACCAACTGAGGAAGAACCAACTTCAGCTGAACATACTGATGGAGCTGCATGATCTCCTGCTACCCCTGAAAGTGGACAGCTGGAGCACAATTGCCCGACTCAGGGTGACCCTGGAGCACAGTGGGGAAGGAAAATTATTTCAGTGAGCAGAGCTCCGAGCAGTATTTAGGTTTAGAGTGAGAGCTGGCTAGAAGCACAGACCCACACTGATGTGTGTGCATTTGCTAATGGTTTGGAAAGAGCAAGACTGGAAGATTGCTGGCTATGAAGAGGTTTGTGGATAGACCTCTCAGAATGGAAACAGACTGTGAAAATATGTGTGTCCCATGTGAATGAATGCCCCCAAAAAACAACCACCTGGAAGAAATTCTTAATACTCAGGTGGACAAGATAACATATTCTGTGGATACAAGGCTGCCACCTTCCCCAGTCATCCCTGTCATCGTCCAATGGGCTCCTAAACACCGTGGCCATGGTGGCAGGGATGGAGGCTGTGCCTGCACTTGGCATGGACTTCCCTCATCAAGTCTGGCCTGGCTCACGTCACTTCTGGGTGCCCAATCTGCCAGCAGCAGAGACCAACATTGAGCCCCCATGTGGCACCATTCCCCGCGGGGAGCAGCTGGCCATCTGGAGGCAGGTTGATGACACTGGACTTCTTCCATCACGGACAAGACAGAGATGCATCCTCACAGAAAGAAACACCTGTGGTGGCTACGGCTGCGCCTTCCCACCCTGTGATGCCTCCACCATCACCAACATCCTGGGCTCGCAGAATGCATTCTCCACCAACACAGCCCTCCTGTCAGTGCAGCCTCTGGCCAGGGAACTCATTCCACAGCAAAGGAGGACAGCAAAGAGCTCCTACCCAGGGAATTAGCTGATCTCACCGCATACCCCATCACCCAGAAGCAGATGGCCTATTCATGAGGTGAACAAGCACTCTGAAGACTCAATGACAGCACAGAAGGACAGAATACCCCCAAAGGATGGGTTAAGTCTTACAGGGTGCATTAGATGCTTGGAATCAGAGACTACTGTGTGGGGCTTTCTCTGCCTTTAGCCAGAAAACGTGGGTCTGGGGGTCAAGGAGTGAAAGTAGGAGAGGCTTCTCTCTCTATTACACGGAATCATCTGCAGTTATATTGAACAAACTTATTTACCTACAAGTTCACTGATGCTTGATATTGTCAATAAAAAATTGCAGAGTTGTTGAGCTAAAATATTTCATTTGTATATTAATTCTCATGTCCATGGCTATTCATAATAGTGATCTTTTATGTTATTCATGATTGTTTTCTATTTCTTCGAGAGAAAATTACCTGGCCAAAGGCTTTGTGCATTCCCAAGGGGGGAGGCCTATTCCTTATTAGTTAAAAGGTACTGTGCTTTTTACATCGCATGGAATAATCATTTTCTCACAGTTTGAAACCTTCTTTAAATTTTGTTTATGTTGTGTTTTATTATCAAAGTACTTTATTTTTGTTTCAATTAGGTCAAATATCTCTGTATTTCTTATTTCCTCATGGCTTCCAAATTCTCCACCTTGTTTTGGAAAAGATTTTAGATACCAAGTGATTATCATAAATTCATATTTTCTTCTAATAGTTTATGATTTAATATTTAGCATTTACTGTTCAATGTCACCTATTACGATATTAGCCTTTCTTATATGGTTAGATATTTGTTCCAATATCACTTACTTAACAGTCTATTTCATCATGAATTTGAAATGCCTCTCTTAAACACTTACTATAAACTGAAATCTTATGTTTACATCAATGTGTTTTCCCCCTCATTTATTCAATTTATTATTTGTTTTAGCACCAACAGCATGCTGATTTAATTACTTCAACACCATACTACAATTTCATATCTTGTGGACAACTCTTCCCTTGTTTTGCTTTTTCAAAACAAAAAAAATTATTTTATATATTCTTCTTTTTGCAAATTTTCTTCCACACAAACTTTAAAATTAGTTTGTCAAGTGGCACAAAAATTTCACCGAATTCTTTTCTTTTTTTGAGATGGAGTTTTGCTCTTGTTGCCCAGGCTGGAGTGCAATGGTGCGATCTCAGCTCACCACAACCTCCGCCTCCCGGGTTCCAGCAATTCTCCTGCCTCAGCCTCCCAAATAGCTGGGATTATAGGCATGAGCCACCACATCTGGCTAATTTTGTATTTTTAGTAAAGACGGGGTTTCTCCAGGTAGGTCAGGCTGGTCTCGAACTCCCGACCTCAGGTGATCCTCCCGCCTCAGCCTCCCAAAGTGCCGGGATTACAGGCGTGAGCCACCGTGCCCGGCCAGATTCTTTAGGGTCAGTTCATTGATTCTATAGATTACATGATGGAGCATGTGCCCACTTGAAATAGGATGATAAGGGAAGACCATTTAATAGGAACACAGGGGCTATCTTCTCTAAGGAGGTGAAATTCGAGCAGAGACAGAAAGTACATGAGCTGGTGACTCAGGAAGAAGAACTCTTCTTGACAAAGAAAAAAACGTGAAATGGTTTTAAAGAGGGAATGTGTTGGGGTCTTTGAGAAACTGCAAGTTGGTCAGGGATTCAGAAGTGAAAGCAAACTGGGCAGGAATAGAAAGAGCTGAGGTCAGAGAGGCAATGGGCAAGACCCTAGATCCCAACTGGGCAGGAATAGAAAGAGCTGAGATCAGAAAGGCAATGGGCAAGACCCTGGATCCCAACTGGGCAGGAACAGAAAGAGCTGAGATCAGAAAGGCAATGGGCAAGACCCTGGATCCCAACTGGGCAGGAATAGAAAGAGCTGAGATCAGAAAGGCAATGGGCAAGACCCTGGATCCCAACTGGGCAGGAATAGAAAGAGCTGAGATCAGAAAGGCAATGGGCAAGACCCTGGATCCCAACTGGGCAGGAATAGAAAGAGCTGAGATCAGAAAGGCAATGGGCAAGACCCTAGATCCCAACTGGGCAGGAATAGAAAGAGCTGAGATCAGAAAGGCAATGGGCAAGACCCTGGATCCCAACTGGGCAGGAATAGAAAGAGCTGAGATCAGAAAGGCAATGGGCAAGACCCTGGATCCCAACTGGGCAGGAATAGAAAGAGCTGAGATCAGAAAGGCAATGGGCAAGACCCTGGATCCCTGTACACACCTAGCAAGGACTCTGATGTTTTTTTCTAGATGTGATGGGAAGGGTTTGGAGAATTCTGAGCATGCAAAAGACATGCCTTGATTTTTATATTCTTAAGAATCATTGTGACTTCACTATGAAATACAGAGCATAGGGGGTGAGAATGAAAACAGGGAGATGAGGCAGGAGGCTCTTGCCCTAGCCCAGGAGAGAGTGGATTATATCTTAGACCAGCATGGAATCTTGAGAAGATGAGCTATGTATTAAAGGTAAGGCCAACAGGATCTGATGATGGATTTGGTGTGTTGTCACAGAAGAGGAGAGGTGTGAGAAAGGCTCCAAGGATCATGGCCGGAGTGACCAGCGAAGAGAGAAGAGAACCCACTTGTTACCTGGAAATACCGGGAAAGGAGCAAGTTTTGGAGTGTGGGTGAAGGGCAGTCAAGAAGTCTGTCTTGAATGTCAAGTAGAAATCAGGTCACTCCTCGACTCAGAGTCTTCCAGTGGCATCCCATCTCTCTCATGACAAAGGCAACATCCTCACAGTGACCCAGATTCCTGAATGACCTCCTCTCCTACCCCTCTTCTCTTCTCTTGCTCTACTCCAGGTACACTGGCTGTATTTGTCCAGCTGCTGATAAAGACATACCTCAGACTGGGCAATTTATGAAAGAGGTTTAATAGACTCACAGTTCCACGTGGCTGGGGAGACCTCACAATCATGGTGGAAGGTAAAAGGCACATCTCACATGGCATCAGGCAAGAGAAGAGAACTTGTGCAGGGAAACTTCCCTTTACAAAACCATCAAATCTCCTGAGATTTATTCACCATTATGAGAGCAGCATGGGAAAGACCCACCCCTGTGATTCAATTACCTCCCACCAGGTCCCTCCCACAACACATGGGAATTGTGGGAGCTACAATTCAAGATGAGATTTGGGTGGGGACACAGCCAAACCATATCACTGGCCCTCAAGGCCACTGGAGCATGCCATGAAGTCTGCTGCCTCGGGGTCTTTGTATCTTCTATCCAGAATGCTCTTCTGCATTTCACACCTCTATGCCCTCTCCCCTAGACCTTCTCAGGCATCCCATCTAAAAGCATAACCCTCTTTCTATCAATTCTCTCTGTTTTCCTTACTTTATTTTATTTAATTTTTTTTTTTTGAGACAGAGTATTGCTCTGTCCACCCAGGCTGGAGTGCAGTGGTGTGATCTCGGCTCACTGCAAGCTCCGCCTCCCTGGGATAAAGTGATTCTCCTGCCTCAGCCTCCCAAGTAGCTGGGACTACAGGCACGGGCCACCATGCCTGGCTAATTTTTGTATTTTTAGTAGAGATGGGGTTTCACCATATTGGCCAAGCTGGTCTTGAACTCCTGACCTTGTTATCTGCCTGCCTTGGCCTCCCAAAGTGCTGGGATTACAAGCATGAGCCACTGCACCCTGCCTTCCTTACTTTATTTTTTCCTTAGCAGGCATCACTACCTAATATACCACACATGATTTTAACCAAAAATATATCATTTTTAATAGTCCGGTTGGTTCTCCACTGGAGGGGAAGGTCCATGCAGGCAGGATTTTCTTTTTATCTGTGTCATACTCAATCCCTAGTGAGTCAAAGAAGACCTGGCACATAATAGGGGTTACATAAACATCTGTGGAATGGAAGAAAGAGAGAATAATTTACGAAATAAGTAGTGCTATTAAACAGGCATTGTACCTGCACAGGAGTCTAGAATTTAAGGAAGAAACTTGTGACTCGTGTATAAGGAAATGTTTTAAAAAAATATTCACCATTTATCCAGCCCTCTTACTGATCTCTTTTCTTATGGACATGAATGTCAGATGTGTTGTTATTTTTATTTTCTTTCCCTTTGAATTAGACAAACATATCACCTTCAAAAAAAGAAAAGACAATTTGTTTCTTCCTTATTATATATTTTTTTTCTTGTCTGATTGCATTGGGCAGGACATTCAGAAAAATGTTGAATAGCAACATATAAGTTGCCTACATACACCATTTTCCATTAAACATTTTAAATTGCCACATTTTATAGGTTGTATACTGTGATATCTTGTTTTAAAAAAACAAAACCATTGTATTTTTTTTTTTTTTTGAGACGGAATCTCGCTGTGTCACCCAGGCTGGAGTGCAGTGGCATGATCTCAGCTTACTGCAACCTCTGCCTCTCAGGTTCAAGCAATTCTCCTGCCCCAGCCTCCCCAGTAGCTGGGACTACAGGCACGCGCCACCACACCTGGCTAATTTTTGTATTTTTAGTAGGGACGGGGTTTCACCATATTGGCAGACTGGTCTCAAACTCCTGACCTTGTGATCCACCCACCTCAGCCTCCCAAAGTGCTGGGATTACAGACATAGAGCCACCACACCTGGCCGCCATTGTATTTTTATACCACACAGTGAACTTAGAAAGTTTGTTGTTATCATTATGACCGTTATTATTGTTTCTAAACTCAGAGCAACGTGGCCAAAGGATATTTTTCCATAACCATTTACTGATTTATAATGTCACTTTGGAAAATATCTTAGTATTCTTGGTGGTTGTGGACTTACATTTCCAGCAGATGACAGTAAAAAATAAATAAATAAATAAATAAATAAATAAATAAATAAATAAATAAATAAAATTGCACCTGCTTTGAGGCATTTGAATTCAGATTTTCCCTGTGTAACTTATGTGCTGTTAAAAATGTTTGTTATTCTAAAATTTCCAATCAATTCTAAATGTAAAAACTTCTGCTAATAGGGAACTGACAGGTATTTTATGAATGTATAAGTCTTCCTTTTGGTACATTTTTTCTTATCTTGAACCAAAATCTTCTTGCATTTGATTTCCATTCCTCTGGAGCTTTTGTGCACTCTATCAAATCCCTGCCTTTCCAAACTCCACCCAATTGTTTCTTAGCTCTTGGGTAACCTCCTCCAGTTCTTCATGGTTCCTAGACTTCTGTTTAAACAGATGTTTATTCATTCTGGCTAGAAGAGGTAAAGTTGTCGACTCTACTCTGTAATCCAGCCCTGTTCTATCCCATAGGCATGTTGATTTCCAATATTTCTGGAAACAAATTCCACAGATAGCCAAGTAAGTGTAAAACAGCAGCAGTGAGTGGGGGTGGGGCGGGGGGAAACAGAGGAAGACAAAAGAAAAATTAAAGGAGAAAAGCAGCAAGCATAGAGAAGAGACAAAATGAGGATGAAGAAGCAGAGGAAGAAAAAGAGGACAAGGACAAGAAGGGTGTGCTGGGGTGTTCCTTTATATACATGTTTATACCTTTACAAAAGGAGCATCAGTGGCAGATTCTTGTTTCCCGACACTAATGTTAGAAAACTCAGCAGAGGCAGAGTCTCCCGTGGTGCTGCTCCCCATGAGGACAGGACCCGGAAGCAATCAGAACAGCCCACTTGGAGCTGGGGAGGAAAGCCAGGGTCTTTCCTTCACTGTGGAGAAAATAATGGCATTTGCATTTTAAAGAAAGCTTCTTTCAAAGACATTGGATCACTTTCAAGTGAGAAACCACTGATTCTACCTAAAACATTGAGAAAAACAGGATATTTATTTTTGGACTTCTTCCACGGGTTCCTGGAGCAATGAGGGAAGGCAGCATAGGTGGAAGCAGAGTGAGTGCATTGGTGGTTTGGGAGAACAGAGCAGTTCTCCTCCCACCACAAATAATCACCAGAGGGAGGTGATGGGAGGATAGAAGAGGGCCAAGTCCTCTCACTCTATTTTGCTGTTTGAAATATTGAGATTTCTATTGAGAGTGGGGACAGGTTGGTGGTTTGTGGTTGGCCATGGTTTCAAAGGAAAATTTATAATAAAAATTGAAAAAAAAAAGTAGGCTTGGCATGGATAAATTATATCAGACTATCCACATTTCTTTTTTCAAATTTCTGAGGGAAAATTTACATGCAATGAAATGCACAGATCTTGACTGTACCATTCGATAAACTTTTACATATACACACCTATCAAGAATTAGAACCTTTTTATCATTCAGAAAGTTACATCATTCAGAAAGCACCCCTCCAGTCACTTTCTGTTGGAAAAAAAAAAAAAAAAGCCTAATTCTGTAAAACTCTATAAAATATTCTGAGGCAAATGTAAGGACTACGACTTATGACACAGCCTCAGCAGGTCCTGATAACGTGTACCAAGGTGTCTGGGTTATATCTTAATTTTATACATTTTAGGGAGACAAGTTACAGGCAAAAACATAATCACTACATGTAAGGTTTACATTCGTCTGACCCAGAAAGACAGCACATCTCAAATTAAGGGGCTTCCAGGTCATAGGTGAATTCAAAAATGTCCTAACTGGCAATTGGTTGAAAAAGTTAAGCTTCCCTAAAGTGTTGGAGTCAGCAGAAAGAAATTTGAGGGTTAAGATAAGAGGGGTTGTGGAAGCCAAAGTTCTTGTTATGTAGATGAAGGCTCTGGGTGGCAGGCTTCAGAGAGAATAGATAGTAGATATCTCTTATCAGAACTTAAAAGTATCAGACTCTGATTTAAATCTCTCCTGGATTAGGAGAAAACATGGAAAGGGAAGCAGATTCTCTAAAGAATGTAGATTTTCCCCACAAGAGACAGCTTTGCAGGGCCATTTCAAAATATGTCACAGAAATATATTTTGGGATAAAATACTTTTATTTCCTTTAGGACCTGTTATCTGTCATGTGGTACTTACCAGAGTCAGGTTGGAGTTGGTATCTTACTACTACAAAGAGTCTGTATTGTCAGTCTTAGAATCTTGATTTTAATGTCAATGCTGGTCAGTTCTGTCTCAAGGTCAAAAGGGAGAGGGGGGTGTGATGGCTCATGCCTGTAATCTCAGCACTTTGGAAGGCCAATGTGGGCAGATCACCTGAGGTCAGGAGTTCAAGACTAGCCTGGCCAACATGGCAAAACCCTGTCTCTAATAAAAATACAAACATTAGCCAGGCATGGTGGCGGGCACCTGTAATCCCAGCTACTCAGGAGGCTGAGGCAGAAGAATCACTTGAACCCAAGAGATGAAGGTTGTAGTGAGCCGAGATCATGCCATTGTCATGCATGGGTGACAGAGCAAGACTCTGTCTCAAAAAAAAAAAAGGGAGAGGGTATAATGAGGTATGTCCTACCCCTGCTCCTTGCCATCTTAGCCTGAACTGGATTTCAGGTTTCTTTGTAATCTCCTTGGCCAAGAGGGGGTCCATTTAGTCTGTTGGGGGGCTTGGAATTTCATTTTTGGTTTACACTCCCTACCTCCATAGGCAATCATCATTTACATCTCCAGCAACACTGATTTGCTTTGCCCATTCTTGAACTCTGTATAAATGTAATCACAGAGTATGTGCTCTGTGGGTTGGCTTCTTTCACATATCATAATGTTTTTAAGATTTATCCACCTTATTCCAATAAAAAAAAATTATTATTTTTATTCCTGAGTAGTATACTATTGTATTAATATTCTACAAACTATAAGTTCATCTCCAGTTGATGAACATTTAAATTTGTTTACAATTTGGAGCCACTATAAATAAAGCTAGTATGGCATTCATTTACAAATTTTCTGAGAAAGTATGTTTTTATTCCTCTTGGAGCAGGAATTACCAGATCATAGGATAGGTATACATTAAAATTTATAGGAAACTGATCAATACCTATCCAAAATCATATACTTTTTTCTCTTCCACCAGCAACATATGGAGATTCTCATTAATCTACATTCTTACCAATATTTGATGCCATTAATCTTTAATATAATCATCTCTCTGGATGAGAGGTAGTATTGATTGTGGTTTTAACTTGTATTTCTTTAATTACTGAAGTTCTTAACCCCTTTCTTGTGCTTATTGCCCACAAATCTTTCATGAAGTAGCTATTTAAATCATTTATCATTTATTCTATGGTTGCTGGACCTGTAACTGACTTATGGGCTATTCCCATGTAATCTCTAAAACAAGTCATTTGTCTTGGGACAAATGTTTGTACTGTATTGCCATATTGTATTGGCAATATTTTACCTGAGTCTGTGGCTTGCCTTTCCATTTTCTTAATAGTATCTTTTGATGAAAAGAAGCTTTTACTTTTGAGGAAGCTCAAATTGTCCATTTATTTTCTTTTATGGTTATTGCTTTTTGTATCCTGCTAAGAAACATTTCCCTATTCCAAAATTGCAATTAGATTCCTTGGTTTTCTTCTAAAACCTTTGCAGTTATAGATTTTACATGTAAGACTATAGTCTCAATTTCAGTGAATGGTGTAAAATAAGGGTTGATTTTTTTCCTAAATTGATATTTAATTGTCAGATTACTATTTGTTTAAACATACTTTTTTTCTCCATTGAATTACCTTGACATCTTTGTCAAAAATTAATTAATTTTATATTGTACGAGTTGATCTGGACTCTGTATTATTTTCCATTGATTTATGTAATTTGCATACTAATATGAATTTTAGTATCAAATTATTACTAACAAAAAATGAGTTTTAACTTTGAATAAAATTGTATTTAATATATGTATCAGTTTGGAGAGAATTGACATTGATAATATTGATTCCCCAAATCTATGAACATGGTATATCTCTCCATTTATGTAACTCTTTTTCAACTTTATAAAGTTACTTTATAAACTTATATGGTATGTTAATAGACTTACATTTTTCAAATAAAAACGTCATGTGTAATTTTTAAAGTTATCCTTATTTTATTTTCATAAATTAAATTATTTTTAAATGTGATTTCCAATTGTTTGCTGCTAATAGGAAACAAACTTTATATTGATTTGTTTTATGTGACAATTTTAAATTTACTTATTAATCTGCTCCTTTTTTATTGCTGTTTTATATTGCTTAAGAAATTTCTATGTAAGCAATAATGCATACATATCTGTTGACATGGACAGTTTTACTTTTTACTTTCAAATATTTATTTTTACCACGTATGTTTTTCTTGCATGCTAACCCTAGCTAGAGCTTTCACTATAATGTTATACAGAAGGGATCAAAAGCAGACTCTTTGCCTTGCTCCTGATCTTATGGTAAAAGCACTCAATATTTCACCGTTAGATGATGTGTAAAGAAAGATGAAAAATCTCAAGACCCCAAACTTTAGCACCGAGGCTGCCTCATGCAACCCCCTCTTCCAGATGAAGAGCTGTCACTAGCAACACGCATCTGCCACACCCCCAGGAAAAGGTAAAAGGCTGCAGGCATCTGGAAAAGCTGCCCCTACATATCATTCACCAGTAAGTTCTTTGCCTGCCTCCCATAAACAAGGACATGCTAATTGTGAGTTTAGGTCTACAACCTAAGTCTAGCTCCTCAGACTAAATCTGTTTGATTCCACACTGATAATGCTGATTACAAGCTTATCTTCCCAGATGCAGAGCAAAGACAAGACTCATTTCCTCCACCTACCCAGAGACATATGTATAACTGACTCTCTTTCCTCCTTTTTTCTCTTCAAACATTCATCTTATCTTACGTGAAATGTAGATTTACTGGGCATTTACTAAAGTCTCATAGGAAAAAAAGCCATTCCCCTTAAGACCTACATGCCCCTCTTCCTGGAGGCCTTCCCCCACTACAAGGAAAAGTATTCCTACTAATCCTCCTGAAAACTTCTTCAGAAAAAACAGCCACAGGTGTGTCTGTGGCTAGTATTTTTCCCAGACATGCCCTAAAGCTGCCTTAAAAATCCTTGATGACTGAGACTTATGCCTCAGTCGCTTATCTTGGTTGTCAGATGTTAGCTGCAGGTTTTTCATGTATGTCTTTTATTATTAATATGTTGTCTCATCCTGCTGAACCCACAGCTGAAGACATCCCAACTTAGGGGAGTTCCCACAAAGGCATCTCCAAACTGAGCCCCAGTTGGGGATGAGACCAGTTGGGGTTCCAAAGAAAGAAGCGCAGAATGCCTGGGTGATCAGCCCAAAGCATTGATTAGGGGAACTTACCTGTAGAGGGCTGCAGCAATGGGGAACTTAACTGCGGAGGGCTGCAGCACTCCTAGAGACAGGCAGTGAGAGAAAAGAGGTGTTCTACCTAAGTATGTCCTCAGCGAGGGGGACAAGGCATGGGGTTTTCATGAGGGCTTAAGGAATTTGACTCAGGGCCACGGCCAGTTTCTTTCATCGTTTTGGGCAATAACCTAAATACCTTTATCAGTGCCCAGGAATGTTCAAGGGCCTGGTTTGGGTTCAAGTCTGCTGGGGAAAACCTGCACCTGGCTGGGTCACAGAGTGGTCAATGCACTCCATGACTTTTGGTCAGGACACAGAAAGAAAGAGCGGGGAACCGGGGGGCCCTACAGTGATGAATTATACTAACTGATTTTAGAATGTTAAACAAACATTGCATTTCCAGAATAAACCCCATTTAGTAACGCATAGTGTGCTTGTATTTATCACTGTATTCTATGTGCTAATGTCCTGCTTAGGAGTTTTGTGTTTCTGTTGATGAGAATTATTGGGCTATAATTTTATTTCTTGTAATATTTTTGTTAGGTTTTAGTATCCGAGTTACACTGGTATGAAATGATTTAAAAGTGAATATTTCCTTTTCCTTCATTTTTGAAATAGAGTGTATAGGATTGGTAATACTTCTTAGTTTGATGTTAAATTCATCATTTAAGCTACCTGGGCCTAGAGCTTTTTTGTAAAAAAGGTATTTAATTATCAATTCAATGTATTCATAGCTTTAGGGCTCTTCAGATTTTGTATTTCTTCTTGTTTTGGTAAGTTATTTTTTAAAAGAAATTTATCCATTAAATCTAAGTTGTAAAAATTACCAACATCAAGATTTTAGCAATATCCATTTAACATCTGTGCATCCCTTAGTAATATCCTCTCTTTCATTCTGATATTGTGTATTAGCAGCTTTCCGTTCCCTTACCTCACTCTATGTGTGTGTGTGTGTGTGTGTGCGTGCGTGTGTGCGTGTGTGTGTTCTTTATTATCAGTCTTGCTGAGGTCTTACCAATTTTGTTAGCCTTTTTTATTTTTATTTTTATTTTTTGGCGGAGTCTTGCTTGTTGCCCAGGCTGCAGTGCAGTGGCGCCATCTCTGCTCACTGCAACCTCCGCTCACAGGTTCAAGCGATTCTCCTGCCTCAGCCTCCCAAGTAGCTGGGACCACAGGTGTCCACCACCACGCTCAGCTAATTTTTTGTATTTTTTAGTAGAGATGGGGTTTCACTGTGTCAGCCAGGATGGTCTCGGTCTCCTGACCTCATGATCCGCCCGCCTCAGCCTCCCAAAGTGCTGGGATTATAGACATGAGCCAGCGCACCTGGCTTTGTTAGCCTTTTCAAATAACTTTTTGAACTTTGTTAATTTTTTAATTGCACGTTTTCTCCTTCATTTAATCCTGGTCTAACTTTTATTGTTTTTATTAGCCTCTTTTCCTTGGCATTATTTTTTTCTTCTTTTTCTAGCTTCTTAAGGTAGATCATTAGCTTTAAAACTTTCTTCCCTCTTAATTACACATTAAAATTTATAGATTTCTTTCTAACCATTGTTTCAACTCCAGCTCATAGTTTAGATATGCTTTTATTTTCATTTAGTTCAAAATAGTTTCTAATTTTCACTATGATTTATTTGACTCATGGGTTTTTTTTTTTTTTTTACTTTAATTGCCAACTATTTGGGTATTTTCTTTTTATTAATTTCTAATTTGTTTGCAGTGTCTTTATCAGGCTTTGCTCTCATAATATCAGGTTGGTGCAAACATAATCACGGTTTTTGCCATTGAAAGCAAAATCTGAGAGTAATGGCAAAAACTGCAATTACTTTTGCACCAAGTTATTAAAATGACTTGTAAAGTGCTCCTTCCCTGTATTACATTTTATTGTGACCAAGAAACATATCATTTAAGTTTCATTCCGACAGAATTTACTGAAACACATTTTATGCCACAATGTATGATTGTTTTGTCATGGCGAACTTTTCATATGCACAGGGAAAGAACGTGTATCTGTGATTGTTGAATATGGTGTTTTACAAATGTCAGCTGCATCAGGTTTGTTGATAGATTTGTGCTCATCTTCTGTATCCTTAAAGATTTTGTGTCTACTTCTATCACACCAAAAAATGGGTGTTATCACCACATATGATTTCGAGTCTATTTCTCCATTTACTTCTGCCAATTTTTTTATGTATTTAACTTGTAGACAATATGATCCTATGTGCAGAAACTCCTAAGGAACATCAGAAACCCAATCGAGCAAATCAACAGATTTAGCAACGTCATACAATACAATTTCAGATACAAAAGTCAATTGTATTTCTACATGAGTAACGAGCTAACTAAAAATGAAATTTAAAAACACTAATTCCATTCAAAAGTAGCATCAATGAGAATAAATTACTTAGGAATACATTTAATTAAAAAGTGCTAGACTTGTACACTGAAAATTACAAAGTACTCTGGAGATATATTCAGGATCTATATAAATAAAGACATCCATGTTTATGGATTAAAAGACTCAACATTGTTAAGATGGTGATTCTCCCCTAAATTGATTCATGGATCCAATGTAAGCCCAAACAAAATACCGGCAGGTTTTTATTTATATGATGATGTATTCATCTTAGTACGTGTATTTAAATACAAAAGTCATAGAACAGCGCAAGTTATTATGAAAGAGAAGAACAAAGTTGGAGGACTTACTCTTCCCAGTTTCAAAACTTACTTTAAAGCTACAACAATCAAGGGAATGGGATATTGGCGTGAGGATAGACATACAGATCAATGAGACAGAATTGAGAGTCCTTAACATTTATGATTCATTCAACAAAGGTGCCAAGACAATTAAATGGAAAAAGAAGAGTTTTTCCAATAGATGGTGCTGAAACAATAGAATATCCACAGGAAGGAGGAGGAGGAGGAGGAAGAAGAAGTGGAAAAGGAACAGAGGTGGAGAAGGAAGACTTAGAGCTTTACCTCACACCATATGCAAAAAAAATTCACTCAAAATGTATCATAGACCTTAATGTAATAATTATAACTTTAGAACTTCTAGAAGCAAAAGGAGAAAATCTTTGTGACCTTTGATGAGACCAAGATTTCTTAAATGTGACACCAAAAGCATGATCCATAAAAAAGAATTTGATAAATCAGACTCCTTCAAAGATAAAAATGTTTGCTCTTCAAAAGAAATCATGAAGAAAATGACAAGACAAAGCAAAGACTGGAGAACATACATGCAAATCATATATTTGATAATGGACTTGTATCTAGACTCTATAAAGAATTGTTACAAATTAATAAGAAGGAAAACAACCCAATCTAAAAACATTAAAAAAGGAAACATTCAAATAGACTGTTCACTGGTGCAGATGTGCACACGGTTTAAAGCACATGACAAGATGCTCAACACCATCAGACATTTTAACAACGCAAATAAAAACCCCAAAGAGATACTATTTCACACCTACTAGAATGGCTCCAATCAAAGGGGGAGACAATAACAGGCATTGGTGAGGAGGGAAGAACTAGAACCCTTATTGGTAACTGGTGGGACTATAAAATGGTACAGCCACTTTGGAAACAATTCTGTCAATTTCCTAAACAGTTAAACACAAGCTTGCCATAAACCCAGCAATTCCACACCTCAGCATCCACTCAAGAGAAATGCAAACATATGTCTACATGGGGACGTGTGCTAGAATCCTCACAGTTGCTCTATTTGTAATAGCCACGGCTAGAAGCAACCCAAACGTCCATCAGCCATTGGATGGATAAACAAAATGGCATCTCTCTAAAAAGCAGAACATCTGTCAACAGTAAAAAGTGTCCCCAAGATTACTCTTTGCTGTCAATGTTTCATTTTGGGTAGTCACTATAGCTGTGCCTCAAGATGACAAATATTTCCCCTGCAGTGTCGCTATTCATCCCATCCTGTGTGCTTCTCATCTCACACATCACACTTCTCATCCCTGGATGTTTCTTTCTTTTTTTTTTTTTTTTTTGAGACAGAGTCTTGCACTGTCACCCAGTCTGGAGTGCCATGGTGCCATCTCAGCTCACTGCAACCTCTGACTCCTGGGTTCAAGCAATTCTTCTGCCTCAGCCTCCCAAGTAGCTGGGATTACAGGTGCCTGCCACCCTGCCCAGCTAATTTTGTGTATTTTTAGTAGAGACGGGGTTTCACTATGTTGGCCAGGCTGGTCTCGAACTCCTGACCTCATGATCCGCCGGCCTCAGCCTCCCAAAAGACTGAGATTACTGGCGTGAGCCCCCGCGCCCGGCCTCATCTCTGGAAGTTCCATCTGCATCCTTTTCCTATCTCCTCTGCCTCTGCCTTATCCTTTTGAGCCTAAGGATTTCAGTGTAAAACTGTGTTGATGCCACCATACCTACCATCTGCTGAGGGATATCTCATTAACGTTTCTCGTTAGAATCAACAAATGGACACAGAAAGCAAGACATCAGTTCCTGGCCTGCAAGCAAACCGCACCACATGTCTTTGTAAATCATCTCTAGATTCTCTGGAGCCAAGTGTGTTCTTCCCTAGATCACGCCATGAAAGAATTCCCTCGCGAGTGAGTGTGGAACCCAAAGTGGTCGGACTCACATGGAGATCTGTGGCCCGCACTTGGAGAAGCACTGGTATAAAGCAGCATCTTCACATTCCTGCATTTACTACAGGTCTAGTCACTCAAGACATACACTGCCGAGCACCTACGCTATCCCACAGGCAGGATGAGGTGCTGGGTAGAGGCCAGCAACAGTGAAACAGACAGGGAAGAAGGCACCCGACTTGGACAAGGTCCAGGAAGATGTTTGGAGGAGGGGAGGCTCCGAAACCGAGTCTGGAAGGGGAGTGAGAGTTCGGTTGCCCACGACGGGTGGAGGGGTCCCTGGCAGAGGCTACAGCATGAGCAATCCTAGGGCAAGAGAGCACACCGGCTCCTCCAGGAACTCTCGATCAGAGCTTCTCCCAGTGTGGTCTGTGGACCTATGCCAATCCAGCCTTTGTTGCAGTCCTCGATGAGATGGAAACAAAAATTGAGTGTTTAGAAATGTTTATAGAAAATTGACAGAGTAATTTTATGTCTGTTGAAATTAATGATAAAAAGTGGAGTCTGGGCCGAGCATGGTGGCTCATGCCTATAATCCCAGCACTTTGGGAGGCCAAGGTGGGAGGATCACCTGAGGTCGGGAGTTTGAGACCAGCCTGACCAACATGGCGAAACCCTCTCTCTACTAAAAATACAAAAATTAGTCAGGCATGGAGGTGCGTGCCTGTAATCCCAGCTACTTGGGAGGCTGAGGCAGGAGAATCACTTGAACCCAACAAGCAGAGGTTGCAGTGAGCTGAGATCGTTCCACTGCACTCCAGCTGGGGGATAGAGCGAGACTCTGTCTCCAAAAAAAAAAGTGGAGTCTATATTTTGTATGCTGTTTGCTTTCAGTTTTTGAGTAACTTCTTTTTGCTGTAATTTTCAAAATACCATCTGTGATGGATGGAAAAATACCATTCCATCACCACAGATGATTAGAGATGCACCAAATAGTTCCATCTGGAGGGACACGGGGACAGGGTGGGAGGGAGGAGGCTGGGCAGGGAGAGCAGGGGCAGGAATCAGGCCAGGAGGGGTCACATGGACCTTGTCAGGAAGTCTGAGCTTCCCACCAAAAGCAAAAGGAGCTGCTTCCGGCTGTCCAGCAAGTGGACTCCACCAGGCTTGCCTTTCAGATGGTTTGAGTCCAAGAAGACTCCTGAGGAGAGAGTGTTGAAGTTGGGTTTTGTAGTATAAATAGGAGTTTGCCAGGTGTGCACAATTATATTGGGTAATTATATGAAGGATGGGCTGGAAGGAGGGAAACTAGGGGTACTTGGAGAAGTGATACTAGTCTTAGGAGAAGTCAGTGACATTTTCCAAGAGTCCCTGGAGCTCCTTCCGGGCAGCTTAGTGGGAAGAGCCGCTGCCACTGCCTGGTCATGAGAGCAAGGGCCTGAGCCCAGGTCCCCAGGCTCTGGAATTTCTCTACTGCAGGCACAATGGAACTGCAGCGGGGTGCAGATTTGTAACAAGGCCTCGTGTAGACAGCACACTGTGTCCACACCAGGCAGGAAATGAGGAAGGAGTTCCTTTTCATTTTTTGCATTTGAGGTAAGTTTTTGTGATTTAATTCCTCAAAATCAGTGATTTGGCAGTGGCAGTGGCATCCAAAACAGCCAGGCCATCTGTCAGTCACCTGGCGGAGAAAAATCACAATTGTGAAGGGGGTGTTTGAATGGGAAGCTGCAGCAGGGATTTTGGTGGAGTTGGTCAGGTGGAGGAGGTGATTAAGTGAGTCACTGCAACACTCTGCTAGCTACAATTTAAATTTTAAAATAAACACCTTCTTTGCAGTCGTAGAGATTTCAAGGGAAATAAATAAATATGTAACAAATCTGTCCTGGATTACTATTTGCTTTAACTCTCTGCAAAGTCAAGGCTGGGTGTATGTGGGAGAAAAATAAATGTCAGGTTCAATCTCAGAATGAATCGTCCTTCTTCCAAGCCCCCAACACTTGCCCGAAACTTGCTGATGGCTCCGGGGTTCAGTCCAGAACAGATGCTCTGCAGGCTGTGCCTCCTCTCTAGCCAGGCACTGCACGGGAGGTACATCAAGCCCAGGACCCCAGGACGGCCAGCCTGCTTCTCAGGAAAGGCTTCTGTCCACCCACTCAGAGTGGGGATTGATTACAATCCACAGGGCAACAGGGGAAAGCAAAGCTTTCTCCAGGGATCCAGGGCAGGGAGTTATGAATTCTGCCTCTCTGGGTCCAAGAAGACCCTTGAGCAGGGAGTATTAGAGCTGGGTTTTGTGGTATGAATAGGAGTTTGCCCGGTGTGCACAGCCGGAGAGGAAGTGCCAGCTGAGAGAATAGCATGGACAAAGACACAGAAGTAGGCAAGGGCATGGCGTCCAGAGACACTTGTGTGCAGCTCGGGGTTCTGGAGCACAGAGCGGGAGGCTGGCAGGAGATTCGGATTGAAGAGGTCATCAGAGGGCAGAGTACAAAGTGCCAGGCTAGAGATTCTGTCTTCTAGACATGGGAAGCCTTGGGCTACTGTAAGTAAAAGTGCAGTGATAAACAGCTTGGATGTGTGTGCCTGTAGGGGGGGGTGGGGGTGGGGCAGATAAGGCAAAATGGGAGGCCAGGGTGTTTATCTGATGGTGATTTCCATCACTGAGAGGAGTGAGAGGCGTTTGTGCACCACGGGCTTCTCACGCAGGCAGGAGCAGCGTCCTTCCTGCTGGTCTCTGCCCCTGGACCCACACAAAGCCGCAATGACTCAGGGAGGAGGTGGACAAAGCCTTTTGGGACTGAAAGACTCTGGCCTGGGAAAGCCCGCGCCTTTCCGAGTGACGCAGACCCTGGAGGCTCCATTTCCGAGATGCCGGACGGCTTCGCCTTCCTCCTTCTGCACACGGGCACGCCCAGGCCACAGGAGGAAAGGACCCTGGAAGACCCCCCTCTGCTGGAGTGTGGAGGAGGACCGGACAGAGGGCAAGAGGCGCAGCTCCAGTGGCTTCTCGGGAAGCCATTCCCCACTGTTTCGCACCGGCCTGGAGCCTGCCCCTCAGAATGGCTTTGGATTTCTCCCCGCTGAACCTGACTGGGCTGGGCGCCCATCACCCATAAACCCTGAACCCAAACCACCAGGGCCTGCACCTGGGGCCTGCAGAGGAAGGGCCTTGATGCCGGCTGTCATCGTGGCTGCACCTGCCCAGAAGCCTCCAAGCACGTCTACTCCAGTCGGGGCCACTTTCGGACCTTGTGGTCCAGCCTGGCTGGGAGTCCTGATAGTTAGTGAGTCTGAGGCCAAGAATCCACCTTTCTTCTCCCACCTACCTCGCTGCCCCCACACACCACACTCACCTCCACACACCCCCAATCACAAGTCCCCTCCTGGCCCCTGGTGGCAGGGCCCGTTCCACCAGCACACCTGCCTTCAGTCCCACCCCTGTGCCCACTCCTCCAGTTCCCGCCGGCCACACCCATGCTGGGAAGACCAACAGAACCCATTCCTAGCCTCCACGTCAACACCTCTGGTGGCTTCTCCACCCTCGCTTCTCTTCCCATCCCGTTACTCACAAAGGAGACCCCCTACCCACCGCACACTGGTCGGAGGCCTTGTCCCAAGGTGCAAACCTGGGTGGGTGACTGGACCTGTGACCTCATGCTTGCTGGCCTGGTGGAGACCCAGCTTTTGCCTGTGATTGTACTTGGCTCCCACGTGTCCCACGGGCCTCACCCCTGCATCCTCTTCCCACTGCAGGGGACTCCCAGCTCCCCAAGGCCTGGACACTAAACCCCCTGCTGCTTCTCCTTGTCTCACCGCCAAACAGCCCTTGGCTCCTCAGACCTGACTCCACCCTCCACCGCATAAGCACCAGGGGCTCCTCCTAGGGAACGCCGGTTCCCGCCAGAAGCCCCAGCCTGGCTCAGAGAACGTTCCCTGCGCTTCAGTTGAGCTATACTGATACAAATGATATTGGGAGATATACCTAAGGCTAGATGACGAGTTAGTGGGTGCAGCGCACCAGCATGGCACATGTATACATATGTAACTAACCTGCACAATGTGCACATGTACCCTAAAACTTAAAGTATACTTAAAAAAAAAAAAGAAAAAAAAAACAAATGATAGAGACACTGAAGCTGAATGATGACTAGCGAAAATTTTTTTAACATCTTCACACATTTTTGTTTCTTCCTGAAATTAAATTAAAATTAAGCTTCTTTGGGAGGCCAAGCTAACGTTTGTGCAATGCTATAAGAAAAATTGCTGTCCTTTGATTCCATCCTGTTAGTTCAGTTTACAAAGCTATTATGCCCTTTACAGATGAGGAAACCAAGGCTCAAAGAAAGATTAAAACTATTCAGAATTCAGCTTCCAGAAACTTCCATGCCACCATCCAACTTAAAGGAATTTCAACAGTACAACTTGGTAACTCAGAATACTGCATTTTACACATAAGACCTAGTCAGTAAGATATTCACTCCTCCAGGAAATAAAGTACCTGACATTTTATGGGAACAGTTTCTCTAGTTCAGCAGCATTTCCTAATTACTCCAGATTTTCCAAACGATTGATGTTGGTGGACATCGGAGCACATGATTATTAATTAGGTTCTCAGTCCGCTAAATTATGTGGTGTCCAGGCCTCAGGAGGAACAAAAGCCAATCAGGGGACCACTCCAAGGGGCAATTGTTGTGGTGAGGACAATGGCATTGCCTAAGGGACAATTGTTTCTGGTCAGGATGATGACATTGCCTAAGAGACAATTGTTGCTGATTAGGACAGTGACACTGCCTAGGCAAACCTCACATTCTTAGACTCAGGATTAGAACCAAGGAAAGCATGTCCCCTCAATGAGAATGTGATGCCAGTCCCACGGCAGCAGTCACAGAAATCCTTATAGGATGGGGACAGAGTCCAGGCCTCTGGACACCAGCAGGATTTGAAACACCACCTGGAGTTGAAGGACAAATGGTGTCTCTCTAGACAGTCCATGCCCCTGATGTAAGGGACACCCCTTCCCACCCATGCAGTGTGCCCCAGCCCCCTGTGCTAATGTCCCCACGTTTCATTCACCTCTGGCCTGCTTACTTCTACGATTGTTCCAGGAACACTAACTACTGCTCCACCTTAGAGGTAGCAAATTCCACCTCCCCAAGACGACACAGCCCAGGCCGGGAGCTGTGCACGCCACTGGGAAAATCAGCTCCAGCTATGAAAGGAACATGGAAGGTTCTGATTTCCAACACATGGCAAAGTGGCCCAGGACTGCCGACAACCTTCCCTGAGCCAAGCCCTGTAAGCACCATAGCAGCCAGAGAGAGGTGGGGGCTATGCTGGGTGACCGCACACAGGCCCTGAGGGGCCCTGAGGTGGCAAAAGGTGTCTGCTTCCTAGGGTGGAAAATACAACTGCCCACAGTGGAGAAAAGTGAGGGTTTTCAGCGGGGTAAGCGAGCAGAGAGGGGAGCACCCTTTCTTCCTCTTTCTTCCTATGTTGTGCTGAGTCAGCCAATGCCAGACAAAGGCCTACGAGAGAGAAATGCAGCTGCTATCATCTCAGCAGAGGCTGGGTCCCGGTGACATGGGGGCTGCTTTCAGCCAGATGTGCACGGGAGCACGCTGAAGAGCTGAATGCATTCCCCGTCCCAGTTCCCACACTCCCAGCCTCTCCTACCTTCCACTCACTCTGCGCTGGAAAGTAGCTGGGCCTGCCGGGCTCAGCTGTGCCCCTCCTCCCTGGGACAGGGCTGGCCCCTGGAGGCCGCAAGGGAGAAGGTCCACCCCCTTCTCATGGGTTCAGCTTGCAGGTCTCTTTAGAGCTCTGGCCTCTAAATAAGCCTCTAACATGAAGGCAAAGTTTTGGTCTCCATCTTTACCCTTTCTCACATGTCTAGGCCTGGGGGCCACGGGCAGGGAAAAGAAGAGTGCTATTCATTGCAGGCCCCATGGAGACCCCAGGAGTGAACCCCAGATCTGATGGACCTGCCAACCCCAGGGTCCTTCTCCTCTGCCCCACCACCCCCAGATCTGGAAGATGAGATGATTAACACTAAGAGTAAGATGAAAAACTTTTTTAAAAAGCAGTGCAGGCTGGACGCAGTGGCTCATGCCTATGATCCCAGCACTTTGGGAGGCCGAGGCAGGTGGATCACCTGAGGTCGGGAGTTTGAGACCAGCCTGACCAACATGGAGAAACCCCGTCTCTAGTAAAAATACAAAATTAGCCAGGCGTGGTGGCATGTGCCTGTAGTCCCAGCTACTCAGGAGGCTGAGGCAGAAGAATTACTTGAACCCGAGAGGTGGAGGTTGCGGTGAGCTGAGATGGCGCCATTGCACTCCCACCTGGGCAACAAGAGCTAAATGCTGTGTAAAAAAAAAAAAAGCAGTGCAAGGGAGAGTTACATAGACTAGCACTGGAGACTCCTTCCTGAGGCATCTCTCCTCCATGCACAACCCAGAAGGAAAGCCAAAAGCCAGGCCAAGCAGCCATCACATCCCCAGGGAAGCATCCCTGGCCACAATGCTTAATGTCCTCAGGGATTCTTAGCTCACTCACAATGCAAAATCATGGCATTTAGGGGCTATCATCATGTTTTAAACAAAACTATATCAAAGTAGAAATGAAAGATGTTATAAAAGAGAAAAGAAAAGACGAAGACATGGAGCTGAAGTAAGTTATAAAGAAGACTACACTGGAGATGATACATTTGAAAGACATACTAGTTGGTATTTAAAACCGAGTGGATGAGTTGAGTAACAGAATGGATACAACTGAGGACATATCAGTATGTGAAAGAGCAAGACCGGGCTAGCGGGCTAGCGCCAGGAAGCATGAAGGGGAAATGGAGAGACAGAAAATGCAAGGAGGGACGCTGGAGGAGGGAAGTGCCAAGTGCATGCAACAGAATTGCCAGAAGGGCAGAGAAATGAACAGAGATTAGAGGATGCCTTAAAAATTGATGACCAACAATTAGCAAGAAATAAAGGAAATGCAAGACCTTGAATTTAAAAGACTCAAAGGGTCCAAAAAAAGAAAGAAAAAAGCAAAACTAGATAAAGGTAAAAGAAATTTTTAAAACATGAGAAATAAGGAAAAAATCTAAAAGTTATCAGGAAAAAAACAGCAATAAATATAAATAAGAATCGAGTTGGTATCACAATTGTCAACAATGGAAGCCAAGCAATAGCATAACAATAATTTTTAAATATTAAGAAAAGAATTGTGCCCAGATTGTTATATCAAGCTAACATATTATTTAATACTAGGGTAAGATAAGATTTTCTCAGACATAAAAAAAGTGGATGAATTTGACTGCACTGAAATTAGGAGCTTTTGGTCATCAAAAGACATTAGGCAAGAGTGAGAAACAAGACACGGAGCAGGAGAAGGTATTTCCTGCACTTATAATCAAAAAACAGAGCTCATCTCCAAAGCATATATATATGGGTTTTTGTTTTTGTTGTTGTTTTGAGGCAGGGCCTTGCTCTGTCTGCCAAGCTAGAGTGCAGTGGCATGATCACAGCTCACTGCAGCCTCAACCTCCCAGGTTCAAGCAGTCCTCCTACCTCAGCCTCCTGAGTAGCTGGGACTACAGGTGCACACCATCACACCCGGCTAATTTTGTTTATTTTTAGTAGAGACGGGGTGTCACTACATTGCCCAGGCTGGTCTTGAACTCCTGGACTCAAGTGAGCCTCCCTCCTTGGCCTCCCAAAGTACTGGGATTACAGGCATGAGCCACTGCACCAAGACAAGCATTTTTTTGTTTTGTTTTGTTTTGTTTTGTTTTTGAGACGGAGTCTCGCTCTGTCGCCCAGGCTGGAGTGCAGTGGCGCTATCTCGGCTCACTGCAAGTTCTGCCTCCCGGGTTCACGCTCCTGCCTCAGCCTCCCGAGTAGCTGGGATTACAAGCACCCACCACCACGCCCGGCTAATTTTTTGTATTTTTAGTAGAGATGGGGTTTCACTGTGTTAGCCAGGACAGTCTTTCAATCTCCTGACCTCATGATCCGCCCACCTTGACCTCCCAAAGTGCCGGGATTACAGGTGTGAGCCACTGCGCCCGGCTGCTTTTTTTTTTTTTGAGATGGAGTCTTGCTCTGTCGCCCAGGCTGGAGTGCAGTGGCGTGATCTCAGCTCACTGCAAGCTCCGCCTCCCAGGTTCACACCATTCTCCTGCCTCAGCCTCCCGAGTAGCTGGGACCACAGGTGCCCACCACCACGCCCGGCTAGTTTTTTTTTTTTTTTGTATATTTAGTAGAGACGGGGTTTCACCGTGTTAGCCAGGATGGTCTCGATCTCCTGACCTCGTGATCCACCCACCTTCGCCTCCCAAAGTGCTGGGATTATAGGCGTGAGCCACCGCGCCCGGCCGCATTTTTTTTTTTAACTCACACAAATCAATAAAAAGACAAGCAACCCCAAAAGGTAGACAAAAATATAGGAACAGATACTTAGAAAGAGAGGATAAAAATGACTAACAAACTAATCAGGGGAAGGCAAAATAAAGTCATGGCAACACGTGCCCACTAGACTGAAAAGCAAATGAATGTATTTATAACTTATTAGCCCTTTAGTAAACAACTGGAAATATGAATATCAGTGTGGTCGCGGAACAATAACAGCTCACAAACCCTGGAGATCTCATTGGAATGTCAACTTTGGACATATTTGATATTATCTAGTCAAGTTGCAGGTAATAGCTCCTACCCAGCAATTCATGACTAAGTACAAACTCTAGGCAAACTCACTGGCACACCCACTAGGACACACGTGTGAAACCCTTCCTAGCAACCTGGCCTGTAATTGCCCCAAACTAGAAACCAACTCCAGTGTCCATCGACTGAACAGTGGAAAATTAAATGGTTGTATAGCCATACAACAAACTCCCAGACTGTGCAAAAATGAGTAAAGTACAGGTGCATCCAAAAATATGGATGAAACCCCAAAACATCAAAACATAATGTTGAGTGAAACAAGACAGATACAATTCCACTCATGTGAGACTCACCTATGATTTCATTGCATGAAACAGCACAGGCAGAACTGAATGTCCAAAGCTAAAACCATAAAGAAACGCAAGAAAATGAGTCTAAGGTGACAATAGTTGTTACCTAGAGGCAAGTGAGACAGAAATGACTGCAGACAGCTGGGGGCACACAGGGAACCCCAGGCTGCTGGTAATATTCCATTTCATGACCTGGTGTTGAGGTCATGAGCACTTACAGGGGAGTCTCCTTTTCCTTACTTATCAACGTGTGCCATGTTTATGCCATTTACCATATGTCTGTATTACAATTCAGAGAAGGAAAAAAGTAACATTCAAAGAAGGAAGGAAGGAAAAAGGGAAAGAGAGAGGGAGGGAGGGAGGCAGGCAGGCAGGCTGTAAAAGGAATCTGCATCACACAGCACTGGGGAGAAGACAGGGGGCTCTTCCGTGAGGTGTGGCGAAGTTGAGTCCTCATGATGGCTGCAGACCTGGGTCTCTGCAAACTAATTCTCGGCACACAAAGAGCAGAATCTCTAGTCCAAGAGTTAAATTCAGAAAACCAATTTATTGATTCATAATGAGAAGTAAAAATGGATATGAAAACTTACATAAATTAATACATGAAATAATTAAAAGGAAAGTATGTGTGTAGTTTCCAAAGGTTGTTTCAATAAGAATTTTTTTCAAATACAAGGTAAGACTTTTTAGTATTGGGCTAAATGGGTTTTAAGATGAAAAACATTATGATGCCAAAAAGCGATGTTATATACTGCCAAAACAGTGTGCTAGATCAAGAAGATAGTAGTTATGAATAAATAAGCCCTTTAAAATAGCTCATCACAATATATAAAATAACAACTGACAGCATTACAAGAGAACATAGAGACAACAAAATTTATTGCCCAAGATTTTCACAAAGCCCTATTAGAGACTGGTAGATTAGAGGGACAAAAAAAAAAATCAAAACAAAAAAGCATAAATGCATACAAAATTTGATTGACAAGATTAATAAAAATCCCAGAGCAAAATATATGTGTGTGTGGAGCGAAGCTTTCACAACCACGGATGATGGACGAGGTTGGAAGCTACAATGAGCCCAAACAATCCACCCAGCTTAGTATGTTCCCTGAGCACAAAGCAGTGAAATTAGAAACCAGTAACAAAAATGATTAAAAATAAATAATATACCATATGTTCAAAAACTAAAATGTCATTCTGCTAAAAGGACTTTAAGATACAAAGTAAAACATAAGAGAATTACAAAATAATGGAGCCACACTGTAGTGATAGCTCCATATGTTTAAATGTATTTATCAGAAAGTAAGAAAAAATGAGCTAAGTATTCAATCCAAGCAGAAAACAAACAAGAAACAGAAGCAACCCAAAAGGGACAAACAAGAAGAAAATAAAATAGATAAGAACATAAATCAATGAAATAGGGAAGATTAACAAAACCAAAAGCAATTTCTTTAAAATATTAATACAATATACAAAAAGCTCTGGCAAATCTAGTCAATACAATAAGGGGAAGATGCAAATTTACAAAACAGAATCCAAAAGAGGAAATAACTGCAAAAACAATGTAAAATCTTTTTTATAAAGACATCAATTTGAAAACACAAGGCAACATGGACACACTGTTGGAAAAGTATGATATTCCAAATTGGAGCAAGGATAAATAGATTTTCATTTAAAATTCATAATGGTAATTAAAGCCTCCCCCAAGAGGGAAAAAAAAAGGCAATAAAAAATCAGGCCAAGAACATTCCACAAAAAAGTTACATCAAACTTTTAAACAAGAAAGAATCTATGTCTTACACAAATCACAAGTTGTTCCAAACAATGAGAGAGAAAGAGAGAGAGACAGACAGAGACAGAGACCTTCTGTTAATTATAAAATTGTTTGCTTGATTCCAAAGCTGGTTTAAAAAAAAAAAAAAAAAAAAAAACTTCAAAATGCAAAGTATAGGCTCTTTTCACTTATGAAGTCTTACTTACATATTTGCTAATTGACTTTAATGTTGTCTGAAAATAATAATAATATCATTATAAATAGAGTTCATCAAAGGAATGAAAAAAAGTTTTAACATCAGAAAGCCTATGAATTTAATTCACCACTTTAAGATACTAAGATGAAGAAAGAAAAAATATTGACTAGGTCAGTAGAAGCAAAAAAAAATGCACTTGTAAATATCCAACTTGTTTTTAAATAAAATTATTTACATTATTATTATTACATACAGTATTCCCAGAATACTGTAACTAAAGGAGAATGTTCTTTATCTGATAAATAACTATGCTTGTCTTTGACGAATACCATATTCAGAGGATGGACTTGAGGCATGGCTCCTTTAAGACTGGAAACAAGAAAAACGCAATCTTATTGCTACTGGTAAAGCTGTCCAATGGACTCATCAAGAGAAAGATCAACAAGAGGTAGAAGAATATATTAAGACAAGTCAAGGCTATCCTTATTTGCAGATGGCATGATCACCTAAATAGAAAATGCATCAGAATCAATGCACGCAATATTGGAATTAAGAGTTCTACAAAAATTAAGAGGTGTGATTTCAACCATACCATGATGTTTCCTCACACTGGTAATTTCTAACTAAAACATATAATAATAAAACAATATAACATTTACAATAACAAGAAAAACTTAAATATATCTAAGAATAAATCTAACAAAGAATTCATGATTCTTTATAGAGAAAGTTTTAAAATTCATTAAAGGATATAAAGAAAGATTAGAATAAAGAGAAAATATACCATATCCCATAATGGACTAGTTTAACATTTGAAGAAATGGCAGTTCTCCACAAAAGCCATACTTAAATGAGATTCTGATTAAAAAAAAAAAATTTTAGGAGCGATTTTTGAAGACTTCAACAATCTTATTCTGACATTTACATGAAAAAATAAAATTCTTTAAAAAATAAACAATTTCAGAAAAAGAGAATAAAAGGGACCTGACCTACAAGATATGAAAAAATTCCACAAAATACTACTTAAAAAAAAGTGCAGTTTTGGTACAGAAATATTAAATTCATAAGTGGAACAAAACAGAAAGCTCAACACCAAACCCATGTGTGTTTAAGGATCTGTTTTATGACAGAAGTGACACACATCAGTGAGACAGGAATAGACTTTTTTAATACATGGCTTTGGGTACCACTGGCTTGCCTGATGGGTAAAACTAAAATTGGAACTCTTCCTTACATCCTAAGTAAAATGATCTCTAGATTGATTAAAAACTCAAATGAAAAGGCATAAAAATAAAGCTAATAGGAGACTATTGGAGAAAACTTTTTATCTTGAACTGAATATGCACTTTATGTCATACCTCAAATGTACAAAATCTAAGGTGAAAAAAACTGGATTTTACCACAGTGATATGGAAGGGGGACAGGGACGTGCTGGGTAGAGGAAGGTGTGGTCCCTGGCTAGGGCTTCATCCCAGGGCCTGTGCCCATGGGCCTAGGTGAGGACAGGCATTTCTGTTTTCCCGCCCAAATGTTGCATTTCCCAAGACCACCCTGGCCCACCACACCCCCATCCTATGCCTATAAAAACCCCGAGGCCCCATCGGACACACATGCACATGCGGCTGGATGTCAAGAGGAACGCATCAGTGGAAGACGACACAGCAGCTGGATGTGGAGAGGGCCCCAGCAGAACAGCACACTGACAGACACAGGCAGGCTGGCAGGCCATTGACCTGCAGAACGACACAGAGTTCAACCAGGGAGGTCAGAGGACAGCCTGGGCCACTGAGCTGCCCGACTCCAAGGGAAAACCACCTTCCCACTCCATCTCCCTTCTGGCTCCCCATCCATCTGCTGAGAACTTCCACTCAATAAAACCTTGCACTTAGGCCAGGCACGGTGGCTCACGCCTGTAATCCCAGCACTTTGGGAGGCTGAGACAGGTGGATAATGAGGTCAGGAGTTCAAGACCAGCCTGGCCAGCAAGGTGAAACCCTGTCTCTACTAAAAATACAAAAATTAGCTGGGCACAGTGGCGGGCACCTGTAGTCCCAGCTACTCAGGAAGCTGAGGCAGGAGAAATGCTTGAACCCGGGCGACAGAGGTTGCAGTGAGCCGAGATTGTGCCATTGGACTCCAGCCTGGGCAACAGAGCGAGACTCCATCTCAAAATAATAATAATAATAATAAAATAACAAAAAAACAAACTTACACTTATTCTCCAAGCCCACAACTGATCCGATTCTTCCAGTACACCAAGGCAAGAAACCCCGGGATACAGAAATCCCTGTGTCCTTGTGATAAGGAAGGGTGTCTAATTGAGCTAACACAAGCCACCTACGGATGGCTGAACTAAAAGAGCATCCTGTAACACACGCCCACTGTGGCTTCAGCAGCTGTAAACATTCACCCCTAGACGCTGCCGTGGGGTCGGAGCCACACAACCGGCCCATCTGCATGCTCCCCTAAAGGTCTCAGCAGCGGGGCGCTGAGGAAGTGAGCCACTCCCGCATCACACACCCTGTGACAGGGATAAGGGAACTTTTGCCCTTTCAATAGCAACATTAAAAATTTGGGTTTGAGATAAAAAGGCATCATTAAAGTAAACAAGTGACAGATTGGGGGGAGAATGACTACATCTTTTAAAATCAACAAGATATTGGCATCTAGAACATGCAAGGAAATAGTGAAATCCAACAAAATAAAAACAATGGACTATCAAATTGGCTAAGGTATATGAATAAGAGCTTCACAGAAAGGGAAACTTGAATGGCTGCTAAGTAATGAAGAGACGCACAACTTCCTTGGCAAACACAGAAATGCAGGTTAAATCAATGTTAAGATTACATTTTGCACCCATTCATCTAACTGACAAAACTTTCAAGGAGTATAAAAATGCTGGTGAGGATGTGGCAGAATGAACCCCTCACGCACTGCTGATGGGAATATGGCCTGCCACACAGAGCAAACTGTCTGTGCCAAGCAGAATTAACGGGTGTCTCCTAGGATCCAGCAATCCCACTCCTAAGTGAAAACCCAGGGAAATCCATAAAGACCCCAGTGTGTGGATGTTGCAGTAAGGTGTGTGTTGGGGGGAGCCAGAGGCAATCCAGGGGTCCATGACAAGAGGAACAGGGTAGGTTAAGGTATGGTAGATGCACGCTGTGAAGCAAAGGTCAGAAGAGGGTCATACAGAAATGTCAGTGTGTTTTCACAACAGTGGTGAGTGAAAAAAATTAGGAAACAAATGAGATCTATATATTGCACAATAACATGTATGGAAATGTAAAATGAACACATAACCCTTGACAAATTAGATTTTTCAAAGCTACACAAATATTTAGGTACAGATAAAAAGACATTAGAAAGAGTGACTCTGTCGGAGGGGTGGAGAGGGGATGGGAGATGGGATCCAGCATGAAGGAGAAATGGAATTAAACAACCAGAGGTCTTGTAGGGCATGATGGCGAGAATGGATTATCAGTGAGGAGTAGGATTAACAACTCTCTATGAACCTATGAACCAAAAGTACAGCTACGATTACTACTAAAACTAATACTAATGAGAATAGTGTGTAAGAAAAGCGTGGACTTTGTTCAAAACTTTAATATGCCAGCCGGTAAATGCGTGACCCTGGGAAACTTACTCGCCTGTCTGAGCCTCAGTTTTCTCAAGCATGTAATGAAAATGAGAACAAAAATTTCTTAGTTTTTCCAAACTCAAGTCCAAATAAAGGTCCAAATTCAAGAAGACAGAGGATTGCTCTTCAGCCATGACAAAAAGTAACTACCAAAACTGATTTTAAGCCTGCCCTGACAAATTGAGTCAACTTTTTATCAGTAACTACATTTCTGAGTGACAGCCATTCAGTGGCAGCCTCACTGTCCCAACCCCGAGTCCACGGCCAAAGTCATCCAATCCCTAAATGCTCCCCCTCCCAAGTCTGCCAGTCTTGGAGCTCCACAAGCAGTTTGCGCTGTTCAGGGTGACCACACTCTACAAGCACAGCTCTCCCTTACTTAGCAAGAAATACCTTTCAGATTTTTGGTTTCAGCATTTTGTTTGGCAAGGATAATCAAGCCCAGCTTCTGAAGATCACATGATGATCAAATGAGGCCATTTATTAAGGGCCGATGGGTAGCAGTGTCTCCGGCAGCCAGCCAGTCAGATTTGGTCAAGCCTGAAGCCTCATCTGTAAACCACAGAAAGGAACAGGGAAGCTGAGAAAAGATGCCTGATAATGTAATGAATTGTTCTCATATGTGAATATACTTTTGTTGGCAGACCAAGTCATGCTAGGTCTTCGTATTGACAAGGAAATGGTAAAAGTGTACATTTAAGATAGCCTCTCTAGTGCATTGAGCCCCCATGTAACTAACAAAAGGATAAGAAGGAATGTATAACTAAAAGCGAATAGAGGTAAGAATAGGAAACATGATGATTATCTGATTATCACTGTCACACGTTGAAAAGAATGTGAAAAGCCGGCAGGGGGTGACTCACGCCTGTAATCCCAGCACTTTGGGAGGCCGAGGCGGGCGGATCACCTCAGGTCAGGGGTTTGAGATCAGCCTGGCCAACATGGCGAAACGCCATCTCTATTAAAAATACAAAAATTATCGGGTGTGGTGGCGGGTGCCCGTAATCCCAGCTACTCCAGAGGCTAAGGCAGGAGAATCGCTTGAACCCAGGAGGCGGAGGTTGCAGTAAGCCAAGATCATGCCATTGCACTCCAGCCTCGGTGACAAGAGCAAGACTCCATCTCAAAAAAATAAAGAAATAAAATAAAATAAAGAGAAAAGAATGTGAAAAGTAAAAATAAGAAATAAAGAATAAATGGAACAAATAGAAAATATAAGGTAACAGTTAAATTTTCAAATATATCAGATTACATTAAATGTAATGGGACTGTGTTTTTCAAATAAAGAGTACAATTGTCGAACTGAATGATAAAGGAAAATTCAAATATATGCTACCTAAGAAAGACACATGTTAAAGATAAATACACACACAGATTGCATAAAATATATTGGGAAAATATATACCACACAAACATTAACTAATAGAAAGCTGGTATAGGTATCATTAGACAAAATGGAATTTAAGATAAGAAGTATTACTAGAAAAAAATAAGAAGTATTACTAGAGAATAAGGAGGAACATTTCACAACACTAATAGAATTAAAACTCAATTGGAAGATGTCATGATATAAGCAAGAATAAAAAATATTCAAATAAAATGGAGACTCAGGCTGTGCATGGTGGCTCATGCCTGAAACTGAAATACTTTGGGAGACCGAGTGGGGAGGATTGCTTGAGCCCAGGAGTTTGAAAGCTGTCAGGGCAACATAGTGAGGCTACATCTCTTACCTAAAAATTATTTTTTTTAATTTTTAAAAAAAGGAAACACAACTACAGATTAGATAGGTCTTAAAAGAACAATAAGATATTTTGAATTACTTTATGCCAAAAAATTCTGAAACTTTAAATGAAATGTACAAATTCCTTGGAAAACATAACATCCCAAAAGTTACACAAAAATGAATACCAAGTCTAGTCATTTATGTATTAGACAGTTTTAATCCATAGTTTTAGAAGTCTCACACACATGTATACAAATTTCAATGGCTTCATGGTAAATTCTTCAGAATACTTAAAGATGATATAACACCACAGGGTACAAAAAGTACAAAGCATAAATATTAACATTCATACATGACACAACTAGTACCTAACTAAGAATAGAATTAAACTTTCCCCTCACTCTGAAAAAGAATGTATTTTAAAAAGAAAAGTCACATAGCAAGCATCATACTTTTTGAGAAAATATTGCAAAATTTATTCTGAGATCAGGAAAGAGAAAAGGATTTCTGCTTTTTTCTATACTAAAGAAAGAAGTAAGTAAATGCATAACAATTGGAATGGAAAAATTAAAAATGTCTTAATTATATAAGAAAATCCAAAATAAATAACTGAAAAATTTATATTATTAGAATTAATAAGGGACCATGGCAGAATTCCTTAATTTTAAGTCAAAATACCGAATAAATTATGTTTTTATCTCTGCAACAATAATTAGAAATTTTTTAAAAAGTTATCATTTAAAATAATACCAGAACATAAAATCTAACACCTAGGAAATAAACTATTTACATAAACTCTACATAAAAAACTAGTATTATTATTGACAAATATTTCAAAGCAGACCTAAATAAATGTATCTATAAAGACACAACACTCTAAAGATATTAGTTTTCCCCAACTTTATCTAGAGATTCCATGTAACTCTAATCAAAATATCAAGGGTGTGTGTGTGTGTGTGTGTGTGTGTGTGTGTGTGTGTAAGAGAGAAAGAGAGAGACAGAAAGAAAGAAGGTGAAGAAGAAGAAGGAGAAAGAGAAGGAGAAGGAGGAGAAGGAGAAGGAGGAGAAGGAGAAGGAAGAAGAAGAAGAAGAAGAAGAAGAGAAGAAGAAGAAAAGAAGAAGAAGAAGAGGCAGCAGCAGCAGCAGCAGCAGCAGCAGCGGGGTGGGGAGGGGAGAGGAGGGGGAGGGGAGGGGGGAGGGGAGGGGAAGAGGGAGTGGGAGTCAAGGAGAGAGGAGGGGAAGGAGGAAGAGGAGATAAAGGAGAAGAAGAGGAGGAGGAGTGAGGAGAGGAGGAGGAGAAGAAGAGGAAGAAGAACAACAAAAACAACAAGGAGGAGAATTATTATTTATATAAAAATGCAAAGGATTAAAAAGGGCAAACAAACACAGTCATGAAGAATAAGAGAAAAATTGACAGTCTTACTTCACCAGGTACTAGGAACCAATATAATCCACTGTCTAAATAAAAGACAGTAAGAAAGAGAATTCTTGAAAGACGTCCAAGTGGAAGCACCAGGAATCCACTTTACCACAAGTTATACTGGCAGAATCTGTCTGGTGTAAGTATTTTGGAAGTCTGAAGTCTATTTGAAGGCTTACAAGTTCCAGGGTAAGACTTGCACAGTAAATTGCAGTTAATTTTGGTCAGTTTCAGCTCTAGCTTAATGGCAAATACCCGTCTTCCAACCCCCATGCCTATGCCAGGTATCCATGCATGTGTTCCTGAAGTAGTTTGCATATAGCTTGTGGGAGTCAGGGTGAGCAATAGGGATCCTGTTCTTTAAATATGAGGTATCTCTGTTCTGATTGCTGATTGCTGGTTCTGATCACAGAGGTGCAGACACAGAGGAGGGCAGCCATTGTTGCACAGCCCTCCCACCCACTGCATTGTTGCGATCCTCTTCCCCTTTGGCTGAAACAACTTTCAGGGGATTTAAAACAGGGGTACCTTTTATTACTCTTCTTTATTTTCCTAGTTTTCCCCTTTGGGGAGCCAGCAATCTCAGGACTAGGACATTCAAAGGCAATCGTATATACAGGGGAATTCAGAAAATCACTATGCAGGCCCAGGGAAACTCACAAGCTCAGAACAGACACACCTTAAAACAGTTTTTCAAAGCAATTCTTGGAAAAGCAGGGGATTCAGACCTCTGACAATACCACAGCATAAGATTCAAAGGTCTAGCTTTAAAGAAAAAAAGTATAAGACACAAAAAGAAACAGAAAAGTATGGTTTATTCGAAGGAAAAATGAATCAACAGATATTGTCCCTGAAAAAGACCTGGTTGCAGATCTACTAAAGACTAAATGACTGTCTTAAAGATGCTTGGCGTTAAAAGATATGGACAAAGATAAGAAAATTCTAAAGCTGAAAAGTACAATAACTAAAATAAAAAAAATCTAGAGTGATTCAAAAACAAATGTGAACAGGCAGAAGAAAAAAATAAGTAATCTTAAATATATGACAACTTGAGTGATTGAGTCTGAGGAACAGAAGAAAAACAAATGAAGAAATGTGAGCAGATCCTAAGGGACCTGTGGGTCACTGCCAAGCAGACTAACATATATATTGTGGGATTACCAGAAGGAGAAGAGAGTGAAATGGGGAGAGAAATTATATGAAGAAATAATGGCCAAAAACTTTTCAAATTTGATGGAAGATATGAATCTAAACATCCAAGAAGCTCAATGAACTTCAAGAAGTATAAACTCAGAGAGAATCATATTGAGGCACATTATAATCAAACTGTCAATAGACAAAGAGAGAATCTTAAAAACAGCAAAAGAGAATCAACTAAACACACGCAAGAGACTTCCAGTAATATTAATAGAAGATTTCTCATTAGAAACCTTGGAAACAAGAGGCAGTGGGTTTATATATTTCAAGTGCTAGAGGAAAAAATCATCAGTGAAGAATCCCATATATGGCAAAACTGTCCCTCAAAATGAGAGAGAAATTAAGACATTCCCAGATAATGGAGAAAGTTCCTTCACTAGATCTGCCCTGTAAGAATTGCTGATCAACTGCCAGATGAAAAGAATGAACCCTGGACAGTAACTTGAAGCTGAGTAAAGAAATAAATACCTCAGTAAAGGTAAATACATGGACAGTTATAAAAGCTAGTTTTATTGTAACTTTGGGTTGTAACTCCACTTTTTGTATTCTACATGGTTTAAAAGAATAACACATTAAAAATTATTAGTCTATGTCTTTGGACACACAATGTCTAAAGGTATAATTATGTGACATCAATAACTGAAATGGTAAAGGACAAAGATATATAGGATCAGACATTCTTATGTTATTGACATTAAGTTGGTATAAATTCAAATTAGACTATTATAATTTTAGGAGTTAAATGTAATCTCAATGATAACCACAAAAAATAGCTATAGAATATACATCAAAGGAAATGAGAAAGGAATTCAAATGTTTTACTAGAAAAAAAATCAAGTAAACACGAAGTAATGCAGGACATAAAGGAAATAAAATTATAAGGCATATAGAAAACAAAAAGCAAAATGACAAAAGTAAGTTCCTTTTTATCAGTATTACTCCACATGAAAATAGATCAGACTTTCCAATCAAAAGAGATGAGCAGAATGGATAAACAAAAACAAGCATGATCCAACTGTATACTGTCCATAAGAGACTTACATTAGATCCCAAAACACGAATAGATTGAAAGGATGTAAAAAGATATTCCATGCACATAGTAATCAACAGAGAATAAGACAGCTATACTAATATCAAACAAAATAGACTTTAATCAAAAAAGTTTACAAGAGACAAAGGACAATATATATTAATAAAAGGTTCAATACGGCAAGAAGATATAACAGTAAACATTTACACACCTACTAACAAACTGTCAAAATATATGAAGAAATTCTGACACATACTATAAGTTGGTTATTGAACCTGGAAAAAATTATGCTAAGTAAAATAAGCCAACCACAAAAGAATAAAGATTGTATGGTTCACTCACATGAGGTCCCCTAGAATAGTCAAATTCATAGAGCAGAAAGTGTTATAGGTAGTTAGACAGGCATGAGCGGCGGCAGGAGAGGCTCTCCCCCACCCACTACGAATGTCAGGTGATGGTTCAGCAGTGGTCACATTGCCTCTCTAAAAGTGATAAACTGGCAGCTGGTGCCAGGGAGAGGCCATTTCCTGATGTCCACACCTATTGTACTAAAGTGATAATTGAACACAAGTGTCAGGGAGAAACAACTTCCTGGGCATGCACAGTAAGAGACAAAAATGGCAGAGGATGACCTTCCGGGGCACGCCACTGGAAAAAGGAAGACAGCCTCAAACGGGCATGCGTACATCTTCCCCAACACACTGCACATGCTCACTTCCCAAGGTAAGGAGCGCACTGCACATGTGGGCAGCCCACCCTAAGGGAAGAATCATAGGAAAGGGATGCAAGATGCCGGCGTATAAAGTCCTAGGATTACAGTTAAGCAAGGAACTTGTTCAAGTCGCCCACTAGGATCTCTTCCAAGTGTTCTTTTCTATTCTAAAATCTTTTTAATAAACTTCCACTCCAGCTCTGAGGCTTGCCTGTTGTCCTTTTCTGCCTTATGCCCCTCAGTTGAATTTTTTTTTCTGGGGAGGCAAGAATTGAGGTTGCTGCAGACCCGAATGGATTCACTGCCGGTAACTCAGATACCTTCCGCCGGTAACAAAAGTGGAACGGTGGTTGCCAGGGACTGGGAATGGGGGAATCGGGAGTTAGTATTTAATGGGTACAGAGTTTTACTTTGGGAAGATGAAAAGTTTCTGTGAATGATGGATGGTAGTGATGGTTTCATAACCATGTGACTATGCTGTAATCCAAAAATAAAATTACAAGCGCTCCAGCTGACTGATGGGTCCTGCCGTCGGCCAAGGGCACTGCAGAGAAACCTGCCATGAGAGGAAGTGGAAGGTTGGGCGTGCCTCATTTTACCCTCCTCCCTTTGGAGTTCAGGCACAACAGACCAGCGTTACCATGAAGACAGAGATCTGAAGAATGAAAAAACAGACTCCTTGTAGCAATAGGACACCAAATTCCAACCTTACTCTAGTGTAGCATCACATGACAGATAGCAGGCTCTGAAAGAAATGGAAGTGTTTTACCTCAAAATATATTTCTTTGACATATTTTGCAGTGGTCCTGCAAAGCTGTCTCTTGTGGGGGATATCTGCATTCTGTAGAGAATCCCTTTCCCTTTCCAGGTCTTTACTTTGATCCAGGAGAGAATTAACTAAGAGTCTGGCGCCTTTTTAAGTCTGATAAGAAACACTTACAACCTATTGACTCTGAAGCCTACTCCCTGAAGTTTTATCTGCATAATAAAAACCTTGGTCTTCACAACCCCTTATCTTAACCCAGACATTCCCTTGTATTGATTCCAGATCTTTAGATAATAACTTAAGTCCTTCAACCAATTGCCAATCAGAAAACCTTTGAATCCACCTATGACCTGGAAGCTTCAATTGTCCTGCCTTTCCAGGCTGAACCAATGTACAGCTTACATTTATTGATTGATGTCTGCCTGTAACTTCTGTCCCCCTAAAATGTAAAAACCCCAGCTGTAAACCTTGGGCACATGTTCTCAGAACCTCTTAAGGCTGTGTCAAACATCATGGGCCTCACATTTGGCTCAAAATAAATATCTTTTCTTTTTTTTTGGGGGGGCGGGGATGGAGTTTCACTCTTTTTGCCCAAGCTGGAGTGCCATGGTGTGATCTTGGCTCACCGCAACCTCCGCCTCCCGGGTTCAAGTGATTCTCCTGCCTCAGCCTCCTGAGCAGCTGGGATTACAGGCCTGCACCACCACGCCTGGCTAATTTTGTATTTTTAGTAGAAACAGGATTTCTCCATGTTGGCCAGGCTGGTCTCGAACTCCCGATCTCAGGTTATCCTCCTGCCTCAGCCTCCCAAAGTGCTGGGATTACAGGCGTGAGCCACCATGCCCAGCCCAAAATAAATCTCTTTAAATATTTTACAGTTTGACTCTTTACATCAACACTGCCTAATGCCACTGAATTTTACAATTAAAAATGATTAAAATGGTTACATCTATCCCATGCATATTTACCATAATCCTAAAAATTACATTTTTTTTAAAAGATCAGTGATTGCAAGGAGTTCAGAGAGAGGGGGAGGGTTGAACAGGTGGAGCAAAAGGGATTTTTTAAGGCAGTGAAACTATTCTGTATGATCTGTAATATATGAAATGATGCATTTGCTGAAATCCATAGAGTGTATAACAGTAAGTATGAATCCTAATGTAAACAATGGACTTTAGTCAATAATAATGTACCAAAAGATAAAAACGAAAACAAACTAACACAAAAGACTGTGGAACAAGCATAGGAGAGATAGAGCACTGGAACATAACAGAGAGTCCAGAGGCAGACCCCACATGGCCAGTCACAAACCTGGCAAGGTGCCATGGCAGTGCAGGGAGGAAATAACTTAAATTTTGTTGGGGCATTTGGAAAATGTGTATCATGTAGAAAAACCTGAACCTTGATGCTTAACTTACCCCATGCACAAACATCAATTCCAGGTGGGTCATAGCCAAAGTGTGGATGGAAAAATGCTAAATCTAGGAAAATATCTTCACGACCGCAGGAAAAGGGTAAGATTTCTTAAAGAGCACACAACAAAATACTAACCACAAAGTAAAGATCAATAAAATGGATTGCATTAAAATTAAGGACCTCTAAGCATCACATAAGAGCTTCTTTCATCAAAGGATAACTTTAAAGGAGTAAAATGGCAAACCACAGACAGAAGAAATATTAGCAGTATGCTTGCAATGTGAATGGCTAATATATAAAAATAAGTCTGACCATTTTCTTAATAGAAGACAAATAGCCTAATAAAAAGTAGGCAAAAGACTTGAACAGATACGTCATAAAATTTGATATCAAAATGGCCAATACATATGAAAAGATGTCCAGTTTTATTAATCATCAGGTAAAGGCATTTTAAAACCACAAAGAATTATGAGTATATAACCACTTAAGTGGCCAAAATTTTACAAACTGACCATCCCAAGTTGGTGAGGTTGTGAAGATGCCCAGACAGTGCTTTTGAAAGTAGAAATTGGTGGCCGGGCACAGTGGCTCACGCCTGTAATCCCAGCACTTTGGGGAGCCGAGGCAGGTGGATCACCTGAGGTCAGGAGTTCAATACCAGCCTGGCTAACATGGTGAAAACTCGTCTCTACTAAAAATACAAAAATTAGCCAGGCGTGGTGGCGGCCATCCGTAATCCCAGCTAGTCGGGAGGCTGAGGCAGGAGAATCACTGGAACCTGGGAGGCAGAGGTTGCAGTGAGCCGAGATCGCACCATTGCACTCCAGCCTGGGCGACAAGAACAAAACTCTGTCTCAAAAAAAAAAGGAAGTAGAAATTGGCACATAACTTGGGAAAGTTGCTTGGCATTATCTACCAAAAACAAACATATACATGTCCGTATCTATTCAACAGAAATCTGTACATGTGTACAAGAGACATGTACATCATTGAAGCAGTCTTCTAATGGCCAAAGACCAGAACCAACTTAAGTGTCCACCAACAGTAGGACACACACATGTATTATAGTAGATTCCCACAGTAGAACACTGTCTGGCAATGGAAAAGAAGGAACCAGTGCTTTGCCCAACAGTATGAATGAATGTCACAGACATACTTGCCTCATTCAGGGGTCTTGGATGGTCCTAGTGAACCACGTTCCCCAGGGGAGATGTCTCCCTTCAGTCTGGGTCAGTTACCAGGTGTTTCTTTCATAAAGGGAGTTTAAGCTATTCTTGTAAGAGTAAGGTTGGTTTTAAGGTTCAAGAAGGTTGCATATGTGCTGAGGAGGCCTTGTCTCTAGGGCAACCAGGTTTTTTAGGTCCTGTTGTCATGGAGACCCAGTAATTCCCCAGACCAGGGTTGGAAATCCCCAGACCAGGTTACAGCATCTTGCTAAGTGATACATAGTGCATCGGCCCCGAGAGATGTCAGAGTGGGCCTTATGGCTGTCATTCATCTTATAGCCACAACCCGTGTCTTAGAGGCCTCCGCCCCCAGGCCACAGAACGCTACTGATCCACCTGAGCTCTGCCTCCTGTCAGATCAGCAATGACATTAGAGACTTATAGGAATGTGAGTCCTATTGTGAACTGCACATGTGAGGGATCTAGGTTGAGCATGCTCCTCATGAGAATCTAATACCTGATGATCTGGCCCTGTCTCCCATCACCCCTAGATGGGACCGCCTAGTTGCAGGAAAACAAGCTCAGGGCTCCCACTGATTCTATGTTACGATAAATTATAGAATGACTCATTATATATTACAATGTAATAATAATAGAAATAAATGCGCAACAAATGCAATGCACTTGAATCATCCTGAAACCAACCCCCACCCCAGCCCTGGTCTCTGGAAAAATTGTCTTCCATGAAACCAGTCCCTGGTGCCAAAAAGGGTGGGGACAACTGCCTTAGAGCGTGCTACAATACACTAGTATCTGAAAGAAGCCAGACTTGAAAGACTGCTGGCTGAGTGATACTATCTACAGAAGTTTAGGGGAAAATGTCTATAGTGATATAAGTAAAAATAGCAGAAACTTGGCAGGTAATGTATGGGGCAGACCGCAAGGGAGGCTTCTGGGTTATTATAGTTTTGTCTTGAGTTGGTAACATGAGTGTATTTTCTTTCCACAAATCACTCATTCATTCATTCATTCATTCATTCATTCCAGCCCTACACTTTCCATTGTGCCCTTTAATATTAGTTTCCACTTTAAAAAAAAAAAAAAGCTTATCTTAAGAGGAATAGGAAAATGTTACTAAGCTCACAAAGTATATTAAAATCTAGAGAATTAAAGCTGCTTCATATTTGTTAGCTTAACTTATTAGATTTACAAGCACTGTTTAAATGCTTGGAAGTTCTGTTTGCTAGCCAGACGATTGAAATACCAAAAAAAAAAAAAAAAAAGAAAAAAGAAAAGAAAATCAAATATATTACATATATTAATTCCATTTAAAATACTTGAGGGAATTTCATGGTCTAAGTTTATAAATAGGATCAAACATTAATCAGAGTTGAATTCAAAGAGATAAGGAAGTCATTTTTTAATGTGTAATTTTCATACATCAAATAATATTCTTTAAATGTAAGTTCCTAAGTGACCCTTGAATCATCTTTTCACTGGACAAAAGCAGTCAACCAGGGTACTGAAAGCATCATGGTGACACCATGTGATGTGGTCAACGCAATCCCTGGGATCAAATAAACAAGGAATGCCAGGTGTCACCACCATGATAATTCTGTTTGCCCTTGTTGCGACTGTTGTCATTTGTCACGCTGTGTCATTACGATCTGCAACACAGATTCTTTTCTGCTGGTGGTGTCTCTCAGCCACCCAATCCTACTTTCCCAACCCTGCAGTATAGACAGACACCATGGAACCATCATGGTGCCTTGAGGGGGATGGATTTGTGATGAAGACCTTCAAGGCCAACTCCGCCCTAAAGCCACCCTGATACCCTGGGGGTCAAGAGGTGTGCTGTGGCAGAAGTCGTGACTCCTGGGCCCACAGTGCCTCTTTAGCCCCTACACCAGGGGAGGACGTGCTTCTGCAGACCCTCTGGATCTGTGTGAATAAAAACACATGTGTGAGCATGGTCTCATGTAGAATCAGTTGTGTATACAGAAGCCCAGTAGGCTCCTACCTTACAGGGAGTGTCACCAGCCAAGGCAGCCCCCGCAAAGGGGCTGGGGGCTGGGGCGAGTCGTCCTTGGGGGCTGCTGCAGCTGCTCCCCCATGCATGACTCTAACAAACACCCCTGACTTTGGATAATCAAACCAGGAGCTCAGTGGCCTCCCACAGTGGACAGTCTCTTCCCACTGAGTCCTGGAGGAGAGGGAAGTGCCTGATGCATCTCTATATCCCACAATCCCTGGAAACTGAGGAAGTAAAAAAAAAAAAAAATGAAGGATTAAAGAGACATGGCTGTCAGTCAATGGGGTGTTGAAAACACTCAAATAAAATCAGTTCCATGTAGTGCAGTGGTAGAACCAGTGAGGATGCCCAGAATCCAGACACATGTTTTATATCAAATTATTGCAGGAGCCTGAGTGAGAACATTAACCTCCCTGGCACTATTCTCTCCTCTGTTGGACAGGGGTTTTTCCTCTGCTGCCCTCTTACCGCCTGGGTCACACAGGAGGTAACGTGATCAGGATGGTGAGCAAGGAGTACCAGCCTCCTGCAGAGATGCCCTGGAAAGACGCCAGAACAATCGAGGAAAGAAAGTCCGAAAGCACATGGGTCAGCTGTTCATACACTCACCAGAGCCCTGCAAAGACGCCCCATTGTGCAGAGAGAAGGTGGAGATGGCAGATCCAGTGCAGAAGCCAATAGCAACGCCCTAGAACCGGGAACACCGTGGAGGGGATCAGATGTGCCGCTGCCTCGGGGGAACAAGTCCCAGAGGGGGTGTCTCTGGGAGACCTCCCTCTGCCAGGTCTGGAGCAGAGGCAGGGCCAGGTCTTGACATGTATCTCTGGTAAAGCAAGGACTGGAGCCTCCTCACCCCGATGAACTGTGGAGGCGGGCTCTGAACGGCTAGAAAGACTGAGGTTCCCACCCACTGCCCAGAAGGTCTGTGATGTGGAGAAAAAGATACATCACTGTGTTTCCATCACAACAGCAGAGCAAAGCTACAGTCCTTCCACCAAAATACTGCTGATGACCGAATCTTCATCCAAAAGGCCTTTTACTTTCGTTTGATGTCCAACTCCATAAATACTCACTGAATATGGACAACATGCAGGGTACCAGACCTATGTGCTTATTTGTAACTAAAGAGGTATTTTTACAGAAAATGCATAGGCCGCCCTGGATGAGTCAGGGTTTGCCGGAGAAACAGACCACTGGGCTCTATGTAATAACATAGAAGAGACTTTCTGAGGGACGTGGAAATTTTCTCTTCTGTATTACTTCTTTGTTTTTTTTCCTTTGAGATGGAGTTTTGCTCTTATTGCCCACGCTGGAGTGCAATGGCACGATCTCAGCTCACCATCTCCCAGGTTCAAACAATTCTCCTGCCTTAGCCTCCCGAGTAGCTGGGATTACAGGCAAGCACCACCACGCCTGGCTAATTTTGTATTTTCAGTAGAGACAGGGTTTCTCCATGTTGGTCAGGCTGGTCTCGAACTCCTGACCTCAGGTGATCAGCCCGCCTCGGCCTCCCAAAGTGCTGGGATTACAGGCATGAGCCACCGCGCCCAGCCCTCTTCTGTATTACTATACAGAACCCACTGATCTGTTTCTCCCTTTCCAGCTCACAGGATCATGGAGGCTGAGAAGTCCCAGGATAAGCTATTTGTAAGCTGGAGCCCCGGGAAAGCAGGAGGTGCACGCTCAGTCCTGGTCTGAAGGCCTGAGTACTGGGTAGGGTGGGCGAGGATGGGGGCCAGGGCAATAATGTGAGTCCTAGAGTCTAAGGCCTGAGAACCAGGAGCACAGGTGTCCAAGGGCAAGAGGAGACAAATGTCCCAGCTCAGAGAGGAAGAATGCACCCTTTCTCTGCCTCCTTGTTCTACCAGGGCCCACGGTGGATTGGACGACAATGCCCGCCCACACTAGGGAGGGGTCTTCTTGACTCAATCTGTGGGTTCACATGTGCTCTCATTAAGAAACACCCTCCCAGACACCAGGAATAATGTTTCACCAGCTGTCTGGCATCCCATGGCCCAGGCAAGTTGGCACATGAAATGAACCACACCACACACTCTGCCAGCCCAGGAATCTTCTCCGCAAAAAGAGGCTTGCCCTCCTAAGAAGGCTGCTTCAGGGCCTGGGCCCCTCAAACTGGCTCCTGAACCGCGACACACAAGGAGAAAGCCTCTCATCAATGCAACCTTGGTGATAATAAAATTACAAATACCATGTTTATGTTTCTGGAGAAGGGAAATAGGCCGGCTAAGACTTGTGGACAAGAAGACCATGGACGAAATGTACAGAAACATGCAAGCATGGCTGTTCTGGGCAGGAATGCCGGGCTGGCTTTGCATGGCTCATGAGCCCCTGATCTCATCCAAAGCGGCTCAGGACAGGAGGCTGGGTGGGGCCTGGAGGTGGATGCAGCTGGAGGCCTCTCTACACTTCTGATGGGATTTCATATTGGATGGAAGAGTGTCTCTGTCTTTCTGAGCCATCCACTTTGTTCTCATGCAGATGAGAAGACCTGTGGGCAAGGCTGTTGCTGCTCTCTCTTCTCCGACAAGCTCAGTCGTGGTATTTATTTGGAGTGATTAGCAGTGGAAGAACAGAGCTTCTCTCTTAGAATTAGTCTCCCAGGGTGGACATCCTATGGTGGTGTTTTTTCTTGTTTTTTAATTTTGTTTTGTTTTGTTTTTAATTTTTTAAAAAGGAGCAAGATTGGCTTTTGCTGTGGTATCATTATGTCATGTTTCTTTCAATAGAATCTGTAGGAAATAAGGACAAACCATGACTCAGTGAGCCTGGCCCTCTGGAAAGCCACTTTGAGGGGAAGGTTTGAGCTCCTTACACAGAAGTGGTTCCCAGGCCCCCCGCTGCTGGGGTGACACTGGGTGTGGCGTGAATCCTGGGTGAGCCATGCACCATTTTGGCTGGACTGTTTCCCTCTCAGAGAATGCAACTGTTCATTTGCTTAGTGGTATCAGCAAACAAGCAGCATCCCATGGGTGAAACCCCAAAACGCCTGGCAAGGCCTCCAGCCCACCTTCATATGAGTTTGTGAGCCTCACGCTCAGCTCACAGAGGCACCACTCAGGAAGGTCAGGGACATGGCCTGCAGGGCTCTCGAGCCCAGTGGAGCTGGGGAGGGAGGGAGGGAGCGATTGACAGAGAAGGAAGCTCAGCCACACAGCCAGGTGCCTCAAGCCACACAAGCATGGGGTGCACATGGCCAGCGATGTCCAAATCCAGGGGGCCCTGCTGTCCTGGAAGTTGGAGAAAGCCACCAACAGGTTCTCTACTTACTCTCAGGGCCAGCCATCAATGGTCCTTAAAACCCCCTGACAGTGGGTCCTTTGATCCACCCCTTGCCAAGGCCACAACCTCATCCCTTCTCTCACAGCAGGGGCTTCAGCCCTCCTCCTGCCTCCCAAGCCCTCAGCCTGGCCCCTGGTTTTGGCAAGCCCTGATCTTCTACTTCTGTAAAGAGATGAAGGCATCAAACTCAGCTCCTTCCACCTTCTATTGTTATTCCAACTCAGATCTATTGGTCTTGACCAATAGGGAAAAGCATCCTTAGCTGTTGTTTGCAGCAGCCCTTTGGACAAACCATACCATCTTCCCGACCCCCTGCTTCCTTATCTCTAAATATCAGAAACACCCACACTTACCACCCAGCATGGTCTCATGCCAGCTTAAGTCCAAGATAATTGGGGCCAAGGGCTGTTCTGAGGTTAAATAATGTAATCTCTATCAAGAATATGACAACACGAGGCTGCAGTGAGCCGTGATGGCACTGCCACACTCCAGCCTGGGTGACAGAGTGAGACCCTCTCTCAAAAAAAAAAAAAAAAAAGAATACGACAACAGCTCCTTGATATGATAAACACAGAATTACTGTATGACCAACTCTCCACTCCTAGGCATGTACCTAGGAGACTCAAAAGCAGTGTTTAAATACATATTTGCATAGGAGTGTTCTTGGCAGCATTATTCATTATAGACAAAAAGTGGAAACAACCCAAGTGGTGTATCACAAAATGTGGTATATTTATACAATGAAATATGGTAGTGTTCCTCCATAAAAAGGAATGAAGTTTTGTTTGTTTGTTTGTTCGTTTGTTGTGACAGAGTCTTGCTCTGTCTCCCAGGCTGGAGTGAAGTGGTGTGATCCTGGCTCACTGCAACCTCCACCTCCCAGGTTCAAGCAATTCTCCTGCCTCAACCTACTGAGTAGCTGGGACTAAAGATGTGTGTCACCACGCCCGGCTAATTTTTGTATGTTTAGTAGAGATGGGTTTTCACCATGTTGGCCAGGCTGGTCTTGAACATCTGACTGCAAGTGATCTGCCCGCCTCAGCCTCCCAAAGTGCTGGGATTACAGGTGTGAGCCACGGCACCCAGCCAGGAATGAAGTTCTGACACAGGCTACAGTGTGGCTGAGCCTTGAGAACGTTATGCTCTGTGAAATAAGCCAGACACAAAGGGCCATATAGTGCCTGATTCCATTTACATGAGTTGTCCAGAATAGGCGCATTCATGGAGATGAGAAGTAGATAGATGGTTACCAGGGGCCGGCGGAGGAGGGAATGAGGGAACTCCTTTTTGTAGGGACTTGATAATATCCTACGTTTAGGTAATGTTCATGGTTGCCCAGCATTGCCAACATACTTAATGCCTCTCTGCTCAGCCACTTTAAAGTGATTGATACCATACATTTTATGTTTTGTATATTGTTAAAACAATTAAAAGGGAGGCCCTCAGACTAAGGGTACCCTAATGCCTTGGGTTCTTACATAAGCAGAATTAAACTTAAGGCCAGGGGTGGTGGCTCATGCTTGTAATCCCAGCACTTTGGGAGGCCAAAGCCAGTGGATTACTTGAGGCCAGGAGTTCATGACCACCCTGGCCAACATGGTGAAATCCCACCTCTACTAAAAATACAAAAAAAAATTAGCCAGGCATGGTGGCGGGCACCTGTAATCCCAGCTACTTGGTAGGCTGAGGCAGGAGAATCACTTGAACCTGGGAGGCAGAGATTGCGAGATTGCCGTGAGTCGAGATCATGCCACTGAATTCCAACCTGGGCAACAGAGTGAGACTGTCTCAAAAAAAAAAAAAAAAAGAAAGAAAAAAAGAAACTTACGCTCAGCCAATCACAGGCAGCCAAGTAAGCATGAGTTCTATTACGAGGAACTCCCCCTGGCTGGAGAGTTCAAATGAAAGGACTGCTCCACTTTAACCAATTAAATAATTTCTTTGCTCTGCTTCCACATTCACCCTATAAAAGCTTTCCCTCCAAGCCCCTCCAGCAGAACCCCCAACCAGCTGGGATCTGGAGCTGCCCTATTCATGAGTAGCTTTCTGCTGACATAAACCCTTTAAAGTTTTAATGTGACTATGTTAATTTTTTAACAGTATCTTACCATGATATTTTAAAAAGAAAGCAAGCTCTGGTGATTCAGCTCCTTTCTGCACCTATCCAGGGTCTCCCTTTAAACGCAGACTCTGTGACATCCTAATTACTGGCTTCTCCTTGGTCATTATGGTGGGCAGAAGAACAGCCCTGCAAAGATGTCCACATCCCAGTCCTTATCCTAGTCCATGTCCCAGTCTACGTCTCAGTCCATGTCCCAGTCTGTGTCCCAATTCCTGGAACCTGCGAACATGTCACCTTACATGGCAAAAGGAACTTTGCACGTGCAATTAAGGAACTGGAGATGGGGAGCTGATCTCAGGTTATCCGGGGGTGGGGGTGGTCCAGGCTAATCAGGGTTCTTACACAAGGGAGGGAGGAGGATCAGAGGAAGAGATGTGTCCTTGGAAGCAGAAGTCAGTCTGAGAGAGATTGGAGGATGGCATGCTGCTGGCTTTGAGGATGAAGGGACCATGAGCCAGGGAACACAGGCAACCTCTAGAAGTTGGAAAAGGCAATGAAATGGGTCCTCTTCCAGAGCCTCCAGAAGGAATGCAGCCCTGACCACCCATTTTGCATGTAAATCTATATAATTTAAAGTCACTAATTTTCTGAAAATTTCTTGCTGCAGCAATAGACAGACAAGTCCTACACTCTTCCAACATGTTTGGTCCCACCACTATTAGTCTATGCTCCTCAGCCTTGGCCCCACCATCCACTCTTTCATTCCATCTCTCCCTCATCCTGCCCGAAAAATTCCTAGGGTTGTTCTCCTGCCCTCACCTTCAGGGAAATCGCCTTACGTGTGTGGACACAGCCACAGTCAAGCTGCATTTTGAACACTCTCCCAACAGAGAAGAATTCTTGCCTTTCCAATGGCTCCCAACAGGAGGGCCAAGGAACGGATGGTATTCATGCTCCGTTGCTGCAGAAGGCATTATAGAATCTTCCAATTAAAGGTATTTTAATTACTCCTAGTCCCACAGCCCCAGCTTGGTCTTCCAGCCTTCTGATAAGGATGTTACAGGAGTGTGAGAATGGGATTCGTCCCAAGGCGGATTCTCTAAGGCCTACCTGAGCCGCTGTCTTTCCCTCTGGAATGCACTTCAATTACGCTCTGCTGGTCATAACACTTTACATCTGAGGAGGAAATTGTATAATCCCTTTAGTGACAATTAAAAGGAAGGATTTGCCTGCAGGTCATCGAGAGCATCTCAGAAACATTGCCTGGCTGTTCTCTCCTTTTCTCACTTTAATCCCGTTATCTTGTTTCCTTGGGGCATCTTCCTTTATTACTTTTAAAACCTTATCAGAGAGGAAGAAAAACAATCAGAATACTTACACGATGGTTATCTTGCAGTGGTGGGAATCCATGTAAGGCATCTCAGAGAACTTTACACCCAGAAGGGTCCTTGAAATAGAGAAGAGGCACCGATGCTCATGCCCCTGGCTTCCCCGGGTCCTGAATCAGAAGGGCCCTGCAGACACAGATGGCTCTTTGGAAACTGGTTCTGTGACTGAGGGCTGATGTCCATCAAGGGCAGAATCAGACAGGCAGATACCATGAGGACCACCTGGTACTTACCCCTCACTTCACAGTGGGATCTGAAACCCGGAGAAAAGGAGAACTGGGCCCAAGCTTCAGAGTCCAGGGCTCGGGATCTGTTTGCTTAGAGTGGCAGCCTCTGTTTGAAGATCTCAGTGTCCTTTTAAAAATTCATAAAGAAGGAGGCTTGGAGAGAGAGAAAGAGCACACATAGGAAGATGCTGTAACTACAAAAGTCAGTACTCAGAGGGGCTCAAATGAAAGTGGAAAGCAGAACAAGGAATGTTTGCCTGAACTCGGAATGAACATCATCCATCAGATGTGCATGTTCCAGGAGTTTGCAAAGGGCTTGCCCATGTACTGGGCACCTTTCTGGGGGGTCCCATGCCTCTCTCCTTGCCAGAGAGTATTCATGGCCATACCTCAGCATCCCAGCACCAAATACAGACGCTGTGGGCAGCAGGTGCTCCATCAATGCATAGAAGGGCAAATCCATGATCTCAATGAGCCCTTAGGGTTCCTCCGCCTCAGCTGCCTGTTTTGCAGAAGAGAAAAGGCCATTGTCACACAGGGAAGCTTCCAGCCTGTTCCAAATGCCTCCTCATTGACCTAACTGCTCAGCACGTTGAGCTGGACGGGACTCTGCCAGGGCTCAGTGAGGCATTTGATATGGTTAGGCTTTGTGTCCCCACCCAAATCTCATCTTGAATTGAATCACCAGGTGTTGCAGGAGGAACCTAGTGGGAGGTGATTGGAAAACGGAGGCGGTTTCCCCCATGCTGTTCTCCTGATAGTGAGTGAGTTCTCATGAGATCTGATGGTTTTATAAGTGTTTGGCAAGTTCCTCCTTCACTCACTCTTCTCTGTCCTGCCATCATGTGAAGAAAGTGCCTTGCTTCCCCTTCACCTTCCACCATGATTGTAAGTTTCCTGAGTCCACCGCAGCCATGTGGAACTGTGAATCAATTAAACCTCTTTCCTTAATAAATTACCCAGCCTCAGGTAGTATCTTTATAGCCATGTGAGAACAGACTAATACAGCATTCTATATATTTTTTCATCCTCTGAAAACCCCAGCACCTTCCATTGCCTTATTCACATAAAGTATCAGGCATGAACTAGGCAGATGTACAGATGGGTCATTCCAGCCCCTCCAAATGCTTCATGAAACTGAAGGCACAGACCTGGCCCTGAATGGCCACATGATCTTGGACACTTTTTAACCTCAATTCCTCCCCTGCAATGGACTGACAGTACCTGCATCTCAGGGCTTCTATGAGTGTTACCCAAGACAGCAAATTGGGCTCTGCCTGAAAACTGAGGCTGTAGTGGACAGTCATTAAGAACCTCTTTCTCCCTTGATGATGTGGCCACTTCCCTTAAGGAGCTCAGCCCCTCAGCATACTGAGACAGTGATTCTGTAAAGAAAACGCGTTGAGAAACCTGCGTTTGAACCATCTGTGGACTCTTGGGTGGGGAGTGGGGAGAAAAGCAATCTCACCCAAAAGCTTCACCCCCTTTAAGAACTGTTTTGCAGGAGAGCACAACAGTTCTCTGAGAGAACTGCTCAGAGATAGGCAACAAATACTGCGTGATTCCACTTATGTGAGGTCCCTAGAGGAGTCAAATTCACAGAGACAGAAAATAGAATGGTGGGTGCTAAGGGCTGTGGAGGAGAAGGGGAGTTAGTGTTTAATGCCTATAGAGTTTCAGTTTGGGAAGATAAAAAAGTCTGGAGATGAATGGTGGTGATGGTTGTACATGAAGGTACTAAATACCACCGTATTATATATTCAAAAACAGTTAAAATGGTAATTTTTTGTTATGTATATTGCACCACCAAAAAAATGAATGAATAAATAAATAATAGATAAACAGTGGTAGTAGTTACACGGTAGGAGCTACCACTTATGTAGGGCTTCTTGTGTGGCTTTTGGTTACCAACTCATTATGTGCATGAGAGACACAGTTAGGAGGCATTAGGAAGAGAAAGCAAGACCAATGGGAAATGTGGGTATTTGTTAGCTAGGGCTGCATAACAAATTACCACTGAGTGGTTATTTCCTCATGTTCTGGAGGCTGGTGAGTCCAAGATCAACATTCCAGCTGTGGTTCCTGATGAGGGCACTCTTTCCAGCTTTCAGGTGGCAGCCTTCTCAATGTGTCCTCATGTGGCAGAGGGAGAGCTCTGATGTCTCTTCTTATAAGGATGCCAATCCTATCAGGTTAAGCCCCACCCTTAGGACCATGTTTAACCTTAATTCTCTCCTTAAAGGCCCTATCTCCAAATGTAGTCACATTGGAAGCTAGACTTTCAACATATAAATAGAGAGGAGTGAACTTTTTCCTAACAGAAGGGAAAGATGGATTAGATATGGGTGGAGACAAAGACTGGCTCCACTTTATTGAGTCAGGGCTCAGAGAATACCTAGGCATTTGAGAAGCAGAAAAAATAAGGAGGGAAAGTGGTGTCTTGGGGGATGAGGGGGCAATTATAAGCTTTCTTTCCTATACTGAGTTTGAAATAAACCCAGGATAGGCAGTAAGACAACCCTGGAGCTTTGTATATATGCCAGGGCTGGACTTGAAAATGGGGAGCCGTAAATTCATGAGTTCACCCAACTTCGACTCTGTGCCTGAAGAGCAGCCCAGAAGCAAAACAAGAGAGCGAAGCTCATCAGGCTTAGAGTCAAGGGAAAGGAGGGTCACTGACTACCGCTGGGCAGGGATAAATCAGCAGAAGAACGTTGAAAAATGGGAAGGAAGCATTTAGAAAGGAGGGTGGGGAAGGAAGAGGGTGGCCCAGATGCTTTGAGCAAATATGTGAAGGCTGAAAAGAGACTGAGGCTGCACAACTTATGTAACTTACCTGAAAAATATATATAACACTAAATGGCGGAGTCTTAAAAAAAAATGTACTGGTCAGAGTTAAACAGGCAAGGAAGATTTTATCCAAGACTATTGCAACCTGGGAGAGAGATTGAACTCAATTCCACTGAAACAACAGGTAGGAGGGTTTTGAAGCTTTGGAATGAGCTAGGGGTAAAGTCCTAGAGGACACTGGGGGAAGGTGGGCTGATGTGATCAGGCTGTGTGTGTTTGCCAATCACCTCTCATCAACATCAGGCTCCCCTCCCTCAGGGACTGGGAGTCGGGGGCACCATCTTCCTGATGATCATGTTTTGAAGGAACCACTTCCAGGTCCTTGAGAAATACATTCCTGGGTTGTAGAAGGTTTCCATCTCAAAGGGCCAGAGAGAGACTTACAACCGCAATTTTTCTAAAGCAATGCTCTGAGCAAAGGGAGGTCAGGGGCCTCAAGTCAGGAAGAAGCCTGCCCAAGCATCAGCCAAGCTGATGGGAACATTCAGGCTATCCTGGCCAAGTCCTAGAATCATCTGAAGGATGAAGAAATGGAAGCTATGAGAGGAAGAAGGACCTGTTCAGCACAGAGCCAACTGTGCACCCCTGAGCACTTGTGGCTCTGTTTGCAGCGTCCTGGGGCACCAGCTCCTGAAGTCAGGAAGGAAGCAGCCAAGCAGCTCCAAGGCTGAGCAGTGGGCCCAAGGCACAGAGAAGAACCATGGGAGGGTTCTGGTCTTGTGCATCTGCACATTCAGCCCTGCAGCCACTGCACTAACTTCTCACCATCACAGTCTCCATTGTACAGATGAGGAAACAGGAAAACAGACAACTTTCCCAAGGCTCCCAGAGCTACAGCCATCTGCATTTTCCTCATCCCCTTGCTGTCCTTTCCCGGGACATCCCTCTTGCTTGGATCAACAAGGATGGCCCAGTAAGGAGCAGCCTTCATAACAAGCCCATATGAAGGCCTTGTGCTCACAGGAGAGTCTGTGTGTAGCTGTTCACATTTGGAAGACTTTGACGTTTGATCCCAACTCTTTTGCTCTCTTCCTTCTTATGCAATTAAAATCAATACCATAAAACCTCAATAGCACATAAGGAAGCAGGAAGCCCTCACCAGATGCTGAACCTGCCTGGTGTCTTGTTTTTGGACTTCCAGGCCCGAGTTCGTGGTATTTTGCTATAGCTGCCCAAATGAACCAAGACTGCCAGGGTCCTCTTGCCAGAGCCAGCAAGCACCTGGGTTTACAGGTGAGTGGGAAGAGAACCAAGAGGGCTGCCTGACGAATGTACCCTCTAGGTCCAGGGCTGTGGGCTCAAAGAGAAGGGAAGCAAGAACCAGGCTTCTCCCAGGCTGCCCTGTGGGATGGAAAGAGTCATGGCAGTTGCCCCTCAGGGCAGGGGGAAGGCGGATTGGGCAGCTCTGCCTTGTTTTGAGTCTCAGGCTCCAGGCATGGAGGGAAGAGGTCCCATTAGGGAGGAGCTGGGCTTGCTTTCCTCACGAGGGTGAGAGCAGGACTGCGTGGTGCCCCTCAGCAAGGGTGGCACTCGGCTTCCCTGCATCCAGAGTGCCATCAAGGCAGCCTCAATAGGTACTCCTGCCCCGAGGGCCTCAGGGTGAGGCTCTTCAGAGATGCTGGCAGGATCTGGGGGACATTGGGCTGCTTGGAATAGACAGGCTGCCTTCCACATCACAGAGATTTGAGTGGACAAGATGGCCAGGCTCCAGTCCAGTGCCAGACAGCATGCGGCTGAGAGGTGAACTGGCAGGCAAAAACACCGACGGATGGCGAGGGTGACCTGGAGCTGCCACTCAGAGCCCAGAATGCCCAGCAAGCCCTGTCCTGGAGGCTGTCATGCCCTGGAGGCAGGAGCAACCACTGGTCCCAGGACAAAGACTCCCTGCGAGTGCGGCCTGGATAGGACAGGTGGTAGGAAGGCCACCCAGCCCCATGGACCTCGCTTGGTCTGCTGCCTGCCTGTGCCCTGACACTCTGCGGGTTCTGGCTCCACCTCATCTCCCAGATGCCCACCATGTCCTGCTGAGCACACATCTGACCACTCAAACCTGCTCAAACCAACCATTGCTGCCAGAAGCCGCAATCTCTGAAGTAGAGTTGGTGGCTGCCTCCCCCACCAGTTCTGAGTTTTCATCGATTCATTCTATAAATGGGAATCCATGCCTTCTATGGCCCTTCTCCCATCACTGCCTTTTCAGTAGCTTTGGCCTCAAGCCAGCAGCTATTTAAAGTCTTCATGATGCTGAGACTTGCCTACATTAATATTCAAATGTTGTTGTAATTACCCCTGACATTTATTGAGTTGTGGCTGGGCCAACCACTTCATATGTAGACTTCATTCGATCTTCGGGACTGACCTATGATGTATACATGATGACGGGCCCCATCCCCTGTACTCATCCTCAGATGAGGAAGCCCAGCTCAGAGCAGGAAGAAGGGGTAGTCCCACAGCCACCTGCGAGAGGCAAAGGTGGGATGTGAACATGACACTCCAACTCCAGAGCCTGCCTCTGTTTAAAAAAAATCATCCAAGACTTGCAAATAAGCAAAAGGATGGCTTCCGACGCCACACGGGGCTACCGTCTAGCAGCCCACATATGCGAGAGTTTGTTCTTTAGGGAGGCTCCTTTCCTACTGCTCTTTCCTACTGATTCATTCCCAGACTCTGAAATTATTTGTCAAGCTGTGGATTTCTGCCTGGCAAAGATGCAAATGACTTCTACCTGGTGAAGAAGATAACCCCACAGGCGATGACTTCATTGCCCTGGAGGACAGCAACCAGCTTTGCCTTTAACGTAGCAACCTGATTTCAGCTCGCCTTCCTGGCTTATGGTGTAAGCACCTGTTCCTCAAATTCTCCTTTGAATGGGGTTCACCCTCCTGCCAGCTCCCTGTTCGTGAGGTAAGTTAATCTTTGAGGAGTGTTCATTCCATATTTAGAGGAGAGTCCTATTTTTAACTGTTCAGAGGGATGTTTTGATGGCTCTGAGCTCCAGCCCTGCTGGAAAGCCTGCCCCTCCTCAGAGGTATGGCTCCATAGCCCCTCCTCTTTAAGCTTTCTCAGTCCAGCTTTATCCTCTGACTGTTCTACCCAATGACACTCATCCTTAACTGCATCCCCACCTCGAAAAGGTGTGGAAAATAAAATGTCAGGACCCTCTAAATGTATTATGCCAAGGGAGAGGTTAAGCCCTAGAGACTGTGTTATGTAGCATGTTTGCAATTCTGCTTCTTAGATTATAAATGAGGAGAGATGAATTATCTTCCTCATTGCTCTTGTACCAGGCCTCCCCCTTCCAATCCAAGACTTTGCTATGGATTCACTGCCTCCTTTATTGCCCTGTACTCAACTCAGCCCAGATGGTGCTCAAGACCCCATAACCATTACATCTTCAGTGTAGAATGCTAAATATACCTTTTCTGAAAGAAAAAGACCACCTCAACTAATCAGATTGTTGTAACTATACATTTAACCTTATATAGAAAGATATTGAAATTCTGTTAGTCTTCCCTGAACTTTGTTTATGTATGCAATCCCAAACTTCTGCACTTCGGAACACTGACTTCCATTCTTTGGAATCTGTGTTTCCCGGGTGGCTCATCCTCAGCTCTGCAATTGAATGAACTCTCTTTAAACTAGATTCTGACCCTTTTGTTTACTTGAGGTTTACAGTGCCTATAGCATATGCGAAGCCTGGCTCACCCCCACCCCCAGCCAACAATGGCTTCCAATTAGGTGACTTTCACTCATCCTCTCTCCTGGAGTCCCTGAAACCCCAATGGAAGGTATACATATATATATACACATATATATATGTGTATATATATACACATATATATATGTATATATATATATAGTTTCATGCCTTTCATTTCTACCCATATGCAATCACAGGGACAGCACACCTCTCTCAGTTGTTGGATGGATGAACAGATGGATGGATGTTGAATGTTGAATGTTGAATGGATGAATGGATGTGTGGATTGATAAATGGATGAATGGTAGATAGATGGGTGTGATTGATGGATGAATGGATGGATGGATGGGTGTGTGGATGGATGGATGGATGGATGGATGGATGGATGGATGGATGGATGGATGGGTGTGTGGATGGATGGATGGGTGGATGGATGGGTGTGTGGATGGATGGATGGATGGATGGATGGATGGATGGATGGATGGATGGATGGATGATGGATGGATGGATGGATGATGGATGGATGGATGGATGGATGGATGGATGGATGTGTGGATGGATGGATGGATGGTTGGATGGATAGATGGATTATGATAGATCAGAAGACATGCTTGACAGTTCTAAAAAGCTGCAACTTAGCCTCTGAGTCCGTGAGTGACCTTGGGCAGACTATGTCTTCTCTCTGGGCCTCAGTTTCCTGATCTATTAACTGTGGGAGCAGACTGGCTGATTCCAGATGCTTCTCCCAGCTCTCCGCCTCTGATTGTATTATGTATGCTATAAATTGATTCACAGAGAAATCTTTGAACATCAAGACTCTCAATGACAGTAAGTTTAGAAAGAAAAAATATTAATGACGTGAAATTCAAAAACGAAACAAAAACTCTGCCATCACAATCAGAGTTCTGTTTGTCAGGAAGCTGCAGAAGCTGAAGCTAACAGGATGGAATCATCCACCTGCTCATTATTTATTCATGGGGTGAGCTCCAGCAGCAGGGGAAGCCTCCTCTCCACCAGTGTTGGCTGGGAGGGCCAGAAAACAGGGAAGTTTCAGGGCTGTTCAAGCAGAACTTGACCTTTCCACCTTCTCCTTCCCTGAAAGGAGGGGAGGTGGCCGGAGCTGGCTGGGCATCTGTGAGCAGTGGATAGGGGTGCTGGGTCAAAAACAACTGGCCGCCTGCCCCTACAGATGATTGAAGAGAGACGAGCTAAGAGGTTGGCATCTCCCCTCGGTTGGGTAATTTGACAGTTTTGACAGAGAAGGGAATTTTCCCTTTTCCTCAGCCTGGGAACTTGGCTTTCCAATACCTAGGTGGTGGCATCTATTCCCATTTCAATGCAGACTGATTTTCAGCTGCCAGGGACCCCTGCAGCTCTTTTCTATCGAATTTGCATTGCAATGATTGGAGACGGCAGGGGATTGGGAGCCAATTTTTTAGCTGTGAGCTTATCAATGCAGGAGTCTGCCCAAAGTTAACTTCATCTTGTCCCAGGAAAAGCACCCCCCTCCTACTCCATGCCCAATCTGACACCTACTTCAAAATAAAAAGAAGAAAAGTTAATAAAAATCAGAGGGTTCACTAGACTGAATACTTAACATCACTGCAGTGATAAAAAATGTGTAAGAATATCTCACAGAAGATGTACATGGAGCTCAGATTAAGAAATTCCATCCCTGAGAAACAGGCAGCTTTCTTCTTCAAAGCTCCTGTGTGTCAAAGTCTCTTAGAGAAAGAGAAGTGAGTGGGAGATGGAAACTGGGTTTTGAAGACTCTTCTAGGAAAACAGAAAAATGCTCTCTTAAGTGATAAGGAGTTTTCACAGAAACGGCAGCTTCCCGTTATCTGAAGTAACAGAAGGCCCTTGAAGGTCAGGAACGCAGAGTACTGGGCCCAAGTTCTCACTGAATCTTGGGTGAATACACAGGTACGACACAGTGAGGGACCAACCCATAGGGAGAGTGAGGCCTGCTCAGAGGTTGCCGGATGCAAACCCTACCAGGGTGTTCATTTGCTGATGAGACAATTCGGCTGGGTGGAGACACTGCCTGGATGTCAACTGAGACTCAGAACAAGAGGGAGATCAGTACATTCAATCCAAGAAAAGCAGCCAACTGTGGGGAGCCCGGCCATCCTGGCTCTGGCAGGTAACCACACAAAGCTATAGGCAGAGCTGTCCATGGAATCTGACTAACTCCTGATGGCCCAGCACTCCGTGCAAATGTGTAATACAGCAAGTGAGAGACAGCCTCAGAGACAGGCCAGGTCTAGGTTCTGGGTCAGCCAGCCTCCAGCCAGGTGACCTCGGACGTACTTGAACTTCTCCTCCCCGGTTTTCTCATCAGTTATCATGGGTTATTAGCTCTCTACCAGGAGTGCTGCTGGGATTAACCTCTAAAAATACGGATAAAGGTCGGGCTCAGTGGCTCATGCCTGTAATCCTGGCACTTTGGGAGGCCAAGGCGGGTGGATCACCTGAGGTCAGGAGTTTGAGACCAGCCTGGCCAACATGGTGAAACCTCATCTCCACTAAAAATATAAAAACCAGCCGAGTGTGGTGGTGCATGCCTGTAATTCCAGCTACTTGGGAGGCTGAGGCAGGGGAATTGCTTGAACCTGGGAGGAGGAGGTTACAGTGAGCTGAGACTGCGCCACTGCATTTCAGCCTGGGTGACAGAGCGAGACTCCATCTTAAATAAATAAATAAATAAATAGGCCAGGCGCGGTGGCTCTTGCCTGTAATCCCAGTACTTTGGGAGACTGAGGCAGGCAGATCACAAGGTCAGGGGATTAAGAACATCTTGGCCAACATGGTGAAACCCTGTCTCTACTAAAAATACAAAAATTAGCCAGGCATGGTGGTGCACACCTGAAATCCCAGCTAGTCTGGAGGCTGAGGCAGGAGAATCACTTGAACGCAGGAGACGGAGGTTGTGGTGAGCTGAGATCACGCCACTGCACTCCAGCCTGGGCGACCAGTGTGAAACTCCATCTCAAAAAAAAAATAATAAAAAAATAAATAAAATAAAATACACATAAAGCACGTAGAACACCTACCATGTTTGTGAAAGAAGAAGATGAGCCCCAGGTCACCTGCTTGCTCATGCCCTAAATCCAGGAGACACGAGCAGGCCATGGCAGGAGGGGCCCACAGGGTAGCTTCTGCCCTGAGAATGGAGCCACAGAAGGTCTGGAGGCTTGGGGGTCCAGGGCTCTCCAGGCCACTCTTGCACCTACTCACACTGACATGGAGGGGCCTGCTGTGAGGGGAACCCTAGCTAGTCTCAGAAGGGAGAAGAGGGGGCATGCACTGCCCCAGCTGCCTCCAGCAGCCACACCAAGCACAGAAGGCTGGTGATGCTCCACAGACGCGGCAAAGCTTGCAGGCCCAACCCAGACACACTCTTCCCAACTTCATACAATCTCAATCAAAACCTTATCAGACTATTTCTACAACCTGACAAAAGGATACTCAAATTTACCTGGAAAAATAAATTGCCAAGAACAGCCAATAGACACTGAAAAAAAAAAAAAAGTAGGGGTGGGGATAGAGAATAATGGAAAAGAGATTTCCATGTCAAATAAGAGGTTGTATTATTATTCAAAACAATTGTGGCAATGTAGTGGTGGGTGGGACAAGGATGCATACAGATAGGAATAAATCTCCCAGAACCAGATCTAAGTAAATGTAGAATTTCAAGGGAGGGAGATGGTTTATTTGATAAACAGCAAGGAAAATTTGATGCTTAAACATTTCGATAGAAACAAAAGCCAAGCCTTACTCATAGCGCACACCAAAATTACTAGAAGGTTAAAATTCTGATAGCAAAAATAAAATAAAATAAAATCATGAAACTTAAAATAGAACAAAGCATAGGACACTATCAACCTCATCTCAAAGGAAGCAAAGTCTTTAAGAGCAAAATAGAAAGAACAGCAAATATATTTGTAGGAAAAGGTTATATCTTAAACTGCATAAAGGTAAAAAAATAAATAAGTAAATTTTGCTAGAAAATTAACACTAACAGAATTCAGAGAAAAAACAAAAACAAAAAATTTCATCACAATATGTGACAATGTCTTTCATACATCAACTTCTCTTTAAAAAAACTACAAGAAAATAAAATAATAGCCCAAATTGAAAAATGGGCAAGGAGGATTAGCTGGTTATTCATCAAAGGAAAAGGAAAAAATACCAAAGAAAACGTGTAAAACAGTAGCTTCAAGAGTAATTGAATGCGTGCTACTTGGCACAATGAACTATTACATTTTTATTTTCTTAATAAGGATCACTTAGCTTAAACGAAGCTTCTAGAACAACCATGAGAGCAGCCTGTGAAGGAAGAACCAAAGGGCAGAGAAACAATCCTGCTGGAACGGAGCTGTTATTACCAGCCAGCCCTATTACCGTTTGACGATGGAACATACTTCATCCTAAATGAGTGTGCGATGCTTATCTGAAATCCAGATTTAACTGGGCACCCTTTATTTCATGTGGTAAGCCCACGCATGAGGCTTCTGCACGATATCCAACCAATGGGGCCCTCCTCTGTCTTCCGGGAAGGGGAGTGAAGCACTTCTGCAACCCAGCGTTCAGGGGAGCAAGACGCTTTGCAGCATCTGCCCGGACATCCCCTCCAGGCTCCTGGCATCCCATGCCTTCCCTATCAGGGCCCCGACCCCAGGGGTAGGAGACTCTTGAGGTTTGATACTCTTGTCTTCTCTCAGGTCCTCCCTTTCCACAACCACGTCGAGGGCCTGATCTCCAGCTGCTTCTACCGCAGAAGCGAGGGGTTCTTTAGAGAGGGCCCCTGACTCCCGTGTTGCCTTAATTGGTCATTGATCAACTTAAGTCTGTCATTTTCTCTCTTCTGAACACAGTTCTTTCACTTTCTATTTCTCTATTCTGGGAAAATGGCAGAGGTATGACACGAGCCAGTATAAACCTGCTTCCAACCTCTGTTCGCACAGGTGGAAGTTGTCACAACTGATAGCTCCCAAGCACTAGGGATGAAGGATTCCCCACCTCCCCCAGCAGTGGGACCTGCGTGGCCAGACAGCCAGAGAGGGAGACCAACTCCAGAACCCTGTCCTCAAAGTGTGCATCCTGGGAGGCAGCTTCTGCAAACTGAGGGCGATTTGTCAGCAAAGGGGAACACACATAGGCTGTTTGCAAACTTCCTAATCCCAGTAGCGTGGCGGGTGAGTGGACGGCCTGGCAAAAAGGTCTGTGCATCCATTACTGCATCTTCCACAGCTACCAGATGAACAGAGGTGAAGATGATCACGACGACAGTGACGGTGGCCCCATACATCATCATTAGTTACAGTCTTCGACGTCAGGCTTGATTTTTCTCAAGTGGGAAAGGGTGTCATGACACTGCTATGGCATAAACCTTTAGGTCCGCCCCACCCCTGGCCAGCCCCGCCAAATTCGTATGTTAAAATCCCAATCCCCAGTGTGATGGTATTAGGAAGTGACCTTTGGGAGATTATGAGGGTGTGAGAGTGGAGCCCTCATAAATGATATCAATGCCTTCATAAAAGAGGCCTGAGAGAGAGAGAGAGACCCTTCCCCCTCCCACCACATGAAGGCACAGTGGGAAGGCCCTGTCTGAACCAGGAGGCCTCACCAGACACTGCACTTGTGGTTGCCTTGACCTCGGACTTCTTGTCTCCAGAACTGGGGGAAATGCGTTTCTAGGGTACTTTGTTGCGGCAGCCCAAACAGACTAAGATGAAGATCCACTGAGGAGCCTCATGCATTTGTACCTTCACCTTCTGAGCATTCACAGAACAAACTCCAGATTCAATCCTTGGAACATCTTAGAAAACCTGGTGACAACCACCTGGTACCAAGGTCTTCCTCAATCATGCAGAAGTCAAGAGTTCCCCATGGTGCTGGATCCTTTTTGTTTTTTTAAATTTAATTTATTTTACTTCAAGTTCCGGGATACATGTGCAGAAGGTTCAGGCTTGTTACATAGGTACACATGTGCCACGGTGGTTTGCTGCACCTACCAACCCGTCATCGAGGTTTTAAGCCCTGCATGCATTAGGTATTTGTCCTAATGCTCTCCCTCCCCTTGCCCTGCAACCCCCAACAGGCCCTGGTGCGTGTTGCTCCCCTCCCTGTGTCCATGTGTTTTCATTGTTCAACTCCCACGTGTGAACGAGAACATGCGGTGTTTGGTTTTCTGTTCCTGTGTTAGTTTGCTGAGAATGATGGCTTCCAGCTTCATTCATGTCCCTGCAAAGGACATGGTCTCATTCTTTTCTGTGGATACCAGATACTTTTTGCAGATGCTCAACCCCTCCCCACCCTTCCAAGCTCTGCTCACATCCAAGGCAGAGGCTGGAAGCTGAAAACCACACTGCCCAGACCCTCTTGCTAGCAGGCTTTTGGAATTCGGCCAAGTCGATGCTCATGTGAGATTCTGAAAGCAGAAAGGAACACCATGATTTTCCTCTGGTGGAGGCAGACATGTGGCTAGAGGAGAAGCCTGGAATCTGCACAGATTCAGGACAAGCTTCTGTGAATCCCCTGCTAGGTGCTAAGGGGAGCCACAGTCACAGGTGCCAGCTTCACTGCAATGCCTGCACTCCGTGAACTGCCAGAAGTCCGCAGTTCCTCCTCCTGGACTTTAGCACCCAGTCCTGGAGATGGTTTGAAAAACAGCTGATTTCCAGAATTAAGCACTCTTCTCAAAAAACTTCAAGTTGTTTCTGTTTTTTCTTACTGGACCCTGACAGATACAACCCCCAACACTCCTCTCCATTCCCCCCAAAACAATAACGACATTTAAGATGGGTTATAAATTAAGAATCTTCGGCCAAACTAACGATGGGGATGCCAGTGATGTCTAAATAAGGTGGGTACATCCAAGGGCATCCAGCCCCAAGCCAGAAGGCAGCAATCATCCGTGAAAAATGGAACGTCCAACAAAGGGGGACATGGCCCTCCGTGTATTGGCTAGAGGATCACACCCTAGCGTGGTTTCTTGAAGAGGTCATCCCTTTTAGAATTTGAGGGGGGCTTGAAATTACTAATCATATCATCATATGTGTTACAAACAATCTAAGACGGTCACCACGGCTGCAGCCAGTTGATACCTTCTGACCGTGGCTACTTAGAATGACCCTGCACCGTGCAGGCCCACACCATCATGGAGGGGCTGGTGCACCGGGCACACCCTTGGAGCCCGTCACTGCCTCAACTTCAGCTCTGTGATGACACGTAAGTGCAAACCTTCCTGCCTGGTCAGACGCTCTCAAGCCTGAATGCTCCTGAGCTGTGTGCAGAGAAAGCAAGCCCTCAGCCAGCACGACTGTTATGGCTGGCTTGGAAGGCACACCAGGTCCCCAGAGGCACACCACTGTGACACTGTGGGATGTCACCCAGTGGCTGGGAGCCCAGGCATCCTCGGTGTCATTCCCAGGGCCTGGTGTGCCAACCACGGTGGGGACATGCTAGCCATGCCGGGCACAGGCCTGTCTGGCAAGCAGCAGTGTAGCCATGAAGCCGCTTCTGCTGTCCATGCCTAGAAGTGGCCTCCGTGTGTAAATGACCCCATGCAACTCCAAGGACAGGAACAAAGAGGGGCCAGAAGACGAAACAGATCCTCCACAATGAGAAAGCATCTTCTCCATCAGGCTCCATTACAGACTTGGACTCAACTGGCCAGGCAGCAGGAACTGCTTCACGCGGGGCACCCAACACCACCTGCCAGAGCCCCTAACTCTAGTGGTGGACAGAGGTGAGATCTGCAGACAGGGATGAAGCTGCTGTGTCGGCATCATGAGACCCCCCAATACTTTAAACCCCAGGTAATTGTAAGATATGTAGGGTGTGAGGCTCATGCCTGTAATCCCGGCACTTTGGGAGCCCAAGGTGGGCGCATCACCTGAGGGCAGGATTTCAAGACCAGCCTGGCCAACATGGTAAAACCATGTCTCTACTAAAAATACAAAAATTAGCTGGGCTTGGTGGCACGTGCCTGTAATCCCAGCTACTTGGGAGGCTGAGGCACGAGAATCTCTTGAACCCTGTGAACCCTGGAGGTGGAGGCTGCAGTGAGCCAACATCATGCCACTGCACTCCAGCCTGGGTGACAGAGTGAGACTCTGTCTCAAAAAAAAAAAAAAAAAGATGTGTAATATAAAAGTGTCCAGCGTTTAAAAAGAGCAGGACATTGCATCAGGTCATAGCTGAGACTGGGTGGTCTGAGGATGACACAGAGCAAAGGATTTAAGCAGGTGGCGGGTGCCGTGGGCTGTCCCTTGGGGTCTCTGTGGATAACCCACCCCCAGCACTAACCTGTGAGTCTCCAACACCCAGAAGCCAGTGGGATCCAGAGGCCATTATGTATTTAGACAGTAGCATCTGTGGAGTCCTTGCACGTGCCGGCTGTGTATCCTTGGAAAAGTCCTGGTGCCTTGCTGGACAGTGGAAGGGGTCTCAGAACATAATATTTGGACTATTGCTATAAGAGGCATATTGTACTTTCAGAACCTGTGGAAATAGGCCAGAGTGTTGTTCTTGGGTGCGGAGATGCCTAGGCTGCTACTCTAATGACCCAAGGACCATAAGCTCCCTTCCCCTGTCATAACCCTAATCAATGATGCCTGCAGCTCTTCATGTATTCCCTTCATATATACAAAGGGTGCGGCAGGAGACAGGGCCAATGTCCAACTCCTGGTGCAGCTGGACGTCTCTGGTCCATTTGTACTCGCCATTGTGATTGACTTGATGACTTTGCCTGCTTCCTAGATTATAAGATTCTCCTGACTGTTGGTTGGAACCATGCTTTGAATTTTTTTTTTGGAGACAGAGTTTCGCTCTTGTTGCCCAGACTGGAGTGCAATGGCGCCATCTCAGCTCACCGCAACTTCTGCCTCCCGGGTTCAAGCGATTCTCCTGCCTCAGCCTCCCGAGTAGCTGGGATTACAGGCATGTGCCACCACGCCCTACTAATTTTGTATTTTTAGTAGAGATGGGGTTTCCCCATGTTGCTCATGCTGGTCTCGAACTTCCAACCTCAGGTGATCTGCTGGCTTCAAACTCCCAAAGTGCTGGGATTACAGGCATGAGCCACCATGCCTGGCCATGCTTTGAAATTTATTTAGCGTACACCACCATTATCCAACACCATCAACACAACCATCACCACCACTATCATCAGAATCAGAATCATCAGAATCATTGTGATTTTTACCTTGAGTTTTTCTGCCTTCCAGCATTCTGTTTCCTTCCTATAAAGTCTGCCGTAGACAAATGACACCCTCACTGAGAACAGGAGTTTGTTGTAACCTGCACTCTTTCAGGCCACCAAGGTCAAAGCCCACTACTCCTACATTCTCCATGTCTAACCAGCCATCAGCCATGTTGCTGGCTTTTCTTTTATCCTTATCTCTGTGTTTCTCTTTCCTATGACTGCTGCCACATTTGTTTGTATTTGTTTTTGTCTTCTTTTTTTTTGAGATGAAGTTTTGCTCTTGTTGCCGAGGCTGGAGTGCAATGGCGTAATCTTGGCTCACCGCAACTTCTGCCTCCCAGGTTCGAGCGATTCTCCTGCCTCAGCCTCCCGAGTAGCTGGGACTACAGAAGCCTGTCACCACACCCGGCTAATTTTTTGTATTTTTAGTAGGGATAGGGATTCACCATGTTGGCCAGGCTGGTCTCAAACTCCAGACCTCAGGTGATCCACCCACCTCGGCCTCCCAAAGTGCTGGGATTGCAGGCATGAGCCACCGTGCCTGGCTTGTTTTTGTCTTTATGTGAACACTCTGTTCCACAAAGGATTTGAAGTCCGAGCCCAGGGTTTGATCAGCTCATGCCTTGATATTCCTGACCTTCTCTCCTCAGAGACACTGCTTGTTTTGCCACTGTCTGGGCCCTCCTATGTTCCTTCACCCTTGGGACCAAGAAAGGCAACATAAAAACTTCAATGGCTTCTGCTGTCTCTGGGAAGAAGGATCTGACCTATGAGAGTCCACATCATATCATTAGTTGTCCCTAACCTGCATTGCCAGCATAACGAACCTACTGCCCACCCACACCTGAGGACCTCAGAGCACACAGGACTGGGGCACATCCTGATATGGGTTGGCTGTGTCCCCACCCAAATCTCACCTTGAATTGTAATAATCCCTATGAGTCAAGGGTGGTCCCAGGTGGAGATAATTGAATCATGGGGCTGGTTTCCCCCACACTGTTCTCATGGTAGTGAATAAGTCTCAGGAGATCTGATGGTTTTATAAGTGGGAGTTCCCCCGCACACATTCCTTGCCTGCCACCATGTAAGACATGCCTTTGCTCCTCCTCTGCCTTCCACCATGGTTGTGAGGCCTCCCTAGCCATGTGGAACTGTGAGTCCCTTAAACCTCTTTTCTTTATAAATTACCCAGTTTCAGGTACGTCTTTATTAGCAGCATGAGAACAGACTAATATAGGTCCTAAGGAGATCAGCTACCCTCCCAGACCAGCTCCTCCAGGGCTGCTTTCTGCAGATACAGTTTATTTAGACACTGTTCCCTCTTCAAGCATGGCTTGGAACACTGCATCTTGCACACCGTGGGTACATGCCTTGGGGCATGCCTGACCAGATTTGGGTGCCAGTTGTACCATTTAAGAACTGGATGACTCCAGTGAAGTAATGAACCTTTCTATGCTAAAGTGTCATCATCTGGAAAATAAGACTCACCACAGAACTAACAACAACAAGTTTCAAAGGTTGTTGCACAGAAACCTCTGTTACTTCAAAAAGCTTTGACATATTTCTGCCATGAAATTAACATTTATTTGATCAATGGTACAGGAGTGGCCTTGGGTTTTGTTATCGTGAATTCCTAGACCACCACTGGCTGAATTATTCTCAGCCTCCCTCCAACCACCTGGAACAGGTGTTGTTTATTTTTCACATTGTGGCACTATTGACCCTAAACATTCTAAAGAATTCCCTGAGGGCAAGAAGCCATGCATTGCATGGCCTCTATTATCATTCCTCACAAAACCTCACACATACTAGGATGCATAAATATTAGGCCTCTAGTTCATCACCTATCATGGCGGTCCACCCTGGAGATGGCAGAGAGAACACCTGGGTGTATATTTTGGGATATCTGAGGGGGAGTATTCCTGATCAAGAGTCTTAGGAAATCATGTGGATGATTGGTGTTTTCTCCTGAACTTTATGGTCTCCATAGTTGATTACAAAAGAAAAACAAACTAATTAACCTTTTGAAAACATTCCTCTAATCAATGACATATTTTATGGTTTCATTAGCTATGGGCCCAAACTCAACAGGCAATCATATTTAATTCCTTGCATACCAATTTATAAAGGATAGTTTATGGCCGCCTGTTCACAAGCAGTGTAAAGTAGGATTCCCGCTGCAGGTTAATCCCTTTCTATATTGAAACAACATTAGGGCAGCCCAAGATATCACAGAGCCCTTGACGTCCTGTGATGAATGGGAGGTCTGCTTATGGCTTGGAATCTTTGGAGAGGGCTGCTTTCCCCTTCATCCTCTCCTGGGCAGTCACTGGAGTTTTATTAGTGGTGGCTGTCTTAAAGGTCCATTTGCTGTTGCTACAACAGAACACCTGAGACTGGGTAATCTACAAAGAAAAGAGGTTTATTGGGCTCATGGCTCTAAAGGCTGAAAGTTCAAGATCAGGCAGCTGCATCTGGTAAGTGCCTCGTCCTGTGTCATGACATGGCAGACAGCATCGCATGACAGAAATGCAAAAGGCAGCTTCGGTTTATAACATGGTAACTAATCATGGTAACTAATCCAGTTCTGCAAGAGCAAGAACTCACTCCCTTGAGAAAAGCATTCATTCCTCTTAATGACCTAATTTCCTCTTAAAGGCACCATCTCCCAACATCACCACACTGGGGCCACCAAACATGAGTTTTGGTGGGGCCAAACCATATTCAAGCCATAACAATGGCTTTTCTTGAGTTGTTGAACTTTCTCAGGCTGCCAGTGGAGACTTTCAATTAGGGAGTTGTTGACAGTCTCAGAAACACATTGCACATTTAAGCAGAGTTTTCATTGAGGATAAAGCACAAAGCTGGGGTGCATGTTACGATTCAACTCTTCTCACCCTCAGCACCCTCAACATCAGGTTTACCATCATCATTCCCACCATCTAAAGGCCACTGACTCTGCCCTAACTTTGCTACCATCCTATGGCTGTCATCCATCATCCCCACCACCTCAACTCCAGGAACAAAAGTGTTGTTTCCAGTTGTACTCTCATTTAGCCGCCTTTTGCCTCTCTGACCCCTCCTTCCATAAGAAAAGCAGAAGAGACCAGGCGAGGTGGCTCATGCCTGTAATCCCAGCACTTTAGGAGGCTGAGGCATGCAGATCACCTGAGGTCAGGAGTTTGAGACCAGCCTGGCCAAAATGGTGAAACCCTATCTCTACCAAAAATTAAAAAAAAAAAAATTAGCCAGGCATGGTGGTGGGTGCCTGTAATCCCAGATACTCAGGAGGCTGAGACAGGAGAATCACTTGAACCTGGGAAGCAGAGGTTGCAGTGAGCCGAGATCACACCATCGCACTCCAGCCTGGGAAACAGAGCAAGACTTCATCTCAAAAAAAAAAAAAAAAAAAAAAAAAAACAGAAAAAAGGAAAAGCAGAAGAGTAAAGTTACCTCCACTTTGGTTTTAAAATACTAGAACAGGAAGGAAATTTAGAGGGACAGAATTCCACGATATTAACCAGGATTTCCAATTGTTTCATTTCCCTTCAGATGGATCTTTCCCTGTGTTCAATCAGAGGCAGCCAATTCACTAAGAGAGAATTAGGGGTTTTTATAGCTTAAATTTTTTTTAAAATTTAAAACCATAGTAAATATCAAAACCTTAAGAAAAATGTCTTTTGGAGTTGTAAGAACTAGCATATTTTAAGTACAAAAAAAATTTAAAACATATGGATGCTGTTAATTTAGGAAGGAAGACTGATTCTATAAAAACTTGTTTTCCTACCAAAAAAGAGATAAAGTTCATCAAGTTATGAGAAGGAAGAGAAGAAACAAACAGATGAGAAACGGGGCTCGGACGCCTGTGTGTAGGTCCCTAAGTCACCCCGTCTTCATCTCCCTTGTACCCAAGTCACACGTAATCAAACAGCCTCACACCTGGATCCTCCTAAAGAATCTCTGGCCAAGAGCAGCTTGTAAAGTCCCAGGTGACAAATCTTCCTGCTTGCCCAGAAATGAGAGGCTTCCCAAGTTACAGGATTTCCTCTGCTAACACCAGGAAAATCTGAGATGATCAGGAGCAGTGGGTCACCCTTCAACAGGACTCACCTCATAAAAAGATGATTCGTTTTTCACAACGGGAATTGAGCAGGGTGTAGACAGAGCAGAAGAAGAAGAAAAAAGGAGGGAATAAGGGAAGCAAATGGAAGATGAAATGCTGTCACAGAAGTGTTGCCGAGGGCCTGAGAATCATTACCTGACCAATGACCATGAATTCAGAGAACGTGATGAATAAAGAGCTAAGTCAGAGCTCAGGTTGCTCAGGAAACCCATGGAGGAGCACGAAAAGGTGAATGAAACTGTGGCTCGTAGAACTCAGAGAGGTAGTTGAGGGGGAAAATGTTTCCATCACCAAAATGAATGCCAATTTGGACGCAGCACAAAAACAAACAGACACTCCCGGGAATAGGTTTGAGGCACACAGTGGATATGGCCGAGAAAGCAACATGAAGTGAAACTGCACTAAGCCAAGAATTTAAGATGATTAGGGAGGAAATAATAGATAATAAAAACAAAAAAGGACCAGGCCAGAGCATAATTGTGTTCCTAAAGAAAGGAGAGAAATAGTACACAGACCTGATTCAAGAAAATTTTTCTGAAATAAAATAAAACTCTAATCTAAAGACAAAAGGCCTCACTGTATTCCAAGGAAAAAGGACCATCTATAACAATCAACACCAAGATATAGACTAGACTAGTAAAATTACTGGAGTTTAATAATCACAAACGAATCCTTTGAGCATGTAGGAAAACATACCAAGACACTCGTAAAGGAAAATAAACATTCTAGCTAGCCTCAGCCTTCTCCCAAAAATTATTCAAAAAACCGTTCCTAAAAAATCTTCAAAAAATGTTTTTTCTCAACTGAAAACATTCAGATATCAGAGCAGAAGACAGCTATTTTTGTACATTCAAAGATCAAGGAATATAATTTTGGTGGGTAGGGAGAGAAACCGCAACAAAAGAATGGACGTAAAAATGGAATGTGCTCCATTGCAGTCTTAAGACCAAAGTAAGTGCGGGAATTATGGCTCTATAATAGGAGGCAAACACGATAAATCATGTCAATATAGAAGTAATATAACCAATAAAAGAGATAGGGTAAGAGAGAGAAGCCCACTGAAAGGAGTTGTTTAGGGTGGAAAGTGGGAAAAGCATATTCTGGTGTTTCCATATTATTGTTGTTGGGCTCAAAAGATAATATTTAAGCTGATGATGTAAGTAAAAATATAGAATTAAACATATAAAGTCGAAGAGCAAACCCATAAAAGGACCAGGTCCAGACAGTTTCAAAGATGGATTCTCTAAACTCTGTAACGTCACATTTTTATGACATTGCTTTGACGGTTTCAGAAAACACAGAAAAGGAAGAAATCTTCCAGATCACTTTTATAAAGGTGGAATTATAATAAAACCAAAACAGTACAAAGAAAACACAAGAAAGATACTAATCTCACCTATGAATACAATAGCCATGTAAATATGTTGGAAGCACCGTAAATATCAGAAAACAGGCTCCAAAACAAAATAAAAGAACCCCACAATAGGGCAAAGCAGAGTTTTTTCCAGGAATTCAATGATGCTTTAATAACTGGAGAATCAAATAACATGACTCACCATACTAATTGATGAAAAACGAGAAATCATATGATTAATTCCAAAGATGTTGAAAAGTCATTTAAGTATAGTTAATTCCATTTTTGATAGGTAAAACTCTTCGTAACACAGAAGTTAATGAATACTTTTTTGCTATAATTTTGTTCCTTTATGTATATAATGACAGGGAAAAAATCTCCTAGACAAATCATTTGTTAAAAAAAGAAGAAGATGCAGAAGAGTGTAGGTTTTATAAGAAAGAGGTGTAGCCGAGCACGATGGCTCACACCTGTAATCCCAGCACTTTGGGAGGCCGAGGAGGGCGGATCACCTGAGGTCAGGAATTCGAGACCAGCCTGATCCACATGGAGAAACCCCATCTCTACTAAAAATACAAAATTAGCCAAGTGGGGTAGCGCATGCCTGTAATCCCAACTACTTGGGAGGCTGAGGCAGGAGAATCGGAACCCGGGAGGCAGAGGTTGCGGTTAGCCGAGATCACACCATTGCACTCCAGCCTGGGCAAGAAGAGTGAAACTCTGTCTCAAAAAATAAAAATAAAAATAAAAAATAAAAAAAGAGAGAGACAGAATGAAGTATAGTGAGTGGACATCTCTGTGAATACAAACAAGCAACAGGTGTGAGTCATAGCCTTTTGGAGCAGAATAGGGTAAAAAGAAATACTTTTTCCTGTATTCTATTCAAACATTCAAAATGCATACCTTCTAATAAGTATATTTTTTATAGCCATAACCAGTTTACAAAATTGTTATTCTAGAGCAGTGACTTTCACGCTCAGGGACACTGGCAGTGTCTGGAGACACTTTGGGTTGTCACAACTTGGGGGTAGAGGGTAGAGGTCACCAGGTGCTGGAGGTCAGGAATGCTACTCAACATCTTGCACAGCCCAGGAAGCCGCCTACAACAAAGATTTATCTGGCCCCACGTGTCACTGTTGCCAAGGTCAAGAAACTCTGTTACAGAGTGATAATTTCTACCACATAGGTAACTACGAGGCGATCAAAAGCGTATGGAACTTAAATCAGGAAATCTAAAGTTTCCTCTGTCATTTATTAGCTATTTGACCTTCGGTAAATCATTCCCCCATACAAAGCCTCACTCTCCTCACCTATAACTGTAAGATGATTGTGTAAAAGCAAATGATGTAATGTCTGGGAAATGGCCATGTAACGCCAAACAACTGCTTGGTTGGAGAAGAAGGAAGGTGGACCCATTAGAACCCTGTCCTGGGAACTCACCGCCTAGTGGAAGAGGTGACAAGTAAACAGAATTGCAATGTGTATTTACGTGATAAGACAGAGGCATGCAGGGAGCTTTGGAAGCAAGGCTTGGAGGCCACTTCAGGCAAATCGGATGTATACAAATTAGAAAGCCTCCAGCATACTGGGCATGCTGGTGCCCAGAGAGACATCCTCCTTGGCTCCCCAGTGCCCTAAGCAAAAGCCGAGCTTCACCTCCCAGCACACGACCTCCCTGTTCTGACCCTGAGAGCCCACCAGGACTTCCCCTTCTCTCCAGCCCTCATTCTGCAAGCACAACCTAGGACCTGGTTTAACTTGGGATTCTCTGTCGTGGAACACACCTGAGTGGAGCCCAGCAGGACAGGTGTTCCTCTTCACTTCCATTTTGTTCTTCTAAAATTGAGATGGAAGAGGCTCTTTTCAGGCTGGAGCCATGCAGAGTCTCAAAGAGGAAAGAAAGAAGACCTCTGCTGTGATAGAAACCCTTAAGAGACAGTGAAGGAATTTCACAGACCTGAACATCAACTGCCGGAGAAAGAAGTTTGCCCAAAAAGTGCTTCAAAAGGTAAGGAGGAAGCTTATCTATGAGAACACTGTGACTACCACAAAGAACACAGAAGGAGGCACAGAGCTGGGGTCTGGATGGCTGGGACAACAAGGAAAACCTTGTGGGTGCCTGCAGAAGCCAGGCTGACCTTCGTCATCGGGATCAGAGGTGTCAGAAGTGTGAGCCTGAAGGCCTAAGAGGTGTTGCAGCTTCTTTACCATTTTTTTTTTTTTTGCAAATGGAGTCTTGCTCTGTCATGAGGCTGGAGTGCGATGGTACGATCTTGGCTCATGTCAACCTCTGCCTCCTGGGTTCAAGCGATTCTCCTGCCTCAGCCTCCTGAGTAGTTGGGGTTATAGGCACCTGCGACCACGCCCAGCTAATTTTTGTATTTTTAGTAGAGATGGGGTTTCACCACGTTGGCCACGCTGGTCTTGAACTCCTGACCTCAGATGATCCACCCGCTTCAGCTTCCCAAAGTGCTGGGATTACAGGCGTGAGCCACTGCGTCCAGCCTAGCTTCTTTACCTTTGCTGTGTCTTCAAATAACTTTTGTTAAGCTCTGCAAGGCTTCAGTTATGCTGAGGCTGGAGGGCTCAGATGCTGTCTTGCATGGGGAGACCTAAACGCAGAGTCAGTAAATGAGCTGATCTATGGGCAAAATCAATGGGAAGCAAATTACCTTGACAGAGAGCTTTTTGATTGCTGGACCTCTTGGGAAATACAGTATCATCTGCATCAAGGGTCTGATTCCTGAGCTCTATACTGTTGGAAAACGCTTCAAAGAAGCAAACAACTTTCCAGGGCTCTTCAAGTTTTCTCTATGAGCTGGAGTGAGGGACCACCTACTTTATGGAAGGAGCTGCTGGCAGCAGGAAAGACCAGACCAACAAACTCATTAGAAGGATGAGCCAAGGTGCCTCCCATGGTTATTGTAAACTGGTCAGTTAGGAAACAGTGACTACTTTCAAATCGAAGAAACACTGAGATGCAGGAAAATAACTTAGGTTCTAGTTAGATACATTGGCTTTGATGTAGGCATGTACTAATTAAATTAATAGCTATGCAAATATTATTCTTAAAGTTTATCTTTACATGGAGAATATTTTTAAATAGCCTTTTAAGTCCCTAGATAAATTTTTGTTATTCCTTCAAGGCAAGAATTCTGTTGTACAAAAGTCTCTGTCCACAGAAGCATTGACTTGTCACCATAGTGCAGTGATGTTTTTGCACTGATGTGAAGATTATGGACCATGGCTTCCTTAGACACAAAAATTGAACAATAATCTCTCCCTTGTTTATGTTTAGGAGTTTTCAGTTATATATGACTTTGAAGTAAGCCTGTGAGGCAGCCAAGCCTTACTTGCCTAATTTTTTTCAAGTGAGGAAACTGCATCTGAGAAAGCTAAAGTGACTTTACTGAGATATCATAGCTCCCTTGGTGACCTAAAAGTGGACTCCAAAGTTAACATTCAGATCTGAAACTCTTAGCTGAGAGCAGCCCATGCAAGTACCTGAAAATGTAATATTCGAAGACACTTAACATTAAAGTATGTTCAATAAAGCCAGTCAAGAATATAGTACCCATCTAGACATCATCTTCATCAGACAGTGAAATTAAATTAGATTTCCCTGATAACCAGCTTTAGTAAGCCCATTTGCATTACGAGTGTGAGATTAGAAATGGAGTAATTCAGTAATGAAGCTGCTTGCAGAATTTCTGAGCATACATTTGGGTTCAAGTCGGTCTTCCATTCCAATTCAGAGTCATAAAGTTTCAGCTTTAATGTGGACCTGAAGGTCACGCGGTCTAAATCCAAGATTCAAGTCTAAACCACTGAGCTTCCACCAAAATGGCCATCCAGTCCCTCTCTGAGCAGTCTTCTTCCACTGCCCCTGGGAAGGGAAACTGACTTTAGTCCAAAGCATCCCTTTCCACATGAGGTTATTCTGTTCCTCAAGGCCACACAAGACTCCTCAATCACCACTTGACAGTTGTATGTATTTTCAAAGCTTGCATCCCTTTCCCCCTTTGACTCTTACCCCCTTCCTGTGCCTGTTAGTCTAGCTTCTATTTATTGTAAAATAGTTTGCCCTTGATGAATGGGAGTTGATAGATTTGTTCCGTTCTTAACAGAAAGATACAGGTCAGGCCAGGTGGAGAAACTTGCAAGAATGGAAGTGCCCTTAGGATGCGGCTGGGGCTGCACAAGAGGGAAAGTGGGGCTCTGACTGAGAGCAAAAACGAAGGTCAGAGCATTTGAGTCCAAATCAGACCTTGCCACCAAGTTTGGCTCCAGAGGAGGCTGAAGTCAAGAAGAGATCTCTGGCTAAGGTAACATGAAGCCTGGGTACTGCAGGACCACAGACATCTCCTGAGGACCTATGTCTCCCAGAACTCGACATTTTTGGGGTCACAGGCCATCTCAAGCCAACATTATTCTGTTATCCTCTCACCTCTCAACCACTGCCACCAGATCTCAGCATCTTCCTCATAATAATTATTTTGCCAGTTTAATCAAATGAACTAAAAGCTATCTTACTGAAATATTCTAGTGTGTATTGCCAGAGAGAGGAGGGAAAAGATATGAAGAAGCAGAAAATTAAGGCAATAAAGAAGATGAGGGTGAGGAAGCAGGAGGAAGAGGAGGAGTTGAAGGGGATGAAGAAGAAGATGAAAAAGGAGGAAGAGGAAGAGATGAAGGTAATGAAGAAGGAGGAAGAGGAGGGGGAGATGATTGTGATGAAGGTGAAGAAGAGAAAGAGGAGGAGGAGATGATGGCAATGAAGTTGAAGAAGGAAGAGGAGGAGGAGTTGAAGGTGGTGAAGTTGAAGAGGAAGGAGGACAAGGAGATTAAGGTGATAAAGAAGATGAATAATAGAAGTGATGAAAGTGATGAAGAAGATGAAGGAGGAAGAGTAGAAGGAAATGAAGGTGATGAAGATGAAGAAGGAGGAAGAGGAAAGAAGAGGAGGAGATGAAGGTGATGAAGGTGATAACAATGAGGAGATAAAAGTGATGAAGATGAAGGAGGAGGAGGAGGAGATGAAGGCGATGAAGAAGGTGAAGATGAAGATTAAGGGGAGGAAGAGATGGTGATGAAGAAGAAGGAGGAAGAGGAGAAAAATGAAGATATAGATGAGGAAGAGATGAAGGTGATGAAGAAGGCAGGGGATTAAGAGAAGAGTTCATTTCCAATCACTACTTTTGTAAAACTTCTAACTGCCTACAGCCTACCCTAACTGGGGTGGTCACCACACCCTCACTGGATGTCCTGAGTGATCCTCGAAGAGAGGCAGAGTGGAGTTCTGCTAGCCAGGCCTTTGTGAGCCCTTCAGAGAAGAGCAGTCCAACAGACTGGGCCCAGACCCCCGTCCACCAGCAAAGCAGTCCTAACCTGCTCCTCACTCAGGGCAGGATTAACTGCACCCCAGAGGGAGGCTCAGCATGCCAGCAGAGCCTGCAGGAAAATGAGCTTATGTTGATCTTCTTTCTTTAAATAAATGCACATTATCTACACATGTGGAAAAGATAGGCTAAGTATTTATTCAGCCAAGAAGTCCATATGCAAAGCTCAAGCAGAGCCAACTTCTGAGTAACAACCACAAACATTGTTTATCAAAGCAGTCAATTAGTAGCCACTTGACTAGAGTAGTTACATCCTAAAGAAGAGGATAATAGTGTTCTCTGGATGCATTGTTGCTGTTTAAAGGAACAATGCCCTTTTATTCTCTCCAGGGAGCATTTGATAATCCACTCCCCTGTAGTGCTGGCCTGCTGCTAGTTCAACCCAGGGAGGAGGATCCAATGGCACACAGCTGTGCGGCTCTCCAGATGCCATCTCTCCTCCATGTCAGGGAGACAGCAGGGTGTGCCAGCCTGGCCCTAAAATGCCCAGGAGCTCTGAGGTTGGGGGAACACCAGATGAAGGGGGATTCAACTCTTGGGATGCAGAGGGAGGACAATACAGACTGAGAAGCTGCAAGTATTTATTTAGCTATGAGTTTTCTTTGCCATGGTGCAGAGGACTCAAGAGCTGGGACGTAGAGAAATGGACCTTGCTCAAGACCATGGGAACCCACCTCTTGCATCAGCGTGACCTGGATATGACACCTGGAGTCAAAGGAGATCATTTTGAAGCTTTAAAATTTGACTGCCCTTCTGGATTTCAGACTTGCAGGGGTCCTATAACCCCTTTGTTTTGGCCAAATTCTCCCATTTGGAATGGCTGTATTTACCCAATCCCTGTACCCTCATTGTATGTAGGAAACAACTAGCTTGCTTTTGATTTTACAGGCTTGTAGCTGGAAGGGACTTGCCTTGACTCACACAAGACTTTAGACTGTGGACTTTTCAGTTAATGCTGAAATGAGTTAAGAATTTGGGGGACTGTTGGGAAGGCATGATTGGTTTTGAAATGTGAGGACATGAGATTTGGGAGGGGTCGGGGTGGAATGATATGGTTTGGCTGTGTCCCCAAACCAAATCTCATCTTGAATTCCCACATGTTGTGGGAGGGACCTGGTGGGAGGTAATTGAATCATGGGGGCAGGTCTTTCCTGTGCTATTCTTGAGATGGTGAATAAGTCTCACAAGATCTGATGGTTTTGAAAAAGAGGAGTCTCCCTGCACAAGCTCTCTTTTTGCCTGCTGTCATCCATGTAAGACGTGACTTGCTCCTCCTTGCCTTCCACCATGACTGTGAGGCTTCCTGAGCCATGTGTAACTATAAGTCCAGTTAAACCTCTTTCTTTTGTAGATTGCCCAGTCTCGGGTATGTCTTTATCAGCTACATGAGAACAGACTAATACAGACCTCTACAGGCTTATCCATCATCATGATCATAATTACCCATAGTGTTATCATGGGCTCGCACCGGTGTTCAAGAGGCTACCACCAGCACCTGCCACTCATCATCCCAGGCAGTCCCTAGCAACTCCAGGAGAAAGATGCAGATTCTGTGATGGAGAGAGCAGCGTGCTCATAGTGCGATGTGGGCAGAGTCAAGAGAGTAGATGTAGCGGACAAGGAGTCTGAGATGGACCTGGCCATGCACAAAGGGGCAAAGGCATTCCTGGTGGAGGGAGCAACTTGCACAAAGGCTTGGAGGTGTGGGGTAGTGCCCATGCAGCCTGATCATAACTCTTGGCTCCATACGTTCACCTCCAGATCTAGGCTCTGTGCAAGGGCCAAGCCCTCCCTGAGCCATCACACGCTGCAGGAGGACCACCCAGCTCTGGGCTGGCTGGCCTGGCTCAGACCCACCACCAGCTGCATCTCCTCTATCCCTGAGGCTTCATTTTCTCCCCTGTAAAATGGGAATCATTTTATCTACTGGAAAAATTAAGGAGTAGAAATAATGCCCATTAAGAACCTATCAGTGGCTACAACCAGCAATGCAGCAATATTGTTTTTCACCCAACCAGGAGAGGAAAAAACAATTGAGGCATAGACTAATCTTCAGAAAGCTGAGAGAGGAACATAGGTGCAAATCTGTTAATATTATGATGATGATGATCACCCTCCATATCATCATCTTCTCTATCAAATATCAGTTCATACATTATAATAATATGTATTATCCCTAGTAGAGCTGAGAGGAAATTATAGTAGGATTCCTGAGGATAAATTAGTTTTCTTTCCAGAACACTGTGCTTAACTTAGAAGTCATTATGCATCTACTGTTAGAAGCATTCCTTAAATATAACCCAGTAAATATATGTGATGTTCTCCATGGCTATTAATAGCCTAACTCTATTTATTAAAGGAAAAAATGAAACAACAAGAAAGAAAAGGTAAATCCAGACTAGCAGAGGGTTGATGCACTCAGGCAGAAGCCTGTTTATAAAAGTCAGTGAAGCCCCACTTTGGAGTATACCCACTAAGGGTCAGGTGCCTCCTGCTGATCCTAGACCCGGCCTCGGCCCAGGGTGGGGTGAGTAGTAAACCACTAATAGCGGTCAGATAAAACCTCTGCTGGAAGAAAATTCCCTGCCACTCCTCTCCGCGCAGGGCCTGGCACAGAGACAATATTCAATGCATGCACATTAAGTTAACAAACATTTCTGGGAAGTGTCTCCTGTCCTCACTCTGCCTCTGGCTGGCAGATAATCCTATGCAACTCCACAGCACACAGGGGTAACCCAGGGACCCATGACAGCAGAGGGGGACAGCAAAGGGGCGAATCTTCTTTCCCAAGAGGGGTCTGAGCAAACTTCCCTTCCAAGTTAAAGGGAAGGGAAGGCCCCCCTCTGCCGGTTGGGATTCCCGTGCTCCAGCATTTTTCACCACCTTTCTCTTCCCAGGATGGGCCCCTGCATGCCTTCGCCCTGTCCTACAATAACTTGGCACGCCTTCTCCCCATGCTTCTGGACCAATACAGAAACCTTCTGAGGTGGAACCTTCCAGTGGGCAAACTCGGGGCACTGGGCGGGTAGAAGGAGTGTGGAGCCCACAGTTTCCCAGGAGCCCAGCAAAGCACTCGATCCTTCTGAAGCCCAGTTTCCTGAGCCCAATGCCTCTTTCTGGGAACAAAAGGCAATACTGTCCACCTGGTATCTGTAAAAGCCAGACACAATGGCAGCAGCCCTGCCCTGGCTCGGTTACTCCTTTGTGGCTGACACGCCCATACCTGAGTCCCCTATACTGTGGAAGTGGGGGATGGAACTGGAGACCCCAAATCCCACTCTTGAATCACATTCAGGACTCCCCAGCAAGGATGGCTGCATCAATCCACCACTGAGTTGAGCTGAGGAGACCAAACTCCTGCCACGGGTGCATCAGCCGTGTGTTTGGCCACCTTCACGATTCTCTGAAGGGATGTTCTCCACATGGGTCTCCCAAGTGAGTAAGCAAGGGTCAGCCAGTTGCTCACCCATCTCAGAGTCGTGGCTGCACACTCTGTCCTCAATTTCAGGATGTTCACGAAGAGAGGACAGAGCAAAGGGTCCAGCACGCACAAAAAATTACACTCAGCTCTAGCACAAGCTGAGAATAAGCATTCATGAGTGTTTTCCACAGGGCACCTTTCCAGCCATTCTGGGCGTTTCTGTGCTGTGTGCATCAGCTAACGATTCCCTTCAGCTGATGATAGTGATGATAGTGAGGGTGGTGATGATCATGATGTTGGTGATGATGATGGTGATCATGATGGTGGTGATGATAGTGATTATAATGATGATGGTGATGGTGGTGATGGTGATGATGATGGTGATAGTGATGATTGTGATGATGGTGACAATGATGGTGATGTTGGTGATGATGGTGACAATGATGGTGGTGATGATGATGGTGATGGTGGTGATGATGGCGACAATGATGGTGGTGATGATGATGATGGTGATAGTGATGATAGCGATGATGGTGATGATGATTTTGGTAATGATGATGGTGATGGTGATGATGGTGATGGTGGTGATGATCATGGTGGTGATGATGATGGTGGTGGTGGTGATGATGGTGGTGATGACGATGGTGATGGTGATCATGGTGGTGATGATGGTGGTGATGGTGATGATGGTGATGATGATGGTGTTGGTGATGTTGATGATGATAGCTAATATCAATGAGTTTTTATTATGTGCCAGGGAGTCTGCTAAGAGCTCTACTTTCAGTATCTTATTAAAGTACATAAATTTGATTTTCATTTGTTTAAAGAGTTTTTCTTCAAAAAAATTATGCTGAAAAAGTATGAATACACTTTCCTGACAATTTAAAATATTCTTTGAAAAGCAGAAATCACCTTAGACCCATCAGAGATTTGTCCCAATTCCCTGGGTATTTTGAATAATTGTGTTAGGATATTAGAAGCAGTACTGTCACTGTCCCTCTCTCTCCTCTGTGTGTGTGTGTGTGTGTGTGTGTGTGTGTGTGTGTGTGTGTGTTGTACAGGTTCTCTAGTGTGTATGCCAACTCTCCTGCACACCTGCACTCTGGTCCACGTGCCTGTGCCCCTTGCAGGTGTGCAACACCAAGTCCAGATCTGCCTGAAAGCCTTCCCTCCATTCCCGTTTCTTTTCCTCTGCTTAGTTGGGAAGGAGGAATGGCAGGCCTCTGTTTGTTCCAGAAGAGACAATTTGAAGCAACGCTGGCAGAACAAAACTCTGGCCTAATACCTTTCCAAAAAGCATATTGCTTTTTGTAGCTGCAGCAGCTGAGAGTCCAACAGCTATTCCCCAGACAACCCAGCATAGAGGATGGCTATTTTTAGACTGTATCACACCTAAGAATCTGTGCAGAAAAGATACTGTGCCAAGCAGACATGCTATCCCTTCCTCCAACAACCACTTAGCCTGATGCAGAAGGAGCAGGCTGCCTGCATTTTTTCTTAATGTATCAGATTCCAGCAACAATATGGCATTCTCTTTGAATTCTTTTCAAGTGTCTGGTATATGTTCGTACCTCTTGATAGCTATTATTACAGTGCCGAAGTCAGTCCAATGCCAAATGACAGAATGAAAACTGAAAACATATAACCATCACGTGTACTTAACTTTGTGGGCAGAATATCACTACATCTGGATGTCTGAGCACATTTTGATGTTTGACTGCATTTTCAGTTTTCACTGAGATGTTTGGCATCAAGTGGGATATTCACACCCAAAATAACATTAACATGGGGATGTGCAAAATCTCTTTACATTATAAAGTAAAAAGCACTGGCACTTTTCAAATCTTGGAACCAATACAATTTGTCCAGGGATAGGATGCACTTGCTGGCAACTGTTCATTTTTTGTTAACTTTATTACCTTCATCACCATCACAATCATCACCATCACCATCAACACTATCATCACCATCACCACCATCACCATCACCATCAACACTATCATCACAATCACCACCATCATCACCATTACCCATCACCACCATCACCACCACCATCATCATCATCACTACCATCCTTATCACCATCATTATCATCCTCACCATTAATGACTATCACTATGACGATCACCACCATCATTATAATATCATCATTGCTATCTGTAGTCAGTAAATGGATGCCCAGTTCTGTGCTCAGTATGTTCCACAAATTATCTCTAATCCTGACAGCAACCTTGCATCATAAGCACTAGATCCTTTTTATGTATTTATTTCTTCAAAGAAGGCTTACAGAAGTTGCAGTGACTTTTTTTGAAACTAAGTAGCTGTAAGTGGTCGGACTGAACCCAGTTTTGTGAAAGTCCATAGCCCTTTCCATCACACCAGCTTGTTCCCTAATGTGCTTAACTACCTCAAAAGCATGGACTGGACAACGATGAGGCATCTCAGTAGCCAGCTCACTGCTCTCTTGAATGGCTGAGGGAGTTGCTCCTGCATCAAGTTCTTCTCCCAGCCTTGTCTCCCCTTCACAACATAGCCTCCTGTGAGTGTCCCTGCAAAGCCAAGCCTTGTCTGGGAGCTGTCTCCTGGCTGTGGACTCTGTGGACAGCCTCAGGCCAAGACCTCCCAGCTTCCTGCATTGGCATCTGGCTCTTATAGGCGCTTAGCAAGTATTTATTGGCATATGCCTGTATTGACCTAATCTCAGTATGGAGCATACTTTGTATGAGGAAATAGCTGCCTCTGTGCCAAGGAGGCCATGTCTGAAGTCACGCTCCACCACCACTGTCCAGGCGGCCTCAGAGCCCTTGACATCTGGAAGTCCAATTAGACCCCTCCCATCCCTCACCAAACCCTACTGGTATTACCACTAAAGTATTTATCAAACTCACACTCTTCTTTTCCAGGTTGCCTTGACATCACTTTTTCAGAATACATAAACCAACCTGTAAATATGTGCCTTACTTAGTCTTCTCCATCTATGGAAATGGCCTCACTTTGGACTCAACTTTTCACAGGAAACAAACACATGAAATCTTGCAACTGCCCTTGACTACTACCTCCACTTTTTTTTTTTTTTTTTTTGAGATGGATCTTGCTATGTTTGCCAAGCTGAGGTGCACACTGGAGTGCAGTGGCACCATCACTGCAGCCTCAACCTCCCAGGCTCAAGTGATCCTCCCACCTCAGCCTCCCAAGTGGCTGGGACTACAGGCACACACCACCACACTCAGCCATCTAAAAAAAATATTTTGTAGAGACAGGTTCTCTCTATGTTGTCCAGGCTGGTCTCAAACTCCTGGGCTCAAGAGATCCTCTCACCCCAGCCTCCCAAAGTGCTGGGATTACAAGCATAAGCCACCATGCCCCATGGCTCTTCCACTCTTTCCCCAAGCCCTGTACACAAGAACCATCAGACCCTATTAGCTTCAGCATCACCATAGAGCCTGACCTACCACTTCTCATACCCTCACTCCACTGAGGCATCCAGGCACCTCTCTGTCCCTTGGCCCGCTGCAGTAGACTCCTGACCAGCCTCTTGTAGTGCCCCCCAACATCTCTGCCATCTGTCCTCCACCTGGCTTGTAATTCTCCTGCTTAAAAGCTGCACATGCATATTCCATTTCACATCATTTCAGTCACAAAACAGCAAGCATAGCCTCCAAGGCCCTCGGTGGTCCAGCCCTTCCCATCTTCTTCATGCTCTTTTTGGCCATCCCCACTTCCTTCCTTCAGTAAATTACTCCAGCATGCAACCATTCTTTCCCTGCTTGGAGCTTCACTGCTGCAGTCATGACAGCATGGAACTCTTCCACGTCCTGCCTTGCCTGGCTGGCTCCCCATTGTCCCTGGGTCTCAGTTTGAAAATGGCTTTCCTGCCCTGGGCATCCCAACCCACCAAGCTGAAATCAGGTTCCTTTCTCATCAGTGGTCACAATATGCATCAGAATGTGTAAATGTGTATCTACTTGTCTTTTCACTTTTCTGTCTCCTCCCATCTCCGCCTGGACTGGAAGCTCCCTGGGGCACAGGCCTGGCCTTGCTCCTCGCAGAGTTCCCAGCCCTGATGGCAACACCTGGCACCCAGTAGGACTCAGTGCCCATGTGCTGGTTGGATGGATCAGTGACACAAGGAAACAGTCCCTGCCCTGCCGTCCTTCCAGGCCTCTCTGAGGCTCATGTCAGGGATGTTTGTCACATTAAGGCAATGTGTGGTTCTAAACCAGTGAGGAGCCAAACTACAGAACTAGCACCCATGTGAGGACAGATCTGTCCTGCTGGCTGGAAAGAAAGGAACCTAAATTACACCACACGCTACACATCAGTTCCCATGATTAATGCCTTTACTAGCATCTGAGATGGTATTTATTTGTACCAATGTATAGATGAGACACTGAGGCTCAGGCAACAATTTCCCTGGGGTACAATCCAGCAGGAAAGTGAAGGACCAGGACTCACAGTTGGTTGAGCCTGGAGTCCGGGCTGCCTTCCTCCCTTGGTGTACATCTTTTCCTTTCCAAACTGTCTCCATGATAGATGATAGATACATAGAGATGACAGGCAGATGATAAATATATAGATAATTGATAGATAGACAATAGAGATGATAGGTAGGTAGATGATAGAAAAATTATAGAGATGACAGGTCAATAGATAGATGGTAGATAGGTAGGTGGGTAGATAGATGATAGAAAGATAGATGATAGGTAGATAGATGATAGATGATAGAGATGATAGGTAGATAGAAATGATAGGTAGATAGGTGATAGGTACATAGATACATAACAGAAAGAGATGACAGGTAGATGGATAACAGTTAGATGATAGATAAATGATAGATAGAGATGATAGGCAGATAGATGATAGATCGATCAATAGATAGATTAGGTGATAGACTGGATAGATGATAGATAGATAGATAGATAGATAGATAGATAGATAGATAGATAGATTAGATGATAGATTAGATAGATGATAGATAGATAGATTAGATAGATAGATAGATCGATACATAGATAGATACATAGATAGATACACAGACAGATGCATAGATACACAGATAGAGATAGATAGACAGAACAACCCATACATCCATATGCCAATAGCCAGGCCAGCCAGTTCTTGGCCCTGTGCCCTTTGACCACCCTGCCACCCTGTTCTTGCCCTGGCCTCCTGGAATCCATTTCCCCATCTGCACATTTCTCACCCAGCTCACTCTGGCTCCTGCCCTGTTGCTCCACAGAACTCACTGTCGCTATGGTCCCTATGGCCACTGAGTTGCAAATCCTAGGGTTCTTTACAAGCACTCACACGTGTGGCCTATGGGGGTGAGTCCACAGGGACGGCCCCTCCCACTGACCCCACCCCACCTTCTCCTCCTTCCCCAGCTGCTCTGCACCCGCCTCCTGTCCAGTGCTGGACTTCAGCAGTACCCCTTTAAGATGCCTAGTAAGTCTTTTTCCAATTTCTCATGAAAGATCCTGGAAAGATGTGAAAATGTGAAAACCTGTATCACCACTGAAAAACAAAATTGACAATCTGGCAAGCAAAGAAGGACTTTAGACAAAGTTGCACAGAAAAACAGTTATGGGATGTTTGTAGAAACAGAAGGAACCTCCTCACATGGTGTGAGTGGGGGGTGCGCATTAGCAACAGCTCATACTGAACCACCTGTGTAGGCCACACTGGGAAATTTATTTTTCCCAACACCTCTATCCATCAAGCACTGTTATTACTTCCATTTTATAGAGGAGGAGACTGAGGCTCAGAGAGGTTAGACGCATGGCCCTAGATCACACAGCATGCAAGGGCTGGGGCAGGGCTTGCTTGGAGAGCCTGCGTCTTAACTCTTGAAGCACCTGCCGTCTGGGCCACGAATGGCCGGGTGGAGAGGGGAGGACTGCTCCCTCCACCAGCTTTGAGTCTTCACCTCAGGTGCCCCTGATGCAGAAATGCAGCATTTCCACCATCATAAAGCCATACCCCTCTGCTATGCTTATCATCCACCTTCTGGGGCAGCCAGACATGGGCCTCCTACCCCCAGCACAGAAGTGTGTTTCCTTCATGGCCAGGAAAAGGTTCCCAGGCAGAGGTGGCGGAGGCACAGCTGGTAAGGGCTGAGGAACTCAGGAGACAAGGCTCCGTGCGGGGCAGAATCTGGATGGGCCTCTCCCCTGCAGAAGGAAGCCTCTTGCCTTCCTTTTCTTTCCTATCTTTTCTGTTTTTTTTCTTCTTTTCTAAAGTAACCACTATTTAATATCATGTTTAGATTTTACCTATACATATCTTACTGTGCATCTCCAAAAGAAAGGTCTTTTTAAAAGCATGTCCAAAATATCATCCATATCCAATAAATGCTTACGTGTTACCAACTGTCTACATTGTAATTTTGCTAGTTCACATCTGAATCCAAGTAAGACCCATATTTTGAAACTGGCTGATATGTCTCCAAAAGCCTTTGTTTTTTCAGTCCTGAAGTCTGGTACTCACGCCTTTTCTTCCCTTTGTGCTATATGGATCAACAAAGCAGGGTTGTTTTTCCTGTAGAGCCCCCTGTAGTCTGCATTTTGTGTTTCAACGTCCCAGGGCTCCTGTAAACTGGGAGTTACATTTGGGGGCTTGATCGGATTCAGGCTTTGGGTTTTGGCCAGAGGACTTCCTATGCTGTGCTGTGCCTCCATGGGGGATTTGTGATGTCTGCTGAGCTTCTGTTCTTGTAATCTCAGCAGTCACTGAGGAGTATCACGAGTCATTAATACAGTAAGGGTGGAAAAGGATGACACTCTGATTCCAACATGAATTCTTCATGTGGCAGCTGGACTATTTATGTAAAAAGATACCTCCCATTTCAATTATCTGCTTAGCTAGAAATACAGTTCTTATATGTAAAGCAGGGAGAAATACTTATTTCTTTCCAAGTTTTTACAATAATGAGTAGTTTCCCTGACATACTCCGATAGTGACCAGTTTTTTACTTTTCATTTTAATAAACTCAAGGATTAAGTCATATTTAATGTGTTGTATCCATTCAAGGCAATCGGGTTAATGATGCTAACATTGGCCTATCTTTGGTTGAGAGAATCTCTTCAAGTCTGGCTGAGTTCTTTTTTTATTTTCATTCATTCTTTTTTATTTCTTTTTCTTAGGTTTTTAAAAGTTGTAGTAAAATACACATGATGTAAAAATTGACCATGGTAATGATTTACAATTCAGTGGCACTAAGCAAATGCACTATGCCACGTGTCTATCACCATTATCTAATTCCAGCATTTTTCATCACTCCAAACAAAAACGTATATGCACCTGCTCCTAGCAGCATTGTTCCCAATAGCCAAAAGCTGGAAACAGCCCAAGTGTCCATCAAGGGATGGATGGAGAAATAAAATGTGGCATATCCCTGCTTTAAGAAGAATGAAGTTCTGACACCTGCTACAACATGGAAGAACCTTGCAAACATGCTAAGAGAAAGAACCAGACATACAAGGCCATGTGTTTTCAGAAACTTTTTGGCATGGCCCCAAGAGCTACGGCAGCTTCCTTACTTTCTGGTACGAGATCTTTGGGTCTCATGTTGTACATTTTCTAATGCATACCCAGAACTAACCATTTCTCCAAGAAGCCCTGGTTGCTTTCAGTGGTAAATTGGATTTAGCGATCACAGCCTGGGGATCAGGGTTGTTCCTTCATACTGAGTTGTCATTTGCCTCCTTGCTTTTGAAGAAAGTTTTTTTTTCCTTACCCTTGTTGCTGTTACATCATCAATCCCCTATACATCATATTAAATATCCTATGTCCTGTGGCCCACACAACTACTCATTTACTTTACCCCTTCTCTCACACACACACACATGCGTGTCAAAGTAATAGCATCACCACCTCCACCAACACCCTGATGGCTGAAAAAAGCTTGAGATAACTCATGCAGCTTATTTTGTGTTTCTGGTACATACCCCTAGGAGTGCACTGTCAGATCAGGGTTCCCTAAAATCACTGGATGGAAATAGCTCTCTGTGTGACTTCCTCATCCACTGCATACACAGCTAACTTCATACGTTCATTTTGTCGCTAGGTCTGGGGATGGCCTTGTACATTTATCTTTATTGTAAGCGGGGAGGTTTGAGGGCTGTTTTTATTTCTTTTTCATTGGATGATTCATTTATTTGTATTGCCCATTTACTCATTTTCCTGTCGGATTGTTGTATTTGGGGCTGTATCTACAGAAGACATCTTTTAATGTTTTGTGTGGCTGGCACCCTCCAATTGTTCTTTTTCAAGGGTTAGCTGGCAATTTGTAGTTACTCTTCCCACTGTGTTCTTCCTAATGAAATACATAGCCAAGTGATTTAGATCCAGGGAAAATGTATTTGGACTGAGATACTTTAATACTATGGAATAACTTAAGAAGGCTTGGCCAAAGCCTTCCCATCTAAGAACACAGTGTGTCTTTTCCTTTGTTCAAGTTTATTTTACTGTGTCTAAAAGCGTTTTACAGTTTACCGCATATAATTTTGGGACAATTTTTAAAAAGTTTATTCATGGAAAATATGTGTGTGGTGTGTGCGTGTGTGGTTTGAGTGTGTGTATGTGTTGTTTTGTGTGGGGTGTGTGAGTGTTGTGTATGTGTGTACATGTGATATGAGTCTGTGTGTGGTATAGGGAGTGTGTATATGATGTGAGTGTATGTACATGTACGTGTGTGGTGTGTGTATAGGTGAGCATGTGTGCGTGCATGTAAGCACGTGTGTGCATATGTATATTGACAGTGTATGTGTCTGTGGTGTGTGTATGTGTACATGTGTATAAGTGTTGTATGAGTGTGTGGAGGGTGCATTTATGATGTATGTCTGTTTTGCATATAGTGTGAGCGGTTGTGGTGTGAGTATGTGAGCATGTATGTGTCTGTGGTGTGTGTGTATTGTGCATGCATGTATGCCTGGTGTGAGTCTGTGTATGTTGCATGTGTGTTGCATGGGTGTGGTATGTGTGCTGTGAATGTGTGTGTGCATGTATGTATGTGAGCATGTGTGTGTGTGCTGTACATGCCTGTATGCATGGTGTGAGTCTGTGTGCAGTGCGTGGGTGTGGTATGTGTGGTGTGAATGTCAGTATGTGCATGTGTGTATGTGAGCATGTGTGTGTATGTATTGTGCATGCCTGTATGCATGGTGTGAGTCTGTCTGTAGTGTGTGGTATGGTATGTGTGGTGTGAATGTGAGTGTGTGCATGTGTGTATGTGAGCATGTGAGGGGTGTCTGTGTGTGTGTGGGCATGTGTGTGTGCATGGGACGTGTATAGGGGATGTGTGTATGGACACTGGTGGGCAGCCTCTAAGATGACTCCAGTGATCCCTGCCTCCTTGGAGAATGCCCCTCTTCTGAATGCAGGTTGAACCCCGTGACTTGCTTCTAATGAATAAAATGTAGAAAAAGTTGATGGATATCACTTCCAAGATAAGGTCACAGAAAGACGATGCCTTCTGTCTCGGGCGCTCCATCAGCCTCTCCCCCTCAATTGCTCTAATGGAAGCCAGCTGTCATGCTGTAAGCTGTCCTGGGGAGGGACTGGTCTATGACTCTCCAGCAGGCAGTGAGGACCTAAGGCTGCCAATAACCATGTGAGTGAACTTGGAGGTGGGTCCCACAGCACCAGGCAAGCCTTGAAGTGCCAGCCCGCCCAGAGCCTGTGAGGGCTCTGCCTTGAGCCAGGGTGCCTGGCTCTGCCATGGCCAAATTCTTGACCCTTAAAACTGTGAGTTAGCAAATGTTTTGTTGTCATAATTTGGTAAGTTTGAAGGTAATTTGTTACAGAGTGATAGATACTCTAACAGGTTTTGGCTTATATCCATGGTAATTATTGATTCCGTCCCTTTATGTTTGGAACTAGGCTTTTAATTCTGAGATAAGTACAGATTTACATGAAGTTGTAGGAAATAATACACAGTGACCTCGTGTGCCCTTTACCAAGTTCCCCTCCATGGTAACATCTAGCAAAAATATGTATACACTACATACAATGCAACAAGCATATAATAAAATGTAACAATCAGGATACTGATGACAATGTATGCAAAATCCAGGCTACTTCCATCACTACAAGGATCCTTCCTGTTGCCTCTTACAGCCACATCCATAATCACTGGCAGCTAGGAGTCTTCTCTCCATTTTTGTAACTGTGTTGATTCAGTGTTATAGAAATTGAATCACACAGTATGTAACCTTTGGGGACTGACATTTTTCACTTACACAATCCTCTGGAGACTCTACCAGATGGTTGCATAGATCAATAGTTTGTTCTTTTATTGCTGAGTAGTAAGTGTTCCATGGCATGGTTATGGATGTACCACAGTTATTTAATAATCCACCCACAAAGGCCACGTGGGTTGTTTCCAGCTTTGAACTATGATGAATAAAGCATACCCATTAGTACGACTATTATCAAAAATGCAGAAAATAACAAGTGTTGGCAAGGATGAGGAGAAGTTGGAACCCTTGCACACTGTTGGTAGGAATGCAAAATGCTGCAGCTGCTATGGAAAACAGTATGGCAGTTCCTTAAAAAGTAAATATAGAATTATTACCATATGATCCAGGGATTCCACTTCTGGGCATATACTCCAGAAACTGGGGAAGAGGGGGGACTCAAATAGATATTTGCACAGCCATGTTTATGCCAGCACTACTCCCAATAGCTAAAAAGTGGAAGCAACCCAAATGCCCCTCATTAGATGAGCGGAAAAACAAAATAATGTATACAGACCATGGAATACGATTCAGCCTTTGAAAAGGATGGACATTCTGACACATGCTACCACGTGGATGAATCTTGTGAACATTACGTTAAGTGAAATAAGCCAGTCTCAAAAAGACAAACACTACATGATTCCACTTATATGAGGTCCATAGAGTCCAGAAGTCCCCCTTTATCTGCTGTTTTGCTTTCCATGGTTTCAGTTACGAGCAGCCAACCACAGTTCAAAAATACTAAATGAAAAATCCCAGAAACAGGCAACTCATAAGTCACATGTGCCATTCTGAGTAGCATGATGAAATCTCATGTTGTCCCTGCCCAGATGTGAATCATCCCTTTGTCCAGCATATCCATGCTGTATGTGCTACCCACCTGCTAGTCACTTCATATCTGTCTCAGTTATCAGATAGAAGAAACATAGTATATATAGGGTTTGGTATTATCTGTAGTTATAGGCATCTCCCGGGGATCTTGGAATGTATGTCCTTCAGATAAGGGGGGACTACTGTAGTCAAATTTATAGTCAGAAAACAGAATGGTGGTTGCCAGGGGTTGGGGGCAGGGAGGGTTCAAGAGTTGTTGTTTAACAGGTATAGAGTTTCAGTTTTGCAAGATAAAAAGAGTTCTAGAGATTGGTTGTAAAACAATGTGAATGTACTTAGCACTACTATACACTGGGAAGTGGCTAAGATGGTACATTTTATGTTATATGTATTTTATCACAATTAAAATGAAAATTGGGTAGACTGATTCCTCTCACTTTGTTCTCCTTTTTAAAATTGTTTTAGCAATTTTAGTGCCTTTGCCTTTCCATATACATTTTAGAATAATCTTGTCTATATCTACAAAAAATATTGCTGAGATGGATAGGCATTGCGTTAAACCTATATATCAATTTGAGTAAAATTGGTATCTTTACTACATTCCACTTTTTAAAAATTTCTGCTCTCATCTTTATTATCTCTATGTGTTTTTTTTTTTTTATTTTGCTCTTCTATTTTTCAGTTCTTGAGCTGGGAGCTTAGGTTACTTATTTGAGACTTTTCATCTCTGTTAACATATGCAGTTAGTGTCATACATTTCTCTCTCATAACTGCTTTAGCTGTATCCCAACAATTCTATTTTCATTTTTATTCAGTTCAAAGTATTTTTATTTCCCCCGAGACTTCTTCTTTCACCCATGGATTATTTAGAAGTATGTTGTTTTGTTTCCTAGTGTTTGGAGATTTTTCTGTTATTGTGCTGTTATTCATAACCTAGTTTGAGTCCACTGTGATCAAAGAACAAGTGCATGACTTTAATTATTTTTAAAATTGTTGAGATTTGTTTTATGGTGAAGGATACATTCTATCTTGTAACCTGCCTATATTACAACATTTGAAGTGAGTTTCTTATAGACAACATATAATTGGGTCATGCTTTTTAATCCATCCTATCACTTTCTGTATTTTAGTGTATTTAATTTACACATTAATGTAATTATTAATATTTTAGGGCTTAACTCTGCTATTTTAATTCTTTATTTCTTTTTTTTCTTGTTTTCTCTCTCTCTTTCCGGGGTCATTTACATTTTTCTGCCTTCTTACAGATTACTTGAATATTTTTACAATTCCATTTTGATGTATCTGTAGTGTTTAAAATGTGCGTCTCTGTACAGCATTTTTAGTGGTTGATGTAGGTACTATATTATATTTACATAGTATCACAGGCTATTGGTGTTATCCTTTTATTAGGTGGAGTCAAATAAAGAACTCTTGCCTATCTTTAAGAACCTTCATTTCCCCAGTTTATATTAGGTTGGTGCAAAATAATTACAGTTTTTGCCATTACTTTCAATAATTGTCATAAATATATCCTCTGCATATATTTAGAACCATATCAAATGATATCATAATTTTTGCTTCAACCATCAAGTGTAATTTATAAGACTCAAGAGGAAAAAGAAACTGCCTACTATATTTATTCATATTTTTATTTACTTTGCTCATCATTTTTTCTTCTTGATGTTGTAAGGTTCCTTTTTATCATTTCCTTTCTGTTTAGAGAACTCTTTTTAGCTATTTTGTTAGGATAGGTCTGCTGCTGATACATTCTCTCAGTTTTCCTTCATCTGAGAATGTCTTCATTTCTCCTTCCTTCTTGAAAGATATTTTTATGGGTATAGAATTTTGGGATGACAGTTTTTTGCTCTTAGTAGCTGAAAAATATTGTGTCATTTCCTCCTGGCTTCCATGGTTTCTGATGACAAATCCACTGTCATTCGAATTGTTTTTCCCTTCCAGGTTGGGTGTTCTTTTCCCCTGGCTGTTTTCAGAAATGTTTTGTTTTTTGCTTTGCAGAAGTTTAATTATGATGCATGTTGGCATAGATTTCTTTAGGTTTATCCTGTTGGAGCATCTTTCAGCTTCTTGAATCTGCAGGTTTATGTATCTTAACAATTTGGGTCATTTTCAGCCATTATTTCTTCATGTACTTTTCAGCCTCTCCCCCTTTCACCTCTCCTGCAGGGACAAAATGACACAAAATTTAGACTTTTCTTATAATCCCAGAAGTCCCTGAGGCGCTGGTTCACTTTTTGTTGTTGCTGTTCTTGTTGTTGTTTTATTATTCTTCTACTTTCTCCATGTTGTTCGGGTTGGATTATTTCCATTGTTCCATCTTCCATTTCGCAGTTCTTTCCTGTGTCCATTTCATTCTGCTGTTGAGCTCATTTCACTGTGCTTTTAAAATTTCAATTATATTTTTCAGTTCTAAAATGTCTATTTGAGGCTGGGTGTGGGGGTGCATGCCTGTAAACCCAGCACTTTGGGAGGCTGAGGTGGGTGGATCACTTGAGGTCAGGAGTTCAAGAGCAGCCTGGCCAACATGGTGAAACCCCGCCTCTACTAAAAATACAAAAATTAGCCAGCCATGGTGGTGGGTGCCTGTAATCTCAGCTCCTCGGGAGGCTGAGGCAGGAGAATCGTTTGAACCCGGGAGGCAGAGGCTGCAGTAAGCCGAGATCATGCCACTGCACTCCAGCCTGGGCAACAGAGGGAGACTCCATCTCAAATAAATAAATAAATAAATAAATAATAAAATGTCTACTCATTTTTTTTTCTTTATATCTCTATTGCCTTGCTGAGGCTTTCTATTTCTTTGCTGAGGCTTTCTTTGTTTTCCTTTGTTTAAGTGTGTTCGTAATTGTTTATTGAAGCATTTTCATCGCTGTTTTAAAACCTTTGTCAAATAATTCCAACATCTCTGTCAATTTGTATGGCATGCACTGATTGTCTTTTCACCCATTGTGTGATCCTCTCCATTTTTAGTAGAATAAGTGATTTTCTATTAAATTCTGGACATTTTCGTATTATGTCATGAGATTCTGGGCCTAACTTAAGCCCTCTGTTTTAGCTGTAGGGTAGATTTGCTGGTGATAAATTATTTTCTTTTTCCTAGTGATATCACTCTGGCAGGGGATGGGAAGGAAGGAGACACCATTCTTCCCTTCCGAGTGACACCCAGGTTTTGCACTCACTCACCCTTGATGCCCGCAGTGAGGAGGGCTCCTTGTTACTGCTGGGTAGGGATGAGGATTCTGGCTCCCACATGGTCTCTGCTGGCACTGTGGTGGGTGGGGCCCCATCACTGCTAGGTGGGGGTGAAAGTCCCTGCTCTTCACTAGGGCTCCCAGTGTAAGGGGGACCTCTTTACTGCTAGGTAAAGGTTATCTTTGCTGATGTACCTGGGGTACAGCCAGATTCTTCTGTGGTATTGCTGGAGTGGAGTGGTTATTTTTTAAAAGGATTCTGTCTTGATGGACTGCCCCTATTCTTGTCCCTTGGCTAGAGCGAGCAGGCTTTTGCGGTTGTTTCTTTGTGTGCATCCACTGACATTTCCAGATTGCTTGCTTCTTCAGTTTCAAATCCAGGAACTATGAAGACAAAAGAAAACCCAGGAAACTCACCACCAAGCTGTTTCTTGGGTGCTGAGGTCAGCCTGTTTTTCCCTCTGCACCTTGGGAGTCGTCCTAGGTTTGTTCTATGTATAATGTCCACAGTAGGTAGTTGAAATTAGTAGAAGAAATAGGGAAAATTATCCATCTTCCTGGAAGCAAAAGTTCTTACTGATGTGCAAATTGTTGATTTTATAATATGCCATTTTTAGCAATTCTCTCTCTCTCTCTCTCTCTCTCTTCTGGGGGTGGTAATAGTTTTCCTTTGATTTTTGGGGGGATTTTCAAGCTACGTAATTTTCTCATCTGCAAACAGAGATGGTTTTATTTTTTCCTCTGCTTTTCTAGTGCCTGTGCCTCTGACTCCTTTCTCTTGGCTAATTGCACTGTCTAATATTTTCAACACAATCCTAGATGGCATAAGAGATTCAGGCATTCTTGTTTTCCTCCTGTCTTTAGCCAGAGGACATATTTGTTTGCCATTGAGTAGTATGCTAACTTCTGGATACATCAATTGCTATTTTTATCAAGTGTTTTTAACATGAATATGCTTGATTACATAAAATGCCTCTTCTATTTTTGAAGTGACCAGATGACATTTCTGCTTAGCTATATTCATTTGATGGATTATATTAATATATTTTCTCATATTGAACCATCTTCCTGTTCCTGGTAAAACAACCACCTGGTCTTGATGCATTATTTTGTTACATGCTGTTTGCTTCTGCTTAATTACATTTTAGCTAAGACCTTTGTGCATCTATGTTCATAAGTGAAGTTAGTTAGTACTTTTGTCTTATAGTAAAAGTTCTGTCATATTATAGAGGTTTTACTTGCTTCATAAAAAGAATTTGGATGTTCTCCATTTTTCCCTATACTCTGAAATTATTTAAGTATCATTGCTATTAATTGATCTAATTAAAACTTGGTATATTTCCTCTGTGGTAACTGGGGTTTGAAAGGAGTTAGTGCTCTTTAACTACCTCCTCTATTTCTTTAATGGTAACTGGCCTGTTTAGATTCTCGCTTTAATGGGGTCAGTTTGGGTACTTTGCAGTTTTCTAGAAAATTATCCTATCTTGGTATTTTACTTTATTTACATACAATTCTACAAAGTAATCTTATGATTAAAAAAAATAAATTCTTCTGGATTTGATGCATTTGTCATTTCTAAGTTTTTTATATTTGTGCCTCTTTCTCCCAAACCTCACCAGAATTTTTTTTAGATGGCCTCACAGTTTGTCTACGAACAGATTTTGGATGTATTTCTGGTTCTATTGCATTTGTACCAACTCGTTTGAACTCATTAGTACTTTTGTTACTTCTTTTTGCTGCTTTCTGTTTACTGTCTTGTTTCTTTTCTAGTTTTTTGTGTTGGATATTAATTCATTTATTTTCCTTTTTGCATTTTTAATAATATTAATTTTTATTTGTCTAAAATTATTCTTTTATAACTGCTTTAGCCATATTCTATAAATTCTATTTTTAGGAAATTCTGTCATTTCATTCTTTATTTTGTCTTTATTTTATTTTGCTGTTCCAAGAGTTGTTTAATAACATGTTTAGTGGGCAAATCTTTTTGTTTTGTTAATGCTACAATTAGCTTCTAGTTCTATTGCTTGTGGTAGGAGAAGGCTGATTGTATTATTTCTATGCTTTGGATTTAATGAGATTCTCTTTGTAGCATAAGATATGGTCAATTTGGGAGATATTTCATGCACTTTTAAAAAGCAGCCATATTCTCAATTATCAGAGTTCAGAGTTCAATATACTTCTGTAGGATCTGCCTCATTGGCCATGTCACTGAAGTCTTCTATCTTCTTACTAACGGTTTGTCTTGGATAGAGAGTGGTGTGGTGAATTCTCCAGCCCTGAGTATAATTTTATCCTTTCTCCTTGTATCTCCTGCACTTTTTACTCTTTGAAAGTGACTGTATTATTGGGCACATGTATATTAATAACTGTGATACCTTCATAGTGAATTGTAGCTTCAGTGTTATGAAAACACCTCCTTTTAAATCTCTTTTAATGCCGTGAGCTCTAACATCTACTTTGTTAGACAGCATGGCTGTTACACCTGCTTTCTTTTTGTTCACATTTTTCCCAGATATCTTAATTTGTACTTTGTTTTCTAAATTTCTTTATTTTAGGCACGTCTCATGTACATAGCACAGACTTGGATTTCACTTTGTTCATCAATCTGAAAATAATATTTCTTCCATTTATATTAAGCCCATTTTATGTATTATTTATCACTATAATCAATGTCTTTGTCTTCAGTCTGCCACAGTCATATGACACTTGCACATATATGTCATATCACACACATACACAGATATTCACTTACTGCATACAACACTCAACTTGCTTTTTCTATTTGCTTTTTCTCTCATGTCTTTCGGCATCTAGAAGGGCGTGAATTTTTCTTCTAATGGACATCTTTACTCTAGTAATTTTGTATTTTCATCATCCTCTCTTCTTTTTTTTTTTTTTTTTTTTTTTTTTTTTTTTTTTTTTGAGACGGAGTCTCGCTCTGTCGCCCAGGCTGGAGTGCAGTGGCGGGATCTCGGCTCACTGCAAGCTCCGCCTCCCGGGTTCGCGCCATTCTCCTGCCTCAGCCTCCCAAGTAGCTGGGACTACAGGCGCCCGCCACTACGCCCGGCTAATTTTTTTTTTGTATTTTTTTTAGTAGAGACGGGGTTTCACCGTTTTAGCCGGGATGACCTCAATCTCCTGACATTGTGATCCGCCCTCTTTCTCAGTTAGTACTTATACTCAGTCAGATTACTCCACTTTTTACATATTCCCCTCTTCCTTTCACCCCCAATTTTGATAATTTTCCAGGTATTACGTTGTTAAAGCATATAGCCATTACATACTGCATGCTTTCCTCAAAGTCACCATTCGGTACTAGTTCTCTGGGTGCTGTTACACCATGCTAAGTAGTTCTCTGGGTGCTGTTACGCCATGCTAAGTAGTTTTCTGCGTGCTAGTACATCATGCTAAGTAGTTCTCTGGGTGCTGTTACACCATGCTAAGTAGTTCTCTGGGTCCTAGTACACCAGCTAACTAGCATCTCTGGGTGCTGGTACCCCACATTAACTAAGAAACAGCTTCATGTAACAAAAATGAGGGCAAAGTGGTGGTAGAAATATGGATAGTTAGTGTGGGGTACTAGACATTTCAGGAGGGCTTCATAGGAATAATATTCTCTGAGTTTTTATATGGATGTATGCCTGAAAGTCAGTCTGGCTGGTTGGCTCACATTGTTTTCCTTGAGTATCTTAAATCTGTTTCTCCATTTTTTTTTTCTGGTATAAAGACTTGCTGTCAAAAAGTCTGATGCAGCCTGATTCTCTTTCCTCTGTAAGATTCTGTATCTTTTTACATGAATGCCCAAATAATTGGATTTCAATCTAAAGCCCAATAATTTACTAGAATATGCTTTTGTATTGACCGTTCAGGTGGAATTTCCCAAATGGAGTATGTTCTTTCCCAATATTTAAGTTTTTATTTTATTTTTTTTTTTTCATTTAAGGAAGCTTTGTTTTATAAGTATTGGCTTTAGTATTCATTCTGTCCCGTGTTTTGGCTTCTGCCTCAGCATCTCCAATTATACATATGTTGAATCTTCTAGTCTTCTATATTATTACTTTCAAATATTTTTAATGTCTTTCTTAATTTTCCTTCTTTTAAAATACTTCCTTTTTTACATTTTATATTTATCTGTTGATATTATATGTGATGGTTATTTACTTTTGTATTTCCTCTGATTTCATCTCTCTTGTTCTAAAATGATGTTTCTTTTATTTCTAGTCATTTACTAAATTCTGTGAGCTCTATTTGTCATCTACTTATCCAGTCACCTTATTTATGTGTTATTTTAATTCTGATAGATGCTATTCTTTCACAAATTCTGTTATTTGTAAAAGAACAACATATTGTTTTTGAAAGATTAAAGTTTTTGGTTTATTGTGACCATATCTTTCTGTTGTGCCTTAGTGTCTGTAGGGATATTATTATGCTAATTGTTCCTTTTTTTATACTAACTTTGCATTTAGTCACAAGCTTTTATTGCTAGTTTAAGTGAGATGATTTTCCAGTATTATTCGAAAGAAAGAGTGGGTCAGAGTGCCTCTGTGGCTTCACAGTCCCAGGGCTTCCTCTTCTAAGGTTAACATCCAGTGTCCAAAATTACGGCCTCTTTCTTCCGAAGATCTGCTTTCCCTTCTTCCTTCCCTCACTTTTATCTGCGCCATCTTTCTTCTTCTCCCCTAGAGTCCTGTCTTAATCAGTTGAGTCTGCTACAATAAGACAATACAAACTGGGGAGTTTAAACAGCGGAAATTCACTTCTCACCATTCTGGAGGCTGGAAAGTCCAAAACCAAAGCATCAGCAGGCTTGGCCATCAGGTGAGGGCTCACTTTCTGGCTCACAGATGGCTGCCTTCCTGCTGTGTCCTCACATGAAGGAGAGAGAAAGGGTCTTGTCACCTTTCATAAGGAAACTAATCCCATTATGGGGACCCATCATAGGGACTCTACCCTCAAGACCTCATCTAAATCTGATTACCTCCCAAAGGCCCCTCCTCCAAATACTCTCACCTTGGGAATTAGAGCTTCAGCATATGAATTTTGGGGGAGACACTCACAGTCAGTTCATAGCAATTCCCTTTCCTGCTCAATTTATGTTCCTCTCTGTCTTAGTCAGTTCTGGATGCTATAACAAAATACCATAGACTGGTGGCTTAAACAACAACCATTTATTTCTGACAGTTGTGGAAGCTGGGAAGTCTAAGATTAATGTGCCAGAAGATTCAGTGTCTGAAGAGGGCCCACTTCCTGGCTGATAGATGGCTGTCTTCTTGCTGTGTCTCCACATAGTGGAAAAAGGGCTAGAGAGCTCTCTGGGGTCTATTTTACAAGGGGGCCAAACCCATTCATGACGGCTCCACCCTTATGACTTAATCACCTCCCAACCCCACCACCACCCCATATGATCACTTTGGGGTTATAGTTTCAACATGTGAATTTCAAGGGACACAAACCTTCAGACCAAGCACCCTCCCAACAGTTTCCCTATAGTGCAGTCATCCTTAGCTCTGGGCTAGAGAGGAAAGTCCGCCTTCCTTCATTCATACCTCTGCCCCAGGAGCATGACGTCCAAGGTGCAGGGGAACATGCCACCCAGAGCCACAGCTCCTCTCACAGCCACACTCAAGCTGACCTGGGACTCTAATTCACTGCCAAATAGCCGTACATCACTGCTTCACCACCTAGAAATAATGATCAGATCTAGCTCATGGGGACTAAACTGAATGATGACTTTGAAAATTGTGTAAAGGGTAGTATGCTGCTCTAAGTCGCTTATCACTGGTGTCAAAGTACAGCTGTGACTTGGATTTTGACCCTTGGGTCCTCTGTAAATTGAGTTTTGCCTAAGATCTACCATCAGAGTATTGCCACACAGGGCAACGCACATCTAAATAAATGGATGGAGAAAGCCAGCCATGCAACCCACTAGACCCATCATCGGTCCACCCTCTTACACAGGCACTCAGCAAGCATCCACGGAGCACTCTGTATGCACCAGCCTGCAGTGCACCACAGCAGGCTCAATGGGGAAAAAGAGAGGCTTATAATACAACTGTAAATATTAACAAAATACAAAAGTGCCTATAAGACAAATGACTCCAAGGTAGGGAAGGTACTTTCAACGGGGTGCCAGCAGAGTGCTATGGGATCCCACAAAAATAATACATGCCCTTCACACTGAGTGTGGACTATACACCAGGCTTGTGGTCTGTGCTTTTCTTCATTTTCTAGGTGAGTACTGAACTCCAAGTCATACTACTCACTCTAGATGTGAAGAACAAGATGCAGAGAGGCTAAATGACCTTGCAAGTGACTGAGGTGGAACTTGAAGTTGGTCTGACGGAGCCCCAAACTCATTCACTCATTCTGTTGCACTTTGACTCCCTGAGCTACAGCTCTCTCTCTCTTTCTCTCTCTCTCTCCCTCCCTCCCTCTTGACAATAATTCATTTATTTGCATCAATTCCAACAGATATGGAATTAAGCCTCTACTATGTGCCAGGTGCTAGGTTCTGTGAGCTGACATTTATCCCAGGAAAACACATAAAAAAAGGCAACTTAGCCAGTAAATACATGACATGTTGGAGCGTGATGAGCACGTTAAAGAAACGATAGGCAGGAGCTGGGGCTAGGGGTGTCTGCAGGGAGAGCTCTAATCCATTGAGGTGGCAGATGTGAAGGGCATCAGAGCAGAGGGCCCAATAAGAGTTGCTTGGCATTACAACCTGATCGCATGTCCTACGGCCTTGAGCGAATTCCTTAAAATGTCATTCCTTCAAGCTACCTCATGGCAAAACTTTGAAATTGGCACCAGCAATTTTTTTTATTTATACTTGCAGATATGAGTAAGTTAGTGTGTTAATCCAAATCTATAAATGGGGAAAAGTGGTGGATTTAGTGCATGTATTCAGAATGCCAGGCACCGTATCATCTGCATGCATATTAGTCAGGGCTCCCCAGAGAGGCAGCACCAAAGGGATACACGGAGAAAGAGAAGTTAAGGAATTGGCTCACACGATTGTGGAGGCTGGCAAGTGTGAATCTGCAGAGCTGGCCAGCAGGCTGGAAATTCCGGCAGGAGTCGACGCTACAGTCTTAAGTTCAAAGACAGTCTGAAGGCAGAACTCTTTCCTTCTAAGGGACTTCAGTTTTTCTCTCTTGAAGAATTCAACTGATTGAATGAGGCCCACCTGTATGACGGAGAGTAATGTGCTTCACTTAAAGTCTACTGATTTAAATGCTAATCACATCTGAAAATTAACTTTACAGCAGCATCTAGACTGGTGTTTGACCAACCAACTGGGCACCCTAGCCCAGCCAAGGTGACACATAAAATTAATCATCACAGCGTTAAAAAGCGAATGCCAAAGTGACAACAGTGGGATTCTAAGACCAGGATGAATATGAAGCAGGGGCAACTCACCTGCTTAACGTTTCACAAAGTCATCTTTCCGCTCATTGCAATGCAAGGTCATTTTCGTGGTGACAAGGCTGACATCTGAAGATGTCAGTGATTTCAACTCTAAGTGACTGTCCCTACCCCAGCCAGACAGAGTTGGGCTGGCCACCTCCCAGGCTCTGCAGCAAGCGTGGGGGGCCTATACTTAGAGGCAGAGGAGCGGGAGGAGGCGATCCTCATCTTAAATGTCACAGTGATTTATAGACTATATTTCCTGAGAAAAGTGCAAAGATTTATTTCCAGGAGACAGGCCGTTTGTAAACATGCAACTCACAGGTGCGGCTGTGTGGGTCGTGAGCCCGCAGAGGCCTCCGCCTTTTGCTAGGGAAAGGAATGCCAGTGGGTCCTGGAGGCAAGAGCAAGGGCTCAGACCCAGCAGAGTCCTCAGAATAATGGCTCTTGTGTTCTTCATGTCCCCAGAGGAGCTAGGATTAAATCAACTTGTGGTACCCTACGCCACCTAGCTGGATGAAAAGTGAGGAAATGATGAGCAGGTAAGGTGATGGGCATGTTAATTAGTTTGAGTTAACCTTTCTCCAATGTATACACATATCAAAACATCCCTTAGAGCCTCATAAATATATAAAATTATTTCTGAATTTAAAATACTGCTTTTAAGTTTTTAAAAAGTGAAAGGATGAAAAGAGTAAGTGTTTAACAAGGGAGATGAAAAATGATCAATTTGTATGCTCATAATAATTTGGCTTAAAAATATATAAAGCAGTCACCAACGTTAAGCAAGAAGAAGCTAATACATCTAAAATCAACTAGGGAAAAGTTAATATTTCTTTCCCAGTCATTGATAGCTGGACTGGAAATTACCCCCATGAAGCCAGGAGTCAGGAAGGGCTAGACAGAAGGAAAAGATGAGTGGGAAACGGAGGAACAGTCCTACAGAAGCAGAAAGCCATGAAAAGTGTCTTTCTCAGCCCTGGATTTGGCACAATGAGAAAATTCTCCCCAAATATTTGAGGCCCTCTCATGTCCCGAAAAAGCTTGCTTCCCCAGAGACCTACCATAGATATCGAATCCATATGAGTTCATAACTAAAAATCACACAATTGTAGAAATAAACTAGCCAGCCAGACATAGCAAAACTCAGCCAAAACAGGAAACGAGGAGAAAAGAACAAAGTCAGACTTCAGATATGTGGGCTGTCACGCACAATATGTATAGCAAATATTTCAAAAATATGACGGAATCAAAGACTTGCCTGCAATAAAATGGATAGATTCAAAAAAGAATGAAATGGAACTTCAGTGAATGAAAAATCTAACCAGGGATCTCTTATTAGTCCTACCGATTTGTCTGGAGAAGTTGTGGATTCTTGTATCATCACATCATCTACACCTCATGAAGTAACACGAGAAACTCAGGTGTCAGCCAGGGTCTTTCTGCCTCTCTGAATTTGGGAGACATTGTTCAAACCCCCATCTTTCTGGCTGCCTCTCTGCATTCATGCTCATGGGCATGGTCAGACATTCATGCCCCCAGCTATACCCGAAGGCCGGAGCTCCCACCGGTTTCTCTGCAGACCCACTCACGGCCAAGCAGGCTGGAAATTCAGCAGCCTCACAGACATCGGGCATGATAGAAGGGGTGACTCTGGGGCTTGTGTCACCTTCTGCCACCTCTGGCTCCCCCCCTGCCCCCATGTCTCCTCCTCCCTCCAGAAAGATGGGTGAGTTCCTTTCTCATCATCTCACACAACAATCCATGAAGAATTGTGCTCACGCTTGCACCCTTCAGATCCCCACATTCTGCCCCAAGCAGGCTGTCAAGAAATTTCTGAGCAACAACAACGTCACCCCTTCGTCACTTCCCCTGGAAAGAACTCAGGAGACTGTGCAGAAGGAAACTTCTCTACCTCATTTCAACAGATGCCCCAGCAAATCTAAGTGCTTTTCCTGCCGTGCCGTGGTAAAATAGTGCCTGCTATGATGAGAGGGCGTCTCATCATCTGTTTTCCTGTCTGTCTCCCTGCAGGCTGTGGGCTCCGGGGGCCGGCTCTTTGCTGTACTGGCTGCCCCAATCCACAGGATAACAGAGGCGGGTGCAGGAAGCCTGAGGCCTCCTACAAGCAGCTGCAGGTTTTTGCCTCCTGTGAACCCCAGTTCTGATGTCCTCACGTTCCCTCAGCTACCTGCCGGCGTAACTCTGCTGCCATGGAGCTGTGGTTAATGGCAAAGCTCTGCCTTGGTGCCATAAGGCTCCAGGAGCAGTCGATAATGTACACGTAAAGCAGTTGCTTTTAAAATCTTTTATGTGCCTATCATATTAAAAGCAATCCTTTGGAAATTACCAAGACATGATGCACACCTGCCTGCAATTTTTATAGCTCCTTTTTCCCCCCAAGTGAAGAATGCAAAATACTCAAAACTGAGCTTGTTTCTTTTCTTTCACAAAAGGTCCTGTAGGTTCTTCGCCCTCACAATCTCTCCAGCTGGGCCTGATGCCTCCACCTCCAGGATGACTTTGTCAGCTCGGATCCTTAAGGTTGCTTTCCTGGGCTCAGACCTCCTGGAAGGTTTTCTTTCTCTGATTTTGCCACTTACCCCAAACTTATTCAGTCTCTCCCTGTCCTTGCCACCAGAAGCATTTTTTTTTTTTTCCTGAATTTAAGCCCACTGTGTCATCCCCTGGCTTAAAACCCTGAAATATCCTTAGTCCTCCCAAAGCTGGCCCCGGGCTGCTGCTGCTGCTGCTGCACACTCTCTGTAAGCAAACAAGCAACACTCGCGGTGTCCTCCTTCCGGCACCGGAGACCGGGAGGAAGAAGAACCTGCAGGATCCATTCTTAAAGAAACACATCACAACCACCCACCAGCCTCCGTTTCACTCCCGCGGATGCTGGAAACGTCTGACGCTGGGCCAGCCGCCTCCTTCCGCACCTTCGGCGTGGCCATCCTAGGAGGCTCTGACACTCCACGGACGGTGGCTCACTGGGCTCCATCATCGTCATCAAGCGCACACACACTCCTCCCATGCACACGCACACTGACACATGTCCACACTCACGCTCACCTCACTTTCAGCTGAGGCCACACTTCACGTTTCCGAGAGAAAGCGGGCGAGGCAGCAGGAGCTCTGAGGGATAACTGGCTCGTCCGCTTGCCTGTGCCCCGGGGCACCTACAGAGTGGGTACGTGACTTCCGGGGTGTCTGTGAGGGCGTTTCTGGAAGAGCTTCGTGTTTGCAATGGCGGACTGAACACAGCAGCTGGCCCCTCCCCAAGGTGGGTGGGCCTCGTCCAATCTGTGGAAGCCGGAACAGGACAAAAAGGTGGAGGGCGTTTGGATTCTCTCTGCCTGACCCAAGGCAGACATCCGTTCCCTCTGGCCGTTGGTACTCCTGGTTCTCAGGGATTCAGACTCTGACTGGCGTCCACTCCATTGGATCCCGGCCCTCAGGTCTTGGAACTTGCACTGCCAGCATTCCTGGGTGTCCGGCTTGCGGACAGCAGATCGTGGGACTTCTCAGCCTCCAGAATTGCACGAAGTGTCTCCTTACGAATCTCTTCCTATGTACGTGTATCCTATTGGCTCTGTTTCTCTGCAGAACCCTGACTAATGCAAACCCTCTCATCTCACAGCAGTGCATGTACAAACCCACTCACATCTTCCCCTCCCCTGCCTTCCCTACCGCAAGTTCCCTCCGACCAGAGGCCAATCCCGCTGCGGTGCCCCGGACCCACCCTCTGCACCAGCCTTCCTTCTTGTTTTCTAAAAGCTCGCGTTTTCTGTGGGCTTCCAAGGCTGCTCTTCAGTATCTTTACGTCAGAGCCTCCCAGCTCCTTCCCCTCTCTCAAAAGCGTTTTCACAGGGACTGTAGGCTCCTTCCCTCCCCTTGATAACCAAGTACTATGCCCCAGGTTCTTACCTCACAGCCCAAAGTTGTCCTAAGTCGGGCCCTGACCTGAGTGTCTCCAAATCCAGCAGGCCGTCTGCTCTCCTGTGACATGCAGCATCCCACGGCTTTTCCTAAAAGACCCCCTCTGTCAGCTTTGCTGTCACCCACCCTCCAGGGCTCTCTCTTACAGGTCTGCCCTTTGCTAGCATCTTAGCCTCTCCACCTCCCGGTGGTCCTGTCTGCGATGGACCCCCTCCATGTGTCCCAAGGCCCTCCAAAGGAACAGGTCTGTATCAGGTGCAATTAGATTGAGGTGCAATGCAAGGGCTTGAATTGCAGAGAGGTTCATTTTTCTTTTTGTAGAAAAGTCTGGGACCAGCTGTCAGAGACTGATTTGGCCACTCCATGGTCACCAGGACCAGGCTGTGTCCATCTTTTCTGTTCTGACCTTTTTCACATGGGCCATTGTCCATGTCACCGCTGGTCACCAGCTGCAGCAGTCGCATTCTTGCTCCGGGCAGCAGGAAGAAGGTGAGACCAGAAGGCAGAGGGGGCTGGTCCTGCCTGGTCAGCCCCCAGGGGGCTTTGCCCAGACACCCCTTCCCCACCCATGGCTCTGCTGATTTCTCTATAGCTGCCACCCTCTGAAAAGGGAGCTGGCAGAGTAGTTCTTAGACATGGCACCTGGCCACCTCTGTGGCTGAAGAAGAAGGGGGTTGAGGATTGGGGTACACACCTGTCAGTCTCCATGCAATGCCCCAAAGTGGACCACTGACCCCACACCACGCTGTTCTCCTCTGAGTTTTCTCACCTCTGTCCAAATGGCTGCAGAAGCCAAAAGCCCCAGAGCCCAGCTCCCCTTCCCTCCTTTCTCTTCCATCCTTCCATCCTTCCATGAGCCTGCCCCTCATCCTCCTCAGGGCTGGAACTGGCTGCCGGATTCCTCCCTGGCTCCGTGGGGGCTGGCTCAGCAATCTGAGCTGCCGATGGCTCTGTGGTCCAGCTGGGAGGATTCATGCCCCATTGGGGCTGAGAGGAATGAGGTGAGGGCTGTGGGGTTTGCCCAGAATCTCCTGAAATATCGGGCCCAGGAACTACAGCAGGACTCTCATTCCGCCTTCTGGCCACTGTTGGGGGTGACACTGGCAGGATCCAGGGGCTCTGGAAAGCTCCAGGGGAAATTTGAGGCATAACCCAGCTTCTCTGAGACGGAACTCAGGGAGGATCCAGCTCAATCCTACAGAGGCGACCCCAAGGAAGGACCTGCCCAGGGTCACTTGGAGAGCTGGGCGGGAGGAGGGAGAAACCTCCCCCGTTCAGAGTGACAAAGCCCCCCTTGCCTCAGGGATGGCTGAGATCCAAGTCCTCAAAACACGCCGCCATCTGGAGGGTGTGAGAGCGAGGTCCGTCCTCAGCATGGACGCTGCAGTGCACACTGTTCCGTGCCAGGTGCTGGCTGACCCTGCCCTGTGGGAGGTGATGGACAGGCACACAGGGGGAGCCCCGCAAACAAGGGGCCCTGTTACAGCAGAGTGGGAGAGCGCCTGGTAGGACGCCAAGCACCGTGGCCGGGCTGCAGAGAGGCCTGCGGGACTTGTAGACAAGACGTCATGGAGAAGGCGGAGCTCCCATGGGCCTTGCAGGTTTCACCAAGCAAGAGCGGAGAAGACACAGGCTGGACAAAGGAAGGTGGACGGGACAGCCAGCCGTGCAGCAGCCTCACAGGACACAGCTGTGAGTTGGGGAGGGGAGCCGTGGCCCTGTTGGCCCTCCCAGGACCCTGGTGTTGACTGGGGGGCCCCAGCTCCAGACACCTTCACAGGCAGCTGTGCATGAAGCCCTCCTCACCTATTTAGGCACACCCACAGTCTAGGCTGCCGCGCAGAAGCCCACAGAAGGGTCAGTGCGTCCAGAGTCTCCCCAACATTGGACACCCACATCACACACATGCACATGCACCCATGGGCCAGTCCCTGGTGAGCACACACACGGCACCTGCAGACATGCCTGCACATGCAAAAGCACACAAGCACACACAACTGTGCAGGGCCACACAAGCTCAGTCACACACACGGTCACACATGCTTATGCACACTTATACACCCTCCACACACTCTCACACACTCCCACAACACACACGCTCACATGCACACACTAACACACACGTTCACATACACACACGCACACTTACACACCCTCCACACACACCCAACACCAACGCTTACATGCACACACTACACACACGTTCACATACACACACCCTCCACACACATACCCCCCACAACACACACGCTCACATGCACACACTAACACACACATGTTCGCATACACACACTCATGCACTTATACACCCTTCACACACTCACAAACATGCACGCTTACATGCACACACTACACACACGTTCACACACACCCTCCACACACACTCCCACAATGCACACATGCACACACTAACACACATGTTTGCACACACATGCACACTTACACACCGTCCACACACACGCTCACATGCACACTAACACACATGTCCATACACACACTCATGCACGCTTATAAACCCTCAACACAACTCACACACCCCAACACACACTCACATGCACACATTAACACATGTTCATATACACACTCATGCACATTTATACACCCTCCACACACATATACCCCACAAAACACACACATGCACTCATGCACACTTATACACCCTCCACACACACTCATACACCGCCACAACACACACACATGCACACACTAACATGTTCACATACACATTCATGCAGGCTTGTACACCCTCCACCCACACACACACCCCCACAACATGCATGCTTACACTAACACACACTTATATACCCTCCACACACACCCAACACACAAGCTCACATGCACACACTAACACACACACGTTCACATACAAACACCCTTCACACACACATCCTCACAACATGCACACTCACATGCACACACTAACTACACACACATTTACACACGTGTTCACGCTCACGCACACGTGCCTGCACTCCCCGTGGGGTGGTAGTGTCGCCTGTCCCTCGGCACCTGCCAACCTGTGGGAGCTGCCAGGACTCCACCCAATTCCCCCAATTATTCTCTTCAGAGAACTTTTTATTAAGATGATTTGTCAGGCCTATCTCGAATTTCACAGGACTAAAAAGCCCCATCTCTGTCACCTCTCAGGCATCCTCTGATCTGACAGACAGGAATATGCGCTCCCACCCCAGAGCCAACAGCTCCCCAGCCCTCTCCCCGCCCCCGCCCGCAGAAACCAGGACTTCATCTCTTTGATGTATAGGTCGCTTCCCCTGGCACCTAAGCTTGCCTGAAAGTTGGGAATATGATGACTCACCGTATTTGGCAGCTCGTATGCGTCTATATTTCAAGACATTCATGCTCATGCTCATTATAATTAGGGCTGGAGAATCAGCACAGTCAACTGCCAAAATCAAGTGCACAATTCATATCAACCTTTCAGACCAGACAGAGAGCACCAGCTGACACTCATTCCTCCAGCACCAGGAAATGCCACAGCAGAAGAGAGTCTTCAAGATGGGCCAGACCCACTTCTGCAGCATGGTTGCTGGGAGCCTGCACAGGCCAGGCATTTCTCTACAGGTCAGCAGAGCTGCAGCAAGATCCCAGGTCCTGACCCAAGGCAGTCCTGACCCATGGTCTATCCCCACCGGCCCTTCCCTGGAGCTGTGCCTCAGCTGGGGAGGTACTTCTGGAAGGCAGGTGGAGGAGGTAAGCCTCCTTCCCAGCCTGCAAGTCTGTGGTTTAGGTGGCCTATACTAACTGATACTCGTACAGGTGCAATTGAGAACTCACTGAGGCAAAAGGGCCTTTGTCAACCCACAGAAGTGACAAGTCCAAGTGCAGACCAGGCTTCAGGTATGGCTTGATGGAGGCACACACGCTGTCTTTCCAGCTTCCAGTGTAGGGTGTCTGGGTGCCCTCTACTGACAAGATGGTAGCAGGAGCCAGAGACTTTCTGTCCTCTCAGTGACAAGTTCAGAGGGAAAGCCAGGGCCCTGGCCAACATTTCCGTGTGTCCCCTCTGTGTACCCAGTCCTCACGTCCATCTCTGTGTGGCTGGAGGAGTGTAATGTCCAGAGCTGCTCGGGTCTAAATCACTCAGGCCTCACCTGCCAGGAAAGGTGTTTCCCCAGCTTCAGGGACCAGAAGTGGGGGGAAGGATGTCCCAGGAAAATGTAGGTGGATGTGTCCAGCAAAGAGTAACCAGACACTGGGGCAGCAAGGACCTAGGTTCACCCCAGAAGGCTGGCTTCCACCCAACAAAGACATCACCATGGGAGCTAGAGACAGACCGGGAGGAGGTGAGAGGACAGAGCCCAGGGTCCTTGCACGGCCCAGGCGGAAGGGGGCACTGAGTCAACAGAAAGGAAGAAAAAGGGAGTTCAGAGGGGACAGGGCTGTGCCAGCAGACATGTGTGGGGACCCCAGGCCGGCGAGGGGCTGGCAAGGCAGGAAGGAGGGAGGCCATGGCCAGTGTAAGCAGGGCCATTTCACCTCCTGGGAGCTCAGCCTGACCGCCTGTGTGTCCTGCGGAGACTCCATGGGGAGTGGAGATCGTGTCATGAGTCCTTATTCGGGCACTTCACCCACAAGTCACTCTGATCACGTCTGTGAGTCCTTATTTGGGGGCTGCCCCACCGCAGTCGCTCCGACCACGTCTGTGAGTCCTTATTTGGGGGCTGCCCCACCGCAGTCGCTCCGATCACGTCTGTGGCTGCTTCTCCCACAGGCTCCCACAGGTTCCTGTGATTAGGTCATTTGCCACCGGGAGAGCTTGGGTCCCTCACTGTGCACCCCCACCCCCTTGCCACTGCCTGTGGAGTGCACGGCACAGCACCCCTCGAGGGGCGTGGTGTTGAACTAATATGCACTTGAGGGGTCCCTGACCACGGGAGGAGGGAGGGAGGGACGGGCAGGCAGACATCAACAGCCGCCAGTGGCTCCCAGGCTCTCATCTGAGACAGGACAGGGAGGTAGGGCGAGCCTGGAATGAACGCTGGGTGGAAATGCCCGGGGAACCACAGGGAGCAAGACGTGGACTCCAGGAAGATGGTGCTCTGGTGGGTGGGAGTATGGAGGGCAGAGGGCAGGGTGGCCAGGGTGGACCCTCTCCATCAAGGGTCGCTGCAGGGAGGCAGGGCGAAGACGGGACGGGGAGATGGTGGGTATGGAGGGACAAGGGCAGAGAACTGGGCAGCCTAGGGCAGGCTCACCCTCAGACAGGCTGGCAGAAAGGGGTTGCCAGGCTGGCAGAAGAGGGGTCACCAGCAAAGCAGGAGTGGGCAGAGGCAAGAGGCACAGAAGGCAGAGGCCGTTCTGCCGCAGTGCAGCATCCGATCAGCGGCTGGTCAGCAGCTGGAGGCTACTCTCCTCTACTCCACAGGTCCAGTTGCTCTTCAGAACTCAAAATCCCATCTCTGCAGGTCTCAGCCAATCCTGCTCCCGCCTGTTTTTATTTCCTGCCCAGAGCAAGTACAGAACCGAGGGCCATCGATGGGCGAGAAATCACTGTGCCTCCAAGCTGTATTTTTCACCGTAACAAGTCATTACTTCTGTGCCCGGAGTCATTTCTCAGGATCTTAATGCATTCGTTTATCAATCAATACTTAACTGATGTCTATAAAGCATGTTCAAAATCAGAGGTGAGAGCAGCTCACCAGGTACCGACTTCGTGTCTGGAGCCACCTTGTTAAGGAGCAACCCTTGGCACGGGTCCCGTGTCTGCACCCTCGGGAGCTCTGGGTGGGTGCACTGGGGTCCTCACAGCCCTTCCCACCACCGCAGATGGAAATCTCTACCTGGCAGAGGGGCTCAGTCGTCCCCACCTGGGAGTCTGGGGCCTACCGGCAGCAGAAGGTGCAGTGGCCAAACACAGAGACATTTCTATCATCAGACCTGGTCCCCAGCCTGACTCTGCTGCCCACTTACCCCTGGCCAGGGCGAGTTCATCGACTGTGCCGAGCCTGGCTGCTTCTCCAGCCTAACAGGAGTCCCCGTCTCGACAGGACTGAGTGGGGTGAATGCAGCCAAGTGCTCAGCAGAGACTGTCCCACCGGGAAGTGTTCACAAATATGGGCTGTTGAACCTGCTGTTGTTAGATCTAGATCCAGTTCTGCGACCACGTTCATGACTTAGATCATAACTGAAGTGCGGGCCAGCCGAGGCCGGGCCGTTTAGGGGTTTGGCTGCTAATTCAAGAAGGACACCTGGGTTTGGATCCCAGAGTTCCCTCCAGACCCAGATGTGGCCTCAGGCAGGTGATGAGCCTGGAGATGCGGTTTCATTTTCTGCAGGGTGGTCAAAGGAGATCTCAGGCTTGTAGGAGACAAAGCACATCGCCCCGAACTGCTCAGGAGGCGCAGATTACAGCCACCCTCCTTATCCACCCCGTCTCCCATCACAGCCCTCATGAGTGCTCAAGCAAGGCTCAGGGCCTGATGGACGTGGCTGCCTCCTCCTAGAGGACAGGCATGTCTCGGCTGCCTGCACCAGCCAGCGGCCCTTCTCCCCGGCCAGGAGATCCTCCAAGGAAGGCCAAGGGCCAAGCAGGTAGGCTAGGGATGGGCTCTGGTACATGGGCCCCATTCCCATGATTGGAAACTTCCCAGGCGCCATTTGTCACCTTGACTCGCTGTTTCAAGCCCGGCTCTCCCTGGGGCGCCAGGAGTGGGCCCAGGCCCTTCCGACAGCCGGCCTGCAGCTGTGCTGGTGACTGATTGGGGATGAGGCCACTGTCCCTGCCTTCCTGGGAGCCAGGATGTTGATTGAATGGCCATTTCACTCTCTCCAACAAGCAAGTAACAGTGTAAACTGGGGTCTAATTTATCAAAAACAGTCGCTTGTATTCTGCGTGGCCCATGTTCTGGGCTGAAACAGCCGCTACCCAGCTCCTGGCCCACGTGCGTGCGATTTCCTGATATTTCAGTTTTATGGAAGACATCTCACTGACGAATGTCTCTTAGTGAACGATCATTCTGGAAGCTATTTTGCCTTCAAAGAGGCTTCTCCTGGAATGGGCTGGGAGGGGCGGGCACCGTGTTATATATAAATTCACTGCCAGGAGCGCCCAGCAGGGGAGGGAATGAGATCGGCAGGAGATGAGAATGAAATGTGTGCGGCTGCAGCCAAGCCTGTCCTCCCTGTCACCGTCCGAGGGCTGCTGGGATGGGCGGGAAGGCCAGATGTGGGACAGGTGGCCCAAGTGACGCCCCCAGCTTCACCACCTGCCACTGCCTGGCCTTGGGCAGCTCACTCCCTCTGGGAGCCTGGGCTTCTCACGGGGCATAATGATTTACAAATTGCTGCCACTTCTCTGCTTGCTCTCGACCATCATTACACGTCAGGCAGGGCTGGGACTGGAGGCTGAGCTGTGTCCCAGCTACGGGTGACCGTGCCAGAGCTGCCAGGGATCCTGAGGCACAATGAGAGCCTTCCTTCCACCCACCGTGCGCTTTCTGCCTGTGATGTGGCCGAGACATCGCAGGCTGTGGGGTCCTCAGCGCTCAGGCTCCCTGTACTCTCTCTCCCTGCATACCTGGACCTCCGTTCTCTCTTGCTGGAGGCCTAGAAAAAGTCCCTGGAATGAAATCACTCAGGCTCTGGTGCAGACACTGGCACCGCCTGTCCAGGGGGCCCCGGATAAGTCCCTCCCACTCTCTGGACTCAGGGGCCATGTCTGCAAATGAGGCTGGAAAACGAGATGGTCCCTACAAGGCCCTCTGGTACCTGGAGGGACTGAGTGTCCCAGCCTGGGCCCTGCAGCAGCCCTTCCATATCATGCATGCAAGGGACTCTGAATCCCAACCCCACCATTAGAAGGGCCGCTGTCAGCCAAGAACAGGATCGTCATCCCCTCCGTCCCCTGCACAACGGAGCATAGCTGCCCCTTTCTACCATCTTTGTTCTAGGTTGAGGTTCTCAAAGGGGAGTCCCAGGCCAGCAGCATCAGTCCCACCTTGTAGTGTGCTAGAAATGCAGATTCTCAGGCCCCTCTGCGGTCTATAGAATTCAGAAGTCAGGTGCTGGGGCCCAGGAATCTACTTTAACAGGCTGCATTTTCTGCAGCTGCTGGAGCAGATGACCACAAACTCAGTGACTGCAGAGTGCACGCGCTCATCACCTTACAGTTGTGTAGGCTGGGATCCCACTGGGCTAAGACCAAGGTGTTGGGAGGCTGCGTTTCTTGCTGGATGCTGTAAGGGAGAAGTCGTTTCCTCGTGTTTTTTTAACTTCCTTGGCCCACGGACCTTCCTCCACCTTCAAAGCCAGCAGCCTCGCGTCTTCTGACCTTCCATTGTCACATCGTCATCTGACCCACGTAAGGACCCGTGTGATTAGGGTGGGCGCACCCGGGTAATCTTCCCATCTCAAAGTCCTTGACTGAATCACATCTGCAAAGTCCCCTTTGCTACGTAAGGTCACATGTTCACAAGATCCAGGGATTAGGACTTGGACATTTTTGGAAGCCCATTGTCCTGCCAACAGCACAAGACCTCCAGGTGATCCTGATGTGTAACGCACAGTGAGAGACAAATGCTCTGATGGACCATCAACAGCAGAACGTAAGCAGGGAGAGGGACCCCGCCTTCCTCCCCAATCTGGCCCTGTGCCTAGCAAATTATAGAACTTTTGTAAGCAAATGAGTTCATTTGTGAATAAATGAACGACCGGTGAGACGAAGAGCTGGGCGTAGCAGCCACAGGTGGGGCTGCCAAATAAAATGCAAGATGCGTGGTTAAATCTGAATTTCAGATAAATAACAAGTACTTATGTTTTTGGGGGTTTTTTTGTTTTTTTGTTTTTTTTTTGAGATGGAGTCTCGTTCTGTCGCCCAGGCTGGAGTGCAGTGGTGTGATCTTGCCTCACTGCAAGCTCCACCTCCCGGGTTCAAGTGATTCTCCTGCCTCAGCCTCCTGAGTAGCTGGGATTACAGGCATGTGCCACCATGCCTGGCTAATTTTTGTATTTTTAATAGAGACGGGGTTTCACCATGTTGGTCAGGCTTGTCTTGAACTCTTGACCTCAGGTGATCCACCCGCCTCGGCCTCCCAAAGTGCTGGGATTACAGGCATGAGCCACCACACCTGGTAACAAGTAGTTTTTTACTACCAGTGTGCCTCTAACAATATTTGAGATATACTAAAAAAAAAAGTTGTTTTTTATCTGAAATTCAAATTTAGCTGATATCCTGTATTTTTCTTTGTCAAATGTGGCTTCTCTAAGCATCAGTCCAGCCATGGCCCAGGTGGTGAACCTGGAAATTCATTCCTCCCTCCAGAACTCTGTTTCCCTGCTCAGTGTTCTAGAAAGCATCCCCTTCTCTGGCAAACCCTGTCCAATCTCTCAGGGAAGATGAGGCCTCCTTCCTCTTCCTGTCCTCCGTTAATCGATATTCCCACCCCAACCCCTCCTAGAATTTGGTGATCTGGGGTCTGAAGTCTTCTACCAGGAGCTCAAGCTGATGGGCTGAGAAGCCCAGTTCTGACGTGAATTCTGCACCCCTCCTTCGGGAACAAGGAAGACCCAAGCTTGCTTATCTCTAGATCCTGCGGGGGGCTTTTGAGAATCCCTAGTTTTGAGGCTGTGGGATGGAGCTGCATGGGAGAGCCAGGAGGAAGACCCTGGCACAGCACGCTCTGAGTATGGGGTTGCTGCTGGCCCACCCTGTTCCCTCCACACTCTGGAGGATGTGGAGTGGACGCCATCAGGGTGCAGCCATGCAGAACGGCTGGGTCTGTCCCTGTGTCCTCACGCACAGAGCTCTGGAAGGCAGGCAGACGTCCTCACACATCTGTGAGCCAAAAGGCAAAAAACAAAAGAAGCAAACAAAAAAATCCACTCCGATGTTCTTATGCTTATGGGTTCTACAGACTTGCATATACATAATGTAATGAAAATTCTTGATTTCATCTTCAGAGACATAAATGGAAGAAAATGTACATAAAAGAGAGTCCACTTAAACATGTGATCCTCTCAAAGGAAGAAAAGAACAGGGCTCACTCATCCACATCAACCCGGTGAGGCCCGGACACCCCCCACCTCTTCTGCTTAGAGCCCTATTATCCTTTGATCTCCCTAATAATGTGTTTCTTTCCTGGTAATAGGTTTTCATCATCCTCACAGCCTATTGATTAGAACTCTTTTCCAGGGTTTTGAGATATTGGCTAAAATAAGGGATGAAATGATTCAGTCTTCAGGTGATGTTTCAAAGGAGGCGTGTTCGTAATGTCCTCCCGCGACGAGGGACCTGGCCAAGAGAAACTACGCAGGAGGCCCAGAAGGCAGAGCCTGCTCCAGGTCGGCCTCACTGCTGTCCCTTCTGACCTCTCGACATTTTGGTTTTGGCATGGTGAATGGGGCTACCACAGTGGGCCAGCCAGCATGACCCCCTGACCAGACCTGGAGGCAGGCAGAGGAAAGGAGAGGGCCAGGGATGGGTGGGTGGCCGGGTGTGTGCCGTTTGCTGAAGTTGAGGCACTGTGGTTCCTGGAATCCTCAGCCCAGGGACTTCTAAGACACATCTCTAAGACACAAACAAGATCTACACCTCTAAGAGGGAAGGAATGACCGGCCCATCGCAGGCTGTCTTCGACTGTTGGGGCTCCCATGACAAAATGCCATAGACTTAGGGGCCGATGAACAACAGCCATTGGTTTCCCACAGTTCTGGAGGCTAGAAGTCCAAGAGCAAGGCTCCAGCAGAACGTCTGGTGAGGGCCGCTTCCTGATTCATAGACGGCACCTCTTTGCTGTGTCCCCGCCTGGTAGAGGGCTGAGGGATCTCCCTCAGAACTCTTTTAAAAGGGCACTCTCCTCATTCACCAGTGTTCCACCCTCAGGACCTAATCACCTCCCAAGGGCCCCACCTTTTAATACTATTTAATACCATTGCATTAAGGATTAGGTTTCAACATGTGAAACTGCAGGACACACACACTCAGCCCATAGCAGATGCCCTGAAGGGGCTGTGAAGTGTCGTGAGTAGAGCCCCAGGAATGGAGGGTTCTGGAGGGGCACATAGGTCCAACAGAGCGCAGGCATAAGGTGGGAAGCCAGAGGGGGCTGTGTGGGCCGGACTGGGTCAAATCAGGAGGCCTGGAGATGCCTGGTGAGGAGCCCCGGTCCCACGATGTAGGGGGCCTGTCGGCACAGGAGTGTAGGCCACGGGCTTGTGGGCAGCCTCCCTCAGGAGGGTGTGGGGCTGATGAGCAGGTGTGGGCGCAGGTGCATGCATCAGGACGTGTCCCCTGCGGAAGCAGCTCCTGTAGGATCACCTCCTCCACCAGCGACCAGGAAGGACATTGCATTTAGACTCTAGGTGAGTCCAGCTTCACTCATCGCCAGCTGAGGCCTCATTTTCTCATCTCTAAGACATAAACAACCACCCCCTCTTCCCAGGAACACACACACACACGCGCGCGCACACACGTGGTTCTGCGGCTCATAACTAAATGTAATGAAAGGTAAACTAAAGTGCCCCTCCATGGAAATCGACCCCAATTCAGCCTCTAATCCTGAGATGCAAGATTCAGAACCAGTATGTCAAGGAAAAGTGTTTCTCTGCATTGATCCTCGAGGATACTAAATGTATATTTTAAAAAATAAATTCTGTCCCAAGTGTTTGGTGAGACAGAGAGAGAAGCAGCCGCTTCTGAAGTGAGCACAAGGACGTGGCTTTTCTGGAGGCTTCCTCATTGCAGGACCCATCCATCACCTTCAGGGGTTCGATGAAACCGTTGCAAATATGATCAATCATCTTTTTATTGAATTAAGACAAATGGCTGGTTATTAATAGGCTAAGACTTAATGAGGAAAATGGATAATGCCGCACAGGGAAAAGGCAAAGAACTGTGCACACAGCCTCTGCACTTTTTCTAGAAAGATCTGGAAGTGTCTTCAGTGAGAAAAGCCCCGGGCTGGATGACCTCTTTGATTCACACTAAGGACTCAAGGAAGCAAAAACTCCTAGGTTGACCCTTTCTCCACCACCTTCTATCTGTGTGATCTTCAGGCAGTGACTTGACCTCTCTGAACTTCTGTCTCTTCACAAAGGTGCTTGGCTTATGATGTTGTGCCTGGCAGACGCAGACTGAGAGAAGCAGAGTCCTGGCCTCCAAAATCTGAGTTGTGTGTGGGACAGAATGGTGTGCTTCACCTGCGGTTCTGAGGGGGCCGGCGGGATCAGATGCTGGCACAGGACATGGGAAGGGGGTGCGTGTGGGGCAGAGCCGTGCAGCAGGTGCACAGCTGTGCAAGGTCCCCTGATGGGCCCTCTCTGCTCCATGTTTCCAGAAATCCTTGGAAAGGAGCTCAAGTGGCACAGTATCTGGAGCGTGTTGTGGACTTGGTTGGGATGCCTGGTGTCTGTTTATGGCAGCACTTCTGGGGAAACAGATTGTGTTTATGTCAGAAAGAAAAGACCATGTTTCGGGGCAATCCCTGCAGCTCGTTAGGTCAAATCAACACCCCCAGCCCATCTGCCTCCGCAGGGTGCCTCGGCCCCACTCAGTGCCGGCAGACAGGAGCCTCCCAGGGAGCAGCCGAGCTCCAGGGCGGGGGAGCCACCACCGAGCACAATAGCCAATCAGCCCCTTCCTAGAAGCAAGTCAGGCTGCCCGGCGTGCTTTCTGTCTGTCGTTCCTGCAGCCTCCACGGGCACCGGCCCAGGTGGTCCCTGGCTGGATGGTCAGAACTCAGAGCTGTGAGCTGTGGCTGCTGATTCCCTCCTGAACAACAGGGTCTAGGGAGACAGGCAGACACAGAAACCTCAAGTGAAGTGGGGGCTGCGGGCTGGGGGTGCTGCACGGGGCAGTCAGGGGCACAGCAAAGAGGACGTGACCTCAGGTCCTCGGCAGCAGGGAGGGAAGGCATGGAGTACATGCTTTCCTCTGGGAAACACTCATATCCGATTCACATGATATTGTCCGCAGTGCTGAGCCTGGCAGACCTACATCTTCATCTTTTTGGTGCGTTAATGAGGATTTTTATTTCTTCTTTAATGATTAATTCCTAAAATTATAATACTTATGTGAATAGTACCAATGCTTAATATTTTTGATAAAAATTTAAAAATTGAGCTCCAAAAGGGATTCACCAATTAATATTTCCATCATCATTATGCAGAAGTTGCTATTTACTCACATCCTTAATTATAGAGGAAAGTATCAATGAATGTTTACCAATTTAATGACTCAAATATTTTCATATCTATATTTCTCCATTATTAGTGACATTGTGCACTTTTACTTATGTGTATTGACGATTTGTACTTTTACTCTGTGAATTTCTTTTTCTCTTCTTTTTTTCAACTTTTATTTTAGAATTGGAGAGTACATGTGCAGGTTTGTTATGAAGTTATATTGCGTGATGCTGAGGTTTGGAGCATGAGTGAATCTGTTACCCAGGTACTGAGCATAGTACCCAATAGGTAGTTTTCTTTCTACCTTGCCCCCAGGAGTCCCCAGTATCTATTTTTCCCATCTTTGTGTCCATCTGTACCTAATGTTTATCTCCCACTTACAAGTGAGAAAACGTGGTATTTGGTTTTCTGTTCCTGCATTAATTTGCTTAGGATAAAAGTTTCTAGCTGCATCCATGTTGCTGTGAAGGACATGGTTCCATTCTTTTTCATGGCTGTGTAGTATTCCACGGTGTCTGTGGGTTTTTTTTAAAGGTTGTTTTTGAAGAATACTTGACAACATGGAGAAATTCTCAATGCGTGAAAAAAAAGTAAAAGGAAAGTAAAAGGGAACAGAAGTATATATAAAGCATGTTCCAATATTGTCCAAAAATATTATTATTGATTATCTGGGAGAAGTTTATGGGTATTTATGCTTTTTTCCATCTTTGAAAAATACTCTGAGAATATGCATTAGTTTTATGAGGAAAGTGCATGTTATAAAGCCTAAAGATGAATTGTGTCTCCCCACAAAAGATAGGTTGAGGGACTCAGCCTGTGGCCTGATTTGGAAGCAGGGTCACTACAGATGGAATTAGTTGAGGTGAGGTCGTCCTGGAGTAGGTGAACTCCAATCCAAGATGACTCATGTTTTTGCCAGGAGAACAGCCATGTGGAGAGAGACCACAAAAGAAGCCACGTGAGGATGGAGGCAGAGACTGGAGCCACACAGCCACAAGCCAGGAGTGCCACAGATGGCCAGACTCTGCCAGGAGGGCTCCTCCACACAGGATTCCCAGGGAGCACAGCCCTCCTGCCCCTGGAGCCTGGACTTCTGGCCTCCAGGACTTTAAGACAGTAACTTTCTGTTGCTTGAAGCCACCAGCTGTGGTTCTTCCTTACAGTGGCCATTTTCCAAGGAGTGGCTCCTGGTGTGAGGACACAGCAGCCACTGAAGGGGCCAACGCCGGCTTGCAGTGGCCGTCCAAAGGACTGGACATTTCACCGCTGAATCCAGAAGGGGGCCTGCCTGGCCTCGCCCTCTCGTGAAGGGCCACAGGCTGTTTGGGAAGGAACCCAAGGGTGCCCAGCGGGAAAGGCAAACTAGGATGGGCTTCCAGGCACACTCTCCCCTAGGCCACCTCGGCCGGAGCCTCCAAGGGTGGGGCCCAGGGCCTCCAGCTGCTCTCAGGACCACCCACCCCCCATGACAGAGCAGAAACCCACGGATACCCGTTCCTCAAAAACTGTCCCCTGGCCCATCCAGGAGGAACCATCAGCTTACTGCGAACATCGTGCTTCAAAAAAAGCCCTTAAACAATAGAACCTTTTTATTTTTTAACTTTTTAACTCAGCAGCCACTATGTGATATTGTACACTGTCACAATGTACAATAGCTCCCCCTTATCCGTGGGGGGCACATCCCCAGACCCCCAGCAGATGCCTGAAATCTCAGACAGCACCGCACCTGACAGCCACCCATGGGAACATTGTTCACGTCTTCCAGCCACAGATTTCCTGTCTTTCCCATTTTAACTGAGTCCGTATCATGCTCTGTGGCTGTAACTTTTGCATTTTGAGGTGTGACAGCAAAACTAGCATGAATTTCTTTTTCTTTCTTCACAATTTCTTTAATAGAAGATTCCCTCTGACCCTAGTTCTTAGCAGCCTCAGCAAACAATTATTTTATATCCTTATAAAGTGTAGAGCTTTCACCTTTTCATTTAAGGAAGCACTTTACGGCTTCTCTTTGGTGTACCTGAATTGTTGGTATCACTACTCTAGTACTTTGGGGCCATGGTTAAGTGAAATAAGGGTTCCTTGAACATAAGCACTCAGAAGCCACAAGAGTGGATCTGATAACCCAGATGGCCACCAAGTGATGAGAGGGTGGGAGCGCCCACAGCCTGGAGATGCTGGACGAAGGGAGGATTCTCGTCCAGGCAAGATGGGGCAGACAGCATGAAACTTAAGCATGCAATTCAGAATGGTCTGCAATTTAAAACTTATGCATTGTTTATTGCTGGAATTTTCCATTTGATATTTTTGGGTCTTGGTTGACTATGGGTAACTGAAACCATGGAAAGAAAAACAAAAGAGAAGGGAGAACAATTGTATTGGAAATACGATGGTGGATGAAACAGACAGCATCTCTCCTCCAATGCTGTGAAGGGGGTTTGTATCTGAGACTCATGCCCATCCCTTTCCTGCCATCTCCGCGGGGCTCTGAGAGGCTCCCCACATCACAATTTAGAAACTATTGCTCAATTCAAGGGAAGGCCCCACCTGGACCCCTCCTCAGGCTACTGCAGTCTGATGGCAGCCCCGAGTCCCCTCCTCTCATCCCAAACTGCTGGCCTGCGGGTCCTCACTCTGGCCCCCATCACCATGACCACCCTCAGAAGCTCGGGGGAGTGCGCGCAGAGTGGCCTCCAATACACTAGGCCTGGGCACGGGGGACAGATGTGACTCTGTCCAAGTCACATCCCCACAGCCCACCTGGGAGACGGCTCTTGTCAGGTCATCTCAGTGGTGAGATGGAGACCGGGGAAATGGGTAGCACTTTCTGTTTCCACAAAATGGTGTTCCGGAGATGAGTCATATTTAAGCAAGACGCTTCCTCTAAACAATTAAATATTCCCCGGAAATGGAGGCTGGCAGTGAGCAAGTCCATATATTAGCCTTACTGGGGGCCTAGCCGCACTCCATCTATGTTCCAGCCTGATGTACATGGCCTCTACCATGAAAGAGACTGATTGGCAGCATTTTTTTCTGTCCTCATTGCATGCAGGTCCAAACCCTTCTGAGAAGTCCATAAACCAAGGTACCAGCACCATGGCTGCCCCCACCTGCCCCCTGCCCGGCTCGCTCCAGGAAACCGTGGTGCAGCCGGGGGCTTCCTCCTTCCTGAGGTTTTTTATTCCAGACAGGCAGCTGCTGGCAGCGCTTAGAGAGCGATTTAAAAGCCCACTAACAAGGAGTCTTGGGCTATAACACAGAAACTCACAGAATGGTGCTCTCGTGGGCAACTTATTCATTTTAGTGCTACTCAGAGAGGCCTAAAAAGACCTGATAAATACTTAAAATCAGAATGATCCTGAGAGTGTTTCACAACACAACAGGTATTTAATTGGCCTCAATTCCGTGTTAGGAAGGCGTGGGAAAGGCGCCGTTAAGCCATTTATATACCCAGATGACTGCCCCCTCCTCCCCAAGCCTACGACGGAGCCTGGCTACCTTGTTTCTTAGCGGGGAATAAAGCAAATAATTTTGCGAGAGGCAATAAAGTAGGATTGGGGAGGGAGAGACGGGACCAGATCCAAGGGTGGCTGCGAATGTCAAAAGGACACTGCTTGGCTTGGTCTCTCCATTGACAGCACCTCAACTCCTCTTTAGGAATTAGCTCCCTGCAGGCCTGGCATGAGGAAGGGGCCTTCACTGCCTGGGCAGCTTCCAGGGGCCATGGGGGAGCTCCGAGAGGTGTTTCCAGGGTTTCCCATCCAGCAGGCGATGCCAAGCATTGGGGCATCCACAGAGGGCAGCACTCACCAGGGCTGGGTGTCTGCTCCCATTTCCAGGGTTGCGATCCTCCTAGGCATGGCAGCCAATTCCGTGTCTTTCTGCCTCCTCCTGTTCATCTCTGGTCTAGCTCTGGATTCTGTCTTTTCTCCCATGTACAATGCATGCAGTTCAGGGAAGCTGACTCCAGGTTGGCTGTGGGATCTGGTTTATCTGTGTAGACATGACTCCCACAACATCAGTAGAGACCTGACTCCCCCAAAACTACACTTCGGTTGTAACACAGGTCACGGTGGCTGACCAGGCTCCGGGATCCAGGGCTGCAAACCCCAACTCTGAGATCCGTGCCCCTGCGACAGGCTGCTAAGGGGCTATAGCGTGACATTCTGTGTCCACATCTAAAATACTGGTATTTTATGAACTAGGCACTGTTCTCAGTGCTGACAGACAAACTGCCTTGCCCTCAGGGAGTTTACATCCTAGTGGAGGGAGATTAATCACAAAAATATAGAAAGACAAGTTATATAGGGCATCAGTAGGTTATACGCGATGAAGGGAAGGAGCCAAGAAGAAACGAGGGGTGGTGTTGACAGCACAGCGGGAGGGCAGGGAAGGCCCCTCGGAGATGATCCTCCAGCAAGGACTTGCGGTTGTAATAACCATGTGGACAGTGGAGGGACACTGTCCTGGGCAGCAGGGAAGGCCCCTCGGAGATGATCCTCCAGCAAGGACTTGCGGTTGTAATAACCATGTGGACAGTGGAGGGACACTGTCCTGGGCAGCAGGAATGGCCCACGCCAAGGCCCCGTGGCAGAGGGATGTCAAGAGTGCTCCAGGGACAGCCAGGGCTGGTGAAGAGTGAATGAGGAGAAGAGTGCAGGAAATGGGGGTCTCAACCTTGCAGATCCTCATAGACTCGTGTGAAGCTTTCACTTCCACCCTGCCTGAGATGGAGAATCACAGGAAGCTTTGAGCAAGAGGTTGTAGGGTGTAATTTAGGATTTAAAAAGCCCTGGAGGCTCTGGGGAAGAGTCCACGCTGAAGCATGGGTTCGGTTGGCCACCTGAATCCAGTTGCCTGAGGCTGTAGGGCTGAGGTCCCCACTTCCTTGCTGGCAGTCAGCTAGGGGCTGCACTTGGACCCTAGAGGCCACTGCGTTCCTCACCACAAGGGCCCCCATCTTTAAGGTCAGAGCCCTCTCGGGCTTTGAATCTCTGGCTTCCTCTTCTAGGACCAGCCTGAGAAAACTCTCTCCTTCTAAAGGACTCACTTGACGGGGTCAGCTCATCAGGATCCTTCTCCACCTTCCGCCCTGAGCCTGCCTTCCCTGACCGCTCTACAGGAAAGGGCGGCCCCCACCCACCTCTGCCCCAACCCCTATCCTTGCTTAGTTGCCCACCAGAGGCCGACGGCCACCTGACAGATGCTCTTTGATGTTTACTTTCTCTCCACCCTCTAGATCATTCCATCAGGTGGGCGGCACTGCATGATCCCCACTAAATTACCAGCACCTGGACTGGTGCCTGGCCCATGGTGGATGCCCAGGACACGCATGCGGACTGTTTGAAGGGGGAAGGAGTGAGTAGCCCCCAGCCCTGGAGCTGGCTTCATTCCACCTGCACGGTTCCTGGAATGCACCAAACCCTCTCCTCCTGCCTCTTTCTACCTGCTGTGCCTGGAGACAGCAAGAGCTCCCTCTTCTCCAAGACTCCCCCGTCCCACAGCTGTCTGCCGCTCCTTGTCGGACCCGCACTCCAGGGTCACGTGTTCGGAGGAGGCTCTGGGCTTCTCTAAGAGCACCCTCGTCACCGCTACTCAATTCTCCTGTTTGATTTTTGCAGGGCAGCGCTGTCCAATGGAAACAATGCAGACCTCATGTGTGACCTTCAATTGTCTAGTGTCTAAATGTTTTAAAAGGTAAAAAGACTAGTCACAGTTAAATACAATGTGTCATCCTGTATCAAATCCTGGAGAAGAAAAAGACCTCTTAAAAAAAAATAAAAATTAAGAAAATCTGAACAAATTATGAGTTTGAGTTATAAAAATGCATGTTATTATAACTCAAGTATTATTACTAATTTATATTATTATATATTATATTATTATAATATATAACTATCATATAGTTATATAAAATATATAATATATTAAAATACATAATACTTAGAAATATATAATTATATATAGCAATATATAACTTTAACATATGTCAATAATTATATTATTTTATATTGTATTATATTTATATAATTATTTTATATTATATTTACATAATTATACAATTTTATATTATATAAATATAATTATATGTAATTAGTTTATATATATTACAATGATACATGGATATACGAATAATATATGAATATATTTAAGTTTAATAATAGAAATAAATAATTATAATATAATTATATATTAACATAATAATATATAATTATATTAATATATTATTGATCTATTATTGATAATTAATATTATTATATTATTATATAATATAATGATTGTATATAATTGATAAATTATTAATTATGAAATAATTAATTATAATATAATAATGATATGCAATTATTTGACATATAATTGTATATAATTATATATAAATATATAATTATTTTATAATTAATAATTTCTATTATTAAACTTAAATAATATTCATAACATTATTATAACTCAAATATTAATATATTTGAGTTATATAAAGTTATGAATATTATTTAAGTTTAACAATACAGATTATTATTAAAATATTGTTAATTCGTTAGTTGTGGAAAATCTACCACTGGAATGGAATATGTTAGCAATAGGGGAAATCAGGTGTGGGGTACAGAAGACTCTATCACCTTCACAACTTCTCTGTTAATCTACTCTAACATTAAAAAGATTTTTTAGTCAGTAAAAACAACTAGGTGAAATTAATTTTAATGATATATTTTATTTACCCCAGCATGTCCGAAATATTACCATTTCAATGTGTGATGAATATAGAAAAATTTTAATGAGATATTTGACTTTTTTAACAAGTCTTTAAAATCCTGTGTGTGGTTTCCATTGACAACACATCTCAGTTCAGACTGGCCACATTTCAGGCACTTGAGCCATGCATGGTGGGTGGCCCTGCGGGGGACAGCACAGGCCTGGAGCCTGCGCCACTGTCTGGAATGGCCTCGCATGTGTGAGCATCTTCTTCCTGTCTCTCCACAAGAATCCATGTACTGTGTGGAGAGAGACGGTGTCCTGCCCGTGACCCTCACGTCTTTGGTAGCTGGAATGGAGGCGGCACAAAGTAGCCGCTCAACAAACACACAAACAAACCAGACCTGATCTCTGCCCATTAACTGCAGACTGCTATGACCAATTGCCCATTCAGTGTCTCCACATGAACACCTGTATCGACCATCTATTGTGGAACAAACCACCTAAAACAACACCCATATCCCTGGACCACAGTCGTGAGGGGGAGCAGTTGGGTTGGGCTCGGTGGGGCAGTATTTCCTGGGTCAGCCTGGGATCGCTCAGGCAGTTGTGTCCCCCTGCAGCTGATGGGGCCGGGTTCACCTAAGGTGGTGCCCATGCGGCTGGTGGCTGGGCTGGCTCAGCCCATCTCTCGCCCTCACCGAGGCTGACTCTGTGTCTTCAGTGGCAGGAGCAGCTGAGGAAGGCAGGAATGGGGATAAGACACCGGTAGGCTCAGGCCTGGAACTTGGACAAAGTCGCTTCTGCACGTGCTCTTGGCCCAAGCAAGCTGGGAAGCAGCCCAGGATGGAGGGCTGGGGAGCAGACTCTGCTGCGCACTGGAAGAGAGCAGAAGGCTCCTATCCACGGCCATGTTGTTAGGACGCTCAAAGGCCACGTGGCAGAAAGAGAATCACGGGTTGCTCCCCACTTCCCTGAAGACCTTTCCATCTCAGCCCTATTCTTATCCAGGTGTCCTCCCTGAATAACTCACTTTGCTCCCACCTAGGTAGCATGTCCGGGAAGGAACACACCCTAAAAGCTCCACCTCCAAGCCCCTTTCTGATTTCTCTGTCTTTACTGCCAAGATCCTTGTCTCAGCCATGCCATCTCCAACCTAGACTCCTGCTGGTCCCTCTGCCCTCACTCTCTCAAACCCCACTTTCCATTCTTCCCGCGCAGCCAGGGGAGTGCTGGGGCCTCAACCAGGTATCACCCCTCCCTCTGTACCCTCAGCAGGCTCTGCGCTCCTAGGGAGCCCTCAGCTGCCTCCTGCAGGCCGCTCCGTTTCCTGTGCAACTCCCCGGACCCCGTGTCTCCCTCACTTCTGCTCCTACAAACAGGCAAAGCCCACTCCCCACGAAGGGCTTTGTGCTGCTTCTGGAACATTCCTCCTCGCATCTCAACAGGGCTAGCTGCTCCTTGCCCATCCGAAATCACCTTCCCGGCCACCCGCCACTCCCTGAGACTCTAGGAGACTCCAGCCCACCTCGTGTAAACAAGGCACACACCAGCCACTGCTTTTCCTGTTTTTGTTTGTTTTGTTTTGTTTTGTTTTCTGCTGTTACGGTCATCGTGTTTTCTACCCCACGAGGGCAGGGCTCTTTCACCTTGCCCATTTCTTTTTAAAATTTTTTTATTGAGGCCGGGCGTGGTGGCTCATGCCACTTTAGGAGGCTGAGGAGGGCAGATCACCTGAGGTTGGGAGTTTGAGACCAGCCTGACCAACATGGAGAAACCCTGTCTCTACTAAAAATACAAATTAGCTGAGCGTGGTGGCGCATGCCTGTAATCCCAGCTACTCGGGAGGCTGAGGCAGAATTGATTGAATCCAGGAGGTGGAGGTTGCAGTGAGCCGAGATCGTGCCATTGCACTCCAGCCTGGGCAACAAGAGGGAAACTCCAACTTAAAAAAAAAAAAAGAGTGTATTGAATGTATTTACGGGCCACTACAGATTTTGTCATTCATACCCATTATGGAATGGCTAAATTGAGCTAATTCACATAACCACCACCTCGCATACTTATCTTTTTTTGTGTGGTGAGAACATTGAAAATCTACCCACAGCAACCTCAGGTGCATAGCACAGCCCTGTTACCCATGGTCCCCATGCTGTGCGATGGATCTCCAGGCCATTCTCCTCCCGGGGTCCTGAGCCTACCTGCCCTTTGACCAATATCTCCCCACCCTTCTCTACCCCTACCCTAGCCCCTGGTGACCACCATGCTGCCCTCAGTGTCTACGAGTCCCAGTCTTCCACATTCTATATGCAAATGCAACCCCGCATTTGTCTTCTGAGCCTGGCATATTTCACTTGCCCACTTCTGTGTCCCCAGGACCCTCAGCAATGCCCAGCACAAAGCAGGTGCTCAGTGAATTTGTTGAATAAGTGGGTGAAGCCCAGATAGGGGCTCCCAGGAGGCAGGGGAGGTTCTGCCTCCCCTCTCTGCCCTCGGTTCTAGAACAGAGCTCAGCAAACACGCTGAGGGGATGACGGAGCCCAGAGCTGCTTCCTGCCCCTCCTGGTGTTCTCTCCAGCCCTGGCCAATGCTGACTCCCTGACCAGGCACACAGAGGGCACATTGATCTGATATCAGGAGGGTGACCCCCAACCAAGGCTGCTGCAGGCCTCTGATGTGCTTCTCCACTTACCAAGTGCCTTCCCAAGGAGGGCTCCCCTCTGCTGGGGAAAGCTCCACAATGGCTTTTAAACTCCAGGTCATTTCCTGCCATCTTTGGCCAGTGTGCCCTCTCTCTATAAAGACTGATTCTCAGCTGGGTACGGTGGCTCACGCCTGTAATCCCAGCACTTTGGGAGGCCAATGTGGGTGGATCACCTGAGGTCAGGAGTTCGAGACCAGCCTGGCCAACATGGTGAAACCCCCATCTCTACTAAAAATACAAACATTAGCCAGGGGTGGTGGCATTAGCCAGGTGTGGTGGCATGTGCCCCATCTCTACTAAAAATACAAACAAACATTAGCCAGGTGTGGTGGCATTAGCCAGGTGTGGTGGCATGTGCCCCATCTCTACTAAAAATACAAACATTAGCCAGGTGTGGCGGCATTAGCCAGGGGTGGTGGCATTAGCCAGGTGTGGCGGCATTAGCCAGGGGTGGTGGCATGGGCCCCATCTCTACTAAAAATACAAACATTAGCCAGGTGTGGAGCATGTGCTCGAATAGTCCCAGCTATTCGAGAGGCTGAGGCAGGAGAATTGCTTGAACCTGGGAGGCAAAGCTTGCAGTGAGCTGAGGTCCTGCCACTGCACTCCAGCCTGGGTGACAAGAACAAGACCCCGTCTCAAAAAAAAAAAAAAAAAAAAGACTAATTCTTACCCCTGCCTGATTTGACCCTTACTGCCCTGCCCATGTGGGAGAAGATGGTCCTCGCCATCTTACCGGGTACACTCCCAGCATCACCTCCACCCGGGCTTGCTGACTCCCCCGGGCATGAACCCCCACAGGGCTGGATCACCCCGGCTGCCAAGCGGTAGCAGCTCTCAGTTACCCATGTCCTCTATTCCCAGACCTGAGGCCAAGGAGGAGGAGGCCAGGGCTGCCTGTCCCATCAGACAGACAACCAGAAATCAAAGCTGTGACATGAGGGAGCAGCTTGCCCAACCTGCATATTTAACAGATGGGAAACTGAAGTTTAGGGGAACACCTGAAGTCACATGGCAAAGGAAAAAGGCAGGTATGAAAAACTCACAGCTTTCGCTGCATACCCAGGAGGATCTGCAGTTCTCTGATTGAGATGGCAAACCCACACAGCAGCGAGGGCTGGAGACACATTTGTAGGCTGCATGGCAAGAACCAGGAAGTTACCGGTTTGATGAGAGCATGAAGAATGTTGAACCTCATTGTCCACTAATCGACACACACAGCAAAACCTTTTTTAAAACCTTGCCACTGTGGAAAACAGTGATTTCTGTAAAAAAAAAAAAAAAAAAACAAAAACAAAACAAAAAACCAGGCCAGTCGCCTAACGCCTGGCTCCTTACAAGAAAATCTTATTACTTGAAAGTGTGATTTGTTTGGTTTGTAATAGCATTGCCTACAAGGGAAATTCTATTACTCAGGTTTCTTAGCCAGTCGCAACGGAGCCGGGGATGATTTGCAGAGAAGAGCTCTGTTCTCTTTGCAGTGCGGCCAGGTCTCCCTCGCAGGACTGTGACCCCATGCACACACATCCTTCTGGGGGGAAAAGTGGCCTCATTCAGTCTGAATAGTGGCTGCAGACCGCGTTTAGGCTAATCCACTGGTTGGGGTCCCAACAAAATGTTTTGACTCGATTTGGTCAATTTACAGGGAAAAAAATGAGAATTATTCAGCTAAATTCTTGCTTTCTCATTTCCAGGTAGTTTTCACATTCAACATCCAGGAGTGCTCCACGGAAAGCCCGGCACTAGGCTGCAGCAGGAGAGCTCATGGTGGACTGCAACCCGCCTGACTAACCACTGGCCTGGCCACTCAGGAGAACTCATGGTGGACTCTAGCCCGCCTGGCTGACCGCTGGCCTGGGCACTCAGGGAAGCTCATGGTGGACTCCAACCCACCTGGCTGGCCACTGGCCCAGGCACTCAGGGAAGCTCATGGTGGACTCCAACCCACCCGGCTGGCCACTGGCCTGGGCACTCAGGGGAGCTCATGGTGGACTCCAACCCGCCTGGCTGACCGCTGGCCCGGGCACTCAGGGGAGCTCAGGCCAGAGCAGTTCCTTCTTCCCTCCCTTTTCCATCAGATACAGACAATGAACTCTGCTTCTGCACCAGAGAAAGCCTCTCTTCCCATCACACATGAAGAAGAAGGCATGTAGCTCTCAGACTCTGGCAGTGCCTTGCCATCTGTGAGAACCAGGGGCCAGATGATGGAATCAGCTCTGAGGGTAGCAGAGCACAAAGGCTAAAGGCACCAGCCCCCAGCATTACAGCCCTCCCCACTGCTCTCCCTACTACCCACGCTCCCCGAAACCACTCTCCTGACACTGCCAGAATGGGAGTGTCCTCATTTACCAGAAGCCCTCTGCTCTCAGGAGAAAATGCTAAGTATGCAAGGGGCCATCCTGCCCGGCTATGCAGCCTTAGCTCGCAGTGACACCTGGCCCACCAGTCCACGCTGAGCTCACCTGTGAGCCTGCACACCTGCTCTTCTTCCTACCTGGGAGGGTGGGGCCCTGGCTGCTCCTCCCTCAGTGGCCCTTGTCACCCACTTTCTAGCTCCCTCTCATCCTCTATGTCTGAGTTCAAACATCCCTTCCCAGAGAAGGCCCTTCCTGACCTCTCCTCAGTTCAAATGCCCCCAAGAGAGGGGCTGCAGAACACCCCAGCCCCCAACTCAGAGCCATCACTCTCCATGCACGTTGCTTTGTGCACCAGAGGTCTGGCTTCCTCCACGCTCCTGGTGTCTGGCACGCTGCCGGGACCTGCTGGGTGCTCAGTAAACCTCTGGGTGATAAATCAATGAAATGAAATGTCCAGGTGTCCAAAGGTATTTGCCTTTTCATCTGTGACAGGATGGCTCTGATGTGGACCAAGATATCTGCGTTGTTGGGATGCAGGGCTGCAGCAGCCGGGAGCCTGTCTTTGTTTTGCATAATGTAATTAAGGCACGTTGGCCATCGCCAGGCTGCTGTGCAGTGCGGCCGCTCGCTCGCGAGGTGCAAGTGTTTCCCCTGCGCCCCTCCATCAGCTCAGGCTAACGCTGATTCCCTCGACAGATAATGCTGATCATAAAGGCAGACTGTACTGTCCACAGGCCGCAACAGGAATATTTATTCCTTCCACAAACTCTGTGCTTGCATTTCATTTGCTCATCAGTTTAATTTCGGGAGGGGATAGCTGGGATCATTGAATCCGTCCACGTGCAACTTGGAAGATGACTGACCCGATGGGACCGTCTCATTTGCAATTTGAAATGTGGACTCTTCCCTGTGCACTCCCCCCAGCTGGGGCACTTTCTGCCTCCCTCCTCAGCAGTGTCTTCAGAAGAGGCTGGGTCGTGTGCTCACCTTACCATCTCTGTCTGACCTTCTGGTTATTTCTTAAGAAAAAAAGTCAAGAATTGCTTAGCCAAAAAGTATGCTTTTAAAATAATATTTATCAATTTCTTCTAGACTATATGACTTCATGCTTATTTTGAAGCATTATAGAACCATGAGAAATAGAGTTAAAATCTCACATGGCCAACCACCCAGAATTAATTACCATTAAGATTTTAGTAGAGCCCCTTCTAGTATGTTTTCTATATTCCTGCCTCAAACTAACCCCAGGTTCTCTCTGTTCCTGTGCTTCCCACACCTAGCACAAACTGCTCTTGGGAGGTGCTGGCAGAGGGATGACAGGGGAGCTAATGCGTGTCCCCTGCTGCCCTCCTGTCCATCATCCTCACAGCAGCCAATAGGAACACACTCTCCCTGACTGCTTAAAACACATGGGTTACTCTTAGGGAAAAGGCCAAAACTCCGCAATGTGTCTCAGCAGGCCTGTGTGGTCTGGGCCTTCCTAGTTTCTCCAGCCTCCTCCTGCTCCATTTCCATCCCTCCAAACCTTCCTTCCAGCTTCAGTTCTCAAGAAAACCTACCTTCGCCCTGACAGCCATGGGCTGTCTGCCTCAAGGGCATAATCTTTTGTTATTCCCAATACTTCCCACCCACCTCTCCAAAATAAAGCATCTAATTCACAGAGACTGCAATTCACAGGAATGCTTTTTGCCTTTTAAAATATTACCCAGGGTTTGTTAGTAACCTTCCCATCTACCAGTAGTTCCTGTAACTCAATATTTTCCAAAATGGTAAATTGCTACCTTGCCGGAGTGTTTGTGATTGAGAAAAATAAGAAAAAAGAATTGGAATAAATAAATGTTTGGGTTTTTTTTTTTACTATAGAATGCTCAGAATGTTTAATATATTAAAATGTACATAAATGTCAGCAACAATATCCAGCAGAAAAGCTCTGCCTGATTATCTGACCACAAAGAAAGCTCCTGTTAAAACCTCCATCAAAAACCAACGGGCATCCCTTGTGTACTGGTGTTATGTCCCCCTGCAACTTACATGTGGAAGCCTTAACCCCCAACATCATGGCATTTGCAGGTGGGGCCTTTGGGAGGTGATTAGGGCTAGTTAGGTCATGAGGGTACAAGCCTCACAATGAGATTAGTGCTCTTATAGGAATGCACCAGAGAGTTCTCTCTCTCAGCCTTGTGAAGACTCAGGAAGAAGGTGGCTGTCTGCAAGGCAGAAAGAGAGACCTCACCAGAAACAAAAAGCTGCTTCCATTAATCTGTTCTCACACTGCTATAAAGAAATATCTGAGACTGGGTAATTTATAAAGTAAAGAAGCTTCATTGGCTCACAGTTCTGAAGGATGTATGGGAAGTCTAGCAGCTTCTGCTTCTGTGGAGGCCTCAGGAATCTCAGGAAGCTTCCAATCATGGCAGAAGGCACAAAGCGGAAGCAGGCAGGTCTTCCATGGCCAGAGCAGGAACGAGAAAAAAGAGGGGGTTGGTGTTACAGTCTTTTAAACAACCAAATCTCACGAGAACTCACTCACTATACAGTACCAAGGGAGGTGGCGCTAAACCGTTCATGGGAACTTCACCCCCGTGATCTGGTCACCTCCCACCAGGCCCCCACCTCCAACACTGGGGGCTGCAATTCAACACGAGATTTGGGTGGGGACACAGATCCAACCACCTCCCACCAGGCCCCCACCTCCAACACTGGGGGCTGCAATTCAACACGAGATTTGGGTGGGGACACAGATCCAACCACCTCCCACCAGGCCCCCACCTCCAACACTGGGGGCTGCAATTCAACACGAGATTTGGGTGGGGACACAGATCCAACCACCTCCCACCAGGCCCCCACCTCCAACACTGGGGGCTGCAATTCAACATGAGATTTGGGTGGGGACACAGATCCAACCCATATCATGGCTGGACCTTGATCTTGGACTTCCAGCCTTCAGAACTGTGAGAAATAAATGTCTGTGGTTGAGCTACCCAGTCTATGCTATTTTTTTATAGAAACCCAAGTCAACAAAAACAATTAATGTGATATTTCTGTCCACTTATGAGTAACAACAACAACAACAGCAGCAACAAGCAGTAACTTAACCAAAGGGTGTTTATCTTTCTCACCTCATGAGATGTTCACAGGTAGGTGGTGTCTGGCACTGGCCCAGCAACTCAGAGATGTCAGGGCTTTTCTTTCCCTCCAGGCCTCAAAGTGGCAACTGTTGCTCCAGCCATCCCAGCTACATCTAACAGGAGCAAAAGAGAAAAGTGACGGAGCAAGGCGATTTCCTGGGATCCCCGTGTGATGTCTGTTCACCTCTCATTGACCACATGGATCACAAGGTCAGCCCTATCTGTAGAGGGACTCAAGAAGTACAGCCATTCTGGCAGGCTCACTGCTTCTCCCAACACACACTTCTGTTAGCAAGAAAGAACAGAAAAATGAATATCTGGGAGGCAAATAAGAGTTTCTCCCACAACTAGTGGCACATATTCAGTTAGAATCTAAATACAGTTCATTGCTAGAAAATAGATATATATTATATTTACATAATATAGATATTTTACTTTTTATATGTGATATATATACATATCTATGTGTGTATATACATATCTCTGTGTGTGTATATACATATCTTTGTGTGTGTATATATGCTGTGTGTGTATATAAACATTTTCTCCTTGTTAGGATCAATTATACAGTCTTACAGGTCTGTTTCCAAATGATAAATTCTACAGCTTTTAAGAACTCTTTAATGAGAGGCTCCCAAAAAAGCAAAATTCTATGTTTCCCTCTTAGGACTTTACATTGAATAGTATGATCAGACATCCATGTGTAGATTTTTTTTTCAATGTGTAAATGGTTTATTGACAATGAGAAATGTGCCTAACCCGTCTGGGTTATAAAATACCCGCTTTACTCCAGGGTTTCAGAACTCCACATACTGATGTCCAATCAGGTTTCTTTTGTTTTATAGACAAACGTACAGAGTTGAGGGGAGGCAAGTACAGTCAGGAAATGCTCTTGAACATCTGGGCCACAGAAGTCCCTGAAGAACCAGTGGCCAAGACTGTGATTCGGGTGGTTTAGAGGAAACTTCTCTGCCAAAGACCAAACGGCGTTTTGAGTTGTCCACGGATTGAACCTGAGTCTCCTAGTCGCCCAGCTGATCGCATCAGTGAACTTGAGTTGTGCTTACAGACATCAGGGATGTCTCAGGCACACGAGGCATGGGAAGTGTGTCTTCTAAGAAGGGAACGGATGGGCAAATCTGCAGAGAGCTGAGGACACAGGGGTGAGTGGGAGGACTCGGTTTTGTTGGTTTGGGTTTTTTGGTGAGGAGAGCTGGGGCAGGGAGGGAGGGTGGTGAATGGCCCCATTAAGGCCAAGGGCACTTCCAGAAGAGTGGCAGGTGAGGCTGAAGGAGTGGAGCTGAGGCCCTCCCACCCCACTAAGGGAAGCCCGAGGATGGCTTTCCCATCGTGCTCAGCACATGGAGGGATGGAGAAGGAGGAGGGCAAGTGACTTCAGGGACAGAGAACCTCCAGGAAGACACAGCAGTGGCCCCAATTAGAGACCAGAAGACCCTCAATTCAAGCAGGAGATGGGGAGATTCAAGCGATAATTGAAGGTGGAGTCAGCAGAAACAAAAGCCCGCAGAATGTTGTTTGTGAGGTTAATAGAGGCACTGACAGCAGCTTCCAAATGCTCCATCTTTGGCAGCTTCCTCAAAGGATAATTCCACCAATTAAAACAGAAGTGTAGAGGGGAGAGCTAGCCAGTAGGCAATTTGCTGCGTGGATCTGACGCTGAGTCTCCAGTAGAGGTGGGGTGGCCAGGAGAGAACTGCACAAGTGAGGCCTCAGCCAGAGCCAGGGAGGGGCAAGAGAGTGCACAGGGCAGCGCAAGGGATGCCCAGAGGCAGTGGTGCTCAGAGCCAGGATTCAAAGAACAAAGAGGAGGTCAGTAGAAGCAGGGGGGCTGCATAGAAGCTGAGAGTGGCAGCGGGGTACACAGAGGCTGGGAGGGGCAGGGGATGCACAGAGGCTGAGAAGCGGGGGGTGTTCACGGAGGCTGGGGGTCGTGCACAGATACTGAGAGGGGTGGCGCCGTGCACAGAGGCTGAGGGGGGCGGTGGGGTGCTCAGAGGCTGAGGGGGCAGAGGGTGCGCAGAGGCTGAGAGGGGCAGGGGGTGCAAAGAGGCTGAGAAGCGGGGGATGTGTTTACAGAGGCTGGGGGTGTCATGCACAGACACTGAGAGAGGCGGGGGGTGTGCAGAGACTGAGAGGGGCAGGGTTTGCACAGAGGCTGGGAGGGACGGGGGGTACACACAGGCTGGGAGGGGCAGGGGGTGCACAGAGGCTGAGAAGTGAGGGGTGTTCACAGAGGCTGGGGGGTCATGCACAGATACTGAGAGGGGTGGCGCCGTGCACAGAGGCTGAGGGGGGTGGGGGGGGTGTGCAGAGGCTGAGGGGGCAGGGGGTGAGCAGAGGCTGGGAGGGGCGGGGGATGTCAGAGGCTGGGAGGGGCGGGGGATGTGCAGAGGCTGGGAGGGGCGGGGGATGTGCAGAGGCTGGGAGGGACAGGGCTGGGAGGAGCAGGGATGCACAGAGGCTGGGGGACCCGGGGGCACGCAGAGGCTGAGGAGCGGGAGATGTGTTCACAGAGGCTGGGGGGTCGTGCACAGACGCTGAGAGGGGCGCGGGGTGCGCAGAGGCTGAGAGGGGCAGGGTTTGCACAGAGGCTGAGAGGGGTGAGGGGTTTCATTATTAAGACCTTATTCCCTCCTCCCAGAAAACAGCCTGGCCTTCCTCATCTCTGCTGAGAGGAGAGTTCCTTGTCTCTATTATCATTTTAAGAAAAAATTTCCAGTTAACATGAAAAATGAAAGATGTATTACACTTAGTTTTACTTTTTGGGGAAAGTACATTCTGCAGTTACTCAAGGGAAACAATTAGGACTTAAAATTGACAGACATGACTTGAGATATGAAAAACATGGACTCAATTAATGAGAGTCTGGAAATGCTGATTGCCCGTCTGCCTGGGCTGTGCACCCAGCATGTGTGGCGACGGCCCCTGCTGGTCATCCTCCGCCACCTGACCCCACCCAGATCGCTCTGTGCCTGCGTCGGGTCTGCAAGGAGCTCTTTTCTCTTGAGCCGATAAATGTCAAAGGCAGGGTAGAGCTAAGCCTGTTGAGGCAGAGAGGTCCCCAGTCTCTGTGGCCTGGACCTGTCTGAGCTGTGCGGTGAGTGTTACAGGCTGGGCTGTGGTCTCTGTCCCCACCCATTGTAGCTCAGACCTAGAAAGGAAGATTGATGTTTGTGAGTGTGATGCTGATGCGGAAAGAAAGGGAAGCAAAGGCAAAGTGCATAGAAGCCCAGAGCGTGGGGACACTGCCCAGGCCAGGGACAGGGAAACTTTCAGGGCATTGGTGTGGAAGCCGGTCTTGAAAATTGAGCGGAAATGTACCATTTCTAAGGCTAGACCTAAATACTGAATGAAGCCCCAAGGAAATTAGAGGAGGGGCCTTGGCAAATGAAGCAGAAATCAAAGGCCAGGTGCAGAGGCTCACGCCTGTAATCCCAGCATTTTGGGAGGCCAAGGTGGGCGGATCACGAGGTCAGGAGACCAGCCTGACCAACATGGTGAAACCCTGTCTCTACTAAAAATACAAAATTTAGCTGGGCACACGCCTGTAAATTTAGTGGTAGCACACGCCTGTAATCCCAGCTACTCGGGAGGCTGAGGCAGGAGAATCACTTGAACCAGGAGGCAGAAGTTGCAGTGAGCCAAGATCATGCCACAGCATTCCAGCCTGGTGTCACAGCGAGACTCCATCTCAAAAAAAAAAAAAAAAAAAAAAAAAAGAAATCAAAGCAGATACTTAACTCCTCTCATTCTCCAAGACTCAGCTTGGGCATTGCCCTTCTAGGAAGTCCCCAAGGGGGTCCCAGGTTGGGCTGAAGACCTCTCCTCAGGCGTTCACCCATCCCTGCAGAGTGTCCTGGGTGCACTTCCAGCATGACAGAGTCTAACAAACAGTGGTGTCTTCTGCATTAGAAACCAATTATTAACTGGCGAATGACCATCTTCTGATTTGAAAGACAAATGAAGTATCCCTATTAGAATGTCCACCATCCAGAACATGAACAACACCAAGTGCAGGCGAGGGCTTGGAGCAGCGGGAACTCTCATCACTGTGGGCGGAATGCAGAACGGGGCAGCCATCTTGAGGACAGTCTGAGAGCTCCTTACAAAGCTAAACTCAGGCCAGATGTGGTGACTCACACCTGTAATCCTAGCACTTTGGGAGGCCAAGGTGGGTGGATCACTTGAGGTCAGGAGTTCGAAACCAGCCTGGCCAACATGGTGAAACCCTGTCTCTACTAAAAATACAAAAATTAGCTGGGTGTGGTGGCGGGCACCTGTAATCCCAGTTACTTGGGAGGCTGAGGCAGGAGAACCACTTGAACCCGAGAGGTGGAGATTTCAGTGAGCCAAGATCACACCACTGCACTCTAGCCTGGGTGATAGAGCCAGACTCCATCTCAAAAAAAAAAAAAAAAAAAAAAATAGGGCTAAAAGCTAAACACAGTCTTTCCATATGATCCAGCAATCACAGTCCTTGGTATTTTATCCAAATTCATTGAAAAGTTATGTCCACCCAAAAACCTGCATACTGATGTTTATAGCAGCTTTATTCACAATCACTAAAACATGGAAGCAACCAAGGCATCCTTCAGCCAATGGATGCGTAAATACATTTTGGAGCATCCAGAAAATGGAATATTATGCAGTGCTAAAAAGAAATCAGCTCTTAAGCCATAAAGAGATATGGAGGAAACTTAAATACATATTAATAAGTGAAAGGAGCCAGTCTAAAAAGGCTACATGCTGTATGAGTTCAACTATATGACATGCTGGAAATGGATACAATAAAAGGATCAGAGCCCAGAGTTTTGGGAGGCCAAGGTGGGCAGACTTCTTTAGGCCAAGAATTCAAGACCAGCCTGGGCAACATGGTGAGACCCCATCTTTACAAAAATAATTTTTAAAAATTAGCCAGTTATAGTGGTGTACGTCTGTAATCCCAGCTACTTGGAAGGCTGAGGCAGGAGGATCACCTGAGGCCAGGAGTTCAAGGCTGCAGTGAGCTATGATTGCACCACTGCACCCCAGCCTGGATAACAGAGTGAGATCCCATCTCTTAAAAAATAAAATAATTATAAAATAGGATCAAGAGTTGTCAGAGGTTGGGGATTGGGAGAGGGTTGACTAAGAGAAAAACAAGATTTCCTGGGCAGTGAAACTATGCTGTCTGACACTGCAGTGGTGGGCACACGCCATTATGCATTTGTCAAAACCCATGGAATGCTCAAGACCGAGGGTGAATGTTCATATAAACAATGAACTCTGGGTGAGGACGTTTCAATAGAGGTCCAGCAATCACAATGAAAATGTACAAACTACCATGGTTGGGGAAGCTGATAGTGAGGGAGGCTGTGGATATCTGGGGGCACAGAAGAAAGGGGAACTCTCTGTACCATCAGTTTCATTTTACCATGAACCTAAAACTGCTCTAAAAATTAGTCTTAAAAGAAAAAAAGACAAGTGAGGCACATGGAAGCAAAACGTGTGAAATTCACATGTTTCCAAGCAAGGAAAGTTCTCAGCCTCTGCTATGTTGCATTTTCCTGGATGATCCTGCCTCCCTGTATCTGAGTGTTCAGGTGCAGTACCTGCTCAGGTGCGGTACCTGGTGTGCAGTGGGATAACAGGAGCTTAGCATGTGTTTGGTGTCAAATGCATGGAGGATTGAGGAGGGGCCTCAGGTTCTCTGACGAGAGAGTGGCCTGGCCTCTCCACGGGGCAGGCAGGGTGGATGACAACCGCTAATCACACAGCAGAAGCCACGGCAGCCAGGACATTCCTGCTGAACAAGGTCAGCTGCCTTAAGGAGGAGACAGAGGAGGGACTCTTCGGGAAAAGGCAGGTGCATAGGAGGGAGGAGCGGCATTTCTAAGCCCTCGTGGTCAGACATCTCTCTCCTTATCTGCCTTGAAGACAAATGACCCTTTCTGCTTCGAATGCCATTTCCAGAATGCATTTCAACAGCAATAAGTTAAAATATACCTTGCTAAAGGAGAGGGAGTTTTTGAGGCATTGTGTGCCCTGGGGCCACTACCGATGTGGGTTTTGAAGTGTTTTATATCAGTCCGACCATCATAAAATAACCATGGAAACAAGGTAGAAAGCAAGTCCAAGTGGGTCTGATAGAAACGAGCCTCATGGGAGAGGAGGGAAGAGGGGATACCAGTCTTGGTCTTCTACTCTGACACCAACTTTACTCGGAAACTTGCCAGGTAGGTAAATGTTCAGAAAAGCGAAACTGCTGTCAAGGCCCCCAAGAATTAGCAATACGAATTATTTAGGGCATTTAGAAGCATTTCTCACCAATACACTGTTTCCTGGAGGCACAGGACACTCTGTGGCCATAGGGAGTGCCCTGGTCGGTGCAGAAGCTAAGTCAATTTTAGCTGCTCTTTAAGGAGCTTGTGGGGCTTGGTTCAGGCTCCATCCACCTGCAGTTGTCTAAGCCCACACAGAGCCTGGGAGTGAGGTCAGGTGCATGGACTCAGTGTCTCTATGGGCAAAATACTCTGCAACCAGGCCCCACAGCAGTGCCAGGGCAGCGTAGGTCAGACATGGGTCTTCTGCGGGCTGTCACACAACAGGTGGCCAGGGCCATAGGAGGACTGAGCGCCTGAGGACCTGGGGGAGGGTTAGTGTCTGGTCAGGGACCGGGTCACTCGTCTGCTGCCAAGGGTCTCCTGACACACCAGGAAGGGAACTGCTCTGCACCCTGCAATCTCCCACATCAAAACGCAATGCACTCTAGCCCCGGAACTCATGACTTCTCAGGGCAATACGTGGGTCTACATTTCCTCTCTTATTTGTTTATTTATTTTTGAGATGGAGTCTCACTCTGTCGGCAGGCACGATCTCAGCTCACTGCAACCTCCACCTCCCTGGTTCAAGCAACTCTCCTGCCTCAACCTCTCAAGTAGCTGGGAATACACGCGCGTCCCACCATGCCCGGCTAATTTTTGTGTTTTTAGTAGAGACGAGGTTTCACCATGTTGGCCAGGCTGGTCTCGAACTCTTGACCTCAGGTGATCCAACTGTCTCAGACTCCCTCCCCTCTTATTTTTAAAATAACGTGCTTTCTTTATAAAATAATACATTTTTGGGTGGGACACGGTGGCTCACGCCTGTAGTCCCAACACTTTGGGAGCCCGAGGTGGGTGGATCACTTGAGGTCAGTAGTTCGAGACCAGCCTGGACAACATGGTGAAACCCCTGTCTCTACTAAAAATACAAAAATTAGCCGGGTGTGGTGGTGGGAGGCTGTACTCAGGAGGCTGAGGCAGGAGAGTTGCTTGAGCCCAGGAGGCGGAGTTTGCAGTGAGCTGAGATCGCGCCACTGCACTCCAGTCTAGGCAATAGAGCAAGACTCTATCTCAAAAAACCATAATAATAAAAACAAATAAATAAAATAATATATTTTCAGTATTAAAAATTGAAATGCGCATAAATCCAAATAAGAACATAAATATCTCCCACCCAGCATCAGTCACTATTGATGCTTGGTCTGTATTGAGGATCCCTGGGTGAGTTCACTAAACCTCCTATACCTTGGCACCACAGATACGTGGGGCAAATATTTTGCTGAGGCAGCTGTCCTGGGCCTAGGAGGATTCTGAGCAGCACCCCTGGTCTCCACCTGGTGTCCACCCACCAGAGACCAATAGCACCTCCACCAGGTGTGACCATCAGAAATGTCTCTAGACATTGCCAGTGTTCCACGGGGAGCCACATCAGCATACTCTTGTGCTTTCTGTCACTTACAACCAACAAGGCCTGGTTCATTCTAGGAACTCTTGCCTGGCATGTTTAGGTAATTGCCTGAGAGGGTCTGTAAGCAGGAGGGGCTGGTGGTTGGGGATGATGGACAGGCCCTTGCTGCTGCTCCTGTCAAGTGAACAGGAAATGAATGCAGAGTTGATGGAAAATGAAAAGGACAGATTTTGGGAGCAGATGGCTTGAACGATTTGGATTCTGCCATTCATCTGCCTGATGCAGCACGAGAGCACACCAGATAGGAGGGTTTAATTAGCAAATTCATAACAAGTCAGCACTTGGGGATGCTGGGAAGAAGGATGAGTTTTGGTGCCACTCCTTGTGCTGGATGGGACCGTCCAAGCTGTGTGACCGTGGGCAGTTACTTAGGTGAGCTTACAAGGTGAGCTTAACAGTTACTTCACCTTGTTCTTGGGCAGGTCACTTCATCCCAAAGGACACTGGTCTCCTCTGCTGTAAACCAGGGACCCTCTCATTCAAGGCCATTGCAAGCATTCATGAAAGGATAGAAAGCACCCAGGCCAGGGCCCAGTGCGAAGCAGAAGTGGAAGACATCAGCACTGATGGTGTCACCAGCATCGTTATTATCAATTTCCAATCATGTTAATAGCACTAAAACACAGGGTAACCCGGGGAACCTCCTTGGCACCCCCACACTCTGCCGGCTCCATAATCTTAGTGCCTGCTGTCAAGTGGGCATTCGGGTGACAGTGTGTCAAAATTCTGCACATTTGGGGTTCAAATGAAAACCAATGCATATTCTAGGGTTTGACAATGTCTTTGAAAAAAAGAAGATAAAAACTGCATGAGGTCAGAGGTTCCACTCAGAGGGAGCTGGCAACCTTCCCCCCACCAAGCGGCTCTCTACCCAATGCAGCACTTTGTGAAGTCAACCACGGAGGGCCAGGGAGCTGACCAGAACCTGGCAAGCACCTACCTTCCAATCACTTGGAATTCTGCTGGTCTGGGAGCGTGTGGAGCCCTGTGCCAGTCGCGTGGAGAATGCAGGGACAAACCCCGTCCCCAGGGTGCTCTGAGCCGCACTTCAGAGAGAGCAGCCCTGGGGGCAGAAGGGGCACTGCTTCTTCCAGCTGCAGACACCAGCTCTGCACTGCTCCTCAGAGCGTGTCCAGCACCGAACGACCTACAGCGTGGCATGGCGGTGATGTCACCAGGACCCTGCACGTGCTGTATTAATTCAGGCTGCCTTAACCCGGCACCACCGGGCAGCACAGACAACAGGGACTCACTATCTGACAGTTCTGGAGGCTGAAAGTCGGAGGCCAGGGCGTGGGCAGGGTTGGTTTCTCCTGAGGCCTCCTTGGTTCGTAGATGTCGCCTTCTCCCTGTGTCCACACACAGGCCACTCTTTGTGTGTCTGTCTCCTAATCTTTTCTTCTTATGAGGATTCCAGGCAGGCTGGACCAAGGCCCACTCTAACAACCTCATTTAACCTCAATCGCAGGTTACGTGAGGCCACTGTTGTAATGCTATGAAGGAATACCTGAGAGCAGGTAATGTATAGAGAAAAGAGGTTGAATTGACTCACGATCTGCTGGCTGCACACACATGGCGTCAGCATCTGCTCCTGGTGAGGCCTCAGGGAGCTCCCGCTCATGGCACAAGCCAAGGGGAAGCCAGTGCATCACATGGCAAGAGCCAGAGAGGGGAGGGAGGCACCACACTCTCGTAAACAACGAGAGCGCACGTGAACTCAGAGCCGGAACTCACTAATGACAGCGCGGGCAGCACAGAGCCGTTCATGAGGGATCGGCCCCCATGACCCCATCACCTCCCACCAGGTCCCATCTCAACACTGGGAATCATCTCATTTCAACATGAGACTTGGAGGGGACAAACATCCCGCCATACCACCCCTGTAAAGACCCTGTCTCCAGACACAGTCATCTTCTGAGGTCCTGGCAGTTATGAATTTTGGGCAACACAGTTCAGTCCATAACAGCTGGGTTTATGATTCCAAATTTACAGGGCAGAAGCAGAGCCTTATGCCTCAAGGCTATACCTCTTATTGTTAACGTCTCTCCAATTGGTATCCTGGGCTACCAAAACCATTCATCCAGCTAGGACTTGTTGCAATCACGCAGTGCAGTGGCCACTGGGCCATTCCCTGCCCATGCAGCTTGCATTCTCCTGAGGTGAATAAGGTAAGATGACCGGGTCCCTGTGCTCAGGGCCATCTTTGTGAGCTCTCAGGGGCACTGGCCGACCGAGCCTCTCCCTCACCCATCTTCCAGACAGACGCCCGGCCACAGCCTGATGCCCCATCTCCATGGGGGCCCGGGGAGTTCCACATGCTACAAGGTTAGAGCTTGAGGGCAAGGTATCAGAAAAGCTTAGGGCCTTCCTTGAACTTCAGAAGCAGGGAGCATCTCGCTATCAGAACTGAGGAGGTTCCTGCAGAGGCAGGTCCAGATGTATGAGGACACAGAGCAGTATAAGCCGATTCTCCCAAGAGGTCAGGAAAGACTCCAGGCTGTCAACATGGAAATGGTCCACAGAGGCAGGGACAGGCACGGTCACCTAAGATGTCCAGGCCACCACAGAGTCACTGTCTATCTGAGCTCCAGAGGCAGCGGCTCTCTCTGTAGTTGTATTAGTTCATTCTCAAATTGCTATAAAGAACTACCTGAGACTGGGTAATTTATAAAGAAAAGAGGTTTAATTGGCTCATGATTCTGCAGGCTGTACAGGAAGCATGGCTGGGGAGGCCTCAGGAAACTTTTTTTTTTTTTTTAGATGGAGTCTCGCTCTATCACCCAGGCTGGAGTGCAATGGTGCAATCTTGGCACACTGCAACCTCCGCCTCCTGGGTTCAAGTGATTCTCGTGCCTCAGCCTGCCAAATAGCTGGGATTACAGGCACACCCCACCATGCCAGGCTAATTTTTGTATTTTTAGTAGAGACAGGGTTTCACCATGTTGGTCTCAAACTCCTGACCTCGTGATCCGGCCACCTCGGCCTCCCAAAGTGCTGGGATTACAGGCGTGAGCCACCCCACTCAGCCGGGTTTATTTTTCTCTTGCTGTTCTTTCTTTTGTTACAGGCATCACAGCTGAAAACTCAGATGGGTCGAGGGAAAATTATTCTTTTTCCTAAAATCTCACATCTTGTCCGCAGCCCATGGTCGGGCCAGATGTGCTCAATGAGTGAAGAGAGGACTGAAATACTGGGTGCTCACCGGGCTGTTGGCAGCTCATGTGGCCCCTTCCCCGGCCATGGTCTGTTTCTGAAATGCTCTGTCTTGAGAGACGACCCTCAATGCTTTCGTTTCCTTCGGGTGACGGCTCTTTCAACACCTCCGTGGGCTCAGTGTCACACGACGGCACGTTTGCTCTGATGGGTAATTAGGTGTGAGGGTTTCTAATTGCATCACTTTATGTCTGATATGAATCAGGGCCTGATGGCTCCTAATCGGGAAGCTTCTCAATGACTCAGGCGCCGCTTCCATTTCCACTGGAAATCCGATTACTCATGGCATTTTCCTTTGGATTAATCTGGAATTTTAATTTCAACAAGGGGATCCATCAAAGGATGATATCTATTCAATACAAATTAATCCAATTGGTTACCATAATGTGAAAATTAACACGGTGCCTGGAGTTCTTGTTCCACACGTTAGTCAAAGAGAGTGGGCTGATCGAAACAGCATCAGCTGCACCAAGGGCGTTCCCCTCACTTTGTTGTTACAAACCTGACAGCCCCCTGAGCCTGCAGGGATGGCCCAGGGTTGAACAAGTTCTCGATTTTGTGTGGTGGGCAAATTACCACATCTTCTCAATTGTTTTTTGGGGGAAAAATCCATATGGACCTGACTACTTATCAAATGCACCAGGCTCAGGATTTCCTAAGGGAAACCTGTGTCTTCTCGCCTGAACCCACGGCTGAGGCCAGGCCCTGTACACGGTGCCCAGTGGACATTGCACCGATGAAGGGGTTTTAATTCATAAGCGATGGTGTAGTTCAGCCCCACAGGCCTGGCATTCAGCTCAGCCCCTCCGAGGCCCCCTCTGCCCAGCATTCCGGGCCCAGTGACTTATGGTACTTGCCCTCCCAGCTGCAGGGTGAGCACCAGGTGAGCAGGGCTGGCAGAAGCATGAGGAAGTTTTACACTGGTTTTATATTTTCCTCTGAGTTGGCTGGGAGGCCCCTCTCTGGAGGGTGGCTGTGAACTCTAGCCCTGCCCTGGTGGAGCTCAAGGGCAGGTGGCTGTGGGTGTCACAGTGCATCTCTCAGGGATACTTCTTTATCCTGACGGACAGCCTGATGCCTCAGTGTCTGACTGTGATCAGGTGTCCCTCTCACAGGAAACTCGTTTACCCTGGCAGACGCCCTTTGGCTCTTGTCCGACCTGTGTCCAATTTATTCCCACCAAGACCGCCACTCCCTAGGAGAGCCCTGGCCGGCAGAGAGTTAGGTCTGGGTGCGTTGGTCAGGTGGGCCACGGGGGAGACAGCACAACAGAACACATGAAATAACAGAAGCGGTTTATCACTCCCAGGTCCACAGAGAAGAGGGTCCTGCAAGGAACTGCGGGAAGTCTGGAGACGGCAGGGAGCTCAACCAGCAGGTGGTCGGGGGTGGAGAGGGAGAGAGAGAGAGACCTGCGGGACTAAAGCCTTCTTTGGAATCAAAGAGATTACCGGGGCAGGTTTCCCATAGGGAGTTCTAATTGGTGGGTTTGGAGCAGGCAGGAGTTCTGTGGGATCATGAGATGGCAGATGGGGGTCACTGCTGCGTAGACCTGCACAGTGCATGTGGGGGTGGGTTCACTGCTGTGTAGACCTGCACAGTGCATGTGGGGGTGGGTTCACTGCTGCGTAGACCTGCACAGTGCATGTGGGGGTGGGGGTCACTGCTGCGTAGACCTGCACAGTGCATGTGGGGGTGGGGGTCACTGCTGCATAGACCTGCACAGTGCATGTGGGGGTGGGTTCACTGCTGTGTAGACCTGCACAGTGCATGTGGGGGTGGGGGTCACTGCTGCGTAGACCTGCACAGTGCATGTGGGGGTGGGTTCACTGCTGTGTAGACCTGCACAGTGCATGTGGGGGTGGGTTCACTGCTGTGTAGACCTGCACAGTGCATGTGGGGGTGGGGGTCCTTGGGTTGTATTCAGCTGTCCTGTAGGGCACGGCCCCCTGGCAGGTGGTGGTATAAGGCAGACATCTTGATCGACTGCCTTGAGGAACTGGGAGGAGATGGAGAACTGGAACTCCGGGAGAGGGTGACTGAGCTTTGCTTCTGGTGTGAGAGTTACACCTATATTCAGAATGCACGCTGAGACAAGGTAGAATCACAAGAATGCACTGCAGTTGGCCTCATCAGATCAACTTTCCTAAAGAGCTGAATGGACAGTGGCTTGCTTATAAGAGCCCTGGGAGGCTGGAGGACAGATGAGGGTGGCTCGGCTAGGTGTTGGCAGGACAATGGTGTGAGAAGGAGCAGGATCTGACTAATGCGGTGGGGACAGTGCCATCAGCATTGCTGCTGGATTCGACGTGAGTGAGAAACAGGGAGGAAACAGCCGACCCCCAGGTTTGCTTCTCAGAGCTGAGTGGAAAAGTCTGAGAGGAGAGTGGGTTTTGTCTGGGCAGGGTCGTGGCCTCACCGAGCATGCCTTCAGCAGGATGGGCAGACTCTGGGGCAGAAATGTACAACTTAGCATGTCAGCGCCAATGTAACAAGACTTACTTCTCCCCACGCCGTCCACCGGGGCTGGTCTTCCTTCATCTCTTGCCCTCCAGAGCCAAGGTCCCCAAGGTGCCACTGCAAGGGAAACCATGGGGGAGGAGCAGCCCGACTCCCTTAGGGCAAAGAAGATTGGGACTCACAGGTGGCACCTGGGCCATTTGCTGAGTGCTCTGGGCTCAATATGGGCTTGCCCTGCCAGTCTACAAACATGCCCAGTGGTGTGAAAGCCCCCAGCCAAGGACAGAGGGGAGTGCTGCAGGGATCTCCTGTGTCAACTGAAGAACCATGAGGTTCAGAGATTTGGAAGAGCTTTCTTTCTCGTAAAGGGCTGCAGCCTGCAAGTGGCCATCCACAGGCTGGGAAGCGTAGCCTCTGACATAAGCTGGAAACAGGCACTTGGAGGGAGGGAAGCATAAGACAGGAATGTACAGTGAGTGGGGAGACTGAATATACATATTCAATAAGCTATGAGAGGAGCCCTGAATATTTATGAGAGCAGGAGATACATGCCCATGCCCATTTGAGCTTCATACCTCTTCAGGGATCACATGTTCAAAAACTGGCAGCATTAAGGTGACCCGAAGGTGGAGATTTTGGCCCTCTAATGTCAAAAGGTGAACCACAGCACACGGAAGCTGTCACTGGGCATCCCCTGAAGACTGGCCTGAGCCCCTCCATGGCTGGTGGTCTCTCGTCAGGAAGGGGTGCATTGTGAAACTGGCCAACTGTCACATCTGCAAAGAGGGAGAGGAGCTCAGGCGCAGACTCAGAGGACTGGCTAAAGGTGATGAAAGAAGGAGTCATCCGTTCCTTGGAAAGAGTCATCGAGAGCTGGTTTCTGCTTACTCCTTAGGAAAGCATTCTGGTTAAAGGTTAATGAAGAAGGGACACACTTTGGCATAACAGACCTCCCGTCTCTTCCTGGCTGGGAACTCTGTTTTCAAGGTTTCCCTGGGGACTCCTTGGCCAAGAGGGGGTCTGTTCGGTCAGTTGAGGGGTTTAGGATTTTATTTCCATTTATCAACTGGGAGTGACTAGGGTGTGTGGAGCCTGAGGAGGGCACCCAGGCGTCAGCATCGAGGAGGGAAGTCCACGGACCAGGCCCAGGGCATCAGTGTCCAGGGCTCGGGGTGGTGAGAAGGAAGCAGCAATGGTGGCTGGGGAGGAGCAGGTGAGGAGGCAGGAAGAGAGTGGGAGACGGCAGGACAGAGATTTCAGGAAGACCCCTGACTGGCAAATATCACTCTCATGATCTCAGGGCCTCAAATGCATTATGACATTGAATTTGTCCTCTTCTGTCACCATCTTTTAATATGGGCATTTAAAGCCTCATTAACTTGGCTCTTAACATCCTAGAAACCAAGGAGCTTGGATTGTCCAGCAGTCATGGCAAAAGCCCTGGATCTGCCTGGACCTTGGTGGCCTTGGGAAAGTCACCTCCTCTTTCAGCCTACACTCAACTCCAGGACACACCCTCTCGGCCAGCACCCCAGGCTAGCGGTAGAATTCACAACCCAGCAGGTGGCAAAAGTCTTTTGTTAACTGGAAAACCCTTTGCAAATATGAGGTAGTATTATATTTCTTCGCCTGGTACAGAGAAGAACTTTGCAGAAACCACATAAAATGCTAAAATAAATGAGGTTTTCTCCTGCCCTTCCATAAGTGAACAGAGTGTAATTGAACTTCTGGACTTTCCCCCAGCTGTTTTGAGTGTAGGTTCCTTTTGAGTCCCTTCATTATTGCGGAAACATTTGAACCATCATCCTTTAAGTTTATAGAGGGATCCCTCGGGACGAGGCATTCCCACTGGCATTATTTTGATTGGCCTTCACAAGATGTCCTGAGTGCGCAGCCTGGTGTTATTTTGAGGACAGCTCAGGATGCTGAGGAGCCCCGTCTTGGGCAGGGTTCAGATGCTAGAACTGTCATCCATGCCAGCGGTGCCTCTGGGTTTGGAAGGTCATTCTGTGAGCAGCCTGGAGGGTAAGACATACAGGTGAACTTCGAGACACTAGGTCTGAAGACAGGGAAGACATCACAGCACCCCATGCATGGATCAGTGTCCCAGAGGGGCTGTGGGGTCTCCTGCTGAGATCCATAAGGTGACCAGTTTTTCCTGCTTCTCCCACATGCTGGGACATTTCATATCCTGGTGTGGACATCTGGGGTGCAGTGATGGGTTTAAAACCAGAAGTGTTCTCTGCAGTGTTTGTAGCTTCAGCTGATGTTGTCCGTGTATGCAACAACCTTGTGGATAAACATCCTGGCACAGCACAACTGGAAGGACCCTCAGAGGCCTTCCATGTCCAAATTACAACTCTTATATGTCAGGCAGGGCTTGAATTCCCCCAGAGAGGGAAAACCGGAGCCCCAGGACAGCCAGCAGGAGAGAGGCCGAGCCACAGGGTGAACCTGCTCTCCGCCAGCCACCTGCCTGCCTCACTGTGGGAATGGTGATTAAGTACACAAATCAGGGACCCCCAAAGCCACATTCACGGTCTGTCCAAGTGAAAATAAATAACAAAGAACGTGGGGCTTAAAGAAGGGAGGTCCAGGTTCATTATTTGTTCAACTGCTCAGCCTACGTAGAGCTCCCACTTTCCCAAGTGCAAAAAGGAAAAAGCAAAACCCCGAGGCACTTCTTGCCACACGAAGGGCTCACAGCAGGGTAGTTTTTTTCCCCACTTCTACCCCCTAACTAGAATTAAGCAGAAAGTTCCAGAGAAAAATTGAAGGAGAGAACAGCAGACCCCAGGATCACCTGCAACATCTGCAATGCTACAATTTAAAGCAATTTTGCCAAGTGAGCCAAACAATCAGGGGAGATCAGCTGAGGGTGGGTGGTTGAAAAGGTTTTTTTTTTTTTTTTTTTAAATTGCTTGGGCAAATGGTTCACACCCTATCAACATGACTTATTTTCAGTTTGATATTCCCCAGTGGCCATTCTTCGTTCATGGAAAGGAGAGTTGGCAACAGCCCAGAGATCTCACCAAGCATTTTCTCTATTGATTTTTTTTGGAACTCATTGACTAATGGGGTCATTTGGCACTGGGATCACAGAGAATCGGAGAGAATCTCAAGTCCGGTGTTGACTTGGAAGCTGAAATGTCTATTCCTGGAAGGGGGATGGGGAAGTGTCCAAATCGATGTCTTCTTCATGTAGAGAACCACTCAATCCAGGTAGGATGCCTCACTCCACACTTAGTGCATGACTCATGGGAGCATTTTAGAGCTATCTTGCTGTGGTTTATTAACAATATGTATTTGATCTTTGTCCCTGGTTCCCAGCAGAGGGCACCTAAAGCCCTTGGAATTTCCTGAGTGACAGGAGTGTCTTTTGTTATTCATATTCATATTGGAGTGTTTGCCAATAAGGTGACAAAGGATGGGACTCCTAGATGGCATCAGGACAGGCTGGCCACCAGGAAGACCAAGGAATTAGAAGTGGGGGAAATCTTTCAGCCCCACCCTTTCCGCCCTCTCTGCGTTGCCCCTTCACTCCCAGGGGAAGGAGGCTGGAGAATGAACTCTATTAAAGCAATTTTTTTCTTTATTCATTTAATAAAGAAAACTAATTTTGTAAAACTAATACCTTTCTGATGGAAATTTGTTTTTTTAATTGACAAAAATTGTATGTATTTGTGAACCCTAACTTTCGTGACAGGTCTCGGTTACTTTCGAAAGTTCATTTTGCCAAGGTTAAGAATGCACACCCATTACAGCCTCAGGAGGTCCTAAGATATGTGCCCAAGATGGTCAGGGCACAGCTTGGTTTTATACATTTTATGGAGACATGAGATATCAATCAACATATGTAAGATGAACATTGGTTCCATCCAGAAAGGCGGGACAATTCAAAGCCATGAGGGGGCTTCCAGCTCACAGGTAGTTGAGAGACAAACGGTTGCATTCTTCTGAGTATCTGATTAGCGTTTCCGAAGGAGGTAATCAGATGTGCATTTATTTCAATGAGCAGAGGGATGACTTTGAATAGAATGGGAGGCAGGTTTGCCCTTAGCAGTTCCCAGATTGACTTTTCCCATCAGCTTAGTGATTTGGGGGCCCCAAATTTATTTTCCTTTCACATTTCCCCCTTTTTCTTTTTAAAATCTTTTGGAGAAAGTATTTTAGAAGAAAATGAGTCTCTGGTCTCAGGCTTCATCTGATCTCTCATGGCTAGGACAGTTTATTCCTACATGGGTAGGTTTCAAGTTATTAGAAAAGCTCATTTATAGCAGGTTATGAAGTCTCATGTCCTACAAAGAGAAAATAGGGGGAGGAAGGGAGAAAAACAACAACAAACAAAAGAGCAATCCCGGAAAATTGATATAGGCCACATTACTCTGAAGTTCATAATAATCAGTAGACAGGTATGAGAGTGACTTATGTATGTAAATAAGTTGCTGTTATTTTCTTCTGGAGTTTAAATTGTCTAGCTTCAGTTCGAAGGGCTTTAAGAAAGCACAGCCTAGTTTTCAGTGATTTCAAATTAGGAAAAATGGAGGAAAAAAAGAAGAAAAAAATTAAAATATTATTTTGGAGATTTGTAGCCAGGAAAAATTAGAATTTAGTCCAAACTGTAGAAAATAATAAAAATTGAAAAACATAAGGCAAGACTAGAATTTAACAACAGGTGTACTATAGTTTTTGAAACATAATTTTTCTCTCTCCAGTTTCCCATTTTTACTAAAGACAAATCATGGTAGGATTGATTTTCTTATACTTGGCCATATTATTTGTATAAAGTGCAGCAAGAATAATTATTCTTCACATAGGCTTTTTAAATTGGCTTTGATGGAAATTTGCTCCAAAGAAGGGATCTTAGATAAGATTTTTTTTTAAAGCTGAGCTCAGCCATGGCTTTGTACCATCAAATACCTATGAGTTGGGTAAATTCCTATCCTCTTGAGGTCCCAAGATAACTTAGGGCTCCTGGGCCTGTCAGAAAGTGACGTTCTTTACTTACCACAGGTTAGGAACCCTGTACAGGGACTGTGTAGACAAGGTATGCAGCCAGTTTCTCCAAGGGGCTTTTATTGGCTCTGTAAGTCAAATTTGATTCCTTAAAAGAAAGCACACCATTCCAGTCACAGCCTTGGTAAAATAACCAGTTTCTCCAATGGTGTCCTGTTGCAAAAGAAAACACTCTTATTGTGCTTATGCAAATAACTATATTGCTGTAAGTTAAGAATACTCACAAATAGTTTCAAAATTCTGGAGAAATCAGGTAGAGAGAAATAAATATGCTCCAAATTTTTTTCACAGGAGTATACTTTACTCAATTGCTCCATGCTGTAAACAGTTCAAAAGAAAGGTTTCTCGACCCTGAAAAACAAAACAAAGGATTAGCAATGTTTTAAGCAAAAAGTCAAAAGATTACTTTAGTCTTCTATTAGTTCAGTCCACACAGTTAACTCCTGTTTGATATTCATGAATATCCATGAACATTCCAGCCTTCTGTGAGTCCAGAAAGTATTTTCCCCTCTATTCTAATGCCACAATCTCCAAGGTTATCAGAACAGCTATAAACTGTTTGCTGATTATAAAACCACCTTCGAAAGAGGATCAAAACAAGGCAATAATTGTCTGTGGATGACAAAAAATTTTAGGAAAGCCATAGCCAAAGAAACAATGTGTTACCTCTGTGACAAGGAAATGTGTTACATCCATGGCACACAATAGTTTAACATAACAGTTATAATTACTACTGATAACATACACTAAGTCATATTGGAATTACAGGAGTTTCCCATAATTTTGGAACACATACCAATAACATATTTATATAAATACAGCCCAAAGAAAGCCAAACACCATTTCATATTTGACAATGCTTCCTGTATGATTTTTATACCAAATAAGCCAAATATATTATTTTTGGACTTTAGGGAACCTAATATCTTAAAGGATTAATTAGGTCAAAAAAAGACATAATTTGGCCAGGTATGGTGGCTCAAGCCTATAATCCCAGCACTTTGGAAGGCTGAGGTGGGCAGATTACTTGAGGTCAGGAGTCAAGACCAGGCTGACCAACATGGTGAAACCCCATCTCTATTAAAAATACAAAAATTAGCTGGGCTTGGTGGTGCACACCTGTAATCCCAGCTACTCAGGAGGCCGACAAAGGATAATCACTTGAACTCAAGAGATGGAGGTTGCAGTGAACGGAGATTATGCCACTACACTCCAGTGGGCAACAGAGGGAGACTCTGTCTCAAAAAGAAGAAAAGAAAACAAAAGAAAAGAAAAAGACATAATTTATAATTTGATTTTGGAAAGTTTGTCAAATATCAAAGGTTTAAAACACTTGATATCACAAAATAGGATCACAGGTCATTATAAAATAAGTCATTCATTTAACCAAAGTGATAACTCAAGGATTTCAAAAAAAGGTGAAAACATTCCTTTTTTGAAGGAGGAGACTTAATTTTCCAAACAATAAGCCCTAATAAAAATAGCATGATGCAAATTAAATTTGTTTTCAAAATTTTATAAACAATCTATAAAATTTTAATCATCTTGACTATAAGATATAATTTCAATAAGCCTTTTATAACTTTTATTAAGGAGTTGGTTAATGCTTCAAGAAAACCTTGTTAATCTGATACAGGGGCCCATATGCTAATCTTGTATCAGTGTGCCTTTGACATCAATGGTTAATTTATAGAGAAACTGAACTTATTTTATCTCTCAAAATCAGCCTTTACAATCTCACATGTCCACCTCTCCTGCAATAGTCCCTGGGCCTTGAGGAGTTAAATAGATTTAATTTCGGGCCCTGTGTCTCACAAACCCAGCTTACTTTGATTGGCATCTTCTACAGGGTCTGTAGATGAGGCTTTAACTGCTGTCAATGTTAAGATTTAGCAGGACTTGGTGTCCTTTTAGACCCAGGAGTCAAAACCCTGTAACTTAATGGCACAAGGACTTTAGAAGCACACACACAAAGTTACACACATGTAATAACCTTAATTTTAAAAAAAGTAATCTCATTTTTTTCTAAGTAAACCAAAACTTAATAATAATGTCACAGGAATAATTTCAATAAAACATAAAATCTGTTACAATATATTAAATCAATCCCTTAAGAAAATTTCATTGTCTAACCAGTTCTTTAGTGTATAAGTGTTTTTTTACATTAAACCCAATGTCTAGAAAGACCATTATAATTTCCTTTTAATTACAGAAAACTCGATCATAGAAAAGAAAAGTTTTTTTATTTTTTATAAATCCTCTTATTGTGACTTACACAGACCATTCATGGACATGCTTGGACTTTCTGGTTTGTCCTGAGCATCCCTCTTTCTTAAGCAACCAGTCATTTTATTCTAAGACTAAATTTGCCATATAAGATTTTTTCTCATATAAAATTATTTCTCTTTAAGCTTTCTTACCAAAAAATACCTCTTTATTTCTATAATTTTCTTTACATCTCTCTTATTTCCTGGTTCCTTTTACCTTATTTTAAACGTAACCTTTAGATAAGCTTTGGATTCAACAAAAATTATTCACTTTTTTAAAAAGGACACACACACACACACACACACACACTATATATATATATATATATTTATTTATAATATATATGTATTTTAGAAAGAATGGTTTCCTTCAATATATTTTTATTGGAAAATACCCAAATAATGAAATATCTGTTATTTAATTTAACTTTAGATTCTAAATTATGACAAGTCTGTCTACAAGTATTTATCCCATTACACGTACCTAATTATTTTAATCATTTACCTAGATTAGTTATGAAAACTACAATAGTCATCATTTAAAGTTATGAAACCACCATCGCAAAATAATATCTGAGACAGTGAAAAAGATCTGACCTAACTGATTCCATCTTGCTTCTAAGCTCTAAGCTGTCCTTGTTCATTCCTAGGTGTAGGCCAAACTGACTTTGGGAGGAACTTAGTTTGTAATTTAGCTTTGAAACAAAGGCAGTAACAGTCCTTCCCAAAACAAACCCCCTTCCTGCCTGGGAACTAGACTGCCTAAAGCCACAAGATTAGCAATTATGGTTATTTTACTAAATAATTCAAGATTTGGCTATTTTCATTAAACTAATATCAATGTCTTATTTATCAAAAATTATGCAAGCAAAGATCATTCTGTTTTGGGCTTGGTTTTATAGTTTTGTAACCCATACTCCAAATTTTGACACCTTATGGCATTTGGCAGGGATAAGTATGAAATTGCTTGATCAATAAATGCAACTGAAAATATATGCTGATAATTCTTAAGACATTTCTAATATTACTTTACCAATAATTTTAAAGCTGGGTTATTTATTAAAGGTTTTACTTAGGTCACATAAACTTGAAAAAGGATTTGACTAGTCTTTCCTTTTTTCTGATAAAGTATGTCATTTGAGCGCTTTTATTATTCTTTAAGCCAATTAATTAGAGCTCTTTTATATATTTTTAGTAGTGAAATATTGTGCACACAACACATAAATATGTAGACATATTAGGCATACCAATAGAAGTACATGTTATAGTTCATAAGACCTCCCTTTTTTCCTATTTTAGACTAGCAAACGCTTCATAACCTGTTTCGTTATCCTGGCAGTTGTCAGCTAAATAGCCCTAAATCGGCATACTGAAGGAAACAACTCTTAGGTGAAAAATCAAATACCAAAATGAACATCTCAAGGTACAGAGAGAAAAAGTCTGGTGGTGCTAGAGGGAGATTAAAGATGGATACCAAATCAAAGATAAAATTATTAGAAATCGATCATAAGATTGTGTAAGGGGACCAATTTATTTAGATAGGGGCTACCTATCTTTCAACTGGATCTCTGAAATCTAGGCAGAGCCTACACTGAATCCTGGGTCTCCAAAAAGGGAGAATTATTATGAGGCTAGACCATGTGATGTTTTTACAGGGCACATAAAAAAATTTTTTTAACAAAGACATTCCTAAGTGTCTAAACTACACTCTTCCTTAAAAACCCGTCTGTTGCACTATTTTAGTGAAAAAATCAAGTAACACAATATAAAAATAAACAGTTTAAGAGCTGAGATGAACCTGTCTGTTTACACTCCTGGGGTTCCACAAGAAAAAACAGAGGTTTCTCCCCAAAATGGTGTCTGGCACCTTCTCTATTTTTTGAAGGAATCCCAGGCTATTATAAACTATTTTGAGTCCCTCATGCAGCAGGGGGTGCAAGAGGAAAGAAGGACAGCAGAAGTAAATGAAGAAAACAGAATTCAGTCAACTAAGAAGAAAAAACTTTTGCTCAAAAAAGGCAAGGTCCTAGGAGACAAAAAAAAAACTAAAACAACAACATAAAATCCTTTTAAATGCAAACACACCCACACACCCACCCACACACACACACATACACATCTTAGATTTTAGCTTTTAATTAAGCTGACTTTTAACCATTGAGCTCCTTTAAAAAAAAACTTTTTAAATCTCATTACCATATTTCAGCTAGGAAAAATTACTGCTATTTTAGGAGTACCAAGTATCAAACCAGAAAGGGCTTGATTTAGGAACCAAACCCAGGCTGTGCCGGTTTAAAAAAAAAAAAAAAAAAAAGGCAGAACCTTAGCTATGGAACTTCAGCATGGGGCGACAGTTATTGTTCTTTCAGAATGGCCTGGCTAGCAAAAAGGTGGCCTTGTTATGTAAATAAAGCCTCTTAAGTGGTCAAAATAAAAAATCTTTCCTTTTATTTTTCCTTCTGCTGGTCATTTTTCTCTTCCCCACCACAGCATCTTTGCGTGTGTGTGTCGGCGGGGGTTGGAGGGGGCAAGTTAAGCCTCATTCCCTATAATTTGGAACATTCCTTCGGATTTGATCGAGTCAGATAGAGTTGGTCAAACCCAATGGGAAAAAGACTAAAAGAACTACAAAACAGAAACAAACAAATGACAACAACAACAAAAAAACAGGTAAGCAAAACAAACAATCAATTGCACAACTTATACAATTAGTGAGCACTCTAATGGTAAGGAGAAATTAAGTCCAGCTGGTTGTTAATCTTAACTTTGGCCAAGACAAACCCCAGTTCAGTTACTTACCTGCAGACGGGTCTCAGGCTGAAGACTGCTCTCTACCATCCTAGAAGCAGCGAATAAAACTCCATAAAGGGCCGGGCTCGGTGGCTCACGCCTGTAATCCCAGCACTTTGGGAGGCCGAGGTGGGTGGATCACAAGGTCAGGAGATCGAGACCATCCTGGCTAACACGGTGAAACCCCGTCTCTACTAAAAATACAAAAAAAATTAGCTGGGTGTGGTGGCTGACGCCTGTAGTCCCAGCTACTCAGGAGGCTGAGGCAGGAGAATGGTGTGAACCCAGGAGGTGGAGCTTGCAGTGAGCCGAGATCATGCCACTGCACTCCAACCTGGGCGACAGAGCGAGACTCCATCTCAAAACAAAACAAAACAAAACAAAACAAAACAAAACAAAAAAAAACAACTCCATAAAGGAGTTAGCTGCCTTCCATCATCATGGAAGCAGGAGAAATTTGCCTTCCTTGTGTTGGAAGCAAGTAAAACTCAAAAAAAGGAGTTGTACAGCAAAATAAACTTTAGATCTCAACCAAATTTGGGAGGATTAGGGATTCTCTGGAGCGGGTGCTTCCAGACCTCAGCAAATTGTCCTATTGGTTTGAGCCATAAAGTTAGCTAATGCTGGTACCAAGTACCGATAGGAGATTGGTCAAAGGTCAGGGGCACCCCCACCCAGAATCCCTTTGTTATTATCAAAATGTGAACCCCTAATATCTGAGGCAGGTCTCAGTTAATTCAGAAAGTTTATTTTGCCAAGGTTGAAGATGTGTGCCGGTGACATAGCCTCAGGACGTGTGCCCAAGGTGGTCAGGGCACAGCTTGGTTTTATACATTTTAGGGAGACATGAGACATCAATCAACGTATGTAAGATAAACATTGGTTCCGTCCACAAAGGGGAGCCAACTCAAAGCAGGGAGGGGGCTACCAAGTCACAGGTAGTTGAGAGACAAATGGCTGCATTCTTTTGAGTTTCTGATGAGCCTCTCCAAAGGAGGCAATCAGATATGCATTTATCTCAGTGAGCAGAGGGGTGACTGAATAGAATGGGGGGCAGGTTTGCCCTGAACAGCTCCCAGCTTCCCTTTCCCCATTAGCTTAGTGATTAGTGATTTGGAGGCCCCAAGATTTATTTTCCTTTCATATATTCATGATGTACAGCACGATGTTTTGACATATGTGCACATTGTGGGTTGGCTACCTGAGCTAATTAACATATCTATTACCTCACATAGTTCCCTAAAATCCCAATGAGAAATCACCTCACGCCTGTTAAGATGACTGTTATCAAAAAGACAAAAATAAACATTGGAAAAGATATAGAAAAAAAGAGAACCCTTGTACACTATTGGTGGGAATGCAAATTAGCACAGCTATTTTAGAAAAAAGCAGAATAGAGGTTCCACAAAACGTTAAATATAGAAATAAGATCCAGCAACCCCAGTTCTGGGTATTGAGAAATAGAAATAAAATCCTAAGTCCCCCAACCAACTGAACAGATCTTCTCTTGGACAAAGGATCCCCAGGGAAACCTTAAAAACTGAGTTTGCAGCCATGATGGCATGGAATTGGCACACATCTCAGCATAGCTTCCTTATTAACCTTTAACCAGAATTCTTTCCTGAAGAGGAAGTAGAAAACAACTCCGGAAAACAAGAAATGGTTTTCCTTTATTCCTTTAGCCAATCCTCTGAGGCCGAGACTGGACTCCCCGTCCCTCCCTCCCTTTCCTGTTTTTGTTTTTTGTTTTTTTTATTGAGACAGAGTCTCGCTCTGTCGCCCAGGATGGAGTGCAGTGGCATGATCTTGGCTCACTGCAACCTCTGCCTCCCAGGTTAAGCAATTCTCCAGACTCAGCCTCTCGAGTAGCTGGGACTACAGGCACGTGCCACCACGCCCAGCTAATTTTTTGTATCTTTAGTGGAGATGGGGTTTCACCACATTAGCCAGGATGGTCTCCATCTCCTGACCTCATGATCCACCCACCTCGGCCTCCCAAAGTGCAGGGATTACAGGCGTGAGCCACCATGCCCAGCCCTCTTTCCTGTTTTGGTATGACAGCTCGCCAGTGTCGCAATGCATTCCTTCCCAAAAGCTGACCGCCATCTCTGCACCAGTTTTGTCTGACTCTCCCAGGATGGACAGTGAGGGTTGCTGTGTCCTCTGCTTCACCTTTTGATGTCAGAAGGCTGAAAACACCACCATTTGGTCAGGCTAATGCTGCGATGTTTTGAACATGCAACCCATAAAGGGACATAAGCTCAATCGTGCATGTTTCTCCTCATAAATATTCACGACTCCTCCTTTAGCTTATTGCATATGTATATTCAGCTTCCCCAATCAGCATACATTTCTGTTCCCTTTACCCCTCCCTGAAGTGCTTACTGTCAGCTTCTGCCAGAGGTTATGGTTCCCAGCCTGCAAGCTGCAACCTTCTGTGAGAAATAAAGCTCTCCTTTCCAAACTTATGATTCTTCTGTTGGCATGAGGTATCCAAATGATGTGAAATCAATATGTCAAGGAGATATCTGCACTAGGTTTATTTTAGGATTATTCACAATAGCCAAGATACGGAAACAACCCCAGTGCCTGCCCATGGATGACTAATTAGATACAGAAAATGTGGCGTAGGCATGCAGTGGAATGCTATCTAGCCTCCAAAAAGAAAGAAACACCATCAACATGGATGAACAACATGAATGCCACATGTTGTTTGCCACAACATGGATGAACAGAAAGGACATCATGTTAAGTAAAATAAGCCAGGCACAAAAGGATAAATATCAAATAATCTCACTTTATGTGGAATCTAATAAAGTTGATTTCACAGAAGCAGAGAGTAGAATGGTGGTTTCCAGGGTCTGGGGTTGGGGCAGGGGAGGAGGATGTTGATCAAAGGCTAAACAAATTTCAGTTCACCAGGAGGAATAAATACAAGAGATTCTCTTACAACACAGTGTCTGTTGTTAATAATAATGTATGTATATACACAGTCCCCGACATATTTGACATGTGGTTTTTTTACTTTAGGATGATGTGAAAGCAATACACATTCAGTAGAAACCTTACTTTGAGTACCCATACAATCATTCTGTTTTTAATTTTCAGTAGTATTTAATAAACTACATGAGCTATTCAACACTTTATTATAAAATAGGGTTTGTGTTAGATGATTTTGCCTGACTGTAGGCTAATGTAAATGTTCTGAGCACATTGAAGGTGGGTAGGCAAAGCAATGACGTTCAGCAGGTTAGGAGTCTTAAACGCATTTTTGACTTACGATATTTTCAATTTACGATGGGTTTTTCCAGACATAATCCCACTGTAAGCCAAGGACAATCAGTACTTAAAAACTCTTAAACAAGGAGATTCTATGTTCTGGGAGGGTGATTGTGCTAAGGAAGGGTGTGGAAGCTCCATGTCCGCACCCCGAGTTCCACCCCCATGCCTGGTCTCTGCATCTCTTCCACTTGGCTGTTTCTGGGTGGCATATACTTTATAACCAATGGATCATAGTAAGGGAAGCACTCTCCTGAGTTGTGTGCCTCACTCCAGCAAATCATTGAACCCAAGAAGGGGGCATGGGAGCCCTTGAATTTGTAGTTGTCCAAGCAGAAGTGTGAGTAGCCTGGGCACCCCACTGGTAGCTAGTATGTGAAGTGGGGGCAGTCTGCTGGGGCCTTACTCTCAGTGGGGTCTGCATTTACTCTAAGAGCTGGTGCAGAATTAGATTGAATTGTAAAACACCCACCCAGTGTCTAGAGAGTTGAAGAACTGGTGTCGGGGAAGAAAAAAACATACTTAAACAATTGTAAAAATGAAAATAAATGGTAATATGATAGTCTAACAAACATGATCATAATGTACAGCTGGATGCTCCCCAGAAGAGCGGGGCTGCCCATTTCCTGGGCTGATCAGAATCCATCTGGCTCTGTGTCCACTTGGGGCGTTGTATTTGAAGATCAATATTGACATATGGGGAGGTGGCAGGGCCTGAGAGCCACGAGCTCTGAAGGCCAAGGGAAGGACAGGGAGGAGGGTGGCCCGTGCAGCCCGGCAAGGAAGAGCATCGTAAGGTGGCGGATCTCAAGTCAGCACAGGGAAGGGAGGGGATGAGTGTCTCAGTCGGAGAAGGCCCCAAATGAACCAAGCTGTCGGAAGAAAGGGTGAGCTCGTGCTCCTGGAAATTGTTTACCAAATTTGGAAAAGACTGAAACAAAAACAGTCCTGGCTTATCCATAAAGTGTGAGTTGTGACCGGAATGAAGTTACTACCATTTATTCAAGGAGTTCAGTGACTTGTCCCAGCCTTCCCTCCAGGGTACCCATTATCATTGCCTGCCCTGAGTAAATGTTGCCCCTCTGTCCTCTGGGGCCATTCTAGCTCTGTGTTCTACATTCCCTCCTCTCCTCAGCTCCAGAGGAAGGAGGGGACCTATAGACTTGCCCTGTGTCCTGGGAGGGATTTGCTGTCCCCCAACCCCCGCCAACCACCTGCAGCCTGGAGTAACTTCACGAGGGATTTGCACTGAAATTGCCTTACTCATTTACAGAAGTCCATCTCTTCCCATCTATTCTTCTGCAAGGGGTCATTGCAGGCTTGGGGGTCACTGGTGAGCCTGCAGGCAATGCCTCCATGTTCTGATGGAGCGTCCCAGCAGCAACCCCGTTGGGTGTTCAGCTCAACCCACTGATGCTTGGTCTTTTCCATTCAGTCCACCCAAATCCACCAGCCCACCCTGCACCCACAGGGACAGGATGAACAGATCAGTAGCAGCTACCCTGGGAAACCACCGTGGATGCCACAAGACAGGCTGAGACCTAGGGGTGAAGCAGGTCCAGGGAGATAGTTAATCCAACCCATGGTCTGGGGGCCCAGAAGGACACAGTGGTCTTTCCTGCTGCCCCACCCACCCCCCACCATGAGAAATCCTTCCATTAGGGAGGAGAAGGCTGGCTGAACAGGAACACCCCTCTCCTGGGGATAGCCTGTGCCCATCTGGCCACTACAAACTCTATGAGAATGATTTCGGAAAACAAGTGCTTTTTATGAGCTATTCTCAACTAGTAGGCAATCAATATGCAAGGACACCAGATTGTGGGCTCAAAGGAGTAGGGTCTCCCACGGGGTTGTAAGTTTTTCTGCTGTAAAGCATCAATTATTGTCTGTTTCTTTCCTCTCCCTGCCTCATCACCAATGCCAACCAGGAAAAACAGACAGATACACAAACACATACACAGGTGCATACACAGGCACACATATGCACACACACCGCACACATATACACACTGTTCCATGGTGAGCAGGCCTATGCAAACTCATACCCAAAGCCAACAGAGCTGAGAGGCTGAAGAGAGGCTGACAAATCCAGTTTCTCAGAAAGAAACATTTCATAGGGACTTAGGAACAGAAGCCATGTCTTGGGTGGCCACAATGTACCCCCCCAGACCCAGGGCTTAAATACCACAGGGAAAGGGTAAATTACTTCAGAAGGAGTGTGGCATCAAGGTTGTTTTGACCGGGTGGCAGGATTTACAGTAAGTACGTGTTCTTAACAATAGATGAAGCAGAAATCTCAGAGGCATTCTGGAAATGGGGTTAATCAGAAGTCAATATGGCAGATTAGCATCCAAAACGGAGGTACTGTAGCCTACACACACACACACAGCACAGCACACATAAGCACACATATGCACACACACATCATACAAGGCACACACATAAATGCATTGCATGTACACATGCACATATGTGCGCGCACACACCACACACATATGAACACATATGCACACACATCACACAACGTGTACACACATGCACCCACACATCACACAAGGTGCAAAGACACATGCAAATCCACAATTACATGACACATACACACATATGCACTCATGTACACACATGCACGCATGTGCACACATTCAAGCAAATACCTTCCCAACTACCTCCAGTCAAAATTGCCCAATATGTAAAATGTACCCAAAATACAAAGGGAAACATAGTGTAAATCACCGCTTTCCTTTTATTGGATTCAGAACACTTTTCCAACCACCAGGGGCCCTGACAAATCTCAGACAAGCTCAGCTTTCAGTCCAAAAGTTGATTTCCAAACTCGGAATTAGAACATTGAAGTTGGCCCGAAGTGTCTCATCCCTGCAGAAAACAGGCGAAACTCTTCTAAACGTAAAAACATAAGCTGAGAACACACATAACATGACACATGCTGGGAATTAAATAAAGATACGTATGAACAAGAGAGCCAGGAAATAAAAATATGTCACACACTTTATATTCATGACAGACCTCAAAGTGGCTGCACATGGGCGGAGCAGAAAGTAGGTGGGTGGAGAGCGTCCAGGGACAGCTCCCAGGGGTGGGGTCAGGATAGAAGGGCTGTAGTGGGGCTTCCTGGGAGACAGCAGGGGAAAGACTAATGGGCAGTCTGATGAACCTAAAGACAGTGAGAAACGTGTGTGGCACGCACCCAGGAAACATTTTCATACTGCATGGCTGAGGAAATATTCCATAATTAATTTAAAAGACCACCTAAAATTCTTTGCTGCTCTGTTTGGAAAGATAAATTATAATGGACAAGCTATTCTCAGACTTATAAAATTAAAAAAAAATAAGCTCATGTTGTAGAGTGGAAATCCAGTGTCATCATATCCCCCAAGCTCCCCATAACGAAGCGTTTGAAGCTGTCCAGGAGCTCGGATGGGCAGCCCTCAGCCAGGTGGCTGGCCCACAAGGCAGCATGCACTTCCCATGCTGAGCGACCATTCAGGTCACCCAGGAAAGAACAATGCTTCGCAGATGCAGAGACCATACACACTGTGATGAAGCCTCGCGTTTGGAGTCTCTCCAGAAAGACAGAGACAGGCCACAGAACTTGAGTGTGAACCACTGATATTCACCATCCTTTGGCTGATCTAGGACCAGCGTTTGGGAAAATGTCCACATCACGCTGAGGCGTTAGCAACCCATCACCTTCTCCAGAACCTGGCTCCCGGGATTCCGTTCTTGGATGGGATGGTTGTGAGATCATCTTGTTCCGGTCCTAAGGTATTTGAGAATGTCAAAGCTTCGGAAGTGAGAGGAATAAATTCTCAGTTCATTAAAGATTTAATCAAACCATTTACATGATTAGGGTCTCCCAAACATATGGGAAATTTGATGGTGTGCTTGTTTCACAGGCTGGTGTGAAGATCTGGTGTGTGGTTTGTGTCAGCCACACCAGGACAAAGAAAGGAACATATTGCAGTCTATATAAACAATTATTTTCTCATAAAACAATTAGGGAAATGAACTGGAAGTGGGATCGTGAAATGGACTTGTCACCACATCTAATTACATTCTGCTGGTGGTGACTGGTACTGGCATGGAGGTCGGCTGAACGTGAATTAGTACTTGCTGCTAACCTGACAACTGGGCCTTTTTCTGATGCATTGAGTAGGCAATGGCCAATGGTGGGGAATAGGTTCAGGGCCCAGTGCAGTGGCAGGAGGGAGGCAGGGCAAATGCATGAGAGGCTCAGGATTCAGAGGCACAGGGTAGTCAGCACAGTTGTGCCCACTCTGTCTCTTGTCATCCCTCGGTGACAGCTGAGGCCAGGCATAGGTGGATACACCATGGGGCTCCAAGAAGGGGGCCACCCTGGGTTCCTCTGCCACCCATAAGGAGCTAGTGGTGGTAGGGCCTTGCCAAGCATCAGGGTGACCTTGCTATGCAGCAAGCCCCCGTACTGGGTGGCCACTGTCACTGCAGCCCGGCATCACCGGAGCTGTCCTGTGAGGCTGGCACTGAGGTCGTCTTTCCTGTCCCTCTCACTGGGGGAGGAGGAGCCTCTGGTCCCCACTTGCTAGTAACCAAGTACCCAGAGATGGCAGGGTGGTGCTATAACAATTCTCTCTCCCCACACTCAAGAAAAGTCCTGGGTTCTAATATTAAAGAAAGGGAAGGGCTGGGTGTCGGTGCCTCACGCCTATAATCCCAGCACTTTGGGAGGCCGAGGCATGTGGATCACTTGAGGTCAGGAGTTCAAGACCAGCCTGGCCAACATGGCGAAACCCCGTCTCTACTAAAAATACAAAAATTAGCCAGATATGGTGGTGCACACCTGTAATCCCAGCTACTCAAGAGGCTGAGGCAGGAGAATGGCTTGAATCCAGGAGGCAGAAGCTGCAGTGAGCTGAGATCACACCATTGCACTCCAGCCTGGGCGATAGAGCAAGACTCCATCTCAGAAAAAATAAAAATTAATAATAATAATAATATTAAAGAAATGGAGGAAATTGACTGGATCCAGGGATAGTAGGGTAAGAACAGACAGGCCTGGTTTTGCCCAGCAGGCAGGAGAGGTGCAGATGCAAATTTGACACGTGTGGAGGACCTGCTCCGCGCCAGGGACTTCCAGTGACTGCTAAAACCTCCTTTTAAGGATGCATCTATTCCTCATGGTCTATCACTTCACCGATGAAGATGCTGAGGGTCATAGAGGCTGGATTAGTCCTTCTAGCCTGGAGCTGACAGGCAACAGAACTTGAATGTGAATCAAATTCTCAGGTTCTAAATCCACCATTCCTCAGGACACCCACAGTCCCCAGGGGGAGAATTGAGTCATTTTTCCATTGAGGCCCACACAGAACAGGAGCTAGAAAGGGAAGCAGTGGCAGGCAGTGAGAATGCAGCCTGTCCATCCTCGCAGACACCAAAACACAGGAATGTCTGCCAGAAAAAGGAAGCTCTTGGACATGTTTCTGCTGCAACAAGAGGAAGAGTGGAGTTCCCAGGACATGTCCAGTCCGGCATCTGAAGGTGGAGATAGAGCGCAGACGTCAGAGGGATGACAGTGGACAGGCCTGGGAAGCGAACAGGAAGGACCCACAGGCCGGGGAGACTCCGAGCTGCACACCAGCCGCTAAGAGGGAAGGCCCCATGGCGTGGCAGCTGCAGACGCTGCCTCCTTGCTCCGCCTCCCGCTAGCTGCACCTGCTTGGGTACATTGTGAATGTCCTCTCAGGTTGTTTCCTCATCTGCAAAATGGGAGTGAATGCAAGGTCTGTGCCAGAAGAAATGTTTGTGATAACGAAATATGTGTGTAAAAGTTTTAGTAGTAAACACAATGCCACGTGAACTCCTTGGCCAGCCCCCGAAGATGGAGGATGCTTGTGAGATGCACACAGCCTCTGGAGAGCAAGGGCAGGTGGAAGAAATGAGATGGGTTGACCACCCAGCGCCCACCACAAGGGAAGCATGCAAAGTCCCGGCTCCCACCTGGCCCGAACACCATGAACGCAAACAACAAGACCACTAGAAATGTGGCTGCTGAGCCCTGTGCAGCAGAGGCAGAAGCTCCTGCCTGCAGACTGACAGCTTCCCACCTTCGCTGAATCAAACCCCAAAGCAAGAAGTGCCCAGGCACCAGCACGGGATACTCAAGGCAACACTGACCCAAAATGAAGACACGCCAGCCTCCAGCCACCACTGGGCCACACAGCCCCATTCCTACTGCACCAAGGCCAGTGTTTCCATCATGGCCTGCGTGGGCGGAGCCAGCAGTGAGCCACACAGCCACTACCCCGGTCATTCCTGTGCAGATCAGTTACTGAAAGCTCAGCCCTCCCTCCCATGACTCCAGGCACTGGGATTGCCAAGATGAGAGCTGAGAGTGGTAGAAGTAAAAACTAAATAACACAGAAAGAAAATGGTAGCCAGGGCCCCGGTCAATCAGGGTGCAGTGGGAGGCACCAGAGAAAAAGAGACTCACTCCACGCAGGTGCTGAGGGTGTGTGGGATGTCATGGCAGGGGAAGCCATCCAGCCCTCACAGGTGAGAAAATGCCTGGCTGGCATCAGGACCCCGACAGCATTTCAGACCACTGCAGCCTCAACAGAGGCACGAGGAATGAAATTCACTCACAGATCAGGGCCTCCAGAGCTGAGGAGACGCAGGCCAGGCACGTGAGCAGCGAGGACTTATTCTGTGGACCTGGGCTTCATTGTGGGACTCAGCAGGGAAAGGAGAAGGTGAATATGGTGAATATTCAGATGCTTTTTCCTGGAATTATTTTCCTGGCTACAGCATACGGGAGGGAGGAGGTCAGGCTAGAAGAAGGCCTCAGACCCAAAAACATCTTCACATCTGGGAGAGAGATGGGGGAGTTGTGAGTGGTGCTGAGGCTGTCAACCTAAATAACAGACAGAGAGAGGCTCTCTAAAAGAAAAGGTGTCCATTCAGGAACAGGCCTTGCAGGGGGAATACGTGTGCCACGGTGAAACTAGGTGCATACGCAGGGAGGCAGAGGACAGTAAAGGTTTTTCAAGGAAAAAATGAGGGTTGTGTAATTGTTTTGAGACCATTGTCCTTGGTGATATGGTTTAGCTCTGCGTCCCCATCAAACCTCATGTTGAATTAATTGGAATCCCCAGTATTGGGAGTGGGGCCTGGAGGGAGGGATTGGATCCTGGGGCTGGGTTTTGCATGAATGGTTTAGCACCATCCTCTCGGTGCTGTTCTCACGACAGCGAGTGAGTTCTCACGAGATCTGGCTGTTTAAAAGTGTGTGACACCTTCCCTTACCCCCTCCTCCTGCTCCAGCCACGTAAGACAAGCCCGCTTCCCCTTTTCCTTCTGCCACAATTGGAAGTTCCCTGAGGGCTCCCCAGAAGCTGATGCCGCTCTGCTTCCTGTACAGCCTGCAGAACCATGAGCCATCAAAACCCTTTTCTTTATAAACTACCCAATCTCAGATTTTTTTTTTTTTTTTTTTTTTTTTTTTTTTAGACAGAGCCATCTCGGCTCACTGCAACCTCCACCTTCCGGGTTCAAGCGATTCTCCTGCCTCAGACTCCCAAGTAGTTAGGATTACAGGCACGTGCCACCACACCCTGCTAATTTTTGTAATTTTTGTGGAGATGGGGTTTCACCATGTTGGCCAGGCTGGTCTTGAACTCCTGACTTCAAGTGATCCACCCGCCTCAGCCTCCCAAAGTGCTGGGATTACAGGTGTGAGCCACTTTGCCCGGCCTCAGATATTTCTTTATAGCAGTGAGAGAACGGACTGATGCCCTCAGCTATGAGGATCAGTAATAAGGGTGGCACCAGTCCAAGGTTGGACAGGCAGCTGCTGGGCAGATGTCCTCACACGTGTATTTTTTGTGTAAGGTTGTGATGGCCTTTGGGCAAAGTGGTGGTTGTTGCAGTGTCTTCTGTGATAGACTTTGTTGTCTGGCTGGAGAACCCTCTCTTCGTGACCTTCCTTGACCCTGTTTGTCAGAGTTCTTTTTAAAAAATTTTTTTTAACACAAGTGACTCCATTTTGATTCTGACAAGTTTCACCAGGCCCCCAAGGAGCGATTGTTTCACTGGCGTGGGGCTCAGGCTTCTCTCACCCATATGTGCTCTCTGCGTCATCAATTTTAAAAATGCCTTAACCAGGGGGCCTGACTGGCATCGCCATTCCTGGGCCGGAAATGAACTGAGCCTCTGGCTTTCCAGAATGTTCTCCCCTGATCCAGCCTCCCGCCTCGCCCCAGAGCCTCTTGTTTTTCAGAGCCGTCTGTCGACGGCTGTGTGGCATCAGACAGCTGTTTTGTGTTCACCCCGAAGCGAGCGGCACTTCATGGCGAGTGAAGTAATTTCTTGATGTGGCTTCTGTCACATTATTTATTTTTATGATGTGCTTCTGATGGAAGGCATCATCTCCATGGATGTTATTGATGGCTTGTGTGAATTTGCATTAAGAATATCTAGGATCTGGAAAATGGAATTTGTGTTGGCCCAAGCTTGCCAGGCCTCCGCCACAGCCTGTGCTTCACGTGTTTATCCCGAGAAGCAGAAAGCGCAACTCAGCCCCACTGTATCCCTATGCGGGCACTGAGGGCCACTCAGGGGAGAATAAGACCCACACCCGAGCATCAGGGGCTCCCGGCCCTAGGCCATGAGGTCCAGAGAAAACCGGTGGCTGGGTCGACAATGGCCCAGGATGGCACTGGACAAAAACAGTGGAATACACAGATCACTATGATCAGGGCTCAGGAAAGGCTTTGCAGAGGGCAGATGCCTGGGTTGGTCCCAAAGCACAACTACATGGGATCTTCCTGAGCCCTGGCAGGGGCCTGAGAACACTGGGAAAGGGGACAGCCTGGTGCGCTAGAAGGAGAGGGGACAGGAGCTGCAGATACGGGGGCGCTGAGCCAGGCTCACTGTCTCTTACCTGGACTATTGAAACCTTCAGCTATGACCACTTTAGTCACTGCCCACACTGCAATCAGAGTGTCCTTTCTAAAATACCAATGGCTGTCATAAAGTTCAGACTTCCTTGGTCTACCCCTACAAGCCGTATGGCCTAGGCAGGTTCTCTAACCTCTTTGGGCCTCAGTTTCCTCATCTGTAAAAGGAAGACTAATAATAGTGTCTCTCTCGTAGGCATGTTGAAGGCTAGCTTAGTGAATATGTGTAAAACTACTTAGAACAGTGACCGGCACAGGACAGTCACCAATAAACGTTAGGATTAATCATAACAATTATCGCTAATAATAATTGTTATTTTTATGAAACTCATAATTAGCTCCCCCCCAACCTGTGCCGCATAAAGACCATGGTTCCTGATGGCGCGGTTACTCTGTGAATCTCCAGGCACACCCCTGCTCCCATGGAACTGTGTTCTCCCCAGCGTTCCCACTGGAAACACATCCCTGAGCATAGCATGCTTTCTGCAGACTCTTATCTAGATGTCACTTAATTTTCAAGCCACAGCGTCTCCATGAGTCTGGTCTACAGAAAACGTCACACATACTCTAACATTTACAAACCCATGCACGCAGACGTCCATGGAGTAGCCAGACCCTGGGAGGAACTGAAATGCCTGTTAAGTCAGGAGCAGGCACAGGAGCTCCGCCCCTCCACAGCTGGCAAAATGAACGTGATCAGCACGGTGACATGCTGTGAATTGTGACGACAGGCTCTCCTGAGAAGGTGGGCAGATGACTTGCAGTGTTTGGTGGTTTCTGTTGTGTAAATACAGTCCCTCCACCATGACAGACCTCAGGATACCAGCCTGATGCCCATCAGCTGATGCAATTCCTGAACCGTTGACAATGAGCTCTCAGCAGCCCATGTGAGCCGGCTCTGGGGCACCACCAGATGGACCTAATGACAGGGAAACATCTCAAAGGCCTCTGGTTAGGAGCAAAAAGCACCTTGTGGAGCCATACATTCTGTAGGATCTCCTGTATATACGACCCCACTTGGGTAGAAACGTATGAGCTGGGCTTCCGTGTAGAGTACGTTTCTCCTCATTGCAGGAGCACCTTGTCGCTAATTAAGACAGAGCAGACACCATTGTTTTAGAAGCTTTCTGGACTCTGGGGCCAACCTCCATTTAGCATTAATTACCTTTGTCTTTCCTGCCATGGATCTGTACACTTCCTTGGGACAAGTGTGGGGAGGGGCAGGTTGTTTCCTATTGAATTCCCAGAGCCTATCCCAGGGCATGGCCCCCAGGAGAACTTCTCTAATATGCTGATGAATGCAGCAGCCGGCATTTACTCATCAAGCACCCACCCATTCCCAACCCTGTGACATCTCACCTTCAGCATCAACCCAGAGTCAAACCCCTCCCTGCTTGCTCACTTGGCCACACCCTCTCCTACCTCTTCAAGCCTCTCCTACCACAGCTCCTGGACAAAGTCCCCAAAGGGAAACACATCTACGGTCTGACTCTTTTGACAGCCAACAGGGAACCTGCCCTGCTTCTCACACTGACCATGACCCAGCCAACAACAAAATTCCAGGAGCCCACGCGTTCAGACAACTGAGCCTCACCAGTATCTCTCTGGGGGGTGCTTCATCCACAGAGACCTGGCCTCTCTTCCCTTCTCTGGCAGCATTCTGAGAAGGTACTAGGTGTGTGGGGACAAAGGAGGGCCACTTGGGGCCAGGAAATTGGCCCATCAGAAACACGGCTTTTCCATCTTACGGGTTGGATACTCCTTTTGAACATTAGATCTAATAAGCCGATTTGTCTTCCAAGATGAGCATTTGGAACTGACCCACAAAAGACCGCAGAGGAGAGGAAACTCTCCACAGAGCAAATCATTAATTCTCTGCAGCCACAGCAGGCTCCCTCACTTTCTCCCTGGCTACAGACCCAGATATAAAGCAGGCGGCATTTTCTCCATTCCACAGATTAGGAGGCAAAATGCCATAGAAGATGAAAACGGCGCTCTGACTTCAAATCTCATGCTCATTATAAACATTTCAACTTCTCTTCTACCCTGACCCCTCAGCACCCAACACAGGATGGAGTGGACAGTCCCAGCTTTCAAAATGCTGGTAGATTTGAATTTAGCTGGTCAGCTCCGGGTTGAGGTCATCCCACTGCAATGAAGCTAATTAATGTGGATGCCCACACTCAGTATTTGGAGCACCCTGAGGCAAAGTGCCCCGCAATATTTGTTTCTACCCATGATTCCAGCTTGGACAGGGCATGTGGTATGGTTGGTTTCCATGCTCTCCCGGCACAGAAGTCTACACTGCAGACAGGCAGCGAGCGTGACCCCTGCTTCCTGTGTCTGGGTGCAGAGGATGAGCAGAACGGTGGGTGGTGCTCATCTGGAAGTGCGCGCGCTCACACCCATGACGGCCTCCACTCCCTCCCTTTTCCAGCCGTCGACTCATCCATCAGCAGCACCCCAGGGGCCAGCTGCAGCTGCTTCGTGCAAACACCCCTCCTTTCCCCCTAAGAGCTGTTTGATCATTATCCTGTGTCATGATTATTTTGACAGGATAATTTGAAAGATAACTTATTGAATACTTAGTCATATTTGTCAAATAAACAATTGAAAACCGTCTGTTTCCCCTCAGTCGCTGAGTGTGCACCCACCCACCGACTTCAGGATTCATGGCTTCCTCCCACTGAAAGCAGCAACTGTGGGTGAAGACAGAAACTGGAGCTGGCCTCAGGCTGCATTTTGAGAAAGTGATGTTTGTCTTCCAAATAGGTTGTCCAACCCTTCCGGAGCCCCTTTTCCTAGACAGATGTCACCTTTCTGGGCAGTTTGAGTGTTTGCGTGTTCCTCACCCTCACTATGAAGGCAGCCGCTAGGTCACCCCCTTTCCCACTCGGTAAACGACGTGCTGGCCCCCTTTATTCCCTGCATGTGCAGAGACGCACACAACCCTCCCCAGGCACCCCTCTCCCTCACCCCCTCCAAGTCAGGAACCTGGACCCGCCCTGCAGTCTGCCTCGGTGCATCATTCCGGCTTCCACCGACATCTGCTGGGCATGTACCGGGATCAACTGCCAGGCCAGACACGGGGACTTAAAGGAGGAAACAAGGCCTGCCCCAAGCAGCCCACCCACCTGCAGAAGGGAGGCAGAGTCCATCTCTTATCCCGAGAACATGGCAGCGCTTGCACCATGAAGTAGACCTGGGGGGCAGAGAGGGGGTCAAAGTGTCTTTGTCCCGGAGGCCCGAGTACAGCCGAGTCCTGATAGGCAGCGTGGATTGGGCTGGATGAACAAAAGGAAAAGGTTCCCCAGGTGGGAGGAACGGCCCCTGCACTGCCTGCACTTGCTCCTTTAGCTCTTCCCGTCCTGCTCCCTCCTGACCCCTCTCCAGCCAGGACTGTGCCCCCAACACCTCCCCAAGCAGCTCTTGCCAAGTGACCCATGACCTCCATGTCCTATCCACTGCCCCTCCTCAGCCCCCACCGTGCTTCATCCTCGGCAGCGTTTTGACGCTGACTCCATCGTCCACCTTGCAGAAGTCCTCACCTGGCTCCCAGGCCTCTGCTCTGCCCTGGCTCTCTCCATCCTTGTTGACTGCTCCTCATCAGTGTTTGCCTCCTCCCCGGCTCCCCCTGGGACCATGGACAGCCCCACACGCCTGGCCTCTTCTCTGTGCAAACTCACCGCCCCCAAGGCCTCACCAGCCACATGGCTGTAAGGGCCACAGTGCTAACAACGCCCAGGTGTCCCTCCTGGCCACAAGACTGATGCACCCACTGACCGTGAGACCCATGAATCCACTCCCTTCCTAACATCACGGGGCGGCCCCACAGGCACCTGTAAGCACACGCCCCAAACCCAACTCCAAGTCTCCGCCCCCTGAACCTGAGCCCCGCACGCTCTTCCCAGTCTCAGGAAATGGCAGCTCCACCGTTCTCACTCTCCAGACTGAAATCCTTGATGGGTGATCCATCTGTAAACTCTGCAGCCTCTATTTCCAAAACACATGAGGAATCTGGGCCAGTGGTCTCTGCCCTGCGTTACTGCAAAGCTTCCAGCTGGTCTTCCCAACTGGCCCCGCCCTCACCTCTTCCCACAGCCCATTCTCAGCACAGCAGCCCAAGCATGCATTTAAAATCCAGGCCAGAGCCAGGCGTGCTGGTGTGCACCTGCAATCCCAGCTATTCAGGAGGCTGAGGCAGGAGGATTGCTTGAGGTCAGGAGTTCCAGACCACCAGGCTGGGCAACATAGCAAGATCAGCCCCTACACACACATACACACACACACACACACACACACACACACACACACACACACAATCCAGGCTGAATGAGGCCCCTGCTGTGCTTGGAGCTCCTGCTCTTCAGCATTTTCTCCTCACATGGAGATGGCCGGCCTCTCATGCCCCGCAGGCACCGCAGTCTGCCCCTTGCTGCTGGCCTGGCCAGGCACTGACTTCTGGGGGCTCCCCAGTGCTCTCGGAGCACCCGTCTCCTCAATGCTTCTCAGTCGCACTGTGCAGGCTGTGGGGTCCAGCTGGACACATTTGGGGTCTTTGCAGTTGTTGCTCTCCACGCCTGGAGCACCCTCTGCAGGCAGCCCCTGGTCCTCCCATCAGCCACTTTCTTTGAGCCTGTGCTCTGCACCAGCCCCTCCCGAGGGCCTCCCTGACACCCTCCAGGGTGGCTCACGCGTGTAACCCCAGCACTTTGGGAGGCCGAGGTGGGTGGATCACGAGGTCAGAAGATGGAGACCATCCTGGCTAACATGGTGAAACCCCGTCTCTACTAAAAAAATAGAAAAAATTAGCCGGGCATGGCGCTGTGTGCCTGTAGTCCCAGCTACTTCAGAGGCTGAGGCAGGAGAATGGCGTGAACCTGGGAGACGGAGCTTGCAGTGAGCCAAGATTGCGCCACTGCACTCCAGCCTGGGCGACAGAGTGAGACTCCATCTCAAAAAAAAAAAAGTCTCCCACACCCAGAACTCAACCCCATACGCTTGATTTTTCCCCACAGAATTCATTGTCCAATGAAACACTTTATAACTTACTTACTCTTCTTGCACATTGTCTACCCTCATCGTCAGCACCAGGATGTAGACTGGGTGAAGAAAAGAGTCTTTGTTGTTCACTTCTGCATCCCCCATACCTGCAGTGCTGCCTGGCGTGCACTCGATGCTAAGTGAGCTGAAGGAGGTGCAGGTGCATGAATGTGACGGCATGTTCAGGGCAGCCACATGGTCGCAGTGCTGAGGTTGCCAGGGCAGGTGATGGATGAGGTGAGAGAGATGATTGACACCTGCCCTGGGGAGGAGCTTGAGCTTCAGCCTTAGTTGCATGGGGGAACCACTGGTGCCCCCAAATGGAGGGAATGCCATGCTTATAAATTCAACTTAGTCCCCTCTGTTCACAGGGAGGGAGCTTGACAAGAGGACCAGACCCAACCCATTGGGTGGTAGTTGGAGTCACAGATTGAGAGATCACAGAGAAATGGAACCCACGAGGGGACAGAGGGCCAGAAGGGAGGGGCCGCCTGACCAGGAGAGTAGCACATTGGATGCCAGCTGTGTCCTCAACTACCCAGCAAGCCTTTCCTTTTCCTTCAGCTTCTCCTCCTATCCTCCATGTCAGCTCCCACCGTATGCATCCTGGGTTACTTCTTTCCCCGGATCCCTGACATCCTGCTGCTCTCAATGAGAAGAGCCCTGCTTGGCTGGGTTTTCATGTCTCTGCTCCCTGCCAGGACGGATGGTCCCTCTCCCCTCACAGGAAATAAATGGGCAATTGCACCCATTTCCTGGGTGCCCCCTCCTGTGGGTTCCAGAACACCTCTGCTGTGGCACTTAGGGTGAATTGCAGTTGATTTATCCATCTCCTCCCCATGGCCATGAGCTCGCCAGAGTGAGACTGCATCCCATTCCTCCCCACACGCCCAGCGCCTCTCAGAGCCTGGGTGAGACTGCATCCCATTCTTCCCCACATGCCCAGCGCCTCTCAGAGCCTGGTGCGTAGTAGGAGCTTAACAGGTGTGCAGTGAATAAATACACAATGCAGGGGCCGATGGATTTTTTTGTCACCACCCTTCAATTTGCATACATTTTATGGTGTCTGTAATTCCCTGGACTACTAGACGGACCAAAAATAATAGGTGGCTTAGCACTACATGGAGAAGACATCTAAGCCTGCGGTGATATATTTCACAGGAAAGGGGAATATGGATTACCTTGAAAATTAATGAAACATATACAAAAAATTAATGATATGAAAAATGGCTTATGAAAGCAGCAAAGAGCTTCTATTGACCATATGCTAAGCAATTCTCTGCCTCTTAAATCATAATAAACCATCGCTCCAAACATTATATACCTTTGGTAGAGACCAAGTGTGTGTACCTGCTCACCTAGCTTTGCATCTGGCCTGCCTCTGCCTCCCACCAGTGACACCTCAAGCCCCCAAGCTCCAGTTTTTCATCCACAGGATGCAGACAACATGACTCTCATGCCATCTCAAGGGTCATATGGAAGATGAGATGAGTGGTACCTGCCATGAGGTAAATTGTTGTAGAGATGTAAATACTAATTCAACATTTAAGTTAATTCGGAGGTGTACCTGTAATTCACTCAGCATATGTTTGGCAAAACTGACCCTGAAGCCTATCATCTAAACAGGATCATAGGCCCTCTCCTTGATCTAGGTACAAACAATAAACAAATAAAATTGGTATCAAATCTTTAAAAGCAATCATTTAAATATAATAGCCTGTAGATGATGCCTACCTAATAAAAGCTCTTTACAGTGCTAACCTGCTAGAGAACAGATGGCTTGCAATACTACATCTAACAATAAAACAGTTCTTATTTTAAAAAGTGACCATCCCTTTAGACTTGCGATGGGTCTTTAGACACCCCCCATACACACACATGCACACATGAGAGCACACACACATACACACGTTAATCCACAGTTCCCTTAATGCAGGTGGTGAGCGCTGCTGGGGAAATCCCCAAGGGCCCCTGGTATTAGTCAATTAGTCGGGGCTCTCTAGAGGGACAGAACTACTAGGAGAGATATATATATATATATATATATATACACACACACACATACATACATGAACACACACACATACACACATATACGTGTGTCTGTATATATATATGTAGAGAGAGAGAGACAGAACTACTAGGATATATATATATTAGTATATATATGTGTGTATATGTATACACACACACACACACACACACACACACACACACATATATATATGGGAGTTTATTAAGAAGTATTAACTCACATGATCACAAGATCCCACAATAGGCCATCTGCAAGCTGAGGAACAAAGAAGCCAGTCTGAGTCCCAAAGCTGAAAAACTTGGAGTTTGATGTTCGAGGGCAGGAAGCATCCAGCACAGGAGAAAGATGTAGACTGGGAGGCTAGGCCAGTCTAGTCTTTTCACATTCTTCTGTCTGCTTTTTGTTTTGGCCTGTTGGCAGCTGATTAGATGGTGCCCACCCAGATTAAGGGTGGGTCTGCCTTTCCCAGTCCACGGACATTTCAAATGTTAATCTCCTTTGGAAATACCCTCACGGACACACCCAGGAACAATACTTAGCATCTTTCAATCCAATCAAGTTGACACTCAGTATTAACCATCACACCACCTGAACAGAGTCCTTGGCAATGTCCAGCTACCAGGCTCCTCTGGCCCCTGAGCTCCCAGGGGCAGCCCCTTCCCTCCTCTGCTTCCTCACCTGCTACACATAATCCCAACATCACAAACTGGGAGGTAAAGTCAGGCCAGGCTCTGGGAGAGGAGGGAGATGTCAACAAACACGCAGTGTCCTCGTCCTTCCATTGGTTGAACCTACAGGTAGAGATCCAGCGTGGGTTGGTGCCCTTCCTCTCCAGTGGGCAGCGGGAACTCTGCAGGCTGCACAGGACCTGCCTCCTGGATCTTCCCATACAGTGAGGAAGCCACACCCTGGGCATTTCCACACGCACCCAGCTCACTCCCGGCCTCTGGCCGTGTCCAATCCTCACCTCCTCTGCTCACTGGAAGCAACACATGGAAGCAACACATGGGCTGCCCCATCCCCACACGGGGTCACATTCACAGGTGGCACCACCAGTGCTAGCGGACCTGCAAGCCACACAGAGACTCTTCTAGTACTCACTATCATGGCTCCAGGGCCCCCTAGGCCACCGCCACCCTCATGTCCCAACCCAGCCATGGCCACCACCTCTGCAAGGAAGCAAAGACACTGGCCCCACGGCACACGCCTGGGTGCTGCCGGCTTTCTGTGCTTTGCAGTTTCAAAGGCCTGCATTAACAGGGAACCCTACTCACTCCTCTGGCCCGGTTCAGATCCATGGGCTCCTCAGGATAGAGAGTGTGGACCAACCACCAAGCACTCGCTAGGCAGTGCCTCCCCACTTCCCTGGGCTGCTCTGGGGGTATGGGGGCACCTCAGAGACCCAGCACAATAGACCTGCAGACACCCTGGCTCCTTTCAAGCAGGGGCCCTGGGGGCCTCTCTTCCCTTTCACCACCGGCTATGACCAGCCCAGCTTCCGTGAACTTCTCTGCATTCCCTGAGGCCCCTGCATACCTGGCTTCAAACATGAATCCTTGCCATTCCCTCACTCCTCCCTAAATGTGTCCTCTTCACACGTACTTTACCTACTTTATAACTGATTTTTTTTTTGCATACTTTACAAGCAATAAAGCCAAGTAAAAAGCAATCCCTCCCAAATCAAAGCAAAATGAAACAAAGAATGTAGCTGTGTAGAAGCTGGTGCTCAACCACAAAGAGAAAAATTATTTCATGTTTCAAATTATGTAAAACATGGTTCCCCTCTTCCATCTGGTAAAGACGTAGTACTCTTATTACACCTAAAACATCGAACAGTAATTCCTTAAGATGATCAAGTAACCAGTGTTTGAATTTCCCTTATTAAATATATCCTAAACACAAAAACTAGTGAAACAAATCTTAACTGTTTTAGAAATCATATTGCTAATAATGACACATGGTTCTTGCTATTTTTAAATAGTTTTGACCCATAAGATAAAGCAAAGTAGTAACTGTGTTAGTATCATAGAAACCAAGAACTTCAGCATGAAAGAAAAGAGATCAAATATAAAGGAAAAGATGTCAAATAAAAGCTCGTAACCTAAATTTGAATTGGAAATATCAGTACAAATACTTGGTATCATACATTTTCTTTAGAAAAACACAGATCCCAGATCTTCAACTGAAAAGCTACAGGATCAATGATCAGCAAAGCAGCAAGGAGCAGCCCAGCACCTACAAGGGAGCCTCAGAGACTGTTTTTCACTAGAAGGGACCAGGGAGGCTCAGGGAAGCATCTGGGACAGAGGAAGTACGCGATGAGCCCAAGACGTCTTGCAAGGTCAAGGGCAAGAGCAAAGAACAATGGGGCTATGTCCCAAGGGCATAGGTGCCACTCAAAAAGTTCCACTGGCCAAATCTGGAATGATTTGAGCATTAACTTAATGATAGCAAAGGATTAAAGGATTATAGCTCATTGAAAGCAGAAATTCAAGTCCATACTAATATGGGTGAGTGAGCATATAAATAGATGGATGGGTGGATACATACATACATACACACTCATACACACACCTACATACACACTTACAAATATACATACATATTCATACACACACTACACATATACATACATACACACACACACAAACACACACACATGCACACATATACACACATACACACACAAACATATACAGGCATGCATACACACATATATATAAAGGCATCCATACACACATACACATATATACATACATTCACATGCATACATACACACACACGAACACATACATACACATATGCACATACATGCATACACACATACACACATCAATACATACACATACACATACATACATACACATACACCTACATACACACATACAAACACACATATGCACATACATACACGAACACACATACACACATACACACACATACATATACAGGAATATGTACACATATACATATAAAGGCATACATACACATCCATACACACATATATACATACATACACACATATGCATATGCACATACATGCATACACACATACACGTATAAACATACATAAACATGTGTACACACATATATACATACATCCATACACATATATACATACATGCATACATAAGCATATCACATGCATGCATACACACATACACACACATGCATACACACTCATACATGCACAAGAAGGCTCCAAACAGTAGAAAGCCAACTAATAAATGTAGAAGGAATATGTATGGAATTAGAAAATTACCATTTGGTAACCATTATAATAACTGATTCAGGCAAGAGTCATCAAAGGATGCTAAAACTAATGGCGGAAAGTTTGAGGAATGACAGACCTTTTCCATAAACTGAAATTACCTCCTTCATGTGATATTTGATAGTTATAGAGTGGAAATTGTAGCTTCACAGTGCGGAAACCTAGAAGACACCCCCTTCACCGAGTGATCCGCAGTAGCTTCACAACGGGGCAAGTGGACGCCATGGGCCTCCTCCCATGAGGCACTGAGAAGAACACAGCATGACTTTTGGGTATCTCTACCAAAATCGCATAATCCGAATTGAATACTGAGGAAACATCAAATAAACTTAAAAAGAGAGGCATTCTACAAAATTCTAATGAAAAAGTCAGTGTCATGAAAGACAAACACAGACTGAGATACTTTTCCAGATTAGGAGAGACTGAAGTGCGGCACATGGCTGGGCTTGCTTTTGCTATAGAGAAACTTGTTGGGATATTTGGTGAAAACTGGATGTCTGCAAAAAAGAAAATAAGGTTTAACTGCTAACTCTCTTGTACTTATAGTTATGAAACAGAATGTTGTTGCTTTTAGAAAATACCCACTCAAGTATTTGAAGATAAAGGGGCATCAGTCTACAAATCATTCCCAAATATTTGAGTACAATATGTGCTAAGAACATAGCAAGTACACATAGGAAAGAAATCAGCAAAATTCAAAATATAGAAAAATCTCTAGAACAAGAAACAGATAAAAGTATAAGAAAAAAAAGAGGGGCGAAAAACACCTAGATTAAAAGAAATTAGGAAACATCCATGAGTCAAAGGAAGAGTAAAATAATAATAATAATACAAACAGGGAAACTTGAACACAGATTATTTTATCTTAAGGAATTATTGCTAAATGTTTCAGGTATGAATTTCCTTTACCACGTCCTCCCAGCATGACATGAAGGGAAGAAGAGCTGAGATAATCGTGGAAGCTGGAAGATGGCTACATGGAGTTTCATTATCCCACACTGTTACTTTTATATACGCTTGGAAATTTTCAAAATACAAAACTTAAAAATAATGAGACAGATCTACATGTTCTGATATGGGAAGATGTGTAAGGCACATAAAGTGAAATGAGCAAAGTGAATGATATGTACAAAATGACTCCTTTTCTGTGAAAAGGATAACTAGTGATAGATGATCGATAGACAGATAGATGATAGATATTAATAGATAATAGATACATAATAGATAAATAGACACATACATACATATATACATACAAGAAATGTCTGGCTCCTCTCCTACTGCTCCAGCCATGCAAAGGAGCCTTCTTCCCCTCCACCTTCTGCCATGATTGGAAGTTCCCTGAGGCCTCCCCAGAATCTGATGCCGCTCTGCTTCCTGTACCGCCTGCAGAACCATGAGCCAATCAAACCCCTTTTCTTTATAAACTACCCAGTCTCTAATGTTTCTTTATAGCAGTGCAAGAACAGACTGATACATGTCAAGAAATGGACTTTCTTAAATTATACAGATATCAGTAATATAGATTAGATTACATATAGGTATGGGTAGAGATTAGATATGGTTATAGATTAGGTATAGATATAGATTAAATACAGATATACATCTACATATAGATATGGATATAGATTAGATATAGATATAGACTAGATATAGGCATAGATTAGATGCAGATATGCATTAGATATATAGATATGTTAGATATAGATATGGATATAGATGAGACATAGATACACACAGATATAGGTATAGATTAGATATAGATGCTTGTGAATGCATGAAAACTTTCTAGAAAGGTATTATTAGCAGTTATTACTTCTGAAGACCAGGGGTGAGGGGAAAGGTGATTTTTTTTTATACCCTTCTGCACTATTGATATTTTTTCTACGATCAGTAGTAATTTTACAATTTAAAACCAATTTGCATTTCAAAATAATAATACCTGATAAAAACTGGAAAAGCATAAATATCTTACTGATTAAATAGAGAGACTGATTAAACAAATTAAATGAAGAGAGATAGCTGAAGGGTCTGAGTTAGCCACTTAAAGAATGATATGGGGCCAGGTGCAGTGGCTCACGCCTGTAATCCCAGCACTTTGGGAGGCTGAGGCGGGTGGACCACTTGAGGTCAGGAGTTTGAGAATAACCTGGTCAACATGGTGAAACCCCCTCTCTACTAAAAATACAAAAATTAGCTGAGTGTGGTGGCAGGTGCCTGTAATCTCAGCTACTTGGGAGGCTGAGGTAGGAGAATCGCTTGAACCTGGGAGGTGGAGGTTGCAGTGAGCCGAGATCTCACCATGGCACTCCAGCCTCAGCAACAAGAGCAAAACTCCATCTCAAACAAAAACAAAATACAACAAAAAAAGAATGATGTGGATCTGATTTAATTGTCATTGAAGATGGAAAGAAAACAAAAGGACATGTTGTAAAATGACTTGTATAACCAGGTCCCAATTTTAACGCATCTGGACCTATGTCCACCAAATGACTATTTCCAGACAGAGTGCTTATGAGTGACGTCTCTTTTCTTTTCACTTACTTGTAGTTTCAAAAATTTCCAAAAGGAATACAAACTCATTCTGAAATTTAAAATAATTGAAGCTCAGTGTGATCTGTGGATGTATCTTTTCTCCCACTCCCTGAGAACAAGAATTATCTGCACACTCCAACCGCTTGTACTATGCCTGGCAGAGTCGGGGCTCAGTGAACATTTGCTGAACTGAATGGAACTGTTTTGTGCAAATCAGTGGGGGCTAGATATCCACATAGTCGGATAGTCACGTGGCTTGTTCCCAATGCACTAAGTCTGTCTGCTTCTTCAGGACAAGCCGGGTCTTCAATATTGTGTATGAGGAACTCGGCTGAGCTTTGGGGATAAAACACTGCAGAGACGGAGGCCTTCCGGGAGCTGACGTACAGAGTGGGGGGCAAGCACAATAAAGACATGAACATCTCACAGTATAGTAGGAGCCAGAGCAGGAGGTGAGCATGGGGTGGGAGCCCACACAGCCGACTCTGCTAGGGGAGACCAGGGAACACTTCTGTGCTGATTGGGGTTGCTGGTCTACTGCCACGGTTCTCTTGAGATGGAATGGATGGCTGCCTGGCAGGCATCTTACAAACTCCATGCAATGGCACTTGCAAACAACATACCAAGTGGATCAGTTTCCTGGGGCTGCCATACCAATGACCACCAACTGGGTGGTGTAAAACAACAGAGACGCATTATCTCACTGTTCTAGAGGCCAGAAGGCTGAAGCCACGGTGCCTGCAGAGGCTTCACCATCTGGAGCCTCCAGGGAGGACCCATTCCTTGCCCTTTCGCTTCTAGAGGTTCCGAGTGTGCCTTGGCTTATGGCAGCCTCACTCTAATCTCTGCCTCCATCATCCTATGACGTCTGGCTTTCGTAAGAACACTCTAGGCTGGGCATGGTGGCTCATGCCTATAATCCGAGCACTTTGGGAGGCCAAGGCAAAAGGGAGGATTACTTGAACCCAGGAGTTTGAGGCCAGGCTGAAGTGGGAGGACCGCTTGAGTCCAGGAGTTCAAGGCTGCAGTGAGCCATAATTGCACCACTGCACTCCAGCTTGGGTGACAGAGCAAGACCTTATCTCAAAAAAAAAGGAAATAAGAAAATAAGAACACTCTCTTTGGTTTGAGAGCTCATTGTACTCCAGGATGACCGCATCTAGACCCTGACCTCAATTACATCTACAAGCACCTTGTGTCCCTCTAACATCACATTCCAGGTTTTGGGTGGACCCGAATTTGGGGGACACTATTCAACCCACTGCACTGAGGCTCCGTGACACGCATACAGTCTGTCATTGCCAGGATGCATTGTTACTGGGCTGGCACACTGCCCAGGTGAGAAAACACAAGGGCAGAAGTGGGCTCATGGGTGAGGGATGCGGAGGAGGCACGACCTGTGCCCTCTCCAGGTCACAGTGAGGGCAGTGAGGGTGACAGAGATGGAGGCTTCTCTGGGAACTCCCAGCTTTTGTGCAGTGGATGGTTTTCAGTCAAATAAGCTGAAACAAGCCGGCGAGGCATTCAAGCAATTGCACGGAAGAGCAAAACAATAGGCGGAGATGCTTGTGGGCCAGGGCGGTGCATCCCGCAGAGCCGAATCTGTTTGGAGAAAGCCGCATTTGGGTCTTCTCCAGGGGGGTGGGGGTCAGGAGGCCCTTGGGTCATTTCCCTTAGTGGAGCATCTGGGCGCTGCTCCTTCATAATGACGTAGCCCTGGGAAAAGCACCTCAACTCTCTGGGCCTCAGTTTCCTCAATTATAAAATAAAGACTAAATAATCTTACAAGCCTTAGAAGGCTCCTGTAAGAATTGAGTAATGTGACTTTGGAGAGATTATAAAACCTCCCTCGCTAATGAAACCCGGGGAGGCTTTGTCATCATGATCACCCTTTATCCCCATCCATGCTGCCGGCTGACCACTGTTCCAGAGTTCCATGGCTTTGCCAGGCAGGAAGCTGATGCGAACTTACAACCTGTCAATGTGGTTTTAGAAAGTTGTTCTACCCGCTTCCAATGAGAAGCATAAACACCAGGGGTTTCACAAGCCACTCAGGCTACATGGCCTTTGGTCTGAGTTGAAGGAGCCTCAGGGGATGCATGGGAAGGTGCCAGCCCACATGGCTGTCAATGCCCAGCTGAGCTTCTGGCCTCTGCAGCTGGGAAGTGGGGATGTTCTGGGAATGGAGGAGGTGCTTGGCAGTCCTGGACCAAACTCAGAACTGGGTGCCCCATGAAGGGGCTCTGGGGCACGTCCTTGCCTGGACACTTCTCTACTCTCTTCCTGCCCTTGGCTGGGGGCTCAACCAGGGGACCTTCAAAGCCATTTCCCTTGAGATACTTACATGCAACTTCAACGGGCAGGTTAGTGTCAATATCTCTTATTTGCCACTGTGTATTTCGGCAATCACAAGGTGTTACTGATTGGCAAATTCAAATGCATATTGTCCTTAATTTGAGGTTAATTATATATAACATTTCAAAGGAGGTAATCTCATTAATTTTGATTTGCTTCTAACAGTATTAAAGCACGCACTGGAAGACTGACTCGATTAAAACGGAGCACATGGGGGGAGACGTCGGGCTCTTCCGAGATTGTTATGTGCATTTTATTAGCCACAGCGAGCCAAGAAGGACGCTGGTGAAACTTCTCCAAAAGCCACAGCCTGCATAACTGAAGCCACCCGGCCATCAGGCAGCCCTGCTCACTGTGCACGCTCCCAGTTCCCTGCCTGATATATATCAGAAGCTTCCTAGACATTCATGGATGAATAAAGGAATGAATGGGAAATCCCAGCGGGGCAGTCCTGGCAGGATATAAAAGGGAACTGGGATGATCTGTGTCATTCTTTCATGCATTGATTCAACCAAAATAAAAGCATAGACACTGTTTACATGCCAGGTACAGTGTGAGAGAATCACAGCCCATTCCCTGGAGAAGGTCACAGTCTTAAAAGGAAGGTGCCCAAGCACCCCGCTCGGTGTGAGTCCATAAGAATTCACTGTATGCTGGGCACGGTGCGAACCCTGGGGGAACAGTGGCAAGTACAACTGGCCCTTCCCTGCCCTCATGCCGCTGGTGGCTTGCCTGACCGATAGCACAGGTGAGATTCCAGGCGGAGGACAGTGCTGTGATGAGGAAGGGTCTCAGCAGGAGTTCAAGAAAGGGGTTTCAGATGGCAGAGAAGTTCCCATGGGAAGAGCAGGAGCCAAAAGAAACAACAGAGCGGACTTACCGAGGCCAGGAGGCAGGAACCCCCAGCCCCGGGAGTTAGAAAACAATCTCCACTCGGAGGACTCCGAGGACACAGCCCATTCTGGGGCTTGTCTCAGCAGACATAGTGCAGGAAAGGAGTGGGGACATAAGAAGCACTGTCCCCCGGAGGTGTGACATTGTCCCCTGGAGGTGTCACGCTGTCCCCCCAGAGGTATAAGTGACACTGTCCCCCAGAGGTGTGGCACTGTCCCCCAGAAGTGTGACACTGTACCCCAGAGGTGTGGCACTGCCCCCGCGGAGGAGGAGACAGTGTCAGAGACAGCCCAGGGGCCTCTGAGAACTGAGTGCAAACCGAGAAGGATGCGGGGGGCGGATCTGCATCCAGCAAAGGAAGACAAGGCCAGACACGCAGCGGGGCAGGACGCTGCCCAGCCTACAAGGTCAAGACCGGCAGCTGGGCTCCCTCATGAGACCCCCCCCAGCCCCCACATCACTGGCAGGGCCCTGTGCAGCTCCTCCTCTCTGGAGTTCCCTGCCCACTGCACAGGAGCTGGCCACACACAGAAGAACCTTTAAACAACAGCTAAAAGGGACAGGTTTGTTAGCATGGGGCAGAAGCCAAGCTGCCCACCCACTGCCCAAGGCTTTTTTAGAAACTGTGATTCCATCCCAGGCTCGAGGCTTTGACTCCCAAAGAGCCTAACCTCTCCCCTACTTGATGAAAAGGAGCCAAGCCCAGCGATCAGACCCAACCTGTCTTTCCCACTTAGTTTTAGGTAGAGAACTTGGCACAGAGGAGAAAAGACAAACGGGGAGATGCTGGCCATGGGGCACATCTCTCCCATGTGGAGAGAGGAAGGAAAGAGAAGGAGCCGGGCAGCCAGGTACTCGATGCATCCAGCCCCAAGAAATGAGGAAGCCCAAGCATGCAGGCTGGCCTGGGAGCTCGGACTGCAAGGTGACCAGAACCCAGCCCAGCCCGATTTCAGATGCCTGCGGGTCATGCCGAGAATAGTCCCTCCTCCCCCAGGGGCCAGTGAGCCGGGGAACCGAGCAGAAGCTCCCCAGGTGAGGGAGGGGCCAAGTGCCTGCCTCTGTAGGAGCAGCAGAAGCGTAAAGAGGGACAGAAGGGTGCAGCACACCAACATGGCACATGTATACATATGTAACTAACCTGCACGTTGTGCACATGTACCCTAAAACTTAAAGTATAATAATAAAAATATATATATAAAAAAAAGAGGGACAGAAATGCCCCCAGAACGATGGCTGGCGCTGACCGTTGGCACTCACACGTCATTGTGATGTGCAGTCTAGAGTCTGTCCTGCGTGGGGACTCTGGGTGGCTCCAACTCCACGGTGGGCCCCACCTTCCTGCTGTTGCTGCCAACCCAGGAAAGTCTGGCCCTTGGGCATTTAAAGATCAATGATCTATGCATATGGCCCAGCTGTGATGTTAGGCAGGTATATGACGTCATACCTCCAAAAATGCAGAGAGGTAAGTAATGTTCCCTTAACAAGGAGATGGACCCTTCATGAAGCAATGAGTGCTTTTCACCCCCGACAGTTCCTCTGCCACCCTCAAACACATCATTGCCTTTAGCAAAACTTTTCCCTGCCTTTTCCCACTGCCCATGACAGGGGATGGGGATGGGTGGAGCTCAAGGACGGCCCAAGGCCAGCACAGTAAGACCCGAGTGCCCACATCCATGGGCACCCTCTTATTCTGTTGTCCATGAATTCGACAGTCACCTCCAAGAACCTCAGCTCAGCTGGGCATTGGAAGAGCTCTCAGTACAGGGAGGAGCCCGAGAGAAGAGGGCCCTGGGCCAGCACAGGGTGGAAGCGCTGCTCTGCCCACAGGAGCCTCGGAAGGCAGAGCAAAGTCTCCCACAGCCCACGAGGGCACCACCATGGTGCCCACGCTACAGATGAGGAAGCTGAGGGTCACAGAAGCAAGTCCAGCTCCCCACAGCACGGATGGGATCCTGCTGTCCTGTCCACCGTTTCCCCACTGCAAGCCCAGCAGGCCCCCAGGAGCTCAGGGCCCCCAGGAGCTCAGGGCCTTCAGGAGCTCAGGGCCTCCAGGAGCTCAGGGCCCCCAGGAGCTCAGGCCCCCAGGAGCTCAGGGCCTTCAATCAGGCTTGGCCTTCACACATGTTCTGTAGGCAGTGAGGGAAATGAGGATTTTTTTTCTTATTGTTTGAAAATCACATTCACTGTGGTTGCTGATTTCAACAACCACCAGAGATTAGGCCCATGGATCATACCAGGGTCCGTTTCCCGGTTTTGACCACGTGCCTTCACTCCATGGCATGACAGACCCACTGGGGAAACACAGGAAGTTCACAAAGGATCTCATTGCATTATGTTTGCAAATTCTGTGACTCTATAATTATTTAAATATAAGAGGTTTTTAAGAAACCTATATATGCTCTTTGTGGAAGGTTAGAGGAATACAAACAATGGCGAAGAAAATAAAAATCACCGGTAATCACATAGCTCATCTCCCTAATTTTCTAGTATGTTGGTGCTTTTTTTCTGTTCAGGGATGTTGACTCAGTACAGATAGATAAGTGAACACAGAATGCCTCTCCAGTAGCTGGGATTACAGGCGGACGCTATCATCTGTCACGTACACATTTTTGTATCTGCCTAACGTTCAGGAACCCCTGTCCCTTTCTGCCAACAGTGGCTCTAAAACTATGCTTCCTTGTGGCTGTGTAAAGAGGCATCCTGCAGCTGTCCAACCACCCAACACCATTTATTAAAGGCCGACCGTGTGCCAGGCACCCCCTGCAGACAAAACCCTGCTTCTGTGGAGCTCACACGAAGAACACGGGATGCGAATGTCAGAGCATAAGCAGGGCAGGTTCAGGTGCAGGTAATAAAATGGGCACCCCAGTGGGGATAACGAGGCAACACTGGGCAGGTGGTCAGGGAAGACCCCTCGAGGGGGTGCTGAGGCTGCAGGATGAAGAGCGGGCCAGCCACACAAGGGCGTGCTCCGGGAGAGACAGATGGCAGGGGCCATGACCTGGCACATTTGCCACTTGCCCAGTGTGGCCATAAACAGGTGGCCCTGAGACCCCATGCCAGGAAGCCAGGGCGGACAGGCCAGAGTGAGCTCAGAGCGGAGTCACAGCAGCGTCTGCTGGGGCCGCAGTGCAGGGTGGAGAGCCCGGGAGGCTTTAGGCAGCCAGGCCAGGTCTGGTTGACTTTGTTAAGTGGTCACTTTGGTTGCTGTGTGGGCAGAGGGTCTGGAGGGCATAGGAGCGGCGCCTGCAAGGGCTTCCACTCTCCAGCACCCCTCAACTGTGGGAACTTTCGATTAAAAATAGCTCAGGCACTCTACATTGTCAAACATCTCATGAATATAAAGGAGCATATTTGGGCTACTTTCTATTTTTAAGCAATGCTTCTATCAAAGTCTCCTCTCCCTCCATCCCTTCTTCCATACCTACTCACTGGTGGCCGGATGTTGCCCAGGCTGGGGCTCAGAGAGCCAATGGGGTCCGGGAGTCTTGGGGAGGGTCAGTCCCAGGCCTGAGCCTCACCTGCCACAGGTCCAAGATGTGGGTTTGTTCTCTGAGAGCCGCCGAGGTGTTTAAACCTGGAGGGTAACCCAATGGGGGTTCCTTGTGAAAATGTACCTGACTTCTAGGTGCAGAGCAGGAGGAGGGGCCCACATCAGACCCCAGCTGGGTAAGTGAGGGGCTGTTGCCAGGACAGGATGGTGCCTTGGCTGGGCCTGAGGCAAGACAGCAACAGGCCAGATGGACAGAAGCCGAGTGTCAGGAAGCATTGAGTGACGAGGAGGAAGCAAAGGGCTGGGCACAGGACTACATGTGGGAGGACAAGCCCCCAAGTGGAAAACAGCTCAGGGAGAAGATGACAGGTTTCATGTCAAATATGTTTTGCTGAGGGGCCTTAAACTCACCAACAGGGGTGCTCAGGAGGGGCCTGGGCACCAGGACAACATGGGAGCACCGGGGGCCTCCAGGAGCAGTTTACAGGGTGGCGATAGGGCCAGGGCAGCCGGGTGAAGGAGGGAGGTAGGGAGACAAGGATGGGGGCACGTGTCGGACAGGGAGCTGAGGCACGCAATGCTCATCCTTGGAGTGGATGCAGGAGATCCCAAGGTCAAGAAGGTGCCAAGGCTTTTTTTTTTTTTTTTTTTTGAGACGGAGTCTTGCTCTGTCTTTCAGGCTGGAGTGCAGTGGCACAATCTCAGCTCACTGCAACCTCTGCCTCCCGGATTCAAGCGATTCTCCTGCCTCAGCCTCCCGAGTAGCTGGGATTACAGGCGCGCGCCATCACACCCAGTGAATTTTTGTATTTTTAGTAGAGACGGGGTTTTGCCATCTTGGCCACGCTGGTCTCGAACTCCTGGCCTCCAGTGACCCGCCCTCCTCAGCCTCCCAAAATGCTAGGATTACACGCCTGAGCCACCGCGCCCAGCCAAGGCTCTTAATAGCAGTTGGCAATGACAGTATAAAGAAGGGGTGGATTCTTCAGAAATCAAGACAGACACATTGGCACAGGTCTTGAGAGAGAAATCCTGGACATTTCCTTAGGAAACTCTGGGAAAGGGGGTAGGAGCTGCAGGGGCAGAGGTGGTGGCCAGTTTGTTTTTCCTGACACAGTGCATTGTTCCATATGGAGTCATCGCTGCCATTAAAAATGGCTAATTTAAAAAAAGGAAGGAGCACAGCAGTGTGGAGTGGCAACCAGATAAGGCAGTCTTGGGCCACCCAGGAGCCAGAGTCCTCCAGGTCCCGGCTCTGCCTTCTCCATCCAAAACCCACAAGCTCTGTCCATCCTCCAGAGGTCCTGCTACATCAGGCCTTCCCTTCTCCACACTTGATGCCCTCGGTTCCATGTCAGTCTCCACTAAAATCAGTTTCAAATCCCTTCACCATCATGCACTTGACTTCTGGAATCAAAATGTAAAAGCAAAAGGGACCCTCCAACAGAATCCGTTACTTTTGACAGACAAAGAACCTAGGCTTGGAAAATGACAGTCGCAAGTCCCACACTTCCAGGGGCAGGCAAAGGTGACATGTGGGCCCCTGGCCCTCACCTGTCCAGTGCTCTGTGCCTTCTGGGTACCAGAGCAGCTTCTAACACCATAAAACAAGTCATGTTGCTCTAAAGGAGAAAACCAGATCCCATGGCAATCTCTGGGATGGTCAGTGTTTCCCTGAACCCGTCAAGGGATGGTCAGGTCCCCCTTTTCATACCTCCCGTTAGCTGCTTACACATTGCACCTGCAATTTTCATCTTGTTTATAAGAATCGCATACAGCTTATCTTCCTCACTGGCTCAAAGCTCTGTGAGAAGCAGAATCGCGTTTATATCTTTCACCAGGAAAGCCTAATATAATGCCTCACATGGAATAAGCACTTAATAGATGTCTATGGGATGAATGAATAAGAGAATTGCTGCATAGCCAGAGATTATCAAAAGTGCTTAATTGCTGCTAGCAGAGACCTGACTGCATCAGCTTAATCATATTAAGCAGAAAATGGGTCAGTTGTCCAGTGGTTTGGGGCTGGTACTGGGACATCTCAGGGTCACTGGAGACCTAACCTTCTGTCTTCCTGTTCTAGCATCCTTAGGGCTGGCTTCATCGTGAAAGACACGAAATGGCTGCTGGAGCTCCAGCCATCGTGAGTGCATCCTAGGCAGTAAGACTGAGAAGGAGAAAGAGTAAAACAAGCTTTCTACCAGTGCACTTTTAAAAATATATAACTGGTCACCCTATCTACAAGAAATGCTTAAAAATGTAATATTTTTAACTCAGTCTCATTTCCTCCATGACTAAGATCAGACATCTCTTACTAAGGAAGAAGGAAAGAATGGAGGTCAGGCAGGATAGTAGAGTGTCTTTGCCTAAGGAACACTTAGTGGGCACTGACCGTATACAAGGCACCTATCCTGAGTTATCTTTTTCATCCTCCCAGTAACCTGATCATCTCAGTCTCCAGATGATGACAGTGGGGTGCTTGATTCCTTGTCCAGGGCCATGCACTAATAAGCTACAGACCCAAGACCAAAATGGTGGGGCACTCTGCCCACAGTCCCCATGCCCACCAGGAGGATAACTGCATGCCCTTCCTCTTCTCCTCCCCAGCACAAAACCCACACCTTCCCCAGGTCCCCCTGCAAGCAGAAGTAGTCTTCACATCCCCTAGTCTGCCCTTCATGAGGCTTCCAGGTTGGGGGCATGCAGAGGGAGGTGACCAATGCAGGGCTGGGCAGAATGGTGGAGCATGCTCCATGCTCCCCATCTCCCTTCTCTCAACCCTTCCCAGCCTGCTGCTGTCCAATCAGAGACCGTTATGTTCCAGCCCATAGGCACCTGGCCACCAGGAAGACATGTGATGCCTGGAGAGGAGATGCCTGCCCTTCACTTCACGTCCCATTTTGTGGCAGCACTAACTCACCTTTGAGCGTTAAGCAGAGTTTTTCCAACTGTGAAATGAAGACATCAAGTCTGGGCACTGAAATTGTTTGGAGAGAAAACAGGAAAAAAGGATGATGCCCAGTGGATGGGGAATTCCACAAGTGGAAGACCATAATGACTGGCTTTCAATCTCTATTCGGAAAAGCACACCCAACCATAAACACATCCAACCTGATGACAGCAAATTGAAGACAAATCGAGAGTAGAAAAGTAAATCCAATCAAGTTATTTGATTTGGGGTATCTATTTGCAACAACAGAACTAGATCGTATATTGATCCCAAATAAGAGCAAATTCAATTTTTTTAAGGTGCAATATATTTTGGAGGCTCAACCAGAAGGAAAAGACACAAATAGAGGATGCAATGATGGCTGACTCTGAATTAGAAAGGCCCCTTGGTATCTGAATTGATTGGATAGATTTTCCACTTTATTTTGTTGGAGAGAAGTTTATTTTATGCCTTTTCATGTTCACCCCAGAGGAGTCCCAAGAGCGGAGTGGGTCTGCCCAGAGGCCTTCGCAGTTGATTGGGGCAAGTCAAGCTTTGTGAGAACATGGTGGCTGTCTTAGTCCACTTGGGCTGCTATAACAAAATTCCATAAAATGGGCAGCTTATAAACCACAGAAATCCATTTCTCACAGTTCTGGAAGCTGGAAGTTCAAGATCAAGGTCTAGCAGATCTGGTGTCTGGTGAGGGTTTCCTGGTTCACAGACAGCACCTTCTCTGTGTCCTCACATGGTGGACAGGGTGAGCTAGCTCCCTTGAGTCTCTATTATAAGGGTATGAATCCCATTCCTGAGGGCTCCACCCTCCTACCGTCATCACCTCCCAAAAGCCCCCTCCTAACACCATCACCTTGGGGTGAGAATCTCAACATGAACTTTAGGGGGACACAAATATTCCAACTGTAGTAGTGGGGATCAGCTCAGCTCCACCGGCAGCCCCCTGGAGACTCCGCTAAGGAGGCTACAGTTGGTCTTGACTTGAGAAGATGAGCAAGTGTCCACAGGGAGGAGGGGCTGGAAAGGATTCCCTGCAGAGGGAAGAACGTAAGCAAAAGGCTGGCTTGGGCAGCTCGGTTTAGAGGAAGACGGAGCGTTGAGGAATGGTGTCGAGAGGGTCACAGCCAATGGCAGCCCTTAGCACTGCTCAGAGGATGTCGGACCTCAACATGCACTTATTCATTCCGTAACATGCCTTGATGATCACCTGTGTAGATGTCAGGTAAACTGGTCAATATGGTTTCTGCCTCATGGGGCCTCAAGTCTAATTGGAGGACAGGGGAAGTACCTTAAGAATCCATCATGCATATACATATTTAATCATTAATTGCATAAGTGATGGGAAGGAACAGCACTGGGTGCTCTGGGAGAAGCAAAGAGGTCTCACGTGGCTTGGGGGGCCAGGGAGGGCTTTCTGAGGAGGTGGAAAAGAGAATCCAGGCTCAGGGCCGGGCGCGGTGTCTCACGCCTCTAATCCCAGCACTTTGGGAGGTCAAGGTGGGTGGATTGCTTGAGGCCAGGAGTTCAAGAACAGCCTGGCCAACATGGTGAAACCCTGTCTGTACTAAAAACAAATACAAAAATTAGCTGGGCATGGTGGTTGGTGCCTGTAACCTCAGCTACTTGGGAGGCTGAGGCAGGAGAAAACCTTGAACCCAGAAGGCAGAGGTTACAGTGAGCCGAGATCATGCCACTGCACACCAGCCTGGGTGACAGAGTGAGACTCTGTCTAAAAACAAACAAACAAACAAACAAACAAACAAACAAAAAACCACACTTAGGTGTGAGTCCCCCAGACAAGGCAGGGGATAGAGGCCTCCACTGCTGTGCAGAGGAAGATAGAGAAGCAGAGGGGAGCATGCACAACATTAAATTTAAAAATAGATTTTCATTTCTACAAACCACACACTTTAGGGAGAAAGGCAGGGCCCAAGCGGACATGAAATTATTATTTCCATCAATTCATGAATCACAAAATAACATTCACTCTGGATTTTAAAGCCTATTACAAAGCTAAAATAATTAAAAGAATATGGTATTAACATCAGGATAGAAAAGAAAAAGAGGATGAAAGAGAGAAAGAAGGAGAAAATAGGGTGATATTTCAAATCAAAGGACAAAAAGGATTATTTTCCATCAATATAGTAATTAGTGTAATTAGCCATTTGGGAAAATATTAAGACAGATTTATCATTTACACTTACACCAAAATCAATCCCAGATGAATAGAAGATTTAAAACATTTTTAAAAGCTTAATCAGTAAGATAATATTTACTTTTATAATCTGTGAAGCAATCATATTTTTATAACCACTGGATGAGAAAAGCTTTTCTGTTCTTTTCTCTACTAGCAAATCTATAAAGTAACACACCAGTAATAAAAACTATATAAGAAAAATAGAGACCACTGACAAACCTAAAAGGCAAATAAACTGGTAGACAAAGAGCTGGTTTTTTTAATATTTGAGAAGCTTTTACAAATCATTTATAACAAAAGAAGCCTCAATAGAAAAAGAAGAACCGGGCCACAAATTTGAATATATAAAAATACGTTCAGTTTCACCAAAAGTAAAATAATTATAGGGTAAAACAAAGCAAGATATGTGTCCATTGGGTTGGCCAATATTTTAAATAATTGTAATCTCCAATATTTGTGTGAGTGTGAGGTACAGGTGCTGGCATTCACAATTTGGAGACTTGTATGTTGGCACAAGCTTTCATAGAGCAACAGGCACCAGCATCACAGAAAATGGCCCCGTCTTTGACTTACTAGTACCTTCTCTAGGGATTTATCCTAATAAGCACATAGTATACCATAGTGTACAAAAATCTATGCACAAGAATGCTTACGAAAGCATTTCTCACAGTAATGAGATAAAAATAATCTACATACAGAATTTGTTAAACATATTTTTATGAATCCCCCAGGCAAGACAATACTACGCATGCACTACAAATTAAAATCATGTGAGTGAAGTCTATAATACACCATAAAGGGTTTTCAAATCTCCTTATAAAACGATATGTTGTGCCACCATACTCATTTTAAATTTTTGTTAAGAAATCCTGGCTCCAACATCTATCTACCCATGTTACCTAAATAGTAATGTATGCCTTAAAAAAAAAATCTAGCAGGACAGATCCCAGCCAAATCCCAGTCCTTAGAGGTCACAGATTTATGGTTGAGTGTTGTCTTCTTCATTAGACTTTTTGATATTTTATGTGATTTTTATGATAAGCATGTAATACTTTGAGAATCAGGAAACAATAAAGCTATTTCCAAAGAGAGTCCAAAAAATGCTAGGTTAGTTAACAGTATATAAAGGATGATTCCATTTTTTAAACTGTGTGTTTCTGCATGGAAGAGTGAATAGGAGGAATAGTCACTAGCCAACAGTGGCTTTTGAACAGCAGGGTAAATAGCAAATTTTGCTTTTTTCTGCCTTCATCAGTTCCTACACTGATTAAACTTTTTACAATGTGCATAGACAACTTTTTTTTTTTTTTTTTTTTTTTTTTTGAGACGGAGTCTCGCTCTGTCGCCTAGGCTGGACTGCGGACTGCAGTGGCGCAATCTCGGCTCACTGCAAGCTCCGCTTCCCGGGTTCACGCCATTCTCCTGCCTCAGCCTCCCGAGTAGCTGGGACTACAGGCGCCCGCCACCGCGCCCGGCTAATTTTTTGTATTTTTAGTAGAGACGGGGTTTCACATTGTTAGCCAGGATGGTCTCGATCTCCTGACCTCATGATCCACCCGCCTCGGCCTCCCAAAGTGCTGGGATTACAGGCGTGAGCCACCGCGCCCGGCCAACTTTTTTTTTAAGATAGGAAATAGTAATAAAAGTGTGAAGAGGCCAGGCGTGGTGGCTCACGCCTGTAATCCCAGCACTTTGGGAGTCCGAGACGGGCGGATCACGAGGTCAGGATATCGAGACCATCCTAGCTAACACGGTGAAACCCCATCTCTGCTGAAAATACAAAAAATTAGCAGGGCGTGGTGGTGGGCGCCTGTAGTCCCAGCTACTTGGGAGGCTGAGGCAGGAGAATGGCGTGAACCCGGGAGGTGGAGCTTGCAGTGAACCGAGATCATGCCACTGCACTCCAGCCTGGGCAACAGAGCGAGACTCCATCTCAAAAAAAAAAAAAAAAAAAAAAAAAGGTGTGAAGAAACCCTTAGTCATGCTAAAGCTAATCCCATGCACAAAGACAGCCACCATCTCTTAGAGAACCAGGAGTTCGGCTGCTCTGTGGGCTGCTCTATCTCTGATTTTGGGGACTGGCTGGGGGGGGGGGCGGGGGATCTCCCAACTGGTCCCTCTGCCACCCTCACAGTCATGGGTGGCCTCCCGTGAGGAGGGGAGTCTGGCAGGGGCCTGGCTGTAGCCCAGACCCCAGGATGAGCTCACTTGGCCCTCCTGCTGCACCCTGTGGCTGGAATTCAGTCACATGATCCCCTCACTGCAAAGGACCTTGGGAAATGCAGTCCAGTTGGGTGGCCATGAGCCTAGGTCCTCTGTCCCTGGGGAGACAGGAGAGAATGGGTTTCATCGAACAGCTGGCCTTCCTAGCCACGAGGGGCAGGGAGGGGGTCCCTCTGCTCCCCAGTTTGGGCCAGGGCTGGAGCAGGAGCAGCACTCTCAGCTCACCCCTGCCCTCACACCATGGCTTAGCCAGTAGGGGACTCCTAGAGCAGCTGAGTGAAGCTCTACTGGCACTGGACAACCACCATAGACACGGGACACATGCAGGGCAGTGGTGCCCAAGGGAGAGGGCTGCGGTTACCCATCAGTCTTGTGCCCGGAGCTGGGCGTACTCATTGCTCCAGTTTAGGGCAACTGTCTGCAGGCTTATTTGGACCTAAAAGCCAGGCAGCTTGGTCAGCAATAAAGCCAGCATTTTACTCCCCAGCTGTGTGTCTTCTGAGCCTTAGTCCTTATTTGCTTCCAAATTCAAGAGAAGGAGAAAGCAGGATTGCCCGTCGCTCAGCAGCCTACCAAAACACCAACCATTGACTCATTTGTGTTTAATTTCCAATCCCAAGATTTGATATGAAGACAGATAGACACACATACACGCGCACGCGCACACACACACACACCCCGCCTGACAGCATGGTAATATCGCGGGCTGTTGGGATGGAAGGTGAAGGTCTTCAGTAGTTCCCACGTCAGGGGCTTTCATACAAAATGAACGAGAGGCTGGCGCTGGCCCCTGCAGTGTTTAAAACTCTCAAGCAATGTCCTGCAATGGCAGGACAGGTTTAATTTGGGGATGAGGATTTGTTTGAGCAGGAGATGCCAAGAGGCTCATTCTGAGCAGGGCATGGGTCCCAGCAAGGCTGCAGGTCATCCTTCCTTCAGCTGACTTGTCTTCAGGAAGTGTGTGTGTCCCACTTGGAAGACTTCTTTCCACTCCACTTCTGTTAACTCTTCATTACCTGCACCTTGTTAGTCTCCCACTAACCACATGTACTATTAACCTTACTCAGAGAGTAGAGCCTGGTTAGGCCTGGTCTAAGAGCTCCTTTCATTTTGACTTGGGGTCTGTGCCTCACACCCCAGCTGCAGGACTGACTGGGATAAACCCACAAATCTTGGCCACTTCTTGCAGTGGCCATTGAGAAAGACAAGCCCTGCCATCTGCAGAGAGGGAAAGGTGCAGGACCATGGGAGCTTCCAGAGAAAAGAACATCCAAACCACAGCCCGATGTTGCCAAAGGGTTTTCAAATTCCTTGTCTCACTTCACTCCTTGGAGGCAAAGTATCACCCCATTATCATGTCTACAGGCAAGGAAGCTGGTAGTCAGAGAGGTTAGGTCGCTACTGAAGATCACTCAGCAGTCAATGGACATTCTGTTTCTTTAAATTTAATTTCCAGGATACACATGCAGGACGTGCAGGTTTGTTACATAGGTAAACGTGTGCTATGGTTGTTTGCTGCACCTATCAACCCATCACCTAAGTATTAAGCCCCACATACATTAGCTATCTATCCTGGTGCTCTCCCTTTCCCCACTCCCCCTACCACAGGCCCCATTATGTGTTGTTCCCCTCCCTGTATCCATGTGTTCTCATTGTTCAGCTCCCACTTATAAGTGAGAATATACAGTGTTTGGTTTTTTGTTCCTGTGTTAGTTTCCTGGGGATAATGGCTTCTAGCTCCATCCAGGTCCCTGCAAAGAACATGATCTCATTCCTATTTAGGACTGCATAGTATTCCATGGTGTATATGTATCACATATTCTTTATCCAGTCTATCATTGATAGGCATTTGGGTTGATTCCATGTCTTTGCTATTGTGAATAGTGCTGCAATAAACATGCGCATGCATGAATCTTTGTAACAGAATGATTTATATTCCCTTGGGTATATACCCAGTAATGAAATTGCTGAGTCAAATGGTATTTCTGGTTCTAGATCTTTGAGGAATCACCACACTGTCTTCCGCAATGGTTGAACTAATTTACACTCCCACCAACAGTGTAAAAGTGTTATTTCCCCACAGCCTCTCCAGTATCTGTTGTATCTTGACTTTTTGATAATCGCCATTTTGATTGGCATTTTGATTGGCATGAGATGGTATCTCATCGTGGTTTTGATTTACATTTCTGTAATCATCAGTGATATTGAGCTTTTTTTTCATATGTTTGTTGGCTGCTGCATAAATGTCTTCTTTTGAGAAGTGTCTGTTCATGTCTTTTGCCCACTTTTTAATGGGGTTGTTTTTTTCTTATAAATTTGTTTAAGTTCCTTGTGGATTCTGGATATTAGACCTTTTGGGCAGTATGGCCATTTTCACGATATTGACTCTTCCTATCCATGAGCATGAAATGTTTTTCTATTTGTTTGTGTTCTCTCTGACTTCCTTGAGCAGTGGTGTGTAGTTCTCCTTCAAGAGGTCCTTCACTTCCCTTGTTAGCTGTATTCCTAGGTATTTTATTGTACTTGCAGCAATTCTGAATGGGAATTCATGATTTGGCTCTCTGCTTGTCTATTGTTGGAGTATAGGAATGCTTGTGATTTTTGCACATTGATTTTGTATCCTGAGACTTTGCTGAAGTTGTTTATCAGCTTTTGGACTGAGACGATGGGGTTTTCTAGATACAGGATCATGTCATGTGCAGAGACAGTTTGACTTTCTCTCTTCCTATTTGAATACCCTTTATTTCTTTCTCTTGCCTGATTGCCCTGGCCAGAGAAGTTCTGGGTCTTTATCTAGGTCTCCTAATTTCTGCTTCCACACTCTATGTTAATCTGTTGCTGCATAACAAAATTATCCAAAGACTTAGCAGCTTAAAACAAGCCATTTATCATCTCTCCCAGTTTCTGAGAGTCAGGAATCACAGGACAACTTAGCTGGGTGGTTCTGCCTGTCTCCCTAGAGGGGAGCCTGGGCCTGGTACTAAATGAATGCAACTGATTGCAATTTTTAAAAGGAAGTGGCTACACCCATGTTCATAACAGCATTATTCACAATAGCCAGAAGGTGGAAGCAACCCAAGCATCCACTGACAGATAAATGGATAAAGAAAATGTGGTCCATCCATACAATGGAATATTTTTCAGCCCTGAAAAGGAAGGAAGTTCTGACACATGCTACAGCCTGGATGAACCTAGAGGACACGATGCTCAGTGAAATAAGCCGGTCACAATAGTACAAACACTGTGAGGTTCCACTTACATGTGGTCCCTACAGAAGTCAAATTCATGGAGACAGAAGGTGGAACAGAGGAGTGCCAGGGCCTGGGGGAAGGGGGAATGTGGCGTTTAATGGGTACAGAATTTCAGTTTCACGAGATGAAAAGAGTTCTGGCAATGAGGGTGGTGGTGGTTTTATGACAAAGTGAATGTATTTAACACCACTGAACCGTATACTTGAAAACTGTTAAGATGGTAGATTTCCTGTTATGTAAATTTTAACAGAATAATAAAAGGGGCAGGACTCATACATAGAGAGAGTCTTTTCAGAAGCAAGAGTGGATCGGCCCTGGGACGGCTTACAATGGCAGGTAAGCTCATCACCCGAGATCCTTTCTGCTTGTGCGTCCTCTTTCCCCATCAACTTTGGCTGTAGAGTATTCCACTGCAATGCGTTCTCCCATGTGCTGCTGGGGAACCTCCCCACTCACAAAAATATTTTGGTGAACATTCTGCTTGTTTTCATTTCAAAAGTTAAATACCTACCAGACTAACACTGACAGAAAAAAATATAAGAGATGAAACATTACCTATGAAAAGGATGACTACAAAAGTCACTTGAAAATGAGGGGAAAAACGTGCTAATTAAAATGTATTTTTATATACTTTAGTCTACAAGTGTTTTCATTATTTGACCAGAATCCAAGAACAGTTTCTTTGTGGATTTTTTACAGACTCATTTTCATGATATGAAGTATGGTTATGCCTAATTCTTTTAAAAAAGTGAAAAAGAAAGCAATTTTTTGCAATTTTTAAAAGGAAGTGGCTACACCCGTGTTCGTAACAGCATTATTCACAACAGCCAAAAAGTGGAGGCAACCCAAGCATCCATTGACAGATGAACGGATAAAGAAAATGTGGTCCATCCATACAATGGAATGTTAAAAAGAAAGCAGCACAGCAAAGAGCCAGGCTGGCTGGAAGGAGGGGTGGGTGCCCAGGCAGGGGAGGTGGCATCGGAGGTGGACGCTCCCGTGAAAGGATGCAGGCCTGGGTACTGGCTGCCCACCATGCTCCGGCATCACAGCAGCTCCGCCCAAACATCTTGAGAGGCTGCTCAGTGTTTACAGGTAGCTTGCAAACCCTCTGTCTAGCTTTCCAGGTCCATGTACCCCAGGTCAAGTCCTCGGTGCCAAGCACCTGGTGTCCTCGGCGAGCACCACGCTCAGCACTCTGCTCCCTGCTTCTCGCCATGTCCCAATTCTGCAGGTGCTGCTGTGTCTCCCTGCAAATGTCTTGTCCCTCGGTCCTCGAGACCTGCTCACGGCACCTCCTGCAGGATGCTGCAACCTGGCATGTGTATTTGTGCTGTCTCTTAAGCAGCTCTCAGTGCCCAGGAGGCCGCTGTCAACGTGGCCATGGGAGATGAGCAGTCGGGCCCCTCTATTCCCCAGAAATGGAGCTGGAACCCTCACCTTTGCTCTGGTAAGGGGCCTACAGGGATGTCTCCTGCCTGTGATGGCTTTGAGAGGTGTCGTGAATTGAACTGTGTCACCCCAAGATTCGTATGTTGAAGTGGTAACCCCAGCACCTTGCAGACATAATTAAAGTTTAGATGAGGTCATAGTGGATAAGCTGGACCCCTAATCCAACACGCGTAGGGTCCTTACACAGTGGGGAAATTTGGATACACAGACATACAGGCACACAGGGAGAACGCTGCATGAAGACAGAGGCAGAGATTGGAGTGATGCAACTACACACCAAGGAATGCCAAAGACAGCCAACAGACCCCAGCAGCAGGGGGAGAGGTCTGGAACAGATCCCCCCTCACAGCCTCAGAAGGACCCAGCCAAGCTGCCACCTTGATCTCGGCCTCATGGCCTCTAGAATCATGAGACAATCTATTGCTGTTGTTTCAGCCACTGTGTTTGTGCTTCTTTGTTAGGCAGCTGGGGAACTGACAGATGAGAACACCTATCTCATGGACACAGAGAAGTTTGGTACCACAAATGTGGGCCCCGTTTCCCCAGCACTGGCCTACGGAGCATTTCCTCTCACAGACATGGCGAGGGCCAGGCCGGGCAGGTCCTGCTGGCTTTGGCATGAGCCCAGCAGACAGGCCACACACTTTCCTCCTGCCTGCCGTGGGCTTCTCTACAGGAAGGTCTCAGTGAGGAAAGGGCAGACTGCAGAGACCCCAACCCTCACCACAGAGACCCTGGAGAGTGGCCTTCTGGGCCCCAGATGTGAACACGGCTTTCGCCAAATAGGCCGCACACGCCCACGGGCAGCTGAAGCTGGCTTCTCCCAAGAAGGAAAGCCATGCTAGGCAGCTACTTGTAGCAGACGTTTCCAGTCATGTCTGGAGCCGGCAGCTGACAAAATACAGCAAGTCGAGAACTCTGGAAACCATCCAGAGCTTGTTTGTTTCAAGAATTCTTTAGGCTTGCTGGCTTTTTTTCAATCCATGTTGCTTTAGCTAAGACTGTCCTGTCAACTTGCTTCCTCCACCTGCCTCTGACAACACAGAATAATCTGAACTGCAAATAGTCTTACTTGAATTGTTTCCTTTCTTCCCCCTCTTACCATCACCTCCCACCTCCTACCACCACATGAGATGTCTCATATGAGGAATAATGAGGCCAAGTCCACCTCTGCCTGTGTTGGGAGGCACTGTCTGGGGACCTCATTAGAACGTGATGCTTTTAGAGATGATGAAAAGACAGTTTAGAAAGCTTTAGCTCCCAGGAATTCACCAGAGCTCACTCACAGAGGGGTGAGTGACGGCCTCTCCTCTTCTTGCCAACTGAGTGGTGAATTCAAATGTGCCTCCCCAGTCAGTGTAATTGTCATCTGCTAAATATAGGCTGATTACAAATACCAGTGATCTGGGCCTCTAAGGGGAAGTGCCTCCAAGGGAGTCCTTGTCAGTACTGGCAGAGCTGATGGCAGAGCTGATGGCAGGGCTGATGGCAGAGCTGATGGCAGGCTCTTGGAAGATGTTTCTGCAAAGGAAGGAGAAATCAGAATTCATCCTCCGGGATCCAGGACAGCTCCCAAGATGTGTCTTCATCAAATGAAACGTCCTCCTGTTGGCATGGCCCTTGAAGGCACTTGGGGCACATTCACATCCTTCGTCCCACTGAGTCCCCATGGTAAATGCTATGCAATCTCCTTGTCACAAATGAGGAACAAAGCAATGACACCTTCCATAATAAAAATGAAAATCCAGGCCGGGCGCAGTGGCTCACACCTGTAATCCCAGTACGTTGGGAGGCCGAGGCGGGCAGATCACCTGAGGTGGGGAGTTCGAGACCAGCCTGACCAACATGGAGAAACCCCGTCTCTACTAAAAATACAAAATTAGCCAGGCGTGGTGGCACACACCTGTAATCCCAGCTACTCTGAAGGCTGAGGCAGGAGAATCGCTTGAACCTGGGAGGCAGAGGTTGTGGTGAGCTGAGATCGCACCATTGCACTCCAGCCTAGGCAACAAGAGCGAAACTCTGTCTCAAACAAAAGAAAGAAAAGAAAGAAAATCGAGCCTCTCCAAGACTGGGAGGGACTCAACAGAGTCTCCAGGCGCAGACAGGTCAATGGCTGGTGGCCCAGACATTCCTCCAATGATGCACCCCTTCCTGGTTCTCTCACTGAGTCCTTTGATACCAGTATCATCTCATCAGGAGAACGCTGAACCCTCAGGCCCCAGTGCAACCCGAGACTCATCCTGTAGCCCAGCTCAAGCAGGTTGTAGATGGAAGCAAGACTTCTCTCAAGGTTCAGGATGGAGGATGGGAGAAATACCACATGCACAATGGGCCTAATTCAATTTCCTCCAGGGGCATCCTTCGATAGCTACATTTTTAAACATTTACCTGATGTCCCAGTCATGTAAGATAAGGCCAATGCATTTACATTCATTATGATTGCTGGAAGACTTTGAATTATTTCTGCTATCCTGTTTTGGTTTTGGTTTTGGTTTTGGTTTTGGCTTTTGCCACCATATTTATTCGCTTCTCTTACCTCCTTTCCTACTTTCTCTTAATTTGATGGTAGTTTCTTGTTTCTCTGTTGTGGCAAAGATTCTTTGCTTGGCCAAACTTTAGTCAAACATTCTCCTAGCCCCATCTGTGCACTTCCCCGTAAAATAGAGTTTTAGCAAAAGAACCCTGCAGAGACAGTTCCGCAAGAACCGCTAACACTTATTTTCCTTTCTTTTTTTTTTTTTTTTTTGAGACAGAGTCTTGGTCTGTCACCAGGCTAAAGTGCAGTGGCGCTCAATGCAACCTCTACCTCTTGGCTTCAAAAGTTCAAGATATTCTTCTGCTTCAGCCTCCTGAGTAGCTGGGATTACAGGCATGCACCACCATACTAGGCTAATTTTTCTATTTTTAGTAGAGATGGGGTTTTGCCATGTTGGCCAGGCTAGTCTCGAACTCCTGACCTCAAGTGATCCGCCCCCCTCGGCCCCACAAAGTGCTGGGATTACAGGTGTGAGCCACTGCACCCGGCCTCCCACACCCTCTTTATCTGATCATCCTCATTATCTGATCAGGTTCCTCACCCTGCACCACCCCCGAGGTGATGTCGGCCACCCTGGCCTGTCCTCAGCAAGAATCCTAACGGATGGATTTGGCCAGAATCCCCTTCACCCTGATGTCTCCTCTTAGGAATTTCCCATCCCCTTACCCCATCCTGCTCCTTGGCTATTAATTTTCATTTGCCTGTGCTGTATTCAAAGTTGAGCCCAATCTCTCCCGACAACAGCACCCCTTTGCAGTGGCCCCTATACCTATCGTGATGGTCCTGAATGAAGTCTTCCTTGCTGTACTTTGACAAGGGCCATTGAATAATTTTTTTCCTTAACAGTTACGGTGCCATGACTTGGATAGGGTCAGATTCATCACTGAACCCCCAGGCTTCCCACCCAGGGTCCTACATGCATGGTTTTGAGGCCTTTGTCTTCACTCCTGACCGATTGATTTGGGGATCCAGTGGTGAGTCAAACTACTGAGCCGCTGCTCTGGACAAAAGTCTGTTGAAGCTGTTAAGGATAGATTTTGATTCTTAAGGTGTGGGAATATGCTCTCAAGCTGGGTCTGAGTCCCAGGCTTCTTCGGAAAGGCACCTTCTGTGCTGCCAAGTCTTCTTCCTGGCTCCTTGTTCTGAGTGGGGATTATTCTCTGACTCCCGGGGCTGGGATTTTCTGCTTCCTGGCCTCTGTGAGGCCACGTTCTCTCTTTTGGATGCTGATCCTCCTGTGGGAACTTCTCTGTCACCTGAAGCCCCTTTCTTGAACTGCTGACTCTGTGCTCTACCAGCTCTGTCCACTGCATCTTGTTGGCATGGTTTTGCCCTCCAGTTCCCTTGAATTCTTTGATATGCCCTCCTTCGAGCCCCTACCTCCTCCATCCTCTGCCCACCCCTGCCAGGCCCTTTCCTTCCCCACTCCAGCCTCTCAGTCACTTGAACTTAGGCCCCCTACCCTCCCCAGGGGCTTCTCAAGGGACTCAGGAGCCCCCAAAAGCAACCATGTGAGGCAGAAAAGAGAGAAAAAGAAGGAACTATTTGGAAACTGGGTAAGTGAAAAATTTTGAAATGCTTCTCTACAAATATTGGTAAAAAGCTTTAGCCCTTAATAAGCTCTTAACTTGTCCCATTTTTGTCAGGAACACAATTTATGTAAAAATATATAATTTTTTATATTATGTAAATATCTTTATAAATATATATAAACATATAATTATATTTATATTATATAAATATAAAATATTTACATAAAAATATAGATTAGAGAAAAACCAGTGAATGTATATTACTCTGTTTTATTCCCTCATGACTAAAATTTTTTAAATGAAAAGCCATAAGATCAGATTGCAACTATTGGTATGTTTATGTATATGTACATGTATGCTTGTATGTTACATATACATGACGGTTTCTACCTCTGCTGATATCACCTAACTAAAATACCCAAATAGGCTTAGGGATAAATTAATGCTTAAATAAATTAAGTATTCATAAAACTCTCAGGAAAATAGAAACCATCCCAAATGGGTTTTTTGTTGTTGCTTTTTTTTTTTGTTTGAGACAGGGTCTCAGTCCATCACCAGGCTGGAGTGCAGTGGCACAATCGCAGCTCACTGTAGCTTTAACCTCCTGGGCTCAAGCAATCCTCCCATCCTTGTTCCGAGTGGGGATTACCACACAAGATAGTATTTTCACAATCCTTTTACAATCTCTTAAAAAAGATATTTTTTTTTTTTGCTTTTGCAATTGACATGCATCAGGTCTCCTGAGTAACTGAGACTAGAGGTACATGCCACTACATCTGGCTAATTTTGTTGTTGTCGTTGTTGTTGTAGAGATGGGGTTTCCAAAATGTTTTTTTAAGTTCATGTAATCTGATATAATCTTTGGCAAATAAAAGCTAGTTTTAAAACTGACTGTAAGATGAAAGTAAAAATGTCTTTAGAATTGTCAGGATTCAAGATAATACAGACATACATTTTTGCCTGGGTTTGCTGCTGGATAAGTTTCTGTTGTGTCTGTTAGATGTTAAATAAAAGTATAAATCTAACCTAAGAGCAGAATGTACAGTAAAAATGAATTGCCTGATGCACGTCAATTGCAAAAGCAAAAGAAAATCTTTTTTAAGAGATTATAAAAGGATTGTGAAAATCTTGTGTGGTCAAAGCTCACTAAGATTACATGGATTCATTTATAAGGCTTTATTAAAAATTAGTTAAGTTCTACATTGATGCAAAGTAGAATTTGGTCTTTTCTGTTAAAATGACAACATTTTCTTGGAGTATTGGTCTGAGAATATAAGGGTTTTAAAAATACTTTAAGTAAGTGGCCTAGAAAGCAAAGATTTTGTATTTTATCAAGGGAATTTTTTGTACTTTACAGCTTTTACTAGGTCTGTGATTACTTAAGAAAATTGAGTCTCCCCAATATTAAAAGAGGTAAGATTTTGTTCAAACCCTATAAACTTTCTGAATTTAAAATATTTAAAATATTTTATTGTTACCTTAATTAAATAGATAACCAAAATCTTATCTAATCAAGTGTTCTAAACTTTTTGACATTTTTTACAATCTTCCCAAGATCAAATTCCTAATTAAGTCTTTTTGACCTTTAGCTAACTTTGGGACATTCTGGAGGGCCCTGGAAGGTCGGAAGGGATCTGTAAAAGAAAGATATTGAACTAATTAGGCTTATTTGATATATTAAGTTGCATGTGAAACACTGTGAAATAAGAAATGATATTTACCTTTACTTGAGTTAAATTTGTATGGCTATCTTATTAATATGTGTTCTAGAAAGTATATGAAATTTCTAGAAATCTGATGTTATCAGTCATAATTTCAGTTATTATGTAAAAATAGTGTATGTAATAGAAATAAACAAATTTCCCTATCAGTGTGTCATCATTATAATGAGCGCTCATCAGATTTTTAACTATAGTCATTTTGTCTTTGTTATTACAGACAGTTATTGTTTTACTTTAATTCTGCTGTAAAGTCCTTGCAATCAGCTACAATCCAAAATTGCTTCTTTTTCAAAGAGACTCATGAAAAGGACTCTGACAAGTACAGGTTTCCAATAACTTTAAGATCATACCATTTAACTGGATAAGAACTTTCAGAACTTTAATGAAACCGATGGGTTCATAAAACAGCTATCCTGAGATCAAGCTGAACAAGAGTTAATTATTACATGGGACTAAATGAACTAAATGAGGATAAATTTTTAATGACATTTTGTTTAAAAAATTGCTGGTTTTTAAAATCTTTTGTTTTCTAGATTTAAGGAAACTTTTTTTTTCTTTTAAGCTATGTATAGCTTACAGCAATTTGGTAAAGTGTACTTTTGTGAACAAAAATTGAAACATTTTTCTTCTTACTTGATTTCTCCAGAATTTGGAAACGATTTGTGAGCATTCTTATTTATAGTAATATAGTTATTTGCATAAGTTCCATGATAATCTGTTCTCCTTATAACAGGACACAATTGAAAACACTGGCTACATCACCAAGGCTGGAATGTTATATTGATTGGAATGTTATATTTTCTAATACGACCAGACAGCTTAAGGAACTAAAATTGACTTTGAAGAGCCTGGGAAGACAGCTTGGAAAACTGTTTCAAACCTTACCAATGAGAAAGGAATGTCACTTCCTGACAAGTCCAGAAATCTTAGATATTTGGGGGACCTCAAGAAAAGAGGAATTTGCCAAATCTATAAGTGTTACAGATGAAACCTGTTGGCAAGTCCTTGGCCTGGCTTCCTTACCTTCAGAGGCTTCTACCAGTTCAATCTGAGATTCCTTTTATTTTCTTTTTTGAGACGGAGTCTCGCTCTGTCCCCCAGGCTGGAGTGCAGTGGCGCGATCTCTGCTCACTGCAAGCTCCACCTCCCGGGTTCACGCCATTCTCCTGCCTCAGCCTCCCGAGTAGCTGGGTCTACAGGTGCCCGCCACCACGCCCGGCTAATTTTTTTTATTTTTAGTAGAGACGGGGTTTCACCGTGTTAACCAGGATGGTCTCGATCTCCTGACCTCGTGATCCACCCGCCTCGGCCTCCCAAAGTGCTGGGATTACAAGCGTGAGCCACCGCGCCCAGCCGAGATTCCTTTTCAAAAGATCCAGCAAAGCAAACCTTAAAAGAGTCTGTATAATCAGTCACTATTCTTGCTGCATGTATCTAAATATCCAGGCAAAGTTTAATGAAAATAAACTTATTTTGCAAACAGCCCAGTCTAACTGATTATCTTTGGTATAAATGGGTGTGACTTCAGAGAGAAAAAGTAATGGTTCAGAAGAAAACTTCAGCTGAAGCTCCAGCTGAGTTTGGATGAGGTTGGATGACTTGAAATAAACTTTAGCGAAAATTACATGACAGGTCATCAAATGACAACCTTCATGACATCCAAACTGCAAACTAGGAAAACCTGCCATCTGCCACAGCCTGCCTCACGCCAACTGAAGATACTTCAGGTCCAGCATCTAGAAATCTTTTTGACTGGCTGGCCTCTGGACTTGGAAATGGAGTGTCCAAATATTATTTTTTGTTTTTATTTTATTTCCATAGAATCTAAACTCCCCTCATTAAAGGCCTGATGGCTCACACCCTCCAGCAGATCTCTCAGCCCAGTAGATGATTCAGCTGATCCTTAATTAACCAAAGATCAAGCAAGAAAATGGACTGCTAATGCTTACCGAAAAGAATGCCTCTTCTTTCCTTAAACAAGGGGTAGAAAGATTCTCTGCCTCATCAAGGTTTAGTCAGGCTTCTGAACCTTCTCCTAGGCCCATCTGTGTGCTTTCCCATAAAATAGTTTCAGCAGCCCGGCCCGGTGGCTCAGGCCTGTAATCCCAGCACTTGGGGAGGCCAAGGTGGATGGATCACGAGGTCAGGAGATCGAGACCATCCTGGCTAACATGGTGAAACCCCGTCTCCACTAAAAATACAAAAACATTAGCTGGGCCTGGTGGCACGTGCCTGTAGTCCCAGCTACTCGGGTGGCTGAGGCAGGAGAATCGCTTGAACCCGGGAGGCAGAGGTTGCAGTGAGCCAAGACTGCACCACTGCACTCCAGCCTGGGTTGACAGAGCGAGACTCGGTCTCTCAAAACAACAACACCAACAACAAAAACAGTTTTAGCAAGAATCTAAGTCAGTTTAGCCAGAACCCTGTCCCCTTGATATCTGGTCCACCTCACTGTCTGACTGGGTTCCTCATCCTCCAACATCCCCCAGGCGATGTCGGTCACCCTAGCCTGTCTTCAGCAAGGCAGAATCCCCCAGCCCCTGATGTTTCCTCTTAGTAACTTTCCATACACTGACCCCACCCTGATCTTTGGTTACAAATCTCCACATGCCTGTGCTATATTCAGAGTGGAGCCCAATCTCTCCTACTGCACAATCCTATTGCTGTTGTCCCTAAACCTATCTCAACGGCCCTGAAAATGAAAAAAAGTCTTTATTATCGTGCTTTAACAAGTATTCGTGAATAATTTTTTCTTTAACAGTCACTTTATTTTTCTTTTTTTGAGACAAAATCTCATTCTGTCACCCAGGCTGGAGCACAGTGGCGTGATCTCAGCTCACTGCAATCTCCACCTCCCAGGTTCAAGCGATTCTCATGCCTCAGCCTCCTGAGTAGCTGGGATTAAAGGTGCCCACCACCACACCCAGTTTATTTTTGTATTTTAGTAGAGATGAGGTTTCACCATGTTGGTCAGGCTAGTCTCGAACTCCTGACCTCAAGTGATCTGCCTGCCTTGGCCCCCAAAGTGCTGGGATTACAGGCTTGAGCCACCGCACCTAGCCAACAATCACTTTAGATACTATATATTACATTATTTAAAAGACGTGCCATAATTTTAATCACCAGAATTAAACATATTTTCCCAATAATTCCTAAAATTACTCTTTATTTGTACCTTTTCCTATAAACAGCAGAATTTAACTCATTTTACACATTGAACTCCTCAACTATCCTTTACCCTATTCCTATTATTGTAGGCTATTGTTTTACTTTCACCATTTTTAAGCACAAAATTGTAGTAATTACGCTGTCAATAGTTAAATTTATTGACTTATTTTTAACCATTTATTTTGTTTTTATTTTTGCATGTTGGACCTCAGATGCATAGAATTGGGTTAATTATTATCCTTGGTTCCTGCCTGCTGCAGATGTCATTTTGCTAAAATGGCCGTGTCAATGTATACCCACCCTAGGGGCTCCTCCACCCACAAGTGGGGCCTATGTTCATTCCCCTTGCACCTGAGCATACCTGGTAATAACTGCCTCCACTAATGATAAAATTAACATAACATTCATATATTTCTTTTATTTTTTTTTTTTTGAGATGGAGTCTTGCTCTGTCCCCGAGGCTGGGGTGCAATGGCACCATCTCACCTCACTGCAAGCTCCACCTCCCGGGTTCACGCCATTCTCCTGCCTCAGCCTCCCAAGTAGCTGGGACTACAGGCACCCGCCACCACGCTCGGCTAATTTTTTGTATTTTTAGTAGAGATGGGGTTTCACTGTATTAGCCAGGATGGTCTCGATCTCCTGACCTCGTGATTCGCCCACCTCGGCCTCCCAAAGTGCTGGGATTACAGGTGTGAACCACCGTGCCCAGCATAACATTCATATATTTCTGTATGAAATATTTTAGGACTCTTTTCATTCAAGTAATGGCAGAAGTGTGCTGCGTATCCTCTGAGGCTGGGTCTTCAAAGGCACGGCAGCCCCTGTCTGTCTCACTCATGCTCTCAGTGCTCCTTGCAGGGAGCAGAGTCAACATGTAAGACTCCGCCACCCTACAGCCACCATGCTGAAGAGCCACCTGGAGAGGATACCTTGACATTGTCTGAGGAATCCTTGCTCTTCTAGATGAGGTCCCATACATTGAGGACTAGAGACAAACCATCCCCACTGTGTTCAGTCTGAATTATTGGACCACAGAGTCCATGTGCATTGCAAATCATTGTTTTTGCCACTAAGTTGTGGGGTAAGTTGTTAGACAGCCACCATCCCTGTGACAGTACCTGGAATGTTCTCATTAGTGGCCTGTCCACAGTCCTCTGCTACTTAGTTATGTAATTAGTTATCTGTAAAGATGTAATACTCATCTGCATACCCACCTTTCAGAACCAAATCTAGGACCCTGATGTAACTGGCATCTGTGTGGTGCACACACCAATGACCCATGGTCCTCTGTCTCCCCATCCAAGGGAGCCATCATCCTGAGTCCTGGGTCCATCCTCACCTGTTCACCTTTTTACATGATTGCATTGCATTGATAGCTATTCATAATGGGTATATGCTTTTCTTTCAGTTGTGCTTAAATACATAAAAATGGTAATATGCTATATAAAATATTTTAGAACTTTTTCATTTTCATTTTAATTGAGTCATCTGTATTTCCACGTATCGTAGTTCATTTGTTTTGGCTGCTGTACAAGATCCCATGTCTGAATAGATCATAATTTAGGAATCGACTTTCCTATGGATAGGAATTTGAGTTGTTTCCAGTTTTTCCTATCCTGAACATACGAGTAGTCTTAGGCATTTCACCTATTACACTATAACAAACTTTCTCTTGCATAGTACCCCGAAGTTCAATTTCTGGGTTCTGGATTATAGACTATGTGAATATTCATTCCATATGTATATTTTCTTCATATACATAGACTTGGTATTACTTTTTAAAATAAATTTTATATATTAGAAATATCTCCCAATTTGTAAATCACCTTTTCACCTCTTTAATGGGTCTTTTGACAGACAGAGCCCTTAGTCTTAATATAGTCAAATTTATCTTTCCTTTTATAATCAAAGGTTTTTAAATTGTATAAGAAAGTATTCTTTACCCCTAGTTCTAAAAAAAATCACTTAGGTTTTTTGCTAAGAGTTTTAAGGATTTATTTTTGACATTTAAGCACTTAATCCATCTGGATTTGACTTTTGCATAATGTAGAATGCAGGGCTGTGATTTGGCCTTTTTCTGAATGGGTAACCATGTTTAAATAAGTCTATTTATTTAAAGTTCCTTCCTGTTATTGATCTTACATGCCATCTCTCTTACATTGTCAAAGTTCCATACTGGGATGGGTCTGCTTCTGAGCTCTCTATTCTGTTCAGTTGGTAAATGTGTATATCTCTTGCACAGTATGAAAATGGCTAAATTACAACTGCTTTACACAATGCCTGATTTCTCTACGAGGGCAGGTCCTCCCAGCTCTTCTTCAAAAGTGTCCTGCTTATTCTTGGCCATTGACTCTTCCATGTAATGTTCAGAATCATCTTTAAAATATCATTCCAAATACCCATGGGGAATATGATTGGAAGAGCATTTAATCTTTAAATCAAACTAGGAAGAGTTTATATCTTCACTGTAGTACGTTTCCTATCCATTCATTTTCCTTCCACTTATTTACTCCTCTTTAGTATCTCTTAATGAAGTGTATAACTTTCTCTGCAAAGCTCTGGAACATACCCTGTTATATCTACTAGTGAACACTTGATAGCTGGATACTCTTGTAAGTGACACCTCTTGACCTTCGGCATTTTGTATATTAATCTTATATTAGGCCATTTTGCTAAATATTTATTATTTTTGATAATTTGTGCATGGATTATTTTAGAATCTCTAAATAACCATGTTATCTATAAATGATGGCAGCTCTGTTTCCACTTTCTAGTCCTTTGCCTAATATATTTTTCCCATGTTAATGCATTAGCTAAGCCCTTCCATACAATGTTGAAGTGTCAGTACCAGATATCCCCCCCTTTAGTGATTCTAAATCATGTTTCCAACATTTCCCACTTTTACAATGTTGTTTATCCCAGATTTGTTATATTCTTTTGCAGGTTAAGAAAATTCTCTATTTCTAATTTACTAAGAGCCTTTAAAATTTTATCGAATGAATTTTCTGTATCTATGGAGAAGATATACGCTTTATTTAATCTGTTAATTTAATAACTTAAATTTATAAATCCCTTATTAAACCATCTTTACTCAACTACCATAAACCCAACTTGGTTGTAGTGTATCATATGTTTTGTACACTGGTGGGTTTGCTTTTCTAATATTTTATTTGGGGTTTTAAAAAATATTATTCATCAGCAGACTAACTGTTCATTTTATTTTCTTGTAGTGTCCTCGTCTGGTTTTAGTATCACGGTTATGTTGACCTCATAGAATAGGTTAAAGAACATTCCCCCTTTTTCTCAATTTTAATAGCATTTGGGTCTATTTACTTGTTTCATTTTTGTTTCTGTGGGAAGACTTTTTAATGCATCAATTTATTTAACAGCATAGGACTATTTAAGCTTTTTATTCATTATTCAGTGAGTTCTGGTAAGTTACCATCTTTTAAGAATTTTATGTCCTCAAACTTATCAAAGCTATTGGCATATAGATACTGAGGGTATTCTTTTATCTTTTTAATCTCGATTTATCTGCATTTAATTCTCTCTTTTTATCATAATATAGTTTATTTGTGTCTTCTCTTTTCTCTTGGGAAGTCATGTTGATGGGTTTATTCCTCAAGAAGTGGCTTTGTGGGTGGATTTTCTCTACTGTATCTTCATGGTTTTAAATTTTATTGATTTACACTCTTTTATTTCTTTCTACTTTTTTTATCCATTCTGTTATTTTTCTTACTTTAATATGGATACACAGTTCACTTTCGAAACTTTCCTTTTCTCCAGTATAAATGTGGCTATAAAGTTAACTAAAAGAACCATGCAATGATTGTTTATCATTCAATTGTAGATACATTTAATCCTACTGTGGTTTCATCTTGTATCTGCGAGTTATTTGGCAGTGTATGCGGGTGTTTTGTTAGCATCTATAAGGAAAAGTGTACAAAATAAATGGTTTACAGCTCAATAAATCATTACAAAATGAACATATTCAAGTAACCACTATGCAAGTGAAAATACAAAACATGGCCTGGTGCGGTGGCTCACGCCTGTAATCCTAGTACTTTGGGAGGCCGAGGCGGGCGGATCACGAGGTCAGGAGATCGAGACCATCCTGGCTAACACGGTGAAAACGCGTCTCTACTAGAAATACAAAAAATTAGCCAGGCGTGGTGGTGGGCACCTGTAGTCCCAGCTACTAAGGAGGCTGAGGCAGGAGAATGGCATGAACCCAGGAGGAGGAGCTTGCAGTGAGCTGAGATCGAGCCAGTGCACTCCAGCCTGGGGAGACAGAGCGAGACTCCGTCTCAAGAAAAAAAAAAAAAAGGTAACAATTACCTGACTCTTAATCCCATAGATTCGTTGTGACCAATTTTGAGCATTATAGGAATGGAATCATGCAACACACATTCTCATAGGTCTGGATTTTTGCATGTGTTGTTATGTATGTGAGATGCATTCTTGTGGCTGACAGGGACAATAGTTTATATATTTTCATTCTGCATCGTTGTCTATCATAAGTGCATACCACAATGTTTTTCCTTCCATTCTATAGTTGATGAATATTTGGATTGCTTACATATATTTTGGTATACACATATATGTATTTTTATAGACTATATATTTAAAAATAAGAATTCTGGGGCATAGATCATAAATCAAGTGCCAACAAATGTGTGGGCTCTTTCTAGACTCTATTCTGTTCCATTGATTTATTTATCTACCCTCACACTAGTACCCAATTATCCTAATCACTGTTGCTTACTGAGCATACTGGTAGTGTATGCTCTACCAGTTTTCCAAAATAAGTCATTCTAGGTACACTCCCAGAAGCAATGCATGACAGTTCCAGTTCCTCCAAATCCTTGCTAACATTAACATTTTCTGTCTTTTAGAATTTTAACCATTGTGGTTGGTCTGGGATGTTATTGTAGTTTTCATGTGTATTTCTTTGATAACTAATACCATTGAATATTTTTTCTCAAGGTTTTTTTCCATATTGCTATTGGGTTATTTTCTTATTTGTCTGAAATGGTTTTTTTTTTTTTTTTTTTTTGGAGACACACTCTGTCGCCCAGGCTGAAGTGCAGTGACGCAATCTCGGCTTACTGCAACCTCTACCTCCAAGGTTCAAGCAATTCTCATGCCTCAGCCTCCTGAGTAGCTGGGATTACAGGCATGCACCACCATGCCTGGCTAATTTTTTTGTATTTTTAGTAGAGATGGGGTTTCACCATGTTGCCCAGGGTGGTCTTAAACTCCTGGCCTAAAGTGATCTATCCACCTTGGCCTCCCATAGAGCTGGGATTACAGGCATGAGCCACCATGCCCAGCCTCAAAATAGTTCTTTATATAATACAGATATGGGCACTTTTTTGGGTATATGTACTGTAAATGCTGGCTTGTCCTTTCACTTTCTGAATTATATCTTTTGATGGGCAGAGCTTCGTAATTTTAATGTAGTTCAGTTATCCGGTGTTTTCCTTTTGTGATTGGTACTTTCTGTGTCTAGTTTAAGAAGACTTTGCCTGTCCCAAGGTCATGATGCTATTCTTCTACATTTTCCTCTATAAGCATTATTGTTTACCACTCAAATGTGGATTTACAGTAGACTTTCATGTGCAATAGACTTGTATACATGGCAAGATTTTTTTCCATGTGACTGTTTTAACAGCCTCTCTGCCACTGTTCCACAGGATCATAAATCAAGTGCCAACAAATGTGTGGGCTGTTTCTTGACTCTCTGTTTGTCCATCCTTTCACTAATATCCATTTATCTAATTACTACTGCTTTATAAGAAATTTCAATAATAAGTTGTTTAAGTCTCCCACCACTGCTCTTATTCAATATTTTCTTGGTAAATTTTAAAACTTTTTACAAATGTCCTCAGAAAACTTGCTGAAACTTTTATAGAAATTGCATTGGAGCTATTGATGAAAGTGCCCAAAATGGATAACTTTACAATATTTAGTTTTTCAATTTATAAATATATTCATATCATACTCATGAATATCATATTCATATCATACTCATGAATGAATATCATATTCATATCATACTCATGAATGAATAGCATATTCATATCATACTCATGAATGAATATCATATTCATATCATACTCATGAATGAATATCATATTCATATCATACTCATGAATGAATATCATATTCATATCATATTCATGAATGAATATCATATTCATACCATATGAATATGATATTGACATGCTGGTTAATAGTGAACAACAGTTTCTTCAAGGGAAAACATGTTTTGAAGCAGTTGCCAATTTCTGTGGTGTAAATACTATCACCAATCAAGTTAACAGTTTTTTTAAGTAAATACTACGTGGTGTAAATACTCTGTGGTGTAAATACTATCACCAATTTTAAGTTAACAGTATGGCTGTTACTAGACAGAGACTGGGGAAGAAACACATGCTTGGCTCTCATGTGAAATTAGGAGCACAGAAGTGGATCCAGCCCTTCATTTATTTAGGTCTTCTTTAATCTCTCTCAATAATGTTTTTTAATCTCTCTCAATAATGTTTTTTAATATCTCTCAATATGTTTTTAAATCTCTCGCAATGTTTAACGTTTAATTTTTTTTTAATGTTAATGTTTTTTAAGCTCTCTCAATGTTTAATCTCTCTCAAAATGTTTTTTAATCTCTCTCAATTTAAACAATTTTTTTTAACCTCTCTCAATATTGTTTCGTCCTTTGTCCTCAGTAATGTTTTGTCCTTTCCTATGTAGAGAGCTCCATGTTTACCTGAGTTTTGGGATGCTCTTGCAAATGTTATTTTAAGTGTTATTTTTAAATTTTATTTTCTAATTTGTGTGATATATACATGAGACCACCAAGTACGAAAAGATAGACAAATACTTGGTAAATGATTTATTGATATTATATTACAATACAGGAGAAAAGAATATATGTTTCCAGATATTGGGACCATCCCAAAGAAATATAGTTGATTTTTGCATATTGACTCATTTCCAAAACCCTGCCAAATTCACCTGTTAATTCTAATAGTGTATTTGTATTTTCTTTTGGATTAAGTATATAATCATTTCATCTTCAAGAAATGACAGTTTTATTTATTGCTTTCCAATTCTACATTCAGTTTCTTTATTGCCCTTTTTTCTGGTTAAAAAGTCAAGTAAAATACTGATCGCAAATGGTAATAATAGGCATTCTTTTCTCCTTCTAGATCTCAAGAGAAAAGTTTTTGATAAGTATGATGCTTTTTGTTGTTTCTTTCCAGTAAATATTCTTTTACATATTAAATAATTGACTTACTTCTAGTCTTCTAAAATTGTTGTATTACTTTGGTGTTGAATTTTATCAAATACTTTGCTTTATCTGCTGTGTCATGTAGTTTTTCCCTTTTATTCTGACTTCATAGAATGTTCCAAGGAATAACTTTCTAACGTTAAATCCAACTAAAATTCCTGAAAGAACACCAACATGGCTATGATGTATTATCTCTATGTACTGCTAGATTCATTTTGCTGATTTTTATTCAGTATATTTACATTTATATTCCTGAAATAAATTGTTCTATACTTTTTTTCTTTTAAACATTTGTCAAGCTTGGGTATTAAGGTTATGCTGGCCTTATGAAATAAATTGGGAAGTATCTCTCTGTCTAGCTTTGGCAGTTTTACCAGGATGGGCCTGGGATATGCTTTAGTAATTTGTTTCTCCTATGGCTTAATGTCTTTTGCCAATTCTGAAACTTGGGCGGCGGCAGGGGCGGTGGTTATTGCCTTCAAAGATTGCATCTGCCACCCTCTCTTTTACCTCTGCATTTGGGACTGCAATTATATGTATGGCAGACCTTCCCACTGTGGCTCACGTGTGTCTTATAGTCTACTTAATATTTTTCATATGTTCTCAATTTATTGGATATTTTATTCTAACCTGTCTTCCGCTTTATTAATTTTCTTTTAAGCTACATCTAAATTGCTGACAAAATTTTTGAGTTTTTGAAAGTGTTTTGAAATCTTTATTTTCCTTGTTTGGTGTTCTAGAATTTTTATTGTAGCTTTTTAAAGTTTCCTGTTTCCTGATAACATGATCTTGGTATCTTAATTTATTGAACACACTAAAAACAGTTATTTTATTGTTCTGACACATTTAATAACTAGATTTCCCATGAGTCTGTTTCCATTGTTTTCTTTAACTAAATATCCAGTCAATGGCTGTTTATCTTTATTGAATGCTGGGCATTGTACTTGGAATATTGTAGAGGTCATTTGAGCCTCTGGATGATGTGGCCATTCTGCAGAGGCAATACTTTTTAATTTTGCAGGCAACTCAGGTAAAGCAGATCTCTGAGATGAAGATAATTGAAAGTTGGCCCTGAGTCTTTGTGAGAGCTTTTCTCTTTGTGAAAGCTTTGTGAAGGCTTTACGTGTACCCCAGAGCATAGAATATTGGAGTTTTCTGCTGAAATCCTCAATGTTTATCAAGTCTCTCATTTTGACAAGCCATGAACTCCAATTTTGTTCCCAGAGCTCCATGGGTTTGTAAAATCTCTGGTCAGTCTCTCAGCCTTTTAGCCACAGCTAGCAAATCAGCAAATACCTTGAAAGGAAAAAACTGCCAAATGTTAGGTTCTGCTCTCTGTTTCTCTCTAGAAATTATCCCTAGAATTTTAACCACCCAAGTCCTGACAGTCTCCATAGTTTCTGATATTTTCCAATAGATTACTTTTATATTTCCCCAAGCTGTTATCTTTGTTATCAGTGGAAGGAATGGTCTAAAGCAAATTAGTCCTCTATAAATGGAAATGAAAATTTTTTTCCAATATTAAAGATACAATTTAATGTGATAAATCTGTATAGTCATGTAATCACCACCACTACCAAAATATCAGATAGTTCCATCACCCCAAAATTTCCCTCACATACATTGCAATCAACCCCGTCCACTCAACACCAGCCTCTGGCCATCACTGACCTACTTTCTGTCACAATAGTTTTGCTTTTACTAGATTTGTGTTTCATTCTGTTTTGTGGTTCATGTTTGCTGATGTTTATTGATTTTCTTGTTTTTATTACAAAGAATAAGCTCTCGAATATATTCACCAACTCTACGCCTTTTCTATCTTCTATACCACTTGTTTCTGCTTGTATCTTTATTATTTAATTTTTTTTCTGCTTTTGTAACATTGTTTTTTGTGGTTTTCTATGTGTTTTCATTAAAAGTCAGAAATAGATTGTTAGCAAGAATGACTATAACAATGGCCCTGTCTGTATCCTTGCCCTTGGGTAGTCCCTTCCCACACTGACTCTGGGCTTTCCCATGTGACTTGCCTTGGCCCACAGGTTAATAAGAAACATGACACAGAGACTTGAAAGCGCTTCTGTACTGGAACTTGCTCTTTGTTGCTGCACTTGGAACCCTGAGACCATCATAAGAATAAACCAAAGCTGACCTGCTAGAGAAAGAACACACAAAGAAGAACTAATGTGCCCCAGCCAACAACCTGCCCACCACTAGATATGTAGATAAGGTGATTTTAGATCAGCTATCTAGATAAGGCGATTCTCGATCAGCTATCCTGCCCACCAGCTGACCAGACATATGAAAGAACCAACAGAAACCAGCCACACCAACCCAGATCAAAGGAATGACGCAGCCGTCCAGCAGAGCTCAACCTAGTGGTTGCTTTAAACCAGTAAGTTTTGGGGTGCTTTGTTATACACCCAAAGCTGACAAATATAATTGCTATATTTATAATGTCATTTTCTGTTTTAGATAATAAAGTAATTCCTGCTTATGCATTTTCCCTTGAGGATTGTTCTGGTCGAATGCCATAAGCTTGGGTACATAGCGTTCAACATAGTCTATAATTGAAATATTGGCTTCTTTCTTTCTTTCTTCTTCTTCTCTTTGCTAATAGTTAAGAGAACATTTATATTCCATCTTTCTAAAATCGTCTTATTATTCTCTGGCTTTATGACATTGTAGCTTGCAAAAGTAATCTGAACAATTTCTGCTTTTTATAAGAGATTGCTGGTTTTTATGGTTTAAGAGTTCATCAAATTTTATAAATGCTTCAACAGCTCTGGAAAAGAAGAGATATTCTCTACATGATTCATATTTCAGTATGTCTCCAATCAACCTTTCCCAGCATGCACATTACATAGGGACAGGGGATGGTTTCACACTGCTGTGCCCCAGCACACAAACATTGGCCGGCACATAGTAGGCACTCCATTAGTATTTATTTGAGGAGTGAATGCATAAATTATCCTAATTAATGACAATTAGATCCTATATTGCCTTAATATGAGTCATTATTTATAATTTATTATGATGATTTATCTTACATGCTACAAAGGGAAACAATTGTGTAAATAATTTTGTTACCATTGTGCTATTGCCAGTCTCTCCATGTCTTATCTAATACTCTTTATTACTATTATACATAATGATCTGTTGTTCACAAAGTTTTCTGTGTCTGTGAGTTTAGCTTTTATCTCTGTAAAATCATAAGCTCTGCTTTGTGATGTGTCTTGTCATGAATTCTTCTTTGATATTAATATTGGAATGACTGTGAATCTTTTGCCTGATCTATTATTGCCCCTCAATGGCAGAAATGGGTAGGTGACCACAGATACCATTCTCTCTTTCATCCTTGGTGAAAAACAAAAACACTTATATGTAAGACATCAGGGTGTCCAGCTCAATAGCTCCATCTACCCTTAAGCAGGGATAGTCATGTGGCTTTCTGGCCAAGGAGACAGAAGAAGTTGTTGAATGGGACCTAGGGAAGGGCATCCACTAGCAGGGCATCATTGTGTTCCCTTCTTTCCCCTGCTGCCCTCCAGTTCCCACAGTCATCTTGGACTCCAGGACCCTGTGAGGGTAAAGGCTAAGGGATCAGTAAGTGACTGTGAAGCCAGGACAGAGAAGCAGGGATATCATCTCCAGCAGCGTCATGAAGAGGCCATACCATCTCCAGAGGGCTGACATCTAAACTTATGTTACATGACTCAGCAAACTCTTATGCTACTCTCTCTTTAAATACATACGTAAATTATGTATATAATGTACAATATTTTTTTCCTTCAGAATTTCAAAAATGATTCTATATTTAGAGAATTCTAATTCTCAGAACAAATCCTGTTCTGCCATCACTTTATCATTATTGAGCTCTTAATTTGTTTCATCTGTTGCTTGACTGGCATATATCTCCAAATGATATCTAAAGAAGGTTACATAGGAATTGTGTGTGTGTGATTGTGTCTGTGGGTGGGGGGGTGGTGATTTTTTTTGTCCCTTCACACTTTAAAAGATCAATCAATCGAATCCAATCAAACCTGATTTCCAAATTACTGGATTATAAAGGTTTTATCTTCAAACCTCGGCAGAAGCAGTGGACACTGTTCTTCCTGACCCTTCCTTCTCTGTAAGCATGTTTTTTTGTAAATAGGTCACAAAATAGAGTCCCAGGAAGAATTGTTAGGACTCCAGGCCTAAGCACAGTTCTCTAAAAAAGCACCTGTGCGTACGACTCCCTCAAGCTGGAAGGCTGGGAGGAGGATTAGGACATAAGGGGTCCCTCCTTTGTTAGGACTTTCTTTCTTAACTCTACCTTAAGCTCACATGGAAACAAGCATCTCAGTAACCAGCGAGGTTCCACAGGTGCACGTAGAGCTGTTCGCATTGGGTGCAGTGGGTCTCATGAGGTATCCAAGGTTCTTCTGCAGGCATAGACTTGCAGTCTTGTATATGTCAGTATTTTGTGAGAAAAATCATTCATTCGAGGATGGGACAGTTCTCTCTGCAGCCAGCAGAGGCAGCAGCCTTGGGCTCAGTGCAAGAGTGTTTTTCATGGACAGGGGACACTGAGACTTCAGGGATCAGGGATCCCTCCTTTATTTCCCAGCCTTCCCAAGTCCACGTCCAATCCTACCTGTCTGGTGTGACCAAAAGACAGGTGTGTTTGCAAAAGTAAAGCAGAAAAAAGAAAGGAACATGTAAGATGCAGCTGATGTCATGAAAGTTAACAAGACCCTTAGAGAGAGAGGCAACCTATGGAAGGACAAAGCCTAGCAATGGCTTCAGGGCTGCGGGTGTGACAGCTTTGCTGGTTTCTCTCTGAGCTCTGAAGACTCTAAGTCTGTCTCCCACAGCCATATGAGCTGGAGAAACCTTAGGCTCCCACCAGGTTCAAGAAAATCAGACAGCAACTTGACCCACTTCCTGGTGGAAGACATTTCCCTGTTGGGTTATGTTCACAGTCCTGGAATCCAGGCAAGTGGAAGAAACTGAATGTCTTCACAAGTTTGAAACCAAGATCCAAGATTTTTTTTTCTGTTCTTTCTTCTTTGCTCTCTGGCTACCACTGTCACCTGCACCATGGCCCACCATAGCAGCAGTGGAGTGCCACTTTCCTTAGTAAACATGGTGGCTGACTGCTTCCAAATCTCAGCCCTGCAGGTGAGAGGCTGCCCAGGGGGCTCTGGGGCATCCTGCTCCCCCTCTGGAGTGTGAGGAGGTGGAACCACTGGAGCCTGGGTTCCCGTTCTCCCCACTGGGAAGAGCTGAAGGAGAAGCGTGACCCCATTGGGACCTGAGGTTCCTATTCTCTTCCACGTGGAAGTGCTGAAGTAATCTGCCCACTCCAGAGAATGTTTTGCAGATGGGTTCCTCACCAATACTCTGAAGGAGACCCTTCTGGCTGAGCTACAGCAGGAATTTCATTTGGGACTACAGTGGTTTGAATGGTGGCCCCAAAGAGATACATCCATGCCTCAATTCCTGAAACCTGTGCATGCAACTGTATTTGGAAATAGAGTCTTCGCAGATGTAATTAAGTTAAGAAATCTCAAGATGGGTGTTCATTTTTCATTAAGGTAGGCCCCAAATCCTTATAAGAGGAAAGCAGATTTGAGGCAGAGACACAGGAGAGAAGGCCACATGGAGATGAAGGCAGAGGCTGGAGTGGTGCAGCCATAAACCAAAAGATGCCAGGAGCATCAGAGGCTGGAGAAAGCAAGAAGGCTCTCCCCTGAAGCATCTACAGGGAGCATGGCCCTGCTGATTCCTTGGTTTCTGACTTCTGGCCTCCAGAATTGTGAGAGAATAAACTGTTGCTTTAAGCCACCATGTTTATGGTTAATTGTTACAGCACATTTAGGAAACTAATTCAGGGACTTCATGCATTGGTGGGAATGTATTAGTAAAAGTGAGTTCAAATTGTTCAAAGCTGGGATAATTTGTGCTGTCATTGGTAATGTTTGTGGAATTATCTCTGATCAGCTATAATAGGAATTAGAATACAGGGTTCATTTGGGGCTTGGCAGGCAGTATGGCCTTGGGGCTATACTAAGCTATACTCTTCTTTGACCCATTTTAGAAACAGTGGAGCACAGTAGCAAGATGGTGGGTGCTGGAACAGGGTCACCTGGTGTAAACCCAACTTTCTGCAAAGCAGGCAGTGGCAGAACCTTGAGCAAGTTAATTAATCATCTGTGTTTCAGTTCTATAAAGTTGGATGGTAGTATTTACCTTGTAATTCAAATAACACACACGAAAAACTTATAAGAATGTCACATCATTATAATTATGATCATTGTCATCAACACCATCACCATCATTATCATCATCACCATCATTAGCACCATCACCATCATCACCATCATCACCACCATCATCATCACCATCATTATCACCATCATCATCGCCATTATCAGTCATCATCATCATTATGATCATCACCATCAACACCATTGTCCTCATCACCATCATCATCATCACCATCACATCTTCATCACCATCATCATCATCACCATCACATCATCACCATCATCATCATCATCATTATTGCCATCATCATCACCATCCTCATCATCATCATCACCATCACCATCATCATCACCATCAGGACCTAAGTTGTTGACAACGTTGGACTTTACCTGAGCCCTAAGCTCCTGGAAAGCAATGAGTATTAGGAAATCATCTCACCCTTTTGTGTTCCAGGAAACTGCTTATGACAAAGAAGATCCCCTCCCCACATGACTCAGATAAGACTCATGGATGCTCCCTTGTTTACCTAAGACAAGGCCAGATACACCCTCCAAATTCTCATTCTGCACCTCTTAATGATAACCTGAACTGTTATCCCACTGATCAGTCAGAACAAAGTACTTGTTAACTGACTTGATTAAACTTTAGTTCAGCTCCTCCACTCCCTCAGGACCCGGAATGTTGAACCTCCTTCAGCCTGAGCCAGCAAACAGCCCCTCCCCAGAATTAGATGACTGCAAGGAAAGACTTTCCCCAACTGATCAACTCTGATCTCACCACCCACTCCCCCACACCCAATTATTTTTTGGCCTTGTCTGGTTCTCCCCATAAAAGAAAGTTTCTTTCCAACAGAACTTTGAGATGCCTGCAGCTATTACTGTCAGATTGTTCCCCCTACTGCAATAGCCCCCTTCCCTTTATCACAATAATCCTTTTGAATGAAGTCTCTCCTTAGTTCAATACACATTTGTTTTCATTTGACACTGTCTATTTTAGTGCTGCCTGTATGAGAAATGCGGAAGTATTGGGTCATGGTCTTCTAAAGAACTCCTCAGATTTATAGAGGTTTCTGGACTGGGAAATGGCTACATAGTCTTGGCTTTTAAGTCCCTCAAAGTTCAAAAGAAAGATATCTTCGTCCATTCAGGCTGCTATAAGAAACCACCATAGGCTGGGTGGCTTGTAAACAACAGAAATTTATTTCTCATCGTTCCGGAGGCTGGAAGTTCAAGGTCAGAGTGCCAGCATGGTTGGGTTCTGTGAGGGCCTCTTCTAGGTTGAAGACTGCCACCGTCTCACTGCATCCTCACATGGTGAAAGGGGCACAGCAGCTCTTTGAAGTCACTTTTATAAGGACATGAATCCCATTCATAAGGGGTCCACCCTCACAACCTCATCACCTCCCAAAGGCCCTGAATCCTAATACCATCAGGTCTCCATTTTCTCATTGCTTCAGCTCCCTTCTCAGTAGACTCAGTTATCAAGGATTTGGGGGACAAGAAGTGGGGGCTACCCTGCTCCAGCTCTCAGAGACACCTGCCCTGGGGACCACCATTCATCCTCCAGCTATCTTTTCTTGCACACGCTGCCCTGATGAGATCCTGCGCAGAGCAAGACTGGCTATAAGGTCTTGAAATTCCTAGGCCTTTGGCTTATTACCATAAAAACCAATTAACACACTTCATAAGCTGCTGGCAGAGGTGGTCCCATTGTCTTTGGGCATTAAATATAGCCAAGGAGAAATGTGAGGCCAAAAGAATGTGTGTTCATTTTGTCATAGTTTCTTTCTTCTCCTGAGATTTTTACCAAGTATTTTTTATCCTTAGAGTTTACAATTTTCACTGGATATGTCTCATTTAAAATGTAATGTGGTAAGCCATTTCTACCTGATAGATGAGCTGTTTCTTCAAGGCAGGAAACTCATCTTCCTTCTCTTCCATGTTTGCTTCAATTCTATGTGTTTAGGTGTTTCAACCAGACACAAATAGCCACATACTGGCTCTCCATCCTTTGTCTACCACATCTCAGGTGTTCTCTCATCTCTTGAACCAGTCTATTTTTTCCCCTTCCCACACTAAGCTGCTGCCCAGGAATTGGTTTGTGAGCAGCCATGTTTTATGTCAAGATATTTATTACCGTCATCATTTGTAGATGAAGCAAGTTGGGAATGGAGAAGTTACGAGCATTGCCTGTCTTAGTCATTTTCTGCTGCTATAACAAAGTACAACAAAATAGGTAATTTACAAACAATGGAGATTTATTTGGTTCACAGCTCTGGAGGTTGTGAAGTTGAAGAGCATGGTTCTGGCATCTGATCAGGGTCATCCCATAGAGAAGCATCATATGATGAGCTAGTGTGAGAGACAGAGAGAAAATGGGGGCTGTACACACCCTCTATCAAGAGCCCACTCCTGTGAAAATCAACCAGCTCCTGCAATAACTAACCCACTCCTACAACAATGACAACAATCCATTAATCATCTCTTCTCAACACTATTACAATGGCAATTAAATTTCAACATGAGTTTTGGAGGGTACATTCAACCCATAGCATTGCCCGGGATTAATTGGCTTATCCAAGCAGTATCAAGATGCTCAAAGGAAAGGAAACCATCAAATTCTCTCAAAATTGACAGAATTGCCATTGCTCCCCATTCTCTCTGGTTTTCCATCCACACTTGAACTAATGACAAACCCAAAACACCATGTCATCTCTTGGTCCAGTGGGAAAATGACCCCCAGGGGTCCACTGTAAATGCCCTGGCCTCTTCTGCTGAAGAACCTCCCATGGGGCTGCAAAGACTGGATTAGGAGGAGCAGAGGGACATTGAGATGACTCTGTCTGTTGTGTATATTGTCCAAGCACATCCAAGGTAATTAATAGGACCCTCTGCCTCTTGCTCCTCCCAGTGCACATATTCTAAAATGTCCTTCCAAACACTAAATGTACCAGACGGTGGCAAAAACAAAAACACCACACAAGTGATAGCTTATAGACTCAACCTGTTTTTCTTTCCCAGGCAGAAGCTTGTCCACACTTCAGCGCTTTTACAGCCTTTATTAAGAGAAGCGAGAACTCAGTCTATTTGATTTATAATTGAAAATCATAAACTATAGCATTCACCTGCTGTTCCCATGCGCTGGTGAAATGATACAAGGCTATTTCATCACTCAGCCTCGTAATTGGCATGAACCAACATCAGTATGCACCGTGGCGTTCCCAAAGGCCCACTAACAAGTTGATACAACTGCACAGGCTGGAGAGCAGAAATTTAGTAAAAATATTATTTGGTGCTGATTTGTTCTCTAACTCCTGCTTCATGAAGAGTCACCAGGGCGCACAAGGGCACTTCATTAGTAGGGTAGAGGAAGAGCCGGCCTGGGTCCAGTGTGCACATGTTGTTCTCAGACAACAATTTTTTGCTTGTCCAGACTTTAGTCAGGTTCTTGAATCACACACCAGCTGTGCACGTCCTTGAAAAATTCAAGTTTATCAAGACTCCCCCCATCTTTGATATCTGATCATCCTCACTATCTGACCCACTTCCTCATCCTCCACCATTCCCCGGGTGATGTCTGGTCACCCTGGCCTGTCCTCAGCAAGAATCCTGTTAGGTCACTTTAGGCAGAATCCCCTGACCCCTGATGTTTCCTCCTAGTAATTTTCCATCCATTCCCTCCCACCCTGCTCCTTGGCTATAAGTTCTCAATTCCCTGTGCTGTATTTGAAGTTAAGCCCAATCCCTTTCCCACTGCAAAATCCCATTTCAGTGGTCCCTATAGCTATCTCAGTGGTTCTGAATGCTTTATCAAGTGGCGTTGAATATTTTTTCTAATTTTTAACACCCCCCAGGAGCCCTTTCCTCTGCTGGAGGGAGGCAGGCAACAGCTCTACCCTTGGCCATACATTGACTTCAGCCTAGACCAGGTCTAGGTGCTGCCTCATGCACCACCATCACCGGGCCTGAATGGAACCCACTAGAGCTTATAAGGCTAGAGAAGACATGGTCTTGACCCTCAAAGAGCTCTCCTTTGGGGTCTGAGGACATGGCCAACCTGGCATGGTTGTCCTGCTGAGCACCTTTCCGCCTCATCCACAGCCTCTTCTGGACCAGGCTCCAGGGACACTGAGGTAACTCAGACAGAGACCCTGCTGTCCCCTCAGGGCTCCTAATTGGGGTATGGAGAGCACATTGTGGGGAGTGCATCACAGGGGCAGAAGTAGTTAAAAAAGTAGCCCAGACAAAGATTTGGCAGGGTAGAGTCAGACTACTTTTAGCCCTGTCTCTCCAGAATCTCCATTAGGTGTGTCACGACCATTATCAGCTGCCAAAACCCAACCACAATGAGTTTATGAAAGGGCAGTAGGCCCACCCTAAGGCTGGGACACAGGGTGGTGAGGTAAACTACAGGGAGCCCTTCTGGTATTGTCAGGTGAAAGTAGAGGCTGGGATGCTGCTTAGAAACTGGGGCGGCCTCTTTGTGTTGCTGGTCACAAATGTTCATTCATCCCACATTAATACAATAGAATCTTTTGAATAATGTATTTAATCAGCAAAAAGAAGCATGAAGCCAAGAAGTATTGTGTATACGTATGAGCCAGGCATTTTTATAACATTGTATCATGTTTTAAATTTTTAATTTTAAAAATTGCATTTACTGCATTTGCTTTTGAGGTCTTTGTCATAAATCCTTTGCCTAGGCCAATGTCCAGAAGAGTTTTTTCTAGGTTTTCTTCCAGAATTTTTATGGGTTTTGGTCTTAGATTTAAGTCTTTACTCCATCTTGAGTTGATTTTTATATACGGTGAGAGACAGGGCTTCAGTTTCATTCTTCTAAATGTGACTATCCAGTTTTCCCAGCACCATTTATTGAACAGGGTGTCCTTTCTCCAATATCTGTTGTTGTCTGGTTTGTCAAAGATCAGTTGGTTGTAGATATTTGGATTTATTTCTGGGTTCTCTATTCTGTTCCCATTGGTCTATGGTATTTTTATATCAGTACCATGCTGTTTTGGTTACTACAGCCTTGTAGTATAATTTGAAGTGGGGTAATGTGATGCCACCAGATTTGTTCTTTTTCCTCAGGATGCTTTGGCTATTCACGATTTTTTTTTGGCTATATAGGGATTTTAGGATTGTTTTTTCTAATTTTGGGGAAAATGACATTGGCATTTTGATAGGAACTGCATTGAATATGTTGATGGTTTTGGGCTGTATGATCATTTTCATGATATTGGTTCTTCTGACCCATGAGCATAGGATGTTTTTCCATTTGTTTGTGTCATCTATTGTTTCTTTCAGCCGTGTTTTGTGGTTCTTCTTGTAGAGCTCTTTCACCTCCTTGGTTATATTCCTAGGTGGTTTTTTGTGTAGCTACTGTAAATGGGATTGAGTTCCTGATTTAATTCTCAGCTTGATTGTTGTTTATATACAGCAGTGCTACTGATTTGTGTACATTAATTTTGTAACCTGAGAGTTTACTGAATTCATTTATCATATCTAGGAGAACTAAAAAGCTTCTGCATAGCAAAAGAAATAATCAACAGAGTAAACAGACAACCTATAGAATGGGAGAAATATTTACAAACTGTACCTCCAGTGAAGTACTAATGTCCAGAATCTACAGGGAACTCAAGGAAATTAACAAGAAACAAATAATCCCAATAAAAAGTGGGCAAACGACATAAACAGACATTTCCCCAAAGAAGATACACATATGGCCAACAAACATGAAAAAATGCTCAACGTCATTCAACATCAGGGAAATGCAAATTAAAACAGCAATGAGATACCACTTCACTCCAGCCAGAATGGCCATTACTGAGAAGTCAAAAGACAATTGTATGAGTCAGGGTTCTCTGGAGGGACAGAACTAATAGGATCTATTTATATATGAAAGGAAATTTATTAGGGAGAATTGGCTCACACAATTACAAGGCGAAGCCCCGCAATAGGCCATCTGCAAGCTGAGGAAGAGAAAAGCCAGCAGTTGTTCAGTCTGAGTCCAAAAGCCTCAAGACCAGGAAGCTGAGAGTGCCATCTTCAGTCTGCTAGACAAAGGCCTCAGAACCCCCAGGGAAGCCACTGGGACAAGTCCCAGAGTCCAAAGACCAAAGAATCTAGATCCTGATGTCCAGGGGCAGGAGGAGGAGAAGGAAGCATCCACCACAGGAAAGAGAAGGAAGCCAGGAGACCCAGCAAGCAAGGTCATCCCACCGTCCTCCACCTGCTTTGTCCTGGCCACTCTGGCAGCCCAGTGGATGGTGCCCACCCACATTGAGGGATGGGTCTTCCTCTCCCAGTCCACCGACCCAAACGTCAATCTCCTCTGCCAACACCCTCACAGACACACTCAGAAGCAATAGTTTACCAGCCATCTAGGCATCCCTCAATCCAATCAAATTGACAACTAATATTAACCATCACAACAACAGATGTTGGCACGGATATAAGTTAAAAGGGAACACTTATACACTGCTGGTGGGAATGTAAATTAATACAACCACTATGGAAAACAGTATGAAGATTTCTCAAAAAACTGAAAGTGGATCTACCATTCAATTCACCAATCCCATTACTGGGTATCTACTCAAAGGAAAAGAAGTCAGTATATAAAAAAGACATCTACACAAGCATGTTGATCACACCACAATTCACAGTTGCAGATATAGAATCAATCTAAGTGCCCTTCAATCAATTAGTGGATAAAGAAAATGTGATATATATATAAAATATATATAATATATATGGCATATTTAATATATATAAATGTGATATATATTTATATGGTCCTTCTTCAATGATTTAGGTGTGTGTATATATATACATATATATTTATATAATAAAACTACTCAGCCACAAAACAGAACAAAATAATATATTTTGCAGCAATTTGTATGGAACTGGAGGCCATTATCCTAAGTGAAGTAACTCAGCTACAGAAAATCAAATACCACATGTTCTCACTTATAAGTGGGAGCTAAGCTTTTGGTATGCCATGGCATGCAGAGTGGTATTATGGACATTGGAGACTCAGAAGAGGGGAAGGTGGGAAAGGGGTAAGGATGAAATATTACCTTTTGTATACAGTGTACACTATTAGGATGACAGGTACACAAAAACCCCAGACTGCACCGCTATACAATTCATCCAGGTAACCAACAATCATTTGTACCCCTAAAGCTATTGAAATAAAACAAATATTAAAAAAGAAAGTCGTAGTAGAAACCCATAGAACACTTATTATTTAATAATAATTCTAAAAAATAATTTATAGTAAAAATTTTAAAACATTATTAACATGCAGTAAAATGACTTTTTTGGTTTACAGTTCAATGAGATTTCACACACACAGATTCACATAACTGCCACTATAATCAAGGTAGAGAACAATCTCATCACCCCCAAATTATTCCCTGAAGCTTCCCCCAACCCCTGTAACCTGGAAACCACTGAGCTATTCTTTGTCTTTCTCATTTAGCCTTTGTAGGGATGATATAAGTGGAATCATACGGTGAGACTGTCTTCTTTCCCGTAGCCTAACGCCCTTGAAATGTATCCATGTTGTTGCATCTATAAATATTCATTTGTTTTTTATTGACACATAGACTGCGTCACATGGAGGCAGTACAGTCTGTCCATTTACCTGCTAGAGGACCCTTGGGTTCTCTCTACTTTTTCATGATTATGAATAAAGCTGCTGTAAACATACATGTGCAGAGCTTTCATTTCTCCGTAGTAAATACCTAAGAATGGGATTGGATTGCTGGGTCACATGGTAAGTACATGATTAATTTTATAAGAAATTGCCAAACTGTTTTCCAGAATAGCTCTGTGTACTATTTTGCATTCAACAATATAAGACACGTCAGCAATATATGTGTATTCCAGTAGTTCCACATCCTCAGCAGCTCTTGATACTGTCAGATTTTTAATTTTACCTTGTACAATAAGTGTGTAGAGACATCTCATGGTGGTTTTAATTTGCATTTCCCTAATGGCTAATAATGTTGAGTATCTTTTCATGTTCCTTTTTGCCATCTGTATGTCTTAACTTAATGAAGCGTCTGTTCAAATCTTATGCTTATTTTATCTCCATCGGATTGTTTGTTTCTAACTGTTGAATTTGAGAGGTTTTTAAAAAATATACTCTGAATAGAGGTCTTTTATCAAATATGTGACTTACAAATACTCTCTCCTAGTCTGGAATTTGTCTTTTTATCCTTTTAACAAGGTCTTTTACAGAGCAAAATCTTTTGTTTTGATAAGGTCTTATTTATCTTTCTTTTCCGTTTATAAGCCATATTTTTGGTGTTCCTTGCCTAACAGGTCGTAAATACTTTACCCCTATAATTTTTCCTCTAAAAAGTTTATAATTGCACTTTTACATTTAGATCTATAACTCTCTTTGAACTGATTTTTGTATGAATTGTGAAATTTAAATCCAGGTTCTTTTTTATATACAAATGCCCAATTGTTCCAGCACCATTTGTTGAAAAGATAATCCTTTCTCTAGTGAACCTTTGTCGGGAGTCAATTACACATACTGTTTCTGTATTTTCCATTCTGTTCCTTTGATTCATAGATCTATCCCTTTGCCATATCACATTGTCTTGATTACTGTTGTTTTAAAATAAGTCTTAAAATTAGGTAGTATAGTTTTTCCAACTTGATTCCTCTCTTTAAAAGTTGTTTTGGCTATTGTAGTTCCTTTCGTTTTGCTTACACATTTTAGAATTAGTTTATGTCTCCAAAAAACAAAAACCCAGCCTGGATTTTTGTTGAACTGCATTAAATCTATAGGTCCATATGGGAAGAATTTGTATCTTAGCTATATTGAGTCTTCCTATCCACGAATATAGTATCTCTCCATTTATGTAGGTCTTTGATTTCTTAATCCATGTTTTGATGTTTCTAGCATACTAATTCTGTACGTATTTGTTAGGTTTACAGCCCAGTATTCCACTTTGTATGAAACTATTTTTAGTAGTGTTATTTCTATTAATTTGGGTTTCCAAATGCTCATTGTAAATATGTAAAAATATAATTTTTATATTGACCTTTTTTATCTTGCATCTGTAGTAAATGTATTTATTGTAGCAACTTTTCAAAAGATTCCTTAAGATTTTCTATATACATAATAGCTTCATATGTGAATAGTGACAATTTTATTTCTTCCTGTTCAATGTGTATGCTCTTTCTTTCTTCCTTTCTTTTCTTCTTTTTTTTCTTTCTTCTTTTTCTCTTTCTTTTGCTTTAATGCACTGCCTAGGACCTCTAGTAGCTGATGTTAAATAGAAGTGATGAAAGTGTACATCTTTTGTCTTATTCCTAATCTTAGGAAGAAAGCATTGAGATTTTCATTAAGTACGACGTTAGCTGTAGGTTTTTGGAAGATGTCCTTTATCAGGTGAAGAAAATTTCTGACATTTCCTATTCCTAGTTTGTTGACAGTTTTTGTCATGAAAGGAGTTGAATTTTGTCAAAATTTTTTTGCAAAAATTTGGTTAATCATATGGTTTTTCTTTTTATTCTTTTAATACGGTGAATTATATTGATTGATTTAGTGGATGGGACTAAAGGTGTAGTTCAGTCTTCTACATTTTTCCAGGATTTCCACCTACTTGTTCTATTGACCACTAACAAGGATGTGTTGAAGTCTCCAAATATAATTACCAATTTGTTCATTTCTCCTTTCAGTTCTATCAGTTTTTGCTTCATATATTTTGAAGCTCTATTTTTAGGTGCAAACCAATTTAGGGTTATTATATCTTCTTGATTGGTAATTTAGCCCTTTTATTATTCTGAAATACCCCTCTTTATCTCTGATCTTTTTTTTTTTGTTCTGAAGTCAACACATGGTATTAGCATAACCATTTCAGGTTTCCTTTGATTAATGTGTACATTATATATCTTTATCCATCGTTTTACTTTTAACTTACCCATATTATTATACTCAAAGTGGAATTTTTAAAGACCATATAATTGTGTCTTTCATCCATTTTGATTATCTTTTAAAATATAATTATACTATTTTATTTTCTAATGTGTCAATTTTTACAGTATTATGAGCTATATTTCAAATGCCATAAAATTAACTCATTTAAGGTATACAGTTGCTTGCTTTTCAGTATATTCACAGAATTGTGTAATCATCACCACAATCTAATTTTAGAACATTTTAAACACCTCAAGAAGAGGCTCCATACTCATTACCAGCCATTCAATTTTTCCCCTGAATCAGCCCCAGGCACCCACTAATTTACTTTCTCTCTCTGTGAATTTGCCTATTCTGGACATTTCACATAAATGAAATCACACCATATGTGGTTTTTATGACTTACTTCCAATTTCTGTCTTTTAATTGGCATGTGTATTTAGACTACTTACCTTTTTGTTGTTGTTTTGTCTGACTGCATTATTTTAATATTTTAGTATATTATTTTATCTATTTAGTACTATCCTGTAACTTTTGTGTAGATTTTAGTGATTGTCATAGGAGTTATAATGTACATGCTTTTCATAGTTAAGTATGAATTAACATTTTACCACTTCAAGTGGAATACAGAAACCTCACCATGATAGTTTCTTTACCATTTCTTGTATGTGGTAGCATTTATGTATATCATGTTTACAATCATTGAAAATCTCAATAATTTTTCCTTTCAGTAATCATACTTATTTTAAAGAACTTAAGAGGAAAATAATGTATCATTATGTTTACCTAGATAGTCACCATTTCCTTTGCTCTTCCTTCATTCTCAGTGTTCCAAATATCTGTCTGGTATAATTTTTCTTAGTTCTGAAAAGCTTCCTTCAGTATTTATTTTAAAGCAGGCTTACTGGCCACAAGTTATCTTAAACTTTCTTCATCTGTCTCTTTCACTCCTGAAAGATATTGCTGTGGAATCTAGAATTCTGGGTCAATACTTCTTTTTCTCAGTACTTAACAATGTGATGTCACTTCGTTCCTTCTAGTCTTCCTGTTTTGTCATGAGAAATCTGCAGTTATTTGAATGATTACTACCTTACATTCTATTCAGTGTCTTTCTCTGGATACCTTTTTTTTTTTTTAGTTTTCAGCAGTTTGATTATTATTTTTCTGGTGAAGAATTTCTTTGAGTTTAACTTGTTCTTGAATCTGTAAGTTTATGTCTTTCCCCAAATTTGGGAACTTTTAAACCAGTACTTTTTTTTTCAAGTATTTTTTTTTTCCTGTATCTTATTCTTACTTCTCTGGGACTCTAATTACATAAATGTTAGAACTTTGTTTTTCTTTCACAGGTCCCTGGGGTTCCATACATTTTCTTAATATGTTTTCTTTCTGATTCAGAATTGATACTTTATATTAACTTATCTTCCGGTTTCCTCTTTGTCATCTCCAATCTGCTATCAAATTCATTTGAATATTTAAAATTTCAGTTATTATATTCTTTGGTCCTAAGATTTTTATTTTATTCTTCATTATAACTTATTTTTCCTTGTGAAGACTTTCTTCCTTTCCATTTGTTTCCAAGTGTTTGCCATTACTTCATAGAGCATGGTTTTGATAGCTATTTTAAAGTGTTTTTCTAATAATTTCAACGTAAGTGTCATCTTGGTGTTGGTGTCTGTGATTAACTTTTACCTTACAAGCTATCTTTGTCCTGGTTCTTTGTATACCAATTAATTTTGGATTATATCTTGAAAATTTTAAATACTATATTATATAGTTGATGATTTTGTTTAGCAGATAATCAATCTGGTTATGTTCAGAACATAGTTCTGACCATTTCTTCTGTGTTTGAAAAGTTTTTAAATGCTTTGCAGTGCTATTAAGATTTTCCAGTGTGAGCCATCGAGTGGCCAATCTCAGACTTGGGCAATGGTGCAGTCCGTAGTTCAGCTCTCAAAGTCTCCGGGTTGTTATTGAAGGTCAGATCCATTCATGCACAGCTTGAAGGTGAACTCAAGAGTTTATACATAGTTTTATAGGACAGCTCCTTGGTCTCCTTTCTCTTCATGATGTCTCCAACTCTTTTTGGTTCCCTGGAGCTCCCTTTTGCAGTCCTTGAGCCAGAAACTTGAGGCTAACATTTTTCTGCTCTGCTATTATTTTCCAAAACCACATTGTGTCTAGGTCAAACAGCAGGATGAGAGGAAAAACAGGAACAGAAACTCATTCTATTGCTTCTATTACCACCCCTAGTCATAGGAAAGTATTGCCTTTCCTAAGTGTTTGGAGTTTCTTTCCAGCCTCCACTTCTTTTGCACCCTAGAAAGATTGCCTGGGTAGCTGGGGCAAGAGAAAATGAATAAAAGTGGGGAAAAAACAATGAATTTTCCCCTCTGTCTCTGGACCATTGGTGTATACTTTCCCATTCCTCTGGCCAGAAATCAAAGGTTCTTCTTTAAGCTCTTTTTCTCTGTAACTGGTGCATTCTTTGATATTTCATGCAGACTTCAAGTCCAGTCTGGGCAATAGCAGAGGAAAATAAAATGGGGACCTAACCACCAGTTTGGCGCTTCTTCAAATTCTTCTCTACTTTGCCAATCTGCCTGCTGTTATTTCCTTTCCAGGGCCCTCGTGGAGCTGCTCCATGCATCCCATTCAGGATTTGCTTTCTGCTATGGATTGAATGATGGTGGCCTCTCCAAAATTCATGTTGAAACTTAATCCCCAGTGCAACAGAATTAAGAAGGGGGACATTTAGGAGGTGATTAGCTCATGAGGATGGTGCTCTCATGAATGGGATTGATGCCTCTATAAAAGAACCAATTATATTTGGGGACCTCAACACTGTGCCTTTGCAGATTTGCCCGTTCTGTCTAAACTGCTCTTTCCAATTTAGAAAGTTGGTGAAATCACTGTCTTGTTTCAAGTCTTAGGCCAGTAGCCACCTCCTCTCTCTCTCTGACCCCAGTTTCCTGGGTTCAGCCATGCACTTGCCACACCATTTTTGGAACATTTCTGGTTCTAGTCTGTGCCCTTCACTGGACTGGGAAGCTCCCAGGAAAAGGCCTGGGTTGGTCATCAGTATGGATTCAGCTCCCAGCATAGGTCTGCCCTGCTTGGATTCTCAGTCAGTGCCTAGCAAAGGGGCCCAGGTGCTTTGTAACTAAAAGGCAGGAGCCTGGATTTCCAAACTTCTAGGAAAACAGAGAAATGCATTTGTTTTCCTGACAGGGAGTGCTGTCCACCTCTACACAGCACTGGTTTACTGATCATGAAGACTCTGTGCCTTCAGTGCCTGGGGAGCCCCCACTCCTGGGTATAGGATTTGCACCAGATTTCCAGACAATCTCTAACAGGTGAAGGTGGAGGCTCAACCTGCCTCTGAGGACTCTTTAATATTTCTGATCCCTGGTCCTTCTTCTGGAGCCCTCTGCTCCTATTCCCATCAGCCTGTCCCCAAAAGGGCTCAGCTCCAAGGCATATCTCCTAATGGGGCTGCCTCCTCTGCTCAGGCCATTGCTTTTGTAAGGCTCCATCTTTTATCCATTCAAAGCAAGAAAACAAATTCTGCCTGGTGCCAGGTCCTGAGCACTACAGATCCCAGGTGCAGAGAGATGGGCCCCACGTGCTCCTGCACCTTCAGCACATTTGGTCTGGTTCCTACTGGCAGGGCCTCCTTCTCCACCCGAAGCACTGGGTATCCAAAGGGAGTGATTATGTGCTTGCTCGTGAATTCCAGGCAGGCAGCAAGCTTTGTGCTCCATAAATGGGGTTTTTCTGGGTCACAGCTCAGAAAGAATAAAGGAATCTGATGCAGTTACAGAGAGAAGTGGCTGGGTTCCGAGGGTCAGATGCCGGCCTGATGTGAGAGCAAAGCCAGGGGCTCCATACGCATTTGCTGTGCAGCTGATAAGGAGGCAGTGTCTGAGGGGATGAAGGCTGCATCCCAGCTCAGCCCACCGCCACTAAGTGTTGTGTGACCTTGAGCCCTCCACCTCTCTGAGCCCCCCAGCCCTCATTAGTAAATGATTTCAGCCCCTGCCCCACTGTTTCTGTGTCAGGAGAGGACACACCAAAAAGAGCGCCTGGGGTCAGCATCCATCTCACTAGTACTTCACAGTCCAGTAGCCAGTTATAATTCCATGGCCCCTGGGTGCTGTAGGAAGCTTGGACAGCAACATGCAGGAAACACTGGCTGCCTTCCTCATTGGTCCACTTCACACATAGGGCAACTGAGGTCCAGCCGGGGCACAGATCGGGGGGTTTGGAAGGAGACTTGAACTCAGCTCAGGGCTCACCCTAAACTACACAGGTGGTTCCTCTGGTCCTCAGAAGAAGGGCCTGGACTTTTCTCTTTCTGGAAGCTTTTGAGCATTTAACTCAGGGTGAGGCGCACTGTGGTCTTTACAGAAAATCTAAACCCCTCTGCCTTACAAAGACTTTATCCTGCCCCTCCTCATTCCTCTCCATTGTTCCCCATCTCTTCCCACTGTAATAGAAAAATTATTCATCAGACACTTGCTTAAAATGGCAAGACAAGCTTTATTTGAGACTACTGCCATAGAGGGGAGAGATTGGGCTCAACTCTGAATTCAGCAAGGACAGGATGGAAAATGACCCAGAGGGACTTGAGTGGGTATCAAGGGTAGAAAATTCTTGCTAAACTGGCCCAATAGGATTCTTCCTAGAGGTGATCAGATATCAAGAAGGAAAGAGGAGCTGGAGTAGATACCAAGTGTGAAAGGATGCTCAGCAAACTGGCTTAGCAGGACTCTGCTGAAATGGGGCTAATCAGGCCAAGGCTGAGTGCAGAAGAGGCTCAGAGGAGCCAGAAAAAGTTCGATCAAGCAAAGAGTCTTTGTCGACAACCACCTATCTCACCATCTCTGTCACCCACAGGATCCAGTGACCTTGAACCAGCGCCAAGGATATTTAATTCCTTGTTTGTCAGCTCCCAGGGTGACCCAGCTCCTACTGAGACCTCTCTGCTAAGCAGCAGAGGTAAGACCAAGTCAAAGGGAGCTGGTGGAAAGCACCTCAACGACTGAGCGGCAAGAGGAGGGGCAGGAACAGACAGATAAACCAGCCGTCAGGAAAAGGGGAGGGCCGGACTTCCCTTAGTGACCTCTTTGCTGGCAGAGAGGTCTCAGCAGAGCTGGGTCACCCTGGGAGCTGACTTAGCCCTCCCCACTCAGGCCCTGCCCCACAGTCCTGGCTTCTGTCTGCTGGCTGCCTCCCCCAGCAGATAAGAGTTGACTGTGGGCCAGGACTGGACCGACCATGGTTGGGTCTCCACGCCCAGCCCCAGCCCTGCCCCAAGTAGGCCCTGAGGGAAGCCGGCTGAATGAAAGAGCAGCTGCAATTGTGAAAATAGCTATCCTTTGGAGAACAATATGGGAACTCAATCAATCAATTAGTCATTGAGAAAGAAACATTCATGCAAATTAATTGAAAACCATCTTTAGGGGGTAATGTCTAAGCAGTATTCTATCATCATTGGTTTCTCATGCCTCACTGAGAAATTGGTCTGAGAGCTGGGCTGGGCCCTGGAGAGGCAGCCACAAGCCCCACAGCCGGGGAGGCAGGATGTCCAGGGCCCACTGATCTGACCTCCTTCCTGCTGCCTTTCTCCCCTGAGGCACTGTGCATGGGTTCTGCTGGGTAGGTGTAGCATCCTCATTTCCAGATGGTGAGCAGGGGCTCCAAGCAGCAGCTGAGTATCTCACAAAAGCTCACCCAGATGATATTGGTGGCGAATTCAATTGAACAGGCTCTCCCGGACTGTGGCGCCCAACTTCACCCATGTTCATGCCTTCCTCGGAACCAGACCCCTGAGCTTGCAGTGGTGTGTCAGCACGAAGACAAAGGTCATTCATGTCCTGACGTTCTCACTCACCAAGCCCCCAGCAGCCTCGCTCCATCCTCACCTGGGATCCCATCAGGCCGAGGGCATGCAGCCTGGGCTGTGGGAGTATTTCTCTCCTCTCAACACTGCAGAACTTCATGCATTCTCCCCCATCCTCCACCACTGCCTTTCTGTTTATGCATCCATTCATGTCACAAACACGTACTTATGCCACCCACTAATGGCTTCTTTTCAAAAGAGTGGGTGCAAGTGTCAGGATAGGATGAGAAGGCATGAGGGATCACAGCACAGCTTCATTCATGTATTCATTTGCTCAGCACGCATTGCCTGAGCAGTCCTGTGTGCCTGAGCATGCATTGCCTGAGCAGCACCTCCTACTGTGAGGGGGGCCCAGAACAGGATTGAGGACACACTGTGTGCAAAACAGGCAAGTCCCTGTGTTCACAGAGCTGACACCTAAAAGCAGGACCAAACAGAAATAAGTGCACAAATGATTAAACAGAGTCATCTCCTGGACTGCTAAGTGTGAGGAGGGAAAATAAAACAAGGTCATTCAAATGCACAAACGAAATGAATAGTACTAACAGCTAATATGAAGTGAGGACTTATCATAATGCGTTCAGCCCTGTGGAAGGGCTTCACATGCTTAATATCCTTCTCTCCACTGTGCAGAGGAAAAACTGAGGCATGGGCTTGGTAAGGAAATTTCACAGGCTTCACAGCTAATGAGAGTCAGCACAGCTGCAAACCTAGTCATTTGGCTTTAGAGCTATGCTGCCCCCCAGTACAGACATAATAAGCCACGAATGTGAGCCATGAATGCAACTTTAAATTTTATAGTAGCCATATGTTTAAACGTATTTTAAAAAGTGAAATCGATTTTTAATTTATGTTTTTAATTGACAATTAAAATGTATATATATTTATGGTGTACAAGGAGATGTTTTGATATATGTATACACTGTGGAATAAATAAATCAAGCTAATTAACTTATCTATCCCCTCGTGTGTTTATTTTTGTAGTGAGAACTTTTAAAACCTACTCTGAGAAATCTTGAAGTGTACAATATGTTATTTATTGTTAACTATAGTCACCATGCCATACAATAGGTCTCCAGGACTTATTCCTCCTATTTAACTAAAACTTTGTACCCTTTGAGTGAAATTTTTTTTTAATAATATAGATCATTTAACTCAATAGATCAAAAATATTATTTCAATAAGTAACCAGTAAAAACAAAATATTGAGCCATTTTACTTTCTTCTTTTCAAAATAAGCCTTTGAAATCTGGAGTGTAGTTCCCACTCACAGCTCATCTCCATGCAGACCAGCCACACTTCATGGGCTAAGTGGCCACACGGGGTTCATGGCTGTCACATTGGACAACATGGATCTAGAGCCAAGGGGAGGCAGGAATGGGGGCCATACATGCCAGTGTGGAAGCGAGAGAGGATGGTCAGGATGGGCAACATTTTACATGAGGGCTGAACATTGTGGAAAAGCAGCCTTGAGAGTCACTGTGGGAAGAAATGTATTGGCAGAAGAAATGAGAAGGGCATCAGCCTTGAGCTGGGAACAATCTTGATATATTTGAGGAGCAGGAAAAACAGCACTGGGCCCAAGTGCACCGCCCAGAATGTGTCAGAAGCAAGGTGGGAGGTCCCAAGGTGAGTATGTAGAAGAGCAGATGAAGGACACGTCCTTGCGCACTCCCAATACTCAAGTGCCTACTGAAGCAGAAGGGTCCAGAACAGGAAGGGATAATTCAGAACAGGAAGTGGGACACAGGACAGGAAGTGGGTCATAGGACATGAAAGGGGATACAGAACACGAAGTGGGGCATACTCAGAATAGGAAGTGGAACACAGAACAGGAAGTGGAGCATAGAACAAAAAGTGGAACATAGAACAGGAAGTGGGACTTACTCAGAACAGGAAGTGGAACACAGAACACAAAGTGGGGCATACTTAGAACAGGAAGTGGAACACAGAACAGAAAGTGGAGCATAGAACAAAAAATGGAACATAGAATGGGAAGTAGGACACAAGACAGGAAGTGGCAGAACAGGAGGTACAACACCCTGGGGAGATTGAAGTTGAACACAATAAATTGTCTCACTGGAGCCACATGCAGACTTAATCTGAAAGACAAGGCAGTGGTCTACACTGCAAGTAAGACTGGGCATTTGGGGCAGGCAGGGCTGGGTTATCGGGATGCAGAGGTGGGCGAATGCATTGTAAGCCCTTCAGCCTTTCCCTGGTTTCAACTTTCTCAGCATTTCTGTCTTACAGGAAGGCAGGGACCATTCTGCAGTGTGAAAAATTTCCCTCCATTCTCAACCTGCGTAAACAAAATTAATCCAACCAGAAAGCAACAAGGAGAGCAGCACCTCCTATTTGGGAATCATCTGGCTAGAATTACCTTGCTTTATAACTGATGGGGAGGAAAGTAGAACAAAAGGAGGCCTTGGAGGAAAAACTATTGCTCCCATCCAAGGCTGATGGGTGGCCTTGCAGTGGCCCAGCATGCCATTTCTGCTCACTGTGCCACTTAATAATCATGATGTCTATTGTTGGTTACCTTAGAAACCACCATGTCACTTCAGCCTTTCCAAGGGGAGGGGGCAAAAAGTCTGCTGTAAGTTTGATTGGAGTTGTCACTTTTTCCAAGTTTATTTAAATAAGGAGTTACTACAAGGGAGTAACTGCTGCCTGATTCAAGGGAGGGATCACCAAACATTCATTTGCAAGCAGAGTTCTGTAATCCACACAACCTTTTGGCCGCAGAGCACTGCCAGGTGTAGCCTCCAGATCTCATTAGTAAGAACAGCCATGGGAAGGTGGGCTCAGTGACCTTCATTAGGCAGAAGTGTTCTACCTGGTGATCTGGGTGTGGAACTGCTAAACAGCCCTCTGAATTCCTGATGAGGATTCATGAGACTCATCTGTCTTCACTGCAGAACTCTGTCGGGCAATAATCACAAAGCACTTGCAAGAAAGGGGCACAAAGACAGAGCGTGGTTTAGGAGAAGGTTACAGAACAAGGTTTCAGAAGGGGGCCTGTGGGTCAGCCACTCAGTCTACAAATCTCTGTGGAGCATCTGCTATGTGTCAATGACTGTTCTAGAACCAGGAATGCCATAATGACTAAGCCAGACCAAATCCCTGAGCCCACAGATTGAATGTTTTAGTGGAGGTCCACCTGTCTTCTTTGTCACTTTCCATGTACCTTGAAGAAATAAAATTCCCCTAGTCCCTAGGAATCGGATTCCTCAACTGTGAAGTGGAAGCAATGATAACACAGATGGCTCTTCCTGAAACTCAGTGGTGTGTCAACACAGTAAAGTATTGGGCAACTTACAATCGCCAAGAGGTGGAAGCAACCCACATGCCTATCAACAGACAAATGGATAAACAAAATGTAGTATACACATGCACTGAAATATTATTTGGCCATAAAAAGGAATAAAATTCTGACACATGCCACAGCATGGACAAACCACTTATGCTTCCCTATCCCTCCCTTGCCCCAAATCACTCACCAATGTTGTCAGGATTCTACCAAGACCCAGGATGCCTGCTGAGTGCTAAGGATGCAGGAGAGAGCAAGACAGCTAAGGCCTCTGGCCTCTCAGAGCTTCACCTGGAAGAGGGTCACACTGCCAGCAGACACCCACATAGACGTGAGGTTTTACAAAGGCTCGAGAAGGAAATGTGAAAAAGTGGTGAGACAATCCCTAAACAGCAGGGGCCCCTAGGCTTGGAGGACAGAAAGGGTGGGAGCGGGGGACGGCTGACAAAAGTAAACGTGTTGAAAGTGAAGACAGATATGAGGCCTGGAATGATGAGCACAGAAAGATGCATCCCCTTGAAGACAGTGTGTATTAGTCTCTTCTCACACTGCTAATAATGACATACCCGAGACTGGGTAATTTGTAAAGGAGAGAGGTTTCATGGACTCACAGTTTCACATGGCTGGAGAGGCCTCACAATCATGGCAGAAGGCTAAGGAGGAGCAAAGGCTAAGGAGGAGCAAAGGCACGTCTTACATGGTGGCAGGCAAGAGAGCGCGCGCAGGGGAACTGCCCTTTATAAAACCATCAGATCTCATGAGACTTATTCACTCTCACGAGAACAGCACGGGAAAACCCGCCCCCATGATTCAATTACCTCCCACCAGTTCCTTTCCATGACATGTGGGGATTATGGGAGCTACAACTGAAGATGAGATTTCGGTGGGGACACAGCCAAACCATATCACTGTGACAAATAAGAAAGACTATACATCAGTGAGTGTTCCACTTTAGAGGCTGAGAAGGAAGAGAGTAAGCACAAGAAGGAAAGAAGAAAAATAATAAAGCAGGAAGGAAACAGTAAAGATAGCAAGCTCAAATCAATAAATGGGAAACAAAATTAATGAACTAGATAAGATCATTACCCCAATTTTATAATGAGAAAAACAAGATGGGGAATGATTACAGGAAAATATATAGCCTCAAATGCTGAAGAAAAAAAGAAAGATGGAAAATAAATGAACGAAATATTCTACTTTAGATGGTGAAAAAAGAACAGAATGGACACAAGAGGGTAGAAGAAAGGAAATAAATAAGATGATGAGCTCACATTGATAAACAGAAAGCAAGCTCAAAATGAAAAGGGTCAACAAAGGCTGGGTGCAGAGGCTCACGCCTATAATCCCAGCGCTTTGGGAGGCCGAGGCAGGCAGAATACAAAATTCAGCTGAGTGTGGTGGCGGTTGCCTGTAATCCCAGCTACACAGAAGGCTGAGGCAGGAGAATCACTTGAACCCAGGAAGTGGAGACTGTAGTGACCCGAGACTGCACCATTTTACTCCAGCCTGGGTGACAGAGTGAAACTCCATCTCAAAAAAATAAAATAAAATAAAATAAAATAAAATAAAATAAAATAAAATAAAATAAAATAAAATAAAATAAGAGAACAGTCAACGAAACTAACAGCTGGTTCTTTGGAAAGCCTAATCATATAGGCAAACCTCCTAGAAGTTGTCTCAGAGACAGAGAGACAAAAGACAGGGAGGGAGAGAAGGGTACCCACAAGGATGTGTGTCTCATGATACTTGGGTACATCAACTGGAACAACCACTTTGCAGATGAGGTCATTAATAGCAAAAGTGAAGATATAGTAGTTCCCCCTTAGCCACAGTCAGACTTCCCACAGTTTCAGTTATCCTCATTCAACCATGGTCCAAAAATAATAAATGGAAACTTCCAGAAATAAATAATTTGTAAGTTTTTGATTGCATGCTGTTCGGAGCAGCATGATGAAATCTCAAGCCACTGCATTCCATCCTGTCCAGTTCTGCCTGGAATCATCCCTTCGTCCAGCTATCCATGCTATCTACACTCTTCACCCATTTCGCCACTTAGGAGCTGCCTTGGTTATTAGATGGAAAAAAAAAAACATGGTGTCTATAGAGTTTGGCACTATCTGTGACTTCATACATCCCCTAGGGGTCTTGGTACGTGTTCCCCATGGATAAAGAAGGCCTGTTGAATCTGTTTTTTATAACCCAGAAGTCACTCCTTCAGATGCAGATACAAAAAGATACTCTACATATGCTCCAGGACAATGGTTGATTATTATAGAAAAAAGCAGATCAAATTAAAAGTTCACCAAAAGAGAATGAATGAAAAAAGTGTGGCCTGTGCACACAATGGAACTCTCTACAGCAGTTAAAATGAATGAACTATAAAAGCATGTATCTAGCTCAGGATCAATTCAAAATAAACCTCTGAAACCTGCAGAAAATACGATCAGTTGTTTATGAACATGACATATGCAGCAAAAATATAAAATGATACAAGTTCAGAATTGGATGACCTTAAAGAAAAAGAAAAATGGGAGTTGGGAGAACAAAATGGGTATCACTCTGTTCATAATGATCTTTTTCACTTAAAAACAGCAACAAACCTTCTTTACAGAAAAGATCTGAAGCAAAAATCTGTTAGACTAACAAAGCAAGGGGGGAAGGTACCTGAGAGGGCACTGTATTACCCTCCATGCTTTTCTCTACGTTTAGAATATTTATATTAAAAAATTGAAAGCATTCTATAAAAAGCAAATGTATAAAAAGATAATTCTGTAAAAAGAGAACATAAATCTCTTTTGATGTATGCAATATATATGGGTTATCAATATAACATTTCAGTAATTGAAATAAGATGATACTGGCTCACAGATGTGTAATAGATAATTCACCAGAGGTAGGTCAAGAGTTTTAAAGCATGGCCACACGTGTGAGGAAAGTTGATCTGTGGTCAGGGTGTCAATCAGAGGAAAACTGGCTATCAAAAAACCATGGTGAAAACAAATAAGCGAAGTGAAATGATATCCTTATATCATACCATATGCAAATACAAATTCCGAAGGATTAAAGTCAGCCAGGGAACAAAACTTTAGAAGAAAATAGAGGAAACCATCTTTGTATTCTCATGGTGAGAACATGTCCATTAGACAACACACAATCAGCACAACACCTGGGGGAAAGTACTGATCACACGAAGAGATTATACTTTACAATTCTGACAAGAAAAAGGGACCAGAAATAAACTCAAAATGACCCACAGACTAGCAAAAGGTGTTTTCATTGAAACCACCATATGACTAGTATCCAGAATATGTAAAGATCTCCTATAATTCAATAAGAAAGGGCAAAGTGCCCAATAGCAAGAACACAGAGATGCTTTATGGAAGATGAAAGTTCAACGGTCAATGAAATTACAAATGGGGTTCCACTTTTTTTTTGGTGGGGGGGGTGGATGGAGTCTCGCTTTGTCACCCAGGTTGGAGTGCAGTGGCACAATCTCGGCTCACTGCAACCTCCACCTCTCGGGCTCAAGCAATTCTCCAGCCTCAGCCTCCTGAGTAGCTGGGATTATAGGCGCCTGCCACCAGGGCTGGCTAATTTTTTTTTTTTTCCAGTAGAGACGGTGTTTCACCATACTGGTCAGGCTGGTCTCGAACTCCTGATCTTAGGTGATCCTCCCACCTCAGCCTCCCAAAGTGCTGGGAATACAGGCATAAGCCACCACGCCCAGCCGGAGTCCCACTTTTCTAAGTGACCAAGGAAATGGAAATTAAACCACAGTGAACAGCATTGTAAACATCCCCAGTTCCAGCCACACCAAGGATTGGTAAGGATGTGCAAATCAACAGAACACGCATGCAGCCAGCGGGGGATAAACTGCCACAACATCTCTGCTAAAAACTCTGCCGATATCCTCAGAGGATGCTCTGCAGGTTAGACGCTCCATTCCCAGGCAGGCATCCTAAAGGAACACGCCATCTTCCACAATGACATCACACAAACGTCCACCACGGCACTGCAAGTGTCAGTCCACAAAGAAATGAGTAGATAACATTCTATGGAGTGATATGAAAAAATACAACGAAACAGTAACAATGAATTTTAGGTCTCAAAAATACTAGTAAAAAAATGTAAAAGCCAATAACATAGAATGCTATATTCGTACATTTTAAAAACTTAGAACAGCATTATGATTGCTAGACATATGTGTGTGTGTGTGTGTGTGTGCGCGTGCGTGCGTACCTATATATCTAGGTAATAAAAATACATGATGTTGATTGCAAAAGAAAAGTGACACAAACTTCATGACAGTGACAGATTCTGGGGAGAGACAGAGAGGGTCAGCCACAGGAGAAGAAACCCTGGAGAGGTCTTCAATTTTTTCTGAAGGCCTGGATTTGTTTTATAAAAGAGAGATAACTAAAGGAAACTTCCAGAATGTTAATAGTTGCTCATGCTAGCTGGTAGGTGCATGGACTTCAGTCATGCTATTTATTCTCTGTTCCTTCTTTTTTGAAAAGAGAGAGAGGAAAGGACTATAAGGCAATACAAACTAAAACAGTTCGATGCTAAGGCAAGAGTATAATAAATAAGGCCACAGGCAGACACTTCCACACATTAGGATTCAGGAGCTGGCACAGTGGCATTTCCATTTAGAGAGGGCCGTAAAGGGCTGCAGAATCGTCCACCTCTGGGGCAGGTCTCCAGCTTGACTCCTACCTCACCTCATTTGCCAATTAAGGAGGTAAGTGCTGTATGGGGTGAAGACAGAAACCACGGCAGGACTGGGGGGAAATGGAAATCGATGTTTTTCTGACCTCGTGACAGGAGGCCGTTCCCATGCAAAACATCCAAGGAAAGCACCATAAAGGGGGCGATTGATGGACTTTACTATATACCACATAAAAATAAAAATGTTATTCTTGCAAAAACACTAGAAACAACATGTAAATGCAAATGATGAATTTTACAGGAGGGAAAGGAAGAGCTGACCTGAGTCCAGGTGGTTAGGAGAGGTGACAGCGTGCTGGCAGTCCTCACAGCCCTCGCTCGCTCTGGGCACCTCCTCTGCCTGGGCTCCCACTTTGGTGACACTTGAGGAGCCCTTCAGCCCACCGCTGCACTGTGGGAGCCCCTTTCTGGGCTGGTCGAGGCCGGAGCCGGCTCCCTCAGCTTGCAGGGAGGTGTGGAGGGAGAGGCGCGAGCGGGAACCCGGGCTGCGCGCGGCCCTTGCGGGCCAGCTGGAGTTCCGGGTGGGCGTGGGCTTGGCGGGCCGCGCACTCGGAGCAGACGGCCAGCCCTGCCGGCCCCGCGCAGTGAGGCGCTTAGCACCCGGGCCAGTGGCTGCGGAGGGTGTACTGGGTCCCCCAGCAGTGCCGGCCCACTGGCGCTGCGCTCCATTTCTCGCCGGGCCTTAGCTGCCTTCCCGCGGGGCAGGGCTCGGGACCTGCAGCCCGCCATGCCTGAGCCTCCCACCCCCTCCATGGGCTCCTGTGCGGCCCAAGCCTCCCCGACGAGCGCCGCCCCCTGCTCCACGGCGCCCAGTCCCATCCACCGCCCAAGGGCTGAGGAGTGCCGGCGCACGGCGCGGGACTAGCAGGCAGCTCCACCTGCAGCCCCGGTGCGGAATCCACTGGATGAAGCCAGCTGGGCTCCTGAGTCTGGTGGGGACTTGCAGAACCTTTATGTCTAGCTAAGGGATTGTAAATGCACCAATCAGCACCCTGTGTCTAGCTCAGGGTTTGTGAATGCACCAGTCCACACTCTGTATCTAGCTATTCTGGTGGGGCCTTGGAGAACCTTTGGGTCTAGCTCAGGGATTGTAAACGCACCAATCAGCGCCCTGTCAAAACAGACCACTCGGGTCTACCAATCAGCAGGATGTGGGTGGGGCCAGATAAGTGAATAAAAGCAGGCTGCCCAAGCTAGCAGCGGCAACCTGCTGGGATCCCTTTTCACGCTGTAGAAGCTTTGTTCTTTTGCTCTTTGCAATAAATGTTGCTATTGCTAACTCTTTGGGTCCACACTGCTTTTATGAGCTGTAACACTTACCGCTAAGGTTTGCAGCTTCACTCCTGAAGCCAGCGAGACCACGAGCCCACCGGGAGGGATGAACAACTCCAGATGCGCCGTCTTAAGAGCTGTAACACTCACCGCGAAGGTCTGTAGCTTCACTCCTGAGCCAGCTAGACCACGAACCCACACAGAAGGAAGAAACTCCGAACACGTCCGAACATCAGAAGGAACAAACTCCAGACGCACCACCTTAAGAGCTGTAACACTCACTGCAAGGGTCCGTGGCTTCGTTCTTGAAGTCAGTGAGACCAAGAACCCACGAATGCAGGACACAGTTAGGTAGAGGGGCCTCTGGACACAAAGGTGGGGCCCCTGGGGTGGAAAAGGGGAGCTCCTGGGGTCACATATAGTTGGCCCTTGCCCGGGCCCAAAGCAGTGCCTTCCTCCTCGCGTCCTGCCCCAGTGCCCTGCTGCAGACCAGTAACTACCCTTCTTCCAAACATTGGCTGATCAGGAACATCTGGCAGATTAACGAAAGGACACAGGAGTGGTGAAATCTCAGAGCAAGTTCCTAGGTGTCAGAGTTCCTAAGCTTTCTCTCCTTAAATGCCCTTTCTGTTGTGCTAGGGGCCTTTACATTCAGAAGTAAGTCTAAACACTAAGATGTGTTTGTGAACTCTAAACTTCCTCTTCCTGGAACACGTAGGTGTGCATTACAACTTCACTCCAGCAGCCACGCCTTCCTTTGGTTATTCATGTAGCCACCTTATCCTGCACAGGTCTGTGGCAGGCCGTGAGACGGTGACCAGAGAAGCAGTCAGCACTCACGGCCCCTGCCCTTTCAGAGTTTACGCTTGCTTGGAAGCCTCCAGAATGGGGATAAGCACAAGACATTTATGCTGGGCTTCATCCAGGAAGCTCTGGTGGAAGGAAGAGAAAGCAGCCCACACAGCAAGGTTCAGGAGAAGATTCCCATGAAGGACAACTGGGGTTCAGCCCCATCCAGCAGATGACACGGAGCCGGCCTCGGAGGTGTCCTCACCGTGGGACACTGGCATCTGAGCTACCTCAGGGCGTAGCCGGCCGATGTTCCCAGCCTCCCCCTGGGCACAGCCAGCCCAGGCCAAGTGGTCTAGGTAAGCAGCCCAGAAAGGGGACACAGGTGAGGTTGGGACAGCACCTTCCAGGGGGTTAGGTGAACAGCAAGGTCAAGAAAACACACAGCAAGCACCATGGTGGGGTGGGGACCGAGGGGTGACAAGGCTGAGGATGGAATCGCAGATGAGTCTTGAGGCATTTGATATCTAGCATTTCCTTTTGATTCTTTTAAAGTTTTCATCTCTCTGCTTACATTTACATGTCATTTACTTTTTTCATTAGAGCCCATAACAATGACTCACAGATATTTTAAGTTCCTTTTTGGATAATTTTCAAATCTTTGTTATATCTGAGCCTTGTTCTGTGTTTTTCTCTTGCCTTTTAATTTTTTGTTAGAAGCCAGACATGATGCATCAGGTAATAAAAACGGAGGCAATTAGGCTTTTGGTGTGAGGTTTTATATTAATCTGGCCAGGAGTTAGACTGCGTGTAATGATTGCTGTCGTTGTATATCCCAGGGGCTTTAGTTTTCTTGTGTTTTTCCCCATTTTCTTCGGGGTTTCCTATGAACTTCTTATATAAGAACCTGTGTCTTACAGCTGTCTGGGTTGTAATCCACTGTTACTATCCTGGAACCCTATTGACGTGGTGGTAAGGGGAAGATTCTGTAATTTTTTTTTTTTTTTTTGGAATGGAGTCCCACTCTGTCGCCAGGCTGGAGTGCAGTGGTGCGATCTTGGCTCAGTGCAATCTCCGACTCCCTGGTTCAAGCGATTCTCCTGCCTCAGCCTCATGAGTAGCTGGGACTACAGGCTCATGCCACCATGCCCAGCTAAGTTCTGTATTTTTAGTAGAGACGGGGTTTCACTGTCTTGGCCAGGATGGTCTCTATCTCTTGACCTTGTGATCTGCCCATCTCGGTCTCCTAAAGTCCTGGGATTACAGGCATGAGCCACCACGCCCGGCCGAAAGGTGAAGACAGAGAATCATGACCAAGACTGGTTTACCTGAGACTAAAACCGCTGGCGCCTGTAACAGCAGGGCCACTTTAAAGCTTTCCCCTTTCTAAAACACTTTTCTCTGATCTTTAAGGCAAAGGAAATTTTGGCGGCTTTTTGTCTCTCCTTACATGAGACAGGAAAGCTACAGGGGGCTTGAGCAGGCCAGTCGCTCTTCCTCCAGGTCAGACAAGGGGAAACTGTTGGAAGTCACGGCTTTGTTAAGGAGAATTTTCTGGTCATCTTTCAAAATGGTTCTTTTCCCCTCCCCTTTCTAAAACACTTTTCTCTGATCTTTATGGCAAGAACCTGCTGGGGTTTCAGCAGGTGAAATACATGAGCCTGTTGCAGTCCCCCTAAGACTGGGCCCCAAGAGGTTTTAACTCTCAGGCTAGTCCACACTCAGCCTCTGGCAATTTGTCAAAATTAGTGTTAAAGTGGCTCTACCAGTTACAGGCACCAGTGGTTTTAGTCTCAGGTAAACTAATCGTGGCTATGATTCTCTGTCTTCACCTTTCTCTACAAACTTCAGAGAGGCTGGTTTGCTCTGTGATCTCAATTAGCTGATGGATCTAGGTAAAGTCATTGAGGTTCAGTCTGTTCAGTGTTTTCCCTGATGTGACGATGAGAGGGGGTGACTTCCGTGCTGTTTCCATATTGGGGCTGAAACAGGAAGTCCCATATATGCTCTCCATATGTGTTGTGCACATATGCTGTTAGATAGATACATTCCTAGGTACCTTAGAGTTTTTTGCTATTATCTTAAGTGTATTCATCATCTCTTATTCCTTCCATTATAGTTTCTCAGTTGTTGTTACTAGAATACAGGAGTGGACTTGAATTTTGTATGTTAATGGAACAGGCTCTGAAGCCAGGCAGTCTGGATTTATACCCCAGCTCCTCCACCTGTTAGCTGTAATACTTCAAGCAACTTCAGTACTACACTTAGATTCAGTGTTCTTCTGTATAAAACAGAAATAATAGTAGCTACTTCATAAGGTTGTTATGAAAGGAGAACAAAGCAGAATGTTTAGAGCACATAGAGCAATGCCTCTGTCTTATTGCACAGAGCAGTCTTGACATAACTAACTCCATCTTAGAAAAGGACTCTATTTTATATTTCATAGGACACTTTGCCAGCAAGGACAAGATGATTTGCTTAATAAAAAAAAAAAAAAAAAAAAAAGACTGCATCCAGCCAGATAAGGACATAAACAAGCACGCTCCTCCACTGTCAGTCCTCACCAGAGGACTCTATGGTCATAAACAGCTCAAAACTGCGGTCTTAACAGACTCAGTCTTGCTGTCACTCATGATGAGAACCCAGCATTGGCTACCAAAGGCTCTGCCACATCAAAGACTCTTCCTTGCAGGACCAAAGGACTGCCTGGCCCAGACCAGGAGATTCTTTTTGGCTTCGTTGCTCTCCCTGGACTGGTTTGTTAAACCTTTCTCCTATCTCTATTCTCTTGATGTTGAATGTTACTTTTTGTCTGTTTGTGGAATGTTTAATCTATAACATTTATGTATTAAGTATACTATTATCTATGGTTTGCAATATTGACTGACTTTGTGGAAGGACACACATGTGCGTAGACCTGGTTATCTCTAATCTTGCACTGCTGGTGAGACTTAGCAACCCTTTGATAAATATTATCTACTATTAGTGATAGAGACAGGAGGTAGCCAAGGGTCCCCTGCGAAACCCTGCCTTCAAACCTAAAATAGCCTGAAGTTTAAAAAACCAGACAGCCAGTCCTGGATGAAGCCCACCCTTTCCTGACTGATCCTTTTTTTTTTTTTTTTTTCCTGTCTGTTGCCCAGGCTGGAGTGCAGTAGTGCAATCTTGGCTTACTGCAACCTCCACCTCCTGGGTTCAAGCAATTCTCCTGCCTCACCCTCCTGAGTAGCTAGGATTACAGGTGTGTGCCACAATGCCTGGCTAATTTTTGTATTTTTGGTAGGGACAGCGTTTCACTATGTTGGCCAGGCTGGTCTTGAACTCCTGACCTCAAGTGATTCGCCCACCTCAGCCTCCAAAAGTGCTGGGATTACAGGCGTGAGCCACCGTGCCCGGCCCTGACTGATTCTGTCAGAATAATGCGGACCTGCACACTGGGAGGACGGGGTGGGACCTCAGGAATTTGGTGCCACTTGCAGTGGGCAGGAGCCTGGCCTTTTCTGTTCGTGTGTGGTAACCTGGGATTCAGTCTGTGAAATGGAGGCCTGTTAACAGAAACTCCTCTCGATTTGCTGAGAATTTTTTCCTTTTTGCCCAATAAATCCTACTCCTTATCCTTCCATGTGTCCATCAGCCTAATCTTTCCTGGTTGTGTGACAAGAACCCATTTTTTTTTCCTACAGCAATAGTATTATGTTATTTTACTATAATTATCCCAAATCTTGCTATCTCTCTTTTGAAACATGTTCATGAAAGATATTGTCTTAGTTTTTGGCTGCTATAACAAAATGCCATAGACTGAGTGGCTTAATAACAAACATTGATTGCTCAAAGTTTCTGGAGGCCAGGAGGCCAAGGTCAAGGTGCTGGCAGATTCAGTGTATGGTGACAGCCCCTTTCTTGGTTTGCAGACAGCCGTCTTCTTGTATCTTCATAAGATTGAAGAGAGGGAACTTCTGTCTCTTTGTCTCCTTATAAGGGCACCAATCCCATTCATGAAGCCTCCACACCTATGACCTAATTACCTCCCAAAGGTCCCATTTCCAAATACCACATTGGGGATTTAGGCTTCTATATATGGATTTTAGGGAAACATAAATACCCCATTCATAGCCGATATCATTCACACATGATAGAATTTACTCATTTAATGTGTAAAATTCAATACTTTTTAGTGTATTTAGCTTTGTACAATCATACAATAATCTGTGCTTTTTTTTTTTTTTTAACATTTTAGTCCCTACTGAAAGGAATTCATATCCATTTGTAGTCAATTCCCATTCTCCCTAACTTCCCCTCATCCCCAGCAATCACTAATGTACTCTCTGTGTCTGTAGATTTACCTATTCTGGAAATTTCATGTAAATGGACTCATACAATATATGGTCTCGTGTGACTTGCCTCTTGCATTTAGCATAATGTTTTCAAGGTTCATCAACATTGTAGCATGCATCAGTACATCCTTCCTTTTTATTGCCAAGTAGTATTTCATTGCATGCCAAAATTTATCCCCATTTGGACATTTGGATTGCTTCCAAATTTTTTTTTTTAATTATTATTTGAGACGGAGTCTCGCTCTGTCTCCCAGGCTGGAGTGCAGTGGCGCGATCTCGGCTCACCGCAAGCTCCGCCTCCCAGGTTCATGCCATTCTCCTGCCTCAGCCTCCCGAGTAGCTGGGACTACAGGTGCCTGCCACCACGCCCAGCTAATTTTTTGTGTTTTTAGTAGAGACAGGGTTTCACCATGTTAGCCAGGATGATCTCGATCTCCTGACCTCTTGATCCGCCTGCCTCAGCCTCCCAAAGTGCTGGGATTACAGGCGTGAGCCACCGCACCTGGCCATGCTGCGCTATTTTTTTTTTTTTTTTTTAATTTTTAGTACAGACGGGGTTTCACCGTGTTAGCCGGGATGGTCTGGATCTTCTGACCTTGTGCTCCACCTGCCTCAGCCTTCCAAAGTGCTGGGATTACAGGCGTGAGCCACTGCGCCGGCCTCCAGGCTTTTTTTGACTATTGTAAATAATGCTGTTAAAAATTTTGTACAAGTTTTTGTGGGAATATATGTTTTCATTTCTCTTGTGTATATATCTAGATGTGATATTGCTGGGCCATATGTACAAGTTTTTGTGCAAGTTTTGTGGGAAGATATGTTTTCATTTTTCTTGCGTGTGTACCTAGATGTAATATTGCTGGGTTGTATGTTTAACCGTTTGAAGAACCACCAGACTGTTTTCCCAATATAGTAACGTTGAGCATCTGTTATTCTACTAATGGGCCATTTCTGTGTATTCTTGAGAGAACTGTTGATTGAAATCCCTTTATCGTTTTAAAAATTGAGTTATGTTTTTATTAAGTTCTAAGTGTTTTCTATGTATTTTAGAACAAGTCCCTTATTAGATACATGGTTAGCAAATATCTGATAGGTTGTCTTTTCACTTTCTTAATGGTATTGTTTGAAGTAAAAAGTTTTAAAATTTGATAAAATGTATCTAACTTTTCCTTTTGTTACTTGTGATCTTGATGTAATATTTAAAAAACTATTAAATAACCAAGATCACAACGATTTAATTCTATGCTTTCTTCTAAGAGTTTTATGGTTTTAGCTTTTACACCTAGGTCTTTGATACATTTTCAGTTGATTTTGGTGTGCAGTAGGAGTCTAACATTCTTTTGCATGTAGATGTCAAGTCTCTCAGTACCATTTGTTGAAAATCTTATTTTCCCCATTGATTTTTCTTGGGATTGTTTTCGGTAATCAATTGACCACAAATCTGAGTGCTTATGTCTGGACTTTCAATTCTATTCCTTTGACCTACACATTCATGTTTATGTCAGTATCACACTGTCTTGATTACTGTGCTTTGCAGTTAATTTTTAAAATTGGAAAGTGTGAGACCTCCAACTTTGTTGCTTTTTCAAGATTATTTTGGCTATTATGGGTTCCTTGAATTTACATATGAATTTTAAGTTCAGCTTTTAAATTTCTGCAAAAATGCTAGCTAGGATTTTTATGGGGATTGTGTTGAGCCATTAGATCAATTTGAAGAGTATGACTATCTTAACAATATTGTCTCAATCACGATGTCTTTCCAGTTATTTAGGTTTGCTTTAACTTATGTCATTGATGTTTTATAGTTTTCAGTGTGGAAGTCTTACACTTTGGTTAAATTTGTTCCTATTTTATTCTTTTTGCTACTATTGAAAATAGATTGCTTTCTTAATTTTATTTTTGGATTATTCATTACAAATGTATAGAAATGCACTTAATTTTATGTATTGATCTTGCATCCTGCAATCTTGCTGAGCTGGTTTATTAGTTTTAATAGTTTTATGGTGGATTCCTTAGAGTTTTCTTCATTCAAATTGTGTCATCTGTTCATATATATATATATAGTTTTACTCTTTCTTTTCCGATTTGGATGACTTTTATTTCTTTTTCTGGCCTAATTAGGTATGTAGTATTTCTTCTACCATGTGAAATAGAATTGATGAGAGCAAATGCTTTTTGTGTGTGTGTGTATCTATTGAGATAATATTGTGACTCTGTTTATCTTTTTTTAATATGGTGTGTTAACAGTGATTGATTTTCAGATATTAAATCAACCTTGCATTCCTGGGATAATCTTACTTGATCTTGTTGTCCGTATATATGTTTTTTTTCACATGGTGCTGGATTAATTTGCTAGCATTGTGTTGAGAATTTCTGCATTTATAGTCATAAGGCTAACTGGTTTTTTAGTTTTCTTTTCTTGTAATGTATCGTTTTGGTATCAGGATAGCACTAGCCACATAGGGTAAGTTGAGATGTAGTCCCTGTTCTTCTATATTTTGAAAGAGTTTATGAAGGATTGGCATTAATTCTTCTTAGAATGTTTGGTAGAATTCACCAGTGAAGCCATATGAGCCTGGAATATTTGTTGTGGGGAGGTTTTAATTATGAACCAACGATATCTAAGAGACATGTACAAACCACTCCACCCAACAGCAGTGAAATACACATTCTTTTCAAGAGCATCTGGAAAATTCTCTGATCATATGCTAGGCCATAAAACAAGCTTCCATAAACGTTAAGGAACTGAAATTATACAAAGTATCTCCAATTGGAATAGAATGGAATTAGAAATCAATAACAGCAAGAAATTTTGAAAATTTAACATCTACATATTTGTAAATAACACACTTCTAAGTAACTGATGTGTCAAGAAGAAATTACAGTTAAATTTGAAAAGCTCTGTGGTAGATACAAATAAAGATACAAATGTACCAAAACTTCTGTGATGCAGATAATGCAGTGCTCAGAGGGAACTTTATAGCTGTATACTCATATATTAAAAAAGAAGACACATTTCAAACCAAGGACTTAAAAATTCAATTAAATAAAATGGATTCTTTTAAGAAGATTAACAAAATCAACAAAAATTAGTGAGCAAGAAAGTATAGAGAAGGCTCAAGTTTCTGAAATCAGGAATAAAAGAACATTGCTGTTGACCTTATGGGAAAAAGGGGGATTATTGGGGAATACCATGAACAAGTGTGTGCTAACAAATTTGATGACTTAGATGAAATGGACGAATGTCTAAAAAAACAAACTGTTGAAACTGACTCACAAGAAATAGAAAATATGAATATACTTATAGAAAGTAAAATAATAGAATTAGCATTAAAAAATACAAAGAAAAGCCTAGGCACAGATGACTTCTCTGTGAATTCTACCAAAAAATTTAAAGAAGTAATACCAATGCATCACAAACTCTTTCAGAAAATGCAAGAGGAAGGAATACAGTCTAATGCCTTCTATTAGGCCAGTATTACCCTGACTTCAAAACCAGAGAAAGACATAAAAAGAAAAAAAACGAGACTAATGTAGCTTGTAAATACAGACACAGAAATCTTAACAAAATATCAGGAAACCAAACTCAGCAATAGATAAAGAGGAATAGAGATCATGACCAAGTAGGATTTTTTTCCCAGGAATTTCAGAAAATCAATTAATGTAACACAAGATGTCAACAGAATAAAAGATAGCAAGCAAAACCCATACGATCATCTTGACACATAAAAAGCATTTGACAAAAATTCAACACCTTTGCATTAAAAAAACCCTTAACAAAGTAGGATTAGAAGGTCAATTCTTCAACCCGTTAAAAAGCATCTGTGAAAAAATCCATTGCTAATACCGTAATGGTGAAAGATAAAATGCTTTTCTCCTCAGTTCAGAAACAAGACAAGGATGTCTGCTCTCACTGCCTCTATTCAAGATTGTACTGGAAGTTGTTTCCAGGGCAGTTAGTAATTTAAATAAATAAATAAATAAATAAATAAATAAATAAATGGCATCTAGATTGTAAGTAAAGAATTAAAACTATCTAATTTGCAGATATCTTGACCTTGTACACAGAAAACCATAAGGTTTAACCAAAACACTGTTAACCTAATAAGTGTGTTCACCAAGGTTATAAGAGGTAAAATCAATAACATTCCAAAAAGGAAACTATGAAAAATAATTCCATTAAAAACACCATGGAAAATAAATACTCAGAAATAATTTTAACAAAATAAGCACAAAGCATACTATGAAAATTACAAAACATTTTGAATAATTAAAGATCTAAATAACTGGAAAGACATCCATGTTCATGGGTAGAAAGCATTAATATTGTTAAGATGGCTACACTCCCCAAATTGTTCTGCATTTTCAACACAATCTCCATAATAATCCCAGCAGGCTTTTTTACAGCTATAGACAAGCTGATCCGGAAATCTATATGTAAAATCAAGGGACTTGGGGTGGCCAAAACAGTCTTGATAAAAGAACAACTCCAGCCTCAGCAACATAGGAAGACCCTGTCTCTTAAAAAAAAAAAAAAAAAAATGCCAGGCATGGTGGCACATACCTGTGGTCCCAACTACCTGTGAGGCTGAGGTGGGAGGATTACTTGAGCTTGGGAGATTGAGGCTGCGGTGAGCTGTGAACACACCACTGGACACACCACTGGACTCCAGCCTGGACAACAGAGTGAGATCCTGTCTCAAAACAAAGAGGACGACAAAGTTGAATAACTCACACCTTCCAATTTCAAAACTTACTACAAAGTTACTATAATTCAGACAGGGTGGTACTGGCATAAGGATAGATAGGCATCAGTAGACTAGAATTGAGAGTCCAGAAATAACCCCATATATCTATGGTTAATTGATTTCTGAAGAGGGTGCCAAGACAATTCAGTGGGAGAAAGAATAGTCTTTTTCAACAAATGGTGCTGAGACAATTGTGTATCCACATGCAAAAGAATGAAGTTAGACCCCTACCTCACAACATATACAAAAATTAACTCAAAATGTAGCACATACAAAAATTAGCTCTTAAACATAAGAGCTAAAACTATAACACTCAGTGAGAAATAGGCATACATCTTCATGATATTTAATTAGGCAATTATTTCTTAGATATTACATCAAAAACATAAGCAACAAAATAAAAATAGGTTAATTGGCCATCATCAAAATTACAAACTTGTGTGCTCCAAAGGACACCATCAAGAAAATTGAGGCTGGGTGTGGTGGCTCACTCCCAGCACTTTGGGAGGCTGAGGTAAGAGCATCACTTGAGGCCAGGAGTTTGAGATCAGCCTGGACAACATAGTGAGATCCTGTTTCTACAAAAAAATTTAAAAATCAGCCAGGCATGGTAGTGCAGACCTGTATTCCTAGCTACTCAGGAGACTGAGGTGGGAGGCCATTTGAGTCCAAGAATTCAAGGCTGCAGTGAGCAATGATTGCACCACTGCACTCCAGCCTGGGCAACAGAGTGAGACCCTGTCCCAAAAAGAAAAGAAAAAAAAAAAGGAAATTTAAAAGAAAATTAAACTGGCTCATGCCTATAATCCTAGCACTTTGGGAGGCCGAGGTTGGTGGATTGCCTGAGCTCAGGAGTTCGAGACCAGCCTGGACAATGCGGTGAAACCTGTCTCTACTAAAATACAAAAAATTGGCCGGGCGTGGGAGCGTGCACCTGTAGTCCCAGCTACTCGGGGGGCTGAGGCAGGGGAATTGCTTGAACCCAGGAGGCGGAGGTTGCAGTGAGCCAAGATCACGCCACTGCACTCCAGCCTGGGTGACAGAGCAAGACTGTCTCCAAATAAAAAATTAAGAAAAATTAAACAACTAAAAGACAATCCATAGAATGAAAGACAATGTTTGTAAATCGTATATCAAATAAGGGACTTGTATCCAGGATATATAAAGAACTCTTGCAACTCAGTAATAAACAGACAATGTCCCAGTTAAAAATGGACGAGGATTCTGTAATAACAGACATTGTTCCCCAAGAGGATAAACAAATGGTCATTCAGTGCACAGAAAGCTGCCCAGCATCTGCAGCCATCAGATAAATGCAAATCAAAATCACAATGAGTTACCTCTTCAAACCCACTAGGATGGCTATAGTAGAAAAAATAATTACAAGTGTCGGAGGCAATGTGGAAGGATTAGAACCTGTGTACACTGCCGGAAGGATTGCAAAATGGAGCAGGAGACAATGTGGAAGGATTCTAACCCTTGCACATGGCTGGTGGGATTATAAAATGGAGCGGCTTCTTTGGTAAACAGTCATGCATTTTCTCAGAGTATGAACATGGAATTGTTCCATGACCCAGAAATGCACTCCCAAGTATATTCCCAGGAGCCACAAAAATGCATGTTCAGAAAACAACTTGTACACAAATGTTCATAACATCATTATTCATAATAGCCACAAAAGGAGAAACAACTCACACATAAAAAGAATGTGTTATAATCCCACAATGGAATTTTATTTGTTAATACAAAGGGATGAAGTATTGCTATATGCTGCAGGTGGATAAATGTTATAAACATTATGCTAAGTGGAAGAAGTAAGACACAAAAGGCCAAGAGTTCTATGATTTCATTTAAATAAAATGTCCAGAATAGGCAAATCCGTAGAGACAGGAAGTAGATGAGTTGCTGCCAGTGGTAGGTGGAAGGGAGGAATGCAGAGAGGCGGCACATGGGAGCTGGCTTCCTTCTCGCAATGATGAAAATGTTCTCAGATTGATTGTGGTGATGGCTACACAACTCTGAATACGCTGAAACCACTGAATTGTTCACTTTACCAAAGGGAATTGTGTATACTACGTAAATTATTTCTCCAGGAAGTCTCCATAAAGGTGTTATGTATTTAAAAAAAAATTATATGGTTCCCAAGTTATGAAGACTTTTGGCCCTTCCTTCCCCACATTTGTATTTCCTTAATTTTTCTTTCTTCCTTTTCTGCTTGTCAAAGACCTAATACAGATAGAATAGAAGCAGTGAGCAGCAGCCTCCTCGCCTGGTTGCCAACGTTAATGAAATGGCTTCTGGAGTTTGCTGAAGGGTTCTGAAAGTCTTGATCACATCAAAAAAGTTACTTTCTATTCTTTGCTAAGCATTTTTTATCCTGAATGGGTATTGGGTTTTATCCAATGCCATTTTGTATCTATTTAGGAGATATGTGTTCCTTTATATTCTGTTACTTTTGTGTATCACAATAATAGATTTTTCTGATGTTGAACTGTTTTAGAATTCCTGTGTAAAACCCTACTGGGTAATGATCTCCAATGCTGGATACGAGTTGCTGGTATCTTTTTTTTTGTATATCTGTATATATTTTTATGCAAGATTACAGCACGATTTTCTTTTCTTCCACTATCTTGTCCACTTTAGGTGTCTAAGCTGGATAGACTTCCTTCCTTTAAAAAATGTCTTTAAAAATTTTCATCCAGTACAATTTACTCTTATTGTCTAGAACTATGAGTCTTGCCAAATGGATAGTCATTTAAACATTACAATAAAGATATCTTTACAGAAGAGTTGCAACATCTCCCAGATTCCTTTATGCTGTCTTTTGTGATCATCTCCCTCCCTACACAGGTCAGAACGATCTGTTCTCTATCCTAACAGCTGTGTTTTTTCAGGTGTCAGACACATCGAATGGCACTCTCTGTAGCCTCTTGCATCAGGCATCTTGTACTTAGCATAATGGATTTGAGAGTCACATTTGTGTGACTCAAGAGCCTAACATTTTTTATGGCTGGGACTATTCCATTGCATGGAGGTTAGCTGACTTAAGTGAGGTGGCTTCTGAAGCTTGCTGCAGGTTCCTGACAGTCTTGAGGGGGTCAGAGAAGTGACCGTTGTGTCTTTACCTGTTCATCTGTTGAAGAGCATTTGGGTTGTTCTCAGCTTGGAGGTGCTATCAAGGCACATGTTCACATTTTTGTGTGACTGCAAGTTAATTCCTTCTGATACCAAGGGAATGGGATTTCTGGGTCCTTTGGTATGTGTACGTCGGGGCTTTATAAGAAAATGCCAACTCCTTTCCCTTGTGACCATGCTGTTTGCATTCCCACAGCAACGCGTGGGAGATCCAGCTGCTTCCTCTGCATCCTAAGTGGCACTCGCTATTGCAGGTTTTATTTTTTCTGTTGGTTTAAGTTTCAGTTTCACTCTTAGTTTTTGTGATTTTAGTGGGTGTGGTATTATCTTATTGTGGCTTTAATTTGCTTTTCCCCAATGACCCACAATGTTGCGCACCTTTCCACATGCTTTCACATCCATATATCTTGTGTAGTAAAATGCCTGCTTAATTTTTTGGCTTATTTTTAAATTGGAGCATTGTTTTCTTATTGCTGAGTCCTGATAGTGCTTTATATATTGTAGATATAAGTCTTTCTTGAGATGTGTGAATTGCCAGTATTTTCTCCAAGTCTATGGCTTGTCTTTCCGCCTCCTGTGTCTTGCACAGAGCAAAAGTTTTTCATTTTTGTGGAGTCTTGTTTATTTATTTTTGTTAGGAATTGTGCTCTTGGTGTTCTGTCTAAAAATTCTTTGCCTAATGCAAGATCACAGGAGTTTCTCCTCTGATTTCTTTTAGGAATGTTATAGTTTACATTTTACATTTAAGTCTCTGTTCCATTTTTAGTTACTCTTTGCAAAAAGTACAAGGTATCGGCCAAGGTCTCCCTCTGTGCTCCTCTCAGTTCTCTGGCCTATGGATGTCCAATTGCTGAAAACACTATTTTTTCTCCATTGAATTGGCTTTGCACCGTTGTCAAAAATCAGTTTACCATATTTCTGTGAGTCGGTTTCTGGACTCTCTCTTCTTTCATTGATTTTACATGTCTATCCCTTTGCCGATACCACATTGTCTTCATTATTGTAGCTTTATAGTAAGTCTTGACATCAGTGTGATTTTACTTTGTTCTTTCTTCCCCCACAATTGATTTGGCTATTCTAGTTCCTTTGCTGTTTCATTGACTAGATCTATTTTATTTACTCATTTATTTATTTTTTGAGACAGAGTCTTGCTCTGTCACCCAGGCTAGAGTGCAGTGGTGTGATCTCGGCTCACTGCAACCTCTGCCTCCAAGGTTCAAGTGAATCTTCCACCTCAGCCTCCCAAGTAGCTAGGACCACAGGTGTGCACCACCACACCCGGCTAATTTTTTTTTGTATTTTTAGTAGAGACGGGGTTTCACCATGTTGGCCAGGCTGGTCTCAAACTCCTGACCTCAAGTGATCTGCCCACCTTGGCCTCCCAAAGTGCTGGCATTACAGGCGTAAGCCACCACGCCTGGCTTTTCCTTTGCCATTTCATACAAATTCCAAATTCTTATTAATCTTTATTTGTTTGATATATTAATTTCTTATAGACTTAAAAACACTCTCATTATAATTACGGCTTTGGAAAATTCTCCTGCAAGTTCATGGTTTTCGGTTTCTTTTGGTTTATTTTTGGTTTCCTTTTTTTAGTATGCAAGGTTTGCTTTGAAATCCTATTGAAGCTTTTTGCCTTAAATTATATTCTCTCTGTGTCTTTGCTACATCCCTTCCTATATGTAGTAGTTTTCATATATATATTCCATCTCTTTATTTTCAACTTTTCTGCTTGATTTCTTTTCAGATGTGTTTCTTGTGGTTAGGAATTAGTAACATTTAAAAATCCAATAAAACCTTCTTCAAGGCTGCCATGTCCATCACAAGCCCAGAGTGCCAGGGCCTTGGGGGAAGAAACTGGGAGGCGCTCAGGGCACCCTTGGGACCTTCAGACTCACTGCCCAGGGTGTCTCAAGTCTCTGCTCCACACACTCTGGCACAGTGCTCCTCAGCCTCCCCAGCTGTGGCTCAGCCAGGGCTAAGTGAGGCGTGGGACCCTGCCCCAGAGGGTGCAATTGGTGAGCCCTGTTGCATCCATGTGGGGCTGATTCTGTAGGCACCCAGTGCATGAGCTGTGGAGCCGGGGCTGCCTCTACCCAGATGTCAAAAGATGTTGTAACTGCCGGGTGGGTTCACCTTGCCCGCTGCCTAGACAAAGCCAATTTATGAAGACGGGAAATTGCAATGGAGAAAGAGTAATCGTTGCAGATCCGGCTGTGCAGGAGACCGGAGTTTTATTATTACTCAAATCAGTTTCCCCAGGCATTCGGGGATCAGAGTTTTTAAAGATAATTTGGCAGGTAGGAGCTTGGAAAGTGGGGAGTGCTGATTGGTCAGGTTGGAGATGGAATCACAGGGGGTTGAAGTGAATTTTTCTTGCTGTTTTCTGTTCCCAGGTGTGATGGTAGAAATGATTGGGCCACATTACTGGTCTGGGTGATGTCAGCTGATCCATCCAGTGCAAGGTCTGCAAAATATCTAAAGCACTGATCTTAGGTTTTACAATAGTGATGTTATGCCCAGGAGCAATTTGGGGAGGTTCAGACTCTTGGAGCCAGAGGCTTGCATGATCCCTAAACTGTAATTTCTAATCTTGTAGCTAATTTGTTAGTCCTGCAAAGGCAGCAGACTGGTCCCCAGACAAGAAGGGGGTCTTTTTGGGAAAGGGTTATATCAGTTTTGTTTCAGAGTCAAACCATGAACCGAATTCCTTCCCAAAGTTAGTTCAGCCTATGTCCAGGAATGAACAAGGACAGCTTAAAGGTTGGAAGCAAGATGGGGTAGGTTAGGTGTGATTTCTTTCACTGTCATTATTTCCTCAGTTATAATTTTGCAAAGGTGGTTTCAAAGTCTCAGATAGCTGTGGGGTCCAGGCATAGACCTGCTGCAGGGCTGGGGTCACCCAAGAGAGCCCCCACAAGGGCAATTCCCAGCAAAGCTGTGGGGTGGGGCTGTCAGGAGCCTTGGATGCCCAAACCTCACCCCCGTGTGTCCAGAAGGTGGGGCATGAAATCAAAGATGACTGTCAAGATTGAATATTTGTCTTGTTGGGTGTTAGACTTACTTAAGGCCTGTTATCTCTGTCTTCTTGCCTGTGTGTCCATTTTGTAATAGAATTGTCTGCACTGCGCCTGTCCCACAGTGTGTTTGAAGGCTCATAACTTGTTTGATTTCACAGATTCACAGCTGGAGGAGAATTTGCCTCAGGACAAATCATGCTTTGAGTCTCATCCATATGTTTAGACATGTATCCATATGTTTAGACATATATCCATATGTTTAGATATGTATCCATATGTTTAGACACGTATCTGTATGTTTAGATATGTATCCATATGTTTAGATATGGATCCATATGGTTGGACTAAGACTTTAAAGTTGATACTGGAACAAGTTAAGACTTTTTGGGGCTATTGAGATGAAATGAATGTATTTTGTACGTGATAAGAACATGAATTTTGGGAGGACAGTAACAGAATGCTATGGTTTGAATGTGTCCCCTCCAAAATTCAACTGTTGTCAATGTAATAGTATTAGGAGGTGGGCCTTTAGGAGATGATGAGGCCATGAGGGCTCCTCCCCACCATGAGTAGGATTAAAGCCCTTAAAAAAAAGGCTTCAGGCCGGGCACGGTGGCTCACGCCTATAATCCCAGCACTTTGGGAAGCTGAGGCGGGTGGATCACGAGGTCAGGAGTTCAAGACCAGCCTGACCAACATGGTGAAACCGCGTCTCTACTAAAAATACAAAAATTAGCCAGGCGTGGTGGTGTGCGCCTGTAATCCCAGCTACTCAGGAGGCTGAGGCAGGAGAATTGCTTGAACCTGGGAGACAGAGGTTGCAGTGAGCGCCACTGCACTCTAGCCTGGGCGACAAGAGCAAAACTCCATCTCCAAGAAAAAAAATAGAGGCTTTATGCAGCATTCACCTTCTGTGCTGCAAGGACACAGCATTCCTTCCCTCTGGAAGATGCAGCGACAAGGCACCATCTTGGAAGCAGAGAGAAGCCCTCCCAGACACCAAACCTACCAGTGCTTCCATCTTGGATTTCCCAGCCTCCAGAACTGTAAGAAAACAAATTTTTCTTCTTTATGTATTAACCAGACTGTGATATCCTGTTATAGTAGCACAAATAGGTAGCGACAAATATTTTTTGACTTTTATTCCATGATTCTAGTCCTTTTGCACTTATTGTGATTACATCCATGCTTAGACTTCGGTCCTGCTTCCCATGTTTTTAGCGTGTCATCCTTTTCACTTCTCTTTCTTCTTGCCTTGCGCTGCATTAACTGTACTTCCTAAATTTCTTTTTTGCTTTATTGATTTGGAATTTATATGTTGTAATTATACTGTTGTAGTGGTTTTTCTCTACATTTTCAAACGTTAAATATTTAACTCTATATACATTTTTCTCATGAAATCCAAGTGCTTCAACATAGGTGTCTATTTCTTCACATCCATTGTCCATGAACTTCTGAAAATCAGAGGTTCTATGTAAATGTGCTAACGAGGAGTTTATTTCCCCATATTTGAAAAGCAAAATATTTGTAAGGCATTCCACATCAATCCAAAACTCTCAACCAATTTCCTAGAGTGTTTCCAAAACAGAAAAATGCCTAGATAAAACTAAAAACAGAGCATATTAGGATATAAAATGTTTAAGTATCAGTTCCAGATCACCAACACTTATTGTGGTTGTTAGCAAACCATTGCTTTGTAGGCAGCAATATATCCAGTTTACAAGCTGTTCTGCAAACATTATCTTTGCCACACAGCATGGCAAATAAAAATGAAAGCAGATACACTTTTTAGAAAACACAGACTGCAATGGACTGAATTTTTGTGACCCTCTAAAATTCATATGTGAATCCCTAATCCCAGTGCCATGGTTTTGGTAAGTGGGGTCTTTGAGAAGTAACAGGTCATGAGGTGGATGGACGCCCTTGTAAGAAGAGACCAGAGAGTGAGCCAGCTGTCTTTTCCACCATGTGAGGGTGCATAGGGATGTTGATAGTCTGCCACCGGGAAGGGGCCTCACCAGAATCAGACCATGCTGGTACCTTGACCCCAGGCTTCTCAGCCTCTGTAACTGTGGGATATGAGTGTTTGTTGTTTAAGCCGCTCAGCCTATGGCACCTTGTTATAGCAGCCCAATCTAAGACATAGACTAAAATGATAATAAAACTCAAAGCAAATTCCTGTAATGAAATGGGGCTCTCCAAGTAGAGAAGGGATATTTGTAGCTCAAAGTCAGCTGAGAAGGGAGAGGGCTGAAAAGAGGAGGCAGTTTCTGTGTGTCCTGGTGGTGGAGGAGGAGGGGGAGAGGACCTGGGTGAGAGAGAATTGTTTTGGGCATTTGTCAGACTCACAAGGCCTGGGAACGGCTGACCATGGTTTGGTGGCTGCTCTGAGGAGGGGGTCTGACAAATCTTCAGAGGAGCTACTCAATACTCTTGGGTGAAACACTTGCAAGATGCAGTCTTCCTCTTTGTCTTGATGTTTACTTTCATAAATTCATTTACATGAGGTTTTAGGAGACATCGGGCTGTTTCTTTTCTTCCTCCATTTGAAGCTTCTCAACCTATCCCAGGCACATTCAGGGCTAATATTTAACCCAGCACTGGCGTGGCCTCATGGAATAATGCCTCCCTTGGGTCCAGCAACATCCCACATGCACTTCCCCACCCTAAGATTCATGAGCTTTTCAAAATGTTTACATGTGCAATTCTGCCAATATTATTTGGAATAGAACCTGAGACTTCCTCTATATTGTTTTGTTTAAAATGTTGAATTGAGTCTTTGGGACATAGATATAAATGTTTTCCACATAAATAGCTGGACATATTGCATTGAGAACTAATTAAGCTCCATGAAGTTAGCGTATTAAACTCAAGAAGGGGTCTCCTGGGGAAGCATCACGGAAGAAGACTTGCTTCAGGGGATGCTCCTATTTCTGTCTTTTCCTACAGCATGGCCTGGACTGCAGCAGAATTTACCAACCACTATACCATCCTGCTATCACCCTTTCTGTTCCTGTTATCTGCAATTCCGTTTTGCTTAAAAACACTTCAAAACTGCTATTATTATTTCAAAAGTCAATATTTAATTACATTCATCAATCTATAAATCATCAATATCTAAGCTTACTCTTACATGTATGAGCCCTCTCTGGGTGTACTTTTCCTCTTGAATCCCTTCACAGTTCTTAGAGCAAGCATCTTTGGTGGTAAGCAAGTTATTTTAGCCCTTGCAAGTTTTTATTTTCTTTTTTTCCTGAGTAATTGTTTATATTGGTATAAATTATAGGTTAATAATTATTTTTCCTCAGTCGTTTGAAGGCATTATTTCATTTCTTCTGATCTTTATCATTGTGGATAAATCTACTACCCATCTAATTCATGATCCTTTATAGGAATCTGTCTTTTCTGTCTTGTAGCTTTTAACATTTTCTCTTTTTATCTTGCTATTGTGTAGCTTCACTACCGTCCCTACATGTGAGATTTGTTTGGTTTGTTTGTTTATTCTGTTCTTTACCTCTACTGCAATTTTGAACTGAGGACTCCTGTTGACATGGTTTGGCTGTGTCCCCACCCAAATCTCATTTTGAATTGTAGCTCCCACAGTTCCCACATGTTGTGGGAGGGACCCAATGGAAGGTAATTGAATCATGGGGGCAGGTCTATCCCATGCTATTCTCATGATAGTGAATAAGTCTCATGAGATATGATGGTTTTATAAAGGGGAGTTTCCCTGCACAAGTTTTCTTCTTGTCTGCTGCTATGTCAGATGTGCCTTTCACCTTCTGTCATGATTGTGAGGCCTCCCCAGCCATGTAGAACTGTGAGTCCACTAAACCCCTTTCTTCTGTAAATTTCCCAGTCTTGAGTATGTCTTTATCAGCAGCATGAAAACAGACTAATACACCTGTTTTTCTCTGAATCTGCAAAAAATAAATTACTAGCTTTTCATATAGAGCTTCTCTATTTTCTTCTTCTGAAATTGTTATTTCAGAGATATAGGACCTCCTTGACTATTCTCCACCTCTCATCTGCTTGTGAGTATGTGTGTGTAGATGTGGAGATAAACACACCTCAAGCAGCCTAAGAAGCCATCAATAGAAGGAGGAACCATTATTTTCATGCACCACTAAGAAATAAAGGTGCCACAGACAAGGAGTTTAGTAGAAGACCCCTACATAAGGTGAGGACCCCAAAGGGCTGCAGGCTTGCTGTAAGAAGAAATGAGAAATGAGAAATAAACCCACTGTGAGCAAAAGGCAGGAAAAAAAAAAAAAACCTCTGACAATCTGTCCTGAGGTTTTAACCTCCAAACTTTACACACTCAGATTTACAGTTCAAATGTAAATCTTAACTATAGATTTTAATTTTAAATGACCTTAGGTCAGTAATACTTCCAAGTGACTGGCGGGGCAAATGAAGATTCTCTTTGGAAGATGTCTCCAGTCTAGACCAAGAGTGGTTGTAAGTCACCTTCAGTTGCAAGGTGTGCTCCAATTTCAGATATATTAAAATGAGAAAATGGAATCAATGAAGTGCAGTGTACATGTGTGCATGCATGCACACATCCATATTTATCTACAGAAGTCAGTTTGTCTCTCTATGCAGTATTCCAGGTGAGTTCTTCAATATTGTCTCCAATTCACTAATTCTCTCTTTAACCCTGTTCTGCCTAAAATGTGTTCCTGTTATCACGTATTTTCTTTGGCTGTATTTTTAATTTCTTAGTTTTCTAATTGTTTATTTTAAAGAAATGTTTTTTGTTATTTCTTATGTGCCTGTTCTATTTTTCTATAGTTTCTTGTGCTTTTAAAAGGACATTCTCCCTCCTTCACCTCTGTTATCTCTTTAAACACCCTAAACATAATTATTTTTGTTGTAGACAAATTGTCCCCATGCAATTAATTTTGTCTGGAGTTATTTCATGTTCTGAGTACTGATTTTGTTATTTATCGTTCGGAGCACTGGAACACTCCTGTGTTGTGGGACAGGGGAGTATTTGGCTTTTCTTTCTGCACTCCATTTTTCTTCTTCTCTGTTTGTCCTTCCTTCTAGAACAGCTTTGCCGTTGTCCCCAGTGACCCTCAGGGCTCCCAGTGCTGCACCAGGTACTACATGGCTCTCCTTTCCTCACAGCATCTCCCATTGCTTTTACCTGGGCTGTCAGCTTCTCAGTGGGTCCCACAGATTCTTCCTTCTCTATGTCTTTTTTCTCACTTATTTTTTCATTTGTTCAACAAATAACTTTGAGCACTTACAATGTACCAGACTCTGTCCCATTTTGTCTCCTTCTTTTAATGATCTGTTTTATGGAAATTGATTATATTCTATAATGTGTTGTTTATACTAGTTTTAATGAGTTCTGTTTTCATTTACAAGGAAGTGAGTGTAATGGTACATATTTGTCTGAAGAATTCTTCTTGCTCCTCTGACCATAAATGGATTACTGTATTTTCCAGGAATCGTCGGCCTTCTATAATAATACTATTCCTCACTTCTGTATAGCACTTTGCAATCCACAAATGTTTCTTATCCATCAACTCTGTTGACCAGTTGTGATATGAAATAGATAGGACGTATGTTGGTCCTGTTTTACCAGGGGTACGCCTGCAGCTCAGAGAGGTTAAGTCTGCTCCAGGGCCACCAGCCAGTAAGGAGCAGAGTGGAACCACACCTGAAACCAAATCTCATGATTCAGACACCTGAGTTAGACTCTTCAGATGGGCCTTAGAATATGTTCTGGGCACAAGGGTCACATCTTATGTCCTGGTATCAGTCATTGTACCTAGCACACTACTGGTCATGGCATGTATTTGCATAAATTATTTGATGAAGGCCGTCTGGGAGAAAGCTGACTTTGCACATTTCAGGCAGGGGCTGTGGCTGAACTCATTCTGTTGGGACACTGAGTGCCCTGCTGACCCCTGAGGGGCACCAGCCCACAGGACCTGCAGGAAGGTCTGCACCTGCAGAAGTATGTGAGGGAGACCAGGCTGCCTGTGGGCTCCTCATTCTTTAACTAAGGAGGATTTATGACCCAGCCGCAGTGATAGGAATTCAAGACCTCTCAACATGTTCACATTCAAAAAATCAGTAGGTATCGATTCACATTACTGAGTTGACTGAAGGCAGAGGCAGTATTTATTCTGAGTTGTGTTCCTGATGTAATAGTATTTAGATTACAATATTTTCTGTAATTACTTAGAAATGACAATGCATACTGGGTTAGTGATAAATCAGAGGCAATTTAAATAATGTCATCAGGAATCGAGCATAAATTCTGTGGATCTCATCTCAGCCAATGGGCCATTGCTTTGAAGGGTGAACAGTGTCTCTAACAGCCAGCATTGCCCAGGGGAGGTGGGGTGCTGAGGGCCCTAGCTCTGACCCTGGCCTGTGGCGGCCTGTCATCTCATCCCGGCAGCTCTGGGTGCAGCTGGCGAGCTCTGGCTGGAGCCTGCAGTACGGATCATGCCAAGGGTGCAGTGGAGGCAGGACTGCGGGATAGACATGACTCCGGGCAGCAACAGGTGAGGGAGGAGAGCGCTCAGCCAGGTGATCTGTGACTCATGAAGGTGCAAGCAGCTGAGCCTCCCTGCTGGTGCCCAGGCTCCATTTGTGCCTCTCCTCTGCTCCTTCCCTCACTGCTGCAGGTTCTGGGTAATCTGCACACTTTTGCAGGGTCCTTGGAGCCACCTCTTACAAGAGTGCCATTTCTTCAAAAGCTATTAGGGCACAGAGGTGCACAAGATTGGTTCTGGAGCCCCGTGGGAATCTCGCTCAGGGGCGATAGTTCCGTTTAGGGCTGAGGTCATGCTGGCTGAGTGGTCTGATTCCAGCTGCTGGAAGCTGGAAGTGGGGTGTGGAAGGAGGCTGTGGCCACTGAGCCCCAATCATGTGACAGGCACTCCACTGGCTGCCCTCTTCGTGATGTTGATTGAAATCATCTGCTCACTAATAACAGAAACAAACATGGGTCCTTGGGTCAGAGTAAAGGAAAAGTAGGAGGCAGTTATGGGGTTTGTGGAGTATCCTACATGGCGAGGGCAGGAATGTGGATGGGACCTCAGGAAGGGATGGGATCAGAATCAGAAGTGACCAGAGTCTCCGTCCATCTCCCTGCTCTTCCTGCACACCAGGTTCTATTCCTCCTTCTACTGAGGTTTTTTTGCCTCTGTTCCCCTGTGGCCTCCTGTGGCTCCTGATCCTATAGGTACAAGTCCAGCCTCTGGGAGACATGAACCTGTTCCTGGGCTCAATTCCACATCCTTTGGGAAGGGTGAGCGGCTCACCCAGCACTACTGGAGTAGTGTCAGGTACAAAATGATGACCTTTGTTCCATCAGCGTGGACCAGTTGCCAGCTAAGAGGGTTCATGTCAGTGTGTTATCCTGAGCCTGTGAGGTGGTTTTCTTATGGGTGTTACCAATGAACATCAGAGAGCTGATTGCCATGCCCAAGGCGAGACCAGTAATGCCTCAGCGGGGGTTAACTCATGGCTACTGGGTCCAGGGAACGTGCTGTATCAGCCACGCTCTTCCTCTCCCTGTTATTGCTCTGTGTTCTAGTTGGAGAAAATGTCACAAGCAAAGAGCTAGAGGTAAGCAGGCTGGCACAGAGGGAAGCGTGTTAGGAAGTGTGTTGATGGCGTGCTGGTTGGGTAGGGAGGAGCCCTGGCCCTGCTGGTGGGACTATGAGAGTGAAGATGACAGCGTTCAGCACAGTAATAGGATGGGATGGGGGAGGGGGCGTGGGCACCCTGGAGAGGGAAATACGGTGGAAAATGAACACAAGGACCCAGAGCAAGAACACAGCATTCAATAATGAACGAGTGTGTTAGTCCATTCTCACACTGCTATAAAGAACTATCTGGGACTGGGCGATTTATGAAGAAAAGAGGTTTAATTGACTCACAGTTCTGCAGGCTTAACAGGAAGCATGATTGGGAGGCCTCAGGAAAGTTACAATCATGGTGGAAGGCAAGGGGGGAAGCAAGAACCTTCTTCACACGGTGGCAGGACAGAGACAGCACATGAGGAGGAAAGTGCCACATCCCTTTAAACCATTGGATCTCATGAGAACTCACTCACTACCACCAGAACAGCAAGGGGAACTCCACCCCCATGATCCAAGCCCCTCCCACCAAGTCCCTCCCCCAGCATTAGGGATTACAATTCAACATGAGATTTGGGTGGGGACACAGAGCCAAACCATATCAACAAATAAGAATTTATTTTATTTTTGCACCAAAGAACCCAGTTTGGTTTCCTTTCTTCATCCCACTAGCGAACACTCTGTGTGGCTTCCCTCATAAATGCCCCCCAGGACTCAGAATTCTCACCCCAAAGGATTTGAGACCGAGTCTGCAAGACACGGATCGTCCAGATGAGTGTTTTCCTCTTTTCTCCGCGGCACTGAGGGGCTGAGAAGCATCTGGAGATCTCATGCAACTCTCAATTTCCCACCACAGCCCCGGCCCCCACTCAGCATGGCCCAAAAAAGGAGCAAAAAGCAGAAAGCTCAAGGACCCTCAGAATCAAGGTAAATTTTCTTTCTAAATAACTTGAGAATTTTTTTCCCTCTAGTGCTTGAATTTTCTAAGCTCTACTTGATATTTTTAAGACGTTAAAATGACTCTGATTTTGAATCAACCTCGTTGGTCTTGCAAAGAAAATAACTGTGCTTTGAATGGAGAATAAACAAGTTGGGAAGGGAGAGTGAGGAGATCCTCAGCTCCTTCTGGGACCCAGACCCCACCTCCCCCTGCACACTCCATGCTCAGGTGCATCTGGAGGTGGAAAGACCCAGGGTCAAATGACAGCTCTGCCTCTTGAGACTGTGTGACCTTTGGTGAGTGACCTCGCATTTCTGGGTCTTGGTTTTCTCAATAAAAATAAAAAAGAGAGATAAATAGGTCTACGTGGAAGAATGCTTGGAATTAAATGAAATAACATATGCAAAATAGCTGTGCACTTCTGAAAGTCCTCTATAAATGTACTCTCCTGATGCATGACACTGATAATTATTGTTGCTAGTTATTCTCTCAACCTACTGTGTGCAAATCCCCTGTGCTTCGTGCCAGAGGAAGGAATTGGGTTGAAATTGTCTACTTGCAAAATGTATAATATTTTTCTTTCAGGCTTGTTCTGTCAAACAAAATCACTATTCAGTACCTGGGACATTACAATAATACATTTTAATGAAAACAATTAATTTGAAATGATTGCTTTGTTGTAAGTAGAATGAAAAAAATCATTATAAATTGGCAAATGGAAGAGAAAAATGTTTTTATATAAGTACTTAGGAGAGACATATTGAGGCCATGAATATTTCTAAAATAAGAGAACATAAAACTTGAATTTGTAAAGTTGTTTTCTTAATTTGGAGGGCTGTTTCAACTTGTTTCCAAATGAAGATAAAAGAACCAAGTTCTGCAGCTTGTGCAAATGTATGGGGAAATCAATGCAGGCTTTTTTCTTCTTCTTCTTTTATTTTTTTATTTTTATTTTTTGAGACAGAGTCTCTGTTACCCAGGCTGAAGTACAGTGATGTGATCTCAGCTCACTGCCACCTCTGCCTCCCAGGTTCAAGTGATTCTCCTGCCTCAACCTCCTGAGTAGCTGGGATTACAGACGTGTGCCACCACGCCCAGCTAATTTTTGTATTTTTAGTAGAGACGGGTTTTTGCCATGTTGGCCAGGCTGGTCTCAAACTCCTGACCTCAGGTGATCCGCCCGCCTCAGCCTCCCAAAGTGCTGGGATTACAGGCATGGCCCACCACGCCCGGCTAATTGTTGTATTTTTAGTAGAGACGGGGTTTCACCATGTTGGCCAGGCTGCTCTCGAACTCCTGACCTCAGGTGATCTACCAGCCTTGGCCTCCCAAAGTGCTGGGATTATAGGCATGAGCCACTGTACCCAACCTTCTTCTTCTTTGTTTTTTTTTTTTTAAAAAAAAAAAACTGTTTTCCAATAGGGTTTAACGACATGAGCTCATTGGGGGCTTCAAGTGTTTATTGTTTGGTTTAGTTTTGCAGAAAGACACAAAGCTCAAGAACAGAGGTGCAACTAAGGGAACACACCCTGTAAGACTGCCTCCCAGACACACCACTGCAGCCAGTGAATTGCACTGTTTAGACTTTGACTTCAGGGTCAGGGTGAGCTGATGAGACTGGCCCCTTGATGAAGTAAGAGGCCACCAAGGAGTGAGAGCGGCTGAGTTTGAGCCCTGCCTCTGCCGTCTGCAACTCTCTCATCTTGAGCAGGTCCAGCCCCAGTGTGGGCCTCAGATCTCCCATCCTTGAGATGAGAGAATTCAAATCCAGCTCCACCTCTGCAGCCCACGCCCTTCCCCTGCACTGCATGGCATCCGATAGGCTTGAAGAAGGCGTGAATGACATTCAAAGGGCCACATCATCTAAGTCGCACTCCTCTCCCATCCCATCCCTTGTTGTCCTTTACATGATTCCCATTCATCTTTCTTCTCTTGGGCCCAGGGGTGTGCTGGTGAATGTTTAACAGCCACTCCATGAAAAAATAAAACGGTCTTGATTGATGGCATTTGCTGATTTCCTTGGTGTAAACACTCCCACCATGGGCTGTTCCAAGCAACCACAGTGATGCTGCTGAATGCTGATCCTGGAAGAGTCGGTGCAAGCTGGTTCTGGCATAGCACTGGCTAGGTTGCTCCAGGGTAGGGGCACTGGCTGCCTGCTGGCTAAATGTGAAATCGGATGAGATCGTTATCAGCTAATATTCATTGTGTGCTTATTGTGAGCCAGGCTGTTTGCTCAGAGCTTTGCATAGGTTGTCTCCTTGAATCATCAACACAGTCCTAGGATTCAGTCCCTCGGTACAGATGGTTATGTAACCAGCCCAAGGCCATGCAGCCACAAGGAGGAGGAGTTGAACTGGCCATGGCGCTTGAGTTCATAGCCCATGCTTTTAGGCAATATGCTATCCTAGATTTCAGCCTTGCTGCTTTCTGCTCTTGAAAGCCTGCAGAAAAATGCCTCGAGACATAAAGCAAGTCCATTTGCACTTGGTTCCTTTATTTTGAGCTTATTTATCAAATCTTCTGATGATCCTCATGCATCTCTTTATTGCACCTGGCCTATTAATACATATATTGGTAAACATACTTTGGTGATATTTATCGTCACTCTAAGAACTCACAGATTTATACCATTTAGTGTTCTGTGTTTTGTTTTTGGGTAGGCCTCATTAACAGGGTAGAGTTCAGACATATGGGTCTTATATAAAAAAAGTGACTTTGTAACAGCTTTTTTTTTTTTTTTTTTTGTGATTAGGGAAAGAAACAGCCTTAAGTAAAGGGAGCTATTTGGAGCAGAGAGGTTTTTTAATTAGGGTGATATTCCAGAGCTGAGTGACAGCATTTCTTGAATAACAGAAGCCTGGAGAGCTCTCCCTTGGAAGGGCATTGCCATACACCAGCCGGCCAAACTGATTTTTCAGGGAATTAAGCCCTGCATCAAACTGGCAGAGGCACGATGCTTTTGTCTGGCTGAGTATGGTACAAAATGGGTTGGAACATAAACAATGATCTGGAGAAGCAGGGCTGCATGGATTGCCAAACTGGGCAATTTGTCCTCATCAGCAATACAATGTCCACCCAGGGTAAGATTCTGTGGGCTGCTCCCCTTGGCCCCGGACAGACTGCCTCCAGGGTGATGCCAATCTCATGCCACTGCACCTGATTTTAAGCAAGCTCACAATATGAAGATGTGGATTTGGAGAGGCGTAACTTGGGTGAAATCAGCTCTGTGGTGGAGAGCATGACGTAGCAGTAAGAGCATTTGTAATAAATAATGGTTCTGTTGTTACATAAAAATACTTGCTACTAATTATTAAAAAATTCAGGCCGGGCACCGTGGCTCATACCTGTAATCCCAGGACTTTGGGAGGCCGAGGCAGGTGGATCACCTGAGGTCAGGAGTTCGAGACCAGCCTGGCCAACATGGTGAAACCCTGTCTCTACTAAAAATACAAAAATTAGCCGGGCGTGGTGGTGTGTGCCTGTAATCCCAGCTACCCAGGAAGCTGAGGCAGGAGAATAGCTGGAACCCGGGAGGCAGAGGCCACTGCATTCTTGCCTGGGTGACAGAGCAAGACTCCATCTCAAAAAAAAAAAAATTTTTTTTCAAAAAAAAAATCCTGCCATTCAGACATTGTATTAGTTAGCTCTCATGCTACTAATAAAGACATCCCTAGACTGTGTAATTTATAAAGGAAACAGGTTTAATGGACTCACAGTTCCACATGGCTGGGGAGGCC